>NC_000003.12:30010000-31260000 GCF_000001405.40 Homo sapiens
AGAAGAAGAAAAATGGAATCTTAATTTAAAAAAATATATGTAGTAGTATCTGCTATGAGATATTCAGTCTCTATAAAAAAAAAAAGGGACACAGCTTCTTTTAAAACCCTTGTTTCAGTCCATATTCAACTTCATGGAACTTCTGAAACATCATTCAATTTTGAACTTTATTTAAGAGCATTTTTGTACTGCTGTCTCTGACTGTCATGGAAAGTTCTGTAATTCTAAGGTGTTTCTGGTTTTATTTTTAATTTCTTCATCTGTACCACAGTCAAATTAGCAACCATCTCCCCCATCCCTTGGGCTTTCTGTAGATCAGTGGATGTTAGGTTTAAACTTCTGTTTTCTTTGATGAAGCTTTCAATAAAAAATGAAAATAAAATCAATTGAATAGGGCTGTTGTGTTTTTCTGCACTCATCCAGAGACTGGTTGTGGGAGGAGGGCTGATAGGAAGGAGTGGTGCCCACCTTTAATCTGGAACAGTGCTGGAATTTTTTAAATAATCATCTCAGCTAACAAAAAATGACAGAGGAGAGAATATTCAATACATGCCAAGGGGACCTGAGAAAGCCACTGTTTGTGGGAATTTAGAAAGAGAGGACCATTTAGGTCTTCCCAGGGACTCCCACAATCTTCCTCATTCTCAAGTTTAGGGATTTAGAGACCACAGAACTCCTGTCTCCAAACATGCCTAACAGCTACCAACTACTTGATGAATCTTGGATGAAGGCCAGTTATATTTGACACCTATGGTTTGTATCCCTGCAAGGATTAAATCCAGGTCAACCAAAATCAGAAGTGTCCATTCCTCAAGTTACAGAAGACTGTGCTAAGCAAATAAAAAGAAAACCTATTTTTCCAGACCAGAGTAATCCAAGCTAGCTTGGAGCTCATATTTAAGAGCCAGTAATATCCTGTTCTGTAATAGTCATTTGCTGTGTTGTTCAAAAATATTCCATTCTACTGTAGAAGACAGGAAAACAAAGGGATACATGAAATTCCTATGATGTGTTAAACAACAAAGCGACCCTTAAGACAGAAAAGCTAAGTACAGCATGTGAGTGTGAACAAAAATAGAAAGGGAAAGAAAGACCAAGAAAACACTATATGTGATACACTAGATATATATATATATATGAGAAAATTAAGCATTCACTATTCATTAGGTCTTAATTTGCTCACTCTTTGTTGCCTTCCATTCTGGTACCCACAGCAGCTCATCAACCTAATTGGTGAATTTCAGTGGTTTGCCCCTGATTGTCTTGGAGGGAGTAAGAATGCTCCACTGGCTCCCTCTTTCATTGCTCAAAACCCAACTCTGGTATAACACACCATCACTGGAGAAGGATGATGTGGCAGAGGGAAAAGGAGTATATATACCAACATTGCAGAACATTCAGCTAGTGTGCTTCCACCCCTCTCGCACTTTAACCTCAATGAGTCAACCTACCCCATGACTTTCACCTTGTTTCTTTTCTGTGTATTTAAAATTGATTTAATAAGCCCCGTGCTTCTAGCATCTTTATTGGTCTGTGAGTCTTTCTGTTCTATGACTTCTAGTATAATCTGCATAACAGTGTAGTTGGAAGCTACCACTACATCAAGGTGATTTCCCACATGGCATCTTCTTGCTTTAGAATACATGCACCCAGGGGAGGCTGTGGAGAAAGCTCTCCAACCGGTGCCCAGGCTCTAAGAATATGTTGTGTATATACCATTTCCCTTTCTGAACATCAGTTCACATTGTACTGGCAGAAGAGAAAACTAGACGAGAAAACTGGAAGAATGGATTTATTGGATAGTTTAAGAAAGTAAGTGTGGAACAAAGATTTTTTTTTTTGAGACGGAGTCTCGCTCTGTCGCCCAGGCTGGAGTGCAGTGGCGCGATCTTGGCTCACTGCGAGCTCCGCCTCCCGGGATCACGCCATTCTCCTACAGGCGCCTGCCACCACGCCCGGCTAATTTTTTGTATTTTTTAGTAAAGACGGGGTTTCACCGTGTTAGGATGGTCTCGATCTCCTGACCTTGTGATTCACCCGCCTCGGCCTCCCAAAGTGCTGGGATTACAGGCGTGAGCCACTGTGTCCGGCCTGGAACAAAGATCTTGAACTTAGTTTTACCCACTGCCTTTGTTCTGTTTGGGCTGTTGTAACAAAATGTCTTGGATTGGGTAATTTATAAACAACGGAAATTCATTGCTCACAGTTTTGGAAGCTGGAAAGTCCAAGATCAAGGCACCAGTTTTGGGGTCTGGTGAGGGCCTGTTCCTCATAGATTGTGCTTTCTATGTGTCTTTACAAGGCTGAAGGGGCAAACAAGTTCTCACAGGCCTTTTCCATAAGGGCACTAATTCCTTTTATGAGGGCAGAGTCCTCATGAGCTAATCATGTCAAAAAGCCCCCACTTTTTAATACCATCACCTTAGGGGTATTTCAACATATGAATTTTTGGGAGACATAAACATTCAGAACACCACACCCATGTTCTATCAAAGCTTTCTTTTGATAGAAATTCTTTTTTGTTTATTTGTTTAGGATTAAAAAATAATAGTACTGCACCACCACCCAATATGCACAAAAATTTTGCTTCAAATTGCAAGACATTTTGGCATTTCCTAAAATGTACCTAGAGGTTTCTGGTGAAGAACCCTAGGTTACAAGGTATGAACACAGCAGAATGAAGACTAGGAAATGAAGAAACAAACTACATTTATTATGTGACCCTCGTACATAAAATAATCATGATTTTCTGATCTCATATCTATGCATTTTTTTACTGTCTAATAATTTATTTTCTCCAAGAAGAACAGAGTGAATTGTCAATTCTCAATAGTTCTAACAAGGTTTATGTTCCATTATGCCTTTTTTAATTGATGCTGATGAAGATAACATTTAACTGCTGCTTTCCAAAGGCAGTACAATGAAAATATAGCTCAAACTTAATCTCTGAGAATTTGATTATTTCTGGATTTTTTTAAGGAGTGACACTTTCAATAATGATAAAAGTCTCTCTAATATATCAAGAGACTGTATTTTTATTTAAATCTTTAGAAACAAAGGGAGATAGCTTTCTCACCCATGATCTTTAGGACGTTGTTAGGTTACTATTGTGGTAAAATGGTCACCAGGTGGCGCTGCTGTATTAGTCTCTAGTGGATTCCAAACCCAAATCCCAGGTTCTCTATTCCTACACAAAACCAGTAATGTGAGATAAGGCTGTTAAGAGAAAGAATCACTATTAACTGGGCACTCACTCTGTGCCAAGAGCTGCACCAAGTGCCCTCACATACTTGAGTTCATACAACTTTCACAAGAGTGCTCTGAGACAGGGATTGGAAAATTGTCCCCATTTCCCAGATGGGGCTTGGAGAGTTGGGCAACCTACCCATGGACCTATACTTAGGAAGGGCTAGAGAGTGCTTTAAAAATACATTCAAATTCTCAACCCCTGGCTTCAAAAATTTCTTCTGAAATGACTTTGGGAAATGCCAATGGGGAAGGCAGTTGTTTGTGTGTGTGTGTTCTTACTTGTTTGTTTTTAATCAGCATTTTTTTTTAATAGATTGCCTCACTTGGCCTGGGATTTGTGATTTCTGTAGAAGAAGGGCATTGGACACTTATTCTAATCACCTTAGTGACAAAACTCAACACAATTCACATTTTCTGTTCCAGAAATAACTTGCTGTTTCAATCTTTTCTGTATTTGAGTCTGTCTGATTTACTCTAGAAGGAAAGTACTTGTCTACCAAATAGATAGGTTTAACTTTTCATTGACTCATTCATTGAACAGTTTCTAGCAAATGGACCCTCCATAAATAATTTAATGATGCCAAAAGAGAGTAGGCATTCTTGTTTGTAAGGTATTGTATTCTAGTAAGTACCAGTTTGTGACATTTTGGTGTGAAATAAGATCAGAGAGTTTTGTGGGCAATATGTTTAACCCTTGCTGCTGCTTACTCCCTAGTTCAGCCCCTTAACAGAGTGTCTGTTATCTTTTTCCCAAGTGATCTGGGACATTTAATTCTTTTGACAGCAAGGAGAGTGGAATATGCCATTCTAAGTTGGACATAACTTTTCAAAGTTATAGGACTTGGCCATGTTTTCATGGTACAGGCAAAATCCACACACAGGATCAGCTAAGTACAAAAGCCAATGATTTTCCTCCTAATAATGCTGAATCTATTCATATGGCTTGAAGGAATGAATTGTTTGCCCAAAATAACTTTTCTATTACCTGGCATTTCACCATTATAACTTTATTCTTAGAGATAGATAACAAAATATTAGAAAAAATACCAGGCAAGCAGTGAAAAGAGCTTGGATTTTGACTTTAGGTATACCATCTGCAAAATATTTTTTCTTCCTTTCTGAATGTCAGGTTTTTTATGTCTCAAAATACATATCTTTTATTTCTCAGAATGATTATGATAAAACAGGCAATATATATATCATGTGTAAATGCTCTAAAAATTATCATCAATCAAGTGTTATGCATAATTTTAACTGTTTAGTTCTGATGTTTCTCTTTAAAGATGTTTTTATGAGGGTAACTCCTGAGAGTTAAAGACAAGATTAATATCTAAGAAGATGAAAGGAGGCAATGGTAGAACCAAGGTGACACTTAGCTACTTTGCAATGCTGCTCAGATTCTGGAGGACACAAATGCCAGGCTTGAAGCCACCAGCTTCCAGGCCACAAGAACAAGAGAACACAGAAACATAGCTGCTGGTTGAGCTAAATTCACCCACGATTTTGAATGATAATCCTATTTTATCATCCAATCACCAGACACGCTCTACCTTCTTAGGACTTCCTACATATCAGCATATAATCTAAAGGCAGCTACTGATGGAAGGGGGCAAGTGTTAACAATTTGAGAAGACTACTATACATTGTGAACTGAAAACCAGATTGAAGAACTAGGGGCAGAATCTTCTTTAGACCTCGAGTTGATAAAGCATGTTTATCCCAACAAGTAGACGGTATCAAAATAGTCACACCAATAGGTAGGTTGCATCAAACAAATATTTCTAAGACAAACTATTGCTACTAGAAAATGTAACAAGGTCTGGCCTCTAAAACACCTGAAACAAGTCTAATGAGCATAAGACAGTGGCTGTGAGATATATGCATAGCTCTGCCTCTTTGCCTGCTGCCATGATCTCCCGCCCCTCTTGTCTTATGGTTGATTTGTTTCCTGTTTGTTTTGGGTTTTGATTTTTACTTTTTACTAAAATGCAGTAAGATAATAAACAAACAACAATATACCATGAATGATCAACACAACGATGTCCACAAGCTGAATACACAAGAATAACCAAGAAACAGAATATTATTAGCAACCAAAAAGATATCACTTTCCCATGCTCTGTTTCAGTCATTATGCAAACCCTTCTTCCAAAGGTAACTCTATCTTGAACTCTAAAACCCTAGAATGATTTTTGTTGGAATTTTACTGTACATAAATGCAAGCTGGCATGTTTTTATGAGAATATAGGTGTTATACATGAAGAGAAAACTAACATTTTTGCTTGTGTTTGAAACCGCAAGATATCTATTATTCCTCTGAAAACTATACACATGGCTATATTACCCAAATTTTAAAGACCTTCAGTTTCAGAGATCAGACAAATTATTTCTACCATCTCTTCAATGTTTAACATCCCTTATAGCTTAGCAAAAGTCCTAAACTAAATGTCCATGAGAGAGTATTAACCAGCCTATTTTATTTTATTTTATATTTTATTTTATTTTATTTTTGAGACAGGATTTCACTCTGTTGTCCAGGCTGGACGGCAGTGACACAATCTCAGCTCACTGCAACCTCTACTCCCTGGGCTCAGGTGATCCTCCCATGTCAGCCTCCTGAGTAGCTGGGACAACAAGCGTGCACCACCATGCCTGGCTAATTTTTTGTAGAGATGGGGTTTCACCATGTTGCCCAGGCTGGTCTGGAATTCCTGAGCTCAGGTGAGCCATACTTAAAAGCAATTGGTGAGTCCTAAGGAAAGACTGGTTGTAAGGCTTCATTTAAGGTTTGGTGGCATGTCATTTATTGTCTGCTTATTCAGACAATAATTGACATGGGGCAGCTGATTCCAGACTTCAATGGGAGACCCTCCAGAGCTAGAAGTTGCCAATATACCATCGTTTACAAAGCATATCATATGGAATATATTAAACCCACGCCCACCAACTAAAATGACAACTCCTTTGGCTTCTGATTATAATTTTAAATTGCTTAGGGCTTTCTTACGTAGATTTTGCCATCACTTTCTTACTTTCCTGACACTGAATCTTTCAGGTCAGTGATCAACCAGGTCTCTTTATGCTACTACCCAGGTATGTGCTTTGGGGTTTACATAGCATTTGGGGTGGAGAGATTACCATGCATACATCCTTTTACCATTGTGGTCCTGCAAGCAGGAATCAAAGCCTTTGTAAAACTAACATAAAGCCTACTACTTTGGTGAACCCTCTGCAGAATTTCTATTAAAATATGCATTGTGGCCGGGCACAGTGGCTCACGCCTATAATCCTAGCACTTTGGGAGGCAGAATGGAGATGGATCATTTGAGCTCAGGAGTTTGAGACCAGCCTGGCCAACATGGTAAAAACCTGTCTCTACAAAAATACAAAAATTACCTGGGTGGGGTGGTACGCACCTGTAGTCCCAGTTACTTGGGAGGCTGAGGCACGAGAATCACTTGAGTCTGGGCTGTGGAGGTTGCAGTGAGCCAAGATGGCACCATTGCACTCTAGCCTGGGTGACAGAGTGAGACTCTGTTTCAAAAAAAAAAAAATATATATATATATATATATATAATTTTAAAATATTAATATATTTTATATATTTTTAAAATTTTAAGGCACAATGCATATATGTATATATATACACGTATATATATACATATATATGTATTTTATTTTTTATATACACATATGTGTATATATATGTGTATGTGGACATATATATACGCTTGTGTGTATATACATATATATATGCATTGTGTCTTAAAATTTTGGTAAGAGAAGTGAGTTCTTTGAGGTTCTGATATGCCTGAGTCTGGGTATCAGGGATTTGACTTTTGCAAGATCTCTTTCTCACGTTCTCTTTGTCTCTTTCTGGAGATTCCTCTCCAATTTTCCTGGTGGGAGTTTGGAGGAAAAGCCTGCAAGAGGGAGCACATTCTGTTATATTTGCAGATTCTCTGGGCTCCACACTCTCACACTAGCCCACAGGCTGTCTTTAGCAACTCATTAAGAATGTTTAGGGGAATCATATTCCCGGGCTTATATGGTATACAGGGTTGAATGGTGTCTCCCTCCAGACCTGCTCAAAAAAGATATGTTTAAGATGTAACCTCCAGAAGCTGTTAATATGACCTTATCTGGAAATAAGGTCTTTGGAGATGTAATCAACTTAAAATGAGATTAGGGATTAGGGTGGGCCCTAAATCCAATATGACTGGTGTCCTTATAAAAAGAGGAAAACTTGGACACATATGCACACACACACAGAAGGAAGACAGCCATGTGAGAACCAAGGCAGCAACAGGAGAGATGAAGCTGCAAGCCAAGGGATGCCAAGGATTGCCGGAAGCAACCAGAAGTTGAAAGGGAGGAGTGGAACAGATTCTTTCCTAGAACCTCAGAGGGAGCATGGCTCTGGGACACCTTGATTTCAGGATTCTGGCCTGAAAATCAAGAACTGTGAGAAAATAAATTTCGGTTGTTTTAAGGCACCTAGCTTGTGGTACTTTGCTATGACAGCCATGGGAAGCTAATACATAAGTGCTGTGCTGGACTCCTATTGACTCCAGTGGGGATGGCACCATGTTCAAGAGGCCAAAGAACCAGAGCCAGTGAAGGAGACACAGGGTTTACTGGGGGGACTTACGTATGGTGTGGTTCAATGGCAGTGGGCTGAATAGGAAGACCACTACTGTCTGTAGAAAGCATGCAGTTTATATAGCACTTTCACATCACACATTTCACCTAGCAATCTCCACTTACCCCAAAAACAAAGGGCCTCTATTCCTTGGACCACCTGTGTTCCAAGAGTTAAGCCGTGAGTTCCTTCACAGATAAGGAGTGAATTTCCGGGCTGGTCACTTCCTGATTCCTTGACTCAGAACTCTAAAGCAACATGCTTCTTAGACCATAGGGTCATTCTCAGGGTTTGCTTCAGTTGTGACTGTCAGGTGCCTCTGCCATGCAATAAGACATGCACAGAAACTGCTGCAAGCAAGCAGATGCTTACTCAGGTCCTGTTTTTCTCAGGAGATACCTCTTTTCTAAGATTTTACTATAGTGAGTTACCCTGTGACCTCAGTTTTCTGATGGCCTCAAGAAAAGTCATCAAATTTGCAGCCTGTCCAACATTTTCAATGTTGTAAGTGTGGAGCTCTCTATCTTTCTACATGTCTGAGCTGAAACTAGAATTCTTGATTATGTTAGTTTTTAATTTCAAAATCCTAACCAAATTTCCTTAAATAAGACGTGTTACTCTGAGGCTTAACTAGGAACCAACAAAAAGAAAGACTTTTGACTTCTGTAATATCAGTTTTGTTATTTCCCCACTGGTACTTTGATCTTTCCAGACCCTCAAAACAAAAGGAAAGACAGGACAAAGAGCACCATGTTTTCTATCTCTCCATTGTCTTGCTTCAGCATTGGTGAAGTCAGGGTCCCCCGAGAGTGAACTGATCTAGGAAGAGAGTAGCCAACAATTCTGATAGGAAAGGGCTTATCAGAATTGAGATGGTTTTCTTGCTACACTTAGCTACTGCACTGGAAGTCATCATGGCAGGAAAAGTAAGGTAAAAACCAGAAGTTTATTGATTAATGAGGGCTTTTCCAACAGCAATTAGGGCACGCTTCCTTCACCTCTCTACTCTAGACGCTGCTATTACTTGTACCTAGCACTACGGAGACATTTTATTCCTCTAAGACTCTTGACATTTTTTGACAACTCCCTTGTCTGATATTCAATAAGGTTATTTACCAAGGTAAATTTATTTTATACAGTACAAAACATTAAAACTTTAACAATCTTTATACATAGGCATCCATATTCATGAGCAGTATATCTACTACACTTCTAAACAGGAAATATACCTAAAAATATTAAGTGTCATAAAAACGGGGCATCCAGGGGGTAATAATTCCCCCCAAGTCCCTCTCTACTACTGTAGCCGAGGTACAGTCCAGCAGTAAAAGTACAGTCTTTCAAATCAGGCAACTTGTGTTTAATTTTCAGCTCTCCATTGTTAACATTATAAACCTTGTTTTCCTCATCTCTAAAATAAGTAAACTAATAGTATCTGTCTCATGTGAGTTTTTGTGAGTTAAATAAATACATGTAAAACATTTGAAAGGGTAACTGGCATATAGTAAGTGCTCAGCAAACATTGAATGCTATTATCTTATTAAAAGATTCTGCTGAAGTCAAGAATACAAGGAACCTACATCAATATGCAGTGGTTGAGGCCAGCAACCATTTTCAGGGGTTAGAAAGGTAACCTTTTTGAGATACCAGATAGATCCTGGTTGAAAGGTGAACAGGGAGTCGAGTTCACAAAGATCTTATTACTTGACCTACAGCAAGTTGGATTTTTCTCAGACAGTACTTCTCTAAATCTTTTCACTCTTTAGGGCTTCTGATTAGATTAAGACTTGTTTTTTTTTCATTCCAGTTAATTATGGAGGAAGAAAACTGAAGAAAGAAAATTGTTTCAGTATCTGGCAAAGAAGTGAAAACTGTGAAGAAAGAGAACCTGGTTCTGCTCTGAAACATCAAGAAGTGTGGCAGGTGGCTAGGTGCTTAGGTATGAGGTCCACTTTGAATCAGCTGGACCCAGTGCAACAAGAAATAAAAAGACATCTGTGTCCTTTTGCTACTGATATATGAGAAATTAATAACCCTTTTTTATAGCACTGAACAAATTCCAAAATCATCATAGGTATGTAACTTTCATATTCTCTAGTACATATGGTTAGTAGAGCAGGGATTTATTTTTCTTTTATACAGATGGGAACACTGAGGCTCAGAGAAGACACATGATTTTCCAGGTGGCAGATGTTATTGTTAGATCCTTTCAGGAATTAATCCACAGTGGTGAATGGAAAAGAAATTTCTATTTAACTTAAAATTAATGGGTAAGAATGTCATTCTATATATTTCTTCTGAAGCATTCTTATAATTCTGAATTATAAGAGTCTTTCCAGTCTTAGAGGATGCCTAAAACATCTCTTCTATATTGGGCTATTACTACTTAATTCATTGTTTATTTCAAACAAAATATGACATCTTTAGTACACCTTGATGTTTTTGTCCTTCTGCTCTTTTGTTTGCAAACTCTGACCTTTTGCTTCCTCCAACTTTCCTCCTCCCCATCCACTCTGGAGGACAGCTAGGAGGTAAATGCTGAAGCTGGCAATGTGTGCTCACCTCCCAGGCTCTGCCTTCTCCCTCATGAGCTGCATGTGTATATTCCTCACATGAAAATTTGTCAGCAGGCATTGTGAGTCCCAGTCCCCTGTACACCTCAAACCCTGCCTCTTGAATTTGTGTCTGTGTTAGCCATACTGTTGCCTGGGTGATGCTTGCCTATTGTGGTACACAGCTGAAGCAGGATATCTATTCTTCTTTAACACTTCTCTGTCTTATTTAGTGAATTGCACCCAGTCTTGGCTGCTAGAAAAGTCGGAGTTTTGAATGAGTTTCTTATTAGCTTTCTTTTTTTTCCATCTGTATTTAGCTATGTTATAAAGTCCTTATTTATTTTTTTCTCTGGTTCATTGCCTTTCTGTCTCCATGTCTTTGGCTCTCTCAATTTGGATTTTTGTTTTCTTTAATTTTTTTCCTAATTATTCTGATTGTTCATAATGATTATAGAAAATCTGGAAAATGCAAACTTATAGAAGAAAATAAATACTCATACTATTGAGCAGTGATGGACAATCCACTTTTTAGGAGCTGCACTTTAAACTATTTAAGTAAAAAAGTCAGCATCCATTAGCAATACCCAGAAGACTGCCTCATGTTATTTACTTTAAGCTACTTATATTTGATGGCCAGGACACTCAGATTTTTGTGGAGGATTTCAGGATCAATCAATCAATCAATCAATCAATAAAACTGTACTTGAGATAGTATGTGGTGAGTTATACTTAATTTTTAAATTCTTATTTTGATTACAAATTTATTTTCCTTAAATGGGGAAAAAAACAACTGAAGTTGAATGTCAAGAAGTTCTTATTTTTACATACAACAGTAATTTAGAACGAATGAGAGAGAGTTAGTATCCAACTACTCCGCCATAAAAAAGAAATGAATTAACGGCACTCAGAGTGACCTGGATGAGATTGGAGACTATTACTGTAAAAGTGAAATAACTCAGAAATGGAAAACTAAACATTGTATGTTCTCACTGATATGTGGGAGCTAAGCTATGAGGATGCAAAGGCATAAGAATGATACAATGGACTTGGGGGGATTTGGGGAGAAGAGTAGGAGGGAGGCGAGGGATAAAAGACTACAAATAGGGTGCAGTATACACTTGGGTGATGGATGCACTTGGGTGATGTGTGCTCCAAAATCTCACAAATCACCAATAAAGAACTTACTCATGTAACCAACATGAGTTATAAAGAACAACTAATGACCTGTAATAACCTGTGGAAAAATAAATAAATAAGAAGAAAAAAGAGATAGTATTCAATAAAATAAAAGGTGAAGAACGATGTCTGGTATACCAGTCAGCTGAGTTACAAAAACAAAAATCTGTGTCTGTGTGTACATGTGTGTTTTATTTTATATCTTTCCTTTTGTGTTTATACATATCCATACCCACACACAGAATCTGCTTGTACAGGGATAGAATGTCTCTAGAAACAGTTACAAGGAAGTTATCACACTGGTTTATTCCATGGGTGGAGGTACGGGAGCTTGTGTTCAAAGGAAATTTTTTTACTATATACTTTTCACATCTTTTGCGTTATTTTGTGAATGTGTTACTCTTCCAAATAAACACACACATTAACAAAACAATACAAACACTAAGGAAAAAATTTCAGAAGAGAGAGGTGAATATTTTTGACTCAGATATCCATCTGGCTTTTGAATTCTCCAGTACTCCTTGCAATGAAATTGTCAAACTGCCAACAGAGAAGCATTATTCAGGGTTCTTGGTTTTCTGAGTGTCAAGGCTCTCTTTGGCATTTGGTAATACTTTAGAAATGTTTACAGAAACAAAATTCATGGGAATAAAATATAGAAGTTATATTGAAAAAATTAAAATATTTTTAATTTGTCGATTTAGTAATAAATGAACTGCTTTATTAATGCTATATATGATTTACTGACATGAAATTTTGAATTATCTACAAAAATTGTAGTGTGATATAAAATTATTCGTAATTTCTATTGGTGATAAAGCACTCTAAATAGTACTGTGGTTTGTTGTTTACAATTGTCATTAAACGAAATGTTAAATTTCTGTTGGATGTTAGTAAGAATAAAGGAATATATTTTTTTCCTACTCATGTTCACAGACTCCTGAAAGAGTTTTTGGGGGTATGCTGGAAAA
This sequence comes from Homo sapiens, assembly GCF_000001405.40. NCBI lineage: Eukaryota > Metazoa > Chordata > Mammalia > Primates > Hominidae > Homo > Homo sapiens. The sequence goes on from NC_000003.12 coordinate 30,022,594, forward strand.
GAAATAACTTTGGATCAATCCACTGAACAAAACATAGTAAGGTCTATGACGGAGCACTAGCCAGCCTGAGGATATCCCAAGACTCACCACAGAGACAATGTGTGAGCTAGGTCTTACAAGACAAGCAAGAATTTGCCAGATGAATAAGGAGAAAAATGAACGTTTCAAGAGAAGGAACAATGTGAACAATAGCAGAAAGGTGTGGAAACTTGTGGAACTGCAACACAGAGACAATTATTTGTATTTCATTAATCCTGATGCACAAAGTAAAGGGAGGAGTTGGGGGAGATGAGTCTGCAGAGAAGGACACGAATGTGCATTGGAGAACGCTGTACGCATTGCTGAGGAGCTTGGATTTTATTCAGTGAGCAACGGGGAGCCTCTGAAGAACTATAATGAGGGAAGTTACATGGTCTGAATTGTGTTTTCTGTTGAGTGCTCTGGCTGCACTATGGAAGATGGGTTTAGGTTGGTGGGAGACCTAAGTCTGTGCAGAGATAATTAGTAATGAAATGGGAACATACCTTTTAGAATGAGGACATAGGATAGCGCTAAGAAATACTTATGATACTGTGGTAGATTGGGTCGTAAGTCTCTAATTCTTTGTGTTCTCCCTGTTTTGGAATTACACGCCCACAGCATTTGCCACGTGAGATTGTCCCTTGCACTAGAGGCAGAGTATATTTCCCACCCCTTGTCTTTGGGCTTAATTATTTTCTTTGGACAATGGGATATGAGTAGACTTGTTATAAACAGAGGTTTGATATGTGAGTATGCAATTAACCCTCTTGAATTTATCACCACAAAACATACTCTAGGTAGCTTCTAGTTCCAGGAGGATGGGAATACCTCTGAATCTCATACTTGGTCTGAGGCCAAACCCAGTTGCCTTGCAGTCTGAAGCAGAGCATCCCTGATAGGTCCAGCCTAAATCAGCAGAAACACAGTCACCCCCTAGAACCATACAAATGAGAACAAATGCCTACAGTGGCCAGCCACTGAGATTTTCAGGTTGTTTTTTATGTAATACAAGGTGATAAGTAGAGATATTAAGTTAGAAGTATTCAGTAGTTGAATGGATATAGAGTTTAGAAAATGGGGAACCAGTGGAAGAGATTCTCTAGGTTCTGATTAGAGTAGTTGAGGATATAACAGTTCAAAAAATGAGACAGAATTAGTGGAAGAGAAACAGCTTTTGTGGCAGAAGTTAACGAGGTCACTATGAGATATTTTGAGTTGGAACTCTTGGTGAAACATTTACATGAGATGATTTAACCTTCAGTTGTATATTTAAGTCAAGGTTTGAAAAGAAATCAAGATTGAAGTCAGAAAAGTGTAAGTCATTAGGTTATAGTGGGTAGCTAATATCATGAAAGTTATTAAGATGGCTCAGGGAGAGGGAATAGTGAATATAAAATTGGGCCAAAGAAAAAACAGTGATAACTCAAAGAAAGTCTTGATAGAGTAGAAGGAATCAATAAAAGATGCTGAGAAAAAATTGTTTATAGCTAGATGGAGAAACACAGTATTACAGAAAATAAGAGATAAGTGAGTTTTAAGAAGAGATAGAACAATATTATTGAATATGGCTATAATGGGCTGGTGTAGAGCCAAACTGCAAGTGGCATGATTTGAGAAGAAAATCTTATTTTTGTCAGAAACATATTCCTAAACTAGCAATTGCATCCATATATCTCAACCACAAGCAGGCCTTTATGTAATGGAATAGCAGATTCGGGAGATTAGTTACCTTTATATAAGTCTATTTATAATGTTATAAGCAAAATTGAACAGATTACTTTAAAACCCTACATATCAAATATTAAAGTATTTCTTCAGACTCTTTACATAATTAATATCTGATTCTTGAAACAACCATGGAGGTAGGAGCAACCGATGAATTGCCATTCAAACTCAAACTTCAAATTTGGCTTCAAATCCCATTTCTTTAGCAACATTACATCATATAGATTATGGCTACGAAGTGGAATACCAATTATGTGTGAGTGTGTTTCCATGTCTCAGTATCTAATGAGCCCATTTGATCTATGAGAATCACTTTGGTTATTACCGAAAGCAGACAAGAGCATTTTAGCAGTAACTATGCTTTATTGCATCTGTTAAGCAGAAATGTAGGCAATCTAGGATCAAGGCATGACAAAACGTGTTTCTAGCTCTGTTTTAAAGCCTTATTATGCTTTGCCTAAATGTTTTAAAACATTATGTTCCAGCAATGTTGGATTTAATTGAAAGCTGTCTTATAAAATTAATTCAGTCAAATGCAATTGGTGAAAGTTGTTGAGAGACAGTGGTGTTCATTTTTTCAAGTGCTGAAATTCTGATGGAGTTTGGGGCAGAGGAAAAAGAGTAAGACAATCAGTAGGAAGACAAATATTTCCATTTTCTTTTTAAATAACTGGTTATGATATGCATTTTAGGGTCATGTCCCACCACTCAGCAACAATTAATGCTAGAATATTGGTTATGTTAGTGAATATGCTTCTTTCCACTTTTTTCCCAGAATATCTACAAATTATATCATTGACAAATTGAGATGATATTCTTACAATTTACTGAGTCCTTTTTAAAATAAAATTTTATATTCTATTTAGTTTTTTTATAAAGTGCTTCTCAAACTATCTGTAATAATCATTTATTTTTGCTTTAACTTCTAGTCTGTCGTAAACCAATACTTTTGTAAAACACAATGAAAACTTTCTAGATGAAATTAAACAGACACACAATTTAAGCTCCCTATTTTTAAGTATTATTAAATTCAACTGACATTAAATTATAAAGTTTAAAAATGCCGATTCTCAAATTTTGTTGTTATCTCCCCATAGGACAGTAATAAACCTTTCACCCACTGGCACCTGCCTCATTACCACACTTTGAGTAGCCCTATGCTACAACATCTCTTTTTATTTTTTTATTTTCTTTTCTTTTTTTGTGATGGAGTCTCGCTCTGTCACCCAGGCTGGAGTGCAGTGGTGCAATCTTGGCTCACTGCAAGCTCGACCTCCCAGGTTCACGCCATTCTCCTGCCTCAGCCTCCCGAGTAGCTGGGACTACAGGCGTCTGCCACCATGCCGGGCTAATTTTTTGTATTTTCAGTGGAGACAGTGTTTTACCATGTTAGCCAGGATGGTCTCAATCTCCTGACCTCGTGACCCGCGTGACTCAGCCTCCCAAAGTGCTGGGATTACAGGCGTGAGCCACCACGCCCAACCTACAACATCATTTTTGATATGATATATCCACTACATTATTCATATACACAGACATGTGTTCCAGGCATCCCTTCTGCCTTATTTCCTTTTTAATAGGTTTCAACAGGAACAGGTTTGTGAAGACCAAAGTCAACAGTTAAGGGAGTAGTTACCATCGGAAGTAAACTCTATTGTACTTGAGGAGGGCAAGGTATAAAATTTAGTTACTTGAAATAAAATGAATAAAATGCATAACTTTGCACAAAGTATAAAATAAATAAAATGCATAATTTTGCACAAAGTATAAAAGACAATAAGTGCTTTTGGAGAAACAGTCAAAACAAGAAGAAGTTGACAGAACAGTAGAATGCTTTTTATTCTTTGATCTTAGAAATGGAAAGAGCCCAGAGCATAATTAGTCTATGTCAGATGGAGTTGTCTGTCATACAGAAGGTTTGTATCAGATCATTATTTTCAAAACTGGAAGACATGTTACACTGTTAGTATACAACATGTTATTTGGTGATACACTGATAAGTATGTTTCTTATATTTGTATTTATGAATATTGATAATTTTAGAAAAATAAAACAGCATCAAGATTCCATCATGGCCGCTATCACTTAAAATAAGGCTAAATAGTAAAAATAATTAAGAGAATTAAAAGAAAAGCATGAATTAATAATAATATAGGTAGTATGAAAATATGGCTCTGTGGAAATTACTCAATTTGGAGGAAATCCGGATTGGATACAATTTAAGGTACTATTCATAGCCAAAATTCTATGTATTTTCAGCTATTGCTTTGGAAAATAATATATATCATAGAACTCTGGACCTTGGGGAAATGGGTGGAGACACAGAGGGAGAAGGTTATTTTCATTACTATTGCTGTGAAGCAAATCACCTTAAAATTAGTGGCTCAAAACAACCATTATATTATGCTGATTGATAATGTTGGTCAAGAATTCAGGGAGGGAACAACAGAAATGGCTCATCTCTATTTTAGGTTACTTGAGGCCTCAACTGGGAAGACTTGAAGGGCCTGGGCTGGGAGGATTTAAAGATCAGGCTGATGACCAGGCTACCTACATTTTGGCTTAACTGTGTGACACAGCTTCCTAACAGTGTGGCAACCTCAGGGCAGTTGAGCTTCTTACAGATCTGTTCAGTGCTCCAAGAACAAGGTGGAAGTAGACTCATTGTTTCAGACTAAGTTTAAAAGTCATACAGCATTGCTTCTAATGTATTCTATTGATTACAAGAGTCGCAAGTCCACTCAGAAACACAGACCTTATCATTGAATGGGAGGAGTATCAGAGAATTTGCAACTGCTGTGTCTCAGAAAACATTACAACTAAGTACTTTGACCTAAAGGAGACTGGTGGAGGTCTCAGAAGCAAGAAGCTCACTCTGATTTTTCCTGTCTTTCTGTGTGAAGGATGGTTGTAAAGGAATTGATATGGTTAGGCTTCCTGTCCCCACTCAAATCTCATCTTGAATTGTCATCCCCATAATTCCCATAATCCCCATGTGTTAAGGGAGAGACCAGGTGGAGGTAATTGAATCATGGAGGTGTTTTCCCCCATGCTATTCTCGTGATAGTGAGTGAGTTCTCACAAAATCTGATGGTTTTATAAGGGATTTTCCTTCCTCACTGGGTTCTTCTTCTTCCTGCCACCTTGTGAAGAAGGTTTCTTGCTTCCCCTTTGCTTTCCACCATCAATTGTGAGTTTTCTGAGGGTTCCCCAGGCATGCTGAACTGTGAATCAATTAAACCTCTTTCCTTTATAAACTACCCAGTCTCAGGCAGTTCTTTATAGCAGTATGAAAATGGACGAATACAGGAATTTTCTGACCAACCTTGCCTCAAAATAGGTCATAATACCCTAGTTCCGAAGTGGTCCTGCCCCATAGCTGGGTTGGGGAGGGAAAGAAATGCTACACCAAGAAGCCAAGAAGAATCTGAACAAACAGGCCTTGCTGAATTTCCACTCTTGGTCATAACTAATAGATCACACTGTTTTTATACAATCACATTTCTTTCTACAAAATTGTCCATTCTTTACACCACCAAAGCATAAAAATACACGGTTTTCCCTGAGTCTTTGAGTCATTCCTGAAAGCTTCTGTTTCATGTAAAACTTTGTTAAATAATTTTTTGTAGTTCTCTTACTAATCTGTCTTTTGTTATAGGAGTATTAGCTATAACCCTCATGAAGGGCAATAGAAAGTATTACCTTTTCGCTCCTACACAGCTATTTTTTTTTAAATAACCTTAAAGGATGAAAGTGAGCTACATGGTCATGCTTTTAAATTCTATTTCCCACACTTTTACAAATTTATTCAACTCGGTTATGAAATTTTCTCACTAGTATTTTCCATGCATGTGAGTTTAACAGTGTCCCTCCTTAAATCAATATTGCAAGAATAAGTACTTGGAACAAAGTCACCTGACAAGGGTACAACAGAAGTATCAATTAAACACTTCTACCACATTTACTGGGTTGCTTATCCAACTCCACACCCTAAATTCTTTTGATCAGAAACAGTTGCCTGCAAATGGGAAGGAAAAACCAGATGATTAAGAGGGTTCCAATGAGAGATGCGTTCCATCTATTGCATTATGTCCAATCACCTGGTGAATTTTAGTGATTATTCTTTTGGTGTATCTCACCTTTGTGCTATTACTCAGGGTAATGAGCAGAGAGCTTGAATTTTTTTAATGTGCTGATAAATATTTTCTGGTCATTTGCAATACTGCTAAATTTGTGGGATTTTTTGGTTGTCTTTGTTTTTTAAATTCTATCTCAGAAATAAGGAAATAAATAGGAAGACCCAGTATGGCACACTGCTATTCATAAGCAAGTTATCCTTTACTGTTTCAGCCACTGTTTAGTCATTGCCAAAGCAGTTCACATGCTCAAAACACAAATTGAAAAGGACAAAATTAATATGGCAAACTAGCCACTCAGAGCAGCTCTTAAAGGAGAATAAAAGATCGTATCTGATGTATAGCTGATGTTTCCTTACAAAGGAGAAGGAAATCATTATCCATGTAGTAAAGTACATGAAACATGTAAGCTGGAAACCTAAATATTTGGTAGTAAAAGTTCCCATCTCTACATGGCTTTATCCTCACTCCTTGAAATAGTGAGATTGGTTCTAATGACTACATCCTTTTGAGTGGTGGTGTTCTCTTCCTCAACCCTATAATCCTCTTTGAAATAAGTTTTAGCCAGTAGAAATACTGTGCAACAGAAACATGTGATAATATGGTTAATATCCTTAAGAAGTACCCCTTACAAAAACAAAGCAAATTGGCTGAGAAACTCTGTTCAGAACTTGAATTCTTTCTGTGGTGGGTTTTACATACATGCTACCTAGCTACCTTTTTTATTTTTCTTATAGCAGTTTGGTTGAACTAGCCATGTATTTCAAAGCGAAGTATTTTGGAGGGATCCATGATAATGAACAATGTTTCTCAAGTTTTAATGTGTACAGGATTACCAGCAGATCTTGTTAAAAGTGCAAATTATAATTCTGTAGGTCTGGGCTGTGGTGGATAGGTGTGTCCTGAGATTCTGGCTCCAAGGCTGCTGGACCCAAGACTACACTTTGAGTTACAAGGATAGGAGGACACAGTGTATTTTGGATTTTCACCCATTAGAAGAATTTCAAAAATAACTCTAATTATAATCAGCTTTGTATATTTCTCCATATACAAACTAGTTCAAATCATTACTGTAGTAGATTCAAATAAATAAATTTATCATCAAGTAAAAAACATTTCCAGCTTTTTTACCAGAAACACAAAGATTGTTAATTTCAGAGTTAAATCATTAGGAGACATGAGATAAATGGCAAAAGTACTTTAGTGTTTACTGAACATTTAATTAATTCATTTGAATTTATAGTTTTGACTTTGCAAGGCTGAGGTTCTTGAAACATGTTTTCCTTAAACACTAGCTGTTGTGTTCTTAACCTCAGAATCAGACAAACTGAACATTCAGTGCAGCCAACCACACATACAAACACACACATTAAAGCTAAATTTACTCTGTCCCTGTAGCATCCCCAAATGTGTATGAAGAAACCATTCTAGACATTTCTATCAGGGTCCGACCCCGCCCCGTACTAATTTTCAAGCTCTGAGACGAAATGAGAAGGCAACAGTGTGTAATTAGGGAAATCTATGATTTACACATTAATGAGCAAAGAAATGCAACCCACAGAGGGAAGAATGAAATTGTGGCCAGCTAATAAGTGTCTGTACTTATTAAGGCTAAAGAAACAACCTATGAAACAAATCTAAGCCTTTCCTAAACAGTGCAGGATAATTATATTTGGCATGAGTTCCACAGGGAAGATGCAGCTTCAGAAGCTTAAAGAACAGAGAAATGGGAAGAGGAGAGCCAGCTGAAGATATAAGTAAAACATTTTTCAGATATATCACAGATGAGGGAAAGGATAATGGTGAGAAAAAAAGACACTGAAGGCCATGGGGAAAAGGAGGAAAAATGAAATATGCCTTTTTAACCTCAGCCTTCATTCTGGAAGATGATGGGAAAATTTAAATTTCAAAGTCATCCACAAGAACTTGGAGAATAACCTTGATGGAAAATTTCTAGCAGGACTACCGAGATCTTTAATGCCAAAAATCAAAAGAAACAGATGAACAGTCCCTTGAAGAATTTATTCCTCTCCTGATGGTAACTTTGTTAAACACTGACTCTTATACTGGAAATGATGAAACAAATGTTATTTCTGCCTGTGAGAAGTTACAGTGGAGGGAAGAGTCTACAAACAGACATACTCATACACTGCAGCAGTCTATATATGCAAGGCCAGTAAAAACTCTGGGCCTTTTTCTCACTGGGAGCTTTGGGTTCAAACCCCAGATCCTCCATTTACTAAGAAATAAGTGACACCTTGAGGAAGACACTTTATCTTTTAGAATATCTGGTTACTTATCTTCAAAATGGAAATGATAATATGTCTAAGACAAGACTGTTGAGAGAATTAAATATGAGAGAGCCCAACTTGCAAACACATAATATTTATTTTTGTTTACTTTCTATCTGAATTAAAGCATTCTGCAAAGGGCCAAGTTTAAGGATGATGTCATGGACATTCACAATAGTAAATGTGCTTTCCTTACTATTTCCCTTCCTTCTTTTTCTCTATCCCTCCCTTTTTTCCTTTTAACATTACCAAAAATGTCATAATAATGAATACAATTGCTCTACTTGGAGAGCTCAGAGTGGAATAAACAGAATTGTAAATCATTTCAGAGCAATGCAGCAAATTTTGTAGCAAGGTGAATCATAGTTATTGGAGAAGAATTAAGAATGAGACCTCTAATTATGGGCAGAGGGAATGGAAAGTTAAAGCTCATGGTAGTAAAAGTGTCTGGTAAAGGGTTTATAGAGGCAGTGACATCCAAGATAAGTTCAGACGAGATCAGGTGCATTCAGGGTGGCATGGCTATACACCAAGATAAGCTTAGGATGCCCAAATGGACCTAGTTCTAGTTATTATCTTATCCCCAGTTCCTAGCACAGTGCCTGATACATAGTTGAAGGTTAATAAATTATAATTAAATGGATAAATGATGGTGGTGGACAAAGAGTAGATTGGGCTCTCTAGACCAATGATTATAAATCATGGCTGAATATCAGAAGAACCTTAGGAAATTCTAACACTATAGTTTTAGGATGAAGTCCAGGATGATGAATTTTCATAAAGCTCCACAAATAATTTTGTAATGCATGCTCATGTAAGAATCACTGTACTCAAAAGGGAGAATTGCACATGTTGAGAATCAGAGACCCAAGGCTGCTTATTACAGGTAGATCATTAAGAATGCATCAAGAAGTAGCCTAAGGCATTTGGGATAGAATTATCAACAAAGCAAAGGAAGTTCTTCTCTCCCACTTATGAGGGAGGATGGGACCTAAAAATATTTTTTTTCAGTTGATATATAGTAGTTGTACATATTTTGGGGGTACATGTGATATTTTCATGCGTATATACAATAATCATGTATGTAATGATCTAATCAAGGTAACTGGGATATCCATCACTGCAAACATTTATCTTTATGTGGGAACATTACATTCCTTCTAGCTATTTTGAAATATATAACAAATTATGGTTAACTATAATTTTCCTACTTTACTATCAAATACTAGAACTTATTCCTTCTGTCTAATAGTATTTTCATCCCCATTCACTAACTTGTCTTTCTCCTCCCTTCTCCCTTCCCTTTCCAGCCTCTGGTAACCACCGTTCTACTTTCTATGTCCATGAGATCCACTTTTTTAGGCCCCACACCTGAGGGAGAATATGAGATATCTGTCTTTGTATACCTGGCTTATTAAACTTAATGACCTCTAGTTCTATCTATGTTGCTGAGAATGACAAGATTCAATTCTTTTTATGGCTGAATAATATTTTGTTGTGTATATATGACACATTTTCTTTATTTGTTCATTTGTTGATGGACACTTAGGTTGATTCCATATGTTGGCTATTGTGAATTGTGCTGCAATAAACATGAGAATGCAGATCTCTCTTCAATATACAATTTCCTTTCTTTTGGATATATACCCAACAGTGAGATTGCTGGATCATATGGTAATTCTATTTTGTTTTTTTGAGAAGTTTTAATACTGGTTTCCATAATCGCTAGACTCTTTACATTTTGCTAGATGACTGGCCTCACCTGAATCTCCTAAAACCTAGTAACAAGGTCTGGTGTGCAGGTAGTTATATTTGGAGTTGATTCCTAGAAACAGGGCCAGAGAACGTGTAAAAGAAGGAGAAAAAAGGAGTGTGCTATTGAGTTGGCAAACAACATGGGCAACTTCATCTAAACAGACCTTCTGAGGAGCTTCCAAAACAACTTTCAGAATTTCCCACCAGATCATCTCGAAAAAGAAACATTTATCAACTCCAGTACCCACTGAAGGTTGCCCTAGGGTGTACTAACTCCTCTGTACTTCTACGTATGCCAAAAAGAGAAACCCTCAGCCGAAAAGCAAAAGATGTGCTATACACACTTAAGAGTGAGCTGCTAGGAGAGCAAGATGAGTTAAATTTCATATGGAACTAGGCAAAAGCCACAGTGGACATCAGAGATGAAGCTGAGGGGATGGAGGTAAGAGGGATACAGCAGGAATCTGGTACCTTGACCTTCAAGATTTATTTTAATAAATTATCTAAGCTCATTCAACTTATTTGCAGCACATGTTAAGAATTATTACCCCCTCATCAGAGCACATCCTTTAGTTGATGTATGTGTATTTAACCTATTATTTTAGAATTTGGCATAATTATTGGCTGTGTCCTCATCTGAATATATAGAATTTCTCACAACATCCTACTTTACATAGTAGGTAGGTCATCTATAATTGCTTGTTTAGAAAAATTATTTATGAAGATTTTGTTACTCTCTTTTGGCATCACACTACAAAAACATTTTTTTCCAGGTTTCATGATAAGTAATAAAATTACCTCATTCTATAAATGAAGATAATATTATATCTCAATCCACCATAATCAAATAAGCTTAAAGGCACCATTGGAAATACGGATATCTATATATATGGTGTTGCCAAGGAAGGTTGACTGAATGAAGTAGTATTCTGTTCATCTTAGTAAATTCTTCAAAATCCTTCCTCCAAACCTCAGGCTTTCATATGTAGGAACTCACTTTCTCAGTGCCTCAAATTTTATCAGGATCATGAATGCTAATCAGATATAGATAGATGTGTCAGCTTCTTGAATCAAAATCTACATGTATTTTGTTCGCTATGTATAAAGTATCCCCATGGCCTCAACTAAAATGCCTTCTGGGACTCGGCAGGGAATGTGAATAAGTGACATTATAGGAGTGCAGACCCAGTGGGAATTGGACAGTATATGCCCTATTTAAAGGCACCCAATTATTATTATTTCAAAATACTATGTGGCTAAATAAAGTAATGATAATAACAAAAACAATAAACTGTTATTGATGTTATCTAATAGTTGGTAGAAATAAACACTTTATTATTAGTATTATCATTATTATCATCATTATCATTATATTTTCATCTTATGTACTCTACTATTTGATTTATGAAATTTAAATATTATCCTTTGGCTCCCACATGTTATCTATTCAGCAACCAATACATTTATTCAATTTTCCTCTTTCTTCTTTTTTATGTTTATTTCTACTAGATCAGGTCACATAACCTTATGTACTCTTGTTCCTCCCTTGTCTTCAGCTTTGTTGTATTGCTAGATCTTAAAAAAATGTCTAGCCAATGTTTACTTTACTCCTTCTGTTCAGGTTTTTCTTGCCATATCCCCATTGGATGAAGGTCTTCCTTTGGTCCACCCTTCAAGAAAGGGTCTGGAGTATAATATCCCTCAAGTCTTTGAATGTTTAAATTTGCTTTCCTACAGTTTCAATACTTGAAAGACATTTGGCTGGATGTAAAATTGTGAGTCATATATCTTTTCCTTGAATTTACTGAAATTTCTTGTACCACTATTATTTATTTTGCTTATTACTGTCAAGATCCTACTGATCTTATGTTTCATAAGAAATGTGGTCTTTTTGGCACAGCGTGGTGGCTCCTGCTTATAATCCTAGCACTTTGGGAGCTGGGGCAGGAAGATCACTAGAGCTCAGAAATTTGAAACCAGCCTGGGTAACACAGTAGGAAGGAAGGAAGAAAGGAAGGAAGGAAGGAAGGAAGGACAGAGAGAGAGAGAGAAAGAAAGAAAGAAAAGAAAGGAAGGAAGGAAGGAAGGAAGGAAGGAAGGAAGGAAGGAAGGAAGGAAGGAAGGAAGGAAAAGAAAGAAAAGGGAGGGAGGGAGGGAGGGGAAAGAAAAGAAAAGAAAGGAAAGAAAGGGAAGGGAAGGGGAGGGGAGGGAAGGGAAGGGAAGAAAGAGAGAGAAAGAGAGAAAGAAAGAGAGAAAGAAAGAAAGAAAGAGAGAGAGAGAGAGAAATGTGGTCTTTTTATTCTGGAATAACCAATTTTTTTATTTCTATAGCATTAAAGCCTGTCAGTCTGTTCTCTAGGATGTGTCCCAACCTTGATTCTCCAGGAATATTGACCCCTTTCAATAAATAGATTGAGATTTTCTATTTCTGGAAAGTTTTCTTTGATTATAGTTTTAAATAGTTAGTTTTAAACATTAGTTTGTTTCATTGTTTTTCTTGGATCTTCTGCCTATCTTCTGTATCACTTTATCACTCTTTCTTTTTCTCGTCTGCTTCATTCCTCTCCTTAATGTCTTTTCTATTTTAGTTGATACTTCACTACCTAGGTTACTTGTCATTTTGTCTTTTTTTTCCCCTTTTGGAGACAAGGTCTGGCTCTGTCACCCAGGCTGGAGTGCGGTGGCGCGATCTTGGCTCACTGAAACCTCTGCCTCCCTTCAAGCAATTCTTGTGCCTCAGCCTCCCAAGTAGCTGGAACTACTGGCAACCGCCATCACGCCTGGCTAGTTTTTTGTATTTTTAGTGGAGATGGGGTTTTGCCATGTTGGCCAGGCTGGTCTCGAACTCCTGACCTCAAGTGATCCACCCACCTTGGCCTCCCAAACTACTGGGATTACAGGCGTGGACCACTGTGTTCAGCCTTGTCATGTTAGTCTTTATTTCTGAGATAATGTTGAATTTTTCTTCAATTTACTTCCTAGGATTTGTCAACACTCATATCACATCTTCCTATTTTGGCCCATTTCTAGTCTGAATTTTTGTCTAATTTAAGGTCTTTCATATTTACAAGTGTTCGTTTAAAGATATTTAATTTATATCAGAGTACTGTTTTACAAGTTTTCCATTTTATGATTTCACATGCAGGTGACATAATTTTAATTAGCTGAGGAGTTTTGATGTTCATATTCTGTTTTCTTCTTACAGTAGCTTTATATTGTTATTGCTTGCCATTTTCTGTTTGTTTTTAAATGTCCTAAATTTTCCTGGGTGAATAATAGCATGAGTTTCTGTGTTGGGAGTCTGGGATTTAGGTGGTTTATCAGGTTTCTTAGTTCAAGAATGTACTTTTTGGTTGGCACAGTGAAACGCAGGTTGTTAAATGTAGTGTTTGTGAAATAGAAGAGGGCTGTGTGTTTCGATTCTGTAATTTTCATGTTTCTTTTAGACCCTTAATTTATAAACTTGCTTTGTTCTTTCCCTTCACTGCCAAGCCTCCAAGGGAAGACTTTCCCTATTAAGATAGCTCATCTCTTCCAGAAAGCATTACTCTTGCAAGACTAATACTTGTGGTCGTAGGCACATCCAAATCCTTTCCATTTGACCCGCCCTACATTAGTTACCATCTATTGCTGTATAATAGATCATCCTGAATCGGGTGCCTTAAAGCAAGAAACAATTATTATACCACAGTTCCTGTGGGAAAGGAACTTGGAAAGCAGTTTAAGGGGGAGATTTTGGCTCAGGGCCTCTCATGAGGTGGCAATGAGATGTCAGCCAGGGCTGCAGTCACTTAAAGGGTTGACTATGGCTGAGGGATTCTCTTCCAAGCTGTTGGCAGGAGACCTCTGTTCTCTGGATGTTAGCTGGAGATCTCAGTTCCTCTTCATGTAGGCTTCTTCATAGGGTTGCTTGAGTGTCCTCAGAACATGGCAGCTGGCTTCTCCAGAGTGATTACAGAGACAGAGAGAGAAAGAGACAGAGATGATGATGATGATGATGTTAGTTTTTCCCAGTTGCATCTACTTCTTTTCTGTGTAATATGTTTGACTATTCACCCTGGCATGGGCTTCTCAGGTAATTGTACATAAATTGAAGGTTGTAATATGTTTTCTTTCCTTGTAATGCTATAGGCATAGATTGTAATTTTTCTCTCTCTCTTTCTCTCTCTTTTCTAAATGCTCTGTATGGGTTTGGTAAGTAAAGTAGAAACATTTGTATTCAAGCAGCATTATCCTGAGAGAAACTGGATGTCTCCCAGTAAATAATTTTTTGGCTGTCCTCTGTAGGCCAAGACCAATAAATAATTTTTGAACATGTGAATGAATGAATAAATTGATGCAAAATGAAAAGGCTAATTTATTGAATGAAATGACACTGACCATTATGGAGACTGGATTCTTGTGAACATATAATCAGATTCTTTTGTTTCTGGAGAAAATTGGAACCCATATTATAACCACAATGTTCCTGGGTAAGAATAGAATGGGTAAATTGGATTCAGTTGTAAAATTGGAAAGTTTAGTATCATTAGACCTTCTTATGTGACCACAGTGCTGCCATTGGCATGATAGTTGCTTGGCAGGATGGTCTCAAAAGGAAGGTAAAACCAATAACCTGTTCGGTGAGTAAGCCCTTACTTTGTACTCAGGCTTCTCAGAACCATGTTCTACTGTCTCAAAACATGCCTGTATTGGTTGGAAATATTGTCTTTTCATGCACATACATTACAACATGAACAATGGGAACACACACATTCACACTTGTAGATAGGGGCTCATGCACACCTGCCTATTCAGATAGGACCCAGCTCTTTACCTCATGGAGAGAAATCCTGGCAGAATGGAAGCACTCAAACTTTAAAATCAGACCTGGGTTCCATAGGTCACAGTGGGCTCTCTACTTAGAGAACGTGACCAGGATACTACATCTCTCTGGGCCTCAGGTTATGTGTCCAGATCCTTAAGACAATTTTTAATTTCTCTCTCAACTAATGCATCTTATTAAAGCTTTTGGTTTTCAGAGGCAAAATTCGTTTTTTGTTTATGTTTTGTTTTTTTCATTGTTGTCTTCAAATATGTCCAATTTTGTTTGGCTTAAGCTTTTTTATTATTGTCACACTCTCAAAAACACACTTTGCATTTCTGAGGTAATTCAGAGTGTCATATTCTGTAGAATCTCTTCTGATAAGATTCGAACATTTTGGAAAGTTTACAATTTTCTCAAGTTGGGAAGGAAGGAAATCAGTGTTACTAATTTCTTTTCTTTTTTTTTGAGACAGAGTTTTGCTCTGTCGCCCAGACTGGAGTGCAGTGGCGTGATCTCAGCTCACTTCAAGCTCCGCCTCCCAGGTTCACACCATTCTCCTGCCTCAGCCTCCCAAGTAGCTGGGACTACAGGCGCCCACAACCACGGCCGGCTAATTTTTTGTATTTTTAGTAGAGATGGTGTTTTACCTTGTTAGCCAGGATGGTCTCGATATCCTGACCTCGTGATCCACCCGCTATGGCCTCCTGAAGTGCTGGGATTACAGGCGTGAACCACCATATTCAGCCACTAATTTTTAAAATATATTTTATTGTATTTTATTTCATTTTAAGTTCTGGGGTACATGTGCAGGATGCAAAGGTTTGTTACATAGGTAAATGTGTGCCATGGTGGTTTGCTGCACCTATCACCTAGGTATTAAGCCTAGCAAGCATTAACTATTTTTCCTGATGCTCTCCCTTTCCCCACACACCCCCAACAGGCCCCAGTGTGTGTTGCTCCCCTCCCTGTGTCCATGTGTTCTCATTGTTCAGCTCCCACTTATAAATGAGAACATGAAGTGTTTGGTTTTCTGTTTCTGCACTAGTTTGCTGAGGATAATGGGTTCTGGCTCCATCCATGTCCCTGCAAAGGACATGATCTCATTCCTTTATATGGCTGCATAGTATTCCATGGTGTATATGTTCCACATTTTCTTTATCTAATCTATCATTGATGGGCATTTGGATTGATTTCATGTCTTTGCTACTGTGAATAGTGCTGCAAGGAACATACCTGTGCATGTATCTTTGTAATAGAATGATTTCTATTTATTGGAGTATATACCCAGTAACAGGATTGCTGGATAAAATGCTGTTTCTGATTCTGGGACCTTGAGGAATTGCCACGCCGTCTTTGACAATAGTTGAATTAATTTACATTCCCACAAACAGTGTAAAAGCATTCCTATTTCTCCACAGCCTTGCGCCAGCATCTGATGTTTCTTGACTTTTTAATAATTGCCATTCTGACTGGTGTGAGAATTGTAATGTTGATTTACATTTCTCTAATGATCAGTGATGTTGAGCTTTTTATCATGTTTGTTGGTCACATGTATGTTTTCTTTTTAGAAGTATCTGTTCATGTACTTTGCCCACTTTTTTTTTTTTTTTCTTGTACATTTGTTTAAGTTCCTTATAGATGCTGGATATTAGACTTTTGTCAGATGAATAGACTGCAAAAATTTTCTCCGATTCTGTAGGTTGTCTGTTTGTTAATAGTTTCTTTTGCTGTGCAGAAGCTCCTTAGTTTAATTACATCACAGCCAGGCACGGTGGCTCACACCTGTAATCCTAGCACTTTGGGAGGCCGAGGCAGGCAGATCACCCAAAGTCAGAAGTTTGAGACCAGCCTTGCCAACATGGTGAAATCCCATCTCTACTAATAACACAAAAGTGAGCCAGGCTTGATGGTGGGCACCTGTAATCCCAGCTACTTGGGAGGCTGAGGCAGAAGAATTGCTTGAACCTGGGAGGCAGAGGTTGCAGTGAGCCAAGATCACACCACTGCACTCCAGCCTGGGTGACACAGCAAGACTCTATCTCAAAACAACAACAAAAAATTAGTTTAATTAAATTTTATTTGTCAATTTTTGCTTTTGTTGCAATTTGCATCTTTTTTGCAATTGCATGTCTTCATCATGAAATCTTTGCCCATGCCTATGTCTTTGTCATGAAATTTTGCCCGTGCCTATGTCCTCAGTGTTATTACCTAGATTTTCTTCTAGGGTTTTTATAGTTTTAGGTTTCACATTTAAGTCTAATCCACCTTGAGTTAATCTTTGTATGAGGTGTAAGGAAACGGTCCAGTTCCAGTTTTCTGCATATGGCTAGCCAGTTCTCCCAGCATCATTTATCAAATAAGGAATCCCTTCCCCATCGCTTGTTTTTGTCAGATTTCTCAAAGATCAGATGGTTGTAGATGTGCAGTCTTATAAATGAGTTCTCCATTCTGTTCCATTGGTCTATGTGTCTGTTTTTGTACCAGTACCATGCTATTTTGGTTACTGTAGCCTTGTAGTATATTTTGAAGTTGAGTAATGTGATACCTCCAGCTTTGTTCTTTTTGCTTAGGATTGTCGAGGCTACACGGGCTCTTTTTTGGTTCCATATGAATTTTAAAATAGCTTTTTTCCATAATACCTATGTCAATGGTAGTTTAATGGGAATACCAATGAATCTATAAATTACTTCGGGGAGTTTGGCCATTTTGACAATATTGATTCTTCCTATTTACGAACATGAAATGTTTTTCCATTTGTTTCCTCTCTGATTTCCTTGAGCAATGCCTTGAGTAGTTCTCCTTGAAGAGGCTCTTCACTTCCCTTGTTAGCTGTGTTCCCAGATTGGCACCACATGGCACTTACTCGAAAATTGATCACATACCTAGAAGTAAAACACAGCAAATGCAAAAGAACTGAAATCACAAGGAACCATCTCTCAGACTACAGCATAATCAAATTAGAACTTAAGATTAAGAAACTCACTCAAAACCACACAACTATGTGGAAATTCAGCAACTTGTTCCTGAAAGAGTCCTGGGTAAATAATGAAATTAAGGCAGAAATCAAGAAGTTCCTTGAAACTAATGAGAACAAAGAGACAACATACCAGAATCTTTCGTATGCCGCTGAAGCAGTGTTAAGCGGGAAATTTATAACATTAAATGCCCACATCAAAAAGCTAGAAAGATCTCAAATCGACACTCTAACATCACAACTGAAAGAACTAGAGAACCAAGAGCAAACAAACCCCAAATCTAGCAGAAGACAAGAAATAACCAAGATCAGAGCAGAACTGAAAGAGATATAGACATGAAAAAGACTTCAAAAAATCAACAAATCCAGGAGCTTGTTTTCTGGAAAAAATAAATAAATAAAATAGACTGCTAGCTGGACTAACAAAGAAGACAAGAGAGAAGAATCAAATAGGCAAAATAAAAAATGATAAAGGTGATTTCACCACTGACCCTCAGAAATACAAACAACCATTGGAGAATACTCTAAACACCTTTATGCAAATAAACTTGAAAATCTAGAAAAAATGGATAAATTTCTGGATACGTACACCCTCCCAAGACTGAAGCAGAAAGAAGTTCAATCCCTGAATACCAAGAGCGAGTTCTGAAATTGAGGCAGTAATATATAGCCTACCAACCAAAAAAAGCCCAGAAAAAGACAGATTTACAGCTGAATTCCACCAGAGGTAGAAAGAGGAGCAGGTACCATTTCCTCTGAAATTATTCTAAACAATTGAAAAGAAAGGACTCCTCCCTAACTCATTTTATGATGCCAGCATCATCCTGATACCAAAACCTGGCAGAGATACAACAACAATAAAAGAAAACTTCAGGCCAATATTCCTAATGAACATCAATGTAAAAATCTTCAATAAAATACAGGCAAATGGAATCCAGCAGCACATCAAAAAGCTCATCCACCATGATCAAGTTAGTTTTATCCCCGGATGCAAGGCTGGTTCAACATATGAAAATCAATAAATGTAATTTATCGTAAACAGAACTAAAAACAAAAACCACGATCATCTTGATGGACACAGAAAAGGCCTTCGATAAAATTCAACATCCCTTCATATTAAAAACTCTCAATAAACTAGGTTTTGAAGGAACATACCTCAAAATAATAAGAGCCATATAGGACAAACCCACAGTCAATATCATACTGAATTGGCAAAAGCTAGAAACATTCCCTTTGAAAATCAGCACAAGACAAGATTGCCCTCTCTCACCACTCCTATTCAACATAGTATTCGAAGTTCTGGCCAGGGCAATCAGGCAAGAGAAAGAAATAGAAGTTACTCAAATAGGAAGAGAGGAAGTCAAATTGTCTGTTTACAGATGACATAATCCTCTATCTAGAAAACCCCATTGTCTCAGTCCAAAAGCTTCTTAAGTTGATAAGCAACTTCAGCGTAGTCTCAGGATACAAAATCAACGTGCAAAAATCACAAGCATTCCTATATACCAACAACTGACAAGCAGAGAGCCAAATCATGAATGAACTCCCATTAACAGTATTATTTATGAATAGGGCCCAAACCTACAATGGTTGTGAAAATGGGCAAACATGCTGCAAATCAAGCTTGCATTCACAATAGGTCTCATTTTTGGTGGTGGTGTTATTTTACTTGTTTGTTTGTACAACATCATTTCCAATGATTCCATTTAAGTAGGCATTTCTCTTACTGGTAGTAAATTTTAGATTATGTGGTTAAAAACACCAAACAAGTCATAAGACTAAGTTATCAAAGACAAAGTTTAGAAATGTTACTACTTCTAAAACTATGGAATTGGGAATTACCAGAATTCTTTTTAATAATTTTTTTTAAAGCACACCTCAAAAATGTATCTATAGAAGCCTCAAATTCTGAACAAATCAACATAGGATGAATATTCAAAAGTAGGGGACTTTCTATTCATTGAAAAATCAAAACAAAACACACACACGCACACACACCCCCCAAAACAGCTGGCATTACACTTCATGGAAGTCTTTCAAATCCTAGGACACATCTGTCTAAAATGAATCTAGATTTCTTTGAACATTGACACTTGGTTTTAAGGATTAAGAGACACGATAGTGATTCTGTTCCACCAGAGGGCACCACAGACTACAATCCAGCAAGCGTGCTTGTGGGTCTGGGTACATAAACTCAATAATTTAAAGCAGCTACTTCTAGGCTTTGCATTTTTCTAACATAGAGAGATTTTTAACTTCAACAATGAGTATTATTGATTTTTCAATAAGGTAGGATTTATTTTAAACACATTAATTTCACTATACACTTCTGAAATTTTTACCCCCACATGGAAAACAAACAAAAATAAAATGGAAACAGTAGCTTAATCTTACATGTATATGTGTACTTCCATGAGGTTATTTATTTCCAAGTCCGGTAATGGAAAGCTGTTTTAGATACAGTAACTCTATGACAAAGTCCACCTAAAATTTTGCCTCTTGGGATTCATCTGGGAAAAGTATTTGGAATTTGTGGGTTCTGTAGAACAGGTTCTAATATCCAAGGAAACTACAAGAAGCAAGGCTTTCCCCTCCAGATGTTTCTTAGCACTAGAAATAAAATGTGTCCTTCCATTTCCAACTCAGTAGGGCTTTGAGAAACTCCTGCCGCCTTCAGCACAGAGGATGCCCCAGCCCATCGCCTATTGAAAATCCAGGCTTTGCCTCAAATCTCTGACAATCAAATGCTTTCAAGCTATTCTTTAGTTTGCTTCAAATGCTGGGCCTATAAAGACAGATTTACTTATATTCCCTTTGTACTCTGAGGAGCAAATTTTATCAGCTGAAAGCTCGCTTGCAGTCTCCTTTGAGTGTTCAGTAAGCCAAACTGCTTGTGAAGTATAACCCCCATGACTGCTTTCCACAGACTGATTAGGACTGAAATAGTGAATTTGAAAATGCAGCACCAGTTGAAATTCATGGGCTGACAGAGGATCACAGCTGATCATAATTTCTCATGTGAAAATGTGATTTCCCTCCCCCTGTTTCCTCTTGGTAAGCTGCTGAAAAGTATTAAGTGAGTTTCCTAGCCTGTGGTCAGGGATGTCTGCACTTGTGCTGCTGGGGAGACACAATTAGGAGGAACAAAGGTATCAGAACTCCAGGCTCTGACTTTTTAGGCTTACCAAGAGATAGCTTTCAGGCCTATGAACTGATGAATCCTATACCAAGGGGTGCAGGAGGAGGGAAGCAAATACTCTTAAACAGCTTAAGCCTCTCCCCTAGTTTAATATATTTTCCACAATCACTTTGGATAACAACATGATCTTGTATCTAATGCTATCTCACAGACAACACAGCTTTGAGGCTGAGTGGTCATCGAAATCCTGAAAGCGCCCTCCCACCTTCCCGGAGACTCTGGATAGTTACCCTAATTGTTTCTATTTTTATATAGCAATTAACAAATTACTAAAATTTGTTAAGAGAGTAAGTCCGAATGTTAAATGTTGCTACCAAAAAAACTGAAACAAAGGAATATAAGAAAAATAAATATTTTATAATTTTAAAAAATTATTAAACCATTTAAATATATAACTAAATGGATATTCCACAGAGCATTTAATTACTTTGTTAGCAAACATAATTTTTCTTCTGGCTCCCCTCCCCTTTCCCACAATATCATGTTTTTCTTATTCTAATCCTGCCCAATGCTACACTATTTTACATTTTCTACAAAATCTAAATCCTCCCCTTACAAAATTTAATTTTATGAGAATTCCTGCCTGCTACATGTTTGAGCGATTTAATGGGGAACATGGCCTCTCACACTGGGGCCCCAGATTAACGTAAATAGTAAATAGAATTGGCAAGTTGTAATTGATAATTCAAAACTCTTGGTATGGGCATTCAGTCTGAGTAAAGCAGTATATTCTTTTGCACTGGAATTACAGAAAACCAGTGTGCTTACATTGATCAGAATCTATTTGGTAATTAAGTGTTTCTGACTCATATAAATAGGAAACGAAATGGTTACTAAGAAAATATATGGAGTTCTCCATCACCCATTCATCCCTACTCTTCTAATTGCTCTCTGGCCCTCCTTCCCTTCAAAGTATTTAAGGATTTGAAAGAGATGTTTGTTATTCATTCATACTTCTCATTTCCCACTTTCTCCACAACCCCCAGAGATTGATTCCTGCTTCCAAACCTACTTAATCCTTGTATGTGAAAGCTACCAATGACTTTCTAGTTGCCAAGATCAACATAGAAAAGTTTTCCTGTCCAAATTCGATTTGCCTTTCTCTAACATCTGGCATCATAGAGTTTCTTCCTTCACTGATTCTCTCATCTGATTTAACTTTCTGTCTCTGGTTGTTTCCTCTCTGCCTCTTCCTTCCTCCTTTGCATATGTTTACACATTCTCTTGGGTTCCATGCCAATTCTTTCTTAGTCTATGCGCCCCCTAAATCACCTAATCCTGACTTCAACTACCATTTAAGTAATGACATTATTGAACGTTTTCTCTCGTTCAGATTTCTAATTCAGCTGGACATTTCTGTCTCCTGAATTTCCCCACCAGGAGGTCTGGAGTGGAGAAAATGCTATGTGTCCACCTAAACCTTTGCTTCATATTTGTGTTTTACTAGACATTTGCCAACCTTCCTTGCAGTTATGCAGGCTGTATGATAGACATAGGGCTAATGGGATGTGGTTAGAATCAACACAGATCACTTCTGTGTATCATCCGTATCATGGTCTGTGCGATCACCCGAGCTCTTTCTCTTCCCCGACAGCATTAAAAGATGATAGTTTCACAGGTTCACCAGCCAGAAACATTTGCACCAGATTTTGCTGGAAAGAAGAGTCAAGTTTTGTTAGGCCACTGAGAATTGCAGTTGTTAGTTACAGCAGTTAGACCACTCCAACTATTGCAGCATAATAAAGGATTTAGTATCTCTAAAATGGAACTCAATTTGCTCTACAAGACAAATTTCCTATCTCAGTGAATGGGAACACCAGTTTGCCCAAACCAGAGAATTTAAAGGCTCTCAAAATTTATGCTTCAAACTTTTCCCACATTAAGTTAAGTTTCTTACCAAAACATGTTAATTTGAACTTTTTAGCATGGACACTCTCTAGTTCAGGCCTTCATGGTTTCCTAATTGTTCTTTGCTTTTGGCCTCCCCTCCCATCATTTGAAGTCCATTTCCTACACCCTTTGAAGGATAATCTTGTTCTTTTTAATTATTTCCTTTCACTTTAAAAATTAATAGCACCAATATTGTGCTAAGAAATAAATATATGCGTATTTTAGAAATATTGGAGAACTCAGAAAAGTATTAACTAGAAAATAAAAGTCAATTACAACCTTGAGACCCCATGTAAACACTATTAAACATTTGGTTCATGGGTTCCTATGTTATTTTTATGTTTGTGTTTGTAATCTATTTATATGCCTATAGATAGATATACCTAAAATTCTAAATTTCATAGATAGGTATAGCTAAAATTGTAAATTTAATGTTTATATCAAAGTAATACATGTATAACTTTTAAAAGTTGATTATTAATACAGCATTTGTACTGAAAACCAACCGTTCCCTGTCTCATTCCTGCCTATTTTTATTCTACTCCTTAGAGGCAAATGCTTTCAAGTATTTTAGTAACTTATTATTGATGTGTTTTTCTCCATATTTTTAAGTAGCATGCAATTCACTTTTTTAAAAATTGTATCTATTATCTACTGACTTCCTGCTATATAAAATGAGAATTTAGTTTTATTACATCCTATTTCCCCACACAAACCTACTTGACAATAAAATTATGTCACTCTTTTTGGTTAAATGCATGATATTTACATTTTATTATGCTATAATTACTTAAAACTGAGGTTCTTAAGTACACTGATTATGTTCTTGCTCAAGTTTTTCTTTTTCCTGGCATTTACTTCGTTTACTATATATCTATCATGAATTTATATCTTAAAAAAAAACACAAACATTCTTTTCACTACATAAAACCACTTTAGATATTTAATTAAATACACTGTGGGGGCAATTTCCCTATTAAAGCCCTCCATATTCATGTTCCAATCAGGACTATATATTTTTAGAATCTATAATATGTAAATAATGCTTATAAATCAATAATAAAAAGAAAAATGAAAAGAGGTGAATGACTATTTACAAAGGGAAGACAATGGTCAATAAACATGAAAAGCTACTCCATTTTATGAGTGCTGGCAAAATTAAAACGCTTGAAGATACTAAGTTTATTAGAAAATTAAACATTTTATTACTCTGTAAATATCACTTAAAACAGGCTTTTAAGTACAGAGGCTCTTGGTACAACCTTTTGAGGGAGTAGCAGACTGTGCATAACCTAGATATTATATACCGTAAAGCAACTCTTGCTCATATATCTGAGCAGACATGTACATGTAGGCATTTTGCAGCATTGTTCTTAATAGCTCCTAATGGGAATAATTCCAATGTCCATCAATAGAACATTGAATAAATAAAATATGGTATCTTAATGCAGTGGAATGCAGTACTGCAGTGAAATTAATAAAATCCATATCTGTATGAATGAATCTCAAATAATAAACACAGAGAAACAATAAAATGCCAATTTTAATATAGTGGTTATTCCTGGGAGAAAGGTGTTGGGGAAGAAATGGTACAGAAATACACACAGGACTTTAACTGTATTAGCATTTTCTTTGTGAAGCAGCATGGTGACTATATTATTCCTCATACCTCTTTGATTTAAATATTTCATAATCTATAAAAAAGCTCAACTGGAGTCACAATACTGTAAGAGAGCATAGTTGGTGTGTTCTTTGAGTATGCAGAAATTGGCTGATAGCATTGGTTGTGAGGTCCCCATTAGATGAATCTCAAGAAACCAGGTCATGAAAGTAATGTTATTTAACAGAAGAGAAAGAGAAGGGCTAGCCACTTGTTTTTTTCCCATCTCTCTAAACTTCTCTTAGTGACAAGAGGTGCTGTGTTTGGGTTATATTTTGGGAATAAGTCTCATGGATTGGTCTGTGGCTATTGAGTAATTTCATTTTGACTCAAGGGAACTTTATGTCTGAAGGTGCATTAAATAGCAATTAAGTAAATACCTGCCTAGAAAAATGTGCTTTGAATGTGCCAGCCTGTTATTATACCTGGGAAATGCCTTCAGAAAAATTCAGCCTGCTGCAATCCTAAATCTTGCAGACTTGTGTGGAAATGCTGAAGGCTTTTTCAGATTTGCACATACCTTAATGTCACAGAAGTCTGACTTGCTAACTAAGCTAAGATACTCTGTCAGTGATGTTTATTAACAGAATTTTGAATTGAGTCCTGATGCTTCTGCATGTGTTTTACTTTAGATTGAACACATTTCTGCATTGAGCTGTCATATTTTCCATTGTAATGATAGAAGAACTGCACCAGGGACACAAAATAAAAGGCATTGCATCAGAAGCAAATCACATAACAACCCTAGAAGTTGCATTGTGCTATATTGTCCGCCATTAAAAGGAACTCTGTTGAGTTCTGCAGGGAAAGAAATGGATTGAAAATTAGAATTCACTCTCATCTTTACTAACTTATGTCTGGTGGTATGGCAAGTAACTGACTCTCTCAGCATTTGTACTAAAATGTTAAAATGTTTATAGCACTTACAGGGGCATTAGAAGGCTTAATATATGTTTAGAAATTCCTACTAATAAGCTGCCTTTCCTCTGAAGCATTCGAGATACTAAAACTAATTAGGTGCTATCTACTCATTAAGTACTAAATGACTGTTTTTATTGAGTTCTGAGATTCTAAGGAAAAACTTGTGAGGCATAATTATTGTCGGCACTGAATAGTATATATGATGAGTGGCATGAAAACAATTCATTTCATTACTATAGCAGATTTTAGCTATTTCACTGTAGGAATGGGATAAGGTACTGTTTAAATCAAAAGGTGAAATCAACACTGACATATCTGAACCTTCAGATGGCTCAGGATGGACCCTCAGGATTTCATGTGAGTTGAGACTAAGGATAATGAGTTTCTTTATTATCCAATTTGTATCTAGAAAAGTTAACCTCCAGAACTACTGTCTTAGAAATATTCTAGTGGCTCAGCAGGATGCATAAAGTCTGCTCTTTGGTAGAGAAAAGAATGGTCAAGAACTTAGAAGAGAATGAAATACTACAGCCATATTTTCAAAATGTCACTCAGAGATTTCTAGAATGACCATCTAAAGTCTGAAGTCAGGGTCAGGGCACTGCAGCACGTCTTAGGTGTTTCCTGTACAGGCAACTTCATGTGATCATGTCTCAGCTTTCAGCCTGACCATGTCACCACCCTCCCTCCCTCCTGGAAAGTGTTATCTTTGTTTGAGAGAGAGATACTTTTTTTCCCTTATGTCCGGGTAGATTATACCACAGCATACCTTATGAATTGTATGGGGCAACTTAATAGCACTAGAGGAAACTTGCATTTCAGTGGCTTACTGTAGTTGACAGGTAAACCGAAGAATTATCCTGCACAATGCAACTATAAAATGCTTTAGAGTTTCTAAAGTGTTTCCATTACTGTGCTGATTCTAAAGTCAGAGATAAAAGTCTCATTTTTTATAGCAGCTTTTCCAACTATAGGTATATTTGTTCCTTGCAGAATAACTTCTGTGTGCTGAGAACCAGCTGGGGTTCTCTAATTCTTAAGTTGTGTTCTTAAAACTTTTAGACGTGAAGAATCTAGAAAACTTGAAGTCTTGTTTGAGATTTATATTATTTTAATTCCAAATAAAAGAAAGTCAATTTTATATGCCTGATTCTCAAGGAGGAGATGTATTAATATTTGGCTTAAAAATCAAGCTGCAGGGGGAGCAAAATGTAACCGATCTCAGACACATCTGGAACTAAGAAATTAAATACCAGCAAAACTTTCTTTCTGCCTCTCATCTTTGATTTTTTTTTAATTCCAATTTTTTTATTCTCCTTCCTTTTAGACCAGTACCAGAGCTGTGCTGATTTATGTCATCTCTAAGTCCTAATTAAAAAAAAAATTCCAGGGAAAGAATTTTGATATGGTTGGAGTCAGGGTTGGTGGTACAAATAACAAGAAAACCTGATACTCCCAGGAGAATCTAATGGTTATAGCATAGCCAAGAAAAACTCCCTAAGTAAGATGGATTAGTACTTGGGATTTTGCAGCCACCAGAATTTACCTGCCTGTTCTCCCAAGGATGGAGGTTATATTTATCTACTCATGGTTCTATAACCAAAATATCACAGATGGGGCAGCTTAAACAACAGAAATTTATTTCTCACAGTTCTGGAGGCTGGAAGTTCAAAATCAAGATGGCAGAAAGGTTGATGTCTGGGAAAGGATTTTCCCTTGGGTTGTAGATGGCCACCTTCTTGCTGTGTACTCACATGGCCTTTCCTTGGTGCTTGCACACAGAGTGAGAAAGAACTAGCTGGTGTCTCTTTTGATAAGGTCACCAATACTATTGGATTAGGAGCCCGTCCTATGACCTCATTTAACCTTACTCACCTTTTTAAAGGCCCTATGTCCAAATACAGTCATGTTCTACAGTACTGGGGGTTAGAACTTCAAATATACTAGGGTGGAGCCAAGATGGCCAAATAGGAACAGCTCCAGTCTACAGCTCCCAGTGTGAGTGACGCAGAAGACAGGTGATTTCTGCATTTCCAACTGAGGTACCAGGTTCATCTCACTGGGGAGTGCCGGACAGTTCGTGCAGGGCACCGCGCATGAGCTGAAGCAGGGCAAGGCATCGCCTCACCCGGGAAGGGCAAGGGGTCAGGGAATTCCCTTTCCTAGTCAAAGAAAGGGGTGACAGACGGCACCTGGAAAATCGGGTCACTCCCACACTAATACTGTGCTTTTCCAACGGGTGTATCAAATGGCACACCAGGAGATTATATCCCACACCTGGCTTGGAGGGTCCTACGCCCACGCAGCCTCACGCATTGCTAGCACAGCAGTCTGAGATCAAACTGCAAGGCAGCAGTGAGGCTGGGGGAGGGGCTCCCGCCATTGCTCAGGCTTCAGTAGGTAAACAAAGCGGCCAGGAAGCTCGAACTGGGTGGAGCCCACCACAGCTCAAGGAGGGCTGCCTGCCTCTGTAGGCTCCACCTCTGGGGGCAGAGCACAGACAAACAAAAGACAGCAATAACCTCTGCAGACTTATTGGGATTTTGCAGCCACCAGATTTTACCTGCCTGTTCTCCCAAGGATGGAGGTTATATTTATCTACTTATGGTTCTATAACCAAAATATCACAGATGGGGCAGCTTAAAGAACAGAAATTTATTTCTCACAATTCTGGAGGCTGGAAGTTCAAAATCAAGATGGCAGAAAGGTTGATGTCTGGGAAAGGATTTTCCCTTGGGTTGCAGATGGCCAACAGCAAGTAAGATGGATTGTCTGATAGCTTTGAAGAGAGTAGTGGTTCTCCCAGCATGCAGCTGGAGATCTGAGAATGTGCAGACTGCCTCCTCAAGTGGGTCCCTGACCCCCGAGTAGCCTAACTGGGAAGCGCCCCCCAGTAGGGGCACACTGACACCTCACATGGCCAGGTACTCCTCTGAGACAAAACTTCCAGAGGAATGATCAGGCAGCAGCATTTGCGGTTCACCAATATCCGCTGTTCTGCAGCCACCGCTGTTGATACCCAGGCAAACAGGGCTGGAGTGGACCTCCAGTAAACTCCAACAGACCTGCAGCTGAGGGTCCTGACTGTTAGAAGAAAAACTAACAAACAGAAAGGACATCCACACCAAAAACCCATCTGTATGTCACCATCATCAAAGACCAAAGGTAGATAAAACCACAAAGATGAGGAAAAAACAGAGCAGAAAAACTGGAAACTCTAAAAATCTGAGCACCTCTCCTCCTCCAAAGGAACACAGCTCCTCACCAGCAACGGAACAAAGCTGGACGGAGAATGACTTTGATGAGTTGAGAGAGGAAGGCTTCAGAAGATCAAACTACTCCGAGCTACAGGAGGAAATTTGAACCAATGGCAAAGAAGTTAAAAACTCTGAAAAAAAATTAGACAAATGGATAACTAGAATAACCAATGCAGAGAAGTCCCTAAAGGACCTGATGGAGCTGAAAACCACGGCACAAGAACTACGTGACGAATGCACAAGCCTCAGGAGCTGATGCGATCAACTGGAAGAAAGGGTATCAGCGATGGAAGACGAAATGAATGAAATGAAGTGTGAAGAGAAGCTTAGAGAAAAAAGAATAAAAAGAAACGAACAAAGCCTCCAAGAAATATGGAACTATGTGAAAAGACCAAATCTACATCTGATTGGTGTACCTGAAAGTGACAAGGAGAATGGAACCAAGTGGGAAAACACTCTGCAGGATATTATCCAGGAGAACTTCCCCAATCTAGCAAGGCAGGCCAACATTCAAATTCAGGAAATACAGAGAATGCCACAAAGATACTCCTCAAGAAGAGCAACTCCAAGACACATAATTGTCAGATTCACCAAAGTTGAAATGAAGGAACAAATGTTAAGGGCAGCCAGAGAGAAAGGTCAAGTTACCCACAAAGGGAAGCCCATCAGACTAACAGCGGATCTCTTGGCAGAAACTCTACAAGCCAGAAGAGAGTGGGGGTCAATATTCAACATTCTTAAAGAAAAGAATTTTCAACCCAGAATTTCATATGCAGCCAAACTAAGCTTCATAAGTGAAGGAGAAATAAAATCCTTTACAGACAAGCAAATGCTGAGAGATTTTGTCACCACCAGGCCTGCCCTAAAAGAGCTCCTGAAGGAAGCACTACACCTGGAAAGGAACAACTGGTACCAGCCACTGCAAAAACATGCCAAATTGTAAAGACCATCAAGGCTAGGAAGAAACTGCATCAACTAACGAGCAAAATAACCAGCTAACATCATAATGACAGGATCAAATTCACACGTAACAATACTAACCTTAAATGTAAATGGGCTAAATGCTCCAATTAAAAGACACAGACTGGCAAATTGGATAAAGAGTCAAGGCCCATCAGTGTGCTGTATTGAGGAAACCCATCTCACGTGCAGAGACACACATAGGCTCAAAATAAAGGGATGGAGGAAGATCTACCAAGCAAATGGAAAACAAAAAAGGCAGGGGTTGCAATCCTAGTCTCGGATAAAACAGACTTTAAACCAACAAAGATCAAAAGAGACAAAGAAGGCCATTACATAACAGTAAAGAGATCAATTCAACAAGAAGAACTAACTATCCTAAATATATATGCACACAATACAGGAGCACCCAGATTTATAAAGCAAGTCCTTAGTGACCTACAAAGTGACTTAGACTCCCACACAATAATGGGAGACTTTAACACCCCACTGTCAACATTAGACAGATCAACGAGACAGAAAGGTAACAAGAATATCCAGGAATTGAACTCAGCTCTGCACCAAGTGGACCTAATAGACATCTACAGAACTCTCCACCCCAAATCAACAGAATATATATTCTTTTCAGCACCACACCACACCCATTCCAAAATTGACCACATGTTGGAAGTAAAGCACTCCTCAGCAAATGTAAAAGAACGGAAATTATAACAGGCTCTCTCTCAGACCCCAGTGCAATCAAACTAGAACTCAGGATTAAGAAACTCACTCAAAACGGCTCAACTACATGGAAATTGAACAACCTGCTCCTGAATGACTACTGGGTACATAACGGAATGAAGGCAGAAATAAAGATGTTCTTTCAAACCAATGAGAACAAAGACACAACATACCAGAATCTCTGGGACACATTCAAAGCAGTGTGTAGAGGGAAATTTATAGCACTAAATGCCCACAAGAGAAAGCAGGAAAGATCTAAAATTGACACCCTAACATCACAATTAAAAGAACTAGAGAAGCAAGAGCAAACGCATTCAAAAGCTAGCAGAAGGCAAGAAATAACTAAGACCAGAGCAGAACTGAAGGAGATAGAGACACAAAAAACCCTTCAAAAAATCAATGAATCCAGGAGCTGGTTTTTTGAAAAGATCAACAAAATTGAAAGACTGCTAGCAAGACTAATAAAGAAGAAAAGAGAGAAGAATCAAATAGATGCAATAAAAAATGACAAAGGGGATATCACCACTGATCCCACAGGAATACACACTACCATCAGAGAATACTATAAACACCTCTATGCAAATAAACTAGAAAATCTCGAAGAAATGGATACATTCCTCGACACATACACTCTCCCAAGACTAAACCAAGAAGAAGTTGAATCTCTGAATAGACCAATAACAGGCTCTGAAATTGAGGCAATAATCAATAGCTTACCAACCAAAAAAAGTCCAGGACCAGATGGATTCACAGCTGAATTCTACCACAGGTACAAGGAGGAGCTGGGACCATTCCTTCTGAAACTATTCCAATCAATAGAAAAAGAGGGAATCCTCCCTAACTCATTTTATGAGGCCAGCATCATCCTGATACCAAAGCCTGGCAGAGACACAACCAAAAAAGAGAATTTTAGACCAATATCCTTGATGAACATCGATGCAAAAATCCTCAATAAAATATTGGCAAACCGAATCCAGCAACACATCAAAAAGCTTATCCACCATGATCAAGTGGGCTTCATCCCTGGGATGCAAGGCTGGTTCAACATATGAAAATCAATAAACGTAATCCAACATGTAAACAGAACCAAAGACAAAAACCACAGGATTATCTCAATAGAAGCAGAAAAAGCCTTTGACAAAATTCAAAAACCTTTCATGCTAAAAACTCTCAATAAATTAGGTATCAACGGGACCTAACTCAAAATAATAAGAGCTATCTATGACAAACCCACAGCCAATATCATACTGAATGGACAAAAAATGGAAGCATTCCCTTTGAAAACTGGCACAAGACAGGGATGCCCTCTCTCACCACTCCTATTCAACATAGTGTTGGAAGTTCTGGCCAGGGCAATCAGGCAGGAGAAGGAAATAAAGGACATTCAGTTAGGAAAAGAGGAAGTCAAATTGTCCCTGTTTGCAGATGACATGATTGTATATCTAGAAAACCCCATCGTCTCAGCCCAAAATCTCCTTAAGCTGATAAGCAACTTCAGCAAAATCTCAAGATACAAAATCAATGTGCAAAAATCACAAACATTCTTATACACCAACAACAGACAAACAGAGAGCCAAATCATGAGTGAACTCCCATTCACAACTGCTTCAAAGAGAATAAAATACCTAGGAATCCAACTTACAAGGGATGTGAAGGACCTCTTCAAGGAGAACTACAAACCACTGCTCAATGAAATAAAAGAGGATACAAACAAATGGAAGAACATTCCATGCTCATGGGTAGGAAGAATCAATATCGTGAAAATGGCCATACTGCCCAAGGTAATTTATAGATTCAATGCCATCCCCATCAAGCTACCAATGACTTTCTTCACAAAACTGGAAAAAACTACTTTAAAGTTCATATGGGACCAAAAAAGAGCCCGCATCGCCAAGTCAATCCTAAGCCAAAAGAACAAAGCTGGAGGCATCACGCTACCTGACTTCAAACTATACTACAAGGCTACAGTAACCAAAACAGCATGGTACTGGTACCAAAACAGAGATATAGACCAATGGAACAGAACAGAGCCCTCAGAAATAATGCTGCATATCTACAACTATCTAATCTTTGACAAACCTGACAAAAACAAGCAATGGGGAAAGGAGTCCCTATTTAATAAATGGTGCTGGGAAAACTGGCTAGCCATATGTGGAAAGCTGAAACTGGATCCCTTCCTTATACCTTATACAAAAATTAATTCAAGATGGATTAAAGACTTAAATGTTAGACATAAAACCATAAAAACCCTAGAAGAAAACCTAGGCAATACCATTCAGGACATAGGCATGGGCAAGGACTTCATGTCTAAAACACCAAAAGCAATGGCAACAAAAGCCAAAATTGACAAATGGGATCTAATTAAACTAAAGAGCTTCTGCACAGCAAAAGAAACCACCATCAGAGTGAACAGGCAACCTATAGAATGGGAGAAAATTTTTGCAACCTACTCATCTGACAAAGGGCTAATATCCAGAATCTACAATGAACTCAAACAAATTTACAGGTAAAAAACAAACAACCCCATCAAAAAGTGGGCAAAGGATATGAACAGACACTTCTCAAAAGAAGACATTTATGCAGCCACAAGACACATGAAAAAATGCTCATCATCACTGGCCATCAGAGAAATGCAAATCAAAACCACAATGAGATACCATCTCACACCAGTTAGAATGGCGATCATAAAGAAGTCAGGAAACAACAGGTGCTGGAGTGGATGTGGAGAAATAGGAACACTTTTACACTGTTGGTGGGACTGTAATCTAGTTCAACCATTGTGGAAGTTGTTGTGGCGATTCCTCAGGGATCTAGAACTAGAAATACCATTTGACCCAGCCATCCCATTACTGGGTATATACCCAAAGGATTATAAATCATGCTGCTATAAAGACACATGCACACATATGTTTATTGCAGCACTATTCACAATAGCAAAGACTTGGAAACAACCCAAATGTCCAACAATGATAGACTGGATTAAGAAAATGTGGCACATATACACCATGGAATACTATGCAGCCATAAAAAATGATGAGTTCATGTCCTTTGTAAGGACATGGATGAAGCTGGAAACCATCATTCTCAGCAAACTATTGCAAAGACGAAAAACCAAACACCGCATGTTCTCACTCATAGGTGGGAATTCAACAATGAGAACACATGGACACAGGGAGGGGAACATCACACACCGGGTACTGTTGTGGGGTGGGGGGAGGGGGGAGGGATAGCATTAGGAGATATACCTAATGCTAAATGATGAGTTAATGGGTGCAGCACACCAACATGGCACATGTATACATATGTAACAAACCTGCACGTTGTGCACATGTACTCTAAAACTTAAAGTATAATAATAAAAAAAAAAAGAACTTCACATATACTAATTTGGGGGCAGGGTCATAATTTAGTCAATAACAGAGGATCAGATTGCTTCCAGCTCCCCACAACTACTAAAAAGCTTAAAAAAAAAAAAAAAAAGCAACCCTTATACATATCACCTTATGCACTGTATTAGTTAGCTAGGTCTGCCATAACAAAATAGCACAGAGTGGATCGTTTAAACAACAGATACTTTTTTTTTTTCCCTCACAGTTCCAGAGGCTAAAACACCAAGATGAAGATGCTAGCCAGTTTGGTTCCTGGTGAGGGATCTCTTCCTGACTTGTAAATGGCCACCTTCTAACCCTGTCCTCCTATGTCCCTTCCTCTGTGCATATATTGAGAGAGATAGAAATCCCACCAAAAGCCCTATCCCCAAATATAACCACAATGAGGGGCAGGGCTTTGAGATTTGAATTTGGAGGAGATACATATTCAGGTCATAAGATGTGCCTATTTTAAAAAATTCCTTGGAATACTGTATCAGTTACAAATTGTGCTACAGGAACAAACAATCTCGTAATTTCAGTGGCTTAACACAACAAAAGTTTATTTTTCACTCATTCTGGAGATCCAAGATAGGTCTTAACTAACATAGAGAATATGCTCATTATAGCCACCCTAGGACCCAGGTTGATAGAGACTCCATCTTAACATATTGTTTCCATTATCACTGCAGCAGTAGCAAGAAAACATATCTCCATTCACATTTCATCGGCCAAAGTAAATCACATGGCCACATCTATCTTCAAAGGTGGAAGAGCAAATCAGTGCAATCTTATCATGCGCCTAGGAGGTTGAGAGACAGAAATATTTGATGACTAGCACTAATTTCTATAATATATGTTAAGGAGTGAAATTTCTAGATGATAGAGTGAATATGCATTTTCTTAATTGCCTTACTGATGACAGACCACACTCCGTAATGGCTGCAACAGTCTACATTCCCAGCAGTGTGCAAGAAGTCCATATTCTCACCAATGCGCAGCATTATTCAGCTTTCTAATTTGTCAGGCTAATGATGTAAAGCAATATCTCATTGTGGTTTAACTTTCATTTTCTGATTAGCAATTATTTAAAATATGACTTCATATGCTTAATTTTTGATTTCCTTTTTGTTAAACTGTTTATTCACAACCATTGCCCATTTTTCTCTTGGTTTTTCTGTCTTTTTATGATTTTCTAAGAGTTCATTTTATATTCTAGATATTAATTTCTTGGTGGTTTTAAACAACTGCAAATTATTTCTCACCTTCTGTCACTTATAAACTTTATCCAAGATATCAGTTTCTGAAAAGAAATTCTTAATTTTTGTATAATTCATATATTTTTGTGCTCCATGGTTTGTACATTTGAAGTTATGTTTAAGAATTACTACTTCCCTGTAGTTTACAATTACATTTTTATTTTCCTCCATGAAGCTTATAGATTTATTTTTCACATTTAGGTATTTAATTACCTGTGATCTCCTTTTATATATAGTGATATGTAGGGAAAAGTTTAATTTTTTCTTGATTTTGTGGGAGTTTTCCCAAGTAATATGATGTGGTTAGACCCTGTGATCCCATCCGAATCTCATCACAAATTGTAATCCCCATAATCCCTGTGTGTCGAGGAAGGGACTGGTGGGAGGTGACTGGATCATGGGAGCAGTTCCCTCATGCTATTCTCATGAGAGTGAGAGTGAGAGCGAATTCTCGCAAGATCTGATGGTTTTATAAGGCAGTTTTTCTTGCTCTCACAAGCTCTCTCTTGCCTGCCACTATGTAAGATATTCCTGTTTCCCCTTCTGTCATGATTGCAAGCTTCCTGAGCCACCCCTGAGACAATGAATGTGAATCAATTAAACCTCCTTTGTTTATAAATTACCAAGTCTCGGGTATTTTCTTTATAGCAGTGTGAAAATGGACTCATGTAATCTATACTTTCCTCATTGATTTGGTGGTGCCATCTTTATTGTATATTAAATTTTCATAACCATATATATCTGCCTTTTACATTTTCATTCTTTTCAATGGCCAGTTTGCCTTTTTTTCCCCCATCAATACCACACTGTTTTTAATATATATCTTAATATCCAGTCAAGAAAATCATTTCTCTTTTCTCTCTTTTTAAATTAAAATTAATGTAGTGATGGTGGATGGTGGATATTTATTCAGCCATGTAAATTTTAAAATAAATATATTAAGTCATGAACAAAATAGAAATAAATGTTTGGTATTGCACTGAATTTACAGGTTAATTTAAATATAATTGACATTTTTATAATATTAGGTTGTCTTAGCCAAGGGTAATAATGACCATCTCCCCAGTGATTCCCATTGTATTCTTGTAGCCTTATTAGATATTTAAAACATTCTCCATATAAGTATTGTTTCAAGTTCTCCATTTAAGTAATTTGTTTTTTTAATCTTGTTCATGACAATTTTACTGAACTTTCTTATTAGATTTAATAATTTAATAATTCTTTTTTAATGTTTTAAGGCAGATAATACTTCCATAAATAATGACAATTTTATTTCTTCTATTTAAAATTTTACTACTTTCCTTTCTCTTTTTCTTTTGTTACACACTTGGCCAGGACTTCCAGGACCATGTTAAGCATTAATAGTGAGAATAAGCATACTAATCTCATTCTCAATTTTAAAGGGAATGTACTTAACGTCTTTTGCTAGGGGTAGTGTACTATAAATTTTTGGTACATGACCTCTATAAAGTGAAGAATGTTTCCTTCTAATTATAGTTTCCTAGGACTTTTTTTTAAGGTTTTAAATATGTACTAAAATCCATCAAGTGCTTTTTTTCTGAATCAAATGAAATAACTTTTTTTTTCCTTTTGGTCTATTAATGCAGTAAATTGTTAATGTATTTTCTACCTTTTATCATCTTCATGTTCCTGGGATAAACCATACTTGGCCATTTTTTATTACATATAAGCACATTTGTGGATTCAGTTAGCTAAAAGTCAAAATCCTTAAAATGGGTTACAACAGCCTACAGTACTTGCTCACTCTTCTCCCCTCTGTGCCTCACCCCATTATATCTCTGACTTATTTCCTTCAACTTCCCTCATGCACTCATGCAGGTCAAGTCATTCTGTCCTACTTGCTATTCCTCCAAATGGCCAGACACATTCCCACATCAATGCCTTTGCACTTGCAGTTCCTTCTGCCTGGAAAGAACTTTCTTTGATATGCAAATGGGTCACTCCCTCTCCCACTTCAGATCTTCACACAATTTTTCATCTTCTCAGTGAGGCCTATCCTGGCATTCCTGCTTAAAATTCCAGCCCACTCACTCCAACATTCTCTATCCCCTTTCTTTGCTATATTTTACTGTCTTAATTTTACTTATTTTCTTTATTCTTGGTGTTCTGGCATTTCTATTGTCACTAATCAGGGAGCGACTGCCCTCCCAAAGGTAGCCAATTCTAAGGGATAGCAAAAGGCTTGTCAGGGAGTGCATCTTTCATGCACAAAGTAACCATTCCAGAGCCCACAGCCCTAACCATCTCCTTTATCAAGCTCTTACGTACCTAGGCCAGTGTTTCCTCTCCCCTCAATCAACCTAGGGTCAGGTCCAAGTCAGCTAGGGACAGACTTTATGCCGCAAAGCCCACCTGCATTATACAAACTAGGCAGTCCAAAGGTGTTTGCCCTGCCCTACCTCACCTTTCCCTCTGAAACCCCAATAAAGGTTGTAGCTTATGACTTTCTCTCATCCCTTCTGCCCACTGACTTCCCTTGGTGCCCTTCCATGTAGCCCAGCATGGTGTACTGTGTCTCCTGTTTTTAGTATCTGTGAGCAGAAACTTCTTCCTCTATGGGAATCACCTCATGTCTCTGTGTCTTAACACACCTGATTAAAACAAATCTCAAGTACAAATGTTAAGGCATTTACTTCTTATGTCTTCTCACTTCGTATGAAACATACTATACAGTTAATTTATTTATATCGTTTATTGCATGTTGTCCCTAATTAGAATACCAGTTTCATTTAGCAGGAATTTATTTTTGTCGTTTCTTTTTAACTTCTATATCTCCATTATTGAGAACATTCCCCAGTAAATTCTGGGTCCTCAATAAATATTTATGAAATGAATGAATGAAATACTAATGAATAAAATGAATCTAATATTTTCCTTTCAAGTAAGGAAAACAAGAGGCAATTAATGTTGGCATATTGATATATTTTCTGTCAGTTTATGCCTTTTTGTTTATAGCTGACTTAGTATTTCCATCTGATAACAGTCATTTGAATGTTTGCTGAGCAGCTGCTTGCTCTGTATCAGACTTTGTGCTGGATATTGGGCAGGCAACGATGACAAAATAAACACTATTCTTGTCTGGAGGCAGTTTTCAGCCTTCAAATTTTAAATCTCCTGTTTATTATATTATGGGCAATCCCCCATGTTTCAAAATAAGATTTCCATGAAAATTAATTTTAATAGCTGTGCAACAAAAGATTTAAAGCAATCTTCCATGCACTACATTGGGCGGGCAGATTTGCTTTGTTTATAGACATAAAGTTTAAATTAGTTGCCAGTAATGTAAAAGTTGATTGATTTAACATTAACTAAGCCAGATTTCCAGCTGCTGCAAGAAAATAGGGAATTATAGAAAAAGGCGCCTGTATCCTCTCAAAAAACTTATTGATATTTAGAGCTGAATGGCAGCTTCTAATGTAGATCAAATATTGGTTTGTCTGTAAGGTTTTCTTTCATCTCCCTGTTTTACTCATTTATATTAACTGACTGGTCTCTGTTCATTTTGACTTTGTGACCTCTGTATAGAATATTCCATTATATGGATGCATCATAATTTTCTTAGCTATTTCCCCAAGGTTAAACAATTAGGCTATTGCTAAATTTTCACTGTTATAAACAACAGATAAATCTCTATCTATATGTCAGATTCTTTCCTTAGGGTAGATTTTTCTAAAAGGGAAATTACCAAGTTAGAGGGTAGGGATATTTTACTTGCTTTTCAAAAGAGTACATAATTTTCTACTCTCAGTTATGTATGAGGGTGCATATTTCAATGATGGCCTACTGAAGCTGCATTTTAAAATGTTTTCATCTTTACTAATTTAATAAGCAAAAATTGTATTTTAATTTAGATTTCTTTGATCACCGTTGAGATTAACCAGTCTGTATTTTATTAGCAGTTCTGTGGCACTATTTGCAAAATTACTTTTATTTCAATTTACCATATTTTTGTGTTTGATATGAGCTTTTTCTCTATTATGTTAAGTATTTCTGTGGCTTATTTACTATATATTTTTGTTATTAATTTTTAACTTTATGCCTTCTTTGATAAGTTATTTACTTTTTAATATTCAAATCAGGATATTTTTATTTTTTAATTTTTTTCTATTGTTTTTAACTTAACTGTATCCTTTATCCTGTAGAGGTAAATTAAATAGCCATATATACATTATACTTTTCATGACTGATTTTAAATATTTTGCTTTTTATTACTTTTGGAATTTATTTTGGTATAAGGTCAGTATCTAAATTTTGTGTTGTATTGTCAATTTTAATTGTTTTGCTTTTTTTTCACTAGCATCAAAATCAATATTCTGAAAAAATATTTCCTTTTCTTTTTTGAGACGGAGGAGTCTCGCTCTGTCGCTCAGGCTGGAGTGCAGTGGCGCGATCTCCGCCCACTGCAAGCTCAGCCTCCCAGGTTCACGCTATTTTCCTGCCTCAGCCTCCCAAGTAGCTGGGACTACAGGCGCCGGCTACCACGCCCGGCTAATTTTTTTTTTTCGTATTTTTAGTAGAGACGGGGTTTCACCACCTTAGCCAGGATGGTCTTGATCTCCTGACCTCGTGCTCCACCCGCCTCAGCCTCCCAAAGTGCTAGGATTACAGGCGTGAGCCACCGCGCCCGGCCCTGAAAAATATTTATTAAATAAACCTCTTTCATGCTGATGTATATACCTTATTAAGTGTGTATTAACTTCTTGTGTACATTAGCAACTGTATCTAAGTGGTATTATTTTGTTTCGTAAATTTTCCTCTCAATGCTTATGACATTTCATTATTAAAACTTTCTAAGATACTTTAGTGGCCATATCCTATTAAATATAAATCCTTAAGAGTTCATTTTTTAAACAGAGCCATTCTCATTTGTCTCTAATTTTTCTGGAGTAAAATTAGAATTATAATTTCAAGTTTCAAAATACCTTCTAAGTGATGTCATATAAATACATTTAAAAATAATTAACATTCTAAGAATAATATTGACACATAATTTTTGATCTTTCAAAAAATAGTACTCCCTTCACTTTTTAACATTTCTGTTAATATTTTTACAGTGTTTTTTTTTTTCCATAAAAGTCTAGCACACATTTGGCTACAATTATTTTTAACTATTTTATATTTTGTTGCTATTTTGAGGTGATTATTTTCTATTACATTTTCTACCAATTTATTTTTGGTATTTAAGGAGAATTTTTTTTTATTTTTACATGTGTTTCTGAATCTTTATTTTTTACCCCTCCATTGACTCAATAAATGTTATATATTCAACATTATTGTCCCTAATATTTTATCTTCCAATTATAATTTTTATTTTGATTACATTATCTATTGTTTTGGTTATAATTGCCAGAACATTAAAACTATTAATGAAACCAAGTGTGGTGGCATGCACCTATAGTCCCAGCTACTTGGTAGTCTAAGGCAGGAGGATTGCTTGAGCCCAGGAATACAAACCTGTAGCTCACTATGATCACTATGATCATGGGTGACTGGCCACTGCATTCCAGCTTGGGCAACATAGCAAGATCCTGTCTCTAACTATATATATATATATATAATATATATATATAATATATATAAAATATATATATTTATAGATATATAATACTGTATAATATATAATTGTTATATAATATATAATATATATTATATGATATATAATATATAGATTTAAATATAAATATATAATATATATCTATATCTATAAAATATATAATATATATCTATAAATATATAATATATATTACATCTATAAATATATAATATGTATTATATCTATAAATATATAATATATATTATATCTATAAATATATAATATATATTAGATCTATAAATATATAATATATATTATATTATTATATATAATATATATTATATCTATAATATATGATTATTATATATAATATATAATTTATAATATATAATATAATATACAATATATATTATGTATTATAATAATATATATTACATATATAAATAATATATATATCTATAAATATATAATATATATATAAACAACATTTCATATCTTTGCCTTCACTGTGGTTTTATTGAAATTATCGCTAATGTTTTACATTCAGGTATGATATTGCCTATTGATGTGCCAATATCTTCATCAGGTTAATTTAATTATTTTATGATTTATTAATTATTTTTATATGTAATTAGAGTTAAATTTAAACCACTTTTCTGGAATCTCTTGAGATAATTGAATTTTGAAAACTGTATTAGATCATGTTATTTATTATGTTTTAAAGATAATATATTTTTGCATTTCTATAGTTCAGACTGAATTACTCGTTTGCTCTGCTATTAGACTTTATTAGTACATTTAAAGATATTTCTCAGTGACATCACATAGTTTTTTTCTTGTTTGCCTTATATGTTTAAGCTTTGGGGTTAGATTACAACTGGATTTATAACATCGGTCCCTTTCTCTCTGTCAGGGTTGGTCTCATTGAGAAGGTAACAGATACACAACGATTTGAAGGAACTGAGTGGGGAGCCATGCAGCTATTGGGGGAAACCAATAAAGGCAGAGTGAACAGCTAGAGCAGAGCCCTAAGTTAATGAGTTTTTGCAATATGCCAGGCTTGGTGTTATATCCAGGGGTTTAAAGAGAAATAAAATGTTAACCCTAACCTGGTTCTACCAATGAAAGTATATTGATCTGCTATAGTAAGACAACTACTATGAGAGAGAGAATCACATAGTGCTTTTGGAGGCTATAAGAGAGGATTCTAACCCAGCCTGGAGGAAGTCTGGGAAGAACTCCTGCTGGAGACATTGCTTCATATGGGTAGAGTGAGTAGGACCTACCCAGGTAAAGGAGCAAGATCTGAGTGAGAATAAAATACATATAGGCAACTTAAATCAGTCAAGCATGATGTGAGTAAATACCACAAGAGAGTGGTAATGAGAGTCGAGATGGTATGTTAGCCTGTTTTCATGCTGTTGATAAAGACATACCTGAAACTGGGAAGAAAAAGAAGTTTAATGGACTTACAGTTCCACGTAGCTAGGGAGGCCTCACAATCATGGTGGAAGGCAAGGAGGAGCAAGTCTTGTCTTAATGGATGGTGGTAGGCAAAGAGAAGAGAGAATGAGAGCCAAGCAAAACGGGTTTCCCCTTATCAAACCATCAGATCTCATGAGACTTGTTCACTATCATGAGAATGGTATGGGGGAAACCACCCCATGATTCAATTATCTCCCACTGAGTCCCTCCCACAATGCATGGGAATTATGAGAGAACAATTCAAGATGAGATTTGGGTGGGGACACAGAGCCATACCATATCATTCTGCCCCAGACCCCCTCCCAAATCTCATGTCCTCACATTTCAAAACCAATCGTGCCTTCCCAACCATCACCCAGAGTCTTAATTCATTTCAGCATTAACTCAAAAGTCCACAGTCCAAAGTCTCATCTGAGACAAGGCAAGTCCCTTCTGCCTATAAGCCTATAAAATCAAAAGCAAGTTAGTTACTTCCTAGATACGATGGGGGTACAGGCA
The DNA here is from genome assembly GCF_000001405.40 of Homo sapiens. Lineage (NCBI taxonomy): Eukaryota > Metazoa > Chordata > Mammalia > Primates > Hominidae > Homo > Homo sapiens. The sequence continues at coordinate 30,065,074 of NC_000003.12, forward strand.
TTGGGTAGATACAGCCATTCCAAATGGGAGGAACTGGCCAAAACAAAGGGGCTACAGGCCCCATGCAAGTCCAAAATCTAGCAGCACAGTCAAATCTTAAAGGTCCGAAATGATCTCCTTTGACTCCATGTCTCATATCCAGGTCACACTGATGCAGGAGGTGCATTCCCATGGTCTTGGGCAGCTCCACCCCTGTGGCTTCGCAAGGTATAGTCTTCCTACCGGGTGCTTTCACTGGCTGGCATTGAGTGTCTGCAGCTTTTCCAGGTGTATAGTGCAAGCTCTCCATGGATCTATCATTCTGGGGTCTGGAGGATGGTGGCCCTCTTCTCACAGCTCCACTTGGTGGTGCCCCAGCAGGGACTCTGTGTGGGGGCTCCCACCCCACATTTCTCTTCTGCACTGCCCCACCAGAAGTTCTCCATGAGGACCCTGCCCCTACAGCAAACTTCTTCCTGGGCATCCAGGCGTTTCCAGATATCTTCTGAAATCTAGGTGGAGGTTACCAAACCTCAATTCTTGACTTCTGTGCACTCGATGGCTCAACACCATGTGGAAGCTGCCAAGGCTTGAGGCTTGCACCCTCTGAAGCTATGGCCCAAGGTCTACACTGGCCCCTTTCAGCCACGGCTGGAGAGGTTGAGACACAGGGCACCAAGTCCCTAGGCTGCACCCAGCACAGGGACCCATGGCCTGACACATGAAACCATTTTTTCTTCCTAGGCCTCCGAGCCCATGATGGGAGGGGCTGCTGTGAAGACCTCTGACAAGCTCTGGAGATATTTTCCCCATTGTCTTGAGGATTAACATTCAGCTTGTTACTTATGCAAATTTCTGCAGCCTGCTTGAATTTCTCCTCAGAAAATGGGATTGTCTTTACTACTGCATTGTTAGGCTGCAAACTTTCCAAACTTTTATGCTCTGCTTCCCTTATAAAACTGATTGCCTTTAACAGCATCCAAGACACCTCTTAAAGGTTTTGCTGCTTCGAAATTTCTTCCGCCAGATACCCTAAATCATCTCCCTCAAGTTCAAGGTTCCACAAATCTCCATGGCAGGGGCAAAATGCTACCAGTCTCTTTGCTAAAACATAACAAGAGTTACCTCTGCTCCAGCTCCCAACAAGTTCCTCATCTCCATCTGAGACCACCTCAGCCTGGACCTTATTGTTACATCACTATCAGAATTTTTGACAAAGCCATTCAACAAGTCTCTAGACAGTTCTAAACATTCCTGCATTTCCTGTCTTCTTCTGAGCCCTCCAAACTGTTCCAACCTCTGCCTGTTATGCAGTTCCAAAGTTGCTTCCACATTTTTGGGTATCTTTTCAGCAATGCCCCATTCTGCTGGTACCATTTTACTGTGTTAGCCTGTTTTCACACTGCTGATAAAGACATACCCAAGACTGGGAAGAAAAAGAAGTTTAATGGACTTACAGTTCCACATGGCTAGGGAGGCCTCACAATCATGGCAGAAGGCAAGGAGGAGCAAGTCATGTCTTACATGGATGGCGGCAGGCAAAAAGAAGAGAGAATGAGAGCCAAGTGAAATGGGTTTTCCCTTTTTAAACCATCAGATCTTGTGAGACTTATTCACTACCATGAGAACAATATGGGGGAAATTGCCCCATGATTCAATTATCTCCCACCAGGTCCCTCCCACAATGCATGGGAATTATGGGAGTACAATTCAAGATGAGATTTGGGTGAGGACAAAGAGCCAAACCATATCAGATGGGAAAGCTTGGAGGGGTCAAACCATGTTGCACCATTCTCAGCAGTTTGTTATCTCTGTGTGCCAGTAAGAAGCTATTTAAAGGCTTAAGGCATAGGAAAAAGTCACATTTTGTTTTAGAAGAGTAATTGGCTATCACATGTAAATGACATTGACCTTGAATGGAGCAAAACTAAAAGCAAAGAGCTCACTTAATATTTGTGTTGATCATCTGAACAAAGACTGAAACAGAACTGAACAAAGGCAACAGAGGCGAGGATGTGATGGGTGGATTTGACAGCTGTTTGTAACTAAAATAGGCAAGCTTTGGTAACTGACGAAAGGAAGAAGGAAGGATGGCTTAAAGTCTAGACTAATTCCTAAATTTCTGGATTGTATGACTAAGTAAAAGACGATGTATTCTGCAATTGGTTCCCTGTCAGAGAAGGAATGCTAAAAAGGTGCAAGATAGGGGAAAATGATAAAAGGATAAACATATCAATCAAAGACTTAACGTCAAATAAAAAACACTGGTTTCAAGCTTCCAAATGTGTATATGTGTGTTTTAATTTCCTTTCTTCAAAAGTAGTGTACATTTTTATAATAAATTAGATCTGACAGTCTGCTTTATTCTGCACTTGATACCTAATATATGTATGTGTATTTCTAACAAAGTCTAAATATACCCAGGGGGCTTGTTTATTAATTGAATTTCCTGAGGCATAATTCTTTCCCTTGGGGTGCTAATAACCTGATAATTTCAGATCTTTAATGCTTAGATATATTAATGAGAACAAATAACTTTGTAAAGACTCTATTATTCATATTTGTCTTTTAACTTTTATTATAATATGAATTTCTTTCATTATCCCCTACCATACACATACAAACTTTTCTATTTTAGGAAGCCTTCAACAATGACCTGTTGTTGTGTTAACATTCAAAAGACAATCTTATCATATCTAAAAGTGTCACCTCAAATGCATTGCTTCTAGTAGGAAGAAATTTGCTCCTGATTTTTGAGAGGTTAAATGAAGCCAGAAGGCTCCTGTGTCCTCTCATCAACCTCCCCTCCAGGCTGTTCTCTCAATCTTCCCACTGGGTGAATTAGTGCCACCTATTATGTGAGCCCTCAGATGTGGAAAAGGCAGCAGCTTCTTTCAAGCAGGAGAGGCTGGGTGAAGCTGCCCTTTAGCACAATGGGGGACAAATTGCCTAGAGAAGGGGCAGTGAGTTGGGTCTGCCAGGTCTCATGGCACCCGAAGCTGAGCACAGCCCCCACCTGGAGGAAGAGAGGCTCCTGAGGATATGACAGAAGGGTCAATGTATTAGCATTCCTGCTGCTATGAAAAGACATCTGAGGACTACGTAATTTATAAAGAACATACATTTGTTTCTCAAAGATCTGGAGACTGGGATGTCCAAGATCAAAGCGCTGACGAGTTCAGTGTCTGGAGTCTCTGCTTCCAAGATAACACCTTGAACTCTGTGTCCTCCAGAGAAACTGAACATTTCCCTCGGATGGCAGAAGGGATGGAAAAGGGCAAAAAGAGGGTCTAGCTTATTCTCTCTAGCCCTTTTATAACGTTACTAATCCCATTCATGTGGGTTCCACCTTCATGTCTTAATTACCTTGTGAAGGGTCCATCTCTTAATACTATCACGTTGATGACTAAGTTTCAACATGAATTTTGGAAGGATCACAAACATTCACACCATAGCAGTTTACATGACAAAAGAGTGGAAGGCATACAACAAGGGATGATTGGATGTAACCATGGACAAAGTTATCCTGAGTACAGCTGTGACAAAAAGGGCTCTGAGAAAAATTCAAACTGCGTGACTCTGATATGTGCAAGTATCAGAAAATTCAAACATGGTTTGAGTTTATTTAACTTGAAAAGTGATTAAATGTTGTAGAAAATTTACAGATGGCAAACCTCCAGCATTTGTATTAATCATGCAATTGTCACAGTTCCATTCCAATGGCTTTTCGTGCTGTTGTTGTTGTATAGCATTAGCTCTCTCTGGGTGCTTTTGGTGCACTTGATATTAAAATCAACTCTGAAATCATACCACCTTGGGTGATTTTAAACCTTTGTGATAGAGCATAAAATATCTGGGAACATCAAAGTCAAGTCACACCTAAAACTTCTGCCTAAGATACTGACCACCTGCATAAAACTTTTCAGCTATATCATGTCCCTAGAAATTCAGCTTAACTACACAAATTTATTTTTTGATCAGAAAAGTGTGTGAAGTTTTATATATGAAAGTCAAGATTTTTTTGAAAGCCAAGATTTTTAAAACTTGGAAATAGATGGGTCCAAATAGTGTGGCAACCTAAAAAATCACATGCTTAAATCTTCAGATATCTACTGAAAGTCTACGTGAATATAAACAGAAGAGCTGGGAGACTGTAACAGCCCTGGTAACTAGAGAAATGGTCTCAGCCACAGGCCAGAAACTTTAAGGAAGTTTTGCAATACGGAATGCAGATAAGGCCCAGACCAAAACACCTGATAACCCTTGGCAGTTTGATTATTTGGTGCCCTTTCAACTCCATATTCTTTAATATCTGATAAGCATTTATATATAAAGGCCATGAGGGGTTGTCTGAAAGGGGCAGGGGATTGGAGAGCTAATGAAGGGCAATATGGAGTCTTAGTCTTCCCATCTTTCAACTTGGACATGCTACTCAACAGTTAATAGGAGCTCCCGCTATGCCACGAGCTGTTGTGGTGATCTTGTTTGACCTGAGTAGGTTCCTTGTGCACTCAATCCCCACTTCAACCAGATCATCAAAGTATTCTTTCTCAACATCCAGATTCATCTCCCCAAGGGAGATATGGGTAAATGCTGTTTTCTTTTTTATTAAATGTTTTCAGTGATATTTTTGTCCCATAATGATGTATCTCTAGCATTCTATAAAGCTTGATGACCCCCAAAATCCACCTGTGATTCAAATGACGCTAATTTGAAAGAAAAAAACTGATTTGTGCCCTACCTCCTGCCTGCAGATGGTAAGTGGAAGAATATTGAACCTAAGGCTGTCATTGTCATTCCTAATTTGTAGCAAGCGTGCCTAGAACTGAGGTGGAGTGTGAGGAGGAAAGTGAGTGAGAGACATGTCAATCTCAACCGGCCCTGGGACATGCTACAGGTTTCCAAGGCTAGAGGAAGCAGGGACCAGGACGGCACATACTGTATTTGTATATGGCACCAATGGAAGTGCCACAGTTGCCTCCAGGAAAGGGCAGCATGCCAGGGAAACAGGGTTGAGCTGCCTGCCTAACTCAGGGCTACCAACACACAATGAAAGAAGGGTTCTGCAGAAAAATTTTCTGCTGCCAGATGAAGCCAAACAAACAAACAAAAACAAAAATACCTCTCTGGTCCCTTCCTCTACCTCTACTTGTGGAACAAAAGCAAAGCCTATTAATAGTAAACTTTTCCATTTTTCTCCATATTTACTAAATGATTTTTTAAATGGTCTCATAAAACCCGCCTCTAATCCCAATGCCAAAAACCAACCAAACAAACAAAAATACCACAAATCTTTCTCTATAAGAATGAACAAGTGGCAAAACAAAGGTCAGACATTTTAAAACTATGTTTAAGTTAATATTTGCAAATTATTCATCTGACAAAGGCCTAACATCCAGCATCTATAAGGAATATAAACAAATTTACAAGGGAAAAACAAACAATCCCATTAAAAAGTGGACAAAGGCCGGGCACGGTGGCTCACCCCTGTAATCCCAGCACTTTGGGAGGCCGAGGTGGGCAGATCACGAGGTCAGGAGATCGAGACCATCCTGGCTAACTTGGTGAAACCCTGTCTCTACTAAAAATACAAAAAATTAGCCGGGCGTGATGGCAGGCGCCTGTAGTCCAGCTACTCAGGGTACTGAGGCAGGAGAATCTCTTGAACCCAGTAGACAGAGGTTGCAGTGAGCAGAGATCATGCCACTGCACTCCAGCCTAGGCGACAGAGCGAGACCTCGTCTCAAAAAAAAAAAAAAGTGGACAAAGGACATGAACAGACACTTCTCAAAAAAAGACATACGTTCGTCTAACAAACATGAAAAAAAGCTCAATATCACTGATCATTAGAGAAATGCAAATCAAAACCACAATGAGATACCATCTTACACCAGTCAGATTGGCAATTATTAAAAAGTAAAAAAAAAAAAAAAAAAAAAAAAAAAAAAAAAAAAACCCAGATGCTGGCAAGGTTGCAGAGATAAAAGATCACTTATATACTGTTGGGGGGAGTGCAAATTAGTTCAATCATTGCGGAAAATAGTATGGCAATTCCTCAAAGAGCTAAAAGCAGAACTACCACTCAACTCAGCAATCCTATTACTGGGTATACACCCAGAGGACTAGAAACCATTCTACCATAAAGATACATGAACGTGGATTTTCATTGCAGCACTATTCACAATAACAAAGAAATGAAATCAACCTAAATGCCCATCAGTGTCAGAATGGATAAAGAAAATGTGGTACATATACACCATGAAATATTATGCAGCCATAAAAAAGAATGAAATCATGTCTTTTGTGGGAACATGGATGGAGCTGGAGGCTATCATCATTAGCAAATTAACACAGGAAAAGAAAACCAAATACTGCATGTTCTCACTTATAAGTGGGGGCTAAATAACAAGAACTTATGAACACCAAGAAGGAAATAACAGACACTGGGGTCCACTTGAGGGGGAAGAGTGAGAGGAGGGAAAGAAGCAGAAAAGATAACTATTAGGTATTGAGCTTAATACCTGGGTGATGAAATAATATGTACAACAAACCCCAGTGACCCATGCTTATATACGTAACAAACCTTCATATGTATCATCAAACCTAAAATAAAAGTTAAAAAAATAGAAACTATGTTTCAATTAATAAATAATTTAATGAATGGTGATTAAATTTTAATGTAAAACTAATGAATCAAAGCAAATTTATTAGTACTCTAAAAGAGATACTGTATTAAAAGTGAGAAAAACTAGAGAAAAACCTGCAATTGGTATTCTCCCAAAATGAGAATAGAAATTAGTATAGTCATTAGATGCTATATCTGTAAAAGTCGAGCACAAGGAAAAATCAGAATTTAAAAATTTCCATGATTATAATTGTTACATGAAAATGAGTCACAAATTAAAACTGTCATGAAGGCAATGAAAAACATTATTTAAGGCCCTGTATGACGGAGAGGCTTTTATTTGAAGCTAACTATAATTCTTAACACACACACAGTTAAAAAAAATTTAAAACACCAAATAAAAATGAGCAAAGTATATCAATAGGCACATCTGCCTTCACAAGCCCAATTAAAACTTATAATAAAATGAGGAAATACCTTATGTTCACAACGGAGTAGGGGCGAGGTTTTGGGGAATTATAACTATGCCTTACTGGTGGGATTGTACTCTTGCTCCATATTGGTGGAGGTTATTTTGGAGAGTACACAGGAAGCATTTTACAACTTACAGAAGTTTATGCCAAGCAATTCCACTTCTAGACGTTTCTCCTATGGAAATACATAGGTATCTGAGACAGTGTTCTGACAGCCTTTATTATAATAATAAAAACGGTAGAACTATTTGGCTAAATATCGAGGTTGGTTGCATCCATCAGAATCATTTTATGTAATTAAACTTATTCCAGCATCTTATATATAAATATATAAAGTAGATAAATTTTCAGCTGCTATGATTGCGTTAACATATAAAAGCCCAGGATATAGATGATATACATCACCAATAACACAGGTATGTATGCATATATTTCATTTTTAAACTACAGAATTGGCCTACATGCAACTTGTTTTTATAAAATTAATATGATACCCTGCCATTTTAGCGCATCCACATTTACCACAATCCTTATTAATAGCTTTCTACTATTTCTTACAGTCTTTCACGCAAAATTTTACGGTTGCTTGTAGTCTGATCTATTGTAATTCACCTTGTTATTTGTGCTTACTTCCATTGCTTTTTAATTTTTCACTCTCTTTCCCATCCTGAGGTCAGATTCGGTTAAAAATAGCTTAATTTTTTGACCCCTGATTCTTTTACACTTCTAGAATGTAGGGCATAATCTGAGGTTAAAATGAAGTGTGTTTCATTTGTTTGTTTAAATTAACATGTTAACCAATTTTCTTTGCAAAGTTCACTGAATTAGATATCTGTATACAAGCGTTTGTATGGGCATGTGTTAAATAAGCCACAGATCTGGAAGTTAGAAATCTGAGTAGAGTGATATAACCTTTCAGTATTTCTTCTAGGGGACTTTAGGCACTTGTATAAGTGGTCAGAATCCTCCATCCCACATTTGTCAGATAAAAGCATCTCCTGCTTTTTGGTTTTTTTTAATGAGAAGGCCATTAAGGGCCATACATCTGTCAATGTTACATGTGATAGAACACTAAATAGCTGCATTTGACTAGAACTGTCAAAACAGGATAATGGATGGCTTATCTGGATAGATCAAATTGTGACAAGACTTTCTGTCTCCTCAGGAACCACCTTTCTTCACTTTATTCTAAAGCCCAAAGGATGCATGAGAGTGTTAGATGAAATATAATCAGAGAAGACTGAATAAGGGAAAGTGGGCTGAGGGAAAAAATAAAGACATATTCCTAAGGATGCCTTTGATCTTCAAAAGGCAAAATGCCCTTCGGATCAGAGAGCTGCAGGACAAGGCTTGGGAAGTAGAACCCAGCACAAGCTAGCTACCACTTTTGTGAAGCCAACTGGAGTACTCTAGGTATATTCACAGCTGCCTGCATTTCATATTCTGAAAAAATTCTTCCCTAAAAAGTGGTGATATTCTCCTTTTCATTTTTCTGTTCATTTCCAAACTCATGACTCTAACTTTGACTCCTGTGTAGCCACAGTTTCTCCCTCCGGCCACAGAGGTCACCATCACAAGCCTGAGGTGACATGATGAGACACTATTTAGAAGTCATCCTTTTAATTGAGAGCCCTGCCACAGTCCCAGTCAGCCCTGACATCATAGGGTGTTAGGGAGGAGCTGCTTTTGAAGTAGCTGAAAGGTCATTTCTTCCCAGACAAGGCTTTCTGAAATTACAGCCTGGGAGGAAAATGGCTTCATGCCAATTTTAATACATGTTCAAACTCAAGGTGCAGCCTCAGAGGCCCAGAAGACAGGAATAGAGAAAAAAAAAATGTGCCTTTGATGACTGTTCTTTCTTTTCCCTTTTGCCTTGTTATTTTACTTTGCTTGGGAACTGAAAAGATTTCTTATAGCTAGCCAGAGAGGAAATGGTGAATATATAGCACTGCCGTTTTTTACTTGGGTTTACGGATTTTGCTAACTTCAAGTCGAAATTATTAAATTATAGACAATGAAAGAAATAATTAAAATAATTATAGTTTTAGTGTTCGGGCAATACCTTCAAAGTTGCTAGCTTTTATTTCAATTGTTTTGCTTTTCTATTCTTTTCTTTTCTTTTTTTTTTTTTTTTTAACTTACTATGTGGCCAGGTACTGTATCTTGAAGAACAAAGAAGAAATAAGACATAGTTCCTGCTCTCTCAAATATTTCAGTCTGGTATTGTATAGGAAGGAAGTTAAACTAAGCATTTTATATGTTAGTTAAATAGAAATGTTTCCGTTATTTCAGAGTATCATCTAAAATCCTCAAATTAAGAATAATAGTGGCAAAGCAACTCCACACTTGAAAGTAAAACACTAAGCCATCTCTGCAGCACCTGCAAATTGGGGAAGTCATAAGCTAGTTATGCCATTTGTTTGGAAAATTGGAAATTGCTTTAAAAGTGAACATACACTTAACCTATGGTCTAGCAATTTCTCTCCTGGATATTTATCTAACAAAATGAAAACATGTGCCCACATATAGACTATTATGCAAATGTTCACAGCAGCTTTGTTCCTAATAGCCCAAAACTGAAAACTAAATATACATCAACATGTGAATGGATAAACAAACAGCGGTGTATCAGTAAAATGGAAAACTATTCAGCAATAAAAAATGAACAAACTACTGAAAAACACAACAAAACAAAGCTAAGCAAAATAATTATCAGAAGCATTATGTTTAGGAACAGAAGGCAGACAACAAAGAATATATATCCTGTGATCTCACGTATATGAAATTCTAGACTGGGTAATCAAATGTGATACAAAGCAGATTAGTGGTTGCCTGTGGACAAGAGAATGGGGTTAAGTAGACGGGGGATTAATTGACAGGGGCATGAGAGAAATTTTTGGAGCATGGAAATATTCTATACTGCAACTGTGGTGGTGGTTACAAGGTTGATTACTATAACTTTCAAATGGGTACATTTCATTGGTATATAAAATGTATCTTAATAAAGTTATATTTTTAAAAAGATAGTTATGCCAATATTAGTTCTCCAAGTTATATGAGAAAAGGCTAAGAATTCATTAGCAATTTGGAAAATTAGAAGATTCCTTTAGAGAGAGACCATTGTTGTAGAAGAAGGGGAGGTATTTCCTCTTATCATAAGCCAAGTGATCAGAAACTTTGAGGGAACTACTCACATAACCTGATATTCCATAGAGATTGTGGAATAAAATAGCTGATATCTTATGAGTGAAATACCTGTATCTGAGATGACGGGCAGAGTGTCCTTCTGGGCTGTAGAATTAAGAGGCACGTTTGCTCTGGGAAGAGCCTGCACTTCCAGAGTTTGATGAGTCAAGGATGTGTGTTTGCTTGCTGAAGAGCTGATGTGGATCTCATAGAGAAGAACTAAACTTGGAGTGTCTTAGAAGCAAGTCTGTCCATCAGGAGCTGCTAAAGGAGTGGGCCATAAGAATTCAGTGGCTGGGATAGGTGTCGGTGTTAATTAGTCATCTAGAAAAAGCCACTATAAATGGAAAATACTGAGAACTGTGAGATGTAGATACCCACAAAAATGCCCCACAGATGAGTCAAGGTTTGCTTTTGGACGTAGAAGTATTTCAGAAAGTACTAGGTTATTAATGTACCTCATAAGTAAGATGCATCTGTACCATATCTCTTCTTCACCAATCCTGTCACCAGTGAAGAAACAAAAGTGGCACAATACAGGAAGAAGAATAGAAGAGTATGCTAGGCCATTTGTGAGAATCAGACTCAGAGAAGGAGATGTGATCATGGAAGCAGAGGTCAGAGTGATGAAGGGCCACAAGCCAAGGAATGCAGGCAGCCTCTTGAATCTGGAAAAGGCAAGGAAACAGACTCTTCTCCAAAGTCTCCAAAGGAACACAGTCCTGCTGGCCTATTATGGACCCCTGGCCTCCAGAACTTCAGGATAATAAAGTTGTATTGCTTTATTAATCCACTAAGTGGCTTTGTTGTAATTCACTATAGTAGCAACAAGAAATTAATACAAGAGATAGCCTAGATTTTCTAATAATATTGCAAGTATATGCAACACAAAAATCTAGATAACCTAGATTTTTTGATAATTTTTTTTTAAGTATATGCAACACAAAACAGTTTTATTTAAAAAAAAAAGAGCTGTTTTACTATTTGGGTTCCAAATTTTTGGAACAGGACATACATATTTGTTTCATGTTTCATAAATAGAAAGTTAGTTGGAAGTCTATATCCATTATACACTTTATTAAAGATGTTTTCCCTGATCTCCCTCTCTAGATCCAGTTCTCCTTCCCCCTTCCCCCATTACAGGCTCTCAATTTCTCCTTTATAGCACATTTCAGAGTCATAATTTTGTAAATTTTTTATAAATTTTGATGAACATGCCTCTTCCACTAGAATGTAAGCCCCAGAGGGTCAGAGATCACATATAGTATTATTTTGTTTTATTTTGCCTTGTTTTGTCTATCACTGAATCTCCAGGACTCGATGCCATGCATGTAGGAGACATTCAATACATACTTGTTGAGTAAATTAAAACTGACTGAATAAATGCATTCTGCATTTCCTGCCTACTGATATCTTCAGAGGAAGTGAGAAATAGATATTGTATATTGTCATTGTGTAAACTTCTGTTTGCTGTTCATGAGCTCTAAGATTCAGAAACTATTATAGAAACTATAAGGACACATTACACCAGTCAATAGAAGAACTGTGAATCTGATCAGCAGAGCCAGCCATGAGGTGGCAAGAATACAGCCCAGTGACAGCAGCTTGTCTTTGGAAGGTTCTTAATATGAGCATACTCTATCAGGAATCATTTTTTTTTTTCCCTAGGATACAACACTTTTTAAAGGAACAATAATTTACTAACTTAAAATGCTAAAATGATATTAAGAGTTCATCTCAGCACTCTTTCTGGCTCAGGGCCAAAATATTAAACTCCTTCTAGGCAAGGATCCCTTATCCAAGAAATCTTAAGTGAAAGCCATTAAATAGCCTAACTCAGTAACTGTTTGTCTACCTTTGTGCCCATCATAACTTGGCTGAGCTACAAGAAAGACAATGAGAAACACATCTTTAGAGATCTGTAAGAATGTTAGAGGGAAGTTGAGGCCTAGAAATTGAAGAAAACTACTTGGGCCAAAGGGTAGCAGGTGATGTTGGTACCCTTCCTTTGTCACCTCCACATTCGTCACTCCCATGAATAGCTAACCAATGGCTTCCATTTGTCACTGTATTCCTAAGGGCTTTCTCTGTTCTGTGTACCCTGCTGGCACATGCACACACAAACACATGCATGCATGCACACACAAACTCACACACATACACACACACACACACACAACAGGCCAGATAAGACAGGGAGATAAATATCTGGAGCAGCACTCAACCAGTGATTGGTGGATGTTGCTGAATAAATGCCCTAGCCCCCTTACCCCTTGGTTGGGGATAGCTGAGGCATGGTCTATGCTGTCTTCCAAAGTTCCAGCCTTCAGTTTCCCATAGCATGTGCTCCTCCTTATTGGCTTGCTTTCCTTCTACGTCTTACTTTCATAATCCCCTACTGGTGCCTCCTGGGGTCACTGCAAGACTATGAAGGGTATCAGATTTTACTCTACTTGCAAGGTAATAATTAGCTTAGCAAAATATCATGGAAGCTGGTAAAAGATACAAGATTCCTGGGTCAGATACAAAGGGATGTATTACTCACAGCAATAACAGTAACCAGAGCATTAGTGCATGAGCTTGTTTCCCAAGTCCCAATCCTCACAGTGTGACACCAAGAAAACCAGGTGACACCTGCACATTCGGGTCGTGTTATGGGAGATGAACCTTCAAAGTGAGACATCTTTACTATATTGGAAAGTAAAAAGACAAGCCAAACCAAAATAAACCAAAAGCATTCTTGTTCTGTGAAGGGAGACACTATCTCTATCTCCCAAGGTTGTTTGCTATATAAACAACCTTGAAAAGATAGTCCAGATCAAAGACAGTGGCTCTGCTCACAAGATGTATGGAAATGTGAGACTCCTGTGGAGAAATGTCTTCCAACAATCTCTTTCCAAATAAACTACTTGTGCTTAAATCCTTGTCTCAGACTCTGTTTCTGGGGGAATTCAACCAAAGAAACAGAGCAGGAAGTAACTTTTTAATGTCCTATAAATTGTATTATTATTATATCTCTTCTTGATCTTAGTCTCTTAGAATCCTCATCTTGAAGTTATTGCATATTTAATGACTTTGAGTCTCATGCATAATCTGAACCTCAATTTCTACTTCTGTAAGGGGAACTAACGGGTAATAGGGTGGTAACGAATATCACAGGTGATGATGCACCTAAAAATAATTTTGAACTTGAAGCAGTATATATTGATTGGCAGATAATCATAATCTTGAACATTGTTTTACTATTATCTATGAATAAAAATTAAATCTTGGATTTTTATATTTTTAATTTCAGAGACTTACTTTCAGTTCTACAAAAATTACCTTATCAAATTTCAGGCTAAAAAAATATGTAGGGTAATTTCTTTCTAAAATTGGAAAATGAGCCAAATCTGCAAGGCCTCTCTCTGCCCTTTCAAAACCGTGGCTCTTGGCTGTCACTCCCATCCTTCTCCTATTTCTGCCCCAACTAGGCCTAGATATATCATGCCAAGCCCTGGTTGTTGCAGCTCTTAAATGATCTGGACAGCCCAGATTCCAACTGAAGTAATAGTGGAACAGTCAGTCCGCATGCATGATACTTCCTCCTAGCTAGCTGTTAACAGCTTGTCAAGGCTGAGCAGGTCAGACTGGTAGACAATGACATCAATATGCCAATAGGCCCCTGCTTTCCTCCATCTGCTGTGAAAGGTGCATCAGCAGCATTTGTGTTGTGGGATGAAGAGCTCAAGGCTCACCCTAAATTCCCCTGTCTTACTCACACTTTCCTTCAGGGATCCACATTTCTGAGACCTGAAACCTGAAGTTCAGAGCAACTTAAATCACTATCTGCCCAAACATGTTGACTTTTGCCAATATTTATTTTTCCTTCCTCCCTCCCTCCCTCCCTTCTTCCCTTCTTCTTGTTTTCCTCCCTCCTTCCCTTCTCCATCTCTCTCTTTTTAAATTCAAGTGTGTGAAAAATAAATAGATAGCAGCAACTATGGGGGCTGGGAAAGATGATTCCGGCAGAGAAAAAGGAACCTATGGCAGGCCAATTTCCCCATCTCTCATTCTCTCATATAAATATATGATATAAGAATACATTATATGTATAATATATGTGTGTAATATCTTTTTTATAATAAACAGTATATTTTCTAGAATATTTTATTATTTATATGGTAATATGAATAGCACAGATACTCATGAATACATCAGTTTATATGTAAAACATTTATAGTCAGATTTATATACTATACTAAATGACTATATTATCTAATAAATATATATTTGTTAAAAAATACTAGAAAATTTTAGTGAAATTTATGAAGTTACAACATGGACTATAATGACTACAATTGTAGCAAGAGCAGTGGTAGCAGTCAATAATAACAATAATAATAGCACTTTGAGTTCAGTTAATCTTCCTGTGACTTTCATATATTATATCATGGAATCCTAATGACAATTCTATGAAGGAAGAGTATTTTCCTCATTTATATAAATAAGGTAACTAAAGTTTAGAGATATAAAATAACTCAGCTCTATCAAGGTCACCTAACATGTAAGTGGTAAATATCAGATTAAAGCACAAATTTGCTTTACTCTAAAATCCTCTGCTCTTAACCACCAAATAAGGCAGTTAATAGCACCTGTCTTCCATTTTAATCTCATTTTTGGGAAGAACAGGTTTATCTGTGGTCATTTGATTTGGCGAAATTTGTGAAGTCACAAGAAGGAAAATATCAGTTCCCAGATTAAGAAATCAATAGAATTTCACCCTTTTTGAATAAAATACAATCCACTTGGAGTTAGATTAATCTAGTAAAACATTTTTGTCTGATGTAATCATTTCTAGATATTAATGACAGAAAAGCATTTTAGAGGGCAGAAAAAGTGGCAGACCACCCACAAGAACTCTTGGATATTGCTGTACTTATCCTTAAAAGGAATTTTGATATATTCACAAAATTCTGATGAATTTGAGAGCATTCTGATGCTAATGCCCACTTGAAACCAACATCACCAACTGCACATGTTTCACATAACCAAATCAGGACAAACAGAGACAAATGCATATTCTATCAAAATCCCAATGTTCTTCTTTTACTAATTTTAAGAAATAGAATGCAATCATAAGGTGACTGTTGGAAGTGATTTTAGAAATCAGCCAAACACGACGGCATGTACCTATAGCCCCGTCTACTCAAGAGACTGAGGCAAGAGGATTGCTTGAGCCCAAGAGTTCAAGGCCAACTTGAGCAATGTAGTGAGATCCCCATCTCCAAAAGAAAAAAATCGTCTTACCTAGGCCACTTTTGAGACTGAGATGGGAGGATCTGTTGAGCCGGGGAGGTCGAGGCTTCACTGAGCTGTGATCACACCACAGCACTGCACTCCAGCCTGGGCAACAGAATGAGATCCTGTCTCAAAACAAACACACAAAAAGAAAGGGATAGACTCTTGTTTACAACAAGTGAACTAAAGATATACAAAGGCAAAGCTAATCACCTTTTCATCCATCCTTCTCTCCAATGACATTCTACTGAAAAGATCACTGGCAATGGCTGAGTATGTGTATTTTTTCATTCTTTCATCCTTAAAAGTCATAGCGAGGATACATACATACATATATACACACACACACACACACACACACATATATACATACACACATATATATACACACGTATATATATGTGTGTATATATATATATATGTATGTATACTGGTGAAATATGTATACACACATACAAATAAGTTTTTGCTTGAATTTTCACAAAATTCAAAAATACTGTTTTTCACTTCGGCAAATTAAAAAAAAAAAACACAACAGTTTATCATGGATGGACATTCATACGAGCCATTAGCTATAGATCAAACTTTTTTTTTCAATTTCTTTAGACATATATGCACATAAACTACATTTTTTAACCAAAAAAGTGTTCATAGAATAAATGTGAAAAAAATTTAAAGTATACACCTTTTCTCTTTTTCTTCTTGGTTTACTTTTCCCTTCCTATGCTTATCTCTCTCTGCTTACTTTACTCATCCCCCACACCATCCTCAAGCTGTGTTTAGGCTAATTTGTGTTAGCTTCTTATATTCATAATCACATAAAATCTATATATGGTTATACATACATAAAAATATTATAAATATATATTTAATTTAAAATAAATTTTACTGTATATATTTGAAGGTCACAACATGTTATAGGATATATGTACATAGTAAAATGGCTACTACAGTGAAACAGAATAACATATCTATCATCTCACATACTTTCCTAGTGAGTGATTTTTAGAGTAATATTGTGATTATTTTACTCTATTTCATGTTTTTATTGTATTTTTAAATAGTATGAAGTATTCAAAATATACCAAGTCTGAAACCTAAAACATACACATTGTTTTCCCCAGAAACAATCACTATTACTAGTTTCTTGTGTGTGTGTATGTGTTTTCCCACAAATAATTGTACAAACGTAAATGCTAGGGACTATAACATACTCACTGTTTGGCACTTTCACTTTCCCATGAAATAATATTTCTTGTGATGTGGGGGATCAGTCAGAGTGGTGGGAAAAACTACAGGGAAAGGATGCAAACCTTCGGAAAGGTCAGAAAGTTTTGCAGAGCCCTGGGGGAGAATAGCTGAAGGCAACTGTTCTATAACCCTGAGGCAGAGGGCAAGGAGTAGGTACAAGGGAGTATAGGGAAATTTATCTTAAACAGGTTTGTTTACTTACATTGACCAAGAGCTGACCTTTGATCATCCACGCCCATGCACGAGACATTCCCTGAAGGGGAACAATAAATGTTAATTACCTACAGGTTGTGTTTGCTCCAGGTTTTCAGCATTGTGCCTGCACTGAATAAAAGCAAGCAGCTCCAGCTTCTTGGAGCTGGTTTCTGGCCACTAGAGCCAGGCAGTCACCTAGCTCTCTTACACTGCATGCCTGTGTCTGAGTACTCATTTAATCCATTGGCCAGGGTTTGTGGGACACACCTGGCACTTGTGTATGGAATAGCTTTATTCACTTTATTGGTTGTATAATATTTCAGTATATGGATGTACCAGAACTTATTTAGCGAGTCCCATAATGCTAAAATTTTCTTGTTTACAAACTCTAGCTCTTCCTAAAATGTAGCATTTAATATTGTCCAAATGATATTTTGTACATGTGTGAAAGAATGCTTGAGGAATAAATTCCTAGAAGTGGAATTGGTATGTCAAAGTGCACATGCTTTTAAAATGTTGAATAACTAGTTCTTAGCAGATCTTAGGTGAGAAGTCAGATATCAAGATTTCTTCCACAGTGCTATTACAGGCTCAAAAAATTGAGTCTTCCCTAAAGAAACTGGAATTTTGCCTGGCATAGAAATCAAGGCTAGGATTTCCCTGAGAGTGGAAAAAGTCCCTCTTAAACTCATCTCCTCTTGCGATCCTCTAAATAGTTCAGCGGGATGAGAAAAGCGGCAAAAACCCTACCCAGCAGGCAGCAGGTTAAGGCTGGCTTGTGTGGGGACGACCGGAGAAGGTCTAGTTACTTTCAGGTACCAGAACTTAGGAACCTGAGAAACGAACTGGCTTTTCTATGTAGATGAGTCTTTTGTGTCTCACAGAAGGACCAGGTTTTACTATTCAAAGGAGAATGAAGAACCACGAGAACCAAAACTGATTAATTAAGGGTTTTCTCTGACTTAAGAATGAGCTATGAGTTTTATTTTTATCTTTCCCTCATCCTCTTCTCCCAAGTAGCTCTCTGTATTTCAGTTCTAAAGTGTGACTACTTGGTTGAATTTTTTCTGATAGGATCAGAGCCATCTGTTTATCAATGTGTTTGCTTCAGAAGACTACTCTTTGTACATGTTATTCCTTAACAGAAGCAGAGATATTTCACTTTTGCTCTGTCGCAGCTTCTGCTATCGGATTGACATGCTTTCTGCCAACTGCCAGAACATGTTTTTCTTTGTCCCTTTTCTTCTTCTTTGTTTTTCCCCTAGCAGTGCAGCAATAATCTTAATGCGCTGCTGTGTTTGAATAATCAATTTAGGGTGACTCTTAAAATAAAATAGCACACTATAAAACTACTCCATTGGTGAGTGCCCTCCAAATGGTAGATGCAAAGGAGATGCTGTTCTTTTAAAGGGACAAGAGAGCCTGCGGCAATATGACTGTATTATGCCATCATCCGCAAACACAGTTTGTTTTTTACCTTCCTGTTGGTTTCTGCTTGCTGAGATACCTGATTCGGGGTGGCCACTGAAGAGAGTGTAAACCTATTATCCAGTGTGCAGTTCCCTGTTATCCCAGCACTGCCTCACCAGAAGGAACTGGAGAAACAATTCTATAGGGAATCTCCAAGTTTTTGTATGCCCTTAGGCAGAACACCAAAGTTTTTTTGTTGTTGTTGTTTTGTTTTTTTTTTTGAGACAAGGTCTCACTCTCACATCCAGGCTGGAATGCAGTGGTATGGTCATACCCCACTGCAACCTCCACCTCTCAAACAGTGCTCCCACTTCAGCCTCCTGAGTAGCTGGGACTATAGACATGTGCCACTACACTTGGCTGATTTTTATTTTTGTATTTTTTGTAGAGATGGGGTCTCACTATGTTGCCCAGGCTGGTCTCAAACTCCTGGGCTCAAGCAATCCACCCGCCTCAGCCTCCCAAAGTGCTGGGGTTACAGGCATGAGCCACTGTGTCCAGCCCAGAAGTATCTTTATGTTAATATAGATCTAGGAGAAACAGCAACATTCATCCCTTATTGGTTCTAATTAAGAAATCAAGTAAGAATTAAGCAAAATGGAAATAGATTATATTTTCACCATCTCCAAATCATTTTTTAGTTCCTCTTTCACCTAAACCTTGACCAAGTCACTCCCTGACTTGTCAGTCTTTGACTTTGACAGTCACGCAGTCTGCTTTCTAATGGTTCCCCAGATTTTAGACTTTTTTCTACTTCTCCCTTCAACAATTTTGTTTTCTTTTTCTTCTTTTACTTTTTGTTCATTCACAATCCTTCATTTCTGCCAAGTGACAATTGTTGCATATAAGAGCTCCCTGGATAAAATGTTTGAAACATTATATGGTCAAGGGAACAATATGGCAATATATTCAGAGAAACAGTATAGGTCCTGGGAAGAGGGAGGGGTTTTGGTCTTCTATAAATCATGTCATATTGTAACTGAAACCCTGGTTCAGTAACTCGCCGCTTACGGAGTTCAATTAACAAGAGCAAGGTCTGCTATACAGAAAATGACTTTTTATTCCAAAGCTAGCTCAGGAGAAGTACAGGTTTCCTGCCTTTAAGGGCACCACTTCACTTTCAAAGCAGAAAGTGAGCGCTTTTTTTTTTTTTTTTTTTTTTTTGAGATGGAGTTTCGCTCTTGTTGCCCAGGCTGGAGTGCAATGGCACAATCTCAGCTCACTGCAACCTCTGCCTCCAGGGTTCAAGTGATTCCCCTGCCTCAGCCTCCTAAGTAGCTGGGATTACAGGCATGCGCCACAACGCCTGGTTAATTTTTTGTATTTTTAGTAGAGACGGGGTTTCTCCATGTTGGTCAGGCTGGTCTCAAACTCCCGACCTCAGGTGATCCACCCACTTCGGCCTCCCAGAGTGCTGGGATTACAGGCGTGAGCCACTGCGCCGGGCCGAAAGTGAGCAATTTTAAAGGGTGCCTAACATGAACTGCCCATGGTGGGAGGGGGAGTGAGCAGATGAGGGGTCCACATGTTAGCTTGGTGCCCTATCTACCCAGCTGGTTCTGCTGACACTTTCTTCTTCTTCTTGGGCAGGTAGACTTTGGGTTGTAAATAGACTGTTATCTCTTCAGGAAACCTCCTGCTGGCTGAGAGTTCCTTTCTGTGGCTCCTAAGCACAGAGTTAGAACTTGACCTGTAGGGAATGCCTGGTGAAGGGGAGGTGAAAGGCTATATTTGCATTTCTAAAGGGCTAAATAGGAAGTGGGGAAAAGGAGGAAAAAGATAGAGAGAAAATAAACTATCTGTTAGAAAAATGGGGGTAGTCCTGATGACTAAGCTCTGATTTTTTCTTATCTTGCCCACATTCCTATCTAAGGGGTCTGGGAAGTCATGCCTTACAAACCATAAATTCTCATCAGATGGTTTTATTTAACCATATATATCATGACTGACTTTCCAATCTGCCTCTGGCATAACATGTGACAAAGGAGAAAATCAAAATATTTTACCCCCAAACATGTTTCTTTGCCATATTTTGAAATGGCCTTTGCAAAGCTGTCCTTTGTGGAGGAAAATTTGCATCTGTAAAGAATCTCTATTAACATAGCTAGATCTTTTTCTTCCTGGCCCTCCCAATCCTGAAGAGATTAGCTGAGAGTCTTGAACCTTTTAAAGGTCTGAATAGGAAACGTTTGTCATCTATTGTCTCTAACAGCAGCCACTATGAGACTTCAAAAGAACCCTGGTTTCCACAATCTTTCATCTTAACCTAAACATTTCCTTTCCATTGATCTCAGGTCTTTAGACAAACTCAACCAATTGTCAACCAGAAAATGTTTAAATTTACCTATAGCCTGGAAGCCCCCCACTTCGAATTGTCCCGCCTTTCTGGACCAAACCAATGTATTTCTCAAATGTATTTGATTGATGTCTCATGCCTCCCTAACATGTATAAAACCAAGCTGCGCCCTGACCACCTTGGGCACATGTTCTCAGGACTTCCTGAGGGCTGTGTCACGGGTGATGGTCACTCATATTTGGCTCAGAATAAATCTCTTCAAATATTTTTCAGAGTTTGACTCTTTTCTCGTCAACACTCTCAGTTACAATATATGTTTTTGCCCACTCTTTGAATTTACAAAATTGACGCTAGGTTCTTGAAGACTTTCTCTCAAAAAAGATTGGATAGTTAGAAACTGTTAGAATAGATCATTTTTTTCCTCTCACATTCTGGCCCATGTTCTACCATGTTATGAATTAGTAGAAACACACAGGCATCCAGAGAAGTACTAGGCAATCATAGGCTTGCCAAGTTTGAAATTAACTGGTTAGTGTCTCTTTTATTATACAGAATAATTTTCTGAATGTTAACCTGCAGTCTCTCAACTCTAAATTTCATCAGTATGCAAGACTTTGCATTGAATAAATCCACAAGTAAAGTTTTAAAGAAGAAATCAGATAGAGCTTATGTATTGTGAAAAGAAAATAAATTTTGGGACCCCATAATCACTGAGCCAAAGGGAAAAGTCAAGCTAGGAACTGCATCAGGTAAACCTGCCTCCCATTTTATTCCTTAATAAGATAGCTCCAAAGATTAAAAAAAAAAAAAAAAAAAAGCTGCATACCTCTCTCACAATTTGCCTACAAGAAAATTCCTTGTGGGCCTCAAAATCTTTACCCTAAAACAGTTCTGTTGAATTTTATACTGACAATATAAATTAATAGCTTATCTTCACAGGGGTGGGACAAAGGACTGACAGAACTAAAAGTAATCCCTCTGCTCACCTGAGGCAAATGCATATCTGGTTCCTTCCTCTGCCCTATTATTTATGTAAAAATGCAGATTCACTGAGCTAGACTAGGGCATAAATACCTATTCCTCTACCCACAGCCCTACATGTAAAATGTGAATTCAGTGAAAGGCTGATCAAAAACCTAAAATAATGCAAACTCTTGTTTCTTATCTACCTATGACCTGGAAGCCCCCACTTTGAGTTGTGCTGCCTTTTTGGACCAAACCAATATACATCTTACACATTGATTGATGTCTCATGTCTCCCTAAAATGTGTAAAACCAAGGTGTGCCCTGAGCACCTTGGGCACATGTGGTAATCACCTGCTGAGGCAGTGTCATGGGTACATTCTCAACCTTGGCAAAACAGACTTTCTAAATTGATTGAGACCTGTCTTAGATACTTTTGGCTTCACAGTATGTGACCCTATGTTGATTTACATAGAGCTATGTTTATACTCAATGAGTAAGTGCTCACTATAAATCTTAAAAAAGGTCCTAGAAGAGAAGAGCATCAATGAATGTGTTCAAAGTTTTCTTCTTAAAAATGTGCCCTCCTACCCCGTCTCTACTAAAATATAAAAAAATTAGCCACGTATGGTGGCGCGTGCTTGTAGTCCCAGCTACTCAGGAGGCTGAGGCAGGGGAATCACTTGAACCCAAGAGGCGGAGGTTGCAGTGAGCCAAGATCACACCACTGCACGCCAGCCTAACGACAGAGCAAGACTCCGTCGCCAAAAAAAAAATGTGCCCTCTGTCCTCCCTCCCTCCTCCCCCTCCCCCTCCTCCTCCTCCCCCTCCCCCCTCCCCCTCCACCTCCTCCTCCTCCCCCTCTTCCTCCTCCTCCTCGGGACTGCAGCCTAACGACAAAGCAAGCTCTGTCTCAAAAAAAAGTGCCCTCCGTCCTCCTCCCTCCCTCCTCCTCCTTCTCCTCCTCCTCCTCTTCTTCTTCTTTTGAGACAGGATCTCACCTTGTCACTTAGACTGGAGTGCAGTGGCATGATCTTGGCTCACTGCAACCTCAACCACCCAGGCTTAAGTGATCCTCCTACCTCAGCCTCCTGAGTAACTAGGACTACAGGCATACACCACCACATCTGGCTAATTTTTGTATTTTATGTAGAGGCAGGGTTTTACCATGTTGCCCAGGCTGGTCTCAAACTCCTGGGCTCAAGTGAACCACCCACCTTGGCCTCCCAAAGTGCTGGGATTATAGGCCTGCACCAGTGTGCCTAGCCGAATGTGCCCTTCTTTTAGAGGTTGAAAATGCGTTGACTGATATGCTCACACCTTTCTGCACATGTCTATTTTCTCAACCCACTTTCTATGAATAGTTCTCAATCAGCTATAATTTCCTTGAGAGTAGAAACATGAAAGTTCAACACAAGGAAGGAAAAACTGAAAATTTCAGTACTAGAGTTAGAGTGATGAAGAAAACTTAAAAACAACCTAGGAAGTTTCAACTAGCTAACGATGGTGGCTCCAATGTCCCTAAGGGGCTGCATTGAATTCCTATTGTCTTTATTAGGCATGTAGTTGCTTCTCCACTGGACCATAAGTAGAGTCAACTCCATGTGGAGTTGAAACAGAAAATTTTCCCTGACCCCTTAACGGACCTCGCAAAAGGGGTGCCTTGCTTACTCAGCCCGTAGCTCTTAACCCCTTGCGGGAGGAGGAGCACACAGGTGAGCAGGTTCAGGAGCTGGGACTAGTACTTCTGGGCACCAGCCAAAGCAGAACTCAGCGCAGCCCCATGGCGGCACCTAGGGGTGTACCTGTGACCCCTGGAGCCCCAGAGGGCATGTATTACAGTGCTCTTTTAGCTTTGCCATCTTTAGAGGGCTTAAGAATTAAACGGCTAAAGCATCTGCACCCGTGGCTCCCAAGCTCTTGTTCAATGTCCAGGAGAATCAGGTCACATGAACAAATTGAAAGGTAGTGAATATGGAGGATTTTTATTGCCAATGAAAGTGGCTTTCATCAGGAAAGGGAGCCGAAAAGGGGATAGACTGGGAAGGTTGTCTTCCCCTGGAGTCTGGCCACCCCTGGCAAGGCTCTTCTCCAAAGCCCTGCCATCAAGCTGTCCCTCTGAAGTCAAGCTGCTTCTCTCAGATGTCTGGCTACTTCTTTTCTCCTCCCCTCTCCTCTCTGTCTAGAATTTCTCTGCCTTTTGTCCCTATCAGAGTGACTTTCAATGCTGACTTCCTAAGGGGACTTGTACACTTCTCCTATAGAAAGTATTATGTATGCTCTCATGAGAGATCTAGCAGTTAGCAGTTGGCAAATCAGAAGTTTTTAGACTGTGCTTTGTTTCCTTTAATAACAGTTAGATGGAAATTGTGGGAAAACAAAGAGCAGAGGGCAGTCCAAGGCTTTTATTCCTTATTAAATGCAATGAAAAGCAATATCCAGACATTAGTCCTTCGGCCTCTTGCACTTGGTTTCAAGGGGGGCTCATCAATTCTTATGTGGTCCTGAAGCCCAGGGCTGGCACTTTCTACCCAGTCATTAGGATTAAATATGGGACTGTGTCCAAAGCACACTATGGAACGCATTTAGCAATTGCAGCAAAGGGAGGGCCTGTTTCCAGCAGAAATTGTAGAAGCCACAGTGAAGTAGAATTACAACTTCTTTTTCTGTAATTAAAATATTTTTCCCTAATGTATCAAAAAGCTCAAGCAAATAGTTTTATACTTTAAGCAGGATATTTGCTAATATTATGTAACATTTTTCAGGAAAGATATGCCACATATATTTCAGGAAATGGCACAATGATAGTGGCATAACTCCATTATGAATAAGGAAGAAAAGTCTTAATTCTGTATGTTCCTACGAGGGAAAAAAAAAAATTCCCTGGACGTCCAAGTTGACTCAAACCCTTCATAAAGAATTTTCTCCTCTTCTCACATCTTCCAGGGAAAAAATTAACAAGACTAGATTGGGTTTTGACTCACATATATCATTAGGAGGAATCATAGAAAACAATAACTTAACAGATTAATGAAGTACAAATTTCAGATCTATAAAGAATGGTGAAAGTTATCATAATTTTATAATTTCAAAATAGGTTTACTCTTTCTTCTCATATCTAAAATTTCATTAGAAAATATAGATCCATAAAACAGTTATTTGGAAGCTAAAGGTAATCAGTTAAAATTATCATAATTTTGGCAAACTGGTTTACCCAAAAGCAGAACCCTTTGAGGCTAAATGGTTTCAGGACACTCCAGAATTCATCCTAGTGAGGTAGATGTTTAAGAAATAGTGTACGTAGACAGTAAATAATTGGACTGAATTGCTTCTAATAATAGTTACTTTATAAACACTTCCTGGTTTTTACTTTTCTTCTGTAACAATGTAGCTACTCTTCATCTACCCCTGGCATGTTGGACCCAAACACACAAATAGTAATAAGATGAAGTCTGAAACAACACTTACTTGTGGGCATCTAATTGAATGTAAAATTGAATAAGGGAGTTGATGGGGTTTGTTCTTTCCAGGATACAAAATATTTTTGAGATGGGGCATATCTAAGGGTTCAAGGACACTAAATATTGGCAGCTGATATAAAACAGTTATTGCCATATTCAGTGCAAAAGTGTAGTCCTTATTCTTTCACTATGATTCGTGCCTCTTTACATTTGGATTTTTTGCCATTTCTGAGTCTAAGAAACTGGGGTGGTAATAGGATATGTTTTTCCCTGCTCACTGGCCCTCACATTTTTGGGGGCCATTAGGAAACCCAGAGTTATGTCAACCCGATGGGCTCAGAATCCAGCTACTTTTTTCCATTATAGAATTCTGTCCCTTCCTGCTGTCTTCCTTCAGCCGACCCTCCACTCTATTCAGAGTCCACAAACTCTCTATCTTTTATGTTTTTAAATGCCAAAGCTCTGTTACTCATCTTTTTCTCAAGCAATTTAGTTGGATTGTCACTGATGGAGGCCTCCATCTTTGATATATTACAGCCCTTGTTTATAGAATGTCTTGAGATGGGGTTGTGAGGGCTCATAATCTTTGTAAGTTCCTTTTTTTCTTTTTATTTCTTTTGTTGTGATTATAAAAAAAAAACCCTTGTAACATGAGATACATGCTCTTAACAATTTTTAAGTGAATAGTGCAGAATTGTTAACTATAAGCATAATACTGTATAGCAGATCTCCAAACTTTTAATTTGCATGACTGAAATTTTACACCATTGAACAGCAAGTCTCCATTTCCCCCTCTTCAGCTTCTCCTACTTTATTCATTTTAATAGCTTTTCTAGGATGCAATTAATACACAAAATAACTGCAGATATTTAATGTACATAATTTAATGGGTTTGAACATATGCATATCCCTGTGAAATCATCGCCACAATCAAGTAATAAGCATATCTATCACCTCTAAAATATTTCTCCTGCTTCCACCACCCCTTTTCCTGAGATCAACTCTCTTAACCATTTTTTTGTTCGTTTGTTTTTTGAGACAGAGTCTCTCTCTGTCGCCCCCGCTGGAGTGCAGTGGTGCAATCTCGGCTCACTGCAAGCTCTGCCTCCCGGGTTCATGCCATTCTCTTGCCTCAGCCTCCCGAGTAGCTGGGACTACAGGCACCCGCCACCACGCCCGGCTAATTTTTTGTATTTTTTAGTAGAGAAGGGGTTTCACCGTGTTAGCCAGGATGGTCTCGATTTCCTGACCTCGTGATCCGCCCACCTCCGCCTCCCAAAGTGCTGGGATTACAGGCGTAAGTCACTGCGCCCGGCTGTCTCTTAACCATTTTTTAAGTGCACAATGCAGTATTGTTAGCTAGAGCGACTATATTGTAGATCAGGTCTCTAGAACTTACTCATCTTGTATAACAGAAACTATACTCATTGTAAGACAATTCTCCTTTTTTCCCTCCCACAGCCCCTGGAAACCACCATTCTAATTTCTGATTCTGTAAGTTTGACAATTTTAGGTACTGCATATAAATGGAATCATGCAATATTTGTCTTTCTATGTCTGGCTTATTTCACTTAGCATAATGTCCTTAAGGTTTTCCAGTTTGGGTGATGCATCCAAGGGGAGTGTCCTGTGATATGAGGACACAATTACCATCTGTGAAGAGAGGACAGAGGAGGAAAAAGTACAAAGAAGGCATTTTGTTTTTTTTCTTTCAAAGGAATCCCAGTGATTCAAGAGTCATTCCAGAGAAATACAGACTGAAGATGACTGGTTACCCTTCTAGAAAGAGGGGAACAAGGCCTCCCTAGTTCCTTTTGCTTCCCAGTGAATACACGAGGTACGTGAGGGAGAGAAGAAGAGGTGTCCACCTTCCTTCCTCAATCCTTATATCTCCGATTCCCAGAGACCTTGGTGGGGTACCACCTGTGGGTGCCAATGCAGATTTTCACCCATGTTAACAGGGAGGCCTTAAGGGTGGGAACAATCTGCATTTATCCATGTGCTGCCTCCTCCCTGCTGTTGGCAACCTTTGAGTTCCCTAGACCTTGTCTATACCATGGATACTTGCATGACCTCTATCTATGAAACTGGGGTGGAGGGCGGTGGTGGCTAATCAGCAGGAATTAGTCATGCTTACGCGCGCTGTGCTCCGTTGTTGCCTGCCTCCATATCCCTTAGATCCAGTTTTCCCTCCTAGGGCTTCAACCCGAAGCCTGGAATTGAGTTTGTGACAAAAAAATGTGCTTCAGGAGAGTTCATGGAGTCCTTAAGTCCCAGGTGGCCCCCCTCATACAAAGGAGAGAAAAGGGAGTTCTGTGAATTGGGGTCCTGGCCTTGCAAGACACTTTCCAAAAGGAAAAAAAAAAAAAAAAAAAAAAAAAAACCTCTCACATAGAAAACTCCCTGTATTCGCAGGTCTGTGTTAACAGAGAAATGGAAAATAAATAACAGAGAAATAAATAACAGAGAAAAGGAAAATAAAACAGCTTATGTGTGGGGCAGAAACGGCGCCTGGGAAAAAAACCTCTAGCTCTATGCAAATAAATTCCTCAAATAAGGAGAGAAACTCTTAATCTTTGTACTCTCCTTTTGGCTCGGCCAGGGGAAGAAAGACTCTGTGGGCATGTGGTGGGAGGGGATGACAAGTGGGAAACACTGGCCAGCCAGCCTCATGGGGCCCTTGGCCCTGGAGACCGCCCAGGGCCTGGGTGGCTACTGAGGCTCATTCCTGTGCTGTGTGGCCGTTGGGTGCTGCATGCACATGAGGCAGACATGGCCATGCGCCTCAGCCTGGAGTGGAGGGGAACATGCTTAAGAACACACGGAAATTGCGTTGTTCTAAATTGCATGTCTGTCTGATGGCTGGGCCAAAGACCCTTTCTATCTCGTAATATCTCTACAGTTTGCAATAACACCCCCAATATTGTAAAAGAAAAGATAGGTGCTGTAACAGCCCCAAAAGGAAGAAGAAAAATGCCATAGAAAAGACTGGATTGGAATGAGGCCCATATTCTCAACCTCTGAGTGTGACGGGGGTGGATGGCAGCTTCTGCAGCCATGCCCTTCATTCTTAATTGGCTAACAGAAGCCCGGTGCTACATCTGTTTAGAGAAGAAGTCTGAGGATGAGAAGGCTCAGCAACGAAAGTGAAAGAGATTTTTTGGGGTCCACCTTTTACTCACCTTTCCTCAGGATCCCCATACAGCCACCAAAATGATGCAGAACTTTTGCTCCTTTAGCACAGCTAGGTCTGGGTTCTTGTCTCATGACCAGGAAAAATTAGGTGCACGGCCCCCAGAGAGTGAGTGGAGTAAAATTTATCATGCAAAAGGAATGCTCTCGGCAAAGAGAGGGGTCCTGAAAGCCAGTTACCCACTTCACAGTTGAATATCCGGGCTTAAGGTGTGAATTCCTGGTGGCTCCACCCAACCCTTTCAATGTGCCTGCCAGCCCATACACTGAGATGCTCCATATTGATTTATTTCCCTTACTGTGCATGAATTAAGGAACGGAATTTTCCACTGTGGGCATGTTTAGGCAAGTCCCCTGTGCAAGTTCCCTTATACACAAAATGTCTGGTTTAAACATTTGTGGGGTGGGGGGACCCTGCCCTTAGTGTCTGCCTAAACCAAGCTGGCTCTTTTCAATATGACATCTCATCATGGTTTTGATTTGCATTTTCCCATGATTAGTGATGTTGAGCATCTTTTAATACACTGCTGGCCATTTGTATGCACTCTTTGGAGAAATGTCTATTCACATAAATTCGTTTTTTCTTTTGTCTAAACCTTAGGCAGAAGAGCCTTTCCTAGAAAATGTCCTGGGCCATTATCTTCAAGGGGCTTCAGAACTTCTAAGAAGTGTAGGTATCCTTTTGCAAGGGAAAATGTATATGCCTTAACGTGGGTGATTTTTGTGGCACCTTTCTCAATGAAGAAAAGGTGTCTTTTTCTCCAAACTAATTTGCTAATTAACCTATCAGTCACTATTTACACATGAAACAGAATTCACTCCAGATTGTTCAAATGGAAAACATTAATAAAAGGACTACTTTAAAAAGTTTGTGCTGAGATTTAAAAATAAAAATTAAAAAGGCAGTGATGAGACTAGCCACAGTAGAAAGGTGTTATCACCATGAGGGTTGAAGAAATAAAGGCAGAAGACAGTAATATCAGAGCAAGAGCTGGAGCCATGGAGAAAATGTCTAGTGGGCTGCAGTCATGAAGGGATGCAGCTGCTATCAGAGGCACTTTAAAAAGTGAGGGACAAACACCCAAACCACCTCCTTTTGCCATCCTGTCTCCTGCCACTGTCTCTCATTGATGAAATTCAAACTGATGCCAGCTATCGAGGGGGTCTGTTAATTGCATCAATCTAGTGTGCAAAGCAAGACAGAGAAGAATAGAAAATTAACCTAAGTAGTCAACAGGCAACAGCTAGAAAAGAACCAGCACAACTAGATAACTCAACAGCAACAAAATTTAACAGTGTCAGGATATTCTGCTATAGTTCTTTCCTGTCTGGTATAAAGTTAATTGTTTTTTGCTTTTGTTTTTAAATTTTAATGTATTTAAGTCAACAAAGTCAATCAATTATATATTTGATAAGTACTTTTTATGTGCAAAGCTCAGTACTAAGTATTAAAAGATAGTGTTTCTAGTGTTACGTGACTATAAGGGAAGAATATATAATTTTTCCAAAATGTTGACTATTTTATGTTCCTTGAAATGATAACAAGTTCTATGGAAGTTCAAATAACAGTAAAAATTGCATCAGCTTGATAGGGATTAAAATAATTTTAATGGATAACTAGGAGTTCGAAAATACTTTGATCTGTGGGCAAGGTTCTGACAACAGGATATGGATTAACAGGAAGAGCATCCCCACTGGAGGTCAAAGCAAGGCAGAAGTATGTAAGATACGTTTGAGAAATAGTAAACAATCTCTAGTAGAGATAGAAAAATGAGCAGGAGATAGGCTTGGGAGGCAAGTTCTGATTAGATCATGGAAAGTAAAGAAATGTAATCTGTTTTCATTTGAGGAGTCTTCAGTTTACACCGTGCTACCAAAAAAAAAAAAAAAAATCAGGCACATCACAATCTATACCAATTTCAGGAAGCAAGAGTCATGAGCGGAAATAGAGAAGGCAGAATTTGGCTAATGGAAAGAAACATTTTTCTAACTGGCCCTCCAAATGCAATAAATACTTTGAAAATAGTAAATATGCCAACCATAAATAAAAAGTGATGCAGAGATCCTTTCTTACCTCCAAAAATTGAAGAGATGACCTTTAGCATTCCTTCCAACTTTGAAATTCTATGTCACAGAACAAGATACCAATTATGGTAAGAAAATTTTAGTTTCCAAACACTGCATGTTCTCACTCATAGGTGGGAATTGAACAATGAGAACACCTGGACACAGGGCAGGGAACATCACACACCGGGGCCTGTCGTGGGATCGGTGGGAGGGCGGAGGGATAGCATTAGGAGAAATATCTAATGTAAATGACGAGTTAATGGGTGCAGCAAACCAACATGGCACATGTATACATATGTAACAAACCTGCATGTTGTGCACATGTACCCTAGAACTTACTATAATAAAAAAAAAAAAAAGAAAATTTTAGTTTCTAAATGCTTTTACAGCTCTTATGAAGGAATAATAAATCAAAGGAAAGAGGCATGAAGCAATGTTTTCTTCCTTCCTTCCTCCTTTCCTCCCTTCCTCTGTTTCTCCCTTCCTCCAGTCTTCATGTAACTGCCCCATGAGTTCACCTTGCCTGATGCCTAGACACAGCCAATTTATCCAGACAGGAGAATTGCAATAGAGAAAGAGTTTAATTTACTCAGAGCTGGCTGTATGGGAGACCAGACTTTTATTATTATTCAAATCTAAAATTGGGGGATTGGGTTTTTTAAGGACAATTTGGTGGCTAGGGGCCAGTGAGTCAGAAGTGCTGATTGGTCGGGTTGAAGGTGCAATTATAGAGAGTACAAGCTGTCCTCTTGCACTGAGTCAGTTCCTGGGTGGGGTCCACGAGACCAAATGAGCCAGTTTATCAATCTGGATGGTGCCAGCTGATCCATCAAGTGCAGGGTCTGCAAAATATCCCTAACACTGATCTTAGGTTTTATAGTAGTGATGTTATCCCCAGGAGCAATTTGGGGAGGGTCAAAATCTTGTAGCCTTCAGCTGCATGACTACTAAACCATAGTTTCTAATCTTGTGTTTAGTTTGTTAGTCCTAAAAAGGCAGTGGGGCAGCTTCCCCAGGCAGGAAGCAGGTTTGCTTTGGGAAAGGGCTGTTATCATCTTTGTTTCAAAGTTAAACTATAATCAAAGTTCCTCCTAAAGTTAGTTCAGCCCAGGAATGAACAAAGACAACTTGGAGGTTAGAAGCAAGATGGAGTTGGTTAGGTCAGATCTCTTTGACTCTAATAATTTTCTCAGTTATAATTTTTGCAAAGGCGGTTTCACATCAAGTGGGGGCTGGAAGACACTCATTCAAGCTGGTTCACTCACATGGCTTTCAAGTTGGTCTGGTTATTGGCTGGATGCTCAGTTGAGCTCTGGACTGGGTGTCTTTGTTTTCTCCATATAAGCCTCTACATGGGTTGCCTGAGCTTCCTCACAACATGGTAGCTGAATTACAAGAGCAAATACCTTAAAGGAACCAAGAAGAAGTACATGATATTTTTATGAGCTACCCTTAGCAGTCACATAGCGTACTCTATTTGAAACTGCCTTTGCAAACTTTGCAAAAATTCTATCAGTGAAAAAAATTATGACAGTGAAAGAGATCTGAGTTAACGCACACTCCATCTTGCTGCTTCCTTAATTATTCCTGAGATATTGGGTCAACCTAACTTTGGAAGATATTTAGGCTATAGTTTAAATGATAATAGGCCTTGCCCAAAACTGAATTGCTTTTGTAAAGCTAATGGGAGGCTATTAGGCTAGGGGGAGGAGAGGATCCTTAGTCCTGCTAAAGTGCATACATAAATGATTGTCAGCAATTACTCTGGAGGTTATAAGATATGCAAATTCCCCAATTACTCCTTCAAATAATACCACTATTGTAGATTGGCCTTTTGAGATCTCTTTTTGAGTTTTCTGCATGTCTAACCCCCATGGCTCCACCTGGAACTGCCAACCCCACTCCTTTGGCCCCACCCAGAAGCAATTTAGCCCAGGGAGGCAGCTTCCACCCCTTATGATTTCATCTCCACCCCAACCAATCACCATCAAGCACCTGTTACCTGGCTACTCCCACCCCTTCCCCCAAACTGCCTTTGAAAAATCCCTAACCTGGGAGGTTTGGAGGAGATGATGTGAGGGCTAATTCTGTCTTCCATGTAGGCTGATCGGCCTTGTGTCTGTTAAACACTTTGTCTGCTACAGTGCTGTGGTCTTTCTTCATGCAGCCAGCGGGAAGAGCCCCTCCAATGGTTACATATTGATGAAGACCATTACAAACATTCATCCACAGAGCCCGCCACTAGATGGAAAGAATATCAAGGCCACATTGTAAAATGGTGTGTGATATTGGTGTGGACATCTTCAGAAAATACAAGCTGCTACTAGAGAATATTAAACTTTGATTACAAATGTTTAAGTGTCTTTATTTTATTTGCTCCAAAGGGAAGTATCAGCCCACCTAATTTCTGTAACTTTTACTCCAGCATTTCATCAGTTGCTTGCTGTAGGGATGAACTCTTTTCATTTATTTGAAAACATATGGTTCTCCTTGTGATAACATTTTGCTAAATATTAATACTATTTTTGTGCCTTTGTTTTATTCCTTGTATATGTTCTTTTCCTTATCCCTCTTTGTTCTTCCCTCGTACTTTAAAAAGAAAAAAAAAAGATAAACTATCAAGTTTCTAAGTATGTGAAGAAAGGCAGTTCTTTAAGTGATATATTTTTTAAATTATTTTAACTGGAAATATTTCACCCTCTTTACTCCTTTCTTATGCTTTTAAGGAATAGCATGATAATAGTTAACATCTACCTAACACTATGCTAGACCTCAAAAAGCACTAAAGAAGAATTCAGCTGTAAAGACCCTTGATGGCTGCAAGTTTGCTGTATTCCAAATTCTCAGCACCCATCAAAAAGTCTGACTCACAGGAGTTACTGCATGAACATCTGCCTAGTCAATGAATGAATTCATATGAAATGAATAAAGGCATGACTTCTGTTCACTATGAGATAATGAACAGTTTAGAGGGAGGTCAATAATTTATAATGTGACAAGGAAAGAAAGGTGTGTTATATATGGTAGACTGAGATGTCTCTAAAATCAAAGGGTATTGAGCAAGTGAGATGGAGATAAAGGAAAGAGAAATAATGAGAAATAATCATCAATAACTTCATAACTCAGATGGCAGGGGTAGGGGCTGTGGCAATTGTTGAGGGGAAGAGTGGGTGGAGTATAGCTAGCAGAGTGCTGAATCACAAGTTAAAGGGCAGTGCAATTATTCACAACCTGAAAGAGGATGCAGTAGTGACTGGGAGTGCAGGCTTCAGAGTCACAGACACAGATTCAAGTTCCAGCACTACTAGTTATGTAATGTTGAATTAATCTCTCTGGGCCTCAGTTTTCCTGCCTAAATGGGATAAAAACCTTTCCTATGGGAAGCAAAGTAGGCATGGACACACACATGCCATTAATACCTTTCCCTTGTATCAGAGCACAAATCCCTCATCTCTCATTGTACCAAAGTATGCTGGTATAGACAGGCTGGCACCAGATTTGACACTTTTTAGTGAGTATTCCACTGCAGTGACTCTGCCTCTACAATGCACCACAAAGTAACAAGGAAAGGAAACAGGGAAGATTTAGGTCAATGTGTAGCATGCAGCCTCTGGGTCAGGGGTGATGTCCTTCCTAGAAAGGAGGGATTCACAGAGTGCAAAAAAGTACAAAAGAATAATTCAGCTGTAAAGCCCTTTGATGGCTTGGAGTTTCTTGTATTCAAAATTCCCAGCACCCATCAGAAAGTCTGACTCACAGGAGTTACTCAATAAATGTCTGTGATACGAGCTCCTTGATAAGCTGCTGAAAGGAGGTAGAAAACAAAAATCCAAAGTTCCCCAAAGTCACCTCTACTCAACCTACTTTGTAAGACTGCTGTAATAATTATTGTAAAATGCCTAGCAAGGCAGTAAATGTTAACTATTATTGTATTATCGTTGGGTTTCTCCAAGTCTCTAAGTTGATGACATTCGTAGAAGAAATATGCTATATAAGCAAGTGATATAGAATATTGCTATTGTTGGGGTGGTATTAGCTACTAATTGCTAAAAAAACAACAGCCATTTATCCTCATGGATCCGTGGATTGTCTGGAGATCAGCTGAAGGTGGGCAGACCTAAGCTGGGCTTGGCTGGATTTGGCTCAGCTCTGTACTATATGTTTCTAATCCTCTTTGTAGGAGCAAGAGGCAACAAGAAACAAGCAGAAACACACAAAAATCCTTGAGTCCTAGGTTCAAAACTTGCACACTGACGCTTCCACTAATTATCCTACTAGTTCAAGCCAAAGCCCAGAGGAGGAAAAATGTGCCTCACTTCTTTAAGGGGAAGCACTGTAAAGCCACAAAGGGAAAATAAGTGAGGCCATTAATGCAATCTACAAAAATGATAGACTTGCACAATTGTTTGTCAGCAACAGAGGAGACTGTGTTATACAGCTTTTAAAAAGATGAGACGGCACGGCCCCCAAATGCTTTCCAAGCCTGAACTGGGTTGACTAGTGTTCCCACCAGATTTCATGTCTACTTGAAACCTGTCAATGTGCTCTTATTTGGAAATAGGTTCTTGCAGATGTAATCAAGTTATGAAGTCATACTGGATTAGGATGGCCCCTAATCCAATAACTGGTGTCCTTATAAAGAGGAAAATTAAAACCCAGAGATAGAGAAGATAAAACTATGTGAAGACACAGAAGACACAGAGAAGTGTTTCATGAGAAGACAGAAGCAGAGATTGGAGTGATATGTCTACAAGCCAAGGAACACCAAGAGTTTTTATCACCTATCAGTAGCTAGGAGAAAAACCTGGAGCAGATTCTCCCTTATAATCTCCAGAAAGAACCAACCCTGCCAACATCTATATTTCATTTTGAACTTCTGGCTTCCAGAACCGTAAGGGAATAAGTTTCTGTTGTTTAAAACCACCCAGTTTTTGGTACTTTGTTGCCACAGTCTTTCTGATCCTTATGTACACTTCCAGAACTTTTTCATGGTACCAAAAAGAGGTAGTGTCCACATTCCCTTCTCTCAAAATTGGGTAGGAATTTGTCACTGCCTCAGTCGATAGGGATCTAACACACTGGTTATAGCAGGCCAAGTGGTAAAAAACTTGTTAGTCTTAACACCTCCCTACCTCTATGTTAGTCTAGGCTACAACTTTCTGCAGAGGGTTTTGGAACTCCAATAATGATCTCAGCATGTTTTATAAGTAGATTAACCTTCAGCCCTGTTTTTATTTGATGTAATATATTTAGGTGGAGAGAACACGGGAGTCAAATTTAGAAATCTTAGTCATCTTACTTTTTATTCTCCACATCTAATCATTCACCAAGATTGATCATTTTTTTCAATGAATTACACTTAAATTGGCCACCACTATTACTGCCTTACTCTAGGTCCTCATTTCTAATAAATGATGCTCACTGGTTCAATGCTGCCACTGGTGACTTTTAAACAATTCAGATCTGGTCATACAACCATAACTGCTTAAAAAGGAGGATTTGAGAATTCCAACTAAACTCTTGAGCATGTCAAATGAAATCCTTCATGGTTGGACCCATGTGGACATTATCATTGCACCAGTTGCCAGCCCTTGCATACATTCTCCTCCGTCTGTCTGCCTTCGTACATGCTATACTCACTGACATTCTCCCACCTATCCCTGGCTAACTACTATCATCCTAGGACTCAATTTATGCAACACTTCCTGGGGGAATCACTTCCTTAATTCTACTAGATTTGATTCAGCATTCTTCAGATCTGTCTTTGTTTTAGCATTCTCCCCCACATTGTATTGAAGTTATTTTTTACTTTTTAATTGTACTCATCAGCTGCACTCATTGAAGGCCCATTGTGTCTTCTACGTTTTGATCTCTACCATTACTATGAAGCAGTCATACTGACATGGACAGCAGCTGTTGAATTAATTATTTCTTCATCCATAAAATAATCTCCCTTGTCCATGGGATAATATATTTAAAGATGCTCACATTTCCAGTTTTAATTGTGTCTTGTATTCATGTTTTTTTGTTGTTGTTGTTATTGTTATTGATTTTGACAGATTTATTTATCAAAAATTAGTAAAACACTTTTTCTCATTGCTTGAACTTTTTCTAAAGTGTAAGATTGAATTGGATAAATAATCTCTTTCTGTAGAAATACTATAAAATATAATTCTGACTTTGAAAGTTTTGCTAAAGAAAGTGTCTATTATTAGGATAGCATAAATATTACATTTTCACTTTATAGTTATGTATTTTTAAATCATGGTTTTTAAGTTTAGACCTCTTATTTCTCTGCTGGATGTATTAGCCCATTTTCATGCTGCTGATAAAGATATACTCGAGATCGGGAAGGAAAACAGGTTTAATGGACTTACAGTTCTACATGGCTGGGGAGGCCTCACAATCATGGTGGAAGGCAAGGAGGAGCAAGTCACATCTTATGCGGATGGCAGCAGGCAAAGAGAGAGCTTGAGTAGGGAAACTCCCGTTTTTAAAACCATCAGATCTCATGAGACTCATTCGCTATCATGAGAATAGCGCAGGAAAGACCTGCCCCCATAATTCAATTGCCTCTCACTGGGTTCCTCCAAAGACGTGTGGGAATTGTTGGAGTTACAATTCAAGATGAGATTTGGGTGGGGACACAGCCAAACTATATCACTGGATTATGAGATATTTCGCATTAAAAAAAAGTTCTAAACATCTTTGGATGCTCTCTCTCTCTCTCTTTTCCTTATGCCACCACGCTATATTTTGTTAAAATATTTTTTTGTGCAACGTTTATTCAAATTTTTAAAAAATGGATATCTTCTCTTTAAAAAATGTTTCTGTAACACTTCTAATCCTATCTGTCCTTCCAGAACTTTTTTACTCTACTTTTTCACTTCCCTTGAAATTGGATGGGGGCTTTGTTACTGCCCCAGTGAATAGAATGAGGCAGAAGTGATGATGTATAATTCTGAGGCTAGGCTATAAAGTGTGATCCAGTTTCCATTTGTCTCTTTCTCTTGGGATGGGACTTAACAGCCATCATACTGTGAGGAAGGCCAGGCTGCATGGGGCTGCCAATTCAGAGAACTGAAACTTCATCCCTCAGCTCTGCTGAGTTTCCAGCTCACAGCCAGCAACAATTTGTCATTTATATTAGAAATAAATTCCCCAGCTTCTAGTTAAGAGATCCCAGCTAATGCCACATAAAATAGAAATGAGCCTTCTCCACCCAAACCTACCCAAGTTACAGTTTTGTGAGCAAAATACATTATTGTTATTGTCTCTAGTTATTCAGTTTTAGGGTGGTTTGTAACAAACAAAAGTTGTTACAAATCTACCTAATAAGCAGTCTTTAGGACCAGTTTGGTCAATATGAGACAAACATCAAATAACAATAGTATCTGAAAGCTTGAGGAAGATCTGTGTCCAGATAATATCTTCAAAGGCTCATGCTAGGCAAACATTAAAAAAAAATGAGTTTTTTTTCACATAAATGTGCAGATAATTTTTTTTATATAGACTTGAAGAGTCTAGACTTTCTAAACGCAAAATTGAGAAGACATATAAACTAATTTATCTTCGGCTATATCCATATCTGCACACAGCCCAGGAGATGAACTTCCAATTCAAAAACTCTCACTAGTCTCAGAGTTAGCTGGGTTATTATAATGAGAATTATTTGACCATCTGAGAATACCTTACTGATACTAGACACTGACTTTTGTTGGATCCTTTAATCAGGGGTCAGCAAATTATGGCTTGCAGGCCAAATTTGGTCCACTGCCTATTTTAGTAAATACAGATGATGTATTGAAACACAGCCACACCTATTAATTTTACTTATTGTCTTTAAGTACTTTCACACTGAAACGACAATGTTGCATCATCATGTCTGAGATTGTATGGCCTACAAAATTAAAAATATTCACTATCTGACCCTTTACAAAGTTTGCAGACTCCTGTCTTAGATGAATAATTTTGGGGCTTTATAGGAAGCCTGTCAGCTACATTTGCCTAGGGAGAACTCGTTTCCATCATATCCAAAATTTCTGCCTCAGAGAAGCACACACAGTTCTGGAGAACCTGTCCGTGAGTAGTTTCTTGTTGAAGGATGAAGATGAAGGTCAGAGGAAACCAGGGAAGGCTGCACACACAAGCCTGGGTGTCAGGGAGATCTGATTTAGTGGGCAAATTAGGAAATAATTCATGTTGGGGTGATCAGACCCAACACCAAGCCGTGGGAGTGACGAAGTCCAGTGGAGTCAAAAGAATGAGAAAAAGACAGTTTGAGAGAGAAAAGTGGGTCCAGGGGGCCATCATGAGTGTATGGAGGCTGTGAAGGCCCCGAGCTCTGGGAGCCCACACTATTTATTGGTAATCCAACAAAGAAACAGGTGGTGAGAAAGTGGGGGTCCAAAGGGAGCGTTGTATTAAGCACACGATTTACTGCTGTGATGGTTTAGTATTTGCTCTGCTACTTGAGATAATGGGCAGCAGGTTATTTTAACTCAAGATACAATCGATCCTGGGAGAGCAAGGAGCAAGGAGCCAGCAAGTCTAGGCACATTCCAGAGGCCACAAGCCCTGGATTCTATCCAAGCCATGAGGGGTTTTATGCCCCGGGCTTTGATTATGGTGCATCAGGGTAGCCTTCCACCCTTTAGCACAGAGCTTGGTGTTCCAAAGGCCACAAGGGGTTTTAGACCCTGGATCCCAGACATGTTCCGAGACTCTTTTACATTATGTCAGACATGCAAGCCCTGCCTCATCTTCTCTCCCAACACTCAGCTTTTCTCCCAACAAATTCACATATCTCAGGATGTTAATTAGAAATCTGTTGGTTGCAAGAGGTTTAAGCACCTAGAAGTATCCCTGGTTTCGAGGCTCAAATAATCTCACAAACACACTGTTTCTCTCCTGTAACTCCTTTTTGCTGAGATGAATTTTTTCTCAGAATTCCCCCAGTGAGCAATTCTAAACTCACATTGTCCTGACATTACCAATCCCATGAGAAAAGATAATCTCCTCAATATTTTCACTAATCATCCTGGGACTGTATCCATTAGTCCAGCTTGAGTCACATGCTTATCACTGAGCAATCATTCTGGCCAGGACAATAAAGTCCTTTGATTGGCTGATCTTAGCCATGTGTAGCCTTCAAACTTAATCAAAGTAGTGAACAATGAAGAAGAGGCCCTTCACTAAAATGCTGGACAAATATTTTCTTTTTTTATATCTTCTGCACATCTGCCCGTGGTACCAACTTAGGGTTGCCAAATGAATACAGGATGCCTAGTTAAAATTGAGCTTCAGAAAAACAATAAATAAAAACACATTTTTAAAATAAATGAATCCCAAATACTACATTGGACACAATTATACTAAAATATTGATCATTTATCAGAAATTTAAATTTAACTGATTATCTTATATTTTTATTTGCTAAATCTGGCAATCCAAAACCAGGTGAAAGTTTTTTTCTTTGATCCTTTCCTAATTTGGCACTGTTCTACATAAAACTCACAAGATTATTTTGAGGATCAATACAGGTAATAGTGGCAAAAGCATCTGATAAATTACAAAGTGCTATAGAAAGGCAAGAAATTATTTTGGTGGGGTGGAGGGGCTGGATTCCTAAAGTTTTATTTCAATCTTGGTTCTATCTTGAGACAGTTCTGTCCAGTACCATGATCACACAATTCTAAACTGGAAGGCACTTACTCTCCCTAATAATTAAGGGAATAAATACAATTGAGCTTGCTTATATATGATTAAAACTAAACATAACTGAGGCCAGGTGCAGCAGCTCACACCTGTCATCCCAGCACTTTGGGAGGACAAGGCAAGCACTTAAGGCCAGGAGTTCGAGACCAGACTGGCCCACATGGTGAAATCCAGTCTCTACTATAAATACAAAAAAATTAGACGAGCATGGTAGCACATGCCTGTAATCCCAGCTACTTGGAAGAAGGAGGCAGGAAAATCATTTGTACCCCTGGGGTAGAGGTTGCAGTGAACCGAGATCATGCCACTGCCCTTTAGCCTGGGCAATGCAGTGAAACTCTGTCTCAAAACAAAAAACAAACAACAATAAAAACAAGAAGACCTTAAAATAATCATAACTGAAATTATTTTTCCTTAGAGCCATAAAAACAATAAATATTTCTCAAAAAAATACATTTTTTTTTCGGGATCCCAGGGAGAGCCAAGTTCATTGTTGATTGTCTACAGCGGATAGTGAATCTTTCTTTTTTTAATTTTTAATTTTAAATTTTGTGGTTACATAGTAGGTGTATAAATTTATGGGGTACATGAGATATTTTGATACAGGCATGCAATGTATAATAATTATATCATGAAAAATGAGGTATCCATTCCCTCAAGCATTTATCCTTTGTGTTACAAACAATTCAATTATATTGTTTCCGTTATTTCAAAATGTGCAATTAAATTATTATTGACTATAGTCACTCTGTTGTGCTATAAAATAGTAGGTCTTGTTCATTCGTTCTATTTTTTTTCTGCCCATTCACTATCCCCATTTCCTGTCAACTGCCACTACCCTTCCCAGCCTTTGGTAACCACCCTTTTACTATCTCCATGTGTTCAATTGTTTTGATTTTTAGATCCCGCAAATAAGTGAGAACATGAGATGTTTGTCTTTCTGTGCCTGGTTTATTTCACTAAACATAATGACCTCCAGTTCCATCCATGTTGTTGCAAATGACAGAATCTTTCTTTTTTATGGCTGAATAGTACTCCATCGTGTAGAAGTATCACATTTCCTTTATCCATTCATCTATTGATGGACACTTATGTTGCTTCCAAATTTTGGCTATTGTGAACAGTGCTGTAACAAACACAGGAGTGCAGATATCTCTTCCATATACTGATTTCCTTTCTTTGGGGTATGTACTCAGCAGTAGCATTGCTGGATCATATGGTAGCTCTATTTTTAGTTTTTTGAGGAACCTCCAAACTGTTCTCCATAGTGATTGTACTAATTTACATTCCCACCAGCAGTGTACGAGGGTTCCATTTTCTCCACATTCTCTCTAGCATTTGATATTGCCTGTTTTTTAGATATAAGCCATTTTAACTGGGTGTGATGATATCTAATTGCATTTTTGATTGCATTTCTCTGATGATCAATGATGTCGATAGGGTTTGGCTCTGTCCCCACCCAAATCTCATCTTGAACTGTAACTCCCACAATTTCAATGTGTCATGGGAGGGATCCAGTGGAAGGTAATTGAATCATGGGGACAGGTCTTTCTTGTGCTATTCTTGTGATGGTGAATAAGTCTCACGAGTTCTGATGGTTTTAAAAAGAGGAGTTACCCTGCACAAGCTCTCATTTTTTGCCTGCCACTAGCCATGTAAAATGTGACTTGCTCCTCCTCGCCTTCCATCATGATTGTGAAGCTTCCATAGCCACACAGAACTGTAAGTCCAATTAAACCTCCTTCTTTTGTAAATTGCTCAGTCTTGGGTATGTCTTTATCAGCACTGTGAAAATGAACTAATACACATGTTGAGCATCTTTTCACATGCCTGTTTGCTATTTGTATGTTTTCCTTCAGGAAATGCCTATTCACATCTCTTGACCATTTTACAATCAGATTATTGGATTGCTTTTCTTATAGAGTTGTTTGAGCTTATTATAAATCGTGGTTATTAATCCCTTGTCAGATGGGTAGTACACAAGTATTTTCTCCCATTCTGTGGATCTCTCTTCACTTTTAATTATTTCCTTTGTGGTGCAGAAGCTTTATAACTTGATGTGATCTCATTTGTTCATTTTGCCTTGGTTGCCTGTGTTTGTGGGGTATTACTCAAGAAATTTTTGCCCAGATCAATGTCCTGGAGAGTTTCCCCAATGTTTTCTTGTAGTTGTTTCATAGATTGAGGTCTTAGATTTAAGTTTTTAACTCATTCTAATTTGATTTTTATATATGGTAAGAGACAGAGGTTTAGTTTTATTCTTCTGCATATGGATATTCTTTTTTCCCAGAACCACTTATTGAAGAGACTGTCTTTACCCCAGTGTATGTTCTTGGCACATTTATTGAAAATAAGTTCACTGTAGGTGTGTGCTGATAGTGAATCTTAAACTATCTCATAATATTTCCAAGAGATATGACTGATAATTCTGGTTTGGAGTTTTAAAAGTCAACGTATGTCCCTACTGCCAAGTTTTAATTACTTCCTGTAGGGGATCCCTCTCCGGTTCCTGAAATTATTCAGAAGAGAGACATCTGCTGAATGGAAATGCGACTTCCAGCGACAAAGATTTTTTTTTCTCTCTTTTAATTTTTTTTCCTCCAACCAATGAAGAATAAGATCTATTTTTTCCTAGGGGGAAAAATGGCAAATGTTTTGCCACTTACCTATCTTCACTTCCCAAAGGACTTCTTCTTGTTATTCTCTTATTAAAATGGAGGTTGTTATCTGCATACAATGGCTAAGGTTAATTAAATAAAACCTCAGGGCCAGATTTTACTGGGAAGCTGAGAAAATAGTATCTTTTACAACCTGGTTCCATTAAAGAAAAGTGATAGATTATTGCAAAAGAATAGCAAATTAAACTGGAAAAACACTACTTGCACTCAACGTTGTATACAGACATGCACAGGCAATTAGGAAACAAGAAACACTACATAATGTACTAATTATTTCAAAAATATAATCACTTCAGGAAAGGTGGGCATGGGACAGGGTTGTAAAACTAGAATTCACAGAGCATCCAGGGGAGGGAACTATAAGTACTGGAAATGGCTTTGACTTCTTTGCGTTGAATGACTGTGGGCAAATCATTTAAAAACCTATGCCTCAGGCCCATTATTAAATGGAGATAGTATAATGGCTATTTACAAGGTTATTGCAAGAATAAGAGATAGGCAGCTTTTGGTGCTCCTTGAAAACTGCCTAGCATGTAGTAGATCTGAGCTCTGGTTAGTTTATAGCTCTCCATTTGTTTACTTTGGATTTCCTCTCTGTCAGAGACTTTCTTCAAATGGCTAATTGTCATTAATACCTAAGTTCCAGGCACTAAAAAGCACTGTGTGCAGAGATGGGCTTCAAGACAAGGTGATTGCTCATGGATCAGCTCTTGGCTGAAAGACATTCAAAGGTCAGTGTCTGAAGATCTTTGCTCAGGGGGCTTTCTGTTTTTCTGGAGAAAATACATCCAGCTCTTGCCTTGGTGGAGATGGGATGTAGTGTGTACTTATCAGCTAGTAATATTGATACAGACAGGAGGCAGGGAAATACTGGGTAGAAGAGGGCGGGGTCCCTGGCGAGGGCTCCACCATCAAACCTGGACCTGTGTCCCTAACTTGAGAACTTCACATCCCTGTTTTTCCGACTGAATGTTGCCTTTTCAGAAACCAGCCTGGCCTGCCCCACCCTGTAACCATAAAAACCCAAGCTCCACTGGCAGAGGAGCAGAGTGGCATGGCGGAGAAG
Organism: Homo sapiens; assembly: GCF_000001405.40. NCBI lineage: Eukaryota > Metazoa > Chordata > Mammalia > Primates > Hominidae > Homo > Homo sapiens. Next base: position 30,108,973 of record NC_000003.12, read on the forward strand.
GACAGAAGAGAGAAATGACTGCATGTCAAGAGGAGAAGCAGCTGGACATCAAAGACTATGGTCAGAGAGGAGTTCGGCCAGGGACGGTTGGAGAGGAGTTTGGCTGGGGGAGGGCCAAACTCCAGGAGAAGACTGCCTTCTCAATCCATCCCCTTTGCAGTTCCCCATCCCACTGAGAGCCACTTCCACTGCTCAGTAAAATCTCCATATTCACCATCCTTCAAGTCTGTATAACATCATTCCTCTTGGGCACCGGACAAGGACCCAGGTGCAGGTGCAAGAGGCTATCACACTGACTCTCCACTGAGCAGTTTAAGAGTTAAGCCATCTGCAAATGGCAAAGCTAAAAGAGCATGCTGTAACACACACCTTCTGAGGCTCCAGAAGTTGTGGGCAACCCCTAGACACTGCCGTGGGCTGGTATGGGGTTCATTCCTGCTGGAGTCCAAAGCCACTCACCCCGGCTCCTGCATCCACTCACTTGCATGCTCCGCTCCTGCAAGGGGTTTGAGTGCTGCTGGCTGAGTAAGCGAGCTACCCCTTCATAATTCCCACTAAGGGGTCAAGGGAACTATCCTGTCTCAATATGGGCTCAGGCCTCTTAATATTCATGTTTTTCATCCTATGTTTCACATCCATCCTCTGCTCTTCCGTGTTCCCAAATCCATAGCATCTCTAGCCTAACTTCTCTGGAGGATAAACTTGAAGTCTCCTTTGTGGGAGGAGAAGGGTAATAACCTGACTAACTGGGGTCAAGAAGGTGTATAAATGATTAATATAAAGTCTTAATCAATGATTTGGTCCATTTTGGATTTATGCATCCAACCAGCTTGCTTCCACAGGTGTCTGTAAATTCTTTGACACTCCTCCCATCAAGACATAGCAGTCTAATTTTTATCCTGTTTAATATGGGCTGATATTATTGTCATTTGTCTAATAAATATAAAATGGAGAAAATGGCACTCAGTGACTTCAGAGGCTAGGTTATAAAAGGTGCCTAAAGTTCTGCCTGTCTAACTTTCTGTCTGAGACATACACATTTGGAGTACGGAGGCATCCTATAAGAAGTCTGGCAACCATGAAGCCAACATGCTCAAGAGTAGAGATCTCATAGAGATAGAGAGAGAGATGCCAGAGAAGACCAAGCTATTCTATTCTGGTCTCCATCTGTTTAAGACTTTCCAGATCAGTTACCAGATATGTAAGTGAAGAAGCCTTCAAGATAACTCCAGTGTCAGTCATTGTGATGGATCCTAACACAAAAGACCCTCAGTAAGAACCCCTTGTCTGAGCTCAATCAAACTCCAGAATCATGAGAAATGACACTGACAAGTAATTGCTGCTGTTTTTATATCACGAAATTTGTGGTGGTTTGTTGTGTAGTTGGAGGCAACTGGAACACTTGGAATGTGGACCCATGTACTCAACTTGTGAAGAACAGAATATTCCAATGGAAACCCATTCTCTCTAAGGAGTGCTTGGTTCTGCCTCCATTAACTTTGCAGTCTTAGAGAAGAAACTGACAAATTCTCCAAATAACAGATTTCTCATTTGAAAATGTGGATGATGATATGCTGTGAGCAGGACTTTTGAATGGATTAAATGAGAAAATATATGAAAAAACTCTAGGTACTATAAAACACTACATAAAATTGTGAGTTATTGAAATTTTTATGATGCGAAGTACCTTCAATGAACAAGATTACTGAGGAGTTTTCAAATAGTTGTCTAAGGCTTCTCTGCTCTGTGGTTAGAGCTTTGGGGGAAGGAAGGTTAATTCTGTTTAATCAACTTAACATCTTTATATTTTATTGTATTGAAAAATTTGTATAATTGCATTGGCATGTAAAATCATAACGGGAAATTATTATATTTTCTCCATACTTAAGAAAATGTCAATTATATCTAGGGTGGAATATAAGGGAAATGTGGTTACAGTGATAATGTGAGTCCTGTAAAGATTTGTGGTTCAAGATTAGATGTGTTTTTTTATGAAATGGCAGTTCTTATGTTACCGTGATATGCATTCCTAATGATCATGTCGCTTATCATCAGATTTATACCCCATTTTGTAAATTAATTTAATGAATATGTTTTTGCAGTAGCAGGAGGGGATTTGCAGTGATTTAACAACAATTTACAGGGCTCAGCAGTCTTAATAACCAGTAAATAGTAGACGCACTATAGTGTGGCAGGCACAATCTCAATCCACAAAACCAGACATGCAAGAAACAATGTTTTCTTTTTCTCAAATTCAATTTAAATTTTATTTTAAGCACCAATTTTACCTGGCACATTTTGGTGGAAAGTTGAATCACAATCGATTTGTGTTTTCTCCTCTCCAGGATTGCATCTGATTTCTGGAGTACTAATGTAATCTTAAAATGTTGGGAAAGTGATGTATTCTTTTACGCCATTTGTTGTTACTAGACCTTGCCCTTCCCTTGTAGAAGATAACATTACTACCTAACACAGTAATTCCTAAACCTTAACAGGTACAGAATCACCTAGAGGGCTTGTTAAAACACAGACTGCTGAGCCTCAACCCAAGAGTTTCCATTTCACTTGGCCTGGGGCAAGGCCTGAGAATTTGCCTTTCTAATAAGTTTCCAGAAGTTGCTGATGCTGGTGGTCCCGGACCACACTTTAAGGACCACTGGCCTTAAGATGAGATACTTGGATTCGGTATATTTTACTGAGAGCTAATCTAGTGCAAGGAAAGTCTTCGCCACGAGAAACCCCATTGTTTTGTATGAAACACTAACCAAATAAGAAACGTAATTCCAGAAGGATCTGTGCAGCAGAGGGAGAAGTGCATTTCAGGTTTTCAGCTTAAATGTACCTTAGGTCATAATTTTATTTTATTTTTTATCAGCTAGCTAGTTAGTTTTAGAAGCTAAACAAATCAGTAAAACATGACCAGGATAGAGAGAAAACCTTTGGTTTTCTTTTTATTTCTCTCTCTACTTACTCACAGAATGGATCATATGTCCTGTGTTCCATTAAGCAAAAATAGAAGTTTCGGTCAATGATTAGAACAAATGAAACTCATGTCATCACCTATTCCTGAATCTGAAGCAACCACTTCCAAATGTGCCATCTCATTTTGCTTAATATCAGAGCAAGTACTGGAAAAGTCTTGCATAGTACAGGTAAAATTAAAAAAATTTTGCTTTTTGGAACTTAACTTTTTTGGAGGTAGGGAACACTGGCCATCCTATCTGACTGTAAGCTCTTTCCTTTTTTTTTCCTTCCTTCCTTCCTCTTTCTTTCTCTTTCTTTTTCTTTCTTTCTTTCTTTCTTTCTTTCTTTCTTTCTTTCTTTCTCTCTCTCTCTCTTTCTTTCTTTCTTTCTTTCTTTTCTTTTTCTTTCTTCCTTTCTTTCTCCTCTCTCCTCTCCTGTCCTCTCTTATTCTCTGCAATCCATATGCTCCATATCTTATAATTGCTTTGGTGAGATTTCTGTGGAATCTGTTAGGTCTATATTGTGTAGTTTACTGGTTTTAAGTACTTTTTCCTTTGAGGTATTCTGTTTGGAAGGCAAATAAGAGAAAGTGGAACCAATAGTACAACTGCTTAATAATGAAAAGTGATAAAATATTACTTTGAAATAAGGAACTAGACTTCCCCTTAGACTCACACACACACACCCCTACGCTGGAGTTCCTTAGTGCTCAGTCCTAGGTCCCCTTCTCACTCTATTTGGGCTTGTCTTAAAGCTTGGTGATCATATGTATCATATGACTTTATTTCCAAAAAAAATGACAGAATTTCTAGCAACCATGTGTTCCAGAAAGCAAATTTATTAATGCAGATGAAAACTGGCTTTGAAGTTATACACTTAGGTTAAATTCCTGGCTATATTCAAATATATATTTCTGGCCATATTCAAACTATGTGAACCTGGGCATCACTTGATTTTTCTTTGCTTTAGTAAAGTGGGATGATAATTCCTGTCTCCCAGGGTGTGGGGATTGGTAACATATGTAAAGCATTTATCACAGCACCTGCACAAATACTCAACAAATTATAGTTGCTATTACTCTACATATTCTGTTGCCTTTTCTTGCTTCTTTTCATCTCCATAGATAAAAATCTTCTTTTTTTCTGGCCACTAGGTGGAGAAAGCAAGCCTTCTACAGTAATTGAATTAAACAACAAGGCCAAATACCACAGACATTTAAGGGAGAGAAAAACAATTTTTCTTCTTCCTCTTTTTCAAAACTTTGGATGGCATGAACAGGCAAACTGCAGAGATGCTTTGAGTAGTTCACAATTAAAGTGTTTGTGTTGTAAGTGTGGTCATGCCTTGAAGCACTAGATTTCACTCAGGGAAGGTCCTAGCCAAATCATAAAATTCAAAAAGTTTGCTTCCTAGCACCTTCTCATTCTCCATGTCGTATTCTCTTCTCACCTTCATTTCAAGCAGGCACCAGGCCAGTATTCTTTTCTTTCTAAGTTATTCTATAGCACTGATTCCCAGGGATATTTGAATTTTAAAATAAAATTCCTTGATAAGTTACCTTTCTTTAACCTGTAATAAAAGATTAATGAGAATTCATTGGACCTACTTCATCGAGCTATTTTGAGGATCATTTAGTTAATATGTGTACAATCTCATTGTAATGTTGAAGTTCATATTAATGAAAAATTCAATTTATATTGAAGATCCCAAAGCTCTTCAGTTAGAATGAAAGGAACCACTATCACAGAATTAGCATGACATTTGCATGCAAGGGTCTCCTGAAATCACACAGACAGGTGGACTTCTAGCTGGCCAAATTTGCAACTTTTATCTCAATAGTTTTTTCCAAAGTGAGTTTGCTATGTATTAAAATATTGTATCTAGTTATTTCACATACCAGATATTAAGAGTGTAAGAATCCTTTTCTGATACTTTCTCTCAAAGTTTTGCCCTTAATGAAACAAGATAAGAAGCCCAAAAGATTCTTGCAAAAGAAACTAGGTTACGAGGGGCTGAGGTAATATGAAAAGACATAGTTGAAACGGATCTGTATTTATGAATATTTGCATGCATTTCAAACAAACGAAATGCTCCTGAAGGTTATCCACATTCACCACTCTATCCCCACCCAATACTGAGTCTATAGGCATTTAGATAAAGATGTTGCCTCTCCCTGAATCATACACTCAGGCATTGATCCAAGCTCCATATTATTCTCCTTATTTCTCCCTGTCATCTGGTTTCCAAAGTCTTTTTTCATCTGTTTTCATACTATATTTATCTTCTCAGCATCAGCCCTTCAGATGAACAACTATTTGGAAAGTTAACCCATTCTATATGTTAGCATCTCCCCTGGAATTGTCTTATCAGCCCTAAAAATTACAGCTACCACCTTTATTCCTGATCCAAACTTCAAAATTCCATATTATTCCAGGAAAGTACCCATGATCCCTTTGTATTTGAGAGTGCTGAGAAGAGAACATTGAAAGATTTTTAATATTTATCCATACTTTTACTTAACAAGCACAAAATTTTCTTTTTGTTAAGGAAAATACCCAAGTTGCTTACCAAATATTCAGTTTATAATTGATGTAATTTTATTGCACAAAATTATCATCTCGTACTTTAAAAATAGTAGTCATGTTTGCCTTTCCACTGGTGTTGTTCACTAGTACTTTTGTTGTTGTTTTGGTTTTCCTGTGTTATTTAAGGAAAGAAAGCTCTGGAGAAATTTTAGCTTATGTTCAGTAAATTTCCACCCTAGGACCTGAACAAAAGTTCCTATAGGCAGCCAAGAGCATGACTGGAACCCTGGAATGCTGTTCCATTTAAATGTGGTTTGAAATAGCACACTTATTTCCACTAAATTTACTTTTAATGCACCTCATAGAATTATCATTTGTGCATAATTCATGCAGACACACACACACACACACACACACACACACACGTAGGACCTAAATATAGACTCTAAGTATAAATTCCATATTTTTCCCTTATAGCATTTTCTGATTCGCAATTTATAGTATCAGTTTTCAATCACCATGTTCCATATGCATAAGATACTCATATATGATATTAAATGTTTTATGTTGGACTTCTCCCAAAGCAGACTCTGAAGCAAACATTTGAGTGCTGGCAGTTTATTGGCAAGCATAAGAAACACAAGTAGGTGAGGGGTAGAGAGCTAGGGAGAGGAAAGGCAAACAATAAAGGGGGTATTATAAAGCTGGTTTCTGTAATGGATAACTGGAGCCTAATCCTGCAGAAAAACTCTAGAAGTGATGCAAAATATACTCCTCAGCGTTATCTAGTGAAGGGCAGGGAAACTGGGGTATTTATATTCCTGTACTTGTCAGTTTTTGGTTAAAGGCTTGGGGGCAACGGGAGATTTAATTCTCAGTCTTTCCTGTCAACCTTACATGTGAGCTATGTGGGTTTCAATACAGCCTGCTAGCAAAGATGCAGGTTCTGGCCATTCGAAGACAGGCAGCTGTGCAGAGAAATGGTATAAAGGTCCAAAAGAAATGAGGTGATTTGCTAACACACCTGCTACACCACCCTATTGAGAAAAATTGCTACTTATGTGTTACACTCCATATTTATTACCACATTTATATCAAATCCTCAAACTAAAAATCAATATACAACTCCCATAAAATAGATCTCCAGGCCCAGGCAGTTTAACAGGAGAATTCCACAAAATATTTAAAATAGAGTTAAAAACAATTTTATACAGTTTCCTCCATAAAACAGAAGAGAGAATAACACTTCCCAATGCCCTTTAGGAGGTCATTATTGTCTTAAGACCAAAACCACACAAAGAGAGTACAAAAAGTGAATAATACAGACCAATATCTCTTCAGAACTTAGATTAAAAATCTTCGACTAAAACCTTCAACTTCAGCAAACTGAATCCAATAATGAATATAAAGTATTATACATCATTTCCAAGTAGAATTTATTTCAAACATGCAAAGTGTGTCAATATTTGAAATCGATCAGTGTAATTCATCGTATCAGTTGTGTAATCATATCAATTGACACAGAAAAAAAAGTTAGGCAGAATTTGAATTTCATTCCTGATAAAAACTCTCAGCAAGTTAGGGATAGAAGAGAATTACCTTAACTTGATAGAGGGCATCTATAAAATCCCTTCAGCTAGCATCATATTTAGTAGTGACAGACTGGCTGTTTTCACTCAAGAGTAGGAAGAAGACAATGATTTCTGCTGTCGCCATTTATTCAATATAGTACTCATACTTCTAGCCCCTGCAATAAGGAAAAAAAAAGCATACTGATTGGAAGAAAATAAAACTGTCCCTATTTGCAGATGATATGGTTATCTACATAGAAAATACCAAGAAATATACAACTCCCAAAACTCTAGAACCGGTAAGGTCAGCAAGGTTTGCAAATACAGCATCAACATGCACAATTTAATCACATTTTATATACCAAGAATGAATATGTAGAAACTGAAATTAAAAACATAATACTATTTGTAATTGTTTCAAAGAAAATGAAATGCTCAGGCACATGCTTTAAAATGTTAAGGTTCTATATGCTGAAAATTACAAAATGTTGTTAAAAGAAACCAAAGAAGAGAATGCATCGTGTTCATGGATCAGAACACTCAAAATAGTAAAGATGTCAATTCTTCCCAAATTTAGTGCAAATTAGGTTTAGTGCAATTCCTCTCAAAATCCCAGCAAGACTTTTTTTCCTAGACAGACAAGATCATTGTAAGATATATATGGAAGGGCACAGCTATTTTAGAATAGCTAATACAATCTTGACAACAAAAAAAAAGTAGGAGGGTGACAGTTATCAAGTCTATGATAGTAGTGTAAGGATAGGTGCCACAGATCAATTGGACAGGAAAGAAAACTTACAAACAGACACAAACAAAAATGGTCAACTGATTTTTGAACAAAACTGCAGAGATTAGTTGAAGGAAATATAGTCTTTTTGATAGAAAGTATAGGAGCAATTAAAAATCCATAAACAAACAAAAAGATCATTGTCTTAAAGGCAAAATGTAAAGCTATAAGTAATAGAGAAAATCGAAGTTATTTCTGTATTTTGTGCTGTCCCTGGCCTTGTCTCTTACAAGCATTTTAATTTGATTTTATTTCTTTTGAGAAGCAGGATAGAATTATGGCAAATAGCGCAGGCTGTGGAGTTCAAATGCATGAGTTTACATCCAAGGCTTTCATTTGCATCCATGCATCACGACTCTTCAACTCCTCAGCTCTGTAATTTTGAGTATGTTCCATCAATCATCTATCTGAAGTTTCCTAATCTGTGAGATGAGAATAATGACAACAGCCCTTTTCTCAAAGGGAAGTTCATCACATGGGAGCCTATAGACTGTACCCAATCTATTATATGAACTTTATAAGTGTTAGCTGTTTTTTAATGTTTAATTTTGAATATTTTCTTACATTATTCATGAGGAGCATGTTTCCCAAGCCCATCTGCTAAAGACCTATTGATCTGAAGCAATAAGAATTCTGCATTTTGATCACTTGCATACCCAAGCAGGCTATGTAAGAGAGCTAGCTGCATGTGTTTTGTGTTTCGCATTTTTTTTTTCAAGAGTAACAATTTCCAATTCCATTTTGCCCATGAAATAGCATATTTGGCTATTAGAAGAAGGTGACAGACACCCATCTGAGACCTCAGCTTGGTACATAGAGTAGAACTGATTTGAAACAAACATGAGGGTGGAGATATGAAGTCAGTAAAAGATCATGTAACTACACACAAAGATGAGGACAATAAATACGAACACTAATAGTACTTTAAAATATAGGTTATTTCCCAACCATACTGGAATTGATTTCTAAAGCTTAAAATGGAAAACATTTAGCCATTAAAATTAAACATTATCTTCTTGGTTCTGAGAAATTTTGTTTTTAAACTAGGGATTTGCTTCCTGAAGTAACCTTATTCTTTTCAGTATTCATCAAAAACTATGAGAAAATATAATTTATTCTTATCACATGGCCACTTTCAAATGACTGTTCAGTCAATGGATAGGGGTTTTATTTTACACTTTCTTTGGCATCTATCCAGTCAATATGTATGCCTTGTTTTCATGCACATTCTGAAAGTTAAGGTTAGATTCCTATTTACATTTTTTATACTCAACCTAATGTCTAATCCTTGGTGGTCATTTTTGAACTTGTATAGTAATTTTTTTTAATCTAAAATGTTGATCAATTTCAAAATTATCTGTAAATTTACCTCTACATATAAATCTTTTATTCTACTCCTGACCTATACTGTTATCATTACTAGTTAAGAGCAAGACTATTTTGCTTTATTTTTTCGTTGTTGTTGTTCTGTATGTGTGCTGCTTTGGTTTGGTTTCTTCCAGACATTTTAGGATTGGCATCATGTTAATAGTAATTAACTACTTTTTTGGGTTTTGCTCCTACTGCAGTCATAGTCGCAAACTACATTATTTGCTGTCAATTTGGCACTACTGCCACCGTACTCTAAGGCTGGGAATTATATTTCTCAGAATCTTCCTCCACGTATGGTGTTTGACAATGAAAGGAGCTGGTGTCTGATTTGAAAAGTGAATGCAAAGCAGTAATCATTATTTTCTGGAGGCAAGTACAGCCAGATGTGTAGGAAGACAAGAGTTTCACAGCAGCTTTCTGGTAACTCCAAAATATGACCCACTTTTCAGAAAAAGCAGATGGTGGGAGCTTCTTAATGATTCTCAAGAGTTGTAGCAGCCTCCAGGCAAATTTTGAAGAATCCGATTGGGTACTTCAATCTGAAGTCTTCAGCATCAATTTCTCTGCCTTTGGGGGCAGCTCCCCTGGCCTTCCACAGTAGTTTCCCTGACACTGCCACTTTTCTAACTATCACATAGGTCCCCAATCCTGTACTAAATCTGTGACACAGGGAGCTCTCACCTAATGTGCATAACAGATCCTTGCAAACGGTGACTTTAAGTGAAATAACATATAATGAAACCAGTTTTACCATAGGCTAATTGATATCAAAAAGGGTTAAGTTCCTATGGCAGATTTCTGATCACCAAAAATCACTGAACTCCTAAATTAAGACTCAAAACATTTCTAATAGTAAACATTGAAATAAATGTGAGATATACATACATTTAAGAAAGACTAATAAAACAAGAAAGATAATTATTTAATTTTTGGTGAATCAGTGAGTGATGGTGGTCATAGTGGCAGTGCATTAAATCAAGGAATAAATATTTGCAAGGCAAAAATCATAAAAAGCACCTCCTACCACCACACAGTTCAAAAATAAACAACTACAAATAAGGAAAGCTCACTGAATGCTTTTGTACTGCATTGTTTATTGTAAATTTGTATGATTATCATAGACTTTACAAATTAATATTTGATAATAATTTATATTTATTCGCTTATTTCCCAGTCTACTTTTTCCAGTTCAGGGTCACAGGTGGCTGGATCCTATTCCAGCAGCTCAGATCACAAGGCGGGAACCAGCCCTGGACAGGATGCCTATACTCTGCAGGGTACATACACACACACACACACACACACACACACACACACACACGCTCTCTCTCTCTTTCTCTCTCTCTCTCTCTCTCTCAGACTGGGACAATTTGGACAGGCTATTTCACTTAATATGCACATCTTTGAGATGTGAGAGAAAAAATAATTATCCAGAGAAAATCTATGCAGACAGTGGCCTTGGCTGTGAATTAACTTTTTTTTCGATCAACATTATAGTGAAATGATGTTGAATGAAACATTATTCAAGGACCTGCTGTAGTTAGAATACAGAGTGATCTTGTTTTCTTGACTGAATCCTAACTGATACAAAGATCTTTAATACCTTCAAAATAAGATCTCAAATCTTTCCAAGAGTCCTCATCAAGTATCCAAGTGAGCCAATAAAAGTCTTTTCTGCCACATAGCACCTGCTGTGTTGTTCTTCCTTCGAGGATACCTCATCACTCCCAAGATCACCAGTGCCTACTAGGATGTCCATGGGCTCCAATAATAACCATGCAAAGCTTGCCATCTCCAAAGAGCTGCGAATTGTTGAGAATAACATTGTGAAAACCTGAGAGGTGCCCAGGCTAAATAGTAACCCATGCAGAATCAGAAGAATGTCATTGTTCCCGCATTTAGCGTCAAACTTAAATGTGAGAGAAAAAAGAATTACCCAGAGAAAATCCATGCGGACAGTGGCCTTGGCTGGGAATTAACTTTTTTTCTTAACTTAAACATCAAACAGCACTGTCTACGTCCAAGTGTGTCACAAGGTCACTCATTATAATGTCACCTTTAAATGTTGTCTGCTCTTTCAGGTTCAACATGTTTCTGAAGAAAGATCACACTGTACTCTCAACCCTTTCTCTTTAGCAAACTGCCCATCTCTATTCTTCCACCCTGGAAAACTACCATGCATAGTGTAGCTTTAGTCAGATTTGCCACGTAAATCAGCTCCATGTGGCTAAATATGTCTGTATTACAACATTGGGCACAACTTAAGCTAAAGTGGTGACTCCACTATGTGAATATAGATTTTTTGTCATTTTGACTTCAGTGTTTAGAAAATACAGCAGCAATAGTAGGAAGAAACCTGAAACCTGCCTGTCTGATATAGTATAATGATTAAGACTGGAAACTTTAGAGCCAGACTGCCAAGGCTTGAGTGCCATTTAAACTATTTACTCATGATGTATCTTCAATAAGTTACTTACCCTCCCTGTGTTTATCTGTGAAATAGATAGAATAATAGTATTCATACAGTATAGTTGTTATGAGGACTATCTTGATTACAATAATACTTCCTTGTGTTCACACTAAGTAATGTTAGCAAAATCATTTTGCATGACTTTTGTATTTCAGAATCCTCAAACGGAAGTTCTAATAGACTTTTTAACTTGAAAGTTCTATGATCTATGTGTATTTTCTGTATCATTTATTGCTGATCAAATTGGGAGACAACAAAAACAACAAGCCAGACTGATTTTATTGGGGGCCAGGGCAAGCCACACTGAAATTACTAATCCCTTCACTGAACTATATGCTGGGCAGCAAATTTTATTTGAGAGTAGGTATTAAGTAGTAAAAAAAAAGGCCAGGCTTGGTGGGTCACACCTGTAATCCCAACACTTTGGGAGGCCGAGGCAGGTGGATCACCTGAGGTCAGGGGTTCGAGACCAGCCTGGCCAACATGGTGAAACCCCGTCTCTACTAAAAATAGAAAAATTAGCCAAGCGTGGTGGTGGCGGGAGCCTGTAATCCCAGCTACTCGGGAGGCTGAGGCAGGAGAATTGCTTAAACCTGGGACGCAGAGGTTGAAGTGAGCCAAGATCATGCCACTGCACTCCAGCCTGGGTGACAGAGTGAGATTCTGTCTTAAAAAAAAAAAAGTTAAAAAAAAAATCTTTTAAGTAGGTATCTCAGTTGAGAATGTCCTCTGGAGTTAAGTGGCATGTAAAATGGATCGTATAAATTTTCCTCAAACCTCTTCTACAGTCACTGCAAGTAGGACCTATGAATTTGCTTCTCTAATCAGCTTGCAGGTGATGCAAATATTATGGTCATTGGACCGCAACTTGAGTATCCCTATTCTAGACTGTGTGCTTGGAGTCTTAGCTGTCAAGGAGAGCCACATCAAACCCTTCCTTCAATATAAAGATGTAGAACATTTTTCTTCCAGTGTGGATCACAAACAATTTGTAGCATTGGCATTGTGAAAATACATGAAAGAAATGTGTACGAAATCTTGAAGGAGGAGTAGAAATCCAAAGAAGGGAAGAGTGTATGAGCAAAGAGTGGTGGTGAAATAAAGGGTAGTTCAGATTTGCTGAAGGGGAAAATCAGACAGATAGGCCTGGCTTAAACCAGATGTTGACTTTAGTATAGCCCTGGGCTCTGAGTTGACAAAATAGGGCATACTTATAGTCAACAAAGCATGGGACTGCTTACTCTCTACACTAAGGCTGCACAAATCAGGGAATCATTTTCATGGCCATGTTTCACGTTTATAAATACAAAGTAAATTCCAGTATTAGAAGATCAAGATTTTATTTTATTTTTAGTTTTATTTTCCGCTTTAATTCTAAATATAAGTTATCATACAGGGAATTTTAAAGGTAAAACAAAATGTTCCTGTCTTCTCACTTTCATGCATAGCTGCTAATAGACATGAGGGGCAAGCACTATTTTTAAAAAATCACATTTCAGGAGCCTCATGTGGGTCATAAAACACATATTCACCTTGCATGCTTCCCTCTGTCTTCTACATTCAATAGCACGAACATATTTTTGTTACTCTAACTATAAAAATGTATGTGGATGGTTGCACACTGAAGTTTTAGTTTATTTTTCCTCACCCCAACACCACCTACAAATTCCTTTTTATGTACCCTAAGACCCTGTTGTAGTAGACCTAGGTTACCTACTGTGAAATTTGAATGAAGACTAAAAAATACTCAATGATTGAGCCACAAACTACTGGCTACAGTGAAAGACATACAAATTGGGCTGTAGGCTTGTTTAGAAAACTTTCCTTCTCCCAAAGATGAGTGAAAACAATGGTGCTAAAAAAGAGGAAGAAGGGGAGGACCATTTGGAGAGGAGAACTTGAGACTGAGAAACCCAGAATAAGCACTGACCTGATACTGAGGAAGCTGAGTTGCCCTTTGCCTCCCCCTCTCCTCCCGTGAAAACCACATTCAGCAACAGTAGGCCCCACCTGTCAGTCATCCCATTTAGAATGATTCTGCCAGTCTCTTTTTCATTCCATGGAAATACCTTTCTTTCCAGTCCAGGACACATGTAAGTGTCCCTTAATGGAGGAAGGGCATGCTAGAAAATTTTCAATTTACCCCCCAGGTCCTCTCTTCACTCTTCTCCATCTTGTCATTTGCCCAAGGAAGCTGACCTGAATGGTGCATGCATCTACAGCTCCATTGACTTCTGTCTCCTAGTTGGGTGTTGTATAGCTGAGATATTTGTCCCCTCTGGATGTCATGTTGAAATATCACCAATATTAGAAGTGGAACCTAGTGGGAGGTGTTTGGGTCATGGGGGCAGATCCTTAATGAATGGCTTGGTGCCATCCCCTTGGTGATAAGTGAGTTCTCACTCCATTAGTTCACATGAGATTTGGTTGTTTAAAGAATCTGGCGTATTCCTTTTATTTCTTGATCCCTTCTCTTTTGCTTTGTCTCTTGCCATATGACATGCCTGCTTCCTCTTCACCTTCTGCCCTGAGTAAAAGCTTCCTGAGGCCTCACCAGAAGCCAAACAGATGCCAGTGCCATGCTTGTACAGCCTGCAGAAGTATGACCCATATGAATCTCTTTCCTTTATAAATTACTCAGTGTCAGGTATTTCTTTATAGCGACACAAAATGGGCTAACGCAGGTGTTCAAACACTAGCAGCAGATTAGAGAGTGTCAGGGTGTGTGTCAAGTCTGGCTCCCTCTCTGCTCTGCTGCAGTGGAGCGGCTGTAGCTTTCTAGTGAAGGTCATAGCTTCTGGTAGAGAGTCAATACTCTCTTTGTAATCTGAACACTTCTTTCCCTTGCACCTTAGATAATAGCTCTACACTGTTACCAGCCCTGAGGAAACTGCAAGATTCCCTGCTCATTTCTCTTAACCCTGTGTATACTATACATTTGACTAATAGAATTAGGAACTTAGGCATCTTTAAAGATGATGATAGTATGAAGGAAGAATCTCACCCTCAGTCAGTGTGGAAATATTCCCTTGCAGTTTGGCATCCCAGCTAGGGAGAGCAAAAGCCCTTGATGCATTTACCATTTATTAGATGGATATATTCCATTAAAATAAAATAGGTGTAAAACACTATCTAGACCTAGGGGTGCTGGGAATGTAGAGGGCTGTCCGAATTTTAAAAATTATAAATATGCTTCTCTAGGGCCTTAAAATGTGAAAGACAAATCTACATGTATGGAATAATGCATGTATGGAATAATGTAAGGCAGATGTTCCCAACCCCTGGGCTATAAACTTGTGTCACTCAATGGCCTGTTAGGAACTAAGCCACAGGAGATGAGTGGCAGGAGAGCAAACATTACCACCTGAGCTCTACCTCCTGTCAGATCAGCAGTAGTATTAGATTCTCATAGGAGCACAAACCCTATTATGAACTGTGAGTGTGAGGGATCTAGGTTGTGCACTCCATATGAGAATATAACTCATGCCTGATGATCTGAGGTGGAACAGTTTATCCCAAAACCATCCCCGCCTGGGGTCTATAGAAAAATTATCTTCCATGAAACTCGTCCCTGGTCCCCAACCTTTTGGGGACCACTGATGTAAGGAATGAAAGTAGAAGGATGGAGCCTGCTGCACCTGGGAAGGACAGGGAAAATGCTGAGTGTGGATCAAGTCTAAGTTACCAATCAGGACCATGGATACACATTGGCTGCTATTCAGAATCCCATCCTGGTGCTCTTGGTGGTGTTTAAAGGGACCTTCTGTATTAGTTTTCACACTGCTTTAGAACTACCTGAGACTGGGTAATTTATAAAGGAAAGAGATTTAATTGATTTACTGTACCACATGGCTGGGGAGGCCTGAGGGAATACAATAGTGGTAGAGGATGAAGGGGAAGCAAGGCATATCTTACATGACAGCAGGAGAGAGAGATAGAGCGAGGGGGAGACTGCCAAACACTTTTAAACTATCACATCTCATGAGAACTCACTATCACAAGAACAGCATGGGGGAAACTGCCCCCATGATCCAATTATCTCCCATTAGGTCCCTCCCTTGACATGTGGAGATTAAAATTTGAGATGAGATTTAGGTGGGGACATAGAGCCAAACCATATCATTCTGTCCCTGGTCCCTCCAAAATCTCATGTCCTCCTCACATTTCTAAATGCAATCCTGCCTTCCCAACAGTGACCCAAAGTCTTAACTCATTCCAGCATTAACTCAAAAGTCCAAGTCCAAAGTCTCATCTGAGATAAGGCAAGTCCCTTCTGCCTATGACCCTGTAAGATCAAAAGCAATTTAGTTACTTCCTAGATACAATGGGAATACAGGCATTGGGTAAATGTTCCCATTCCAAATGGGAGAAATTTGCCATAACAAAGGGGCCACAGGCCCCATGCAAGTCTGAAACCCAGCAGGCTACTCATTAAAACTTAAAGCTCCAATATAATCTCCTTTGACTTCATGTCTCACATCCAGGGCATGCTGATGTAATGAGTGGGTTCCCAAGGCCTTAGGCAGCTCAGCCTCTGTGGCTCTGCACTGTACCACCTCCTTGGCTGCTTTCCCAGGCTAGTGTTGAGTGCCTTCAGCTTTTCCAGGTGCAGTTACATTCTTGCTCTCTCTCTCTTGAAGAAGTCTTTCACGTCCCTTGTAAGTTGTATTCCAAAGTATTTTATTTTCTTTATAGCAATTGTGGACAGGAGTTCACTCATGATTTGGCTCTCTATTATTGATGTACAGCAACGCTTGTGATTTTTGCACATTAGTTTTGTATTCTGAGACTTTGCTGAAGTTGCTAATCAGCTTAAGGAGATTTTGGGCTGAGACAATGGGGTTTTCTAAATGTACAATCATGTCACCTGCAAACAGAGACAATCTGAGTCTTCCTGTTTGAGTACCCTTTATTTTTTTCTTTTGCCTGATTGCCATGGCCGGAATTTCCAATACTATGTTGAATAGGAGTGGTGAGAGAGGGCATCCTTTTCTTGGGTCTGTTTCAAAAGGAATGTTCCAGCTTTTGCTTATTCAGTATGATATTGGCTATGGGTTTGTCATAAATAGCTCTTATTATTTTGAGATATGCTCCATTAATACTTAGTTTATTGAGTGCTTTTAGCATGAAGGGGTGTTGAATTTTATTGAAGGCCTTTTCTGCATCTACTGAGATAATCATGTGGTCTTTGTCATTGGTTCTGTTTATGTGATGGATTACATTTATTGATTTGTATATGTTGAACCAGCCTTGCATCCCAGGGATGAAGCTGACTTGATCATGGTAGATAAGCTTTTTGATGTGCTGCTGGATTCGGTTTGCCAGTATTTTATTGAGGATTTTTGCATTGATGTTCATTCAGGGATATTGTCCTGAAATTTTCTTTTTTTGTTGTGTCTTTGCCAGTTTTTGGTATCAGGATGATGCCAGCCTCATAAAATGAGTTAGAAAGGAGCCCCTCTTTTTTCTACTGTTGGAATAGTTTTGGAAGGAAAGGTACCAGCTCCTCTTTGTACCTCTGGTAGAATTCTGCTGTGAATCTGTCTGGTCCTGGACTTTTTTTGGTTGGTAGGCTATTAATTACTGCTTCAATTTCAGAAATTGTTATTGGTCTATTCTGGGATTTGACTTCTTCCTCATTTAGTCTTGGGAGGGTGTGTATGTCCAGGAATTAATCCATTTCTTCTAGATTTTCTAGTTCATTTGCATAGAGGTGTTTATAATATTCTCTGATGGTAGATTGCATTTCTGTGGGATCAGTGATGATATCCCCTTTATCATTTTTTATGGTGTCTATTTGATTCTTCTCTCTTTTCTTCTTTATTAGTCCGGCTAGCAGTCTATCTATTTTGTTAATCTTTTCAAAAAACCAGCCCTGGATTCATTGATTTTTTTTTAAGCGTTTTTTCAAAAAACCTTTCTGCTCTAATCTTAGTTATTTCTTGTCTTCTGCTAGCTTTTGAATTTGTTTGCTCTTGCTTCACTAGTTCTTTTAATTGCGATGTTAGGGTGTTGATTTTAGATCATTCACGCTTTCTGATGTGGGCATTTAGTGCTATAAATTTCCCTCTTAACAGTGCTTTAGCTGTGTCCTAGAGATTCTGGTCTGTTGTGTCTGTTCTCATTGGTTTCAAAAAACGTACTTATTTCTACCTTAATTTCCTTATTTACCCAGTAGTCATTCAGGAGCAGGTTGTTCAGTTTCCATGTAGTTGTGCGGTTTTGAGTGAGTTTCTTAAAAAGAGACTGTATAGCCAAGACAATCTTAAGCAAAAAGAACAAAGCTGGAGTTATCATACTACATGGCTTCAAACTATATACTACAAGGCTACAGTAACCAAAAGAGCATGGTACTGGTACCAAAACAGATATATAGACCAATGGAACAGAACAGAGGCCTCAGAAATAACACCACACATCCACAATCATCTGATCTTTGACAAACTGGAAAAAAACAAGCATCGAGAAAAAATTCCCTATTTAATAAATGGTGCTGGGAAAACTGGCTAGCCATATGCAGAAAACTGAAACTGGATCCCTTCCTTACACCTTATACAAAAATTAACTCAAGATGAATTAAAGACTTGAATATAAAACCTAAAACCATAAAAACCCTAGAAGAAAACCTAAGCAATACAATTCAGGATATAGGCATGGGCAAAGTCTTCATGACTAAAACACCAAAAGCAATTGCAAGAAAGGCCAAAACCGACAAATGGGATCTAATTAAACTAAAGAGCTTCTGCACAGCAAAAGAAATTATCATCAGAGTAAACAGGCAACCTACAGGATGGAAGAAAATTTTTTCAATCTATCCATCTGACAAAGGGCTAATATCCAGAATCTATAAAGAACATAAACAAATTTACAAGAAAAAAACAACCCCATCAAAAAGTGGGTGAAAGGTATGAACAGACACTACTCAAAAGAAGACATTCGTGTGGACAACAAACATATGAAAAAAAGCTCATCATCACTGTTCATTAGAGAAATGAAAATCAAAACCACAATGAGATACCATCTCATGCCAGTTAGAATGCCAACCATTTAAAATCAGGAAACAACAGATGCTGGAGAAGATGTAGAGAAATAGGAATGCTTTTACACTGCTGGTGGGAGTATAAATTAGTTCAGCCATTGTGGAAGACAGTGTGGTTATTTCTCAAGGATTTAGAACCAGAAATACCATTTGACCCAGTGATTCCATTACTGGCTATATACCCAAAGGGTCATAAATCATTCTATTATAAAGACACATGCACACATATGTTTCTTGCAGCACTATTCATAATAGGAAAGACTTGGAACTGACCAAATGCCCATCAATGATAGACTGGATAACACAAATGTGGCACATATATGCCATGGAATACTATACAGCCATAAAAAAGAAAGAGTTCATGTCCTTTGCCGGGACATGGATGAAGCTGGAAACTATCATTCTCAGCAAACTAACACAGGAACAGAAAACCAAACACCGCAAGTTCTCACTCATAAGTGGGAGCTGAACAATGAGAATACATAGACATGGGGAGGGGAACATCACACACTGGGGCCTATCGCGGGGTGAGGGGCAAGGGAAGGGAAAGCATTAGGACAAATGCCTAATGCATGCAGGGCTTAAAACCTAGATGGCAGGTTGATGGGTGCATCAAACCACCATTGCATATGTATAGCTATGTAGCAAACCTGCATGTTCTGCCCATGTATCCCAGAACTTAAAGTATAATAAAAAAATTTTAAAAAGAAGAAAATAAAATTTCTCTAACATTCAGCCTCCCTCTTTCTTAATGCTTCTTTAGTAATTTACTTCTTTCCCCCTAAAGCTTTATCTAGTCTCTTCTTATTTAACCCTCCTTCTCACTGGTTCCTCTAACTAAAAGAGTTGGTCCTTCTTTCTAAGGTTAAATCAATGCTCTAGTTATTACTCTATCAGACACCAATTTTTTCTTTCTTTCATCTTCAATATCTTGTTTTTACCTATAGGATATTCCATTTCCTTCTATTCTAGACAGACTATTTCCTTAACTCTCCTCAGTGTCCTCTTATCTTTCTGAAGAGGTAATTTTTGCTACTATTTAGGCATATTCAATTAATAATTATTTTTTGATCAATTACTATATTCCAGACACTGTTATAAATACTGGAAATGAAGAAGGAAAAAGACTATACATTTTAAAAAATGAATAAGATAATTTAAGAAAGTGATAAATGTTTTGAAGAAAATAGGGTAATGTCATGAGGAATGACAGGCAGGAGTAGTGGAGCTATTTTACATGGGATTTTTAGGGAAAACCCCACTGAGGTGACATTTAAGATAGCACCTGAGTGAAGAGAAGTCAATTTTGTGGCGGTCCGGAGGAAGAGTGCTCAAGGCAGAACACATCTATATACACATATCCCTACAGACACATTATATGTACACATACCTAGAGATATATATTTTCACATTGATCCTGAGTTCCTAATATTACCTCTTAAAGGACTTCCTATTCAGTACCCATTTCCATAGTACTATGTTTCCATGGTAACTTAGGTCACTTAAAGACTAGTCTGGTTTACATTGTCTAATAATTTGTCTGATTTTATGTTGCCTGAGGGGAACTTATGAGAGCTAGGGTAATTCGTGTCCCTGGCCAGCCTCAAATGGATGTTCTAGACATGGTTGTACAGGAAATATAAAGTACTCTGTGACTCCAAAGTTGATAGTCTTTTGCCAACTTCATTCTCCTCCACTCTCCACTAATACAAAAATTTATATTGTTGGATAGGAAAATGGAAGACCTTTAAAGGGAAAAATCAGTCTGACACTCTAAGGTTGCTCTTAACTCTTTTAGCCCTTGAAGCTACCCTTTCATTACCACCTCTTCAGCTTTTGGCATCTTGGGATGTGTACTCTATAAGCACTGAAAGATCCAAGTTATTTTATCATTTGGCAGAAATGGTATTCTTTGTGTCTTCTACCTCCTGCCCACATTCAATAGAATGGATGTTATTTTTAAATGCATTAGTTTTACCTTTCTACAAAGAGAAAGGTGGAGTCAATTATTCTAAGGCAAAAAGGTATTGAAGAAAAATGCAGGAGTCTAAGACATCAGTCACAAAGAAATATGAACAAGAATAGCTTGGACTTGTATCTCTCCCTCCTGATTAAGCTGGAAGCCCAAAATAGCCTCTAATAATACCATCTGTAACCTCCTTAATCTCTTAGCTTCTTTCTTTACTCAGGTTATGCTAATCAAATTCTCTTTGTGAAGGTCATCAGTGACAAACGACCTTTTGGTTAACAATGTTCAATGGTCACTTAACAATGCTGTCTTCCACCTTTCAACAGCACTTGATGCCGTCAACCACACTTAGCCACTTGTAGTTCTGCCTCTCTTTATGCAGTAAATAGTACTGCTCTGTTGGTCTTTTTTTATCTTCTACCATCTTCCCTTTAAGTTTCATTTTAGCTGAATTTTCCACTACCATCCCATTATTGTGAAGCCACACTTTTTTCTCCCTATGTGTCACCATCAGTGATGTCAACTATTACCTCAATAGGAATGGCCCCAACATCCAAATCTGTAGCCTAAACCACCTCTAAAGACCCAGCCATTGTCAATTGCTTGCTGGCATTTTCTTCTAGATACCTTTACTTGCACCTTGTCCATTTTTGGCCCAGCTCCTGAAGGCTCCTGGCCTGGACAAATGCACCAAGGTTCTCGTGAAAGAAATGTCCTTGCTTGAGCCTAGTATTCCCACACTTAGATTTGCAGTCACCCCTGCCCACTTTTACTTGCTTGGACTTACTGTGTTTATTTGATCTTTTCTGTGCTTTAGGATATGCCTTTGTTTGATGTGCTGACCTGTGGCTTCCTCCCCTTCTCTCTTTTTAAAAAATCCTGGTTATTCATCTTATCTCTTTGGTTTTGTTGGATAATTCTATGATTAATCTCCTGGGCAATATTCCCAATAAGCTCAACTTTTTCCACTACCCTACTGGAAACATCTATCCCCTTTAACAAAACCTGTGCTTTAATTAATGTGTTTAAATCTGGGCTTATTATCTTCATCACAAACCCAACTGCATGGCTATTTTTCATTCCTTTCAAGGCATCAGTATTCTCACAGAATCTCAAGTGCGAAACCTGATTCATCTTTGACTGCTCCCTTTCCTCTACTTCTTACAGTCATTCTGTCAGTTTTCTTTCTAACTTTTAATCCCCCTATCCTCACTT
Organism: Homo sapiens; assembly: GCF_000001405.40. Lineage (NCBI taxonomy): Eukaryota > Metazoa > Chordata > Mammalia > Primates > Hominidae > Homo > Homo sapiens. Next base: position 30,130,884 of record NC_000003.12, read on the forward strand.
CCAGTTGTGAAAACCCCTAAATGTTGATCTTATATACCATTTGTGCCTGTGCAGACTTCTTAATAACTATGATCAGAATTTGGTTTATTTTAATTGCAAACATGCATTGTTCTTTGCATTTTAACTGCTTATAAGACAACCAGATCACTCATGAGTGAAATAAAAAAGAAATAAGGACTAAGATCTCTTTTGTTTCTCTTCAGTGTCATTTACTTACAACAACCTAACTAAGAGTTATAAATTGACTATTTAAAATGGTGTAGTACAGTTTTTAGTACATTGGCCTTCATTTACACAAAACATAAGACTCTAGCTGTGTTAAGCAGGAAGTGACTTAATATAGAGAATTAAGTTAAATAAAAAATTGGCAGAAGGGCTCGGGCCTTTGGCTGTGCCATGAATACCTCTTAGAAGAACGTTGTGGGATCAGCCCATATAGAAGCTATAACTCTCATCAGAAAGCTACCAATTGGGAGTGTAAGCTCAAAATGCAAACTCATTTGGCCAGGTTCCAGGGGTCAGGAAGCCACTGCCATGTTTTTGGAGAGATGCCAAGCCTTCTAGATATCTACTGAGGAAAGAAACAAATGTTCTATGCCTTGCCTCTTGACACCCATAAAGACAATGATGTTGACGCTGTTGCGGAAAAACCCAATATCATTCCAACCATGTTGCTGCCTTACTTTTGTATTCCAAATCTCATGGAAATGAGTCTAATTGCATTCTATGTAGAGTTATAGCTTCTGTGTGGGCTAATCCCACAATGTTGTTCTAAGAGGTATTCATGGCACAGCCAAAGGCCCAAGCCCTTCTGCCAATTTTTTATTTAACTTAATTCTCTATATTAAGTCACTTCCTGCTAATTTAGTTGAGCCTAAAGATGATTTGGACCTACAAAAGAGTCAGAGAAATGCAACTTATGGCTAGTCAGGCTCTGTAGAACACTGAAGCATATGAGAAGGGATATGAGATTCCTGTTGGAAGCCAATCTGGCATAGCCATTACAAACATTTATGGAGGATGTTTAACTGTTTTCTCATTGTGAAATTAATATGGACTTATTACTGAAAATGGTTAACTGAGAAAAATATAAAGAAAAAAATGAAATCTCTAAGTATACTGAGAACACTTTGATATACCCATTTTTTTAGGTCAAACTTTAAAACAAACTGCGACATTAAGGGATCTTATATTTAGTTGTTATTCGTAAAGTCCTTTGCAATCTTGGAATCTCTATTAGCCAAAACAATTTGGCTACCCCTTTCCATTTAATCTACATTGTATTCAAAATTTCACTTAGAGCATATTTCAGTTTTCTGTTTACCAGAGTTACCAGATGTAATTCAGAGCAACAACAACCAAATAGCCATCATTTTTTCTACACTGAATTAAATCCATAACCTAAAATTTTATTTTCTTTAACTTTTCTTGGCAAGGTGATACTTTGCAAAGTGCTACCAAGTACAGAAAACTAATAAAAGATCTAAGTAGCAGTATATATTTTAATACATACATATAATGAATCGATATCAATTATATATATTAAAATACATATTATACACATATATATGTACATTGAAAAATTAATACAAGAAAGTCTGTTGCCTAAAGGAGAGATGGTTTGGGATTTTTAAAAACAAAATTATAAAAAGTCAAGTTCAAAACACTCATCATAACCAAATCCAATTTCCTAATCTTTAGATTGACATTCCCAAATTGCTGCAAAGATTTGTAAAAACAATGTTCCCATTTTGTCAATATAAACTGCAAGAAAAAGAATATATTAGAAGGCCCTAGAATGAGTTAATATCTCTGGATAACCAAGTCTCACACTGATTCTGTCACAATCAATGTGAAAAATTGGATCTATAATTAAGGTTTAGACAATGAAGCATTTATTAGTTGGCTACGCCACAGAGGTGAAGGATTGGGTAGGGGAAGGTAGGTTGAGGAAAAAAGACTCTAACTAATTCTAACTTTCTCAAACTAACTTTCTGTTCTTTTCCAGAAATTGAATTACTTGCTACTACCATCCCCAAATAATACTTGACTGTCCAAGGTAGGGGAGTATTATGAACTGAATTCTATCACCCAAGATTTACATGTTGAAGTCCTTACCTCCAGTACCTCAGAATGTGACTGTATTTGAAGAGAGGGCTTTAAAGAGATAATTAAGTTAAAATGAGGTCTTTAGAGTGAGCTCTAACCCAATCTAACTGATGTAAGTTAAAAAGAGATTGGACTTACTGTATTTATGTGATCCGTTCTGTGCTTTAGCATATGCCTTTGTTTGATGTGCCGATCTGTGGCACCCACAGTGAGAGTCACCACGTATGTGTGTAAACAGAGAAAAGGCCATGTGAGGACATAGCAAGAAAGCAGTTGTCTCAGTAAGTTGAGGTTGCTAACAGAATACCATAAACTTGGTGTTCCAAAAAATAGAAATTTATTTCTCACAGTTCTAGAAACCAGGAAGTCCAAGATCAAGGTGCTGTTAGATCTGGTGTCTGGTAAGAGTATTCTTCCTGGCTTGCAGATAGCTGCTTTCTCATTTTATCTTCATGTGGCTGAGAGAGAGAGAGTAATATCGCTCATGTCTTTTCGTATAAGGGTACTAATCCCATTCACGAGGGCTCCACCATCATGACCTAATTACCTTCCAAATCCACACCTCCAAATGTGACCACATTGAGAATTTTGGCTTCAACATATGAATTTTCGGGAAACACAAATACTCAGTCCACAGCAGAGGCCATCTGCAAGCCAAGAAGAGAAGCCTTAGAAGAAACCAAACATGCTGACACCATGATTTTGGATTTCCAGCCTCTGGAACTGTGAGAAAATAGGTTTCTGTTGTTTAAGCCACTCAGTCCATGGTATTTTGTTATGGCAGCCCTAGCAGACTAATAAAGGGAGAAAAAAGTTAAATTTGTTATTTATTTATTTATTTATTTTTGAGACAGAGTCTGTCTCCATTGATCAGACTGAAGTGCAGTCGTGTGATTTCTGCTCACTGCAACCTTCGCCTCCCAGGTTCAAGCAATTCTCCTGCCTCAGCTTCCCAAGTAGCTGGGATTACAGGCATGCACCACCATGTCCGGCGAATTTTTGTATTTTTAGTAGAGATGGGGTTTCACCATGTTGGCTAGGTTGGTCTTGAACTCCTGACCTCAGGTGATCCACCTGCCTTGGCCTCCCATGTTTGATACTCCTCTTTTTATAGAAAAGTGGTTCTCAAAAACAGGTAATTTTGCTTCCTCTAGGGGACGTTGGGCAATGTCTAGAGATGTTTTGATTGCCACATTTGGTAGGGGTGAGGTTCTGCTGGCATCTAATGCATAGAGGCCCAGAATGCTGCTAAACATCTTATGATACACAGGACAGTCTCCTCCTAAAAATTCCATCTCCCCCAAACTGCCTCACCCCTAGTCATAAGGAATCATTTAGTCCAAAATCTCAGTAGTGCTGAGGTTGAAAAATCCTGCTATTATGGCATGAAATTTTCCTGACAGTCTTCCTGATTTGGGTGTGAGGACCTTTACTTTTTTCTTGTTTGTTGAACCTACACAGTCGTTTCTGCACCAGTTAATTATCTTGTGCTAGATACTTTCAACAGTTAGCTAGTGGATGCTTTCACTAATGATTCCCATCAGGCTACTTGTTCCTACCTGTGATGAACTTACTGGAATGGGAACTTTTCACTTTACAATTAGCAGAATGGAAACATTTCTGCTACGTCTCTTTTCACAAAACACAGAAAGCAGAAATCTTGGAATGTATCTCCTTTTCAATATATAGGACAAATAAACTCATTCTTTTTGGCTACAATGCACTGTATACAAATTTATTATAACAATTAATCACTGAAGCAGCCCGGCATGGTGGTTCACACCTGTAATCACTGCACTTTGGGAGGCCAATGCAGGTGAATCACTTGAGGCCAAGAGTTTGAGACCAGGCTGGCCAACATAGCAAAACCCGATCTCTGCAAAAAATACAAAAATTAGCTGGGTGTAATGGTGCATGCTTGTAATCCCAGCTACTTGGGAAGCTGAGGCATGAGAATCACTTGAACCCGGGAGGTGGAGGTTGCAGTTAGCCGAGATCATGCCACTGCACTCCAGCCTGAGTGACGGAGTGAGACTCAGTCTCAAAAAAAAAAAAAAATTGAAGCAAATTTAAATAAGCTTTATTTAGTGAATAGGAATTTTAAAAGTGAGCCAGGACAGAACTTTGAGATAATGAGTGTGCAGTCACTTGAAGTTCAATTTTCATCATACGTATTATCTTGTGTTATTTTCCTTTTCTCTTCCTCCTTCCGTGTTATCTATATCTAGTCACCAAATTCTTCTTTGCAAGAAAGGTAAGGATATTAAAGCAAAAAAGGTAAGGATATTAAAACCTGAGAAGCTGAATTAATGTAAGTGTGATCTATCCCCACTAGGTGACGTTGGATCTCCGCACCAGGGGCTGTTAAGGCATCAGCAGATACAAATAAGCTCTTTCTCTAATTGTAGCTAGAGGACAGCCTAGAACCACCAAGTATTGGAACTGCCATGTCTCATCTGCTTCCAATATACCAAATTGCGTTGTAACTGAAGACAAACCAGTCATTTTGCTATCCTCTCTCTGAAATCCAGCAGAACATAGTATAAATGTTGGAACTTTTGAGGCTGGGGATGACCACAGAGTTGATTTAGTAGTGAAATGAAGGGTATCACCATTGCTTGCCCCAGGCTTCATTTTCCTTCCTAGAGCTATGACACTTGTTATAAGGAAGTGAGGATTATAATTACAAAAAAAAAAAAAAGCTGTTCAAAATGTAAAGTAGATAGAAGTATGTTAACTAATATCATTTATTATCTTCTTCTGGAAAGTAATTAGCATTTCAGAGAAAATAAGCAATTTTCTGATAGATTTAATAAGATTACAATTTCTCCTGGGGAGTTAATTACCCAATCATACTACAAACAGAAGTTAAATTTTTTTTAACTGGACATTTCTTTACTACCTCCTTTATTTTTTATAAAAAGGAGAAAATTTTGAGTTTATCTTCTTAGAATCTACTCCTTTGAAGCAAATTAGACATAAACTTTGATTCTTGCTTGTTATTAATTTGTCTTAGGATTTTTCATTTTAGTATTCTACCCCACCAGGAGGTAACCATTCTCTTACCATATACTGGAAAGAAGGTACCATGACCTATAACAACTTAGTAAGGTTCTCCTTGACAGGACTTCAAAAGGTACCCAGGGAGGTTTCTGCCAACAGCCATGATGAGACAACTGATACTGAACTGGTTTTCTCACCATAAATAACTAGAGAACTGGGGTGCAAAGGGGAAGACAACTATTTTCAGGTATTGGAAAACTGACAATACAGACTGTGATAAGGGAAAGAAATGATGTGAGACCTGTAGTTACCTTGACTCTGTGAGACAATTTCTGGACAATGGTGGAGGGAAAGGTACACAAAATTTAACATAAAAATCTCATGGAATTGAAGAGGAAGAAATCAATTAGGGAAAATTGAGGGAATTGAAATTTGTGAGACAGAGTGCAAAAGAGAGTGGGTTATACAGAAAGAGAGTTCCAGAGATTGGCATAGGGCTTTCTTTATCTGAATACATAGCTGTACTAGCATGAGGCAAGAATCTATAAGGCTGGACAAAGAAAAAGGAATATGAAAGCTGAGCAATCTTCAAAGCTCATTAGGGCTAAAATACATTTGAGCTCTGACAAGTCAGAGTAGAGACACTTCAATGAACGCCTGAGGCATTCAGTAGAAACCCCAGAAAGGTAGTAGATGAGCTAAAGTAGCCCTGAAGTAAAGTCTACTGAGACATAGGCTAATGAAGCTAAAAAAAAAAAGCTAGCTTGAAATGACTAAACTGATCTGCAAGAAATGTAACTGCATACCAAACAAAACTCAACATGCTTTAAATCAACACACACAAAAAATGGACATTTAACAATACAGCATTTAGTGTCTAACATCCAATAGAAAATTACTAGACATGGGAATAAACAGGAGAACGTGAACCATGACCAGGATCGCAGGGGCTGTACACCTTGTAATATTATTCATAATATCCTAATGAAATGTTACCTCTAAAGTCACAGGGGGTGTACACAGTATGATATGGTTCCCAATATGGTAGGGGGATGTTACTCCTAATATCACAGAGGGTATTCACACTGTGATAATATTCGTAATATCCTAAATGGATGTTACTGCTAACGTCACAACACGTGTGCATCCTCTGTATTTGTTCCTTATATCCTTGGGCGAGGTTACTCCTACTGTCACACGGGGTGTACTCCCTGTGATATTATTCATAATATCCTAGGTGGATGTTACTCCTCGTGTCACAGGGGCTGTGCATCTTGTGATATTATTCACAATATCCTAGAAAGATGTTACTCCTCAGGTCACAGGGGATGTACACCCTGTGATATTCTTTGTACTATCCTAGGGGACGTTACTCCAAATGTCACAGAAGGTGTACACTCTGTGATATTACTCGTAATGTGTCAGGGAAATGTTCTCCTAACGCCACAGGGCATGTGCACCATGTGTGCACAGCCCCTGTGATGTTGTTTGTAATATTCTGGAGGGATGTGAATCCTAATATTCCATATGGTGTTAGCCATGTGCGAACACCTTTGTGGTATTATTCCTAACATACTAGAAGGATGTAACACTTAACATCACACGGGGTATACGCCATGTGTGTACACATTCTGTGATATTATTCATAACATCGTAGGGAGATGCTACTCCTAATTTTACAAGGTGCATACATTATATGTGTACTCCCTCTCTGATGTTATTCATAATATTCTAGGGGAATGTTGCTGCTAATGTCACAGGGAGAGTATACCATGTGTATGCAACCCTGGTAATATTATTTCTAAAATCTTGGGGTGATGTTGCTCCTAATGTCACCTGGAGTGTCCACCATGTGTGTACACCTTCTGTGATATTATTCGTAAATCACAGAAAAAGATTACACCTAATGTAACAGGGTGCGCACACCGTGTGCGTCAACAGCCTTTGATATTATTCATAATACACTAGGGGGATGTGACTTTTAATGTCACAAAGGGTGTACAAAATGTCACAGGGTGGGTACGCCTTATGATATTATTCCCGATATCCAGAGGGATGTTACTCCTAAGGTCACAGGGGGTGTACACCCTTCGATACTATTTATAGTCTTATAGGGAGATATTACTGTAAATCTCACAGTGGGTGTACACTATGTACACTATGTGTACACTCACTGTGATTATTTGTAATATCTCAGAGATATTACAGAGTTATCACTCTCTGTGTTATATTAGAGAGTTATATCTCTCTAAGACAGTATAAATAATACCACAGTGGGTATACCTCATGTGTGTACAACCTGTGATATTATTTGTAATATTGATGGTAAACATTAAATCTATTATCACAGTGAGAGTACTCCCTTTGATATGTCTCATACTGTCATAGATATTGCTTCTAATATCACAGTGGGTGTACACCTTATATCCTAGGGAGATATCTCTCCAAATATCACAGTGTGTGTACACCTTGTGATATTATTCATAATGTCCTAGAAGGATGTTACTCCTAATATGGCAGAGGGTGTACACCCAGTGATATTCTTTGTAATATCCTAGGGAGATGTTACTCCTAATGTCACATGGGGTGTACACCCATGATATTATTCATAATATTCTAGGGGGATGTTACTTGAAAAGTCACAGGGGGCGTACACCGTGTGATGTTGTTCGTAACATCCTAAGAAGATGTTACCCTTAATGTCACATGGGGTGTGCACCCTGTGATATTACTCGGAATATCTTATGGGGATGCTACTCCTAATGTCACAGGCTGTGTACACCCTGTGATATTATTCGGAATATCCACAGAGGTGTTACCTTTAATGTCACAGATGGGGTCCACGCTTTGATATTTTTTGTCATACCTTAGGAAGATATTACTTCAAATATCACATTGGGTGTACACCCACTGTGATGTTATTCGCAATACCCTAGGGAGATATAACTTTTAATATCACAGTAGGTACACCTACTGTGATACTATACCTAATATCCTAAAAATTAATAAGACTCCTAATATCACAGTTGGTGTACACACTGTGATATTATTCGTAATATTCCAGCGGGATGTTACTCCTCAGGTCACAGGGGGTTAATACCCTGGGACAGTATTCCTCATAATGCAGGGTGGTGATACTCCTAAAGTCACATGGTGTGTGCCCCCTGTGATATTATTCATCCTATTCTAGGTGGATATTACTCCTAATGTCACAGAAATGTACACCCTGTGATATTATTCATAGTATACCAGAGGGATATTAGTACTAAAGTCACAATGCCTGTACACCTTGTTTTTACTATACCCTTTCTATGTTTAGATACACACCTACCTTTGTGTTACAACTGTCTACAGTATTCAGTACAGTAACATGATGTACAAATTTGTAGACTACAAGCAATAAGCTATACCATAGACTCTAGGGGTGTAGTAGGCTATGCAATCTCAGTTTGTGTAAGTGCATTCTATGATGTTTACAGAAGAACAGAACTGCTTAGTGATGCATTTCTCTGAATGTATCCCCATATTTAAGCAAGATATGACTGTACAGTTGGTGCTTGAACAACTCAGGGGTTGGTGGTGCTGACTTCCTAGGCAGTCAAATCAACAATTTTTGACTCCCCCAAATCTTAACTAGTAATAGCCTATTATTAACCAGAATGCCTTATCAATAATATAAACAGTTAACATACATTTTGTACGTTATGTGCATTATATATTGTACTCTTACAACAAAGTAATCTGGAGAAAAAATGTTATTAAGAAAATCATAGAGCTGGGTGCAATGGCTGAACCTGTAATCCTAACTACTCAAGAGGCAAAAGAGAGGGAATTGTTTGAGCTCAGGGGTTCGGGAGTTTAAATCCAACCTGGGTAACATAAGGAGACCCTGTCTCTTAAAAAAAAAAAAAAAAAGAAAAGAAAAAAATTGTAAGGAAGAAAAAATATATTTACTATGTATTCAGTAAAAGTAGATCCTTATAAAGGTCTTCATTCTCATCATTTTCACTTGACTAGGCTGAGGAGAAGGGGAAGGACAAGGGGTTGGTCTTGCTGTCTCAGAGGTGGAAGAGGCAAAGGAAAGTTCATGTACAAGTGGACTCACAGTTCAAACTTGTGTTTAAGGGTCAGCTATATCTTAGTTAATAAGGATGTTCATCTGAAATCCTCCACAGCTACTTTTGCCACGCTCCAGTAAGTGTATATCACCCAGAGGGCTTGTTAAAGTACAAAGTAGTCATTCTCACCCACAGTTTCCGATTCAACAGGTCTGGGATGGGGCTCAGAATATACATTTCTAACAAGCTCACAGGCAATGCTGATGGGCTTGGTTCAAGAACCACCCTTAGAGAACCTCTCTCTACTCCAGTTATTTCTCCATAACCCACGTGTAAGATCTAATTATGTCCTACTTCACTGCTTCCTCTTCCCTGCTTTAGATACTATAATAGAGTTTCATTGTTCTTTGGCTAAAGAAACTTAATTTGGCCTACAAGCATAAAAATAGTCTGGCATAACAATGAATATTTGTTGAATAACTAAATAAGCAAGTGTCCAAAGCTTCTGAAGTATGTTTTGCTGTTGTAGCTCTGTATTATCATTTTTGTAAATACCAGCATTCAACAAAGGGATCTTTGTGGTTAAGATGCTCTCATAGGCTTCTATGATGAATTTTGGCTGGAATAAAGCATGCAATTTTCTTATGCCTAGGAGGAAAGAAGAAAGATGGAGAACACTTGGTCAGGTTGACCCATCATAATTCTTCAGTGTACCATTAAAAAACAAAAAGAACAAATGTCCTTCAGTACCGCAGATCACATAGCAACTGAGGGCTCAGTGAATGGAACATATCCAGTCATTACAACTGGTTGTACATTTCTGGCTTTAACTTGGCAAGTTTTATTTAGGTGATTTCATCGATGAGGGGACCTGCAGATCACCAACTCTGCTTCTCCTTTCCTTCTTCCCTCTTGTGAATCAAAAGTGAATTCCCTTTTGTGAATCAAAACTTTAAGATTCACAATTCATCAAGATGACTCTGTTGGTGCATCATAAATTGGGCAGATTAGATTTTGTATATTTTTAGCTCCACAAATCATAATTTATGAGTCTCTCTGTTGGATGCAAAATGATAAGAAAAATATGGGGAAATGTGGGGAACAGGGTGAGATAATCTCATTTGAATTAGACAAATGAGGCCCTGCTGAAAAAGAACACCCAGTGTCTCTGGACAAATTTATGAAGTCAAAACAAAAAATAATTACAGTGAAGAAATGGCTGGTGCTGGATGAACCTGCTTCATTTCTAATGTTGGTTGGCAGCTCTTCATCCTGATTATTCCATCTGGAGATAATTGTGTGATATCATCCATAAAATTAAATCGTAAATCAACCCAACTAGTGCACAGGCCAGAAAGCTGCTGAGAAAGCCACGTGTAGGAGTGGTGAGACTTCTTATCTTAATGAGAAGTATGGGAGAGAAATTAACAGAAAAAGACAAGTAAGGGTGACCCTCAGCATGTCCACAGGCTCACTTGCAGACAGCTGCTGCCAAAATCTATGCCCCAGTAGCATTAGGACAGCCAGCATCCTGCCTGCATTACCAATTTGTTGATGAGAAAAGAATGTTCTATTCATGAATGAAATTGTGTTTTGCTTTTTGGAGATTGCTGCTTTGAGTTGTGGATGTCCAAAACGAAGGCACCTCATTTCCTTTCCTAATGAAATGTTAACAGTGATGGAAAGTCTACAAACATAACAAAAGTTTTATACAAGAACATTTGGCCAAACATCCTCACTAGGCCTAGTTTTTGATTTAAAAAGTATGCCACCAGTCTTTGATTTTTGTTAGTAAATTAGCTGTGGTCAATTTGCAGGTTATTTTTTTGACAAGACTTGCCTTTTTCAGATAAAAACATGTGATTTTAAAGCAGTTAATTATGACTCATGAAAGAATAAAGTTATTAAAATAAGGACAAATATATGATTTAAATAACTCCTGTTGATTGCCCTGAGTGCTTTTGCTGTGGCCAGAAAATTAGACGGGATCAAAAGTCCAAGGTCATCTCATGCTTCCTAATAGCTCAGGCTCGAGCAAATGGCCTAAGGCATATATTTCTTTGGGTTGAATCATTAGACAAAATCAACCCCATTGGCTTTGGAGATTCCATTTGTGACCATAATAAATGCAGAGTCCAGCTGTACATTGATTTTCTAAATTTTCAAAGTAGCAATAGTAACAGATGTTGAGAAGCTGGCAGCTTGTGAGCATCTGCGTTGGGAAGGTCACTGTGACACTCAGCAAAAACATAACTGGAAGAACAATAATCAAGATAAATCCTTTCTTGTCCTTTACCTTCAGCCTACACCTGACAATATTAGTTCCAGTACAGCAATAAAAGTCACCAGCTCTGAAAAATGCATATTCTTTTGTTTTGTTTTCATTGTGTTATGTACATATAATGCATGTATTTTGAACTTTATATACCTGTAAGTGTAGAGGCCTACTTTGTTTGGACAATTCTAAAATGTGAGCCAATAAGAAAATGAAAAATCTTCATAGAAAAAAAAGAACAATTTGCCTGTCTTTAATTACGGGTATTTTCTTGCCTCCATCTCCTGCCCCTACTAATGCCCATTGTCTGCTTTTCATTTTGGCTAATCTTAACTAGAAACTAGAAAACCACAGATACCAATTGTATAATAATGAACAGCAGCACCAGAATTCAATTTTTATTAGGTTTATTGTATTGTTTAAGAGTCTTAGTTGCAAACCTCAAAAACTCAACTCAAGTTAGTCTATACAAAGAGAATGAATTTATTGTAAAAACTAAATTTACATAAAGATCTAGATATTTATATCTAGAGGTGAACTAGCTCAGATACAGCTGCATCCTAGTCTCAATCCTGTTAGCTCTCCTACTGCCCTCTTTTCCCTACCTCTCTACCTCTATTTCCATTTCCATCTTTATCTCCTTCTATCTATTTCTTGAGTTTTATGTTTGCATTTGGCTTTAGACTCAGACTCTTTTTATAAAATGAACAAAACCCCAAGTTATAGCAGGCTTATATATTATTTGAGATCCATGACTTCAGAGAGTACATATTTCTCAATGACTTCAGCAAACAGTGCAACATGGCTGTAGCAAGTATACAGGAAACAGTGGAAGATAAGGCTATGCAGTCTGATTAGCACTAAGCTAAATGCTGTGCATTTACCCCATCACAGAAAGTTTTATAAAGTTTTAAAGTTGTGAAATGAAGTGACTGGAGCTTTATTTTAGAGGGATTACTCTGATAGCAATATGGAGATTGAATTGGAATTGGAAGAACCTAGATTCTTGAGGAGCAGTGCAGGTGAGTGTTGGAGTAGAAAGGATATGGGCTAGGCAAGGTGGCTCATGCCTGTAATCCCAGCACTTTGGGAGGCTGAGGTGGGCAGATCACCTGAGGTCAGGAGTTCGAGACCAGCCTGGCCAACATGGTGAAACCCCATCTCTAGTAAAAATACAAAAATTACCCGGGCATGGTGGCATGTGCCTGTAATCCCAGCTACTCGTGAGGCTGAGGCAGGAGAATCGCTTGAACCCAGGAGGCGGAGGCTGCAGTGAGCTGAGATCATGCCTATGCACTCCAGCCTGGATGACAGAGTGAGATTCTGTCTCAAAATAATAATAATAATAATAATAATAATAATAATAATAATAATAATAAAGGTTTAGAAAGGATAAAAGGCAAATCCAAAGGTCTCTGAGGAATATAACTAAAATAATTCAGCAACCAATCGATTATGGCCAAATGAAACCAAAAAGGAAAAATTAACAACAGCATCAAAGTTTCTAGCTTGATGATTGAATGGATTTTAAGATCATTTACTGATATATTGAGGTATCTCAAGACTGAGTTTGAATACATTCTTCCTTTGTAGATAATTTACTTTTTCTGCCCCTTAGGTAGAAATGCTATCAAATCTGATACCTCTTGCATTTCCTTCACAGCAGAAAAATTATGGGTCAGATTTTATACAACATTCAAGATTGGAATTAATGTAATATTTTTACCACTGGGGCCATTCTATCTTTCAGGCTAATTTCATTAAAAGACATCATAAATTTAAATATTCCTTCTAATTTTTTAATAATCCAGAGAATTAATGTAAAAATATTTGATTTTTCTTCAAATATTGTATGCTATAACCTATAGATTTTTTTAAGTTAGTTTATTGAAGGCTATATTTAACAATTACTTGGAAGAGGACATTTAGGATTTGTCTGATAAAGCTCTTGGTGCTGCAGTGGGCAGTGCCCAGTAGGCAAGACAAAGAAGAACATTGGGACAAATAAAACTTTATTTACAAAACAGGCAGCCAGCCACAATTTGTCAATTTAATTGTTTAAAATATTGAATCATAACACTACCTACCTTGATTACTTGGTTATTTTTTGGCATCCTCTTAAACTTTTTTATCTAAGGATAGTGTTTCACCCTAGTCCCAGTTTTGTTGCTACTAAGCTAAAAGGAGTTTGTTAAGCTCAGGGCATTGTATTCAGGAGGAAAACTATGAGTAGAAAGATTAAGAGCCAAAAGAATCTATCCATAGGGTCATCAGTGTGGACGCTCAGATTTCAGGGGAAGCCAGGCTCACTTCCAGAGGGTTGGAAAAAGCATAAACCTATTTTGTGACATCATCTTTCAAACGAAGCTAGCCTAACCATCGCAGTAAGTATGTGAGTGCTTTGGTTGTTTCCCTGGACCAAGGAAGTGCTATTAAATTTTTTGAAATGTGAAGAGGAGGAAATAATTTATAAAATGTGACATTTGATTCTCAGTCTTGCTGTTAAAAAATGTGGTCCATAGTCCAGCAATATCAGTATCCCTTGCTTGCTTGTTAAAAATGTAAATTCTCAGGCCACATCTCTTACTTACTGAATCAATATCTGCATTTTTAACAATATTCCCAAGCAATTTTTATATACATTAAAATATGACAAATGACCCCTAAAATGGACTATAACATTAAAATAATAAAATTTTTATTATTGTTTTTGAAACTGCCATCACAAAATTATAACTGAGACAGTGAAAGAAATCTGACTAACCAACTCCATCTTGTGTCTAAGCCCCAAGATGTCCTTGTTCATTCTGGGGCATAGGCTGAACTAACTTTGGGAGGAACTTAGTTTATAGTTTAACTTTGAAACAAAGGTAATAACAGCCCTTTCCCAAAACAAACCCTTTTCCTGCCTGGGGAACACATTGCCTTTGTAGGACTAACAAATTAGTCACAAGAGTAGAAATTATAGTTTAGGAGTCAGGCAGTTGGAGGCTACAAGATTCTGACCCTCTCCCTAAATTGCTCCTGGGGACAACATCATTATTATAAAACCTAAGATCAGTGCTAGAGATATTTTGCCAACCATGCACTTGATAGGTCAGCTGGCACCATCCAGATCCATAAACTGGCTCATCTGGTCTTGTGGCACCCACCCAAGAACTGAATCAGTGCAAGAGGACAGCTTTGCCTTGCTATGATTTCATTTCTGACCCAACCAATTACCACTCCTGACTCCCTGGCCTCCTCACCTGCCAAATTATCTTTAAAAACTCTTATCCCTAAATGCTTGGGGAGACTGATATGAGTAATAGGAAGACTCTGGTCTCCCACACAGCTGGCTCTGCATGAATTATTCTTTCTCTATTGCAATTACCCTGTCTTTATAAATTGGCTCTGTCTAGGCAGTGGGCAAGGTGAACCTGTTGGATGGTTACATTTTTATCTTCTATTCTTACCATTTATATATTACATATAAATTGATTCTATATTATATTATTATAGTAGTGCATATCTATTATTTTGGAGAATATATTCACAAACTTTGTGTTTTTTTTTCATCAACAGAAATACACAACCAAAAATTTTTGGAAACCATTGCTTAGAAGGTTGCAACTCTGCCCTGCCAGTCCTTGGACAGAGGAATAAAAGAGGAAAGAACAAAGTCTAGAATATTCTAATCTTCTAGAGTAAGCTTCAAGGTTACTCTATTATCCAAAAATCATGATGACTAATTAATGTATCCATAATTTATTAAAATCCTCAAAGAGCTATCCAGGAAACTTTTTTTTTTTGAGACGGAGTCTTGCTCTGTTACCAGGCTGGAGTGCAGTAGCGCAATCTCGGCTCATTGCAACCTCCGCCTCCCAGGTTCAAGCGATTCTCCTGTCTCAGCCTCCTGAGTAGCTGGGACTACAGGCACCCACCACCACGCCCAGCTAATTTTTGTATTTTTTTTTTTAGTAGAGACAAGGTTTCACCATGTTGGCCAGGATGGTCTCGATCTCCTGACCTTGTGATCCACCCGCCTCGGCCTCCCAAAGTGCTGGGACTACAGGCGTGAGCCACTGCACCCGGCTCCCAGGGAACTTCTTTAACTAAATTGCTCACAAATGATTTATAATTGTCCTTTAATACTTGAACTTGGAACATACAAGCAAGTTGGATTCACAGCTCAATGCTTAGGGAACTATCAAGTGATAAAGAACAAAGCAAATTCAGATTTTTCCATAATCCTTTCTTTGACCAATAAATGGAGTCATAGCTAGTCATCTAAAATTCCTCATATGACACTATTTTTTTTTCTGGTTAAACAATGAAATGCAAGTATCATGGGTCATTAATAACCTGCTAAATGTTCCATCCTCTAGAAACAGGGAAATTCATGCTAAGGTAAATCCCATTTGTGAGATATATCCTCCTATGTAATAAGAGATGCTTTGACTTGACCACCTCAGTCAAAGGTCAGTTTCTTGCTTTCTTTATTGTTTATCTCTTTCTCCCTTTCTCTCTCCCTTCTTTGTCCTTTTCGTTACATAATTCAGGTTAAAGGTGACTCACGTTAATAAAAACAACATAAAGAAAAATCAGTCAATGGCTCTTGGAAAGATCTGAATAATAACATTTAACTTGAGAACTACCTGAGGATTAGATAAGTAGACATTTTAAAGTAATACTTAAATTTATTACTTTTATATATCTGAATGTGACCTTTGGGGAAAATTCAAATGACAAGTCCCAGGCCAAACAATTTTCTTTTCAGCCTTTGTACTTAAGCTGCTCAGGAATGCAGGCTTATAGCACAAAGAAACCACATTTAGATAATTGCCTCTGTTTTCCTGTCCAATTTACAATACTGAGCTTCACTCTTACAGGAGTCCATTTGGGTCTGCACATGAATCTTTCTTATGCATGCTTCCTTTGGGCTTCTTAATCACTGTTAGTAAATAACTCTGGCAGGCATCCAAGATTGCCCTAACTCATATTGAAATCCAGTTTTTAGTCAATTATGCTACAGTGACTTTTGTTAGCACTTGAATGCTACAATTATGGAAAATTTCTTCAAAAAATATGAAAATGAGCAAAAAAGTTTGGCCTTTGAAAGTTAAAATGTGAGAGGCAGAGCAATGCACAGGAAGAACATAGGATTTAAAGTAAAAATTGCTTGTTCAGTAACCTTGGACAAGTTACTTAATCTCGTTCAGTCCCATCTGTAAAATGCGGACACATTTATTTACTTTATAGAGCAGTAATGATTCTTAAGTGTGATTGATATAAAAAGTTCTTCTTAGAGTAAAATTTCTCTTCTGTCTTCTTAGGATCTCTGACTGGGTGTAAGCATTAAACCAACATAAGAAAAATTAGCAGGAGAAAAATCTACACATTTTATTCTGTAATTTTTATATCTACGTGGGAGCCTTCCAAAGAAAAAAATGAAGACCCAAAAAGCAGTGAGAGCTGAAAGTTTATGTACTAGATGGACAAAGAGTAGTGCATTGTGAAAATTTGTCAAGAAAAAGGGGTTTGAGCTAGGGCAGTTAATTGTGAAAAAATACTAGGTAGATAAGATTAGTTTTAGAAGATTTGTATAGTTTTCTTTTAGCCTTGATTTGCCAATATGGACGATAAAAATGTCTTTCTTTCTCCTGGTACAGGGAGGGTACCTTTCTCATAGAAATTTTATCTCTTGTTTTCAGGAAGAAAAGGAAGATCAGAGTGCCCTTTTTGCATCTGTTGTTATTAAATGCTTTAACTCAAAATAATCAGTATGCCAAAGTGGCATATTTTGGGATGGCATGTTCTGAACATGCCTATGGTATGATCTCTGTGGTAACTATTGATATCATTATTAAAATCAACATATTGACTTTGATTCAGATAATGTAAAGTCTTTCTGAGTAAGCCTGGATCACTATAACCTGACTGAATCAATCAGCAGTATCCAAAAAAAAAAAAAAAAAGCAATGTCAAGTAGAAGGATATTCATCAGCTATGCAAACATAGAAGATTGAGGGTAAAGGAAAAAACAAAACAAAACAAAACAAAAACCAATGGGAGTGAATTTTCTAGCTCTGGTGAAGGGAAAAGGAGAGGCCTTAACCAAACCCAGTTATTTCTGTTCCTCACAATGAGCTGGGTGCTTTAAGATATCCTAAACTGATGCCAATTAGCATTTCAACATTTGAACCATCTAACTCAATAGTTCTCAGCTTTGGCTGCTCATTATCATCGCCTGGGAAGTTTTCTTTTTTTTTTTTTTTAATAAAATATTTATTCTGGGCTCCATCCCCAAGAAGTTTTGAGCTGACTGTTCTGGGTTGGGATTAGACATTGGTATTTTATAAAATAGACCCAAGGCAGTCAGATTTGAGATCCATTGATATAGCCACAGGGTGAGGAGTGGGTGGTGGCCTAGTAATGGTGTCACAACCCAAGCAGAATGAGGAGAACATCCATGTGAACAGGAGAGGGTTTCCAGCCTAAGCATGAACTGTTAGGGCCCAGGTGGGGCAGGAGAGCATCCCCACGGATGGGTGGCTTGCTGCATAGTATCACAGCCCAAGTGGAATAAGGAAGTTGTTGACGGTGATGGACCTTAGCAAGCAATCTTATAGCCTGAGCAGGGTGAGGAGGGCATCTGTGATGGAAGTGGGAGGATGGTGACAAAGAGAGGTTGGTTCCATATACGGGTCTAATCAAATAAGAAAATATACTCGAAGAATAGGAGTGGGGTGGATCACTGTCAGGGAGGAAAGTTACAAATATGGAAAGGAGAAAAGCCATAATGATTCTTGTGATATTGACTTGAAATTGGAGGCATTAGAATACATTATAATTTACAGTATGGATAGATAAAAATAGATGGATAGACAGAAGAATGTGTACATGCATTCTATGGTTTGAATGTGTCTCCCCAAAATTTCAGGTCTTGCCAAATGTGATAGTATTAAGAGGCAGGGCCTTTAAGAGGTGGTTAGGCCAGAAGAATCTTCTGTCACAGATGAAATTAAGGTCTTAAAAAAAAAAGAGTCTTCACACAACATTTGGCAAGCTTGCCCTTCTGCCTTCCACCATGTGAGGACAAAACAAGAAAGCCTTTACCAGACCAGATGCCCAGGCCTCCAGAAAACTGTGAAAAGTAAATTTCCATTCTTTTATTATTATTATTTATTTTATTTTTCCATAAGTTATTGGGGTACAGTGGTATTTGGTTATATGAGTAAGTTCTTTCGGGATGATTTGTGAGATTTTGGTAATTTCTCTTCTTTATAAATTATCAGCTTGTGGTATTCTGTTACAGCAGCATGAAGCAGACTAGGACAATACACAAACACACATCTGTACACCAGATACACACACGCACATGCGCGCACACACACACACACATTTTTTAGTTCTGTTCACTAAGAGAAACAATATCTCAATAGTAATGAGGACACTTGACACCCAGATCTTGGTTTCTAATATCAATCTCCATGAAAGAAAGCAAGCAGGGCTCCTTGCATAAATGTCTGATTCCAGAGATAGGACATGGAAAATCCAAGAACCCAGGCCACCTTGTGACAGGAAGGAAGTCTCCAAAGAATGATGGGATATGTCAACAAGACACAGCAACTAGACAGCAAGAGTTTCCCCTAGCCAAATCTGAGAAAACTATTTTCCTCTGAAAAAAAGAAAACCATGAGTTCATAATAATGTCAATAAACCAGTTAAAAGTTTGATGAGGAACAGGATATTCACATAGTCTCAATGTTTTTTCTCATGAAATCCTTATTAATTCCAAAGAGAAAATGAATAAGCTTCTAATGAGAAACCTGTTAGATACCACCTTAATCAGATGAGCACACTTAAATTCATCAATAAAAGGATGAAGCAAAATCGTACGACAACTGACAGAATGCAATGAAAAGAACACAGAAACTCATTTGTGATGGGTTCTTGCCGAGGAGGTGTAATCTGAATCTAATCATGAGGAAACATCAGATAAAGCCACACTGAGGAAAATTTTATGTAATAACTGGTCTGTAATCATCAAAATCATCAAGCAAAGACTAAAGAGCTATTGAAGGAGAATAAAAAGACATGGCAACTAAATGTAATGCTTCATTCTGAACTAAATCCTTTCTGCCATAGTCTTTATTGGGACAACTGGCAAACTTGAATGTAGTCTGTAGATTAGGAGATATTAATGGATCAGTGATAATTTCACCGGTTTTGATGATTGCGTTAGGTTTATATAGAAGAATATCTCTGTTTGTAGGACATACACATGAACTTACTGGTGATGAGGTGGGAGGAGATAGGGCATCATGTTCGCAACTTGCCTCAAATGGTCCAGAACAAAACATTTTGGGTAATGTCTCTGCAAATTTTCTGTAGTTCAAGTTGTTTAAAAGCAAAACAAAAGACTAATGTCTGGTACTTCAAAAGAGAGAACCAGATTCTGCAAGACGATTCCCAGTGGTGATCCCCATTATTTAGTCACTTTTCCTTTGGAGACAAGATTATCATTTGGTACTTCTTGATATTTATCTGTCTTCCCCTCTTGCAGTAACTCATCCTATTACTCTCCCTCTCCTAAGCCGGACAACAAGAGCCTAGGGTATGTACCGTCTTGACACTATGCTTCATGGCTCTCTATATATTCAGAAGTGCCTCTCGCACTTGCAAATTCAAAATTACTCAATACATTTTACCAGTAAACTGCATGTGAAACGTCTGTGTTATGTAGCCATGTGCACATTATGGTGTTTGCTATCCAAAATCTAAATATCTGAAGGGTAAAGCAAAGTGACAACAATCTCAAAGGTTGAGTAAGATCCTATTTGGATCATAATATAAGCTCCATGGAAGCTTTATCTTTCAATCATCAAGGCAAACAATAGTGGTTGACATGAAATATGGGCACTCAATAAATATTTATTGAATTAGTGAGACAATGAATAAATTCACTTAGCCTTTCTGAATGTCAGCAATTTATAACACTAGTTTCAATAGATTGTCTCTAAAATAAGTTCTGCTTATGATTTATTACATCTGATATTACAGCTAGAATTTATATTATCTGACCATGCATTAAGAAGTTTATTCATCTCAGTTCTATCTCATGCTCTCAGTTAAGACTGAAGGTCTGATAAATGTAGTTCATAGATAACACAATATATTAAAAGAAGCCCAATATATTGAAAGATATATATATATCAATTGATATATATTAATTCTATATATTCAAAGAATTGGTTTTGAACGAACTGAAATCTAATTCCACTTTCCCCCACTAATTAGCTATATTTTTAAACAAGTTATTTTGAACTATCTCTGAGCTGCACTTCACTCAGCGTTCTTCAGTATATAGAGAAGGTTAGCTTAGATTTATAATGGTTTATTTTTCTGCTATAAAATGTTGACTCTATGATATTTTGCAGATATAGAGCAATAGCTGTGGAAGTTGTGAATTTGGAAAAAAATTACCTCATTATTAAAACTATTCCAGTTAAGAAGCTGGCTTAAGAATACAGAAAGTGACAGAATAATCTTGCAAAACAACTGTAAGGATATAAATACATTCAGTTTTGTTAATTGATCAGATTGGCATGTATCCCCTATAGAGCACTGCGGAATTCACTAGCTTATTTATCATACGTAGAAATACTAACTGTAAGTGGCACACAACAATTACCCCATTGGTAATGGTAATAGTTGTGTTAGAATAAGATGACAACAGAGTAGGAGTCAAATTACATGGAATCATTTTGATCCTACTTTCTAGAACATTTTAGGAAAGGTTCAACAAGTCTTAAAGAGCTCTGAGCTTGTGAATAAAAGAAAATACTAAAATAATTTCAATATGAATTTGATATTTAGCTCTAAAAGCTGCTGCTCAGCCAATGTTTTCCTTGTATCACTATCCTAATCCATGAAATGAGATGTCTATTTAACTGGTTAACTTTTATTAAGCACTAATTATGACACAGCCATGGTGTTAGACTCCAGCTATAGAACATAAAGACTCAACTCCTCTTATCAGGGTTTTCCCAGAAGCATTCTGTAAGGCAAGGACTTGGGTGCAGACAATATTTGGAAGGTGATCCTAGGAAGTACAAATAGAGGAGTGTGGAAAGTGACACAAGTAAGTCAGAAAAGTCAGCTGTTGTATCTATATGAATGGATTATTGCTGTGGGCAGTTAGGACTCTGTCCTACTGAGACACTTGGAAGAATCATGTAGAACATATATCTCAGAATTGTCCCAATGAGGAACAAAAGAGATGAGTTCTGGTGTGTATTCCTTTCCAGACATGACCACAACAATATCTCTCATCTGATATGCTCCTCTTATCATGTGACCTTGAGACTCATCTACTCAAGAGCTTGGGTCTAATCCCCTCCCCTTAAATATGGATAAACTTGTGACCTTAGTGGAAATGGTGTTACGTGACTTCAGAGACTGGAACATAAAGGGAAATACAGCTTCTTTTAGTTTCTCTTAGGATGCTCACTTTTAGAACTCTGCCTCCATGTTGTGAGGAGCCCAAACTACATGTGTATGACACATGCAGACGTTCCAGCCATTAGATCCACATGAGGAACCAGCTACAGCCAGCACTGATTGTCAGAAACTGATTAAGTAAGCTTTCTTTCTTTTTATTATAGTTTAAGTTCTAGGGTACATGTGCACAACGTGCAGGTTTGTTACATATGTATACATGTGCCATGTTGGTGTGCTGTACCCATTAACTCATCATTTACATTAGGTATTTCTCCTAATGCTATCCCTCCCCCAGCCTCCCACCCTATGACAGGCCCCGGTGTGTGATGTTCCCCTTCCTGTATCCAAGTGTTCTCACTGTTCAATTCCCACCTATGAGTGAGAACATGCGGTGTTTAGTTTTCTGTCCTTGCGATAGTTTGCTGAGAATGATGGTTTCCAGTTTCATCCATGTTCCTACAAAGGACATGAACTCATCCTTTTTTATGGCTGCATAGTATTCCATGGTATATATGTGCCACATTTTCTTAATCCAGTCTATCATCGATGGACATTTGGGTTGGTTCCAAGTCTTTGCTATTGTGAATAGTGCTGCAATAAACATATGTGTGCATGTGTCTTTATAGCAGCATGATTTACAATCCTTTGGGTATATACCCAGTAATGGGATGACTGAGTCAAATGGTATTTCTAGTTCTAGATCCTTGAGGAATCACCGCACTGCCTTCCACAATGGTTGAACTAGTTTACAGTCCCACCAACAGTGTAAAAGTGTTCCTATTTCTCCACATCCTCTCCAGCACCTGTTGTTTCCTGACTTTTTAATGATCGCCATCCTAACAGGTGTGAGATGGAATCTCACTGTGGTTTTGATTTGCATTTCTCTGATGGCCAGTGATGATGAGCATTTTTTCATGTGTCTGTTGGCTGCATAAATGTCTTGTTTTAAGAAGTGTCTGTTCATATGCTTTGCCCACTTTTTGATGGGGTTGTTTGATTTTTTCTGTAAATTTGTTTAAGTTCTTTGTAGATTCTGGATATTAGCCCTCTGATCTTTGACAAACCTGACAAAAACAAGAAATGGGGAAAGGATTCCCCCTATTTAATAAATGGTGCTGGGAAAACTGGCTAGCCATATGTAGAAAGCTGAAACTGGATCCCTTCCTTACACCTTATACAAAAATTAATTCAAGATGGATCAAAGACTTAAATGTTAGACCTAAAACCATAAATACCCTAGAAGAAAACCTAGGCAATACCATTCAGGACATAGGCATGGGCAAGGACTTCATGACTAAAACACCAAAAGCAAGGGCAACAAAAGCCAAAATTGACAAATGGGATCTAATTAAACTAAAGAGCTTCTGCACAGCAAAAGATACTATCATCAGAGTGAACAGGCAACCTACAGAATGGGAGAAAATTTTTAAGTAAGCTTTCTGATGATTCCTACCCTCAGTTACTAAGTCACTCCATGACTGCGTTTTCTCAAATGAGACCTAACCATCATGGTGCAGAGACAAGCTGTCCTCGCTTACTCTTTCCAAATTCCTGACTCTGAGAATTTGTGAGCTCCCTGGTAAAATCAATGTTGTTGAATGGCTCTGTGTTTGGGGTGTTTTATTATGCAACAGTAAACAGACACTGGGGCATTAATCCACCAATATCTAACCCTCATTTCTTGTAAAGCATTAAGTCTCTAGGACATTTAGGCTGTCTTGCATGGCTGAGCAAATTCCTGCAGGTAGAGTATTACAGAGATTTAAGCACTTGAAGTGGGAAGATGTCAGGGTATATAGTTCCTGCTCCCTGCAGCTGCAGGTGATTGCTGAGGTAGACTGAGGACACAGGGACAGAGCAACCTCATGTGTATCTCACCTGTGGTCAAATTGCATACATTATAGAGTGGAAGATGAATATGTAAACTGATGAGCTGGAATATGCTAAATCCAATGATGGAGTTAGCATATGGCTCTTTGGCAGCTCAAAGGAGAGCCTCACTACCCCAGACCTCAAGGCATGAGGACGGTTTCCCAGAAGAACAAACTAAGTGAGTGCTTCAGCTCCCACTGCATCAGGATATAGGGAGGAAGGGAGGAGAAATTGGTAACTTCTCCAATATGCCAAACGCATCTGTAGAACAGTATTTTATGAAACATCTGTTTTTAAGATAGCATTATGGTGGCCTACAAATAAAACCTTGGTAGGTTATAATTAAGCATATGATGATAACTGTCTTCCTTTTCTCAGAGAACAATGTCTTGGCCTGCACAGAATTGATTTAATGACCTCACTATCCTTAAAATAAGGGGATGGATACTTTTGATTTTTTGGTGAGTAAATGAAGGTAATTTGCTCTCTCCTACTGATATTCTATAAATTCCTTCTTAATTCGAAGGGCATTATTTTTTTCAAAAAAAATTGAATATAAAGAAGGGGAAATAGAAAAACATCATTCTCTGGCTCTCCATCTGAATATAATAGATTTAATAAACAGTACTTTCTTTAACTAAAATTCTGATGCCCTATAAATCAATTTTTCTGGCAATATCTGCAATGCTGAACAAACTTGTGTGTGTGTTTTGTGTATATTTTCATGTGAATAAATTTTTTAGTGGTTTGACTTTTTGATTTTTCATAAATTTTTATTGAAGTATGACATACAGAGAAGTACACAAGCATTGCAGCTCAATGATTTTTCACAAATTATACACATTCATGTAACCAACAGCCAGATCGAGAAACAGAATGACCATCCCAGAAATTTATTTTGCTGTCATTTCTAGGCAATCCCTCCTCAAAGGTAATTCCTATCCTGATGTGGGGCCATAGGTTTAACTTGGGGCCATAGGTTTAACTTATGTGCTTTGAGAACTATACAGATAGAACCATACCATGTGTGCTTATTTGGGTCTCATTCCTGCCACTCAACATTATGTCAGTGAGATTCATCTATCTTCTGTATTGTTGTTCATTAGACTTTGGTTGTTTGACTTTAATGGCCACGAATTAAATTTTTCTTTCACTGGAAAAATCAGGAGGTTCATGATTATTATCTGACATCCTGACATTCTGCTTCCAACTGAGGAGACCTTTTATTAGGGGGGAAAATAAGACTTTTCCGAAATGGCAATGCATTGCAGTTAGTGTTTCCTCCGGAAATTTGGCAAGGGTGTAGGAAGGGGAGTGTATTAGCCATTCATAGGACTTTGTCCTCAGATGCCTGAATTTTGTAGCTGAACAATTCCCATTGTAAGATAGAATTAATGCTGTTATATTATTTTTGTGTATGAGACCATGTTAGAAATGTAAAAGCTTGAGTTTAAATTCAGAGTACCACCAGAGAGGTTTATTTGCTTGCATTTTCATAGTTTGAGTTCATCATCTCTATTAGGGCTGGAAATTTGGGGCCAAGGATGAGGGAGAAGGTCTTTCTTGGTATGAAACATTTCAATAACTCTGAAAAAATGGGGCAGAAAGGTAACCTTAATTTAGCAATTTTATTAGTAAGTTCTACCACACTGTAATGAAACTGCAAGATCTTCATCTTCCTTGCTCAGAAAGTAGTGACATACTGAGTTGAGTCTGATTCAATAGGGGAAATAAGATATTTTAAAATGCGTAGACAATTGAAAAAGCAATCTCTCTAGGAATTTGTCTCAGGAGAAAGTGGGCAACCATTTGCTAAAGAGGCATAGGCAAGACTTTAATTTGTTAACAAGCTGGGTAACTCTATGACTGTAAGATGAGAGTACAATTGTATCTGCCCCATAGGATTCTGGAGATACTTAAATGAGGTGGTCCATGTAAAGGCATGACCAGAAATCTTGACCATAATAAAGTCCTCAATAAATGTTGGCTACTATTGTCAGAATAATGGTGAGTGAATGGTTAACCTGGAAAAGTTAGTGGGATCATGGCAGTGATCTCATTAGAAATAACATTTCTACAGATGATTATGTGCAAGTTGGCACATAGCCTGGTACAGTGGGAAGGATGTTGCTTTAGAACTGAGGTACCACTGTTTTGTCTTATAACTGACTTTTGGCAAATCACTTAACCTCCTTGATACCTCCTTCATCTCTTTCTGCATCTCCTTGATGGAGAAAATAATCGCTACCTTTCAGAATTTGTATGAAGCAAACATAAAAAGTGATCTGAAAATGTCTGGCACATAATGGAAATCTGGCAGAAGTTAATTTTCTTCCCAACAGGCTTTATGATTCTAGACTAGAGGATGGAATGGTGATCAGCCAGGGAAAGTTTAGATTTGGTCCAAAAACTGTTATCTGTAATGGGTTTCCTCAAGAGAAATTGCTGGCTCATTGTGGAAGTTGACTAAGTGCAGTATTTCAGATAGAAAACAAACTGAGTGAACTATTTGACCCCTTGTCCTTTACCTAACATGGAGTGATGAAAGTATTCATACAGGCTTATAGAAAGTTCCTTCGGAATCACTCAAGCCACAAGCAGTTTTTAGTAAATGCCAGTATCCATTAACCTGGTCTATAGCAAACACTAGTGACCGGAAGATGCACCACAGACACGCAGATCCTATTTTTGGCTTCTGCCTATCTCTTTGGCTGAACATTGTTTCTTCTGTAATTTGAGGTGGTGGTAGTCTATGTTGGTTTTCTTAGTGACAGAATTTAGGAAGATGGCTTATTAAAATTTTTGAAGCCATTTTGTTCATTTTATATATATTTTTTCTCTTTTTCAAACCAAGAGCCATGGCCTTTACATTTTCCTTTTTTTTTTTTTTTTTTTTTTTTGAGATGGAGCCTCACTCTGTCAACCAGGCTAGAGTACAGTGGCGAGATCTCAGCTCACTGTAACCTCTGCCTCCCGGGTTCAAGCGATTCTTCTGCCTCAGCCTCCCAAGTAGCTGGAACTACAGGCGCCCACCACCACGCCCAGCTAATATGTGTATTTTTAGTAGAGACAGGGTTTCACCATATTGGCCAGGCTGGTCTCGAACTCCTGACCTCGTGATATGCCCGCTTTTGCCTCCCAAAGTGCTGGGATTACAGGCGTGAGCCACTGTACCTGGCCGCATTTTCCTTTAACAAAAAAAAAAAAAAAACAACTTTCACTGTGCAGAGTGTAAAGTGAGAAGGGAAATGGTGGAATGACTTTGAAGGTAGTGTTAAGAAAAAAAATTACTCACGACATGTTCTTTAGCAGCACAGAGGAGTCGAGTATAACTTCAAATACAACAAAGATTTATAGCCAAGAAGCAGGGTTGGAAGCAGTGGATGGAAAATTACTAAGAGGAAACATCAGGGGTAAAGGGGATTCTGGCGAAACCAGTTGGACAGACAGGATCCTTGCTGAAGGCAGGCCGAGGTGATGACACATTGAGGATGGGGGATAGGGAATTTAATCGGATATCAAATATGGGGGATTTTTGCTAAAGTGACACAGCAGGAGTCCTGCTAAAACTGGACTAAACTGGAAAAGGGCAGAGCCCAAAGCTGGGCTTGTCACAAAGGGAGCTCAGAGGAGCCAGACTTAAGTTTGATCAAAGAAGAGAGCCTTTGTCAGTAGTAAAGGAAATAAGAAAGATTTCTTCCAGTCAATTCCTTCCTGCCTTCTTCCAGGAAGGGGTTAGAAGTCATCCATCCTGTGGACAGGGAGGACACACCACCTCCTCTGTGAGACAGCACTGGGGAAACAATGAGACCTCAGAGGGAAGATGCCTGGAAGACATGAAGTAGAGAACCTGTGGAACTGAGGTTTCCAACATCAGTTGGCATTTCCATTAACAGAAGCAGCAGTCAGCAGTCCTCGAGGAGCTGAGCAAGTTCTGCCAATGGACCGCTCATCATGAATTGGTGAGGACCAGTGACCCAAGTCCCTGAGAATCCCTAAACTGTGATGGGGCAGCCTCTATATGGCTGAGATCAAATTTTCCATCAGTCTGGTGAGATAAAATCTGGTGTCTGGTTTATGCTGCTGGTTAAAAAAATAAGGAAGTGTAATTATTTCTATATTACCTAATTTTGTAGCTATAAAATCATGCCTTCCACAAATATAAACCCATTTGAGAGTTTGCAGTCTAAGATGATCGTCTCTGGGTCTCTC
This sequence comes from Homo sapiens, assembly GCF_000001405.40. Lineage (NCBI taxonomy): Eukaryota > Metazoa > Chordata > Mammalia > Primates > Hominidae > Homo > Homo sapiens. The sequence goes on from NC_000003.12 coordinate 30,158,898, forward strand.
ATAATGATTAGAAAATGTTTCCATGTTAACCCAGTCAAAGGTGAAGACAGAGAGACACTGAGAGATATTAAGGGATTGATCCAGCCTCACCATCAGTGGAGACCAGGTGAGTGAAAACCATAACTCTAGATTTCCTAGCTCATAATTGCTCCCTCTCCAGGTTTGAGCAATGCTGTCTCAATATGATAGCCATTATTTCAAGCAATTTTTTATTTCTATTCATGTTATTTACAGAAACCCGGTGGAAGATGGAAATATAGCTGTGCTCCACTAGTGCCTTTTAGATTCTTGCTTTCCATCCTTCCTTGCAGAGCTTCCACATTGCTTCTGCATGATTCTGAGAACAGGAGGCTTAGAGAAAACGATTAATGATTGAAAAAGATTTTAGAATCCTGAGATGAAAGTGTTTGATGAGCCTGAAGTGTCACTCCTTGAAGGATTACCTCTTTTTATGCTTTGGCTGCCACTTGGCGGTGTTTAAGGGAAAGGCTGATTTCAGAAATTGATCTCTCTCCCCTTTGAACAAGCTAAAGTGGGCAGAATTGAAAAGGGATTTGAGTCTGCTGCCAGCGGCCTTGTTGTGGCCTGTTATCACCCCTGCATGAGGACAGTCTCTCGGGGTTGACTGGCCTTGGAGCAGTTAATGAAGCCACCTATAGGGTCACCTTAATCCCTTTGCTGCTGCAACTTGCACACTTGAAGCTGAGTGAGAGAGTGAAGCTCCTGAGAAGGTAGGAAAAGGGGCAGTTGCCCAGCTACATGCTGCCAGGCCCCCTCAGCCCTGCCATTGGCCAGGCTGCTCCCAAGTCTTGTGACAGCCTGGCAGTGGGGCTCATACCATGGGTCTCTGATGAGAAGGCAATGGGCCTGGATTGGGGGAATAGGAGGAGAGAGAGTCTATACGAGGACAAAATGGACTCCAGGAAGATGCCCATGGTCTCTGAGTCACTACTGGGTGAGAAGCCTCTGTGCCATCCTCACAAGCCATGATGCCCAGAAGGCTGAACCTACCTGTCTTTCTTTAACATTATCACATCCCTCATCTCATATCCACTTGCTTGACTTTGACAGCTTCTCTTATTACAGTCATTTACTGCATAGTGACCTTTTGATCAATAGCAGGCCACATAGATGGTGGTGGTTCCGTAATTTTATTGTGGAGCTAAAAAATCACTGATGCCGCAGCCATCTTAACATTGCAGTGCAATGCATTACTCATGAGTTTGTGGTGAAGCTGGTATAAACAAACCTAATGCATTGCCAGTTATATAAAAGTATAGCACATACAATTACATATAGCACATAATACTTGATAATGATGTTACTGGTTTATGTATTTACTATACTGTACTTTTTATCATTATTTTAGAACGTACTCTTTCTAACTTGTATATTTTTTAAAATCCAGGTGGGTCCTCCAGAAGTATTCCAGAAGAAGGCATTGTTATCATAGGAGATGACATTTCCATGGATGTTACTGCCCCTGAAGACCTTCCAGTGGAAGAAGATGTGGAAGTGGGAGACAGTGATATTGATGACCCTCACCCTGTGGAAGCCTAGACTAATGTGTGTCTTTGTGTCTTCATTTTTAACAAAGAAGTTGAAAAAATAAAAATAAATTTAAGAATTTAGAAATTGAAAAAAGCTTATAGAATAAGGATATAAGGAAGAATATTTTTATACAGCTATACAATATGTTTGTGTTTAAGCTAAGCTTTATTGTGAGTCAAAAAAGTTTTAAAAATTTAAAAGTTTGTGAAAAAGTTATGGTAAGCTAAGGTTAATTTCCTATTGAAAAAAATAAATGTAAATACATTTAGCGTGGCCTAAGTGTACAATGTTTATAAAGTCTACAGTAGTGCACAGTAATGTCCCACACCTTCACATTCACTCACCACTCACTCACTCACGGACCCACCCAGAGCAACTCACAGTTCCTGCAAGCTCCATTCATGGTAAATACCCTATACAGGTGCAACATTTTTAAGCTTTTATACTGTATCTTGTACACATATTTTTACTGGAACTTTTGTATGTTTAGATACATAAATACTTATCACTGTGTTATCATTGCCTATGGTACTCAGTACAATAACATGCTCTACAGGTTTGTAGCCCGGGAGCAATAGGCTGTACCATACAGCCCAGGTGTGTAGGGGCTATACCATCGAGGCCTGTGTAAGTACACTCTATTATGTTCACACAATTACAAAATTGCCTGATGATGCATTTCTCAGAATGTATCCTCATCATTACATGATGCATGACTGTATTTTGGTTTATGCTTCCCAATGTCTCTTAATAGAAGATTGTTAGAGTTTGAAAGGATCTCAATAATCACTCGCACTTCTTACTTTATAGAAGGGAAAAATGAGGAGTGTAATTGATTAGTCAGGCTGATGAAAGAGTCAGGAACGTGAGTTTGGATGTTCTGACTCCTCTCCAGGTCTCCTAATAGGGTGCTCCACCTTCCTCCTTTCCCTCCCCTTCTTCCCCCTCCTCTTCCCCATTCCTCGCCCGTTCCCCTTACCTGATTTCTCTACTTTCTCTCTCTCTCCCATTCTCTCTTTCTCTCCATCTCTCTCTCTCTCTCTCTTGCTCTTGCTCTCGCTCTCTCTCCCCCACGTACACAGTGGTATTAGGAAATAGGAAATCAGAGTTCTTGTTCTGAGTCTGCCAAGGAACGATCATGTGACTTGCTGAAAGTCATCCAGTCTCAGCACTTGTTTGACCATCTGTAAAATGAAGGTGCTGACTAAAGAGTCTCAGTAACAGTGACAATTCCATGTGTTCACAAAACGCAGCTCTTTTCCTTCTGGGCATGTGGGAAAACTACATTTTCCAGCTTTTGCTTTATTATTTGGGGCCAGATAATTGAGTTTTGACCAGCGTAATGGTGGAGGTGGCATATCTCACTCCAAGACTTGAGAGTAATGCACCCTGCCAAGGCCTCCTCACTCTTCTTTCCTTCTGTGTGACCTTGGAGAGCAGGTAGGAAGTTGGAAGTACTGCAAGATGGGGAATGACTGTGGACCATTGTGTCACCTGCCACCACATGCCCCTCCTTCACATCCACTATTTTGGGCCACGGCATGAAAGCACTAAACCTTTGTTAAGTTACTTTGAATTAGGGATTGTTATAGCAGTTAACACAACCTAACTAATAAAAATATGTAAGGCTGCTCAGAGAGTTGAATCTCTAAGATTCTGTGAATCAGTGTTACTTGATTTTATTCTCCTTCCTTCAATGTTTATTAAGCAACTACAATGTACCAGGAATTGTCTTAAGATATAATCCCTCACTTCTGTCAACTCTAATTCAAAGATGATTGGAAAAATTTTAGTATATGAGTTTGCCTTTGATTACTGTTTTTCTTCCTACCACGGTGGTAAAGAGGATGCTGGGAGAAAAGACAGTGGTAAAGAGAAAGCTGGAAGAAAAGGCTTTCAATTGCCAATATCCAGCACCATTCTGAGAAAGTCTCAAAGCAATTATTAAGTACCAATGGGCCAGTTACAAAAGAATGAGAGGCAGAAGTGTTTCTAATGATGGGGCTGGTGAGAGCTAGCTGAAATGATTCAGCGCTATCCACTCCAGGGGACTGGACTATGGGACTCCATTTAGAAATACCTCTATTGGGCCCTTTGGGTTCTTTGGAAAACATCTTTAAATCAGGCCCATGGACAAGTACTATCTGTCCTCATTAGAATTGTCAGTTCCCTACCCGCTGGGATGCCCACTCCTACTCTTGAATTCTTTAGGTACATTTTTCTTCTCAGCATTGCAGCTCAGCACATCCATCTGGCCAGGAAAAGAATATAATAGGGCATATTTTCAGCATGACCAATTAGATGTGCAACTTCCATTAACAACAACAGGACTTACACTCCAGATTCTTCCTCCATAAATCTGGCCTTTCCCCTTATGAGCAACAGATGGGTTTTCCACAATGGCTCATTACCTCCTGGCTCGGCTCTGCTGCCAGAAGTGAAATATAAAGTTATTTATGGATGGAGAATGATGCGTAAGTCACTGTGGATTATTTTCTGCCATCCTTTTTCATTTATTTAGTTAGAGTTTTCTATTCCTCAAGATGACAAGTTAGAGAAGATGGTGGTGTCCCTACTGGGAATGAAGATGGATGTCCCTTCAGCTTGGCTACTCTTCCTGATGGCTACAGATCTCTGGGGTGATGCTGCATTTCCCACAAGAAATAGTAATTGGGATATTTCCATAGAGAAGACACCCATTCCTCAAAAGATTCTCCAGCCCCTGACAGGCCATCTCTGTGAAATTTGGTCAGTGGGGGCACAAGTCAGTGCCACTTAACTGCACGTGATACATTTGAGAAAAAAAGAAAAATTGCTTTTTTAAGGAATGCCAATATTTCTCACCACTTGACATCTCAACCAGATAAAGATTATTCCTCTGTCAGTTGGGGGAGAAGACTGGGGGCCAGTCAAAAAGACTGCTATGCTAAGCATAAGTACACAGTAAAAAGATAAAACTCTGTGAAGAAAATAGAGGTGGGTTAAGGATCTAGAAAGTAGCTCTGAGGGTAACACTCTCAGATTTTGTGAATGTGAAGCAGGCTGTGCCATGTGAATAGACTCTGATTCAGTCCAGTCCTGCCCTGGGCCATTCCTTAAGTGCTCTGTGCCTCAGTTTCTTCATCTCTAGAGGAAAATAATAATAATAGGAATGATAGTATAAGGATTAAATAAATTAATATTTGCAAAGCACAGACAATAGTGCCTACCATATAGTAGGTGCTATAGCTGTTTGTTACATAAAGGAATTCAACCCAGCAGTGGATTTTAATTGCTTTGTTTTCTTATGTGCTTCAATGGGGCTGACAATTATAGGAATCTATTGCCCCTCAGGCCACAGGAGTGGATACCTCATTCAAACTAAGTACTTTCTTAGGATTTTAAAAATGGGTACAAGAGAAAGATGCTCCGTCCTCTATTAAAATTTGGTTAAAAATTTAGACACCTCCAGAAACCATGCACCTTGCACCATGTGACCTGGAAAAAGCTGATTAGCAATAGAAGAGATGAATCCAACACAGAGGAAGGCAGAGACAAGAGATAAGAAAGAGAGCCCTAAGCAGTGTTCCAGAGGCTGGTTTCATTGGTTTCTAAGGGAACTATATCCATGTTCTTGTTGCAGCTTGATTCCATGAATCAAAGTATTCCCCTTTCTGGGACAGGAGGAAGGACATAATTGGTTCAAGTTAGGTTTCTGTCACTCACAACAAAAGACCAAAATGTACTGAAACAGAAACAAAACAAAAAAAAAATTACTGGAAAATACAGTTCCCAGTTCCCTGTGCCATTCCCCTCTCCCCACAACACATGTACGAGAGATATAGAGATGGGGAGAGGAGCAGGAGAAGGAGGAAGAGGAAGAAAACAGAGAGAAAGAGAGAGTGAGAGAACCACCAGCACCATGTGCACCATGAGGTATGGGAAGGGTGAAGGGTCATTTTAAGAAGTATATCTAACAGATAAGAAATCCTTTGTATTTCTATAGCCCAAGCATGAGAATAACAGAATCAGAAAATTCCAGAGCTAGGAATTACCTCACAGGTTTTATTCAGATTATGTGATTGCATTTCAAACTGTCTGGGTGTTAACTGAGCACAGGGAAACCACTTCTGACCTTGCCAGAAGCTCTATTGGTGAAAGCACTTATTCCTCACATTGAAGCAAATCTGACTTCACAAAGTATCTCCTTATGATTCCTAGCACATCCCTATGGAAAACATTAAGTTTCTTTTCTCATTCACATGACAGGATTAAAATATTTAAACATAGTTTTTATTTTCTCATCAATTTTTTCTTCCTTGGGACAAACATCCCTACCAGAACATTTTGTTGAATATTAATGAGTTATAAACTTTAGGACACTCGAGAGTCAACAGGGTTAGTAAAAATAATGTTTGCTTGAAATCTGAAGTATTATACTAAAATGTGGCAAGGCTCATTGGAGCCTATTACCTGGAAAAAACCCCAAAAGATCTTAGGCCTGGAATAGCCATTCAGCAAAAAGAATGGAGCATTGCACAGTTGCCCTTCCGGGTACTGATGACCACAGACCACGAAACCAGGAACTAATTTCTAAGACATGAACCCAATTTCCTTTTTTCTAGGTCAATTTCCTTTTGAATTGACACTAATTAAGACAGACATTATGCTAAATGGCATTCTGTATTTGGAAAAATTGAGTTTTTATTTAGATTTTATTTTGCAGGGAATCTATTGAAATGCTACCTCTTTTACCTTTGAAACAGTTCTAAATGAAAAGAACACATTATTGAAATCTAATTTCCTGGACTGAGAGGAGAAATTAAATACTAAAACATAGGAAACTTCTCTCTCCATCTCAAGTTTCAGTCCTGGAGGACAGATTCTAGTTAGCATTTTACTCCTGTTTATAAAGCAGAAGTAATAAAATAACTCTGACTGGTCTTTAAAAGAGTATTGCAGCCAATAGAAAAGACAGGCCTGTTACAACTTTTAAAATAAAATGAGAGAAAAAGGGAAAGAACAATTGCCTAGAGCAGTTATTGCAGTTAATACATTGTCACTGTAATATTGGAGGCTATAGGAATTACCACTAGACATCCTGGAAGTCTTAATAGATTTCCAAATTTTTCTGAAAGACTGCATCTGGAACAATTAAAATATAGGTTAACTTTTGCCATCTTTTATTTAAAAAGCAGTAGTTACATGTGAAGTTTGGAACACCAGCAAACATTGTATTTGGATCACATTGACTTAACTCTTTTTATCAGTTAATCATTGCCACAAAAATGCTGCTCAATTACAATCAGATACCATTGCACATTTCTATAAATGGCTAAAATTGTACAATCTGACAATATAAAGTGTTAGTGAGGATGTAGAGCAACTGGAACTCTCATACAATCCTGGAGATAATGCAAAATGGTATAGCCACTTTGGGGAATAGCAGTCTCTTATATACTTTTGTATGATCCAGTGATTGTACTCTTAGGTATTTACTCAAAGCTAAGTGAAAATATGTTCATATCAAAAGTTGCACATGAGCTTTACAGCACCTTTATTCATACTGCCCCAAACTGGAAACAACCCATCATCCATAAGCTGCAGAATATATAAACAAACTGTGGTGCAGCCACACAATGGGATACCATTTAGCAATTGTAAGCATAAATTACTGATAAGTGCAACAATATGAATTTATCCCAAATGGATTATTCTAAGTAAGGGCAGACACAAAATGCTACATACCGTATGATTCTATCTAGATGATAATCTGGTAAAGGCAAAACTATAGAGACAGAGAGAAGATCAGGGACTGATAGTCACTGGCAGTAGTAGAGGGGACTGGCTGCTAAACATAAATGAAGGAACCTTTGAGGTGATAAAAATGTTTTATGTCTTGTTTGTAGTGGTGGTTAGATGCCTGTTTACATTTTTCAGAATGTATAATACGGTATACCAAAAGAAAGGATTGTCTTGCCTATAAATGATATCTTTGAAAACCTCACTTATAAAGTTCTGCCCAATAAACCACTCCGAAAGGTAGTGCCTTAATATACCACTTGTCTAGGATGTGTGAGTTGGCATTTTGGGTTTTGGACTTGGCGGGATACAGATGTGGCAGTTCTGTTTCTTTCTACAAGCCTGAAGATTTGGGTCTGATCTAAAAGTCTCATCCTCCTTCGGCCTTCAGGATACGTGGGACATGTTCTTCTCATGCTGGTGGTAAAGGCACAACAGAATAAGCCTACCCACAGAATATTTCAAGTGTTTGCTTGCATTACATCTGCTAAAATCCTTTTGCAAAAGGAAATCACGTGACTTGGCCCAAATTCAAGAGGCAAGAAAGTAATGCCCACCGCTAATAGGAAAGACCTGCATGGCAATGTGAAAATGAAGTATTGGAATAATAACCTTGTCTTACCAAAGGCTCTTTACTGAATTACAATTTAATAGTATATCCTTATGTTTCTTTAAGGATGGCAAGAAATAGTATAAAATCATTTTTACTTTTTCTGCATTATTACTACTAAAGATTTGTTCTTTAGAATTTAGAGTAGAAATGATACTCCATTTTGTGAAAAATAATATAGTTGCTTTTACCAGGCAATTAAAAGCCTATGATTCATTTTGATTTCTTTTCACATTGGTTACCAGGAAGCTCAAAGCCAATTCCACTGCTCAGTTGAGACAATAATATTCCATGTTATTATGGATATTACCCATATTATTCCATGTTATGGATATTATCCATATTATTCCATAATATTCCATGTTCCTTGAATGTTTCTTCTTGCTCTGAGAGATTCATAAGCTCTTTTTGGATGTTTTTATATATTTGTATTTGCCTTATTCAGTATGTGCTTTTATTGCAAGTTTCTCAAATGTATTTTGAAAATAAGCAGACATTTTGAAGAGGGAGGATCATAAATAATGCAAAGAATATTGGATAGGGAAGGGTAGAATATCTACACTCTATTTCCTTGGAAAATGTGAACTTTAAGATCTCTTGATCTCTTTATGTCTTGATTTGTTAATCATTTTATAAGGCTAATTATGTCTCTCTCTACTTACTTTGTAGCATAATGGAGAAAACATGTGAAATTACAATGCATTTTTTTTGGCACAATGGACTCTGATTATAAGCCATTTTCATTAAATGAATACACAAGTGTGACTTTGGTTCCAGAGAAAGCCTCCATTGTTCTATAAATGGAACAAAAGCCTACTCTTGATTTATTGCAGTGGCTTTGCCTGCCGAGTGATTCAGGAGATTTGTAATAAGCAGGAGAAGGCTCAACTTCAGCTCACTTGTGCTTTCAAACCTGTACAGAAGGATGACAGCTCTTCAGTTTCTGACAGTTGTGAAATGAGCCGGTGGTCTCAGGCTGATTTTAAGAATAAAGCTTGCCACAGTCCCAGCAAGATCCTGAGGGATTTAGTGTATCAAAGCCAAGATTGAAAAAAGTGTAAGGATAAAGGAGATTGGCTGGCCACAGAGGGGCAGCTTCCAGGTCAGTGAGTCATTGAAATGGTGTATACGACAACCCTTTGGTGAGAAGGTAGTGAGGGAACACCAAGGTGAGCATAATTAGTTCTCTGACCTATTCCTACTCTCCCTTTGACCCACAGTGTAACACTGTGCAAATGTCTCAACTATTTTGAGTCTTTTTTTAAATCATAAAAAGCAAGAAGAAAGTGACTTAAATGGGCAATTATTTAGAATCTGTAGGCCATCTGAGCTATAAGATTTGTAATCTACATGAGATCAGAGGACAGATTTGATTTAATCAAAGTTTTAAGATCTCCATATTTTTAAGAAGCCTTTTGTCACACAAAATTACTTAAAGCTTAGTGTAAAGTTACACCTTGGAGCTCAAAGAGCACTGCACTAAGGGAAGTATCATTCTATAGCTAGAAATTTGACCATTAATCAACTAGAATTCCCCCTTTGTAGAGTGTCTATCAAAACCTAACCTTGTAACTGAATCCCTTAAATTGCATATTAGAAGTGCTAATTGGCTCCTCCCTAACCGCCACCCCACCCCCACCCCCAGGCCCACTCCAGACATCCTGAATTAAAATTCTGAAGCTGGGGCCCTGCATGAAATTTTACTTTTAAACAAGTTTTTCAGCTGATGCTAAAAGACAGTATCATGAGAGACACACTAAAGAGAGTTTACCTGAAGTCACGCTTCCCAAGCCTGAGTTCTTGCTTCCCCAGGTGCACCCAACCACAGAATAAACATGGAGCATCATCTCATTTTTTTTCTTCACTTTAAAAGTAATTTAGCTTGGCACAATTAAGATTTTTTATTTTAAAGTACTGAAAAAAAGGTATAAGTAGGATGACATTTTTTCAGATAAAACAAGAACCCACAAAGAAATATCTTTGCTTATCTTTCCAGGTATGCACCTTCATTTCTTTTGCACCCTCCACTGCCTTTAAAAGGATTTAGTTGAAAAGTCTGAAGGACACAAACAAGGATTCTGAAGGAGAAGATAATGTCAGTGTTATAACAATTCTCCATTTATTTATTCTGCAAACATTTATGGAGCACCCAGTATATGGAAGGCACCTGGAAATTATAAGATAAGGTACTTGCCTGAAAGGAGCCTAGAAAGGATTTCTAATATTCAGTGAACAGTATACTGTGGGAGCCCATGGTAGACTAGACAAGAGACTGATTCTAGCTGTGGGGAGGGGGATAGGGAAGTAGGGGATTTGGGTAGTGGTGCTGATGATTAGGGGAAGTTCAGCTGAAGGAATGGCCTTTATGCTGGGCTTTCAGAGATGGATAGATTTAGAGCAATAGTGATGGGAAGAATGTCTTGGACTGAAAAAACAGACATGTGCAAAGAAGAAATGGAAGGAAAACATTTATTAAGCACCTGCCCCCAAAGTTTCAGGCACTTCATTTATATATTAGTACTTCGTAGTGACTTTTTGGGATTTAAAACTCAGTTTAAGTGATGCCCCTCTCAAAATGCTCCCTCCTATCATTTTTGCCCTTCACTTTTGCCATATTATCTGCATTTTAAGTACTAAATTATAAGTTGGTTCATATTTATCTGTTATCTTAATCTAACTAGATGTGGTTATTTATCATTTGAAGTACTCTATTCAGGAAAGCACATTCAAAGTGTGGGAGGTTAGCATTTAAAACTCTATTCAGAAATCCACTTTTCAGAGGCTGCTACTACCAGCTATTTATCTCAGATGAATATCAGGGTTGGGGTTATAAATTTGCTTAATGGTCATATATGTCATCATTTTCAAGCAATTCTTTGCTCAAACAGACCTAGATTAACTGAGTCCTATGATTAGAATGTTGTTGAGTGATTCTTTCACATAAAGATGCTTGTCAGAGAACCTGAAAGGGTGGAGCACTGAGACTTCATAGAGCTTATGGAATATCTGGATGACCTACTTTTCTGTGCCAGCTTTCTAATAAATGTTCAAATGTTTAATAGAATAAGGTCTCAGGCTTGCTGTCTTTTAAACACATCACTTGATAATAAGATTGTAGGCAAAAAAACCTATAGCCTTCACCTACTCTGACTACTGAAGGCTATAAAAACTTACCAAAAAGAACTTAATAATTGTGAATAACTCGACAGATTTGGGTCAGTTTATAATAAAACCTTTCTTTGATTCAAATATGCTTTCTCTGTGCTCTCATATCTCCCTGTACAAACACTTCTAACACTTCACTGTAATTGCAGGTTAACTCATCTGTCTCTTCTCCTTGGCAGTGAGTCTCCTGCTTTAGCAAAATGATCTAGTTGATTTCCTATGTGCACATATTTTAGGTGCTTTTTGATAAATAAAAGTGGATACCTAAACTTCTGAAATGGGTGAGATTTAGCTATACCAGCTTTCTCCATCTTAACCCACAAAATTGTAATGGGCAGATACTTATTAATTATACATCTATTGATAAATAAGCAGTCACAAAAACAGTTCATATAAACTGATCTAAAAACTGAATCAAATCCCATCTGTTTGTCTTTCAGGTGTTCTAACCTTCACTTTACATGGGAAAGATTCAATTGAGGGCACCCTGTTAATGAACAAAGGCCGAATGCTATTCTTTCAGCAGGCATTTAGCAGATGGAATCCTCCAATTTTACAAAACCATTTAGAGATTATCTCTTGGCATCATCCCTCCAGGAAAAGACCACACACTTCACTGTATTTCTAAGCCCTGTTCATGCAAGACTGGACAATAGCTCTAAATTCTTAGCCAATATTTAGAGTTCACCAACGCAAAACTGTTTCTAACATTCATCATGCCATCAAGATATTAGTTGCACAAGAAAAATCGAATTGCTGATATTCACCATGCTGATTTACAAACCTTTGGTGTTGGTTGAGATAAGAATAGCAGGTGTGCTTTGTAACAGTGCTTCTGGAGAACAGGCTACACTGCTAGCTAAGCAAACCAGGAGTAAGCATCTTTCAGTAGCATGTTATTTGCATCTGGGTTGTAGCTTATCCAACCAGCATTCAGAGAATATCACTCTTGCTATGCTAAAAATATTTTAAAGAAAGTTACACATACCTTGAACCTGGCTACAGAGACCTTGATTAATTGGACTTTGTAGCCCCAGGACTTTGTACAGTGGCACCTAGTGAGGGCCCATTTCCTATTTGTTAAAGTAACTAATAAAAAACTGCATGAGTAAACAAATGAATCACAGTGACACCTTTTAATTCTCAACCCTGTGTGATATATCACCAGTTTATAGATTAGAAAAATGACACCTAGAGAGACTAAGCAAATTTCTCAAGACCTGTTCACTTAGAGACAGAGAACTGGTGTTCTGACCTAAGTCAGACTGCTGCCAATTACAATCTAACCTGTTGGGAAGTTTATACATTTCCCCCAGCATAGGTTTATCTCCCATGTGCACAGAGGTATGGAAATTCCTGGTATATCTGAGAAACATAAATTTGATATGATACAATGGTAGACCATAACAATGATAAATAGAAGATAATGTGAAGATAGATGGAATTTATCTGAGAGCCACAGGCTTTGTTTTATAGGTAGTTGGTGATGCATCAAGGACTTTTTTTTAGTAGAATAATGTCCTAATTCCTGCTATGTTTTGATGGATCTAGGAACAGTTATTGAAATAATTATTGAAATAATTTGAAGCAAAAAGAGGTAGAATGGAGTCCCAACAGAAAGCCAATGGCTAGGAGATTGCAAAAGGCATAAATTGGAGAAAAACAAACCTAAAAGAACAGAGTGCAGTGACTTGTAAAATGTGGGAAAATAGGGAGGGGGAGGAGAGAAAGATACTGCAAGTTGAATGTCTGAGTTACTGCAAAAATTAAAAATATAGATAGTGCCCCACAGGAGCAGCCTGCTGACTATCTTCCAGGGAAATGTTTCCCAAATTCCATGCCAAGATGACATTTTCTTTAATTTATGTCATTCTGCTCAGACAAAGACATGTATCCTGTGTTGAGTGATCAAGGACCCAATTTTCACAGCTCTGTGTTGAGCAGTCTCTGTTGTAGACTCTCAAAAGTTTAATTTTCAAAATGTTGCTAAAAATCTCACACAATTATACTAATAGTAAGCATATGCTAAACTTTTATTTTAGCTCATTAATGAGAACCAGCAGGATGAGAAAACTAGTTCAAAGGTAGATAAGATGAAATGAATGTGAGCTCATATATTACTTCAAAAAAAAATAAATGTATGTCATTGAATCACAAAACACAAAATGATCAAGTAATATTTATAAGTTAAAGCAAAACCAATTAATGTTCCACAGTACAATAAAACATAGCCTCTGTGGTTATCTTCTTTAATAGACCAAAGTAATTTGAATTACTATCAGGAAAAAACTTTTTGCATAACTATGAGATAGAAATAATTTACATCAATTTTCTTAAATTAATATATTACAGAATTGTAACTTTACCATCATATATATATGTCTCATATATATATCATGTATGTGTCTCATATATATCATATATGTGTCTCATATATATGATATATATGTGTCTCATATATAGATCATATATGTCTCATATATAGATCATATATGTGTCTCATATATAGATCATATGTGTCTCATATATATCATATATGTGTCTCATATATGTCATATGTGTCTCATATATAGATCATATATGTGTCTCATATATATCATATATGTGTCTCATATATATATCATATATGTGTCTCATATATATATCATATATGTCTCATATATATATCTTATATGTGTCTCATATATATCATATATGTGTCTCATATATATATCATATATGTGTCTCATATATATATGTGTCTCATATATATGTGTCTCATATATCATATATGTGTCTCATATATATATCATATATCATATATATATGTATGTTCTAATTAACAGTAATAGTAATCAACACTCCTCTGGAGAATCACATCATCCTTAGGCAATCTTGATGCAACAACATTACATCAAAGATCAAAATAAGCTTTCTGTTTTACTTCCAAACTTTAGAAATTTTCTTCATGGGACATTCATTTTGCCTGCCTACCAGTCACAATTTTCTGGAAACTATGTCTTTCCCTTGACTCCATCCATGTGCCTTCTGGACAGATCACTTTGTCAGTGAAATGTAGTCCTACCTCTAGGGTGGTCCTTATCCCGGGGCTGAGAAAATGGCTCAGAAGAGGGCTAGAGGATTGGGGTTTACTGTTTTTCAACTTCTCTCACTTCACTCAGAATTTGCCAGATGGAGTGAAATCATGTGAGGTGTGTCGTTTCCATTTTGTCAAATTATAATTTGTGAAATTGGATTTTTGGGTAGTGATTGTAGTAAAAATAAATTACCTGAATAAATTGGATAGTCAAACTATTTTGCACTGTCAAATATGCACATAGGGACTGACAACTTTGTATCCAAAAAGGATTCTATATAATGCCATATCAGACAATACATTTTTATGTTAAAATTTTTGTCTTCACTTTTTATTAACGTATCTTTTACATGCCAAGGTGTAACCAACAATATTTCTTTTTGAAAGAGACTCTATGTTATTCCAAGATTATATCCTACCTTTTTATGTTAAAACGCTTGGTGTGTGCATGTGTGTGTGTGTGTGTGTGTGTGTGTGTGTGCGTGCACATGTGCAATGGTGATCAAGATGATAGATGTTTTTGTTGGTTTTATTTCATTCTTCATTCTTTCAAAATTCTTATTATTATTCTAATTACTTTTTGCTATCTTCTAACAGAAGCAAGGTTTTGTTTCATTCTTAATGTTCTTACCAAGACAAATAAAAGTGGGTAACCAAATGTCTGTTCCTTATTTTCTTATTTGTTTCTTTGCTTGGTTGCAGGTAGCTTTCTCAAGAAAGACAAGTCTGAAAATTATTCTAGAAAATCTCAGAGAACCAAGACTTGTTAATGATTCCCATTGTTCATAGTTCATCTCCAAACCTTGCAGTTTTAGAAAGTTGAATTGTTTTTCATGTAGATTAGTTTATTAAGGGACCACTCACATTAACCAAGGTGAACATATAAAACCAAATTTAGGATGTACAACAAAAATCCTGATTGATTCAATTAAATTTTAATTTTAACTGAGGAGGGGATAGTATAATTAAGTTCAATACTTCTTCCTGCTCCCCCCCCGCCCCACCCCAGCTGCGAAGTAACAATCAGAATGGCTGGTTAGCACGTAATCAGAACAGAAGGGACATTGGTTCTGAGATTTAAGGACTTGATTTGTTAATAGTTTAAGGCTTGCCACTGGGACTCAGAGTGCTGTGCCAGGGAATCTTCTCTCTTGGACAATGATTGGGTGGACATTGCAAACTTCTATATCTGTGTGCCCTTTATTGGCTATCAGGGTAAGGAAACCTCTTTTTCAATAACACATCTTTCTTTTCCCAGAGGTGTAATACTTTCCATCAGGGGTTGATTTCTAGAAGTCATGTATCCTGCTAAATGAAAGGGGCTTGATTACTAATGAAGAAGTAAGGAATGGATATTGGAAGAAAACCAGTGCTATTTGACACACTTAGTCAATTATAATTGTATTATTTATATTTAGAGACAGAGTCTCACTCTGTGGCTCAGGCTTCAGAGCAGTGGCATGAGTGATGATAGCTCACTGCAGCATGAACTCCTGGGCTCAAGCAATCATTCTGTCTCAGCCTCACAAGTAGCTTTGCCCACCTATAACTGTTACAGTTCCACAGTTAATAGTATTGAATGCCTTTACTTATCAGGGATTCCACCAAATCTTCCATGTATTTTTTTCACAGTTATTCCTTCAGAAAATATGTGAGTTAGGTATTATCATTATTGTGTTTTTGATAGATGAGAAAATTAGAGGCCCAAATGAATAAAATTAATTATACTATATTGCACAGTTATGAGACGGAGCTAGGATTTGAACTCAGATTGAGCTGCTTCATTATGTTCATGAAGTTAATCACTTCTATATGATTCCGTTACAGCATTTTGTAAGGGATGATTTTTAGTAAGCTTTTTCCTGCCCATGGACCAAAATCCTAAACAAAATAATCACATGAGGTCAACCATAGGGTTGCTATAGATTTCTGGAACAGTTAAATCTCATGTGACTCTAATGGCTCCTCAGCAAATATGTGCATCTCTATATCAAATCTACATACACACAACAAATTATTCTTTTTTTCCTGATAAAAGGAAGTATAGAGCACAATTTTCAAATAATAACTATACAATGTTGTCCATTCTACATGTTTAATTTATTCTTATAGGATGCTTTATTTGATATTTTGCCAAACTCTTATATTAACAGCCAACCTACATTTGTAACTGACAAACAGTTATAGTTCTGACCTGAATGCTGGTTGATATCTTCATTTATGTTAACCAATGGGACGGGAGTGAAGCAACAAGGATGATAGGAACTTCAGTTATTTATCAATAATGTGAGAGACTTTTTGTTGAATTACATAACAGTTTTCAAACACTGGAAGAATATTTACTCAGTCTTTGTGTTATGAACAATCTAACAGCTACAAACATGACATACTTTTAAGTTTAGTCTGTATTATTAACATTTTCTTGTGTCTGAACAGAGGTTCAAAACTATGATCCTTTGGCCAAATCTGTCCTTCTTCCCATTTTTGTAAATAAAGTTTTATTGGAATAAAATCATGCCAATTCAGTTATATCAATGCCTGCTTTTGAATTACAGTGTCAGTATTAAGTAGTTATGACTGAGGACATAAGGTCAATAAAGCTGAAAATATAGTTATTGACTACACTGCTGTGTACAGAAAAAGTTCATCAAGCTCTGGCCTAAAAAGACAGACAGAGAGGAATAAATAAATGAAAGACTGGTCCATATTTGTAGTTATAGAAAACAAGACTTTCACAAAGATAAGTAATTGTTTAGAGAGAGAATATCTTAGAACACTTTAGAGTAACTGTGTAAGTAAAACACCTTGGGTTGGTCTATGCATGGATCCTGAAATTTCGGGCAATGTAAAAGACCATCTAGCCTGGCAGAAGATATTCATTGTACTCCCCCTTGCTGCTGATTAAAAAGAAATTATTAATGGAAAGAGACATTGAAGAGGAACCAAGCCAGCCCTGGATAGGTATAAATGGTCTATGTGCCTATAATTTCATTATATCAGCTTTTGAGTTTTATAGCATTCAGATAACTGGGCAACTGCTAGAAACAGCAGCATGAAACAATTGTCAGATAAATTCCCATCTAAAAAGTCACCTTCTCTCTTCTGCAGCACAAAGACCTTAGGTTTCAAGGATAGCTTCAAGACTATTTCGATGTTCCCAGTTCTTTTTAGGTGTTTATAGTGTTCAGAAAAGAAGTAGATAAATAAAAGAAGATTGTAAGGGTAAATGAGGGCACGTGTGAGCTGTAGAAATAATAGATGTCTTAAAAGATAAATGATATTATAAGCAAAAGTTGACAATATACTCAAAATGCAAGTTGTTAGTTACTTATTTCTTCTCTGGGTATACAGTAAAATTACTCCTGGAATCAGGAACAGAACATTCTTCATGGTATATTTAATACTTATCAAAAATTCACAAATACGTGGAATATTTAATATTAGCATAGCAGTGTTTCTACTGCTAAAGAACCAGTAAGAGGTGGTACACTAAAGTGAAAAGGTCCTACCAAATCTTCTCTTAGAGTGATCATTGTACACTTTGCTACAAGGCAGGTTCTTCTGAGGTCAGCATCATCTACGGCTATATGTCTTACGATATCTCAGCTCTCTGGTTTTCTCTTTTGGAAATGATGCCAAAATTTAGTTTGTTTTGATGCCAGAGTATCATGTGGTCCTGGCATAGGCCTGAATTAATAAACACAAATGGGAAAACTGACACTGATATTTTGTGAAAAAGTTTCATTATAAGAAGTCATATACATAATCTGGAAAATGTTTGTGAATTTTTGATAATTATTCAATAAAAACATAAAGTTAGAAAGTTCTTATGGAGAACTCTCCAAGCTCTAAAATTAGAGTTCTCTATAATCCTTATGTCTAAGAATTCTGAGGAATCTCTTTGAAAAGATGGACAATTTTTTTTCAAATGTATTTGACTTTAACACAGTATATTTGTAAAGAATGCAGTGGAAAGAAAATTTGGGAAATATAGGATCAATAGAAGAGACAAATTCTGTAATAGATCAGCCAATGGGAGAAAACAACCTAGGTTTGTTTTCTCAAGGTACTGGGGAAAAATATCAAGTTGAACCATCACCTTCACACAGCTCAAAACATTTTTAAGTTTAAGAAATAAGAAATAGATCACTGCACTTTCAGAGTCTTGAGGGGACCAAAAGCTAAAGTGCCAACTATTGTAAAAGGAGCTCTTCTAGTGTTTTCTGACGTGATTGGAAATTGACAGTTGAGAATGTTCTCAGGAGAGGGCCTCTTCTTAAGAAACCTTGAGACCAATTTTTCAGTCTTGGTAAGTGTGGATAAAGTCAAGTCTTTTTCAGACTCTTTAGGGGCTTTATCATGATTATATCTTTACACTTACAGAGCATCTTTTCTCAAAAGGCCATCTGGCATTCTGTCAACTATGGGAGGGTGGTGACGGGGGGTGGTGGGGTGGGGCGGGCTGGGGGGAGAGAGAGAGACAGAGAGAGAGAGAGAGAGAGAGAGAGAGAGAGAAATAATGAATGCATTAGCTTGCCCAGGCTACCATACCAAAGTTCCATAGACTAGGTAGCTTAACCAAGAGGAATTTAGTTTCTCACAGTTCTGGAGTCTGGAAGTCCAAGAAAAAGATGTCAGCAGGTTTGATTTCTCCTGAGGCCTCTCTCCTTGGTTTGCAGAGGGTCATCTTCTCTCTGTGTCCTCACATGGACTTTCTTTTGTTAGCGTGCACTCCTGGTGTCTTTTTCTCTTCTTATAAGGACATCAGTCTTATTGGGTTAGGCCTCTTTTTTTATGACCTCATTTACCTTAATTACTTCTTTAAAAGCCTTATTTTAAGAGACATTGGAGATTAGTGCTCCAGTATGTGAATTTTGGAGGACGGGAGGCACAACTCAGTCTATAGTAATTCATAATCATTATAGAGCATTTTAACAGAATATCAAAGTATTTAAAAGAGAGTAAATTTAAAATATTATCTTTCTACCAGTTAGAATAACTTTAGCTTGAGTTGAATGTCATTACATCTCTCCATTTGGATGAGTCAGTAGCTTGATAGAGAACAAGATGAATAGTTTTCAGTCTATAAAAAATTGAACCATAGTATATAATTTACTTTTTAATTAAATAGTTTGACATTTTACTGATGTGATATTTTACCTTAGTTTAGTTGTTTTTAAAACCAGTGCACAAAAGCATTATTTTTCTAAAGATTAAAAACCATCCAGTAGATGTTTTTAAAACAGTAGAGTACACTTGTTTTCATGTATAAATGCTGTTCACTAATTGTTGTGGACACTAGGAACTCTCTTAGCTAGACCAAGGGGGAAAAAAAAAAAAAAACTTGTGTATGTCAAGTCATTTAAACCATTCAATAAGTATAAAAGAAAGTGATCCTAGTTGCTTATAAGATCTGTTTTAAAATATTCTTTTATAGGACGGTTTAGTGTTTTGATTATTGAACAAAATAAGACATATGACAGCACCTAGCATAGACGCTTAATAGCTGTTTATAGTATGTGTTCAACAAATATTTGTTGAGTTAGAATGTAAATCTTACTTGATCAGAGATACAGGTATTCTGCTGCTTGAAAAATCATAGAAAAGAATGGCAAATTTGGCATTTTGTTTTGAAGTCCTGTTGAATAACTGTCACTCTCCTACCTGTAGGCATTGATCTAATGGAGGTGAATTTTACAAGGATAAGTTCTATGGCAATCTATAAGTTAAATGATGTAATTCTATTGTACTTAATGTAGCAGAAAAAAACTTAAATTGTAATAAAATGCATTTAAAACCTAGGATCAATTTTTTTTATCCCCAATACATATTACTTCCTAAAAGATTTCTTAAACTTTATAGAAAAAGGTTATTAAAATAACTAAGATCTTGGAATTATCTTTATATTTTAATATTGTGAGTTTTTAGATTACTTGCTATAGAGACAATAAAATTAGACTTTATCATTCCTTCTGGTTCCTCTTCTTGGCAGTTAATTTTTGTTATGCATATGGATGCACATGTGTATGTGTGTGTAAAAGTTACATTTGTACTCCATCCTGTAATCATAATTCCCACTGTTGGTTCATTTTAACATAAATTTAATGGTCACCAACGATCTTTTTATTTTCATCTCTTGCATTTCTAAGTTTATTTAAAAAATCTCTTAGTTGTCAGGAAAGTTGTACTGCAACTTGCTCTGTTGCAGCACAGAAAGAGTTTAATAACCAAGTACCTTTATGCCATAAAGAATCCATGAGTATATATAGCTATAGCTCTCACTTGTTTAAAAATGTCTATGATTTTTATGCTGGAATGACAACTGGATTGGGCATAGTATTCGTGGATCACAATTTTTTCTTTCAGAATTTTATAGACTTTGCTCTTGAATTCTAGCCTTAAATGCCAGTGAGGAAAAGCTTAAAGACAGACTAGCATCTCCCACTTTTGCTGTCTGAATGCTTGAAAAAAATTTTTTTTCAGTATATTTTTAAATCTTAGCTAGGATATGTCTGAGTGTCAATCACTCTGGATCTATTTTTTCTTCTAAAATAAACTGAGGTTTTTCCCAACTTGTAGATCAAGTTCTCACTCTTCCAGGCATTTCTTTGAATGCCTGTTTCATTTATAATATTTCTTATATTAGCAGAACACTCAGGAACAGAATTTTCCAGATGTTGAATTAGTTTCTCCATTTTGCACAATATTTCCATTCCAGATTGTCTTCATCATTCTGTCATTTTCCTTTCTTATTATCTCAAGACATTTCTTATGTTATTAATTTTATTGCCAACCATGTTTATTGTGTTTCCTGTTAGGTTTAATAATTTATTCTGTCTATGATGGAATCATTTTTCTTCTCAATTTACTGGCTCTATTTTCCAATCTCCACTTCTGTTTTATTTCATTGTTTTGTCATCTAGATTTTTATTGAATTCATGTTCTTATTCTTCTAAAGCATAAGACATTAATGAAAAATATACTTCTGTTGTTTGGATTTATTTTTAGAATAGTTTCTCCATCCATTGATTCCTTCTCGGTTGGTTAACACATCCACATACCAGCAGAGTGGTGCGCCCTAACCCCATTGGACAGAAGGTCTTGCACTCAGGACCCTTCTGGACCTGGCCCTATATACCTCTTCAACTGGCCATTCGTTTGCATTTTTGTAATATATTTTATGATAAATCAGTAAACATAAAGTATTTCCCTGAGTTCTGTGAGCTATTATAGCAAAATATCTAAAACTGAGGAAGAGTTTTTGGGGAATTCCCAATATGTATTAAAGTCAGACAGAAGTGTGGGTAATCTGGGGATACACTATTTGCAACCATGTCTGATGTGGGGAGCAGTCTTGTAACCGTAAGTTCATTGCCCAATGCAGAGTGATTCAATATCCTGAGACACTAGGGGTTGCCACACAGAAAGAGTTTAATAATCAAAGAGCAGCTGAAGGAGGAGACAAGAAGAAACCTCAAATGTGCCTCCCTGAGACATCTGGTGATGGATTTTTTAAGCGGTCTGGATGGGTGATGGGCTAAAGTGTGGGGATCACTGATTGATTGAAAAGTAAAGGGTGAAGTCATGGGACAGAGAGATGAAGAAAACTGCATTCTTCTGCTGAATTGGTTCCTTGGTGGGGGTCTTCAGACCACTTGATGACAGCTGTTCCACTGGGATTCAGGATCTAAAAAACACTTTAAGCAATTCCTGGGTTAAAAGTTTCAGTGTTAGAGATTCTATCTATAGGAACAATAGGGGAGCAGGTGGTCAAAGTGCTATGTGACTCTTGGTTAGCTGGCAGCTGCAGGCAAGTGAGTTGAAGCATACCAGCATACCCTGGTCAGCTTACCCACTATAATTCTGCCTAAAGTCTGGCTTGTATTTCTCCTTAACCCTGTGAGGGCAGTTTCAGTCTTGTGAGACTTAGCCCTTAATCTACGGAGTCTGTGCTAACGTCAGATAGTGTCAGAATTGAAATGAAATTGTAGGACACCCACTTGGTTCCACAGGGAGTTGGAGAATTGGTTGTTGGCAGAAAAAAAATCACACACATTTCATTTTAGAAGTGTTATGAGTAAAGGAACAGTTTTCTTGCCAAAAACTTTTGGTATTTGTGATACTGGGTTGTGACTTCTTATTGCTCACTTTTCGTTTTTTGTTTTTAAATTCATTTCATCTGATAAATTTTTGGGGAAGTGGGAATCTCTGATGTGACCTCAGTCTGACATAATTACTTACACATGCTCATCAATTAAGTTTTAATTCCTCCATTGTGGCTCAGATTTGTCTTTGTCAGCTTCATCACATTTTTAGGGGTACTGGGTTTCACCAGGTAAAAACTATAAAAGCCAACTGTTTGTTGATATTTGTTGTTATAACACCAAACACAGAAATTTGGGACTCTAACATGATTTTATTTATTGCTATAATAACAAATATTATTAAGAATTTAAGTCTAAGTGTATCAAAAAGCTCCAAAAAGTGGTAAGTAGACATTGCCCTTTTTTTCCAAATAGGAAGAAGATAGGCAATTGCAATATTTTGCTCAAGATCAAATAGCTATAAGGGCCACATTTCAACTCCTGTCAGCACCTAGACTGTGTTCCTTGGACAAAAAATAAACTATAGCTTCACTTGCTTCCTGAATGTGCAGTTGAAGAATGCACTGAGTTGAAGAATGATGTGGTGAGGCATTGCAAAGGCCCTCTGCTGACCCAGGCTGGACATTTCCAATATTCAGTAATTGTGTCCCATCAATGACCAAACACTAGTGTACATCCAGCACATCCTTTTGGTCATAAAAGAAGAAATCCAACTGATTCCTGCCCAAATGCATTTTAAGAGCAGACTGAAAATATCCAGAAAATAAGCTCTAAATGCTCAGCTTTATTACATGGAGATGAAGACAAGGGGGTATGTCAGAGGCTCTCTGAAGTGGGAGGAAGATAGAGGAATCTCTTCCCTTATTCATTCTAAGCTAAGAAAACCCATAATAGAATTAAACCTCTAGACCCCCTTCTGCTATACAATCTCCTCAAAATCATGACCCCAAACCAACTACTTATGATATTAAATACCACAAGAAAAAAATTTAATAACATGGATTGTTTTATTAATGATAATTTAGATAATCTTGGACCAGTATCCCTTTCCAGAAGAGCAGGCACTTAAAAATAATATATTTTATGGAGTTTCCATCCTAGTCCCCAGGACCTGTGAATGTGTTAGCTACTGTGGCAAAAAGAGACCTTGCAGATGTTATTAAATTAAGGATCTTGAGATGAGATTATCCTGGAGTATCGTGATGGGCCCGATATAATCACAAGAAAAGTTCTAAGGAGGGAAATAGGAGAGCCAGTAAGAGAAAAGATGTGATGACAGAAGCAGAGGTCAGAGAACGAGTTTAAGAAGCCACACTGCTGGTTTTAAAATCACAGGAAGAAGCCATGAACCAAGGCATGCAGATGGCCCCAAGAAACTGAAAATAACAACGAAATGAATTCTTTCCTAGAGCCTCTAGAAGGAATACAGCCCTGCTGACCCATTTTATAATTCTGACCTCCTGAAATGTAAGATAATAAATTTGTGTTATTTTAAGCCATTATGTTGGTGGTAATTTGTTACACATGACAACGATAAGAAACTAATACAAATGCCTACATTCATAGTTAACTAATTGGCATGTTGATTTCAGAGTAATAAAACATGGCTACTGCAGGAACTCTGACGTAAATAGTATATTTCGTAAATATACTATAATACATTATAATAGTATATCTGGTAAAATACAATAAAATTCAGGGTGCTTAGAAGTCCCGGGAAGGAAATCCTCACCTATTGTTATTTATAAAAGAAGAAACAAAAACTTATTTTATTTAAGCCGTTATTTTTCAGGAGCTGGTAGAAGACAATTTTGAGGGACACAGGAATTATTAATAACCATTTCCTGCTGGACTGTATTGAATGGACACGCTTCATCTTAAACCACTGCTGTTTCCATTTCTGCATGAGAAAGTGCCCACTGAGCTTTTAAAGCTTTTGACTGAAGCATGACCTCAACAGAATGCTTCTGTTTAGGCTTGTGTTTTTACCCTCTCCAAGGAAAATACTTTTTTTCAAGTGCAGAGTTACAAACCATAAGCTAGAGAAAGCATGATTTTATCAGGCCATAGAGAAATAAAGTTCTTTTGTTTACTCAAAGAGACCTCTAATGGTCTTTTTGAAGAATCCTAGGAAATTTCATTGCATTAATTTTCCTCCTTCTCTTAAAAAAAGCAGCAAGATTCACAGTCACTGCTTAGGTGTTGATGATTCTGATGTCGGCTTCTTCCTCCAGTTAAGTCTTCATGGCCCTGTCCTTCCAACTGGCCCATATCATTGCTCTCATTCTGCCACTTCCATCATCTGATGCTTCCAGTGGCTTCTCTTCCCTTCTGCATCAGACTCCTCTGCCTGGCCTAGAAGATCCTTCATAAATGATTCCTTTTTGGCAACCTCATCTCCTATGACAGATAATTCCTTACTGAAGGAATTGTGGTTCACCCAGTAGGCAAATCAGATTGCATTTTCTCATAGAAAGAATATTTTACAGAGTTCTGAGATGCCAGAACCAGCCTTCAAGATGCCAACTAACCTACAATGTATTTGCAGTATTCATACTATTTTCACACATAATCCCCTGCCCCTGCCCTCGCCGTGAGTAAATGTCAGCAAGAGTGCTCACTTGGGTTACTAAATTAATTTTTTTACTCACTAGGATTACTTCTTGGGGATGGGGATAAAATTAAAAGCAACGCTATGATTCAATTCAGAATCTTCTAACTAAAACGGAAATTGCAAATACATCCCTCCTGCCTCATTAACACTATCTAGGTGGCCACCATGCTCCTCGTAACTGTAAACTGTAGAAAGGGTTCCACTGGAGTTTAGTTGGGGTTAGGCAAGGGCCTCATTTAGGCAAGGGTAACTTATTATCACACAAAAACACACAAATAAAAACACTATTCTATAACTTTATGGTTGCATAGAAGAAGCTGTCACTTAATTCTAATAATTTACTGCATGATTAAGAAATAAAGAACTGTTGATTTGAGCTCCCTCCCACACTGTGTCAGTGAGTCTGTGTCGTTATTCTTACATAAAGGAGTTAGTAACAACTGTTACTTCTCTATGGGAACTGTCTGCCTCCCTCAGGCCTCTCTCCCCAGATTCTATTCTTCTTTTCCCTTTGGTTAAAATTTGTTACTCTTCTAGGTCACAGAGCATGTGATTTTGGAGTTGCCAGACAGTCCCTTTTTGGTTTGTGTCTAAATTCTATGCCCCCTTCAAAGCCTGTCTCAGTCTTCCCCAAGACATTCCCTCTCTTATCTAGCTGTGGTAGACAATTACTCTTTTATAAACCCAACACACTCCTCTTTTGATGGGAAAAGCACTCTCCTCCTTTTTGGGAACTTGTTTTCCAACTTTCTACCTTCTGTCACTATTATCAGTGGGATCTAGTAGATTCCATCTCCATAACCACAGTGCATGATACCTGATTCAGCTGGAAACCTGGAGCCTTCCCACTCACTTAGCACACTGATCAGACTACAGAACAATTTTTCCTATGCTAGCTGGGTCAAGTGTCACTTACAAACAATAGTTCTGATATCCTTCCACCCCTCTTCACAAAATTCCTGGATTTTTACTTACCTACACCATCAGTTAGCATGTATCTCTGCCCCATCTTATTGTAGAGGAATGAATCCTTTTGCACAGGCTTTGTTCTCTAATTGAATAGTGTCACTTGAGAGAAGGTAGCCCAGTTTGAATTTAGCAAAATGCTTATCATCATGAGAAAAACCTCAGGAAATACTTGGTTACTAATTAATGGAAGAACTTCCTGCACAGATGAATTATGAGTTTATCATACATTATCAGATATTGTCAGCTCATTTGAGTACATGTAAAAATAACACAAGAGTCAGTCAATTAAAGTCTTGTCTTTCTCTTTGTGGCATTTTTAAAATTACCATTCTGACCTCCAGTTTATTTTTTATTTAATGTTCTATATAGGGAATAATAATGTATTATTCATGATACTTTGGGTTGCAAGACATAGAAATCCAATTTAGTTTAGATTAAGCAGAAAATTACTTTTTAGTTTTATTTAATTTAAAGAATAGAGCAGAATAGACTTTCAGGTAATGTTGGATATGGGTAAGCAAATGACTTCAATCTCCCCATCCTGGCTTTAATTTTCCCCTGTGATGCCTTATTTTAAGGCGGGGTACTCCTAACTGTCAACAAACATAGCCACCAAAAGCTTCAGGCTTTCATTTAATTTATTACACAACCCAACTGGAAATCAATTTCCTTCTCTTCCAATAGTTCTGATATAAGTTTCATTAGATCAAGTTAGAGTTTGTGGATCAAGCTGATATAAGCACTGTGGTTGGTTAGGGGTAAGTGGATTTCTTTAATTGGCCAAGCCTGATTTGCATCCCATCCTTTCACCAGTGAATGGGTCCCTCTGTTAGAACCACATACACTGTGAATAAGATACAGTGGTAGACTGATTGACTCTCCAGAATGCCCATATCCTGACCCCTGAAATCCAAAAATGTTATGATATGAAGCAAAAGTGACTTTACAGTTGTGATTAAAGTAAGAATTTTGAGAGATGGAGATTTTACTATTATGTTACTTGAGTGGATCCAATATATTCACAAGGGTCCTCATAAGAGGAAGGAAGGAAAACAAATAGAAAAAGGCAATATAATTGTAGCTACAGAGATCAGTGTGATGAGCTTTGTAGAAGAAGAAAATAAATTTTCTTTACTTTCTTATGTTCTGTATTTGAATTAAACTAACAAAAGACAGATTAACAGGAAAAGAGATATGGGGGCTTTAAAGTATACTTTTAATTTTAAAGTACTTTAAATTTGCAATTAAAAGTATTTTATAATTTTAAAATTAAAATTTAATTTTAATTAATTTAAAATTAAACTTTAAAATACTTTTAATTTTAAAATTAAAAAGTACTTGAATAAAAAATACTTTTAATTTTACATGCACAGGGGCTTCACAGAAAAGAAGTTAAAAATCCAAAGAGGCAATTAGCCTCAGGGGCTTGTATACCATTTTAACAAAGGGTGATGATTATGGAGAAATGACTAGTCAAAAGAATAGGGTTTTGGGCTTCTAGGTCTTGCCAGTTCCAATTTACTGTGTGAATAACTGAAGGGCAGCAAGATGAAGATTCTTAGATAGTGGCACCCAAGCAATTGGAGCTAGGGCAGGACAAGAATGACGGAGCGCCTGTTCCTTTCCTCCTCTGAAATGCCACTGTTCCTAACACTGTGATACATTTACCTCCAGAACCTTTGTGAAACATTTTACTTTTCATCCAGATTTCTGGGATTCCAAAATGTCAAAAATTTCCCCCTCTTAGTTGCCTCTGGGAGCCAGAATCCAGCCAGTTCTCAGAGATTTCTACCTGGTTGAAGAACTCGCATAAGTCACCGTATGCAATGGCTAACAAAAAAATTCTTCTGTTGATTTGAATTTGAAAAACTCTTACAAATATCTGTGATAAATAAAATGCTTCGTTCAAAATTTTCAACATTAAGAAATCATGGCTAGTGCAATACCAAAAGCTATGAGGTTTTCCCAGGCCACTCCTTATCGCACCCATCTTACTCTTACTTGTTATAATGGGCATACAAATGCACAATGACATTAATAGCACCATTGAAAATATTCCCTGCCATTAAGCACGCATCTGCCTTCTTAACCTTGCCCTTAACAATAGATATCAATATCACTGTCAGTAACAGTGCTTTCTCACACAAAGAACCACCACCACAAGCATTTATCTCTGTCATTTATTTGTTATGCATTTCAATTCTTCCATTAATGTCTTTTGTCAGGCTAATTATAAAGATCCTTTTCCATATTTGCCCCAGATCTAGGATTGATCTCTGAATCTGCAGATAATTCTGTCTTACTAATTGTAACCTTCCCTGTTGGAGACATTGGCCAGATGATGCCTAAGTCTGGCAGGGAGTGACTATTGCTGGCATGAGGAGACTGGAACTTTGTCCAAGTTTGCCCTGGCTCAGTACTTCGGTGACAGTCACATGTCCACAAACTTACATGGACTCAAAGTAGGATACTAACTTTTCTCTAATGCAGTGTCTCTTGTCCCTGGTGGAATATTGTAATCACTTTGGAGTCTAAAACCAAACAAGCCAACAACCCACAATAACAATAATAACAACAAAATCTACCTAGGTGACACCCACATCATTTATGTCAGAGTCTTGGAGGCTGAGTTCGAGACTGAAAACTACTGTTCTAGAGTTTTAATTGGTCACAATGCACAGGACTCACTGCATTTTTTAATACCACATTATCTATTAAGACTAACATGTAGATAAAATCTACAAAATTCCAGCATGACATACTGAAGCAGTGGACTTCCACCAGGGATGACTATGTCCCAGACATTTGGGAATGTCTGAAGACATTTTTGTTGATCAGAACAGGGAAAGGGGATGTTACTGGCATATAATGGATAGAAGGCAGAGATGCTAAGCTCCCTACGCTACACAAGTCAGCTTCTAGCAAGAAAGAATTATCCAGCCCAAATTGTCAATTGTCTTGAGGTTGAGAAACCTTGCCTAAAGGAAGGTGACTTTTTCTGTTTGTCAGTAACCTATCTGTAAGATCTACTGAACTGAATTGCAAGGCTCCCAAAAGGTAAAAGGAGGTTCAGTACAGTTTTCTGTAAAAACATTAGTAAGGAACTAGCTGATTGTTAAAAATCATCTTTATATTCTCCTTTACTCTACAAAAAGATGTTCTTAGTGAAGATATGGAGAATCCAGATTTTATTAAATCTGTTCTTCAGTTGGCTGGTGAGAAACTGGTCACTTCTCCAAACACCAGTCAAAAACATCTGAGGGTGTTCACACTTGCAGCAGATTCCAGATCTGCTCCAAATTTACATTTCCCAGCAGTTTCAATGCCATCCTTCTTGACAGCCTTCCCCCAAATAAATATTTCCTATAAAAAATGAAAAGGGAAATAAACCAAATGAACAAGATACTCAGTCATTCACATATATAAGTCACATAATTTTACACTTGATCTTAGCTAAAAGGCCAAGAAGTGGTCACATGACCTTAGAGTAAAAAAATCCCTAATTATCAAACTGTTGTTCAGAGGGGTTGATATTTTCCAAAGTTTTACAGATAATGGGAGTGTTAGGACTGATATTCTCATCTCTTGATTGTTTATCCATTGCCGTTTCCACTGGTCGGTGTACTTTTCAAATGTGAATATTATGGCTAAAGAGCCAGTTTAGTCGTGTCAAATTTAGCCATTTGAAAGCTAACGACTTTTTGAAAATTTTGCCCAAATAGGGTTAAGAATATCATCTGTTTTATCAAACTGCAGTTATAGCTCAATTGTGGAACAGTACACGCACTGGACTCTAATAGCCTGATGGAGCAGGCAATATTTTCCAAAGATGACTGCTGCAAATATTCTCTCCTATATGTTCTTTTTACAATGTGACTGTGAAGCTACTTAAGAGCATGGTGAGGTCTATTTCACCTGCCCTTCAACCTGGGCAAGTGTCAATTTCCTTGTCCAGTACAGTACTGTGTAAGTGATGTGCGTGATTTCCAATGTTACTTCAAAAAACTGCCATGCATTTGCACCTTTTTACTACTCTTGGGTGTTCACTCTTGGAACCCAGCCACCATGCTAGGAGAAAGCCAAGCTACCTATAGGTGTCCAAGCCAAAAGCCCCAGCTGCTCTCACAATAGACAGCCAACAGCAGCTGTCAGATATGTGAATGAGTCAACCTTCAGATGATTCCAGCCCCCAGGCATCAAGTCACCTCCTGCATTCAGGCTGTTCCAGCTAATGACATGTAGAACACAGATACACAGTCTCTTCTGAGTCCTTCCAGAATTGCAGACTTATGAGCAAAATAAATGATTGTTGGTGTTTTAAACTACTAAGCTTCAGGTGCTTTGTTGCCTTATAGTAGATCACTGAAACACCTGGCATTATTAGGCTTTTGAATCCTACAACTAACCTAACTTCTTGTGACCATATTTGGCTCACAATATATTTTTAATGATTATTTATGCAATAATTAGTTGAATCTATACTGTGCTCACAAAGAAGTTCTAGATTTGGTTTGTCAAATGTTACAAACCCTGTAATGATTGTCCATTAATCAATTAGCATTCTGCATCATGCATCAGCTTTCATGAGTATGTTAAAAGTGGAGTCTGCTCTTCAGAGATAGATCTACCATCTATTGCCGAACATACTGAACTTCTAAGCCTAAGAGACCCAGAACCTGAAGGGTGGTAAATTCATCACTATAGGCCAGGCACGTTGGCTCATGCCTGTAATCCCAGCACTATGGGAGGCCGAAGCAGGCAGATCACTTGAGGTCAGGAGTTCAAGACCAGCCTGGCCAACATGGTAAACCCTGTCTCCACTAAAAATAAAAAATATATAAAAAATAGCCAGGCATGGTGGTGTGTGTCTGTAATCCCAGCCTCTTGGGAGGCTGAGGAAGGAGAATCGCTTGAACCCATGAGGCGGAGGTTGCAGTGAGCCAAGATTGTGCCACTGTACTCCAGGCTGAGTGGCAGAGCAAGACCCCATCTCAAAAAAAAGAAAAAATTCATCACCATAGAGGAACCTATCCTTTCAGTACTTGGTGGACAAATAGTCTTTTCTCTGATACATGAACTTTATGGAAAAACTTAAATCTCAACTCCAATGATATCCTTTTCTTCACATCTGAGAATTTTATATTTGATGGATCACTCAGTACAGATGAAGTAAAAAACTAAGTAATTTTGACATGCTCTTGGAGACCATCCTTGGATATAGAGTTACAAACACTATTTTCCAAATCCTAGTTACATCTGTAAATCATCCAAATCTCTTCATAATCAGGCATATGTTTTTGTGAGAAGAAGTACTTTTTTTTATGTTGGCTGTCCTCCGTGAAAGCAGAATATGTGTCATATCACCTCACCAAGGAACTCAAGGCCAAGTGTTTTTGATTTATGGAGTCTTAGATGTGGTCTACAATGAGTTAATTACTCTTGGGAGCAGAACGCATCTCATAGATCAAAACAATATTTGAGATTTATTTGTGCTAGTGAAATAACTCACAATAATATGAAATAATTTCGTCTAAGGCTATGGTCTCTTACAATTGAAAAATAATCCCTTTTCTTAGGAGCCAGGGATATAAATTGGGGATGGTTTTCTTGAGAAATAAAGTTTTTTAAAGTAAGAACTATTTTGAAGTATAAAACCAGGATGAAGATAGAAAGGGAAGGGAAGAGAATGTGGGAAGACAGGTCTAACCCGGGCCAAACATTTAATTTAAATTAAGACAGCTTGATAATGGTGCAAGGATTAAAAAATAGACCAAGGAAGCAGAGAGCCCACAATCAACTAATGCATTTAAGTAAACTTAATATATGACAGAACTACTACTATGAATCATTGGGGAAAGGATAAAATGTTAATTAAATATATTGGAACAATAGGTTATCCAAAACAAAGAAAGAAAGAAATTGGGTTCCTATATTGTATGATTATTACTCAAAAATCAATTCCAAATGGTTTAACTACTTAAAAGTAAAAGGCAAACTTTAAACTTATAGACAAAAATATAGGTCAAAAAGTTTATGACCTCAGGGCATAGAAATGTTTCTTGAAATAATGCAAAAAGCATAAAGTTTAAAGGAAAAGACTGATAAATTCAGCTACCCTAAAATTAAGACATTTTAGGCAAAACACAAGTCACAAGATGGAAGAACATATTTGGAACAAAAATGATTGACAAAGCTTGATTATTAAAACTATACAAAGAAACTCTAAAATCAATAAGAAAAAAACAACAATATAAAATGGGAAAAACATAGAAAGCAAACATTTCAAAGGAAAGGTAACACAACCAATAAAAATAAGAAAGCACTCAACTTTATCTGTAATTAGAAAATGCAAAATTAAGATGAAAACTAGGATCCAAATTAAACCAGTAGCTCATCAAAGAGTAAAGTCTGATTTTAACAAGTATTGACAAGACAGTGAGTCAATGGGCAAGATTGTAATATCGATGTTGGGAATATAAATAAGGAAACTATTTTGGAAAACAATTTAGCATACTCTAATAAATTTGAACATATGCAAAGGCTATAAAACCAGCAATCTCCCCTGTAGAGAAATCCTTGCCACACTTTACAAGGAGATGTACAAACATGCATAAATGCATTGCTTATAATAAAAACCATGGAACCAACCTAAATCTCTATAGACTTTAGTATGAGTAAATATATTGTAGTTTATTCCACAATGGAATATTATAAAGCAGTGGAAATGAAGGCATTGTAGCTACACATATCCATATGAATATGTAGCAATGTATATCAGTACCTAATGCCACACAAAAAAGTCATGGGAAAACAGTCACTGTGATTTAATCCTTTTAAAAATGTATTATAAAACATGTAAGTACAAAAACATGTCAAATAAAATGAGATCTTGTTTACAGGAACTTATATAAATAGAAAACTATGAAGAAAAACAAAAATGATTAATGATAATACAGATATTAACTACCTCCAGAAGGAGGTAGGAGGAAACAGTCAGGTACTGATACCCAGAGAGCTTTAAGACTATGTTTTGTTAAGCTAGGTGATTGGTTCACAATGTTCATTTTTATCAACATTTTAAAATTTATACAAATGTGCTATATACACTCTTATCTAAATGATATATTTCAAAATTTTAAAAAAGAAAATAGATATCATGCTATCTGATGACAGGTTTCACATCTAAACTTTCTGATATCATTGTAAGCTAGGAAACTGAACCAGGTTGATTAACTTTCATTTCCGAGTAGCATTCATAATTAACTGTTCTATGTTAACACAAGATGAGCTTGGTTCCTGTTACCCAAGCTATAAATAGATAAGCAAAGGTTATTGTGAGGGGAAAACAATGCCCAAGACTGGGAATATTTATTTTAAAAGATGTTCTCTTGGCTTTTGCCTTTTCAGCCTAACCCTGTCCTAAATATCCCCCAGAGGATAAGGTCCCCAACAAAGCTTTTCCCACATATATCTACATGCTTGTCAATCTCGACCTTTTACTCTAGAGCGCATGATGAACCAACCTTCTGGTTTATCATGGCTGACCTTCAGCTTATCCCTGTTGTTGTTATTACTACACTTAATTTATTTTCCTTCATTAGACGTAAGCAAAATGGGAAGATGGCTTCACAAATTTTTTTTTCAATTGATAAAGATTTTCTGAAGCTAAATCCATAATCTTACTTTAAATTCATTTAGAGGTCAAAAATTACATCAAATCTTTGCTTTTAGGAATCCCATTTGATGAGACTAGAGACATTCATAGTGTTCCACAGGGCAGCTGTTGACCACAATTGAAGCACTGGAGATCTAAAGACACCCACAGTGGATGAAATCCCACTTTAAGTGTATATTCTGCTTGAGGAATTCTAAAAGTATAAACAGCTTTTTCAGTTGCCTTTTTTTCACTCTTCTTAGGCTGTAGTTATTAAATCTGACACCACAAATTTAATATATAAAAAATAAATATAAATTTATTTTTCTGTGACATTAATATTCTACAGTTGAAATTGATTTCTAGTTGAGCTCACATTTCACCTACCGGCAGAAGCTTAAGTTTAGCCAATTTACTGTATCTACAGTTAAAATATTTTGTTCCACTCCCCTATACCTTTTTAACTTAGATTTGCCTCTATTTTCCATAGGGTATAGGTGTGCACAGAACTGACATTTGTGAGACGTGCAAATCTGGTCTATGGTTTAACTATGCTGATGCTACTGAGATGGGTGTTTTCCACCTGGTCTCCAGCTATAAGCCAATGCAGCTCACTCTATATCTTCTTTATACTATCCATTAGATGCCTTCAGGACCTGAGCCATGGAAAAATGTTACTTTTTTCTCTTTTCTCTTCTGAGGCTGTCTCACTATGTCTCAGTAGATCTGTCTCAAACCTATCTGAGATACATCAAGAACATATTTCTTATCTTCCACTTTCATGCTCTATAGGGATATAAGTGGACTGCTGGGATAGTGCTGTTTTCTAGTCTCTCCTCTGAGATTAATTAAGTCCCTCTATTATACGCAAGTATTATTCTTTCCTGGGAAAAATCTGAGAAGTGAATTTTTAGGGCTCATGGATTCTTGAGACTTGGAATCATTCTTCTCTGCTGATAAAGTCTGTACACTTGTCATGCAAAGCTCATTCTTCCCTTATTATAAATTCTAAGAAAAACTCATTGGTTAAAATGCCAAAGCTCATGCATACAGACTTATGTTATACAGCCCTTCCTAGTTTGTCAGCTATACTAAGATACATCCAATTCCAGTGTTGAATTCCTCAAAATATTGCCAGGCAACCTGGTGATATTAATAAAGCAAAATTAAGTTTATTGGAATTTATTACAGTTGGAGAGAACATCACCTTGATAGAGTATCAGAAGCAGCTCAGAAGGGGAAGTCAGAAGTAGAGTATTTATAGCACTTTGGGGTTTTGGGCTTAAGCAATCTAAGGTTGGTCTTTCGAAGTGGGTAACTGACTAAACTGGGCAAAATTCATGCTATAATGGCCATATTGGTTGTCAGTGAAGCATGTGTTTTGAAGTGTGTCTGCACAGATGCCTCTGTTTGCTAAGCAAGCATTTGCCAAGGTGAGAAGGCTATCGTCTTTGATAAATTGAGTTTTAGAAATTTCTTCAAGCAAACAGTGGAGTTATTTATATTATCTTCTGGGCAAAGTTTTCCTGGAAGAAATCAGTAAGTCATGTTGACATAGGTGATCAAAAGTCTTATGTGAGTCATATTGACATAGAAGTTCTCCAATTTAACTTGTTTAGACTCAAACTTGTATTCACACCAAATTAAAAAGTTATTCTTTGCAAGCTATACACTCAAAATACCTCAGGAATTTCAGAAAATATCTTTTATGAAACAGGGCATCGGAAAATGATTTTCAGAGATGATATCTTAAAGTGAGTCTTGAAAAATGAGAAGGGTATAGAAAAATAGAAAAGAGTAAGAAGAAGAAATAGAAAAGAATAAGAAGGCAATTAGGAGAAAGAGTACGAAATGCCCAGTGAGGGCATTTGTGAAGAACAATGAAGATAATATTTTGACTGAGAAAACCATCTAACTTTGAGAGAATAAATTTTTTTTAAAAAAATTATTTTTCTGAGTACATCAAAACCAGATTATGATGGGCCCTACATGCATAATTAAGGGATCACTATATCTCCATTTACATTTATAATTAGGGCTTCCCAAAGATCTTTACATTTTTTGAATCTCATGACGTGTTTGTTTTCAAACATACCCCAGATCACATTGTTTTGGGGGTGGTGGGGGGCAGGGGAGATGACTTTAGCGGTAGTAATAAATCACCTAACAGTATTCTGCACATAGCAAGCATTCAATAAGTAGTAGTTGATATTATTATATTTCATTAACCATTAAGAAAAGATTTTAGTGGTAACTGAGAAAAGTAGTAAATAAGTCACCTAACACAGTATTCTACACATAACAGGCATTCAATAAGTAGTAGTTGACATTATTATTATATTTCATTAAGCATTAAGAAAAGATTTTAGTGGCATTGTAATCAGGCAAGCAGAAAGGGTTGAACCCTATGGACATGAAAAAATAGTGAAACAAGAATTACAATTTGATTAATAGCTGCACACATGCACTCAAGGCTATAGGTTTAAATGTACATTTAGATCATGAAGCTTGGGACCACTCTTTGAAAAGAAAAATAATAGATGAGAAGTAAGAAAAATTAAGTTTATTTACCCACTTATGTACATGTTACCAGAGAAGAGAATTTGAGTTGGCAAGATTCCTAAGGGAAATACCTACTGATATTTTTACCTTTTCCTCCCTGAAGGGAAAGAAACCAGGCAAAAGGAGCCTGGAGCCTCTGTTCCTGTGTTTTGTTGTTGTTGTTTGTTTAGAACACAGTGACTGCCTGCTGGCAACTGTAATCTAATTTATGTCCTGAAATTCTCACCAGCCAGACTAACTACTCCCATGCTTTGGGACAGAGCAGCTAAGAAAGAGGTAGACAGAGGTATGAAAAGAAGACAGGGTACTGCTAAGTTTCCTGACCCCTACATTCTTCTGTTTTGGTCCTCTGTACAAATTCACTTGGGGTGAGGATGTGAATTTAGGATAGTTGATGATAATTTTCAAGAGACCTAGAAATTTCTCATTCTGCCCTGTGTATCACTCTCCTCTCCATGGGATTCCCAAAGGTGCTATATCCACAATGAATAAGACAAGAACGGGGACAAGGCTTGCTTTATTAATAGCTGTGCAAGAATCTAATACTCACAGTGGAAAACTCCACATTAAAAGCTGAGCTGGCAGATTAGGATGAAGGTCCCCTATCATTTTCTAAATCTACATTTTGAGATTCTGCACTATTTGGATGGTCATATAGAGAAAGGAAATATGGGGAGAACAATATGGCCATGTCTACACTATATATCTGAATTAAAATTCCCTGGATAGCCATAAGCACCAGACGGGCAGAAAGGAAGAGTCTGCATTTGGTTTTCAGGACCTATTAAAATATATTTTCCTTTCTCACTAGAAATCATGACCCATTAATATTCCAAGCTCTGAACATTTATGCTGGTAATACTTCTTCCATTGCCAGGGAGCAGAAAAGAAGTGAACAGTGGAGCCAGAGAAGGGGTTGAAATCTTTCTCCCTACTAGAGTTTCAGACATTTGCTTTAGAAAGGCAGAAGGAGATCTGTGAGGAAGAGAGTATTGAGAAGCATGCTTCTGATATTACCACACATACATCATTTTTCCCTGTAGTCTCTTTAGCTGGTCAACTCTAGGCTACTGATTTCATTATACCAGCTGGCCAACCAGTTAAAGCCTGGGTGGAGGGACGTTACTAGTGACAGAATTTAATCTCCATAGGAGCAGACTATATTTGTAGTTTTTAATGTATGACATAGTGCTTGATAAGTATTTGTTGAGCTGAATGCATGACTGCTAGTTTGCATGTATTGCCCATTCTTTGAGAACTGCTGAATCAGGGATCACATATACCTGCCCTCATTTGCAGGTACATATGATCTGGGTTATTTTCTTGCCTGGTGGAAAGTGTGGCAGACTTTCTAGCAATTCTCTGTCTCTCACGCCCTTTCACTCAGATGCCATGAAAGCTAAAATCTCACCTTCCCAGGCTACCTTGCCATATGGGGTAGCCATGAGGCTCACTTATGGCCAATGAGGAGTAAGCAGAGGTCGGCTCTCATGTCTCTGAAAAGTTTTTGCTCTATTAATAAAAAAGAAAGACAAAAATGATGCTACCTTGCTCTCTTCTTTCTGCCTCAAAATGGAAATTTGTCTAATATTTGTGCAGCCATCTAATGCCCAAATCTGAAAGTGAGATTGAGAGTCATAAAAGTCAGCACTGACACCTTCCAGCTGAACAATACCGGCAGTTCCCTATATCTAACATTGTTGCCACATGAGAAAAATAAACCCTTACTAATTTAAGCTAATAGAAGTTTTTCGTGTAGCCATTAACATTCTTGACTGTTGCAGAACTTATCTGGGAAGAAAACAGAAAGAAATCGTAAAACTCAATCACCCAAATGGATCACATCTGAGTTGAAATATGATCATCATTTTCCTTTTTGCGATATAAACATATTCAATCTGCATCTGTGTGATACTTTCCCCAGGTGCACAAGAGGGAAGATGCAAATTGTGGCTTCTCTGGTTTTTTACTTTTGAATTCAGGAACAAACATAGAAAAATCATTCTCCATAGAGAAGAAAAAAACTGGGATTTAAATTTCAAGTGTCTGACTTTATTCTGTACCCAGGGCCCTGATCCTTGAAGCTGCACTTCCCACTCAGGTTTCACAGGCCTAGATGTCTGAATTTTGAAAAGGTGCTTTGTATTGCAACAATGTGACTGCACACTGCATTTCTTTTATGTATTTATTTTTTCATTAAGAACATTATGTATTTCTTCATTAAGAACACAACAGATATACCAAAAAAGAAATACGTTGGCTGGGCGTGGTGGCTCACGCCTGTAATCCCAGCACTTTGGGAGGCCAAGGTGGGTGGATCACGAGGTCAGGAGATCGAGACCAGCTTGGCCAACATGGTAAAACCCCGTGTCTACTAAAAATACAAAAATTAGCCAAGCATGGTGGCACATGTCTGTAGTCCCAGCTACTCAGGAAGCTGAGGAAGGAGAATCGCTTGAACCCGGGTGGCGGAGGTTGCAGTGAGCTGAAATCACACCACTGTACTCTAGCCTGGACGACAGAGGGAGACTCTGTCTCAAAAACAAACAAACAAACCAAAAAAGAAAAAAAAAATAAATAAGTTAATGAAATAATACATCTTAAGGAGCTATGGTTTATACTAAGACAGCTGGATTTAGCATTTTTAAAATACCATATTATTCTAGATTATTGTGCTTCCAGGCAATGGCTATACATTTCAGTCAGCTCACTAGCAAAAAACCTAGGGAGTTAGACAAATTCGAAATTGGATTCTGGTTCCACCATTTATAGTGATATGAGTCACTTGCAGCTAGTATACTGGTTAGTTCTTAAGACTGTGACTTCAGACAAATAATTAGACCTATCTTAATCTCAGTTTTCACAGCTGCAAAGGAATTACTAAAACCAGTCACTAAAGTTGTGGTAAAAAGTAAAGAAATATACTTGATATATACTATTAGCTATCATTATTATTAATTAGAACTTGACAGACAAATATCCACTCTTTCTGCATTATGGTTTGTTGGAACGTCCACAGGTTCACTCTTTCTGGGATGAGACAGGGGAAGGATAATGACAAACCAAACCAATACTCCAGATCTTCAGTCTACGCTTCTCCACATTCCCAGGCAGCTGCTTAAACCATTTCAAACAACAGCAATTTAGAAAACAGGTTAATCTGAGTGATGATGACCTTTATTAAGCTATCTCCAGGATCCCAGAGGTTGGCAAGGCTGAAAGTCAGAGGTGAGAGGGAGGTCAGAATCAGTCCCTTTTGGAAGTCAAAGCTGCAGATCAGTTGGAGCAAGTGGGAGTTTCCCTGAAGAGGCCCTATACTTGATGACAGAAAGAGGAAAAGCAGATGTTTCCTCACCATCCACCTTCACTGCTAGCTTCTCTGCTCCTCTGTAGATTAAAGGCTTAAACAGCTGCACTCTTTGTCAGTTTATTGATCTTGAATGAAGGAATTCTAGGCAAGTTCTTTATTTGGTACAACTTGTCCAGGAGGTATAGATTGTGTCATAAAAGTGTGCCTGCAGATTGTTTTGCTGAATCATAAGCCAAGCTGATTTTCTGGAACTGACAATCATAGAGTAACAGTTTCCAACGTTTGTAACCTATCCTAGTGAATGTGAAAGGCAAATCAGGCAAATCCCAAAGATAGATTTACTTATTTATTTACAGATTGGAGAAATTGAGATGGGGATTTGCCTGAGTCCGGGAACTTACCTTCAATGAGCTCAGGTTCTCCCAAGACAAGGTGGGCTTAGAAGAGATCTCAATTATCATTTGAGATATGCTATTAAATAGCCATGGTTTCTTAGGGATCATACAACATTTGTGGATCTTCTGCTAGTCCATCTATAACACGAGCTTGTGTGTTTTCAGTTATGACCAAGGATACTACCAGATCTAATGCAACAAATCTTTGATTAAAAATGGAAGCATTGCAAATTTGGCTGATGAATGATGATATGTAAATAGATACAACACCTTTCCTTGTCTTCATCATTACAAGAATAGCATCATACTATATGTTTCTGGACTGGAATATGCCTTTTGGTGTACCTAAAATTGCCCCTTTCAAGATACACAAGCAACTATAAGTGTCAAGTTTTTCGGGTGATAAATTTCTACCACTGTCAGATTCATTTGCAAGCAGATAATAGATTATTAATCATTGGGGCTTATACTTAGTACAGGGTAGGTTATTTCACTAGACCCTGTTATTTTGGGTTGAAGAAATACAGAGATGTATGTATTCTACTACTATAAAAAAACACAGATGTCAAAGGACTGTAAACTGGCACAGGCCTGCAGCGCCACCTGTTGGCTATTGTGTTAATATAAGCTTTCAGAAAAGAAAGCTTATCTCCAAAGTTAAAAAGAGGCAGGGTATGCGCAGGCCAAGTTTGAGTTAAACTCACTTTTATTTGAAAAGAAAAAAAAAAATGCGTCCCTAGAAAATGGGTGGGGCTGCTTAATTCTGGATTCATTTATTTTTAAATGAAGCACTAGTGGAAAATGGAAAGATGGGATAATAAAATTTCAAAACTGGAGAAGTTTTTAAGTAATGATATAACCTCCTCACTGTGCAGGTGAAAAAAACAGAATGGAATGTATCCCACAACAAGACGCTGTGTATCCCAGAGCTACAGAGCTTGGTAGTGAGGCTGCCGGAATTACAAGTAACTTCAGATTTACTTCACAGTTCCGTCTGGGTAGCTTTCTTTAAAAAGGTGCATTTTAAGAGATCTTCATGTTCTTTAATTTTACCAGAATTATAATGAGTATCGGGGCAGTTCTTGCAATATCCTTATTTAAATTTACAGAATTGTGGAAGTAATAATTAGTTTTTAACCCTCCATTCTATCTGCCTGTTAAAAACTTTCAACAACTGTTAACATGCTTATGGAATCTAAACTTGCCAAAAATAATTTCTTTTTTTTTTCTCCTTCCCCATGTTTCTCTGCAATTCATTCCCTTCCTCCCACTAGGAGAGAAGGATTTTTTTTGTGGTATGCGGATGAGGGGCTGTGATTCCATTGAGACATATGTGGCTCCAGTTCCTAGGTTGTGGTTCCCTGAAAACGCAAATTGCTCACTTGAGACAACCAAGAGCCAACAACAACAACAACAACAAAACTTCCAACTTGCTCTCCTATCCTAATCACATCTCCAGGCCTATCTGAAAGGGATGGAAACTCAATTGAGAAATGGGTCATAGCACACGCAAGATCTGACACAGGGTAAAAAGTTAGCAAATGCCACCCTCAGTAAAAAAAGAAGACCAAAGGAGTCCAGTAGGGCTCAGAAGCACCATCTTGGACAGAAGTCAGAAACATCTACCAGGAACAACATTTAGAATTTGTAAGTTTTTCAAAATTAAAGACACCTTTATTTTTGTTTATTTATGTATTTATTTTAAGTTCTGGGATACAAGTGCAGAATGTACAGGTTTGTTACATAGGTATACATGTGCCATGGTGATTTGCTGCACCCATCAACCCGTCATCTAGGTTTTAAGACTGCATGCATTAGGTATTTGTCCTAATGGTCTCCCTCCCTTTGTCCCCCACCCCCCGGCAGGCCCCAGTGTGTGATGTTCCCCTCCCTGTGTCCATGTGATCTCACTGTTCAACTCCCACTTATGAGTGAGAACCTGCAGTGTTTGGTTTTCTGTTCTTGTGTTAGTTTGCTGAGGATGATGGTTTCTGGCATCATCCATGTCCCTGCAAAGGACATGAACTCATCCTTTTTTATGGCTGCATAGTATTCCATGGTGTATATATGCCACGTTTTCTTTATCCAGTCTATCACTGATGGACATTTGGGTTGGTTCCAAGTCTTTGCTATTGTAAATAGTGCTGCAATAAACATACGTGTGCATGTGTCTTTATAGTAGAATGATTTATGATACTTTGGGTACATACCCAGTAATAGGATTGCTGGGTCAAATGGTATTTCTGGTTCTGGATCCTTGAGGAATCACCACACTGTCCTCCGCAATGGTTGAACTAATTCACACTCCCACCAACAGTTTAACAGCATTCCTATTTCTCTACAGCCTCACCAGCACCTGTTGTTTCCTGACTTTTTAATCGCCATTCTAACTGGCGTGAGATGGTATCTCATTGTGGTTTTGATTTGCATTTCTCTAATGACCAGTGATGATGAGCTTTTTTTCATATGTCTGTTGGCCGCATGAATGTCTCCTTCTGAGAAGTGTCTGTTCATATCCTTTGCCCACTTTTTGATGGGGTTGTTTTTTTTTTTGTAAATATGTTTAAGTTCCTTGTAGATATAGCCAAGAAAATCCTAAGCAAAAAGAACAAAGCTGGAGGCATCACTCTACTTGACTTCAAACTATACTACAAGGCTACAGTAACCAAAACAGCATGAAACTCATACCAAAACAGATATATAGACCAATATAACAGAACAGAGACCTCAGAAATAACACCACACATCTACAACCATCTAATCTTTGAAAAATGTGACAAAAACAAGCAATGAGGAAAGGATTTTCTATTTAATAAATGGTGCCAGGAAAAATGGCTAGCCATATACAGAAAACAGAAACTGGACCCCTTCCTTACACCTTATACAAAAATTAACTCAAGATGGATTAAAGACTTAAATGTAAAACCCAAAACCATAAAAACCCTAGAAGAAAACGTAGGCAATACCATTCAGGACATAGGCATGGGCAAGGACTTCATGTCTAAAACACCAAAAGCAATGGCAACAAAAGCCACAATTGACAAATGGGATCTAATTAAACTGAAGAGCTTCTGCACAGCAAAAGATACCATCATCAGAGTGAACAGGCAACCTACAGAATGGGAGAAAATTTTAGCAATCTACCCATTTGACAAAGGTCCAAGTTTTTATATTTATTTTTTAAATGAATGACTAATAGCACATTAATTCTTAGGGAGAAATAACACTGGTACTCATGTCCTGTAAGCAGTAAGGAGAATGAAAACATTGGAGCCAGTTCTTTTTTATAGTCAGTTTTAAGGGAAGAGGGTAATGAGTATTGGAGACTTTAGAGAGGAAAGGAAAGCAGGGTGCATCAAATTGAATTAACTGAATGCTACCTTCATGCCTTCAAAGTGATCTTAGAGACTTCATATTGGAAAGGTGTATGGGCCTACAACTTAATTTTCCATTCAGTCCATTGCCCAAACTAGAAGATAAAGGATTGTCCATAGTCCTTCTCCGTTAACCCCTATCAATTGTAGCAATTCCAAAATATCTCTTAATCTAAACTTCCCTTTTCATTCTCATGATCACACTTTAACACAAGTGACCTATTACGCTGCAACCGCCTCCTAACTAACCTCTTGCCCTGGAAGTCTATTTTCTTTCCACATGGCTACCTTCATCTTTCTTAAATGCAAATTGGATCATGTTATTTCCCTGCTTAAGACCACCAAGCAGGAACAGAATCCAAGCTTCTTAGTATGATGTATAAAACTTTTCAGTGTGGCTTAAATGGGAAAGTATTTTCCTGTTCAGCCTCATTTCCTGGACCAACACTCCAGTCCCTCACAATTCAGGGTCTCTGCTCCACACTCTTCTGACTTCTGCATCTCTGTCTGTATTTACAGTCATTTCCTCTGGTCTGTTGTGCCCTTCACAACCATCACTAGGCAAATTCCTATTCATCCTTCAAGGTCCATTTCCATTATCACTGCCCCTAAGGAGCCTCCTCTAAAGTTCTCAGCCAGGGAGCTTCTCTGTTGTGTATACTTGCACTCTGCTTTTTTATTACATCATTACAGCGTGAAGCTCATTGTATTGTATAGCTCCACTAGCATATTAGTCTTCCTTACATAGATGATGAGTTTCTTAATGTATAGATCCTGATAGATCTTTTTAGCAGTTCAAATTGTTATCATACACTGTTCTACAATATTTACTGAAGATAAAGCATGAATCCTTCACTATGCTAAATACGAGAAATACAAAGATAAGCCATGAATGATGCCCACAGTAATGTTACTCAAAGCCTACCTTTTCTGCATTCTAAGTATTCAAAACAGTTGGCACTATGGTTTTAATATTTGTCTCCTCCAAAAGTGATGTTGAACTTTCACCCCCAATGTGGCAATATTGAGAGGGAGCCTTTGAAAGGGTGTCGAGTCATGAGGGGTCTGCCCTCATGAATGGATTAATCTATTCACATATTAATGGGTTATCATGGGCATGGGACTGGTGGCTTTATAAGAAGAAGTGTGACCTGAGCTAGCACAGTAAACTGCCTCACCATGTGATGCCCTGCACTGCCTCAGGACTCTACAGAGAGTCCCTGCCAGCAAGAAGTCTCTCAACAGATGCAGCCCATCCACCTCAGTCTTCTCAGCCTCCAGAACTGTGAGAAATACATTCCTTTTATTTATAAATTTACTCAGTTTCAGTGATTCTGTTATAAGCAATATAAAACAGACTAAGACAGTTGGAGAAAGGAGAATTTTGTGTTTTCTACACTGACTGAACTTCATTGCAATGTGGTGATTCTCAATGGTGATTCACCAAAATCAGTGGTGAAACAGTACAGTAGACAGTACAGTAGACCCTCAAGCAACATGAGTTCAAACCGCATGGGTCTATTTATACATGGATTTTTTAAATGAACACAGTTGGCCCTCCACTAGATGGGTTCCATATCCGTAACCAAATGCAGATCAAAGATACAGTATTCAGGTGTTGTGAAACCCACCTACATGCAGGGCCAACTTTTTGTATCCACAGGCTTTGCAGGGACAGATGAGTAAAATAGGATTTTGGTACATGTGAGGAGTTCTGGAACCAATCCCCTGTGGATACCAAGACACAACTGTACATGTAATATGTACAATTTAAGCTCTTGTGGGTGGATATAACAGATAATATCATCTTGATTGTCATGTG
Source organism: Homo sapiens (assembly GCF_000001405.40). Lineage (NCBI taxonomy): Eukaryota > Metazoa > Chordata > Mammalia > Primates > Hominidae > Homo > Homo sapiens. The sequence continues at coordinate 30,203,886 of NC_000003.12, forward strand.
TCTTGTTTTTTTTAAAAGTTTGAAATCACTATCCAATGTCCTGCCTGTATACTGTATATTAGTACTTCACAAGCACAGACTTCTCAATGTTTGTGAAATAAATAAGCATATGGATGGATGAATGGATGGGCTACTGGAATGATGAACAGATGGATAAAATTGAATTCCTGATTCTCTTCCCACGAATATCTCTTGTACTTGGTGCTTAAAGCTGTGGGCTTTGAGGTGGACATTTTTTGTTGATATGTAGAACCATTATCACTTTTCTGAGTTCTTCTCTGTCCAGTATAGGCATAAAGACTGGAAACAGAATTCCTCAGTTGTCCTTGCTAGCTTGAGTCTAGCTAAATTCTACCAGAGAGGCACTTTAATGAGATTTAAAAACAAAGAAAAGGAGAAGCTATTATCTTCTGGTGGCAGCTGTAGGCAGGTGAGTGGGCATTGGCAGGAAGCCAGTAAGGGGTTTTGCCTGTGACTTCATATATCATACCATAAGTTGCCCATGCTGGTCCATAAGTAACTGAGATACTTGGAGAATGATTTTGTTGAAATTCCTCACCTTCTGGATTTCTTGAAATTTTCTATGTTGATCTTAATTCATCCAACTTTCCAATAATTGTGTAAGTTTTTCCTATAGTAAATTTCTTTCTATCCAAAATACATAGAATAAATTCTGGTTGACACAGACTTTTGGTTGGAAAACTAAAATAAAATGGTTACTTATCCTAATGAACATTCAATTCAAAGACCTTTATAATCTTTGAACATGCGCGTGTGCACACACATACACACACACACTCAACTCTGGCTTAAATACTTTCTTTAATGGAAGGCTCATTGCTTCACAAGGTAGCTAATTGCCCTCTGTGAGAGTTTCTAATTAGAAAAAAAGTAAAAATTCATCTTTTTAAAACCTGAAATGATAAATCATTACTCATTTATTTTCTGATTCTGTAGCTACTCCACCTCTAGAAAGTTCATAGGCTCTGGGCATTAACGGTGTCTGCAGGGAAGTCTAAGACCCATACCCTTGGATCTTCTGCTAGAGATGAGTAGGAAAGTAGAATAGTAAAATAATTATGCATGTTTTCTTGGTGTGACAAATTCAAAGTTTAGGTTTGATAATATAAACATACCTGACTACTGAAATATAAGCTTACTAAAGGGAGTGGCAAAATCTTCAAATCCTTCAAATTCCCATTACCTTTAAATTCCCAGTACTAAATATCATGTTTCTTTGTTGCTGAGCGAAACCCAAGTAAATGAGAATGTTTTAAAAACCTGTAAATCTAGCATCAGAAGAGATAAAAATTTTTAGCTTCCCAAGTCTTTATATTGGTTCACTTCTAAGGAAGCAGCACAATTTCTTTTACAGTTCAGACTCTAGATCAGAATAAAATATTTGTTATAGTAGAAACTAACACAATATAGAATTACAATCACTCCTGTAGGACATGAGAAAATAAAAATATTTAAAACCAAATAAGTAGCAGGGAACTGCTTCAGTTTTTCGAACCAAACCTAACTAAGTTTGAATAATCTTAGCTAAAATATCGCAGCTGTTTATTGATGACCCTTTTGCCTTTAACATATTCAGAAATAATGTGTATACTTTTTCTCAAAAGTCAACAAAATAAGCAAAAAGTTAACATATTGTCTTGTGTTTTAGAGGATATATAGCATATTAACATGTCATAGTAATATTTTATTGCTATCATTATTAAAATTTTCAATGAAACTTTGAGTTCTGACCAAGATGAAGTAACAGAGACTGGATGTATCCCATCTAAAATGAAAAAAGATGGACAAAATATATGCAAAGAAATGGTTCTTAAAAGTTTTGACATAAGGCAATGAACAGAAATCTTTGAGAAAAAAAAAAAGAAAAGAGTGTCCAGGATGTGATTCGGGAAAGGGGGACTCAGGTGGAACCTAGCAGTATCTGTGAGTTGAAAACATAGAGCTGGGTGTGTACAGGAAGGCCAAGGTGTCTACACTTTGCAGGACAGAGTACCAAATAAAAGAAATCTATATGCAGGGATCCCCAGACATTTATCTTCATAGGGTCCCTCTTAAATCTTCAGCTGACTGTTGGTTAGCATATTTTTCTGAGAAAACTATCAAGGCTGGGAATGTAGCCACCAGAGAAAATTAGAGAAAGTGCCCAGAGTTCTAAAGGGCCAGAAATACTGCCTCTTACCACCAACTGGTATGTAGCCCCCTCATAATTCATGAGGTACTGGATAGCATACTCAGAAGACTTTTATCTCATTATGCTGCTCTCAGCTTGCCTAGCAAAGCTTGAGAACAAGACTTAAATAGATCAAACTGTTTTTAAGTAACTTATCTACATCTTAGAACAAGATTTGGAATATGTGCAGGAATACAAAAATATCCATCCCCCAGAAAGGTAAAATGTATAATGTCTGGCATCCAGTCAAAACTTATCATTTTGTAAAGAAACAAGATAATACAGCTATAATGAAGACAAAAATCAATCAATTAAAACTGATCCGGAATGACACAGAGGAGACAGATGATAGTTAATAAGAACACTAAACCAGTTATTGTAACTATAGTTCATATGTGCAAGAAGCTAGAGAAAAGATTTAAGATGTTAAGCAGAATTGTGAGGATATGTATTTTTTTGAAAGACCCAAATCAAACTTCTAAAGATAAAAACTACATAAAGAGAAGAAAAGATTAGTTAACACCAAAACATAGCAATCGAAACTATCAAAAGGGAAACAAACAGGAAAAAGAAAGCACTGAAAAAGAAGAGTATCAGTGAGCTGTGGGACAATTTTAATGGCCTAATATACATGTAATTGGAGTTTACAATGGGAGTAGGGAAAGAAAAAACTATCTGGAGACATGAGACAAAAAACTTTCTATTGATAAAAATTAAAGGTCAACATAACTGAGAAGCTCAATGAACTCAAATGACAAGATACATAAGGAAAATTGCAGCACCACATATTATAATTGATTTCCTTAAAACAAGTGGTAAAGAGAAAATGTTAAAAGTAGTCATAGAACAAAGAAACATTTTATGTAGAGGAAAAAAGATAAGGATGAGAGCAGATGTCTTGTTTGAGATCATGCAATATAAAAGACAATTTTATGTGTTAGTAACATTATTTTAGAGTACTGAAAGAAAAAAGGGACAACCTTGAATTCTTGAACTAACAAAAATACCTTTAAAACTGAAAGTAAAAGAAAGGCTTTTTCAGGTATACCAATGCTGAAATAATTCATTTATAACAGTTCTGAACTATAAAAAATGCTAAAGGAAATTCTTCAAGCAAAAGGAAAATAATACCAGGTGGAATTCTGGATCTATACAAGAGAATAAACAGCACCAAATAAGATAACTATGTGTGTTAATATAAATACATTTTGGTTGTTATTTAAGTCTCTGTAAAAGATAATCAACTGTTGAAAGCAAAAAACAAGAATATATTATAAGATTTATAAGATTTCTAAAAACAAGATGTCTGGAAGCAATAGCAAAAAATCAGGAGAATAGAAATGGGTATTTCTATGTTTTGTGAGGTCCTAATACAAAAGGAGGTGAAATAGTACTTAAAGATATACACTGATAAGTTAAGATTGATTATAAGCCCTAAAGCAAACACTAAAATAGCACAAACTAAAACTAATAAGCCACAGATAAAATAGAATCATATGAAATACTCAGTTAATTCAAAAGAAGACAGAAAAAATACCAAAAATATACAAGTTGGAAAAAAGAAGTAAATTTGTCTTTATTTTGCAAGATAGTGTAATCATCTGCGTAGAAAGTTTAATGTAATCTACAAATCACTATGAATATTAGCAAGTGAGTTCAGCAAGGTCAGTGTACAAGATTAATGTAAAGAATCAATTGCATTTCTACATACTAGCAACACAATTGGACATTAAAATTTAAAAATGCCATTTACAATATGAAAATATGAAATATATAGAAATAAATCTGACAAAAATGTATAATGCTTGCATACTGAAAACTACAAAAAATTGCTCAGAGAACTTAAGGAAGTCAAATAAATAGAGAGAGATGCCACCTTCATGATTAGAAGATGACTTGTTTTTAAGATATCAATTCTCCAAATTAACCTATGGATCCAACATATTCTAAGTCAAAATCATAATAGGCATTTTTTGGGTAGAAGTTCACAAGCTGATTCTAGAAATCATATGAGAATGTAAAGGCTCTAGAGTAGCAAAGTAATACTAATAAATAATAACCTTGAAAAATAAAAATAAATTTGAAGAACTAACACTACCTGACTCCAATAGTTATATATTTAGATAGATATAATAATCAAAACCATACTATATTTGTGTCAACATGGACAACTTAACAAATGAAACATAAGATAGAGTCCATAAATAGAGTTACTCATGTATGGTTAATTGATTTTCATTAAAATTACAAAGGCACTTCAGTGGAGAAAGGATAGTGTTTCAACAAAGGTTTCTGGAATGATTAGATATCCATATGCCAAAAAAATCAAAACAAAAACAAAAAAAATATTAATACCTTGCATCATATACAGAAATTAACTCAAAATGGATTATAAAAAAGATGTAAAACTTAAAACTACAAAACTTCCAGAAGAAAAATATAGAAGAGATTTTATGGCCTTGGGTTAGGCAACTATTTCTTAGACCAACACCAAAGGCATGATCTGTTAAAAAATAAACAAATTGGACTTTATCAAAATTAAGAATTTCTGACTAGGTGTGGTAGCTTATGCCTATAATCCCAGAACGTCCAAAGGCAAGGTGGGCGTATCACTTGAGGTCAGGAGTTCGAGACCAGCCTGGGCAAGATAGAGAAACCTCATCTCTACAAAAAATAGAGAAATTAGCCTTGTGTGGTGGGATATACCTGTGGTCCCAGCTATCAGGGAGGCTGAGGTGGGAGGATCATTTGAGCCTGGTTGTTGGAGGTTGCAGTGAGCTGGGATCACGCCACTGCACTCCAGCCTGGGCGACAAGCCAGACACTTTCAGACCCTTTCTCAAAAAAAGAAAAAAAATTCTGCCCTTCAAAAGATACTATTATATGGTAATAAAAGAGAAGATGTATACTGAAAAAATACATTCACAAATCACATGCACTAATGAACTTGTATCAAGAATGTATAAATCACTCTCAAAAACAACCAATGAAAAAACACATAGGTTAAAATAAAATTGGACAAATAACATGAACAGACACTTCACTAATGTATAAACATACAGCATATAAATATAAGAAACATGTTCAACATAATTCGTTATTCAAAAAATGCAAATAAAACCATATGTGACACTACTACCCATCTATTGGGATGTCGAAAATTTAAAAGAATAATCATGTCAAGTGTTGTTGAGGGTGTAAAGAAACAAACTCCTATAATGCTGCTGAAAATGTAAAATGTCCCAATCAGTTTGGAAAACAGTTTGGAAGCTTCTTAAAAAGTTAAACATATGCCTACCCTATAACACAGCTATTTCACTTCCAAGTATTTACACATGACAAGTGAAAGCCTACCTCCACACTTTTACATGCATGTTCATAGCAGTTTTAGTTGTCAGGGTTCTAAATTGGAAAATATCCATATGCCCATCAACAGATGAATGGATAAATAAATGATGATACATCTAAACAACAGATTAGTACTCCTCAAAAAAGGGAATGAACTACTGATACACAAAAACATGGCTAAATCTCTAATTATGCCGAATGAAAATGGCCAGACAAAAAAAGAGTACCTACTGAAGGATCCCATTTGTATAAAATTCTAGACAATGTCAACTAAACTGTAGTAACAGAAAGCAAATGAGTGGTTACCAGAGAATGGGGAAGGGTCAAGGAGGGTCAGAAAAGAAGGATTACAAAGGGGAATGAGGAAACTTGTACCTTGTCTTGATTTTGTTGATGGTTTCATTAGTGTGTACATATGTCAAATAAGTGTAAAGTTGTACACTTAAATATGCGCTGCTTATTACGTCAAGTAAATTTCCACAAAGCTGTTACACATTTTTTGAATGAGGTACAAAATAATTTATAAAAGCCATGAAGCAAAGAATTGTCCATTGAAACAATCATAATATTCAAGATTCTGCCTTATGCTAAAAATAAAGATTTGGTTATCAGTCGTAACTATCATATGAACTCATAAAACCAACTACTTTGAGCAACCCAAAGATTTCCTTCTCTAGGATGGTAATCACAAAGGGACTGGATTTCACTTTGCTGTTTCTCACCTTCTCAGATTATAAATAACAGGGTAGGGTAGAATATTTTAGTACACCATGCAAAGGCCAGTATATGGTGGAATCAACAGTTAAGATGCATTTCCCACTCTGATGCTCCTTCATGCTTCCAGGACTTATAGCTCCCTCCACATGCATTACGTATGCTTGTGTTTGGCTACCTCTCTGGCAAATGTTCATGTCTCTTCCATTTAAGATTGCAAATGCTAGACCTCATGACTTCTGTCTACTTTATTCCATTTTCATTTTATCGTGTTCCCTTTGCTTGGGGAGCAGTTTTGGATTCTTCTCTCTTCTCACTCTGTTTCCTTTAACATTTTATCTTCAGATTCACTGTGGGTCTTTCTTCTTTCCTACATTAATAGCACTTGTATACCTCATTGGTGTCAACTTACCCACTTCTTTCATCAGAATCTTACTTCCTTCTTCCTGTCATGGTCAAGTGTTTTTTGTTAAGCTCCTTTCTTTCTTCAAACTCATTTCAACAGTAGAAATAAAAGTACTCCCATTATATATATACAAATATATATTTTATATATTATATGTAGGAATATTATATATGTATATATACGTATTGCTTTCCTACAATGTAAATATAAAACAAAAAAGAAAAACAAGGTTTTACACAAAGTAATATTAACAAATTAGTCTCTAAATTTGATGTAATCCAACAAAAATCCCTATGTGATTTATATCTGTGTAGTCATGCTACATATTATATAACAGTTATTTTTGTACATTTCTGGTGAAAGTGAAAGTTGGTAGAACAATCTTAGAAAAAGGATTTCCAGAATTTAGTGCACTTGATGGTCATGTACACATGCAACAGCATCTAGAATAGATATGATAATTGTGGTCTTTTACACAATAGACTATACACAGCATTGTATTTTAGCTATGACTATGAACAAGCAGGGATCAACCTTACACAGAATGTTGAGCAAAAGAAGCAAAACACATAAAAGAATACAATATGATTACATTCATATAAAGTTCAAAAATAGACAAAATTAAGCTCTACTCTTCTTGGATACATGTTAAGTGGTAAATTATCCCGAAAAGCAAGTAAATAATTACTGTGAAATTCAAAATGGTATTTTCCTCCAGGAGAAAGTGAGGGGTTGAGTTTGTGGGTGCTGTCATGCAGGTTATATTATGTGGGGTGACAACACAGACATTCACTTAAGGAATTTTTGTTAATGTCTTTTTTTTTAAATTTTTTAGTGTGGGGTTTATATTTCACGAATGTCAAAAAAGATCATACTACATAGAACAACCTTCTTATTTTTTAACTCGGCAATTAATAGTGATTATTTTCCCAGACAATTACATAGGCTTTTAAAGATGAATCCGGCCAGGTGCAGTGGTTCATGCCAGCACTTTAGGAAACAGAGGTGGGAGGATTACTGGAACCCAGCAGTTTGAGGCAAGATGGCAAGACCCCGTCTCTACAAAAAACAAAAAAACAAAAACAAAAACAGAACTAGCCAGGCATGGCGGCGTGTGCCTGTAGTTTCAGCTATTTAGGAGGCTGAGATGGGAGGATCACTTGAACCTGGTAGCTGGAGGCTACAGTGAGCCATTATAGGGCCACTGCACTCCAGCCTGGGTGACAGAGTGAGACACTGGCCCAAAAATAAAATAAAAATAATAAAGATGGATCTTAGGGGGCACAAAGATGCCGTTCTCTCAGATGAATAAATCTAGACATCTCAAGTACATTATGAGAACTATAGTTAATAATATTGAATTATATACTGGAAATTTGCTGAAAGAGTAGATTTTAATTATTATTCCCCTCCCCCGCTCCGCTCACCTCCCTAAAAAGAAGAAGAGTAACTCTGTGAGATGATGGATATGCTAATTTACTTGATTGTAGTAATCACTTCACTACACATACATATATCAAAACATCATGTTGTACAGCTTAAATGTATACGATAAAGAATAAATAAATACAAATGGATCTCAAAAGATGACCTTCAATCTATGGTACCATAATTTATTTAAATGCTCACCCAATTTTGTATATTTTAACTTTGCTGTTCTTTTCTCTTATAAAATAGAGCACAATAGATCTACATATGTACAACTCTTTGCTTCATCTCCTATTGTTTCCTTAAGATAACATATTAGAGGTGTAATAGTGGAGTCAAATAGCATGCATTTTACAATCCATGAATATAAAATCTATGAATATAAATGTTCCTGCCAAGTTTTCCTCAAGAAATTTTCCATCAAGTGACACTTCTACCAGCCGTTTATGAGAATGCTCATTTTCATTCACACTCACCAGCATGGCTATTAAAATGTCTTTGCTAATTTGGTAATTAACTAATTTAAGTTCCATGAGAGTAGAGACCTTTATATTTTTCACCAATATGACATCTTGCCCATACTAGGGCGCTCAATAAATATTTATTAACTAAAATATTTATATCTAACTTATTTTAATTGGCATGTATTGCTGAAAGTTCTCTTCGAGTTACTACTGTAAGTTGATATTTTCACAGATATTTTTCTTATATATCCTGGCAAAGGACCATCATTACTACTTATTATTCAGGGGAATGCTTTTTTAAATATATAATTTAATCTCCATGGCCTTTTTTTTATTTTTTATTTTATTATACTTTAAGTTCTAGGGTACATGTGCACAACGTGCAAGTTTGTTACATATGTATACATGTGCCATGTTGGTGTGCTGCACCCATTAACTCATCATTTACATTAGGTATATCTCCTAATGCTATCCCTCCTCCCTCCCCCCACCCCATGACAGGCCCCGGTGTGTGATGTTCCCCACCCTGTGTCCAAGTGTTCTCATTGTTCAATTCCCACCTATGAGTGAGAACATGCGGTGTTTGGTTTTCTGTCCTTGCGATAGTTTGCTGAGAATGATGGTTTCCAGCTTCATCCATGTCCCTACAAAGGACATGAGCTCATCATTTTTTATGGCTGCATAGTATTCCATGGTGTATATGTGCCACATTTTCTTAATCCAGTCTATCATTGATGGACATTTGGGTTGGTTCCAAGTCTTTGCTATTGTGAACAGTGCCACAATAAACATACGTGTGCATGTGTCTTTATAGCAGCATGATTTATAATCCTTTGTGTATATACCCAGTAATGTGATGGCTGGGTCAAATGGTATTTCTAGTTTTAGATCCTTGAGGAATCGCCACACTGTCTTCCACAATGGTTGAACCAGTTTACAGTACCACCAACAGTGTAAAAGTGTTCCTATTTCTTGCCTTCTGCTAACTTTTGAATGTGTTTGCTCTTGCTTCTCTAGTTCTTTTAATTGTGATGTTAGGGTGTCAATTTTAGATCTTTCCTGCTTTCTCTTGTGGGCATTTAGTGGTATAAATTTCCCTCTACACACGGCTTTAAATATGTCCCAGAGATTCTGGTATGTTGTGTCTTTGTTCTCATTGGTTTCAAAGAACATCTTTATTTCTGCCTTCATTCTGTTATGTACCCAGCAGTCATTCAGGAGCAGGTTGTTCAGTTTCCAAGTAGTTGAGCAGTTTTGAGTGAGTTTCTTAATCCTGAGTTCTAGTTTGATTGCACTGTGGTCTGAGAGACAGTTTGTTATAATTTCTGTTCTTTTACATTTGCTGAGGAATGCTTTACTTCCAACTATGTGGCCAATTTTGGACTAAGTGTGATGTGGTGCTGAGAAGAATGTATATTCTGTTGATTTGGGGTGGAGAGTTCTGTAGATGTCTATTAGGTCCGCTTGGTGCAGAGCTGAGTTCAATTCCTGGATATCCTTGTTAACTTTCTGTCTCGTTGATCTGTCTAATGTTGACAGTGGGGTGTTAAAGTCTCCCATTATTATTGTGAGGGAGTCTAAGTCTCTTTGTAGTTCTCTAAGGACTTGCTTTATGAATACGGGTGCTCCTGTATTGGGTGTATATATATTTAGGATAAGTAGCTCTTCTTGTTGAATTGATCCCTTTACCATTATATAATGGCCTTCTTTGTCTCTTTTGATCTCTGTTGGTTTAAAGTCTGTTTTATCAGAGACTAGGATTGCAACCCCTGCCTTTTTTTGTTTTCCATTTGCTCGGTAGCTCTTCCTCCATCCCTTTATTTTGAGCCTATGTATGTCTCTGCACGTGAGATGGGTCTCCTGAATACAGCACATTGATGGGTCTTGACTCTTTACCCAATTTGCCAGTTTGTGTCTTTTAATTGGAGCATTTAGCCCATTTACATTTAAGGTTAATATTGTTATGTGTGAATTTGATCCTGTCATTATGATGTTAGCTGGTTATTTTGCTCATTAGTTGATGCCATTTCTTCCTAGCATTGATGGTCTTTATAATTTGGCATGTTTTTGCAGTGGCTGGTACCAGTTGTTCCTTTCCATGTTTAGTGCTTCCTTCAGGAGCTCTTGTAGGGCAGGCCTGGTGATGATAAAATCTCTCAACTTTTGCTTGTCTGTAAAGGATTTTATTTCTCCTTCATGTATGAAGCTTAGTTTGGCTGGATATGAAATTCTGGGTTGAAAATTCTTTTCTTTAACAATGTTGAATATTGACCCCCACTCTCTTCTGGCTTGTAGAATTTCTGCCGAGAGATCAGCTGTTAGTCTGATGGGCTTCTCTTTGTGGGTAACCCGACCTTTCTCTCTGGCTGCCCTTAACATTTGTTCCTTCATTTCAACTTTGGTGAATCTGACAATTATGTGTCTTGGACTTGCTCTTCTTGAGGAGTATCTTTGTGGCATTCTCTGTATTTCCTGAATTTGAATGTTGGCCTGCCTTGCTAGATTGGGGAAGTTCTCCTGGATAATATCCTGCAGAGTGTTTTCCAACTTGGTTCCATTCTCCCCGTTACTTTTAGGTACACCAATCAGACGTAGATTTGGTCTTTTCACATAGTCCCATATTTCTTGGAGGCTTTGTTCATTTCTTTTTACTCTTTTTTCTCTAATTCCTTCTCTCTTCATTTCATTCATTTGGTCTTCAATCACTGATACCCTTTCTTCTAGTTGATCAAATCGGCTACTGAAGCTTGTGCATTAGTCACGTAGTTCTCTTGCCATGGTTTTCAGTTCCATCAGGTGATTTAAGGACTTTTCTACCCTGGTTATTCTAGTTAGCCATTCGTCTAATCTTTTTTCAAGGTTTTTAGCTTCTTAGCATTGGGTTCAAAGTTCCTCCTTTAGCTCAGAGAAATTTGATCGTCTGAGGCCTTCTCTCAACTTGTCAAATTCATTCTCCATCTAGCTTTGTTCCGTTGCTGGCGAGGAGCTGTGTTCCTTTGGACAGGGAGAGGTGCTTTGATTTTTAGAATTTTCAGCTTTTCTGCTCTGTTTTTCCCCCATCTTTGTGGTTTTTATCTACCTTTGGTCTTTGATGATGGTGACGCAGAGATGGGGTTTTGGTGTGGATGTCCTTTGTTAGTTTTCCTTCTAACAGTCAGGACCCTCAGCTGCAGGTCTGTTGGAGTTTGCTGGAGGTCCACTCCAGACCCTGTTTGCCTGAGTATCAGCAGCGGAGGCTGGAGAACAGCAAATATTGCTGAACAACAGATGTTGCTGCCTGATCATTCCTCTGGAAGCTTCGTCTCAGAGGGGAACCCAAACGTGTGAGGTGTCAGTCTGCCCCTACTGGGGGGTGCCTCCCAGTTAGGCTACTCGGGGGTCAGGGACCCACTTGAGGAGGCACTCTTCTGTTCTCAGATCTCAAACTCTGTGCTAGGAGAGGCACTATTGTCTTCAAAGCTGTCAGACAGGGACATTTAAGACTGCAGAGTTTGCTGCTGCCTTTTGTTCAGCTATGCCCTGCCCCCAGAGGTGGAGTCTACAAAGGCAGGCAGGCCTCATTGAGATGTGGTGGGCTCCACCCAGTTCCAGCTTCCTGGCCACTTTGTTTACCTACCTAAGCCTCAGCAATGGCGGGCACCCCTCCCCCAGCCTCACTGCCACTTTGCAGTTCGATCTCAGACTGCTGTGCTAGCAATGAGCGAGGCTCCGTGGGCATGGGACCCTCCGAGCCAGGTGTGGGATATAATCTCCTGGTGTGCCATTTGCTAAGACCACTGGAAAAGCGCAGTATTAGGGTGGGAGTGACCTGATTTTCCAGGTGCCCTCTGTAACAGCTTCCCTTGGCTAGGAAAGGGAACTCTCTGACCCCTTGCGCTTCCTGGGTGAGGTGATGCCTCGCCCTGCTTCGGCTCACGCTCCATGGGCTGCACCCACTGTCCAACAAGCCTCAGTGAGATGAATGTGGTACCTCAGTTAGAAATGCAGAAATCACCCATCTTCTGCGTTGCTTACACTCAGAGCTGTAGACTGGAGCTGTTCCTATTCGGCCATCTTGGAACCCCCTCCATGGGTTTATTTTGTCTTGGTCAACTCTTGACTTAGTTTCTGTGTTACAGCATTAAGCATCCCACTAGTAGTAGTCACTATAAGGTACTCCTGTATAATCAGATCATACTACAAATTGATGTTTGTAGCATGCACGTGTGTACACACCTATTTATACACTTGAGTTCTTAATGAGGACAGTAGAGCATATTGATTATGATGAAGATCTACAAAGTTGTTTTACACATAACTACATATACCTTGCCCTCATTGGTTTAGCAAACACTATTACATAATTCATCTACTTGAATGGAGAAGAGATAAAATGATAGATATTATATATAAAGTGAAAATCACCTTTTCAGATTAACGATTTTCTCTTCCCAAACAGATGTTATCTTATGAACATTTGGGCAGTATCTATTTTATTGACTTGTTTAGATTATGAAAAACTGAGTTAGTTTAGCATGAATTTTCAATGTTGAGTTTGTAATTGCTTGAAGTTTGTCACTAGGAAGATAAAAAGGATCAGATGGCATTGCCCAATGGATGGGATAGTGCTCTTAATCTAATTAATTGAAAAATAAAAATGCAATAGTGTGATCTAGTTTTAGGATTGATGTAGTTTTAGCCATAAGCCAAGATTTATTTTTTACCTCATGCCTAACAACACAAACTCAATGAGCAAATGATATTTTTTTCACTGATAGGATCTTAGAATATAAAACAATCTACCTTTTACCATCCCATTCCCATTTATTTAAACAAGGTTCATCAAAATTTTCTTACTTGCCAAATCTGATTTTTATTAAATACCTAATCAATATTCAATAAAAATGGCTCACATTTAAAATCCTATTTGAATGCTCCATGACCTTTAATTCTGTTGACAATTTCCTTGAACTATTTTGAGACCCTGACCTTTGATTTCATGATATCTATTTTTTTCTGGATGTTTTTCAATAACTCTGACCATTTTTCTTGCTCTTTCTTCATTTGTTTTTTAAAAATTGGCCTTTCCAGTTCATCTTTTTTCTCTCTTTTTTCTTAAAGTCCTTTTCCCTTCCACCAGACACTCTCACCTATTCACTGCCATGGCTTTAACAACCACCTATGATCTTTTAATGCTTATTTTTTTCCAGTCCAGAGCCCTCCGGTGAACTCATCGTCAGCCTCTAACTGCTCTTCTTTCTGTTTTCCTTATCTTCATTGGCAGCACCATCATCCACCCAGTCATCTGAGTCAGAATTCTCGAAGTTATACTCCGTTCTCATCTGTATCCCCTAAATCCAGTTAATCTATAAATTCTTCCAATCCTAAGTATGAGTAATTCCTAAAATCTTTTCCACTTTTCTATCTGACTACTATTGTCTTTGAGCACTTCTCATCATTCTTGACAAAACTTGGAGTTTCCTTACCAGGCTCTTTGCACGTAGTCTCACATCTTTCAAATTGCACCCAGAGTACTACATAAGTCTGATAATATATCTCCTTTATCTGAATATATTTAATGGGTCTTTATCTCTTACAAGATCATGTCCAAACCACCAAGTATGGCATACCAAGCCCTTCATAATCTACATCTGAAGCTTCATCTTCAAATTCACTAAATACTCCTACTCTCTCTGCATCATACTCTATTGAATGATTTCTATGCCTTCAGCACCTCCCCAGGCTGTTTCATATTTTTATTTATTATTATTTTTATTTATTTATTTATTTTTGAGATTGGGTCTTGCTCTGTTGCCCAGGTCGGAGTGTAGTGGTGGGATCTTGGCTTACTGCAACCTCTGCTTCCCGGGCTCAAGCGATTCTCCTGCCTCAGCCTCCTGAGTAGCTGGACTACAGGTGTGTGCCACTACACTTGGCAAATTGTTTTTTTTGTATTTTTAGTAGAGACGGGGTTTCACCATGTTGGCCAGGCTGATCTCAAACTCCTGACCTCAGGGAATCCAGCCACCTCGGCCTCCCAAAGTGCTGGGATTACAGGCATGAGTCACCACGCCTGGCCTGTTTCATGTTTTTATACTTTGCATTCATATTCTTCTACTTAAAATGACCCTTTCTCACTCATACCTGTATGAAGTTTCTTTAAAAACCCTTTCTCCAACCATTAGATAAAGTTAATCACTTGCTCTATGCTATAACAGTACCTGATATATGTTGCATATAACCTGTTATATTGTAATTTATTTGCTACATATCTCATATATCTAATATAAATGTCCTTGAGGATAGGAACTATTTGTTAGTCATCTTCAGTGCTCAGCTCATGGATCTGTTTAAATATTTTTAACAAGTGGATGAATGGACAAATTAATAAACACATTTATGAAGTATAGGTAAGGACAACAGTAAGTAAGTTGGTTTATTTATGTTATTTTGCTACAACTTACATTCAAAATATTATTAGATCAGTTATGTAAATAAGTTAGAAACATAAGGTGAGAATCAAACTGAGTGTGCATGATATACTGCTAGGTTAGAAGTCACTTGTCAGCTATATAACATTGAGCAAGTCACCTAACTTTAATAATTTGTACCCCAGTTTCCTCATCTGTAAACCAGGCATGATAAGACCCACCTGTGCTAATTAGGATATAGGCTAAATTTCTATAAAAAGATATTCTAAAATATGACTTAAAGAAGATATATATAGATATAGATATATACACACACACATATGTGTATTGGAATATTTGCATTGGAAATGCAAAACCAACAATGATCTTTGAAGAAAATGATGCCAAGTTCACACATATCACTTTGGCTCTCATTCTTTTCAAGAGAACTTACTCACATGGCCACCTATTCTTGCAAAGTATGTTAGGAAATATACCCTCTGTGTGGGTGACCATAGGCCATTTAAAACTTTCTTACTGGGAGAGAAAGGAGGAGATATATTGAATGGGCAGCTGCCCTACTACTTCATAATGCTGTTATGAGTATTTAGAAAGAACACATAAAATCATTTAAAACGGTATCTGGCACATGCTGAGGACTCTATAAATATTATCTATTATTTTTCTTTATAGTCAAGTAAACTGAGATTCAGGGAGTTTAAATAACTAGCCTTGGATACTTACACTGAGCAAGTGAAAGAGTAAGACTCTGAACTCTGGTCAGCCTGCGCATAAAGATTTCCAGACTTCCCACTACCTAAAATGTACTGCACACTTACTGGAATCTGGAAAAGAAGAAATCAAGTCCTGTTTCTTGTTCTATAACAGCATTTATTTTAGTGAATGTACCCTCTGTGTTCTTCAAACGGCTTTTTCATGTCAATAAAGTTCATGGAGTCGCAAGGTTTCTACACTTCCAGTTATCCCTGGAAGTATTTGGATTCTTGTCTGGATTTTGGCAATATCTCAGAGGTAACATCATCAAAGGAGTTGGGTAAAGGAGTATCTGCATTCATTAAGAGAAAGAAGTTTTCTGCCGTGTTTATGTTCAGATAACTTTTTCTATTATATGCAATGGAAGGGTTAGCATATAATAGAAGGCTGGTCTCGGTTTTGAGAAATTACAATCCACTTTTAAGTTCTTTACCTAGTGCAGTGGTTGAATGGTGCCCCTAAAATATATGTCCACATCCTAACCTCTGTAACCTGCGAATGTGACATTATCTGCAAAAAAATAACTTTGAAGATGTAATTAAGTCAAATATTTTGAGATGATAAGATTATCGTAGATTACTCACTGGGCCCTAAATCCAATGATAAGTGTCCTAATGAGAGCCAGAAGTGAAGACACAGAGGGAGAAAATGCATGTGAAGACAGAAGCAGAGTTTAGGGTTTTGCAGCCACAAACCAAGGAACATCTGGGGCCACCAGAGGCAGGAAGATGTAAAGAAAAATTCTCTTCCAGAGTCTTTAGTAGAAATGTATCCATGCCAACACTTTGATTTTGTACTTCTAGCCTCCAGAATGGTAAGAAAATAAATTTATGTTGTTTTAAACTACTGAGTTTGTGATAATTTGTTAGGGCTGCCCTAGTGAACTGATACAACTAGTATAGAAATTTTAGCTGATAATTTGTTAATCAAGACCTGAAAGTAATGAGTAAGAGTGAAGGCACTGAGGCTAACAACACTTTTTCTACTTCTAGATCCCAAAGAATAGGAAAGGGTGAAAGAATGTGGTAGAAAATGCAAAGAAGAGAGTGAGAAAGACAGAGCAAAAGAGGGAGAGAGTCTCCTGAGCTGGTGGGGGGCAGCAGGATCCTCCAGGACTGCTTGAGGACCCAGGCTCAGTGGGAGGTGAGCAGACGCTGCAGGGGGCTCATCACATAGCTTCAGGGTCAACTTTCAAAGACACTCCATCCCTCCTGTGAGGGTTTCTTCCCTGGGTGACCTATCTACACTCAGAGTCACACGTAGTATTTGTGTATCATTATGGATAATTCCTCCAGAAATATTTTTAACTTTCAACTTTTAAAATACAACAAAACATATATGGAAGGGCTTACTGCACTGTGGGTACCATCTAGATGAGTTATCCCTAGAGGGTATCCCTGGGGAAGTCATGGCAAAAATGTCATGGCTATGGGTGGCCCTGGTGAAAGAGGAGATTATCTGCTTGTTTTCTGCCAAGCAAGAGTTCATTTTTGTTAATAATTATTAAAAGTGTTAGTTTACATTAGTTACATTAGTTAGTGGCATTTCTATAGTATGTTGTTAGTATAACTGTGCTTTCACACAAACTGTCTCATTCATTCTTTACATTAGCCCTGTGTGGTGGACAAGGATAGACATTATGATACTTTTATTAAAAAATCCTCATTTTTTAAGTGAAGAATCAGGGCATTTAGTGACTTGGTCAGAAAGAAAACAATGAATGGAACTGGAATTAAAAGGGAAGATTACTGATTCCTTTTATCCAATCTTAATTCTATGTTGTTCTTTCATCAACTATTCAACCAGCAATTATTGAGCTTCTAATATATTCAATGCTAGGCATTAGACAGAAAGAGGCATAAAAGATGGAAGAGTTCCTGATTTCAGAAACATTGTGGTCTTCACAGAAAGACAAGCATACAAATGTCTATCTAACTTTTAAAGCAAAACGAAATATAAGGAGCAAAGCCTTGTGATAATTTCTTATAATAACAAGACTTTGATATGTTGTAATGGTGATTGGCGTCTTTTCTCCAATTAGCACCTATTGTTATACAAGGCTGTGGGCAAAAGTGGACATAGGGATTTAGGGAAAGCTAAGAAGAGAAATGATTTGACAAGTATGAAAGTGCAAGGTGTCCCTGCATCATAAGTATTCTTCCAAGTTGAGAAACTGAAACCACTAAATGGAGAATTTGTGGTTTTGCTGTCACTATCCTGGATGTGTCAGCCAGCTGCAAAACCCAGACTTGTCCTTATTGAAATTTAAGCCAGAGCAGACAACCATCATTCAGTGGTACGCAGGACCAGGATACATTCGGGTCCTGCATTCAGACTCTTGTTTCAATTCTGCTCAAACCAATGCAAATTCTGGCCTTCATATGACTGTAAAAAATCATTATGTGTTCCAAATAAGATAACTGACAAATAAAATGAAATTTAAATGTGAATAAAATCTGCTGGATGGTTTGAATTCTTCTTATTAAAATGTTTTAACATTGTTTTCCAGTTAATAAATTTTCTATTTAAAATAATTCAAAAGTGTTTTTCTTAAATTATTCATTATAAAATTTGATTTTAAGCCAGGTTTTCTTACTTCTTCATTCCAGAGGCAGATGTTTCTCACAGAGATGGTGGAACATAATTGCTTTCTTCTGTAGTAGAATTGTATCTAGACATCAGAAAGCCAAAGTAGATCCCATTAATAAGACATGTTAGAGACCATTTCCACTATGGGCATCCTTCAAGGATATTGTAGGTTTGGTTTTCAGACTACTGCAATAAAGCAAGTATTGCAATGAAACCACTCACACAATTTTTTTGGTTTCCCTGTGCAGTAATAGTTATGTTTACACTATTCTCTAGTCCATCAAGTGTGCAAAGCATTGTTTTAAAAATGTACAGACCTTAATTTAAAAATACTTTATTCCTAAAAAATGCTAACAATCGTCTGAGCCTTCAGGGAACTATAATCTTTTTGCTTGTGGTAGGTCTTGCCTGGATATTGAAGGCTGCTGACTAATCAGCATTGCTGAGGCGTGGGTGGCTGTGACAATTTCTTACAATAAGACAACAATAAAGTTTGCCACATTAATTGACTCTTCCTTTCACAAAAGAGTTCTCTGGAGCATGTGATGCTGTTTGATGGGATTTTACCCATAGTAGAACTTCTTTCAAAATTGCAGTCAATCCTCTCAAACCCTGCCTCTGCTTTATCAACTAAGTTTCTGTAATATTCTTAATTCTTTGCTGTCATTTAAACAACCTTCACAGCATTTTTACCAGGAGTTGATTTTACCTTAAAAACTACTTTCCATGCTCATCCATTCGAGGCAACTCCTCATGCATTCAAATTATGAGATCACAGCAATTCAGTCACATCTTCAGACTCTCCTTCTAATTCTAATTCTCCTGCTGTTTTTACCATGTCTGTACTGACTCCCTTCTCTGAAGTCATGAACCCTTCAAAGTCATCTATGAGAGCTGGAATCAACTTTTACAAAATTATTGGTAATATTGCCATTTTGATCTCTTTTCATCAATCACACGTTTTTAATGACATCCAGAATCATGAATCCTGTCCAGAAGGGTATTAATTTACTTTGCCCAGATCTATCAGAGAAATCACTATCTATGCCAGCTAAAGCCTTATAAAATGTATTTCTTAAGTAATAATACTTGAAAGTTGAAATGACTCCTTGATCCATGGGCTGCAGAATAAATGTTGTGTCAGCAGGCATAAAAACAACATTAATCTTTTTGCACATTTCCATCAGTGCTCCTGGGTAACCAGGTCCCTTGTCAATGAGCAGTAGTATTTTGAAAGGAATCATTTTTTTTTATAGCAGTAGGTCTTAACAGTGGGCTTAAAGTACTCAGCAAACCATGATATAAAGGGATAAGCTGTCATCCAGGCTTTGTTGTTCCATTTATAGAGTGCAGGCAGAGTAGATTTAGCATAATTTAAAGGGCCCTAGGATTTCCAAAATGGTAAATGAACTTTGGCTTCACCTTAAAGTCACCAGCTGCATTAGCCCCTAACAAAAAAGTCAGCCTGTCATTTGAAGCTTTGAAGCTTGGTTTTGACTTCTCCTTTCTAGCTATAAAAGTCCTAGATGGCATCTTTTTTCAATGTAAGGCTGTTTTATCTACATTGAAACTCTGTTGCTGGGATGGCATCTTCATCATTCATCTTAGCTAGATCTTCTGCAGCTTCTTCACCTGACACATGCTGCTTCACCTGACACTTTTATGTTATGAAGATGACTTCCTTAAACCTCATGAACCAGCCTCTACTAGCTTCAAACTTTTCTTCTTCAACTTCCTTACCTTCCTTAGCCTTCATAGAATTGAAGAGAGTTAGGGTCTTTCTCTAGATTAGGCTTTGGCTTAAGGGAATGTTGTGGCTGGTTTGATCTTCTAATCAGACCTCTGAAACTTTCTTCTGATCAGCCATAAGACTTTGTTATCATTCATGCATTCACTGGAGTAGCACAGTTAATTTCCCGCAAGAACTTTTCCTTTGCATTCATTACTTGGCTAACTGTTTGGTGCAAGAGGCCTAGGCTTTTGACATACCTTCCTCACTAAGCTTAACCATTTCTAACTTTTGATTTAATGTGAGAGATGTGTGACTCTTCCTTTCATGTGAACACTCAGAGGCCATTGTAAGGTTATTAATTGGTCTAGCTTCAATATTGTTGTGTCTCAGGAAATAGGGAGGCTTGAAGAGAGGGAGAGAGGTGAGGGAATGGCTGGTTGGTGGAGAAGTCAGAGTACATAGCATTTATTCAGTTTGCCATCTTCTATGAATGTGTTTTGTGATGCCCCAAAAACAGTTGCAATAATAAATCCAAGATCACTGATCACGTATCACCATAGCAGATATAATAATGATTAGAAAGTGTGAAATATTGTGGGAATTACCCAAATGTCACACAGAGACACAAGGTGAACACATGCTGTTGGAAAAATGGTGCTGATAGACACAGGCTTGCCACAAACCTTCAATTTGTAAAAAACTCAATATCTATGAATCAAAACAGAAGTGAAGTGCAATTAAACAAGTTATGCCCGTATTTCATTTACTGTAAAATTAGTAACACTATCCTTATATTCTCTTAAGTTGTACCTGTGTCCATTTACACTTTTACTCTTTTGTAATTATTGTAAGTGTACATAAGCATTTTCATTTACCAGCAGAGGAAACGGATCCTCAGAGATGGTAAAAGTGGCAAGTGCAGCAACACATACTTATCAATGGGTGATTGGTTTATTTTGGACTGCATGTTCTCACATGCTCACTCTGTTTTATCAGAGCACTTTTTCTTGACTCAACTAAAATGCCAAGAGCAGCCAGACAGTCAAATAGAAATATTTGATTATTTGACTGTTAATATTTTCTTTCATGGCCTAAGTGTTAATGACACCACAGATGAAACTGGAAAACTATTTGCCTGGGTTTTGGATGGTATTCAGTATTCTCAGCCCTGTGATGATGAAGGTAATGTGGGAAAGTTGAGGTGTGAGTGCAGTCCTGCTAATTAGATGCAGTCTGGATACTGGAATGTGATTGAGTACCGTTGACATACACATCACATCACTGATACCGTACTTGCCATCTCCTTTTCTTTCAGCTCTTAGATATGTCTTGGCAAATTATCAGTGCTGAAAAGAAGCATTTGAAAGCCAAAAGGAAGCTCAAGTGCAACAATATGGATTTAAGGAATCTGAAATGGCAACCACAAAGAAATTCTTCTAACAGTTTTTGAAGCTTGTTATTTCTTTAGCAACATGTCCTTCTTGTAGCCTTTGTGAGATCAAAAGAAGTATTAAAATCAAAGAGGCTTCCTCGATGTTTTATAGGGACTTATCACATAAAATGTGTTTTAGAATGGCAATGACGGACTTTTCCAGTTACTCAGAGATAAAAAAGATGCTCCAATGTCAAATGGAAAGCTGGAAAGAGAATTTAGGGCACTCAGAAAATTTCACTCTCTGCCTTCTACATAAGCCTGCCTAGTGAAAAGCTAGAAGGCAGAAACATGATGGAAGACACACCAGTGTGTCGTCCCCTGAGCCCCAGATCATACTTTGGTTGTCTTATATTTGCAGGCTATTCCAAGAGATGGTTAGATCCCAGGCTGACTCTCTGGAGTGAGTACATTATAGCATGATTGTGAAGAATGTGAGTTTTTGACCCAGCTCGGTTGCTTATGAGCTCTGTGACCTGGGGCAAGTTTTATATCCTCTGTTTTCTTCCCACATATAAAATGGCTGTCACCTACTTAATTGCCATTCCTATCCCCCATCTTAGTTGGGAGAGCCTTGCTCCCACTCAACAGATTGACAGTGCTGTTATTCACTTTACCAGCTTCCTTTGCACTGAGAACCTGAGCATGATTCAGTCCAGTGAAATCTAGTGAGATCTCAGGGAAAGGCGCTTAGAGACATCTAAGATGTGAGAGGAAACTCTCCTTTTCTTTGCCAGTCACTGTAATCCCATGATGATGTAGCCACCTGGTAACTATGATAGATAACGGTGAGAAGGAAGCAAATATAAAAACGGTGACTTATTGGAGAGTTGTAAAGACCCTAGATTCTTTTGTTTTTCTTCTATTTATTTTATTTTATTTTATTTTCCCCCCACTCCCCTAAATTCTTAATGACATTCATAAATTACTGCACCAGCTCTGGCATATTCCCCTCTCCTGTCATCTTCTTCTTCTTATAAGAGACAATAATGGTCCTTAATGTTACACCAGTTTTAGCTAGGTCTTCTGTAACTATAGCTGAAAAGATTATAAGAGATACAGTAATTATTACTTACCCAGTTGTTGTGAGGGTTAAAGAATATAATGCATCTGAAATACAATACATTCAAATACAAGTCTTGACATATGTACATATAGCTCTAGATAAATAATGGATGATCTTTATACTAAAAAAAGCTATTTCTCAAGTCTGATCATTGCCCACCTCCATTAATATTGGCTTTGTTTTGTGTCTCACTCTATTGCAACTTGTCAGGATCACCTCTATCTTAAGATTTCATGAGGTTGACATGACCAGATTTTGTTTTTCTTTACATGCACCAGTATTTCTTCATCCACCATTGCCCAGTGCACAGCTAGAGTAACCTAAACTTTATTTAGTTTCACTTCCGTCCCACATACTGGTAAAAGTGACAACAATTTTCCAGTGATCTTGAGACATCTTCCAGAGTGTCTCACGTGTGCTTCCCGAAAAGTCCTGGCCCTTCTCAATGTCGACTGCCAAGACCTCAGCTGCTGATAAGCAGCCGGGAAATAATTGCCTATGTTACCCACTATGGTCACCTCCCTCTTGGCAATGCCACCTCTGCTGGTGGCCCTGCCTGTACCAAACACCTCTGCTGGAATGCTCAGCATGTCAAAGTGGTACACGGTGGGTTACTCAGGATGCTAAAGCCACGACTATTTTGTGCACAAATGTGGGCTTCATGTTTCTCCCTATTTTGTGTCACATTTAGACATATGAATCTCAAAATAGTTTTACTAAGAGCCCAACATCTTAAGGAATTTTAATTAAAATAAACGTTAAGACCTTTATTTTTTGGCTTTTCTCCACCTGCTAGCCCTTTCACTTTTCTAGACTTAAACCCCTTTTCTAGACTTAATTCTGGGCCTAGGAACAGGAGAGGCAATCATCATATCTCATATAGAGTTTTCTCTTCATGTCTATTAACTAAGGATTGGCTGGTGGACCAAATTTGTCTGCTTGCTTGCTCTCTCTCCTCTAATTTCCCACAGGCAAATATAATTTGGGCCACCTTTACAACCAAACTTCTAGTTATTTTCAGATTCATGTGAAACCCAACCCTGCACAAATCTTGGGTTTAATTTGGGATCTTCATTCTGCTTTCACCAACTACCTAAAACCATCAAGCAGGAAGACCTGTCATAAAATTTTTTCCCACCTTTTGTCATTGAGGACATATTTTATCAATTCAGGCTAAAGATAATATTACTTTGCCCTCAAACTTCAGAGTGTTTTACTCCAAATGATAATAAACTCTAGAGACATACTTAATTCAATGCTTAAAAACCTAAGTGTCCTAAAGTGACCCAAGGGTTGGCCTAAATCCATCACACTGCAGGACAAAAGGAAATTCTTGTTATTTGATCTTTTGTGAAAACAGAGCAGCTGATCTACCATTCCTCTCTAACTTAGCATCACTTTTTGAGCAAATGAAAAGTTATCTATCAAACTTCTGTTTTTCTTCAGAGTTTAAAATTCTAGAGACTGGAACCATTTTCTACCTTCATCATTTTAACTTTCCAAGAAGTCTGTTTAGTGACTTTTCTTTGAAATGTCTTCATGCCCTTACATGCCTCCTGATCAGATAAAGGGACTCCACTTGCTTTGATCTTTCTTTGTAAGTCCTACTTTCTTCTGCTTTTATAGTCATCATTGTCCTCTTCCTGCACCTTCTCTAGTATTTCTGTTCTGAGTATAACTGATTGCGAAAATCTTATGTTTATCTTCCTCATGAAGGGTCAGCCAATGCCAATAAAAGCAAAAATTATCTTCATGAGGAAATGACTAAGCAATAACTTAGTAGCTTCTCATATCTTTCGACCAGACAACATTTCAACTCTCAGAAGAAAACTTGGTGGGGATATGCATGCAGGAACCATTCTTAAAAAAAAAAAATCTATTGTGTAACAAAATTAACTCTGGACTCATATAGGTTCAAAGCCCTAAGAAAAAAATTAAAGCAAAAAATCTCTAGGGCATTTTCAAAATCACTCACAGAGCAAACTCTCCTTAGAATAGTTGTCTTTATGGCCAGGATTGGGTCTATAATCCCAGTACTGTGGGAGGCCGAGGCAGGCAGATAGGTTGAGCCTAGGAGTTTGACACCAGCCTGGGCAACATAGGAAGACCCCATCACTACCAAAAAAAAAAAAAAAAAAAAAAATTATCTGAGCATGGTGGTGTGTGCCTTTAGTACCAGTAACTCAGGAGGCTGAGGTGTGAGAATCGCTTGAGCCCGGGAGGCAGAGGTTGCAGTGAGTTGAGATCACACCACTGCTCTCCAGCCTGGGAAACAGAGTGAGACCTAGTCTCAGATAAATAAATAAATAAATAAATAGTTGATGTTTTATAACATATTTCTCTTGCTGTACAGTTGGCTTTCTCTTATTGCCACAGAGTGATTTGATTGTGACAATTAAGTTACATATTCTACAGAACTGGTTTGTAGAAATAAATGAATAGGAGCAGTAAAAGAAAGAAATAGTAACATTGGAATAGCCAAGAAAGTTATACATGTAAAGATGGGTTGGGTGTTGGTTAAGCAACCATGTGAAGTCCAGACATTTGGAGATTAGTCAATAGGATAAAATTTTCATATCAAAACACTTTTCATAAAATTTCAGGGCTTTTCTGCTAAACTGAAGATCCAATAGGAAGGGATACCCACTACTCAATTTTTTTTCCTTCTTTCTGTGATCTCAAGTTTAACTGAAGTGGAAACATTAAGAAGGAACAAGCTTATAAACAAAACAGGCAATGACCTCTAGAAACAGTGGAACTTAAATATGCAAATTCCATGAGCTGTTCCCACAGGAAAGCGACTTTGCATCAAAATAAAGAAAATTTATGATGAATATGGGATGCTGTAAATTTGGGATGGATAACTGGTTTCAATAGAATTAAATTATTAACAGCAAGATTACCTATTCAAATTATAAAATTATATTTATTCAAGCCTATTTATGGGGATATTCATGAAATATGGAATTAAATATATTTTTACATAAACTAAACTAAAAACAGAAGCCTACCTATCATCAAATGGTATCTCACTGTCATATTATTGGAACATAGGTTCTAGCAGCTAAGGTATTTTTTTGTATTTATATATTAAATAATTCATAAATCTTTGTTTTGTTTTGTTTTGTTTTTGAGATGGAGTCTCGCTCTGTCACCCAGACTAGAGTGCAATGGCGTGATCTCGGCTCACTGCAACCTTCGCCTCCCAGGTTCAAGCAATTCTCCTGCTTCAGCCTCCTGAGTAGCTGGGACTACAGGCACCCGCCACCATTCCCGGCTAATTTTTGTATTTTTGGTAGAGACAGGGTTTCATCATATTGGCCAGGCTGGTCTCGAACTCTTGACCTTGTGATCCGCCCGCCTTGGCTGCCCAAAATGCTGGGATTACAGGCATGAGCCACTGCACCGGGCCTAATAATTAATAAATCTTATAAAATGTTTTAGATCAACATCTTATTCCTTGATTAATTTCTATGAATAAGAGAAAGGACTAGCATTGTTAACCATGTTTAAAACTGGAAATACCAAACCTCAGAGAGACTATGCAATTGTCCAATGTTACTATAACTTAAGTCAGCCAAGGGAACTGAAGCTAATTCCAGATGTACCAACTATTCAGTTAAAAAACAAAAACAAAAACATGAACCTAGCCCCATTAAAATGTAAGTTTTACCATTTTGTAAAAATTCACATTTTCAATAAAAGACTTACTCTCATAGATCTTTTGATATATCATTTTTGTTTAGACCAACAGTGCTGCACTCACACAAACACCTTCCCATTTCAACTTATTCATCTGAGAAGAATATCTCAACCAAAAGCCAGTCAAATTTGAAAAGGCAGAGAGAAAAGGCATAATCAAGGAAGAATTTTATATTTTGTCAATATTTTTTAAGCACTAAGGAATAGCTTTAGTTGCTGAAATAATAAAAAATAATAAATGATCACAGAGACTAAACAAGAACAGGTGATTCCTTTACTGTTTAAAGAGATCAGAAAGCAAATGGTTTCTTTGACTCAAGCAAGTCCATCTCTCACGTATGAAACTCTTAACTGTGACTACAGAGAAACATAATAAGCAAATCATCCAAGTAACAATAATCTAATCATATTCCCTTCTCCAAAATTCTACATGCCTGCCTACACACACGGAGCCCAGCTGTCTTTGAGGCGAATAAATAATACTTGAAGGTCAAGTGAAATTTTTCTATCTAGCAATGTCAGACAGAAAATAAAAGATCACTGCTCAGATGTTCCTTTATAAATGTCCCTGCTTCTCCTCATGATGCTAACAATGACCCAAATCTTTATTTCACATAGCTGTGGACATGCCAACATGGTTGTATTCTACCCTATGAGTGATTTCTTTCTTCACTTAGCTAAAGAACAAAAAAAGAGAGAAAAACATAAATCAACTAAATAATCCATCAACCATTTAATGGACATTGACGAAGTGCCTCCAACGTGCCAGGCACTGTGCTAGCATCTGGGAATAAGAGGAATAAAACCAACCTGGATGTTCTAATGGCTCAAAGTGTAGCTGAATATCCTATCAATGAAATAAACTGTGCAGCACTGTGATAAGAGTCACAGTGATACCATGAACAAGATCTAGACATGAGTGAAAAACAATCTTCCTTTGCAAAGTGAACAAAAGGTTTTCACCAAAAACTCCTTAACTCAGAGATTCAGATTTTTTCTTTTACTTTTTTTAGGTAGATAAGGAGATGGCACATTCCAGGCAAAGGGAAGAGCTGGGCACATGGATAAATGATAATATGGGGTTTTGGGGACCTATGAGCAGTTTGGGTTGACTGGATTTGGAGAAGAGAAGAAACAATGTGAAAGGCCAGAGTACAAATGGAAGGAGATGCTCCAGTAATGAAGAATCTTTAACTGCAGTCTGTGGAAGACCATGGAAAATTATAGCAGGGTGCTGGAAAAATCAGAAAATATAACATAGAGGGCCTGGGGCCCAGGTGGAGGGTGGCAGACTATGACACTTGGACCGAGGCTGTGGTAACAGGGATTTGAGTTACTAAGGATCTGGTAACTGGGTCAGAGGAGCAGGTGTTGTGGGTAACTCAACAGAACTGTTTTAATTCTTGAAAACAGTCACTCTTGCCCAGGCCATCCTTAAATTTCTGGTTTAATTCCCTCTGGTTTTTGGTTCTGAAGTATCTTACATTTTGTGGTTGGGAGAAATTTATTTGACTTAGGAGACTGAGCTATTGAGCAAGTTGAGCAAAACTTACATGAGCCACCAGAGAAATGAAATGTCCAGAACTGGCCAAAAGAGAAGCCCTGGGGCCCTGTCTTTAAAGGATTACTGCATGAATTAGTGACCAGCAGATGCTGAAAGTGAAAGTGGCATGATTGTAAATGCAGCATGAGAGTTTGGCTTGGATAGACCAGATGTTTACCAATTTGCTTTGGGAAACAAAAGCCCTAGAGAAGGGTTTGGAAAAAGCCATCAGGGACTACTAAACTGTGACAATGGTCAATTGCCTTGATAACCATCTTTCCTCTCCACAGATGTTTCCAATGATAGGAAATGCGGGAAAATAAAGGCCATTCAACTAATCAAGCCCATACTTAGCTAAGCTGGGAATAATGCACAGAGCTTTTTAAAAGCCTCTATTGTGATTCTTTGTTTCCGAAGGGGGCAGGGATTCTGGTTATTAGGTTTGATTTTAAAACCCCTCCACTGAATACCACCAGCCTTGTATTCTTGTTGAAATCTTGCACCAGGAAAACCCATCAGACCAACTTGATTAAAAGAGGGTGCTATCAACACTCATGTTAATTATTTGGACTAGTGGTGCATCATTTTGCTTTCAAGCTTCTTAGAGATATTTGCTGTTCTGTTCATGACACAATGCTTGTAATCTGGCCAGCCAGCCAGAAAACACCATTTCAAAAATTTGTGACGTAAACTTGTGGTTTAGTCCGTTTGCACACTGCTGTAAGGACATAACCGAGCCTGAGTAATTTATAATGGAAAGAGGTTTAATTAACTTACCATTCTGCAAGGCTGCGGAGGCCTCAGGAAACACAATCAAGGTGGAAGGGGAAGCAAATATGTCCTTCATCACATCGTGGCAGGAGAGAGAAGAAAGTGCAAGAGGGGAAAAGCCCCATATAAAACCATCAGACCTTCTGAGAACTCACTCATCATCACAAGCACAGCATAAGGGTAAACGCCTGCTGATTAAATTACCCACCACTCGGTCCCTCCCATGACACATGGGGATTATGGGAACTACAATTCAAGATGAGATTTGGATGGGGACACAGCTAAACCATATCAACTTGTGTCAGCTTTTACAAATACTATGTGTAACTCAGTACTAGGTGGGAGAAAGGAAAAAACAAAAAGAAACATTCTGAAAGATGAGGCCATAAATTGTAAGACTTACACTCTTACCACTACTGCTTAGTATCATCCATGGACCAGCAGATCAGTTTCACCTGGGAGCTTAGCAATGCTAATTAGTGTCTGTCACCCCAGGCCTGCTGACTCAAACTAGGCATTTTAACAAGATATTCCAGGTGATTCCTGTGCAAGTCCATTTGAGGGGCACATGGAGGGCTTTTGGGGCAAAAACTCAAGTGGTCTTTTTCTTTTAGACTTTTTTTTAATCATATGTTTTTGGTTTTTGTCTCCTTCTAAACTCGAAGCTCTTAGTATCATCATCATCATTATTATATTTTACATATGATAAAGGCAACCAGTTATACTTAGATGCAGGTAACAAAATGGTAAGTAAGAAAAGGAAATGTGAGATATAGTTGTATATGTGCTTTTTTAT
Organism: Homo sapiens; assembly: GCF_000001405.40. Classification (NCBI taxonomy): domain Eukaryota; kingdom Metazoa; phylum Chordata; class Mammalia; order Primates; family Hominidae; genus Homo; species Homo sapiens. Next base: position 30,233,230 of record NC_000003.12, read on the forward strand.
TCAGGCATTGAATGACAATCTCTAGAAGCAAGGCTAATGCTCCTATAATTCTGAAGTAATGATAGGTGTCAACTATATTTGGAAATGCCTGCAACAACTATAATGTTATATAAAAATATCTATGACAAAGTCATATTCTGTCAATACTACTGTGCCTTGTTGCTGCATTCATAATTAAAAGGTGTACTAAGTATGAGTTTGAGATTAGTAAAAATTAGATGTCATTTTCTTTCCAACCAAGTTAAACACTGCTGAATTCAGTCCAAGGGCCCCAGGTTAAGAACGTTTGTTCTAAGAGGCTAATGTAGGAAATTATGGGATGTGTTTTAACTTGGTCTTGCTGGAAGGTGGGTGAGGGCTCCATGAGCTGGCTCCATACAATCCTTCCTCAAGTACATGATGAAGGAAGGTGCAAGGAGGCTGATGTTCTTCCACCCCAGTAGGCTATTAAGTGCCCAAGCCCCACTCCCAACCCCTTTGGGGGTTTCTTTGTTCTGAACCATTAAAAGGTTGGGCTGAGGCAGATGGATAATCTGTAAATCCTTCATTTTCTTCATCAGATCTGTTTTCCAAACATTGCCTGATGTTATAGGAATATTTACAGAAAGGGTGTGTTTGTAGTTATTTATGTTTCACATTTATTTACTTAGAATTTTTAAAATCTCATTTTCATTTTGATTTTGTATTCCAAACCAATTAATGGTCTTGGTTGAACAACAAAAACAGACTAAAATTAAAATTATCATAAACAAGCAGTACAATAACAGCCTCATGAAAAAGGTAAAGCAAGCTGATGGTGGGACAAACATTTCACCTTCTCAGTTGATTAATTTTAGATAAATAAGGCAAAATAAACAAACAAATATAGAGCTTGGCATGTGGTATGCATGCAATAAATATTTGATGAATGAATCAAGATATCAGAAAGAAAAATATTTGAAAGGTCTTTCTCTAACAGCCACTACTCATTTTAGCTACACATAATTGACTGGAAATATTCCCATTTTAGGAAGGAATTCTTTAGAGTAAGTGCGCTGAATTTAACATTTATTCATGTTTCTTTAAGTTGTAAGACTTGATAATTTTAGTATAAACGGGTGAACCCTGGGGTCAGGAATTATCTGATGTGATGTTCAGGAAGTAGCTTTGGCACTGTCAAGCAGAAGATAATTTAAAACCACCAAAGCATTCTCATTGTTAATATTTAAAGACTTCTGGGAAATGTGCTCATTTATTTCACAATTTAAAATAAACAAGTCTTAATAGCAACCTTTGAATATCTCTTAACAAAATTATCACCAAGCACCATTAGAAATAGCTTTTTATTGTTTGTGATCTATGAACTCACTCCATAATACTAATGCTTCAATCAGTTGTGACTGAGAGTTATATTCATGACAGATGCCAGAAATGGATCAAAAGCAGATAGAAGAAGCAAGCTGCTACCACCTTGTCCTCATAACATGTGTTCAAATAAAATTTTAAAAGTTCAAGGCTATATAACTTTTGTTTCATTGAAGATATTATAAAAGTAGACTGTTCTGAAGTAATTTTTACTTTTTTCTTCCCCGTTGATCTGAAGCATGCAACCAGGATTCATGGAGTTCTTTTCTGAAATTAATAAGGTTTTTGTTTACTAAGAAGCTTGAGTCTAAAAATCCTTTCTTAAATCCATTTTTGAAAACATCTAGTGTGACCCACTACACACAATTTCTAAGCCTACATCTTGGTAGTGGGCAGAGTAGATATACTCTTGCTCTAGTCCATGACATTATTTGTTATCTGTAAATTTTAGAAGAGATTCTGTATTCATATAGTATATATATATACACACACACACACATATAATAATGTATATTCAATATAGTATACACGCTATGTATTTGTACATATATATTTAAACTATGTAAGTAAACCATATGTAAATGATAAAAATGTTTAAATTATCAGAAAGAGGTATAAAATAAATGTCCAAAATGCAAAAAGAGATTAAAAGAAGGTATGTAAAAATAAAGAAATGATTGAACAATAAGAAAAATGAATAGGTTATTTGAAAAATAAAAGAATCCAATAGAGTTTTTAGAAGTAAATAAGGTCATTAAAATATTTAAGAAAATCCATGGACAAATTAAATAGGATATTAGATTATAAAAAGTATATTATAAAAACTTCGAAGTATATTATAAAAAGTATATTATATTATAAAAACTGAAGTATATTATGAAAACTTTAATGACAAGCAATAGTTTGGTCAAGACACTTGCAACATATAATACAATTTTGGTATCTGAAATATACAAAAAATCCCTATAAACCAGTAAGAGTCCAAGAAAAGCAGGCAGAGGACATAAATAAGCAATCTCAGAGTTATTTGCTAATAAACATAAGAAAAATGTTCAATTTTACTAGAAATTAGCACTATATAATTTTTAATAAATTGTAATACATTTAACTCTTATTATACTAGTAAAAATCAAAATAGCTGACAAATACCAAGTATTGGCAAGGATGTGGAGAAATGAGAACTTTCAAACAACTCTAGTAGAAGTGTAAACTATAACAACTACACTGGAAGATAAAGGGGATACTATCCAATAATTTTAAAGATACATCTAATTATTTACCAGAAATTTCTCTGCTCCAAAGAGTAGATTGTAAGGACTAGGAACATGAACTCAGGAGAAATGATGTCTTAGTTTGAGTCTTGAGTCTGTCACCTAATAGATCTGTGTTCCTAGGCAAATTAGCCTCTCTGAGACTCAGTCTCAGCCTCTTTTCTCTAGAATACTCTCTGTCATGAGTATTAAAAGAGTTCACAGAGGACTTAGTATAATGCTTGGAATAAAATAAGCTCAGTATAAATGTTAATCATAGCCAAACGCTGTTAATAATACCTAATAAAATTTAGCTATTAGCATGTGTACACATTTTAGAAATTCTGGCAGATGCACACAGGAGACAGGAAAGGATGGTCATTGCAGCATTGTTTCCGCTAATGTTAAGTTGGAACCAACTTAAATTTCTCCCACTGTGAGAACGAATAAATAAACTGTGCTATATTTATACAGTGGAATACTACACAGCAGTTAAGGGAATAACCTAGGTCAGGATTGTATGAAACATGGCCTGCTTTTGTTAATAAAACTTAATTGGAATATAGCTATGCCCATTCATTTTAACATGTTACCTATGGCTGCTTTTGCACTGCAGTGGTGGGGTTGAATAGTTGAAGTAGAGAGTATATAGCAGGAAAAGTTTAAAATACTTACAGTCTGGCCCTAAAATTTCCATTGAATTTTTATTTTAATATTATATTTTCATTTTCATTATAATCAAAAAAAATTTTATAAAATTATAATTTGAATATGACTGACCACCTTGAACTGAATATAGACACTTGATTTTAGTGCCCACATTTGATTTTATGCTTTTAATAGCATAGGAGCCAAAAGATATGACCTTAATATTCCTTAGCTGAGAACTAAAGAACAAAGGCAATGATGAGTTTGGGCCAAATAAAGGCCAAATAAAGACAAAAGAGCTTCATGGGGTTTAAGAACAAAGATGTCGTAGAATAGAATCTCTACCCTGATTACATATTAGAGTCACCAGGGAGCTTTTACAACATACCAGTGCCACACAGTCCCACCCATGGCCATCCCTGGAAGAAGGACCCAAGCAAGAATATATTTTAAAACTCCACAAATGACTCTAACGCGCAGTAAGGATTGAGAGCCGCTGTTTCCGAGCAGTTAACATAGACAACTAGATGGAAGAACTGGACTTTTCAAGATACAACGTGCATGCAACATAATGTGGGCATGCTCATATAAAAAACTCTGCACTTTATAAGATGGTATTCTGCCCATGTAGGAAGGGGAGCAATTTAGCTCAACAACACAGCAGCAACTATTACATGAACAATGCTAATGTAATACTAATTTATATTACTTACGTATTTGGTATTTTTCTTTAAAATTTTTTCTTTTTAATTTTTGTGAGTACATAGTACATAATTATGGGGTACATGAGATATTTTGGTACAGGCATGCAGTGAGTAATAACCACATATCACAGAAAATTAGGTAGTGATTTCCTTAAGCATTAATCCTTTGTGTTACAAACAATCCAATTATACCTTTTTAGTTATTTTAAAATATATAATTAAATCCTTTTTACTATAGTCCCGCTGTTGTGCTATCAAATAAGAGATTTTATTCATTCTTTCTAACTATTGTTTTGTACCCATTAACCATCCCCATCTCCACCCCTTCCCAGTCCCTGGTAACAATTCTTCTATGCTCTATGTCCATGAATTCAATTGTTTTAATTTTTAGATCCCACAAATAAGTGGGAACATGCAATGTCTGTCTTTCTCTGTCCGGTTGATTTCACTTAACCTAATGACCTCCATTTCCATCTGTGTCATTGCATATGACAGAATTTCATTCTTTTTATGGCTGAATAGTACTCCATTATGTGCATGTATCATATATTCTTTATCCATTCATCTGCTGATGAATACTTAGGTTGCTTCAAAATCTTGGCTATTGTGAACAGTGCTACAATAAACACGAGAGTGCTGATATCTCTTGGATATACTGATTTATTTTCTTTTGGGTATATACCTAGCAGTGGGATTACTAGATCATATGGTGACTGTACTCTTAGTTTTTTGAGAAACCTACAAACTCTTCTCCAAAGTGGTTGTACTAATTTACATTCCCACCAACAGTGGACAAGGTTCCCTTTTCTCTACATCCTCACTAGTATTTGTTATTGCCTGTCTTTTGAAAAAAAGCCATTTTTAACTGGGATGAGATGATATTTTATTGTAGTTTTCATCTGCATTTCTTTCATGGTCAGTGATGTTGAGCACCATTTCATATACCTGTTTGCCATTTGTACGCCTTCTTTTGAAAAATATTTACTCATATCTTTTGCCTAGTTCTTAATTGAATTATTAGATTTTTTTTCCTATAGTTTTTTTGAGCATCTTATGTATTCAGATTATTAATCTCTTGTCAGATGGGTAGTTTGAAAACATTTTCTCCCATTCTGTGGGTTATTTCTTCACTTTGTTGATTGTTTCCTTTGCTGTACAGAGGCTTTTAATTTGATGTGATCCTATTTGTCTATTTTTGCTCTGTTTGCCTGTGCTTGTGAGATATTACTCAAAAAATATTTGCCCATTCCAGTGTCCTGGGAAGATTCCCCAATGTTTTCTTTTAGTAGTTTCATAATTTGAGGACTTAAATTTAAATCCTTAATTCATTTTGATTGGATTTTTGTATACGGTGAGAGATAGGGGTCTAGTTTTATTCTTCTGAATATGAATATTCAGTTTTCCCAGCACCAATTGTTGAAGAAAATATCTTTTCCTCAGTGTATGTTCTTGTTGTCTTTGTTAAAAATGAGTTCACTGTAGGTGTGTGGATTTGCTTCTGGGTTCTCTATTTTGCTTCATTGGTCTATGGTTCTGTTTTTATGCAAGTATCATGCTGTTTGGCTTATTATAGCTCTGTAGTATAATTTGAACTCAGGTAATATAATTCCTCCAGTTGTTTTTCTCTTCTTTTCTTTCTTTTTTTTTTTTAACTTAAGAGAGCTTTGGCTATTCTGTGCTTTAGTGGTTCCCTATACATTGTAGGATTTTTTTTTCTATTTCCGTGAAGGATGTCATTGGTATTTTGATAGGGATTGCATTGAATTTGTAGATTACTGGGTAGTATGAACATTTTAACAATATTGATTCTTCCAATCCAGGAACATGGAATATCTTTTCATTTCTTGTGGCCTCTTCAGTTTATTTCATCAGTGTTTAATGCTTTTCATTGTAGAGGTCTTTTACTTCTTTCTCTTTTTCCTTTCCTTCTGCAATTTCTATTATGCATAAGCTGCTTTAATCGTGTCCCAGGGTCTCATAGGCTCTGTGAATTTTTTCTTATTATTTTTTTCTTCCTTTTTCCTAGACTGATTTTTTATTTCACCACTTCAAACTCTGCCAGTGAATCACTAATCTCATCTAGTGAGTTTTTTTATTTCAGTTGTTTTACTATTTAGCTTCAGAATTTTTATTTGGTTCTATTTTATGATTCTTAAATCTTTACGAATATTTTCCATTTGGTAAAATGTTTTTATACATCCTTTCAGTTCTTTAGACACTTTCTTTAGTTCTTTAAACATAATTTTTAGGTTTAAAAATGTCTGGGCTTTCTCGAGGATGGTTTCTATTAATTACTTCTTTTCCTGTGTATGGGCCATGGTTTCATGTTTCTTTGCATGTCTTGTGATTTTTTTGTTGTTGTTGAATAAGGGATATTTTAAGTAGTGTAATGTGGCAACTCTAAAAAGAAGATGTTCCCCTCCCCAGGGTTTGTTGTTTTTTATTGTTGTAGTTGTTGATATTTGTTTAATATTCTTTCTCTGGACTAATGCTGTGATGTCTGTATTTTTTGTAGTGTGTGGCCACTGAAGTAACTGCTCAGTTAGCTTTTTAGTTGGCTGATTAATAATTGGACCAACATTTAGTTAAATGCTTTGAACAAATGTCTCCTAACCTTTGTCAAGTGATTTGAGGATATGTATTGGGGAATGCTTCAATGCTCAGGAAGGCTGTTTACAACTTTACTTAGGCCTTTATTCTGTGCTTGTTCAGAGCCTCAAGTTCAGCCAAAGTGAGAGATTTGAATCTTCTCATGTCTTTCAATTATATGGCCCTGTTTATGGGCATGCCTTTTAGATTCCCAGAAATGTGTCACAGCTTTTCAAAGGTCATTATAGAGGGTTCATTTCTAATTTTTTCTTCTTTTCTTTTTTTTCTCATTCATTTGTTAGCTTTAATATATTCCCGAGACTATGCCTCCTCAGGCAGCTTTGATATTAAACAAATTGTCATTGATTATTTTTGAAAAATGCCTCATGGATAGCACTGTTGGCATAGAGCAAGTTCTGAGTCAGGTCAAATAAAGACAAACCCTGAGAACTGGGATTTTTCAATGAGCTGCTAGGCAGATGAAATAGTGACAGTTCTCTAGCAATGAAGCTTTTTGAGGCACTCTAAACTTGTCTATCCAGTGGATGATAAGTGATTGGTTTTCACAGCTACTGTAGTTTTGAGGATGCTTTTTAAAAGTCCACCAGGGAGCTGTGGAAAGAGTGATCAGATCAGGGCAAGGTAAAATACCATAAACTCATAGTTTATTCAGGAAAATGACATTCCAAGGGAAAAATCCCTTGCAATATTTGCAAGCTTTTAGTTAATTTTCAGTTTCTCATTTCTTTTATAAAGAAGCTGATTTTCAGAGGTTCTTACTCCACCATTTGAAAACTGAGAACTACATATTTTTGAATCATGCAGTTTCTGATGTGTGAACATTATTTATTTATAAAAAACAATTTCATATGGTTCAAAGTAGTATATTCAATTTTGCATTAACCTGAGCCCAACTGCAGGCAATCATTTGGGAATCCAGTAATGTTAAGTGTAATATGGTCTACTTACTTCTTGCTAATTACAGTAAAAGTAAAGGCAGTCTCTCTTCTGATTCAACACAGCACCTTTCTTCATGTGCTGCTTTTCAAATGTATCCTGCATTATTTTCATCTAATTCTACCTGGTCTAGAATTCATAGATCTTGGTTTAAAGATCATTTTTGAATTTATGAGCAACCTTATGGACTGCATTTGCACCTGCTAAAAGTTTGCTTAAAATGCATACTTTTTATTTATCAATGGTCTTATATTGAGTGTTGCCTCTCCAATTCCCTTTGCAAAAGGCATGTGATGCTCTTTAAATGTTTGCCCTTATTTCAAGCACTGTCTGCTTAGTACTTGTGCATCTTACTTGCTAAGTTGAGTTACCTGTCTTGTGCCTCCATTATCTGCAGTAAAGAGCACTTTCTGCCAAGCAGTAGAGGTTGGAAGGTCTATGTATGCTCCCTGGCAGAGAAAGTCACTTCCCAACGTGAAAATAAATTTTTTTCCTGCATAACATTTCCTGTATAATGTGATTAACTAGTCCTTCAACTGACACACAGAAAGGAGATTTGCCATTTATTTGCTTTGTGCCCTATAGTGTGCAGGCTTTAGTTACCTACCTTGAAAGGAAATCCTTCTCTAGCTCTTTACTATATCCTGAAGAGAGTCCAAACAGTTTAGCATGGGATTTGTCCATTACTATTTTTCCAGTGCCTGGAACATAGTAGGTGTTCAGTAAAATATTTATTGACTGAATTAATTCAAGGACTTTTATTAACTTTCCAACCTCATTATTTCTTTAATAATCAGTCCATGCTCTGAGTTCAGTGGAGCTTTCTTCCATTTCCTGAACTCTCCATGTGCTTTTCACATTCTCTTTTTAAATTCATTTCTTCTGCCTTGAATGCCTTGCCCATGAGCCCCTTTTACCTATGGAAATTATGTGCCTCCTTCAAAACACTTTCTTCCTCCTTCAAAACACTTTCTTTATTCCCTGGCAGTGCTAATTGATCCCACAAGACATTATGTATGCCTCAATTTTATGTATCACTATATACTACCTTGTAGTCAAATCAATTGTAAAAATTATTACATACATGCTGTGAATCAGGCATCTCTTCTGAGGCATTTCAGATCCTCTCAGCCTCACTTGTCCTTTGATCCAGTCATCACTGTTGTGTAAACTAACTCTGTGTGGACTCATACACACTCCAGCAAGTATAAACTGCCAGCACTCTATTGATGCCCATGTCAGCCCCTTTCTCCTCCTGCACTGGATCTTCCCTCTGGATAGTGAGGCAATAAAGACTGCAACAATTCATTTGCGCCCGTACATGTACAATACAGAAGTATGAGCCGCTTCAGGCTATATGGGGCAAAACTCACCAATAGACGACAGAAATTGGTGAATAAACTTTTCTATCCTTTTCCTCAAGTATAGACTGCTCTAAAAAGTGTTGGCTAGATGATCTTTAAAGAGACTATCTTGTGAGATTAAACAGTCATTCACATTTAGTAGCTGACAGTAGTGCAATCCATAGCAAATTCTTTTTTCCTTTTCCACATCCACATCCAGCTATCCCTTTTCCTTCTGTTCCCAGAAATTTTACTCGCTAATAAAAATGCATACAAGCTTTTACCATAGTCTTTGGTTTCTGGGAAACCCAGACTATGACATAATACATACCTACTCTCAATTCTAGAATTAAAAAAAAAAATGAAGAAAATATAATTCTCACCCTGAAGGATAAAATTGGGGGAAAGAAGCATAAATTATTAGCCATAATTAAAGGTACCCTCTGAAATAATTGAACTAAGAATATAGTACTAAGGAAGCAGAAATGAAATGACATTAAATTCTGCTAGTTGACACAGGTTTGAAAGACTCAATACAAAAGATAACATTGAGTTAGCCTTCAAAGAATGAGAAGAATTATGCCAGATGGGTAACAGAGATGAAAAAGGGCAACAAAGACCAAGAAAGTAGCATGAGTGAAAGGAAAAGAGGTGGAAAACTGTTTTATGGACACTAGCTATTTAATCATTTGTATTCCATATTTGATTATAAGTTCTTTGAAGAGAAGGAACAAATAATAGGAACGTGGTAAAATTGATCCTTTTTTTCACTCACTGAGTAATAACTTGCCAAATTCCTGCTCCGTAGGTGAGTGTTGATTAGGTCTGAGTTCTTAGCTTACCTTTTACAAACTAAAGCTCCATGTGAATGTCCAAGTGTTATTTGCTATGCAATAGTAAATCAAAATCAATTTCTTTGTTATTTTGACAGCATTTTGTATTTGAGGGTGAAAACCAATGTTGTGTACATATTGCATCTGTGCAAACCAGCCTCACAGTGACTGCTGTAAACATTTATGTGAACAAGAATTTATGTGCAATCCTCATGTGCAGATTCCCAGGGTTAGAGGAAATGATTAGAAGGATATGGAAGATTTTAGGAATAGAGAAAAGTGTCAAGACACAGAAATGTTTTTGTGCTCACATCTTACCACATTAGATCTCTTGTAAATTTGTGGCTATATTTTTCTTACCATTCTAGGAAAATAAGACCTTGATATAGTTTGGATATTTGTCTCTGTTCAAATCTCATGTTGAAGTGTAATCTCCAATGCTAGAGGTGAGGCCTGATGGGAGGTGTTTAGATCATGGGGGTGGATTCCTCATAGCTTGGTACTGTCTTAATGATAGTGAGTGATTTTTCATACGATCTGGTCATTTAAAAGTGTGTGGCACCTCCCCCTCCATTCTCTCTCACTCCTGCTTTCACCATGTGAGATACCTGCTCCCCCTTTGCCTTCTGCCATGAGTAAAAGCTTCCTGAAGACTCCCCAGAAGCAAATGCTAATGTGTTTCCTATAAAGCCTACAGAATTGTGAGCCAGTTAAACCTCTTTTCCTATAAATTACCCAGTCTCAGGTATTTCTTTATAGCAGTGCAAGAATGTCCTATTACAGACCTATTGTCTGTATTATCTGTATTGTCTGTGTTGATTTATAAAAATCATTTTAAACTTCATTAAAAACATTTGATAGCACTGTGGTAAATGATAGGGCAGAAAAGGCAAGTCCATTTCTTCTCCTTTGCCAACATAGTAAATTAGTGGTGGCCGCTTTGAGCACAAGAGTGAGTGTGTTCAAGCCAAATCTAGGATCAGAATAAAAGCATTCTGTGATCAATAAGAAATGCCTGCTTCTGATGAGGGAGGGGTGTTGGCATGCACTTGCCTTGCATTTGTTCTATCCTTGCTGTAGGAGTGCAGGATCAATGAAGACACTTGCCCTCTCGGAGCGCATTAGTTAGTGATGACACTTGCAGATAACTAACTAACATAGCTTAACAAGGTGGGACTGGAGCCAGAAGTTGGAAGGCTTCAGTCATTCAAACTTTGAGGGACAAGGCTGAAGACATTTCAAAAAGAGTCACTTTAATCTATTTTGTATCTAGTGCTTTCCCACATAGTTACATTTGAAAAACTGCACAGCATAAAAGTATGTGAAAACACTGACATCATCCAACCCCTCTAAAACTTAATTTTCCAAATTATTCATTCATTGTCACCATGGACAGACTCTGTAATATTGGTTCTGTTTTTATATGTGTGTATTTAACCTCCCCTAGGCGAATATGAACTCCCAGAGACAAGGGTCATAGTATCTGCTTCATTTCACCTTCCACCACACTGAGGAGAGTGTTTCTGAATGAATCAGTGAAGAACTAAGGGGATTTAAGCTTATTTACCCTTAATATATAGTTAGACAGTTTCAGTGGTATAAAAGTTCTGAAAACAGGGGTGGTTAAAAAAACTTCGATAATTAAAAACCCTAGAAGAAAACCTAGGCTTTACCATTCAGGACATAGGCATGGGCAAGGACTTCATGTCTAAAACACCAAAAGCAATGGCAACAAAAGACAAAATTGACAAATGGGATCTAATTAAACTAAAGAGCTTCTGCACAGCAAAAGAAACTACCATCAGAGTGAACAGGCAACCTACAAAATGGGAGAAAATTTCACAACCTACTCATCTGACAAAGGGCTAATATCCAGAATCTACAATGAACTCAAACAAATTTACAAGAAAAAAACAAACAACCCCATCAAAAAGTGGGCGAAGGACATGAACAGACACTACTCAAAAGAAGACATTTATGCAGCCAAAAAACACATGAAAAAATGCTCATCATCACTGGCCATCAGAGAAATGCAAATCAAAACCACAATGAGATACCATCTCACACCAGTTAGAATGGCAATCATTAAAAAGTCAGGAAACAACAGGTGCTGGAGAGGATGTGGAGAAATAGGAACACTTTTACACTGTTGGTGGGACGGTAAACTAGTTCAACCATTGTGGAAGTCAGTGTGGCGATTCCTCAGGGATCTAGAACTGGAAGTACCATTTGACCCAGCCATTCCATTACTGGGTGTATACCCAAAGGACTATAAATCATGCTGCTATAAAGACACATGCACACGTATGTTTATTGAGGCATTATTCACAATAGCAAAGACTTGGAACCAACCCAAATGTCCAACAATGATAGACTGGATTAAGAAAATGTGGCACATATACACCGTGGAATACTATGCAGCCATAAAAAAGGATGAGTTCATGTCCTTTGTAGGGACATGGATGAAATTGGAAATCATCATTGTCAGTAAACTATCGTAAGGACAAAAAACCAAACACCGCATATTCTCACTCATAGGTGAGAATTGAACAATGAGATCACATGGACACAGGAAGGGGAATATCACACTCTGGGGACTGTTGTGGGGTGGGGGGAGGGGGGAGGGATAGCATTGGGAGATATACCTAATGCTAGATGACGAGTTGGTGGGTGCAGCGCACCAGCATGTCACATGTATACATATGTAACTAACCTGCACAATGTGCACATGTACCCTCAAACTTTAATAAAAAATAAAAAATAAATAAAAATAAAAAAAAACTTCAATAATTAATTCTGTTTCAATCTCAAAGACACCTCATGTTAGCATTCAGTGACTCCCTTACCTAATATTCACTTGAACGGCAGTATTTTCAAGGGCCATTCAACGACAGAGAGTGAAATTCATTGAATTTCACCTGCAAGGCTAATAAAATCATGGAATATTGTGCTTATAGAGAGACAGTGAAAGGCATGGGTAATTTAAAACAACAACAAAAAGCTCATTTGCCTTGACAGCAGGCAGACGAATCATCTAGCCTGGCTGCTTAGCGTTCAGGTTCACTTTGCCGTGGTCACCCAAGTGGCTTCCTACTCTTTGTTCTATGTGGAGGCTGCTCGGCCATGCTGTGCCTTCTGGCTGGGCAGACAGAATGCTTTCAATTTAGACCATGGAGCTCCCAGCTCAGGAAGAAGCAAAAATTTGGTCAAACCCAATAGACAAATGATTGCTTTTAGTTTGATTCCAAATGAGAATCAGTGCAGTGTGGCTGCTGATGAAGAGGGACTGCAGAAGGTAGAAATAAATTGATAAGATAACTACATAATTTTGCAGTCATTTGGCACCTGGCCAAGCTAGCAGGGGTCCCACAATAAATCGCAGTTGTAAGACTGAGACTGCTGGGAAGGCATGTAACAATTAGCATTTTCACTCAAGCTAAATGAAGTCTTCCTTTCCTTTCCTTTCCTTTCCCTTCCCTTCCCTTCCCTTCCCTTCCCATTCCTTCCTTTCATTATTTTTACGTTTTCTATCCCTCTTTTGCTGCTCAATTTCCACATGCAGCACGGCATTTTCACGAATACCTAGAACAGCCTACGTGAATGACTCCATTTAAAAATGTAAAATGTTTTTCACAGTAACCTTCACTAATACATCAGTCCTAAAGACTTCATAATGAAGAAATGTATCTGTGTGAGACAGGCATGTGATGTGCCTTTTGAATTCCCAAAGCTTTGATAAAAGAGGAATACATAGAAAACTTTATCAGGTTTGTAGGTTCTGACTTGAAAAATAAAGCAAAATAAATTAAATCTACCACTTTATTTTTGCTAGCTTATTGTTACTGAGTTGATAAATTATTCCTTCATAATTGGAGAGTTGTTCCCCCATCCAATTAGGAGAGTTAAGTGAAAATAGCTGTCTTGCAACGAAAAGGTAGATTATTCATCACAAATTATATCCTCAATAGGAGAGTTGGAGCGATAGATGAGCAAGTGTGAACGTATGTAATTACAAGAGGTTTTGGAGGAGAGAGTCGGCAAGAAATATATCTGCTGATCTCATCAGCAAACAGATTTTGGTAGATTGATAGATTAAATTCATGGCTCAATTTCTTCTCCCCTCCAAAACCCATGCAGCGTCCATGCTTTTTGCAATGTAATTTGCAGTTCCTCCTATTTCTTACTTACAAAATGTACTTTGGCTACTTAGATGTTAGCAGACTCCATGAAAGCAAAGGTTTGTAATACGTTTATATGGCTAATCTTGCTCTCTTCTGCCTTCGCAATTACCGTGAAAAATGTGCGCCCTTGGTATGTTGCTGGTCTAAGGACCTGGGGCTAAACTGCGGCTTGCACCCAAGCCCAGAATGGATCAACCAATCAATAGCTGATCTTCACATATATGAGTGATAATAAAGGACTGATGTTTTAAATGATTAAGTTTTGGAGTGGATTTTACATAGCAATAGCTGACTAATACATAGGCAGCATTTGGAAATAGGAGGAAAATTAGTTCAGGCAGGGTAAAACTATAAAAAGCTAAACAAGGATCAGGAAAATTACAGGATAAAGCCGGCACCAATATGTTACAGTCCATTTGGTTGAGAGCATTCCCTATCCTCAGTCTGCATAAAAATAAGGATTAAAGTAAAGAGGAGAAAGGAGGACATAGTGGAAGGTGCCTGTTGGGAAGTTCAGATAAATGTAAGTTTTTATTTATCAGCCTCTCCCTCTTTTGATGTCACCATGAAATCACCACCTTTTTTGCACATTATTACTAATAATACTTAGAGACTTTATATATTCTATTTAATCCTTACCATAATCTGGTGTTTTATCTTAATTTTACAAATTGAAAACTCAAATTTGGAGAAGACATGTAAATAGAAGGTGTCAACGACTATAATTTCTATTTTTTTTAATGTACTGATCTTTATTTTCTTTTTTTTGTTGTTGTATTTTGTTCTGCTGTTCTGTGTTCTGCACCAATCTATGCCATCCCATACTGGTCTATATACTAATCTTATTGACACTCTTCTTAAATTTTTTAAACTTTTAAAACATTTTTTTGCATTGTACCCAGAAACTTTTGGCATTTGTCTATAATATATATGTATGTGATTTATATATATATATAAAATATATATATAATATATATGAATAAATATATATAATATATAAATAAATATATATATATATTTAGCTAGGTTACTGTGTCTTGTGTAGACATGGTATGAGAAGAAGATAGAATGCCTCTGTCAGTCATCTAATGACCAACTCTAACCATATTTTAATTAAAAATCACATATGGTTATTCTTCTACCTGCTACACTGATAAATAATTTATCTAAGGTGGTGAGAACTTCTGAAGTTCAGATAGATTCATTTAATTAAAATAAGTGTTTAAAATGGCAAAGCTTATGAGACAATGCTTAAAAGCATAGTTTGAGTTTTCTAATGAAATCTCCCTACTTCTTATTAAAACGCTAGTGAATCTATGCATGAGCACATACACACAAAAATGCAAAACAAACAGAAAAAAATTACAATTTCATTCTAATTGCTAAAATATTGGAAGAATTACTAGAGAGCTCAGCTATAATGGAACTGCATTTAGACATTAAACAGTGCTACTGACAAGAAGGACTAAGGGGGAAAGAATTGGTCTTTCAGGGCAATCTCTCTGTTGCTTTCACTCTTGTTTTCATTTTCTGTTTCTCTCTGACTCAAACACAGAAGACCTATAACAAATTGAACATTAGGCAGATCTCCCGTGATGGGCTATGATGTTTTCCCAAGGAGCCCAGAATCCTATCTCATTCTTCTTCTCCTACCACTTGTGAGGGGATGAGAAAGGAAAGTGGTGTGTCATCCTAAAATGTAATATTCCCTACTTGTGAGAGCTATTTAAGTCATAGAGCAGTACATTTCAAAACTATTTGTACTTCTGGTTAAGAAGAAATAAAGACTTGGGAGGCTGAGGCAGGAGGATTGTTTGAAGCCAGGAGATCGAGACCAGCCTGGGCAACAAAGCGATACCCTATCTCTATTTTATTTTATTTTTAATTAGCTGAAAGTAGTGGTGTGTGCCTGTAATCCCACCTGCTCAGGAGGCTGAGGGGAGAGGATCCCTTGAGCCCAGCAATTCAAGGCTGCAGTGAGCTTTGATGGCACCACTGCACTCCAGCCTGGGCAACAGAGTGAGACTCTGTCTTGAAAATAAATAAATAAATAAAATAAAGACAACTTCATATGAGTGACACTAGCATATTAATGTCATTATCAAAAAGAGCCAAGAAAGAGTGCTGTTTTGCGGCATCCTAATAGTCTCTTAACCTGCAGTATGTTCTGGATCCACTGAGGTTTTTGAGCCAAGGCTAGGCCGTTTCTCTAAGCAATATCAGTCAATGACCGCAGGAGTATCCGATCCTGTGGGAGTACTAGGCCCACATCTGTCCAATGTGGGAATCCTCTATAGGCAATCTTTGCACTGGAGCTTCCCATTGGGTTGGCTGGGACTTTCTCAGAGCTTTGCTGCAGTATGGGGCCTTTCCTAGCGAAAACTCTGTGTTCTTCCCCCTCCCTTTCACAGGTCTCAGACCTATGGACTGAAGGTGCTCTCTGCCTAATTCTGCTTCTTTCCCCCTTTGGATTTCATGGCATTTCTCCTAATTCTGACTATTTCTCCTAATTCTCCTATTTCTAACTCCATCTTGGTGCCTGCTTCCCAAAAAGCTCAACTAATACAAGGAAGATCTAAGAATCTAGAACTGGAGAGAAAGGACTAGGCTGGAGATCCTGGTTTGATATTTTCAGCCCTTAGGAGGGGGTTGTAGTCATGACCAAGAATGATATCTATAGATTATGTGTGAGGTCCTTCTTCCACATAGCACCTATTGCACATTTAAGTTAAAGGTCTAGGACTACCCAACTTCACACTATGTACAGATAGATCTAGCTAGTCTCACTTCATCCTTCTTATTGTTACTTTTAGTCCTTGAGTAAAAGGCTTCCTTCAAACTCTGTAAACAAATAGACACCATTAGAGTTTGGGTCAATAATTTTATGCCCAATATAAGAAAAAAATACACAGCTACCCCTTAGAGAATGGTATCTAATTAAGGCTGTTTCTTAGTTGTTGATGAAGCATATTACCCATCTGTGGGTGATGTGGAGAAAATGTGACAATTGGGGAATTGGCCTTGCCACCAGCTAATTGTAGGGCCAAGAACAATCGTTCATCCCATAGCATTGATGGGGTAGATCCTTCCCCCAGTTGGAGGGCTCAGCCTCTCTCATCTGAACTTTCCACTGAATGAACTATACACAGAAGAGCCAGTTTCATTACAACTCTTAGTGCTCTGTTTCTCCATTTGTCCCTCTTGTCTCTATCCAGCCTCCCTTGATGGGTCCCACATCTTTCATATTGATTCCATTTTCAGAATTTCAGTTAGAAAAGTTCTTTTCCCATTTTAGCTCAAGAGTTCATAATAGGACTTGATTGTGTCATCTTATTTCTGTAATTTTATTAGGTTCAGAACAACTTTTGGGGGCATTTTGTCACATCTTTTACATGTACTCCCCGTTCAAGCCTTAATGTTGAAGTAAAGTGCTCTAAAGAAGACAGTGTCCTGCAGCAGATTAGAATAATTTAAACTCTAAAGCAGAGTTTGGCAAACTTCTTTTCCAAAGAGCAAGATAGTAAATATTTTACACTTTGTGGATCCTGTGGTTTCTGTTACAACTACCAGCTCTACCATTAAAGAGCAAAAGCAGTCATAGAGAAGGCACAATTGAACTTTATTTTTAAAAACATGTGGTAGACAAGATTTCGCCCATGGACTGTAGTTTGCCAACCTCTGGCCTAAAGCACAACCCAATACTTTTTAAATCCTTTAAAACAGAAAGCAAAAACATTTACAACATTTACATTGTAAATATATATGTGAAAAGTTATGTAATAAGCAATGAATTTTCTAGCAACAATTTTTTGGTCGTCTCAAATTTCTATTTATCTGACTATAAATTTATGCGTCATATTTTTATACTTTTACTTTTAATGAATTAAAATTGTCATTGTTGAGTGCAGGCTGCTATAAAATAAAACTTAGAATGCTTGAATTTCATGAAGCAATCCATTAGTTCTTGTCATTATGACCTCGTAAAAGTAGAAAATATTTTGAAAGCTGAATCAGTTTCCAGTTTATATTCATATGTACTTGTTTGCATTTTACAATTTTTTTTCCATCTTTTTTTATTAGTTTGAAAGCAAGGCCTATTTAAATTCTGGAGCTTTTCTCGGAAATTTCACAGTCCTCATTCCATGATGAAGGTGGTGACTAGTTGCCAGGGAGATGATTACCAAAGCTTCATTGAGGTTTGTGATTTCTGGCGGGAAATGAGCAGCAAGAACAAGTAAATTTTTTACGGCATTTTTAAATTTCAAAGCTAACCTTTAAATTGACCCTGTCATATTATCACCGGGACTATGTAGTTTTAATTACTTCTACTGGTTATAAGTTGTTGGATATTAATACTGAAGCTGAGCTGTCTGGAACACAAAATTAGATATACCCGTAGGCCATATCCTGTATTCAAACCTGTGTTCTCTCTCTGGGGAGAAAGAACTAGAAGAATGGCTTCTCAAGGTTTCTGAATGTTGTTAGGTTTCTTTGTAAATGAGAGATAGAAAATATAAATTTATGAGTTTTTGCCTCCTGACACATTTGCATTGGCAATTTTTAGGGTAGACTAGTGGGAAGAAAGTTGGATTGGTAATTGAAATTAGACTCAAGTTCTGATTGTGTTACATATCTCATTAGACTAAAGTTGTCAGATTTAGCAAATAAAAATATGGGATGCACAATTATATTTTTATTTCAGATAAACAATGAATACTGTTTTAGTATATGTATGTCCCATGCAATATTATACTAGAAATTATTCATTGTTTAACTAAAATTAAATTTTAACTGAGCATTCTGTATTTTATGTGGCAGCCTTTCCTTAGAGAAATCACATACATAATCTTTCTGAGCTTCCCAGTATTTTCACATTAGATTAGTTTTAATCTAAATACTTTTAGCTTTAATAGGATTTTCAAGGTTAGGAAAGGCTAACTGCTATAACAAGTGATCCTCAATTCTTAGTGACTTAATACAACTTGAGGTGTTTTTCTTGCTCACATCTCAGCCAATGGGGTTCAGTGAGCTGTCTTCCACATGGCAGCTTAAGGACACAGGCTCCTTTGTACAGCTTCATCATGTTTAAAATATGGTCTCAATAAAATTAAATGGTAAAATACACCCCTCCCATTGGTGAAAACCTGTCATGGTTACTACCTAGACTTAAGGTGCTGGTGAATGTTAAATTAACCATAGTCCTACAAAGAAGAAATGGCTTTTGTGCATCTCTAGCCAATTTTCACCACATGTGTTACTTTTGCTCATCTACTCACATTCATATGTCTGGCACTACTTTAGGCACTGGAGATAAAGTAGTGAACAAACTGGATAACTTTCTTTGGAAAGTTTTGTTCTAGTTGGAAGAGATAGGAAAAAACAAACAAAAAATAACTATATATCAGGTACTATGAAGAACAATACAGCAGTATACAGGGAAAGAGAGCTAATGGGAAGTGTATTAGACAGAGTTGTTGGGATCTTTGTGACAAGCTAATATCTGAGCAAAAGGAAATGGGCATGTCTGTAGAAAGAGCTTTCCATGCAGAAGAGGCAGCAAGTACAAGCCCTAGGGCAAGAATGCACTTGGTGTGCAGAACATTTAGAAGGCTGAGGTGGCCAGAGCACAGTGAGCAAGGCTGGGAGTGGTAGGAGAGTAGGTCAGAGACAGGCCATTGTAAGGATTGTGGGTTTTACTCTGAGATTTGAAGCCATTGAAGTGTTTTGAGCAGAACAGTGATATAAGAACAAGAAATCTTAAAAGTCAGTCATTTAAAACTTGTATTACTTTGTTGAGTATATACTGCAGAGTTTATGTTAAACTATCTAGGGCAAGGCTGTAGCAAAAGATCAGTCATGACGCTGTTATAATATTCCAGGTGACAGGTGATGCACCTGAATAGACATAGTGAAGTTGGTAGGAAGTGGATGCATTTTGAATACATTTCAGAGATAGAGAAGAGATTTGCTTAAGGTGTCATGTAACACAAAATGAAGAGGCAAAGCTTATACTGAAGTTGCAGGCATGATCCACTGGAAGAATAGACTGACATTTACTAACATAAGTCTATGGGAGGAACTAGTATAGGGGTATTAGAGATCAGGCGGGTTCAATTTTGATAAAGTTAAATTTAATGTGCCTTCAATAAGTTAAAATAGCCATTGAATGAGTTAGATTAGTTATCCAAGTGGAGAATTATATCCAGGATTCATTAGAGAGATTGAGGCTACAGGTGCAATAGAGTCATCATGGTACCAATGGCATTCAAGCCTTGAGATTGGAGATGATCACCAATGATTGTGGACAGAAAAATGAAGAGGTCCAAGGACAGAGCCTTGGAACACCCCAACATTAAGCTGTCAAAGAGAAGAAAAAAAAATCAGCCAAAAAAATATTGAGAATGTGTAGCCAAAGAGCAAAAAACTATTAGGAATATGTACGCAGAGAGGTAATTCAAGGAAAGATTCAATTAAAAAGCCAATGGAATCAAAACTTCAAATGCAACTGCTTGGTTAAATTATTTAATTCAAATTAAATAATTTTATTTAATCCAAATTAAAGTATTAGATTAAGCAAATTGAACATCTTTGGGGACATTTAAAGATGGAGAGATGGAGATGAAAGCTTAAG
The DNA here is from genome assembly GCF_000001405.40 of Homo sapiens. Taxonomy (NCBI): domain Eukaryota; kingdom Metazoa; phylum Chordata; class Mammalia; order Primates; family Hominidae; genus Homo; species Homo sapiens. The sequence goes on from NC_000003.12 coordinate 30,253,710, forward strand.
TAAAGTTAGGCCAACTTCCAGCCACTTGAACTAACTGAAGTTGGTTCAATATAGAATGGGAGGAAAGTAGAGGCACAGGTACAGATGATTCTGAACAGTTTCGCAGTAAAATAGAGCAGATAATTTATTACTTCTTTAAAGTAAATCTAAATTAGTCCCCAGTTTGCTTTCACTAATCCCATAATCATTTACTGCATGTCAGTTACATAAAAGGCATGACACCAGGTGCGATAGATACAAAGATAACTATGACATGCTGCAAGCTTGCTGCACTCATGATTAGGGAGAAAGAGGTGCAAACAAGAGATTACAGGTCAGTGTGGAATGTGTTAATGAAGGTCCAATTAGAGTGCTATGGTAGTGTGCTGAAAAATGGCAGTGACTCAGCCTTGGCTGGTCAGGGAACAATTGTTTAAAAGATACCTTTAAAAGATAATTGGGCTTCAGCAGATGGTTAAAGACCTAAGGATGTTCCTAGTGAGAGATATGGCATATGCAAAGTCTGGAGAGCATCCATCTCTAATTCTGTTGGATTTATAAATCTTTCCCCACATTCTATTGAAGTCGAGCTCCAGATACATTCTTCAGTGTTTGGAAGTCCTCCTCATCTTCCCACATGACTCCTCTAGTCCCTACACTTATATGCAACCCACAACATGCTTCGTTATTGCCATTCAAAGTATGGTCCTCATAACAGCAGCATCACATGTGAACATTTTAGAAATACAAATCCTTGGCTCCCATCCCACACCTACCGAATCAGAGTCTCTGGCGGTGGTACCTAGGAACCTATATTTTAACAAATCCTTCAGGTAGTTCTGATGCAGCTAAAGTTTCAGAAGCAACTTGTCCAGGTGCCTACAGATTTCTTCTTTTTTAAAAATTTTGCCCTTCTTAGCATTCAGAGGAAATGCTCATAATTAGGGTTACATGTTCACTAATTTAGTCTTTCCCTATCTACTGATAAAAAGTTATTTTGTTCTGAGTTCCAACATGCCATTAGCAGACGCTTCCATGAAAATAATCAAGTAAGTAACCACAAATTCCTAAAGTGTTGTTCTTTAGGGAGTACTTGCATTTTAGCCAAATTTTGAAAGGACATTTCTGCTGAAGAAAGCTGAAGTGAGAGATATTTGCCTGTGTATATATCTAGAAAAAACTTTTTTAAAATTTTGTTTTTTATTTTAGATTCATGAGGTAACATGCAGGTTTGCTATGTTGCATAATGCTGAGGTTTGGCTTCTAATGATACCATTGCCCAAGTAGCAAACATACTATCCGATAGGTAGTTTTTCAATCTTAACCTCCTTCCCTGCTTTTGCAGTCCCCAGTCTCTATTGTTCCCGTCTTTGTGTCCATGTGTTCTCAATGTTTGGCTCCCACTTATAATTAAGAACATACAGTTTTTAATTTTCTGTTTCTGTGTTAATTGACTGAGGATAATGGCCTCCACCTGCATCCATATTGCTGCAAAGGACATGATCATGATTTTGTTCTTTTTTACGGCTGCATAGTATTCCATGGTGTATATGTACCACATTTTCTTTATCATATCTACTATTGGTGAGTACCTGAGTTGGTACCATGTCTTTGCTATTGTGGATAGTGCTGTGATGAACATATGAGTGAAAATGTCTTGTTGGTAGAGTAACCCCATTACTGGGTATATACCCAGATGAATATAAATCATTCTACCATAAGGACACATGCATATGAATATTCACTGCAGCACCATACACAATAGCAAAGATGTGAAATCAACATAAACACCCATCAATGACAGATTGGATAAAGAAAACTTGATACACATACATCATGGAATATTATGCATCCATAAAATGAATGAGATCCTGTCTTTTGTGGGAACAGGGATGGAGCTGGATGCTATTATCCTTAGAAAACTAATGCAGGAGCAGAAAACCAAATACTGCAGGTCCTCACTTACAAGTGGGAACTAAATGATAAGGAACTTATAAACACGAAGAAGGAAACTGAACACTGGGGTCTACTTGAGGGGGAGGGCTGAAGAATGGAGAGGAGTAGAAAAGATAACTGCTGGTTACTGGGCTTAATACTTGGATGATGAAATAATACGTACAACAAACCCCCACGACACGTATTTACCTGTGTAACAAACTTTCACATGTACTCCCAACCCTAAAATAAAAGTTAAAAAAAATTTATTTTCATTTGGGTATATACCCAGTAATGAGATTGCTGGGTCAAATGGTAATTCTATTTTTAGTTCTTTGGGAAATTTCCAAATTGCTTTCCACAGGGGCTGAATTAATTTGCATTCCCATCAACAGTGTATAAGTGTTTCCTTTTCTCTGCAACTTTACCATCATCTGCTATTTTTTGACTTTTTAATAATAGCTATTCTGACTGGTGTGAGATGATATCTCACTGTGGTTTTGATTTGCATCTCTCTGATGATTGGTGATTTTGAGCATTTTTTTTTCATATGTTTGTTGGGCTCTGGTATGTCTTGGAAAGATACTTTATAATAAGACTCAGGCACACCAAAATTTAGCACCTCACATCATTGATCATTGAATAAAACCTTGAGACAACCATCAGCATTTCATTAATGAACGTTTATTAAGCACTTTATTTAATGAACCTCCTAGGCTGCAGGAAAGAACAGCACAATTACTTTTATAAGTTATAAAAAATTCTTGGATCCTCCTACCATCTTTTCTAAGGCCTACTCATTCTATTTTCCTTTGAAATAATCTAGGTTTAAAATAAGTCTTCTTATTTCTTACTATTCTGAAAAATGTCAATTCAAAGCTGAGCAAGATGGACTTTCCACTTTTCAAACAGATTAGTATCCCTGAGTCATTTTTAGAAGCTCTGTAAGGAGGATCAAGTGTGCACACTTAGAAAATGCCCTCAATCAAAGTGAGGATCATACACAGTAGGGCTCACCATGAGTGTCCCTGGAATGTGAACTATTTTCACAAGACTGTCTCTTCCTACTGCTATCTTTCTCTTTACGTGCTATCCTCACCACCCCCAGAAGATTCCATGTATCTCACAGGAATCCAGAAGCCTTATGTTTCACTGCAAATGACTCTCTGGAAAGTAACTAGAAATAATAATAGCTACAGCTATTACATTTACTATATTCCAACAGCTAAGTGATTTAGAAATGTTATCTCATTTGATCTTTGCAATGGTCCATGAGGTAATTTTTATTAGACTTATCTTAAAGAGGCTGAGAGAAGTTGAAAGAAACTTGCTTACTCAGATAGCAAACTCAGGTCTACTGAACTCAAAAGCCACGATATTTTTTTATTTCACAAATGCTCAGTCTGTAACATGCCATTTTGCTGCTTTTTCCAGGGATATTTGTGTTTAGCATAATCTGTGATAACAGAATGGGTTTGTACTTCCTTGAAGGAACTTGGACACTGATGAACAGGTAGAGATGACCTTATTTGGCTGGCCATGGAAGCCTGAAATCATGCTATGGGTATTTGTTTTGATACATGAAAATAAGACTTATGGATAAATGATGATGACAGAGATGTCTTCCCTGTCAGAGTGAAAGCTTTCTGTAGATCTTTCTCCATACAAGTCAAAGCATGTCCTTAAAACAATTAGGAACCTCTGTTTTGGATAGAAGGAATTATTTTCACAAATCGAGTGTTGTAACCTCCCTAAATTCTATCATTTTCTGGAAGGAATATGAACACCAGAAAGTTTCCAAATACTCTCAGCAGTGTACAACTGTTGGGTGTGAGTAAACCCAAGCCAAGTGTGAACCATATCAGCTTTAGCATGTGTGTTAATTAGCATGTCAGATTGAGCGGCACAAAGGTTTGACATCCAGAAGTTCAAATGTTGACTCTACAACCTTCCAGGCACATCTCTTAGTCCATTTTTGTGTTGCTCTAACAGGATCCCTGAGGATGGGTAATTTATAAAGAAAAGAGGATAATTTCGCTCACAGTTCTGTAGGCTAGGAAGTATAAGAAGCATGGCAAGGCCATCTACTCAGCTTCTGGTGAAGGCCTCATGCTGCTTCCACTCTTGGTGGAAAGTGAAAGGGAAGTGGGAAAGTACAGAGAGATCACACGGCAAGGAAGGAAACAAAAGAGAGAAACTGAGGAAGCCAGACTCTTTTTTAACACCATGCTCTCATTGACTCCCACAGGAGGGCATTAATCTATTCATGAGGGAACTGCCCCCATGACCCAAACATCTCCCATTAGGCCCCAGCTCCTAACACTCATGCACTGGAGATAAAATTTCAACAAGAGTTTTGGAGAGGACAAGCCATAATCAAAACATAGCAGTCTCTACATCTTGCTTTCTTCATTTGTAAATGAGGATGAAATATCTTAGAGCTGTCCTGAGAACTGACACATGTAAAACACTTGGCTCTGTCTTCCTCAATTAATGGTAGCCGCTGTCATTATGACTATCAATATATCCTGAATGCAGACATCCACAAGACCCTAGAGGTTGCTTCTATAAACTTCTGGCCCCAGAAAATGGATACCATCAGTTTGTAGGTAATACTGTGAAGTCAGTGGGTTAGCATGCAGATAATGCTAGTAAGAATAAGCAGTATTTTTGAGCATTTACTATGTACCAAGTCTTGTACTAAACATTATATATAAAATATCTTATTTAAGCCTCACGATGACTCCATGCACGCTAGTGTTACCCCATTTTACAGATGATGAGACTGAAGTATAAGAAATTAAGTAAATAATCCAAGATCATACAAATGAAAAGACATGAAACTGGAATTTGAACAAAGGTCTGAGTAGATGGCTGCGGTCTTCACCAATGAGCTATAAGAACAAATATTTTTAAACTGCTTGCTAGAGGTAATCTCTTCTTTATTAATGCAAGAGAGCATATTATTCTTGGCTTTTGTCTTCAGATAGTTTTATAAAATAAACACTGAGCACTTCTTGCATTGCTGAGATATTGTCTTGTTAGTGAAGAAGTATTATCAGGACACTCAGAATCAAGTATGGTCCCATTTTTATTAGTTGTATGGATTCTTTACAGCTGTTATTGTGAAATCATTCCCATTCCATTAATATAGGACAGATTATAAATTGGAGTGGTCTTACTGCTTTTATTTAGTGGATAGAAGGGAGGAGGCAAGGGAGATAAAGAGGGCTATAGTGTAACAGATAAATCTATCCCTTCCATTACCTGCGCTGGAAGCTTAAAATGCTCCAGGAAGGTCATTTGTGATGTAAACAGGGACAGTGTGCACAGAGAGCTTTTTACAAATCTGCTGTTTACCTAAGAGAGGCACCCTGTGGGTTATCCCAATGGAATTCACTTTCCTGTTTGGTTTACCATGGAAGGGAAAGGAGGCCTAACAAACAGCCCTTCGGTTTGCTCAGCTGTGAGATATCCATTAACCAAGCAGAAGTTTGCCTGCACACACTGTATGTTTGCACAGCTTGCAGTACCATCTTTTCAAGACCCACCATTGTCTGGAAAGCACTCCAAAGTCCTAAGTCTATAATAAAGCAAATAGCTTGCACAGTTATTACTGTCAGGTTCACTTTTTACACTGTAGCCTATGAATGTCATCAGTTAAATTAAACCTCAAGAAGACCAAACACAGTGCATGAAGGTTAAATATGCTCTTGTGTTTGTCGGCACATTAGCCACCAAGCCACTTTCTCTTCAAAGTGTCCTTCAAGACACTTTCTTTCCAAAAATCTATTAGAAATTTGATTATCAAGTTCAGATAGAGAAAAATTCACTCTCTGAGTTTTATTGAGAAACTTTTCCCTAGCAAGTAACCATAAAGCATTTTCCCTTAACAGTTCAGATTGAGTCCGTAGCAGAATGATATCCATAGCTAGCAATTATTTACATAGACTGGCTTTTCAAAACCACTTGCCCATGTATTTTCTCATTTGCTTGGAACAAGTATCATTATTATTATTTAATTTTTCTCAAGAGAAAACTATCCTCAAAGTGGTTCAAGGATTGTCCTAAGATTATTCACCTAGTAAGTGGTAGAAAAAAAGCTTAGGTGCCTGTAGTTCTGCCTCCAGGGTCTTTCCACTACTCATCTTCATATACAAATCTACTAGATCTTGCTACTTAAAGTGTGGTCCAAGAAGCAGTAGCAGCAGCAACAGCGATGGCACAGCACCACCTAGGCAGCATCTCAGACCCCACCCAAGACCTACTGAATCTGAATTTTTTTTTCCTTCTTTTTTTAGAGATAGGCTCCTGCTGTGTCACCCATGTTGGAATGCAGTGGCATGATAATAGCTCACTCTTACCTCAAATTCCTGGGCTCAAACAATCCTCCCACCTTAGCCTCTTGAGTAGCTGGAACTACAGGTGGCACCACCACACTTGGGCTAATTTTTTTTTTTCTTATTTTGTAGAGACGAGGTCTTGCCATGTTGTGCAGGGTGATCTTGAACTGGCTTCAAGCAATCCTCCTACCTCAAGCTCCTAAAGAGCTCAGATTACAGGCGTGAGCCACCGCGTGGTCCTGAATCTGCGATTTAAACAAGATCCCCAGTTGACATTAAAGTTTGCAAGGTACTCTCATTAAGACTCACAGGTATAGTGGTATCTCCTTTCCTCAACTAAATAATATATCAAAATATTGGCATTTGAAATATTGAGTGTTAAATACCAACAGGGTAGCTGAGACCATGCCATTTCTTAGGACATTATATAGGTTTGCAGATCTATAATTTCATCTTCACTTCTTGAAAATCTCATTTTGGTACACAAACAACTGTGTCCACAGTTACACATACACTTATCTGTGCAAGAAAATGATGCTGTTTGTCTCTACCTGCTTGGGTAACAATGTTCATTTTTATTGGCATGGTAGATTGTGAGGGAGGAGCAGTAAGCCATCTGGAGCTTGAGCCAGATATTCCATTAGGGGCTTTCTAGTTGATGCAAACTTTTAAATTAAATGTTCAATGTCAAGTAAATGCTTGTGAAATTGCAATTCTCCTGCCATATGATGTGCTGCTTAACAACGGATTATACTTGCTGTTCCTAAAATAAATTATCTATTGGAAATCAATGTTATATCCAATAGCTTTGCTGATAAGCAGTTAAATGAGCTCACCATTAGTCATTTAAATGTCTTGGTTCTTATTTTTCTTGCCTGCAACATTAGATCAAATAATCTCTATGCAACTCATCCAAGTTTTATCACAGAATTGGAATTTTAAAGTTTCTGAAGATTTGTAGAGCCTGGAAGGACAAAGTGAATTCACAACCAAATAATATCTTTCCCCCTGCATTCTTTTGTGAATGGAATCCTCTGGCACTTCATTAATTGCACTTAAAATAACTGTTTCCTTTATTATTCCTAGCATGAAAGAGTCTCTAAAACTCTCTGCAGTGTAGTCCAGCTCAGTCCCAAAATGAAGTATACATGATTGAATGTCAAGACGTTGCCGAAGCATTCCGAGAAATTCACCATATAATTACAGGACTAGGTTCTGGTATATTAGAGTAGGTGGCCTGGAGGAGGAGCTTGGTGGTGAAAATTTACACAATGGCAGAAACCTAGTTTCTGAGTAGGTAAATTTGATACTTGTCCTTTTGTACTAGGAGTATTTTTAAAAAACAAACTCCAGAAGAATAGCTCACTCTCAGTTTTTAGGGTGGTTTAGGCCCTCTTATTCTTGGTCAGGACCGACACTTCCATCTCAGTTTTCTGCCCAAACACGGTCAATCTGTGAGCAGACATTTTAGATAAGACCCATGCTTCTGAGGTGAAAGTGGTGCTACCTAGCTGGTTTTGGTATCTTTGAGGAGGCACCAGCATTCTAACCTCAGATACCTGTTACCTGGGATTATCATAAAAGGGAAGTGGTATGTGTAGGGAATTAAAGAGTGTTAGAAAGAAAGAGAAAGCTAATTCAGAAGCCCAGGCAATGCTGGATTGGATAAAGTCCAATAATGCTTAGCACAGGGCCCAGAATATTCCAAATGCCATGTTTATAAGTTAAAAAGCTGATATAATTTTACTTCATTTAAGGTGGTAGATTCTGCCCTCCACTTAAGTTAATGAGTAGGGGAGGCATGTGTGCTTCATGGTTTAAATGAGAGCAATAATGGGAAGAGAGCAGCAAAGCCAGGGCTGGCACAGCAGCTTCCATGAGAAACGGTAGTCAGGGTCCAAGGCACAAGGTCTCTCCATGAGTCCTCCAGCTTTCCTGGGTCCTCCATTTGTCAGGTTTGAGGGAGTCCAGGCATTTCCTATTGAAAGCACTTTTAGTGAAGGAAAGGCTCCTAAGGCTTGTTAAAAGAAAAACTTTAGACAAATTAAATTTAATAGGATTTAAATAAGCAAAGAATGATTCACAAATTGGGAAGCCCAATCCCAGAACTAGAATAGGGTCAGAGCGGTTCTGGCACTGCTGCATGGTGGGATCAGATTTATGGCCTGAAAAAGGAAAGTGACTTACAGAAAAGAAAAGGGAGGTACAGAAACAGCTGGATTGGTTACAGCTCCGTGTGTGCCTTTAACACAATTTGAATAGTTGGTCGCCTATGATTGACCAAAATTAGGTGATTGGTACAGAAGAAGGTTACAGCCTGATTGCACATCCAGTTAGGTTACAGTTTACTATGGATGGAGAAACCTTTAGACTGAACCTAAAATATGTTAGAAGGCAGCTTTAAGCTAAACTTAGTTTAACAGACTGAATATGTAGGCATTTGCTCAGGTCAGTTTTCCTGGAATTTAAAAATAATCACAGAAATCTCATGATTGCACAGGAATCCCAAGTGTTGGCCACCAGCTCTTTCTCCCTTTTCTTTTTCCAGTCTTACAATAGAAAAAGCATTTCATATCAGATACCAGTATACACATACATGCATTTATATAAAACTGAAACAAAAGGTTCATAAGATAATATCCTCATTACATGTGATCTACTGATAGTTTTTTTAAACCTGATTAGACTCTACTTTGTTATGAAGAAAACAGAAACTAACCCATAGTTAACCTTAGATCTGGGATAAAGGGGCCCTTTTCTCATGGGGGCCTCCAATTTGTCCACTTAGGAGGTGCTTCCTGGCATCACAAACTCCTTCTCTGTAAGCCTCTGCTGGCTCTGCTGCTGATCATGCCAGTAACTTGAGGCAGAACTGCTGCCACTATGCTGGTGCCATCAGAAAGATGATGTAGACAAATCCCTGTTGCCCTTGTTCCCATCAAAGTGCAGCCAGCAAAATAGAAACCATACCAATAATAGTAACAGATAATTTAATATAAAGACTTTTGAAGATCAGAAAAAAATGATGTATAGGAGGCAGGACTACCTTGCAGCTCCCAAATGGACAGAACAGTGTGTCCCACTCAAACAGACAGAACAGTGAAGCTCCCACTCAAATGGACAGAACTCACATCATGAACTTTTGCTCCAAGAACTACTGCAGGAACATACCAGGAAAACTGAAAGAATTCACAGACCCTTTGAAAGAAGTGGCTTGCTGCTGTAAACTCCATGAGTCAGCCAGAAAACTGAATGCCCAAAAGTGTGAGAGGGGGATCTCCGAACACAAATCCTTCTTGGGGAACCTGAAAATCCAGATCATGGGAGAAAGATTTAATCTTACCTAGAGCTGGAACAAATTTAGAGAACCAAGGGAAATATAAAAGTAGAAGCAGCAGCAGGAAGAGCCCTATAGGCACTCTTGGTCCCCAGGGAAGCCATTTCTGACCTTATCTCACAGGGTTCCTTGGGGAGGGCTGCTAGTGGAATTGAAGAAGGACTATAGGGAGAAGGAAACTCCCCGCTGAACTTTGTAATAATTTTAACCTAGCACAAACTTTCCTGGGCAGAATCATTGGTGAGATGAGGATGGCAAACAGGAAGTGCAGATATAAGCATAGAAGCTGCAGCAAGTAGACAGGGGTGAAGCCTGGAAGCCCTGCTTGTTTTCTCAGTAGGGAGGCTTGTAGCCTGGGACAAGATCTCAGCCTTGTGCACTAGCTGCCTGGATATAAACTCAGTGCTATTGGTGAGGCATGGTGGAAGTGAGACTGACCTTTCTGGCTGTGTGGGAGCTGGGTGAGCCTGTCACTGACAACTTTCCCCCACATCCCTGATGACTTGTACAAAGCAGCAGAGGTAGCCATAACCGCCCCTTGGAACATAACTCCATTGACCTGAGAACCACATTCCGAACCCCCACAGCAGCCACAACAAGCCCCGCCCAAGGAGAGTCTGAGCTCAGACATGCCCATCCCTGCCCCCACCTGATGTTCTTTCTCTACCCACCCTGGTAGCCAAAGACAATAGACAAAATACATAATCTTTTGGGAGCTCTATGGCCCCACTCATCACTTGAGAAACCCGAATGCTTATCCAGGCAACATTAGGGCAAGCTTGTATCCCCCACTATACTACCACTGCTGATGCTCTCTTGATAGTGCCACCTGCTGGCTGGAGGCCAACCAACTCAAGCCATTACAGCAACTCATAAGTGAACAACCCCACTCCAAGAAAAGAGAAAACAACTGCTAATTCCACTGCCTGTAACTTCGTGGCTAACCAGCGGTCCTGAGTCTGTCCATGTGACAACTTCGCTGCCAGCACAACCAGCATTTGAGAAAACCAGCACACTAAAGAAAACTACAACCAAGGACCCTCAGAGTCTGCTTTACTCCCCTGCTGCCTCTACTGGAGCAGGTGTTGGTATCCACAGTGGAGAGACCTGAAGATGGATCACATCACAGGACTCTGCAGACATTCCCCAGCATCAGCCCAGAGCCCAGTAGCTGTGCTGTGTGACTAAACCCAGAAGAGAAATAACAATCACTGCAGCCCAGCTCTCGAGAAGCACTATCCCTAGAGAAAGGGGGAGAGCACCACATCAAAGGATTCCCTCATGGGACAAAAGAATCTGAACAGTGGCTCTTGAGCCCCAGATCTTTCCTCTGACACAGTCTACCCAAATGAGAAGGAACCAGAAAAACAATTCTGGTAATATGACAAAGAAAGTTTCTTTAACACCCTGAAGACCACACTAACTCACCTGCAATGGATCCAAACCAAGAAGAAATCTCTGAATTTCTTTTCCAAGAAGAAAAATAATTCAGAAGCTCAATTATTAAGCTACTCAAGGAAGCACAAGAGAAAGGTGAAAACCCACTTAAAGGAATTAAAAAAAAAACAGGATATGGATGAAGAAATCTCTAGAGAAATAGATATAATAAAAAAAAATCCCAGTTTTTGGAAATGAAAGACACACTTATAGAAATGCAAAATACACTGGAAAGTTACAATAATAGAATCAAACAAGTAGAAGAAAGAACTTCAGAGCTCAAAGACAAGGCTTTTGAATGAACCCAATCCAACACAGACAAAGAAAAAAAATGAACAAAGCCTCCAAGAAGTTTGGGATTATGTTAAATGACCAAACCTAAGAATAACTGGTGTCCTGAGGAAGAAGAGAAATCTAAAAGTTTGGAAAACTTATTTGAGGGAATAATAATAATAAAAAAATACTTCCCTGGCCTGGCTAGAGATCTAGACATCCAAATACAAGAAGCTCAAAGAACACCCAGGAAATTCATCACAAAAAGTCTTCACCTAGGCACATAGTCATCAGGTTATCTAAAGTCAAGATGAAGGAAAGAATCCTAAGAGCTGTGACGCAAAAGCACCAGATAACCTATAAAGGAAAACCTATTAGATTAACAGATGATTTCTCAGCAGAAATCCTACACACTAGCAAGAATTGGGGTCCTATCTTAAACCTCCTTAAACAAAAGAATTATCAGCCAAGAATTTTGTATCCAGTAAAACTAAGCTTCATAAATAAAAGACAGATAAAGCCTTTTTCAAGGAAAGCAAAGTAATTCTTGATGCTGCATCCCAGCAACTAGCTTCTTCTGAGGCCTCTTAACCATGAGAAGTAAAGGTATTCTTCCTCATTTTCTTGCTCAAGTAAGCAGGTAGGCACCATTTCAAACACACACACACACACTCTCTCTCTCTCTCTCTCTCTTTCTCTCTCTCTCTCCACATATATGCACAAAATAATTTTCAGAGACAATAAAGTCTAGAGCCATGTTTCTGCTATAGTTTAGGTGTTTGTTCCCACAAATCTCATGTTGAAATTTGATCTCAAGTTAGAGGTAGGGCCTAATGGGAGGCATTTGGGTCATAGGGATGGACCCCTCATGAATAGATTAATGTCCTCCCTGTGGGGGATGGGGGGCGAGTGACATTTCCCTCTGTAGTTCCATGAAAGCTTGTTGTTAGAATGAGCGTAGTAGTGCCTCTGTCTCTCTAGCTTTCTCTCTAACCAAGTGATTTCTGTACAGCCAGCTCCCTTCACCTTTCACCATGAGTGGAAGCAGCCTGAGGCCCTTGCCAGAAGCAGATGCTGCTGTCATACTTCTTGTGCAGCCTGTAGAACCATGAGCCAAATAAACCTCTTTTCTTTGTAAATTACTCAGGCTTAGGTATTTGTTTATAGCCACACAAATGGACTAAGACAGCTTCTCTACCAGGGGTGATTTTGTCCACCAGAGAACATTGGCAAAATCCAGAGAAAATTTTGGTTGTCGCAACTGAGGGTGGGAGTGCTGTTGTCCAGTGAGTAGAGACCAGGGATGCTACTAAGCATCCTACAGTATTCACCACAAAAAAATTATCCAGCCCAAATGTCATTAGTGCTAAAGTTAAAAAACCATGGTCTAGATATATAATATAATTTACTCTGCAAAGAGTCCCTATTCATAATGATACTTATATTTTATACTACTTAATAGAGGGAGGTGGAATTCACAGCATATCCACATGAATCCTCTCCAAAGAAATATTCTCTACCATTTCAACCTCATTCTTGGCATCTCTGACTCCATCGGTAAGATAAAATGGGTGGTCTGCTAAGAATCTCAAAGTTGGTTCTCATGTAACTTCTCTGCAGTCCTGCTTTGGCAATCTAACGCCATGGCATAGGAATGTGGGTGTATCTGACACATTAATGCTTTGATGCTTTGTACTTTTCCAGATGGCTACAAAGTAATGTGTGGCCCATTTCTAGAAGTGTTCAAGAGACCACAAAAGCATCTGTCAAGGAAGAAAGTGAGGGGAGTTCTTTATGGCCTATTGAGTTTTCTCCAAACACTTGGAGTATCTGATTGCTTTCACAATAAGTCTGTGAAACAAAATGTGCATGAGCCAATGTGTTGGAAAATCAGTGGTCATAGGCACTGTATTTTTACTGGGACTGTAGTGTTGGTTGACTCTTACCAGAGGAATAAAGACTCTCTTCCTCAGCCCTGCTCCTACAGCATAAGATGCTCCTCTAGTGGAGGAAGACGTTCAGGCTCTTGGGTCTAAAAAGCAGCAGCACTGTGCACAAATGAGCATGTTCAAGCCTTGGCAGGATTCAAAGAAGGGTTTTCTGCTAACCTTGCCTCCCTGACTGAGCAACATCTTACAGGTATTAAATTACGAATGCTTTGAGAAATTGCTTTGAAAACAGCCCTGCAGAAATCCAAAGTAAAGCTGGTATTCCTCAAAGTGTGGCATAAACATGAAGGAAACACTATCCCAAACGCATCCACAGGCCTTCAGAGCATGGGCTAATAGAATGAGAGCTTTCTGGCAGTTAGAAATCAGAAGAGTTTAGGAGAAGGGAGGAGCCTGTGGCTTAATTTTAGCCCTATGGTGCTTTCCTCTATTTTACTGGAAAAGAGTTGAGGTTGACGTGTGTTTTGTGTAGTTTGTGTGGAATTCAACAAAGAAGGGGGAAAAAGCAGCACTTAAATGGGTTTCTTACATGAAGAAATAAATTCTACTTTCTCTGTTTATGGAGTGGGCAACCTGTTAACACACTGCTGGCTGAATTACCTTTGACTTAAAACATCTGTAAGCAATAAATTCAAGTTTCATCAGGTAACTCATAGGGAAGGCACTTTTCCCTGCTCTTCATTTCCACCGGTTTTGAATGTGCATCATAATCACCTGGAGGGTTTATTAAAAACACAGATTGCTGCATTTCTGATTTAGTAGGTCTGGAGTATGGCCTTGGAATCTGCATTTCAGGTAAGTTCCCAGATGATGCTGATGCTGCTGGTCTAGGATCTCTCTTTGAACCTAAACAATATGATCAGATTTACTTTAAACCAGAGATTATTCATGGCACGTCTGAAGTCTGGGAATCACTGCTGAATGTGGAAAGTGCATGGCCAGGTTCCTGTCTCCTTGAGATCTGGCTACCTCCTTGTATAACTGCCACACTCTGTATGGACCACTGTTGCCGTTACAGCCCAAAGGCTTCTTTCTCTTGAAAAACTTTCAGACATAAGTCAGATGAAAGGATCTCAATCTATGTAGGCCCTGCTTTCCTGTGTGTTTATTTATTACCTTATTCTCCATAGACCCTCCTCAAGTAATGGCAAGGATGGCCATCAGCAGCTCCAGACTTACCTTCTGCCAGATTTGCAGACTGAATGAAGAGATACTTTTTCCCAAGCAGAGTTCTCATTGGCTGACTTGGGTTACATGTCAACTCCCGAACCAATCACTAAGATAAAAGGGATTTAGTATTTTCATTGGCCAGGCTTGTTAACATGCTCAGCTCTGGAGCCAGAGGTAGGGTTACCCCCACACAAGCTGCATGGTAGACAATAGGAAAGGTGTGGTTTTCCAAAAGCGGGAGATGGGTTATGTTATCAGGAGAAAGAACTAGGCAAAGAGAAACTACGTATGTCCATGACAATGTACTGGAAGCAAAGACAGGTCAACTCATTTTCTTGGCAAGCAAAATGTTCACAGAGAAAATCCAGCCTCCTCTTGGTACCAGTGAATGAAACAAATGACCAAAGAGCTTACGAAACTAGCCGAGGTTTACATAATTCTAACATAATAAGTTAGAGGAATAATGGTCCCACTTTTGTTTTTGTTGGTTTGTTAGATTTTCATGCTCTCTAACTGTTCTAGGGCCTTCACTATTGGGGATCTGCCTGAGCCTGTCCTGGTGAGCCAAGAGTCAAAATTCAAAACCAGTTTGTTTTACCTCTCTTCAGTTCCTGCTGATAGGATTGTAGCAAGTTTGGATAGCACATTAAGGTAAATAGATACACTAGAAAGTTAATTACTCTGTTGCGGGGGCAAAATATTTGCATATACATCCTTGGATGTTCTCCTTCTCCAAAAAGCTAGAAACTACAAATAATAAATACAACAATGAATATTTCAGATGCTGTTGGCAGAAGATGCCACTTCGAAACAGAAAGTACGTTCAATCAGATCATATATTCATCCTCTGCATAGCATCTACTCTAAAAGAAGATGTACCATTTTGAGTAAGAGGAGGTAATACAGAAAAACATTCGTGAAGCATTATCAGGTGAATATAGTAGTTTATAAAACAACATATATTACATGACCTTATTAATGCCAAAAAATATGAGTATAAACACAAAAAAGATGTTTAGAAACCTATTAAAAATGTTAATAGTATTTGTATTTGAGCATTGGGATTATGAGTTTTTTTCTTTATACTCTTATAAAGGAAACCTTATAATATGCACAAACTGCTAGTAAAATGTATGCATGCATGTCCTCAATTTTAAGAAACTATTGATTATAAGAGCACTGTAGAAATATCAGCTTCTTAGTTTTAAAAAATTACTATTATTTTATTACCTTTTAAAATTTTTAACCAATTGTCTGACTTATTCTTGGAGGGAAATAATAAAAACTTAGGTTTTTTTTTTTCAACCAAAGGGAGAGGTAATAATATGAGATCACACCTTGGTTACAAGTTAATGATCATATTCTACACAATGTAGATATGTCAGCATTTTAAAATGTCCACATTAAAATAGATATCTGCCATTAAAAATAAACATAAAGCACTTGCCAAGGTTGTAAATTCACAGACATTGAAATAAATAACTAAAACTGAGTATTTTTAAAACCGTGAGGTTTCTTGACAATGTTCATAGACCAACCCAAAAGCCACATAAAAATAATGCAGGAATAAAAAGAGAAAATGACATCAGCTAATTTTTACTTGACTTCATCATAACATGTCTGTTGGGTATTGCACATGGATACTACAAAGACTAATGACAACTCGCTTTTGGCAGCCAAGGTCATCAACAAAGAATCTTAAAGTTAACATTCATGTGTTTCAAAAAGAGTACTGCATGTACAAACACCAAAAATGTCTAAGTCTGATGGTGGGTGCCACGGTTCGGTTCCCAAAAGCAGACTAGAGACATATCTATTAACTGCAAGTGAATGAGAAAGTGAGAGCAAGTGAATGAGGAAGTGAAAGAGGAAAGGAAAAGTTGTCCGTAAAGGGTGATTATTGAGCCACCTTGCACAAGAACGAAGGGAAATTAACTCCATGGAGAAACTTTTGGAGAGCGGAGGAAAACAAATACTTTGGAATTATCCCATTCAAGGGGTGAGGGAACTTGGGTATTCGTGCATATATTCCAGAGAGCGAATGGTTGAGAACTGCTCCTGAGGATCATTAATTACCTGGATCTCTGGCCTGTGACTCATGCTTCTAGGAAGAGAAAACTTCCGTGACTCTGAGAAAATAAGTCCTCATGCACAAAGATGCAGACTCAGGCTGATGGATGTCAGCATGAGGGCACTGACAGGTCCAAGGGAAATAGATGGAGTAATGGCAGCGTCTGCTGCAATGGGTCCATAAGGAATATAGTACATTTCCTTCTTATCATTTACAAACATTTCTTACAGAATGCATATCCATTTTCCTTAATCCAAATGGTCATATAATTACTTGTTTTCTGTGTTACAGTTAGTATTATTGCCTGGTAGGCACTTCTGGCAATAACGATTCAAGATCTCTTTGCAGTAACTCTAGAAATCTTAGGTTGCAAATTCTGTTTTGACATTTTCTTTTCTTTTTCTTTTTTCTTTTTTTTTTTGAGACAGAGTCTCACTCCAGGCTGGAGTGCAATGGTGCTATCTTGGCTCACTGCAACCTCCACCTCCCGGGTTCAAGCAATTCTCCTGCCTCAGCCTCCTGAGTAGCTGGGATTACAGGCACACGCCACCATGCCCGGCTAATTTTTGTATTTGTAGTAGAGACAGGGTTTCACCATGTTGGTCTGGCTGGTCTCAAACTCCTGACCTCGTGATCCACCTGCCTCGGCCTCCCAAAGTGGTAGGATTACAGGCATGAAACACCACACCTGGCCTTATTTGACATTTTCAAAAGTAGTTTTCTGATTCTTCTACAGAAGCTTTGCTGCCATGCAATTAATTCACAGAATGACTTTTCTTCTTTGAAACTGCCAAGTTGAGGTGAGTGTCAAAACCTACATTATTAGGCAGCAGGTACTTTGAACCTGTAGTCTATGTGGTCTCGTATCTTCACTAAGTCACAGTATCTGAGCATGTATGTGCAGATGCAATGGCCATATACGATATAAGATTCATCAGAATTGAAGACCCAACAGATGACAAAACTGGGATTAACAACCCTCTAAAATAAGAAATAACTACCCTCTTAGGACAGAGGAAAACAATCTGGCTCAGTTACAAACACGTTGGCCATTTAATGCAGAGAAGACAAAAGCAAACTTTTTTCTTTTTTTTTTTTTAAAAGTTATTTGAGTCATCATCACTACCTTTCAACTGCTCAAACCCAGAATCCCTTCACCATCAAAAGAATTCACTATTATTATATATACACACAGTCATCAGGATTTCAGAAATGCTAAAATATAGGAAAAAGTCTGCATCTTTGAATAAAGAAGGAAAATAACCTATGCAGAGAGAGAATTTTTTTAAGCAGTGTACAATAGAAATCTCTTGGGAGATAAATATCTTCATCTGAGAAAATGCTTTAATAAACCAAAGAGAAACAGGACACTCCTTGCTGGGTATCAGTGTGGCCAAGTAACAAAACTACAAGGTAGGATGGGATGGAGTTGCTCTACATAATAGAAGATACAGTTTGAACCCCTGGACAATGCAGAAGAGAAGGATTAAGAAGCAAGGCTAAGAGGAACAGAAGAGGAGTCAAACCAATGAAGCTAGGTGGTGGCTGTGTGTGGACAGTAAAATTCTACTGTGAAAGGGTAATACCTACTTGTTTGTTGAGAAGGTGTTTTCGTTTCTAAAAAGTAAATTCTTACTTTTGTGTCCTAAACGATGTTCTCCTCAGTTCAGGAAATTCCATGATTCTCATTATTAGTTTGACATGTTTTTTTTTTTTTTTTTTTTTTTTGCTGGAAATGGAAAGAAAATAAATGAACTGGGATTCAAGCCAAGATGGATGTCGGGAAGGATAGAGATAGCACCTGAGGTTTACAGACCTGGGAAGCTGCAGTGGCTCTGAAACTATAAGCTCCACCCAGAGATGGCAGTGAGGATGCAGTACCTCCATACCCAGAGAATTGAAGGGGGACTGACCCACTTGTATCTATGTACTAAAGGCTTAAGTGACCTTCAACTGAAATTTGACATATATTTATGTAAGTGTGTGTGCTGCTTACCAGTCATCTTACAACTTCAGAGAAAACCTTATTTTTTTCTTTAGGAAACTTCTTATAAAAACACATACCATATATTGATGGCATTTAAAACATAAGTACACATTTTACATATTCCTATACAGTGGGGTTGCATTTTTGCCACTTTTCTTGAATTGCCCTGCAGCCATAATAATTGGTTTTTATTATTTACTATGAGTCAAACCAGTTTGTCAATCAATAGCCCTGAGAAAATGCTAAATGAGAGGAGGAAGAGAGGAGATGGCAAGTGGCCTGTTTTAATTTTTGAAATTATTATTGCTTATGTTTTACAAAATAACTAGATTTTTGTAAAGTATAAAGATGTCACAACCCTATCAGCATGAAGAATGTAGAGAAAAACCTAAATGTCAATGATCATGAAAATATTGTATTTCTTACAGGTGATGTTTATGTTTCATTTTTTGGTAAAAATATGAGTATTGTGATGATACATTTAATAGCTCACATATGAAACCCCGTGGCATGTAGATATTAAATATCATTGCTTATTGAACTATTAATAATTTAGTAGGTTTTTACAATTAACTGGATTATCTATGATAAAGATATAATGAGAAGAGTGAATTATTGGTATGTATTTTATGGTATAGCTTATATTAATTAATTAACTGCATGCTTATTTGATTTTTATAAAAGTATACTGCCTATAAATAAGTACTGAAACATTTCTGTCATAATGTGTGCCACATTTTTAACTGTAGTTAGCTTAGGGTGATGAACTTATGGATGGTAATTCTCTCTCTTCTTATTTTCCTAATTTGTTCCAATTTACTATAGGAGAAAAATGTCTTCTTGAGTTTTAACTTGGTTGTGTTTATTTTATTTAAATGCAGTGTATAGGAAAATAATCTGGTACAAGGTGTAGAAGAATTATAAGAGCTGGAGTCTAATCAGTGCTCAGCAATTTATCAGTAAGTCATCTAAACTTTCTACACTGGAGTTTAATCATCTTTAAAATGGAAGAATGACCTTTCTTTTTTGAAGTTCAAAGAGTATGCTTTGTTTTTGTTCCATTCATTTGTACGTATTTATGGCGCACATGTGCAATTTTGTTACATGCATAGATTGTGTAATGGTCAAGTCAGGGCTTTTAGGGTATCCACCATCTGAATAATATACATTGCACTCGATGTTCAATTTCTCATTATCTGCCCCCCACCCTCAACCCTCCCAGTCTCCATTATCTATCATTCCACTCTCTATGTCCATGTGAAACGCTTTTTAGCATCCACTTATGAGTGAGAACATGTGATATTTATCTTTCTGTGCCTGGTTTATTTCACTTAAGATAATGATCTCCAGTTTCATCCATGTTGTTGTAAAATGCATGATTTCATTTTTTAAATGGCTGAGTAGTACTCAATTGTGTATATATACTATGCTTTTTTTATCCAAACATCCATTGATGGATACTTAGGTTGATTCCATAATTTTGCTGTCATAAACAGTGCTGCAATAAACATATGACTGCAACTATATTTTTGATGTATTGATTGCTTTTACATTGGGTAGATACACAGTAGTGTGGTTGCTGGATTGAATGGTAGTTCCATTTTTAGTTCTTTGAGGATTCTTTTTACTGATTTCCATAGAGAGAGGCTGTATTAATTTACATTCCTACCAACAGTGTGTAGGAGTTCTATTTTCTCTGAATCCTTGCCAACATCTGTTATTTTTTGCCTTTTTAACAACAGCCATTCTGACTAGGGTAAGATGGCATCTCATGGTGGTTTTGATTTGCATTTCTCTAATGATTAGTGATCTTGCACATTTTTTCATATACCTGTTGGCCAGAGAATAATCTTTTTATCTCCTTATGAAAGAGGGGACCATGTTTCTCTATTTTTTTCTGTCTCTTATAAGGCTGTTGCCTATCACAGAGGCAAGCTTGTGCTTAATAAATGCTTGGTGTTTAATACTTAATAAAAATGATAATTATAATAATATCAATAATATATATTTAGTATTAAAATGATAAAAATAAACATGCTTGTGTTTAATAAATATTTGCTGGCTGATTCAAGGAATGAGGCATGCATGAATGTTTTGAACTACTCAGCAAGAACTCAAGCTAAGGGATAATTATTATACAGCCATGATTAAATAGCTCCAATAATCAAACTGCCAGAAAAATCCCTAAATGGTCATACTCTGTTGCCAAGAAAGGGTTAATCAGCTATGTCCTGTTAGGCGAATTACACCACCCAGAAGTAATTGCTATGAAGATTTTGATGTTTTTCTGTAGGGGTGTGTGTGTGTGTGTGTGTGTGTGTGTGTGTGTGTGTGTGTGTGCGCGAGAGAGAGAGAGAGAGAGAGAGAGAGAGAGACAGGGAGGGACAGAGACAAAGAAGGAGATATATTTGTGTATGTTTTTCAGAGGCGTGTGAACCAGAGCAACTCCATCTTAAATAATAGCTAGGTAAAATGAGGCAGAAACCTACTGGGCTGCATTCCCAGATGGTTAAGGCATTCTAAATCACAGGATGAGACAGGCGGTCAGCACAAAATACAGGTCCTAAAGACCTTGCTGATAAAACAGGTTGCAGTAAAGGAGCCAGCCAAATTCCACCAAAACCAACATGGTGATGAGAGATACCTCCAGTCGTCCTCACTGCTACACTCCCACCGGCACCATCACAGTTTACAAATGCCATGGCAATGTCAGGAAGGTACCCTATGTGGTCTCAAAAGGGGAGGCATAGATACTATACCCCTTGTTTAGCATATCATCAAGAAGTAACCATAAAAATGGTTGAGGAGCCACCCTCAGGGCAGCTCTGTCCATGGAGTGGCCATTCTTTTATTCTTTTACTTTCTTAATAAACTTTGCACCATGGACTCACCCTGAACTCTTTCTTGCATGAGATACAAGAACCTCTCTTGGGGTCTTGATCGGGTCCCCTTTCCTGAAACATATTTCTGGCAACCACAGAAGGGACTATAGTGCAGAAACCCTAATGCAGCAGCTACCTTTGGGAAAGTAGTGAGGTCCAGTAACATCTTTCTTGTGAACCACAAAAGGGACAATACTGAGGAGACCCCTTGACCCAAAGGAAATAGACTGCAGCACTTATTAGAGGACTTTGGGTAAATGGTGGGGTACTTGGGCAAAGAATGGAATTGGGTTAGAGGCCCAGCTTAGGGGAGTTAGAGTCTCTTCCAAGAACGAGTGGGTTAGAGGCCCCTCTTAATAAAAGGCAAGGATGCTTGACTGACCTTGGGTTAGACACCCAAATTAGGAGGGTTAGAATCCCTTCTAAGATTTAGGGAGTTAGAGGCCCCTCTCAGTAAAGTCCCTCTCAGCTAAGAACAGGTTTGGTACTATGAGATGTAAACTGCTATACTCTTTGGATTAATCTGCCTTGAACTCTTTGCTGATGGCTGTGGGTGACAGGGTTAGGCATGTGCAAGATCGTGGGACATGGGGAGCCTTTTCCTCCTTCAAAAGGAGAAACTTGAGAGCTGATGGGACTGCTGGAAAAAATTCCCTTCACAACAGCAGTTGCAGCCGCCTGAACTTTTCAGTATCGCTGCAATGGGTAGGTCTTTCTCTGGCCTCCCTGAGCATTTCGCCTTCCCCACCCTGCCACAGACAATGCTTTTCTCTCTCCCCTTTCCCTTTCTTAGCTTTTCTGTTACTCAGGGCAACCATCTTGCCCAGAGACCACGTGTTGAAAGTCCTGGACTGAGGCTGGATTAAAGATGACGGGGGCCATCTGGGGGCAAATTTAGGCCTTGCCAATTTGGTATTAAGTGCTAAGCAGAGTGGCTAATGTGTATGTTTTGTCACACATACTTTGCTCTGGCCAGAACAAAAAAAACGTAATTTTCCTTTATGATGAAGCTTGCCCCCAGGGCGATGGTGCCACAAGCTGGATCACTAGAGCTGCTCAAGGAAAGGGAACTCAGAAGCCTGGCATGCTGGCAAAAGGGTAAAAATTTCTTACCAGTCAGATTTCTGGTTTCTCTCTCTGTGCAAACAGTTGAATGAGAGGAAAAAAAAAAAGAAAATCAGTGTATATCTCTTCTGTAAAGTCTTAATTAATGCAAAAAAGAATTCTAAGGCTAGTCTTAAGCTGGTGTATTTTGCACTATGAATTCATTTTTCTGTGTTGAGGGGTACTTCAGGATAAAACACGGGCTTAGAACACCTTTAAGCCCACTTTTCAAGACAACCCAGCAAGCTGGTCAGTAACAACCTTGGCTGCAGGTCCCTGAAACAAACCAAAAAACTGCATGATGTCTCCACCTTGTTTTATGTCCTTGGGGGCTTGACCTTGTAACCATGTGGCAGTACTTTCTCTTGGTCTCCACCTTCCAGGGAACAGAAATTTTTGGGTTCATGTCATAGTTAGCTCTAAAAATCATATTAAATAGTTAAAAGCCTTTCCAAGCTCAAAATTAACTACTCTAGACTCCTTCCGGGAAAGGAAATGGAAGCTGCACCATGCTGCAGCTCAGTAGCTAATGTTTTGCATTTTCACAGTGGTGGTCCAGGTTCAATTCCCCACCTAAGAAGTAAATCATTTCTGGTTTACTTATCTGCGTGATCTTGTCTATGTTCTTCTCCTCCATGGACTGCCTTAAATTTTCCTTTCTCTAAGCACCTGGGAGGTTACCTTTGGTAAAGTTCAAAAGCCAGAAATATTGGCCGTTTGACGTAAGAAATTCTAAAAGGATGTTATTAAAGAGTGCTATGGTTAGAATCAGTTTAATTAGAAGTGGATATTCAAGCTCTAACAGCCTGGACTCCTTGGGAAAAACAAGAGGCACCAGAAAACCCTTTCCTGGCCCTGTTCTTCCAAGGGCTCCAACCTAAAGCTAGTAATCCAATTAAGAAACTTAAAAACTGGCAAACGAAAAATCTTACAACCACTGTAGTAATCATATTTTGTCTTTCTGTGTAGCTATATATGTGTTATGTGTAATGTTTACATAAAAGAACTCTAATTAATTGGCTGAAACAAAAATAAATGCTTAAATCAAATATTTTAAAAGCAAAATAAAAGCTGTAATGTCTTTTAGTTCATGTAATTTTAGTAATCTTTGGGAAATAAAAACAGCTTTACAAATTATTGATAAAATAAAAACATTTAGTCTAAATTATGTGGGTCAGATATTAAGTTTGCTAAATGCTTTAAGGTCACAAAATGCTTCTTTAACTTTTAAAAATTGTTCAATTTACCTACCTTAAAACCATTAGATTCTAGATAAGGCCTGGGGACATGTGGAATTAGCCATGCCCCCTAGCTATACAAAGAAGATTATAAAGAAAGAGATTTTATGTAAGAAAGGATCTTGCATGGTCAATTCTTGCCCTAAAGTAAAATGACTAGTTGTTTAAAAGGAGGGATGTTTAGGGCAAGTCAGAAAGTCCAAGAATGTCTCAGATGGTCTGTGTAAGTCATGAAAGGATTTGTGAAAGGGGATTTATGTAAGAAATGTACAATTCAAAGGTTGTCAGGCCTCCTGAATACTTCCTAAAATGCCACTATGACTCTTACTGTACAACTTGCATGCTTAAGTAAGGTAAGTTCTGGGGACATGTGGAGTTAGCCACACCCCCTAGCTATGCTGGAGAGTCAGCCCTTACCTGCACTTCTGCATGGTGTGTCCTTGGCTAGGCTCCACACCTAGTACATAATTAAAATTGCTTACTAACCAGGGTTTTCACCAAAGTAACTTTCGCTAAAAGTTAACATTGTAACATGTAATTGAGACTATAAAAAAAACAGTTTCACATGTAATGTGTGTGTAAGGAAAGTAGAATGTACTTTTGGTAAATATTATAAGAAGGCATGGGAATATGTTTTTTTTCCTAAAGGGTTAAATAATGTTTTAAGTTAGATAGAATGGAGCTAAAGGCTTGCACAGTTATGGAAGGTTTGTAAAAAAATAATTGTAAAAGATTCTGTGTGTGGACATTGGCTAAATTAAAGGGGTATTTTTCAGTATTTCTATAAATTAAACACTGGAATAAAAGCACAACAGGTTTTTCTTAGAGCAAAAACCTGCTTATGAAATGCTCTTTAACAAAAATTTGTAAAGGGTTATAAAATGTTTATAAGAATCTTATCTTATGGTTAAACATTAAAACTGGGTAAATATGTCTATAACATTTTCTTAAAACTTGGGTTTAACATTAATGCTACATTAATGTAAAGGTAAAATTTGGCTTGTTTGGTACAAAAATCATACAGGAGGCATTGTCAAATATAAACGGGTGTTTAGTTTTCTTTGGGCTGTATTTGCATAAATGTGTTATTAGTACATATTCTAAAATTATGAGAAACTTCTATAATTTTGATAGATTTAGTGTACATTATCAGGAACAATTATAATTGTTACATAAAATTATTGTCTGCCATGGAGGTAACAAATTTCTTTGTCAATTGTTTCTTTGACTGTGGCTGCCCTAAAACATTTTGTCATCCACAGACAATTGTTGTCTTGTGTTAATCTTCTTTAGAAGGTGGTTTATAATCAACTATAGAATGCTAGAAGGTCTTCTTAAATGCAGGTTTCTAATAACTTTGGAAATTGTAACATTAGAATAGAGAAAATAACTTTCAGAACTCTCATGAAGAGTTGGAATGTACATGAATATCAAATGGAATAGGAGTTAACTGAATTAACTGAACCAATAGAAAACTTAAGTAATCTTTTGAACTTTGCTTAAAACGCTGCTGATGCTTAGTTTTGTGTTTCAGAGTCAAGGATACTATCATTTTGAGCTATTCATAGCTTGTAGGAATTGAGTAAAGTATATTGCTGTGAACAAAATTTGGAACATATTTGTTTTTCTCTACCTAATTTTTCCAAAATTTAGGAAACTAGTTGTGAGTTTTCTTAACTTATGGCAATATAGTTATTTGCATAAGTGCAATAAGAATCTGCTCTTGGCTGGGCGTGGTGGCTCATGCCTGTAATCCCAACATTTTGGGAGGCCAAGGTGGGTGGATCACCTGATGTCAGGAGTTTGAGACCAGCCTGGCCAACATGGCAAAACCCTGTCTCTACTAAAAATACAAAAATTACAGGCATGCACCTGTAATTCCAGCTACTTGAGAGGCTGAGGCAGGAGAATCGCTTGAACCCAGAAGGCAGGGGTTGCAGTGAGCAAAGATTACACCACTGCACTCCAGCCTCCAGCCTGGGTGACACAGCGAGACTCCATCTAAAAAACAAACAAACAAACAAAAAATCTGTTTTCTTTTGTAACAGGACACAATTGGAGAATTTTTTTTTTTAAACCAAGGCTTTAACTGGAATGGTGTGCTTTCCTTGAAGGAATCAGCTTGACTTATAAAGCCAATAAAAGCCCCTTAAGGAATTGGCCACAGACCTTGTCTGCAACAGTCCCTATACAAGATTTCTCACCTGTGGTAAGTAAAGAATGTCACTTTTTGACAGGTCCAGAAGCCCCAAGTTATCTTGGGACCCCAAGAGGAGAGGCATTTACTCAACTTATAGGTATTTGAGGGTACAAACCCATGGCTAAGCTTGGCTTTAAAAAGTCTCATCTAAGATTCCTTCTATAGAACAGAGTTCCATCAAAGCCAATTTAAATAGAGTCTGTGTGAAAAATAATTATTCTTGCTGCACTTTATACAAATAATCAGGCCAAGCATAATAAAGGAAATCAGTCTTACCATGAATGGTCTTCAGTAAAAATGGGAAACTGGAGAGCAAAATATTATGTTTCAAGAACTATGGTACACTTTTTATTAAATTCTAGTCTCATTAGTTGTTTCTAAGTTTGTTTCTGCAATTTAGGCTAACCCTGCTTATTCCTGTGAACCAACCAGTGATCTCTGGCTGCTGCTCAGAAGAAACAAGAGGGATGGGTAATGTAAAAATCTGGATCTGTATTCTAATTCTGGACACATTACAATCAGCTATCAACCCCATATCAGCTTAGTTCAACAATTGCCCAGTTCATGAAAAGCCTTCTAATTTAGTTTACTCGGAATAACTTTACTTATTTTGCTTTGCTTTTCTGGAATATATTGCTTTTATACTCTTTGTGCAGGAATACTGGACAAGCTTGCTGAATGTTTTCTTAAACGCTTATTAATCTTCCAGATATCACCTTTTGTTGAAACTCAAGAGTTATAAATGGATTTACCATACTGATGCTTTCTTACTGAGCTTCTCTATACCCTGAATGCAAGAGACCCTCATAGTTAGGCAGGAATATCATCACCTCTATTCAGCCTAAAGAAGTTACAGAAGACGGATCTTCATCCCTCTGCAACCCTCAGGATTACGGGTTCTCTTATAAAACAGAGGGAGGAAATATCAGTGGCGTGTGAACCAGAGCAACTCCGTCTTAAATAAGAGCTGGGTAAGATGAGGCAGAAACCTACTGGGCTGCATTCCCAGACAATTAAGGCATTCTAAGTCACAGGATGAGATAGGAGGTCAGCACAAAATACAGGTCATAAAGACCTTGCTGATAAAACAGGTTGCAGTAAAGGAGCCAGCCAAAACCCACCAAAACCAAAATGGTGACGAGAGTGACTTCTGGTCGTCCTCACTGCTACACTCCCACTGGCGCCATGACAGTTTACAAATGCCATGGCAACATCAGGAAGGTACCCTATATGGTCTAAAAAGGGAAGGCGTGAATAATCCACCCCTTGTTTAGCATATCATCAGGAAACAACCATAAAAATGGGCAACCAGCAGCCCTCTGGGCTGCTCTGTCTATAGAGTGGCCGTTCTTTTATTCCTTTACTTTCTTAATAAAATTGCTTTCACTTTGTACTGCAGACTCGCCCTGAATTCTTACTTGTGTGAGATCCAAGAAGCCTCTCTTGGGGTCTAGATAGGGACCCCTTTCCTGTAACATATTAACATATCATGCTTTTTCCTATACAAATAGGATCATACCAACTACATCCCTGTAAATTTTAATTTTTTTTTTTTTTTTTGAGATGGAGTCTTGCTCTGTTGCCCAGGCTGCAGTGCAGTGGCACAATCTTGGCTCAGTGCAACCTCTGCCTCTTTGGTTCAAGCAATTCTTCTGCCTCAGCCTCCCGACTAGCTGGGACTATAGGTGTGCACCACCATGCCCAGCTAATTTTTGTGTTTTTAGTAGAGATGGGGTTTCACCATGTTGGCCAGGCTGGTCTGGAACTACTGACCTCGTGATCCGCCCACTTTGGCCTCCCAAAGTGCTGATATTACTGGTGTGAACCACCATGCCCAGCCAAATTTTAATTTTTCATTTAACATATCATAAGCATCTTTCCATGTCAGCACATTCATTTCTACCATATTATTCTTAATGACCACCCTTTGTGGAAGTATCACATTTTATTGGTAGGTATTTAGTTTATTTTTTGTTTCTAGCTGTTAGAAGCAATATGACTTGAAAACTCTTGCACATCCATCTGGGCCTTGAATTAACCATCACACTCTCAGATTCCTTCTTTGTACATATTTCCATCCTTAGGCAGAGACTGTTGCCTGCACTTACTGCCAAGCAGGGAATCTGACAGACCTTCTAGCAGATGGTCTCCTATGTTTCTCCACTTGGGGTCAACTGATATTTGACTAAACTGAATGGCCAATTAAATTCAGAATTAGATTGGCTTTTTCCTCTCATTTATGTAATTTGCTGTTAATCCATGTGGATTAAACAATCGAATTTTATATTTTGAACAGATATTGCTTTCTTTATATATTTTGTCTTTCCTTTCTCTACATAAAAATCCCATAAAATGGCATATATATAATAAATATATTGAATAGAAATTATAGATATATTGAATTATAAATATATTGAGTATATTATACATTCAATATACATTGTATGTAGATTAAATTGTAAAAATTTTATTTCAATTTTGAAGGCTCATGAACATTCTCTACCACTGATAGAGCCAGTCATTTTGCATACATAATCTCTAGTAACTTTCCCGAGGTCACATGGCTAATAGTGGCAGAGCAGAAAGTAGAACTCAGATTCCTAGTTTATGTTTGTTGTTTACAAAGACAGCACTGCTTGTAAAAAGAGGAATGATGAATAATACTGTACTTAGCTTCAGAGCCCAGCTCAGTTTTTATTCCAATAGATTAAAGTACATTAGTAGCCTTTCAAGACCTTGCTTAATTACAAATAGCCTTTGATGTCTGCTGTATGTGTGCAAAATCCCTTTGTAGGGAAAAAAGAATTTAAAACCATAAAAGCCTTTAGTTCTGACACGATGAGACATACTTTTTAACACTGATTCACATCCAAATTTATTCTAGGATGATTCCTGAGGCAGCATCTAAATATGCAGACTCGGAGACAACCTTGCTGCCAGCAGGGATTAAAGAATTTGTGAGTCACTTCTTGTATTCTAGAATGGCTGACAAAGAAATAATGTGATTTCAGGGTTGATAGCAGTGGTTGAATGGAATCCCCTGGTGGGAGGTGGGAGTGGTTGGTGGCTTGTACTCTTCTACAACCCTTTAAAAAATCTGCATAGACTTGGGGTGAGATCACCTCATTAATTTCTTTCTCCAATTAAGAATATTCTCATTTCTTTTTTTCTATTTTTACTTTTTAAATACCAATTAATAGATTTCAACAGTGTTTGGAACATAGAAGGTACTCAATAAGCATTTTTTTGATTGAAGAATGAATGAATAAATGAATTTATTAGGCATACCAAGCATGTGCCATGTTTTGTTTTCAAGCATGTGCCGTATTTTGTTTTAGGCCCTGAGAATATAGCAGTGAATGAAAAGTCCAAAAATCTCTGCTATGTTATTACTCTTACATTTTAGTAAAGAAAATAAGGCAGCAAATTAAAAAGCAAAATGTATATCTTGTGAAATATTGATAAGAACTTTAAAGAAAAGTAAATCTGGGAAGAGGAAGATGATACAGAGGATGTGAGTGATGTTGAAATTTTACAGTGGAATTGTCAAGAAAGGCACACCTGCCCCTAATATTTGTAAGTGTGTGGGCAAGAATACTAATGGGGTGCACATACCATATATGTCAATATTTTACAATTATAAACTAAAATAACCAACTGTTAATTAAAATATATTATATCTTCCTGAAATACATCTTCATAATGACAAACTTGAAAATTATGTATAAAGTTATAGCTTTTATATGACACACAATATCAAACATTATTAAATTTCATTATCAATATGTGTTTCTAAATGTTTTGTGGCCAGCCATGTTTAAAGACAAATAGAGACATACATTATTAATGACTTTTTATATGTTTGTTTTATAAAATGTATTCTATTTTTTTCATTTCAGAAAAATCTCCATCTAAAGAATCTAATATTTGACATAATTTTGTTCTGATCATCTAAGGGGCCAGAAATTAAAATATATGCAATATTAAACAAATTGAGTATTTTTAAATCAAAAAAGTAAATTAAAATTAATGTAAAATATTTAAAGATAAAATTCTTTGACATATGCTTAAAATATTTTATTCTAAAAAACTTGAATTTACATAAGTTAAAAAGTAAGAGGCAACTATAATTAGTGAATATCAATATTTTACACTGAAATTTATTTAAAGCTGAATTTTAAACATTTTATTGAAAATGTAACTAAATATTTTAAAACAGTTTTTTGAAATAAAATTATCCATAATTTTAGCTTTTAACATCTGTCTAGATTTCAATAAATAAAGCTTACATATTTCGTATATGTTTCATCTAATCTTACCTACATACAGATTTTAGAATAATATTAATATGAATTATTTGGTATCATAAATTTTTTCTCAACCACCAAGGACAACTATTGTGAAAATTATGTGAACTCGTGAGTATCCTTAGAACCACTTAATGGAACATAAAAAGAAATAAGGAAATGGACTTTCAACCTTATTATAAAATGATATTTCATTATGCAAGATATTACAGCTTTCATATATTCTGAGAGGACGAATTTAACAAGATGATTAAATTATTGTTTCTCTTCCTCAATATATTAATTATATGTTGGCATATAACTAACTACTCTAAAACTTAGCTCCTCAAGACAACAAACATTAATTATCTCAGTATCTGCGGGGCAGCAATATGCATATATTTTATCTGAGTGCGTGTGGTTCAAGGTCCTTCCCAAGTCTTCTGTGATTATTCCATGGAAGCATTAGTTGGGCTGTATCTCATATTTCAACTGGGGGAAAGATTTC
Organism: Homo sapiens; assembly: GCF_000001405.40. Lineage (NCBI taxonomy): Eukaryota > Metazoa > Chordata > Mammalia > Primates > Hominidae > Homo > Homo sapiens. Next base: position 30,284,409 of record NC_000003.12, read on the forward strand.
TAGAGCCATTCTTAAAATGGGACAACTAGCATAAATATGCCCAACTATGTTCAGCAACTGTATCGATGCTTTACCAAACTTCCTCTTAGCTGAAACCCGCAAATCTCTGTGGCTACTCTGGGGACACTTGATATGAGGGACAATATAATGGAGGGGTGTCAGAGTAGAAAGAGAAAGTGATTCACCTGTAGTTAAAATATAGTACTTTTGAAATTTTACAAAAATATGACTATGAAGACATAGCTACAGCTCTTCCCCTGGCTTTGGAAGTGTCTTAAAGTTTAAAAATGCATCATTAGCTTCTTCATAATTCATCTCTGCTCTTGATAAAAATAAGCCAAGAAAAAAGAAATCCTACAGGAACAAAATGGTACAATACAGAGCAGATCTCTTAATTTTCAGAATTCAGTTGATATTGAAGTTATTCTTTATTCAATGTAGTCACTATGTGACTTCATCTCTCCTGAGGGAAAGAACAGGGATATAGATCAGCCTACCTCTCAAGTCTCCATGATTCTGTATTCTCTTTTAAAAATACCTTCAGTGCATTCAGTGTCTCCAGCAAGCTGATGAAGACTCAAAGTTACCTGACCTCTGGCTGAATGGAAGGTTCTCAGTGTCATGGAACATTGATAGTCAAGAGAAGAATGCTCCAGAGCTGATACCTAAGAAGGCTGCTGGTGGTGGAGAGGGTGCCTATAATGGGAAGGCCGGAGCTACTACCAGAGTAGAACATCTGAAACAGAGAAACTTCTGCATTGCAAATTAGGTTGGGCTTAGTTTCACCTGTGATTTATAGCTAGGTTCATTTCTTCCTGTTTAACTTGGTTTTTGTTATTTGTATCTGTTTAACATGGTAATAATGGATCATTTTCATTAAGATGGTATCATGCCCTGAAAATGATGCCTTAACTGGAGGGATGAAGAATTCCGCAATGACGTCTGTCATTCTTTAATTAATTAGAGTGCACCTAATAAAACCCAGAAGAATGAATATCCTGTCTGAACACAATTACATTATGTCTGCATAAGGGCCTGCATTTGACTGTTCTGGGCTTCCTGTTTCTCCACATGTTGCAAAAATATGGACAACTTGAGCATATCACATAGCTATCGCATATTGGGTTATGGGAGCCAAACTTAAAGATGGGTTCTGGAATTTAATTTTGCAAGTATTCAGTTGAAAGAAGGATTTTTGCTGTTTGTTGAGGTTAAAATATCTTAGTGAAATCTGAAGTAAACTAATTAGTTGTAGGTCAGGGAATTATTTTAGTATTTCACAACATGATTGTTTTTACTAAGTCCAAAATTTGCCTAAAATTTAGTGATTTTACGTTCACATTTTTTAAAATAGTCCTAGTTTCATATTTATTTACTTTCCATTCCTAGGGAGGTTCATGTTAGTCACGTCATAGTGACCAAATTTTTGGTTTAGAAATTAGGAACATACTAAAAATCTGGCAAAAGAGAATGTGTGTTTTACTTCATGGCATCATTTTTATTTTGTTTAGTTTTTACTTGCCAAAGCTGCCAAAGTGGAACATACAGGAGTTGACATAAATACTGCAAACTGACAGGCAATCCAAATATTTCTTTCTGTGGTACAGGCTTTTTTGTTAATAGTAAATTTGGGAAGAATCTTTAAATCAGCTTCTAAGAAATTGGTTGAGCCAAATGTACGGGTAGCATTCAGTACAGGTTGATTTCTGCTGCTACTTTTACTGGCAAACAATGGCCAACTGCCAAGCCATGGTCAACCCACACAGCTGTTTTCAATGATTCATTTCCCTTGATTTCCCAGCTGACCCATTCAGAAGGAGAATAGCAGTTTTCACACCCCAGTTGCTAGCCTTGTTGCTGCAAGGAGCCCTCCCCTTCAATTGTGGGAGTATTTTGAAGGCTAAAGTAAGATACAGTTGTCCTCAGAAGCAAAGTTGATTCTATGCCTAGAATATAAGCAGGCAAAAAAGGCTGAGAAAAGTCTGGGAAATGTTGATTTCATGGTGAGGTGCTTACCATGGCTCTGATTCATAATATGCCTACCTCTCCAGCTTTCTCTCATACCACACCCTGACCTTAGCCTGGCATTCCAACCACCCTGGCAGTTTCCAAAGTACAGAAGGTTCTTTTACCCATTGGTACCAGTGCTATTCCTAATGGTTAGAATACACTTCTCTCTTGTTTGTTTGGAAAAATCCTGCTACCTCCAAGGTGCAATCCAAGTATTAAAGTCTCTGGAAGCTTTTTCCTGAACCCCCAAAGGTGGGTTAGATCATGCATTATTAATGGAGCAATGTTGCCCAAAAGGGGTGAAAATTGGCACTGGAAGGCAAAAAAAATCTTACTTTTTAATGCATAAAGCATGGATATACATATAATATGTAAACAGATGTGTAATTTATCTGAGGCATTTCAATTTCAATTAGAAGGAGTGAGATTAAAAGAATGTCTAAATAGGCTTTTTAAGGTGGTATTGAACTTTTGTTGAGTCGAGAAACCTGGGTTACAATACTATTTAGCTTGTTTTAAGTCACTGATTTTTGAATGTTTGCTGCCCAGCATCATTGCAGCAAAAGCTGACTCATACCCTCTTTCCTTAAGGCCATCTCTCCTTCTACCCCAGTCTCACGATTTGAAACTTTTTGAGGCCTGGGGCACTGTTTTGGGCTTCACTGCCTCTATAGGACCAGACACACTGCCAGAATAGAGCAGATACTCAGAAAATGTATGTCCAATGACTTCAATGGGATCATAATTTCTCAGTCTTACTCAAGGCTTTTATACCCATTGTGTTCTACAAAACAGCCTTCCATCCCTTCCAAATTTTTCTGCATCCTATAATTGAATGAGTTGGTGTTTTCATGAATTTTTTTACTCCAGCTACAACAACTAAAGAAGTGATGACTCAAAGCTGAATTTACACCATAGATGTGTCCTGTTCAAATATCCAGTCAATGTTGCAGCTTAGCTCTTATGACATTGATTAACATACTCCATTTCCAAAAGGCACAGTGCATACCCTGTGGATACAGGGTAACCATGCCTCTGTCATGACAGCATTTTCACTGTAACATCAGTTAGATCAGAAGTACTGGGTGCTCGTTTGCAGCCCTATTTGCAGCTTTCTACAGTGGCACAGATTCCTGTGACTGTTTTAAATTACTGGAAAAGTCAATATTGGAAAATTTTTCTTAGTATGATTTGTATATGCTATGGTTTGACTGCATTCCCTCTCAATTTCATGTTGAAACTTAATCACCAATGTGATAGTATTAAGAGGTGAAACCTTTAGAAGGTGATTAAGTCATGGCGGTTCTGCCCTCTTGAAAGGTATTAATGCCCTATAAAAGAAGCTTCTCCCAAAATGTATCCCTTTTTTAGCCCTTCCACCTTCCACCATGTGTGGATGCAGCAACAGAGTGCCATCTTGAAGCAGAGACTAGCACTCACCAAACAGCAAACCTGCTAGTGACTCGATCTCAGACTTCTCAGCCTCCATAACTGTGAGAAATAGATTTCTGTTGTTTATAAATTACTCAGTCTCAGGTATTTTGTTATAGAAGCATGAAGAAACTAAGACTGTACATATAATTCTTTTATTTTATAAATCTCTTTTGTCAATATCCCACATTATAATGGTGCCGGAGAAGAAAATGCTGGAGGATAGCTAACTTACTGACTATATACTACATTCCAGCCATTGCTATGTGTTGTCTATTCATAGCCTCATTTAACTCTCCCAATAGTCTATTACATATATATTATATAATCCTGATTTACAGATGAGGGAAACTAATGATTAAGGCAATTAAATAATTTGTCTAAAAACTCATGGCTGGATGTCGGAAGGTTAGAATTCGAGCCCAGAAAAAGCTGACTTCTGAGCCTAAGCTTCTAAAGCACTATGGCAATTAAAAAAAAAAAAAAAAGGTTCTTTCAAAAATACATAAATAAAATGCTATGTTCTAAAAGCATCTAAATAATGATGATTACAGTTGCTGTTAATAAGATTAAATAAATGGACAGGTCATTTCAATCTGCAAAGCAAGATGAAATTTTGGCTTGCGGTAAGTGCATAATTTTAATTACAGGTTTACATGTGAAAAAAATAACTATCCACAAACAGTAACAACTTGAAAAACAGATTCCAAGGAAAATATTGAGAAGTGTTTGTTGAGGAATTTGCAAAACCAAACTTGTTAGTTGTGATAGAAAAACATGAGCGAGTGTGTGTGTTGTGGGGCGATGGAACTGGTGAAGAGAAGGTGGGGTGGGGAAAGGGATAGAGAGAGGGGAGAGGAAGAGACAAAGGAGAAAGAGAAAAGACTAAAAGACTAAAAGACTAAATTCTAGTTCTTTTCTTTTGAAAATCCCCACTTCCCCAAACTTCCACTCTAATTGCCAGCATGAATGAATTCTTTTCACAGGTGTTGGTGTTACAATAGGACACCACTGATTTTTTTTAAAAAAAGCTAAATTGGAAAGTGACTGCATGCCTCAGAGAGTGAAATTAGAACAGACCTTTCCCCTTTCTAGGAGGCACTACATTTTCCATGTGGCAACATTTCATTTGGCTCCTTTGAAAGATCCAGCCAGAACTCTGTAGGCTTTAAAAGCAAGATGGAAAGACTGGTGTTTCTTAAACTTCACTAGACCTTATTTTTTAAAATTATGGTGTTAAAACAGAGGGGAAGGCAATATAAGTAGAATTCAGCTCTTTTAGCTAAGGAATTTATCTCAAATGCAATTTCAGATTTCATTCTTATCCTGAAAATTATTTTCTTCTCTAGAAGCTCTTTTGTTAGCATAAGCTCTTTTCCTAAGACTTATCACTAATGCTGGTTTACTCCTACTTTTCAACTGATTTGTTACTGATGTTTCTCACACCCAGGAAGCAGCTACCCCAAAATAAGGGAATTAATGGCTGAGACCAGACAATACAATAAATGGCCACTCCCTGGTAGGGAAAGACTTTGGAGGTGGGTAGAAATGTTTTAACTTTATGCTGCAGCTTCCTGGGTGTGACACTGAACTTTAGTCACTGTAGTGAGATATGAGGTAATACATTTAAAGTACTGTCAATGCTCGATTACTGGGAGTAAATACTCTGCAGTGGAAGGATATGGTCTCTGGAGAAAGTCACACTGCCACTTCCTGCATTTATTAACCATGTGTTTTTGGGCAGATTACTTAACTTCTCTGACCTTCAGTTTCCTCAGCTACCAAATTTGGAAATCATATTGACTTCTAATGGTAATCATAATTTGAATGAAGAAATGTATGTCAGGTTTCAGGTCAATACTTTTCCCCTTATTTCTTGCCCTTTCTTCTTCAGTTGTAAAATAATTTGGTTGTCAATATTTTCTCTAAGGCTTCTTTCAACTTTATGTTATGCTGTAGTTAATTTCTATTGTCAGAAATATTTCTTATGCTCAGTTTGCTTCCCTGGTTGAGTTTCCTATGAAATTTTCATGGACCATCAGAGAATAGCGGCAAACAGGAAATACACAGTGGAGGAAATAGCATGGTGTGGTTTTAGGTGTACAACTGACCACTGCTGCTTTTGGTTTGAATTCAGGAAAGCTAGGCTGCCACCACTGGAACAGAAACTTCTTCTTCTTCTTTTTTTGATAGTGAATCATAAATTATATTTCAAAATGTAAACATCACTAAACATGCATACATGTTAAAACAATAAAATTTACAGTTTCATTCATTTTTTTTCTTTTTACATAGAACATCATTACAATATGGAATCTATGCCATACAAAATACAAAGTTTTATCCAAGCAAGACAAGGCCAGACTGGGAATTGTACAACTGCAATATTTCAGTGTAGGGATCCAGGAAAAATGAAACATGACCTTCGGAAGCATGGTGGGTGCTAGTTAAAAAATAAATAAATAAATAAATAAAGTTCCTACAGGAAAGAAAAACGAGCTCCAGGGAAATGATCTCGGACTCTTGGATTCTGCCTTCGGCTTTGGCTTCCAGAGAAGCTCCACCAATGGCTTCGGATGGGAAGGGGGTACCTGTGCGGGTCTGGGGCAGCTGGGACCCCAAAGCATGCATTCCAGCACATGCAAACAAGGAATTCCCAGTCACCAAGGAGCCACAGCAAGCCTCGAACCCGACAATGACAATGCATAGTTGCTCAGTAGAGAGACTCCCGCCTGCTGAGGCTGACCAGCTGCAGCGGCCCCAGCACTTGGCACCAGGGGCCTCCCCAGGGTGAGGCCAGGGAGCAGACTCTCCCTCAAACACACCCAGAGGCAGGCACCTGGACCTGGCACGGACGCTGGGGCTGATGAGCCCACGTGATGTCCGAGCCACCTGGGAAGTAGCCCCTTGCTCCTTTCAGAGGGCAGCCAGGTACAGTGGCTCCTGTGCTGAGTGCGTGGCCGCACAGGCATTGGGTTCACACATCCGCTTTCCAAATAAGCACTCCCAGTGGCCTGTCAACGGGCCCTCTAGGAAGAGGCCAGGGAGAACAGGACCCTGAGTCCTGGGAAAAAGCCTTTCCAGCGCCCCACCCCCATGACTTCCTCCCTCCCTCCCATGACCCCCCTTAGGTGACGCTATTTCTCTCCCAACCTGTTTATTTTAAAATAAAAGTGGTAAAGTTTTGAAGCTGTGCGAGAAAGGGAGAAGCAGGGCAGGGCCAGGTGGCCACACTGCAAGTCTGAAATCTTGATAGGGGGTCAATTGAAACCAAGTATAGACCCTCTTGCCTCGTGGACACAGGGCTCCCGTCTCCTGCCAAATTCAAGTCTTCTGACTAATTAGGGACAGGACAGCAGGCAGGAGGAGGCGCCTCACCCTAAAGGGTGCTCAGGCCTGTATCAATAGTAAGCTGGACTGTGAATCCACGTTCTGGTACCAAGTTCTCTGGAACGGGTCTCAAACAAGCCTTCGAAGCCTCAAAATCAGGTAAATTAGTCATAGGACCTGGTTCTCCCTGAAGTAATCCTGGTTTCAAAAACCATCAGCCCACATCTCAGATTTTAGCTTTGGAAAATATGGTGACCAGAATTGCATATGGAAACGGACAGCAAAAGATGTGGATAACCTACAAAGCGTTTCTTACTGGCTGCGATGTGACCAACACATCACACCCTTTAAACTAACTTCTAGCACTGTCTTTGACTAAATGACCTTTTTAAATGGAAAAAAATAAAAAATCAGTGACACCTGCCAGATGTCAAAATAGGTAGCCTTGTAAACACAGCCACAACCAGCAGCGGAGAAACAAGTCCATGCTACTGCTCAGATCACCTCTTCCTTAGAACAGACACTTCAAACATCACTCTGCAAGCTCTAGCTGAACAAATGTTTCTCAAAAACACCAGCTGAAAGGGTGGTGGAAAGCATTGAGGGACACAGAAAAAAGAAAAGACACTAGGGTGGTAAAGAAAGAAAGAGATCACTTGAATTCTTTTTGTTTTCACTGTTAGGCACTTTATCAACTATATTGTGTGCATTACATTGTGTAATTCTTTCAATAATGCTGGAGAGAAACACTTTAACACCATTTTACAGATGAGAAAAAATGAGGTTCCAAGAAGTGATGTACTTCTCCAAGGTTAATCAGCTAATACCTAGGTCAGGATTCAAACCCAGTCTGGAGGCTCTAGTGGCTGTCCATTTTACATACTGATTCCCAACAGTATATGAAGCAGGAAGTGCAAGTTAAATTAGTTTAAGCAAAAATAGGAATGTATTAATCCCATAAGCAAATCATGAGAAGGAGTAGAAAGAATTAGTCCCATAAGCAACTAGTTCCAATGGATATATAAACTGTTGGTTTGCTAACACTCTTTCTTCCACTCTTCCACCCCTCCTTTCACCTTTCCTTTCCTCTCATCTCCATCTTTTTGTTTCTCACTGCATGTTAGCTTCATTCTCTCCACCACATTTTCCCATCTGTCTAAATCCATTACCATAGGCAGCGTTGATGTTGCATCATGCTAGGTAAATACAACTCTTTCCTGCCTTCTCCTCAGAGAAATTACTTAGGAAATGACTATTATTGTTGTGGTTTGGTTGCATATCTACTTCTGAACAATAATGGGAATGGTTACAATGACTGATTCAGGCTGGGTCACGTACCTAAACTTGTGACCAGGGGTCTCTAGTTTTAGAAATGGAAACCCCTTTCACAACCACGATGTTGGAGAGGGAAGCAGCTACCTCAAAAGAAGGGAATGAACGGTTGAGACCAGACAATATAATAAGTGGCCACTCTCTGGTAGAGAAAGACTTTGGAGGTGGGTAGAAATATTTTAACTCTATGCTGCTGCTTCCTGAGTGTGACATTGAACTTGAGTCACTGTAGTGAGATATGAGGCAAGACATTTAAATTCCTGTCAATGCTCAATAACTAATTGCTAACTAAAATAATGATAAAGTACTAGTTAAATGCAAGGTTCTAGTATTGTTGATATAGTTTTGGTCTTTAATTTAAAATTTTTCTTATCACGGTCTAGATGGGATACAATTTCAAAACTGTTTTTTTTCCCTACACTGTGGCCACTTTCCCCAAGCAGTATGTTCAAATAGATAGTAAGCTCCTGGAAAGCATGGACAATATTTTCTGCATCTTTTCTCTTCCCACAGCACAAAGGGCTGGGCTTAGGACTGTGTTAACAATACTTGCTTAAAAAGCACTTGCTAAGTTGCATCGTTGAAAAGATTTACAGACTAGTCACATTGGGAGTACATACCCAAATTTAGCATTGCTTCTGCTGGTGTTCTATGTCCTGGGCACATAAGGATGTCTGAGAATAGGTATTCAGAGTGTTAATATTCACTTTTACAGAAAATGAGCAAATGGGTGATTTTTATCAATTTCTTTAACCTAAACTTGCAGAGTCATGTGAAATAGTTTTCATGTTCAATAACATTGTTGCCCTAAAATTGAGGAATATTATGAATGTTAAGCTAAGCCCTGACAACCCACCTTGTGTTATGAGTTTTCATTATTTAACTTTACTCTTCTCATGGTCATTTTAATACATTTCCACATATTAATTATATTCATGCTGATGTCCTGAAATAACCTCAGCCAAGTTCATTATATATTTTGATGGAAAAGCACTTAAATCTAGATGACAATTTATGTTTTACAAATTGGATTTGGAATAACCATTGAAGAGCTTTCTCTAAATAGACTCTGATTTTGAAATTCTAATTAAATGTTATATTTTGTTCTACAAAAAATAAGCACCTTCATTATTTTGGATGAAATTACTGGGTATCTCACCCAATTATTCATAGCTTTGAAACATGAGTTACTGCTTCTTGTCATTTTGTCAGTGGGTTGAAAACCCTCTTCCAGGAATGCCGTGAATTCTTGATGAATACTGAAGAGACAGGAGATCTGGGATACCAGGGTTGATCTGCACTGTGTGTGTAGGAAGTTCAACTGCTGTAGGTGCTGGAACATTAATTTGGATGCCAACATTTCTTTTGCATAAAAATGGGATGTATGAATCTCCTACTTTGCTTCGGTTGGCTTGAGTCCTTTGTCTTCTGAACACTTTCAATAAAAACTCTGAAGAGCTTCTCATCACTGTAGAATATAGTACAACTGCGTAAAGTTGCCCTCCAGGACCTGCAGATTCCAACCTCTGCCTGACTCCAAAGTCGTCATCTTGCGTCATTCTCCCTTCACCCACATTGTGCTCCAGACACATTTTCCTTCAGTTTCTCTAATAAATACAACACGCTTCTCACTGCTTAAGACAGCTGTTTATAAATAAATTCCCACTGCCTGGAATGCTCTCCTCTCCTTCACCTGGCTTACTCTCCCTTGCTCTAAAGTTTCTGCCTAATAGGATTTCATCCTGACCTCCCAGACCACGTGAGGCATATTTTCATAAGACTATGTGTTTTAGGTTTGAATTTCTAAGGGAAATTCAAACTATTACTAAGGGAATAGTTGTTCCCTTAGTAATAAATAGTTTTGTCCCAAGGTTAGTAGGAACTGAGAATAAAGAGGAGGAACACTTGGATTCTTTCAATCCTCTTTTTCCTTCTTTCCAACTCTAGTTCCCCAGAGAATAAAGTCAAGGAAACAGGAACTGAAAAAAAAAGCAAATGCTTGAAGGATAGAGTTGGCTATGCGTGAGCCCACACATCCTGCAGCTTTCCTAGCCTAGTGGGGATAAGAGGAGTAAGGCGCACTTCAGAATGAAGCCACAGTGGGGAAACCATCCGTGAAACTACTTCACCTGGGCAATTATCAGTCTCTGCTGCCTGCTGGGTCTTTCTACACGGCTCTGAGCACTGAGCTCCTTGCCTTTAGTATTGATGCTCTAGGCACAACCTTGATCCCAACTTATACTTACTAATTTTAGCCAGCGCCCTGCTCTGCCCTTATTTTACACAGTTTACTTAAATGAAGAGCATATTCTGATGACTACAAATGTATTTCAGCTTTATAATTTTCATATGCAATTTTCTATACTCACAAATAATATTTTCACACAATTCCTGAAACTTAACTGGCAATAATCCAAAGACTTATGGATAGATAAAAGGGAAGGAGGCCTCCGATGAGTTGAGGACTGATATGAATCTACAATTTGTAACCTATCACACATCTCATACTTTCTTTATTAGTAAAGATTGAAATAATTAATTATGTACTTTTCTAATTATTTGTTCATTGTTTGTTTCCACCCCAGTAGTCTGTATACTTCATGAGGTTTGTTCATTGTTTTATCCCCACTGATTAAAATACAATAGATGCTCAATGAATATAGAGCAAATGAATAAATGATACAATAAAATGGGAGAGGGAGGAAGAGGCTGTAGGAGAAAACAAAAAAAAAATTCTATGTTTTTACTGTATTTTCTTACTAGCTCAGGGCTGCAACAGTATATGCTCACCAACTCTTCCTCTAGCTTCTCTTGCTGTTCTTCTCCAAGCATAAATTTTAATTTCTTTATCATGGGCTTAAGTGCTCCACAACTGAAGAAAATAAGTCACTCATTTTTGTGGCTGTGGAGATAACACTTTAAAAATTGGTTTTCAAATTTGCTTAAATCTTATTGAAATGTATAGGGATATAAGATATTTTAGTGTAAGTCGTAAGTATTTTTTGTTTTTGTTTTAAACCTAATCTAAAAAGTTAGTTGTGAGTAGTCATTATTCACAGATACTGAAGGAGTTCAATATGCATTCCATATTGTATTTTCAAATTGCACTTTCAAATTGCATTTGAATAGAAATTCAAATGCATTCAATGCATCTCATATAACACAAGAGACCAGTAAATAGATTGCAGAGGCTTCCTTGAAATGCAGATTTAAAAAAAAATTGTCTCTAGACTAGGAAAAATTAGTTGTAGTGGTGTGTATGACCATGGAAATTCATCCCTGGGATTGCAGCCTACATGTTTGGGCTTCCCTTTGAGGTGAGAATAAAAATTAAAGCATGGATTGAGCAACAGTAAATTCCAACAATACTTCTGAGTAGCTGAAGACAGACTAATGTTATCATTGGGGTTCATTTTTAAAAGTTTCTGACAACAATCTAATCTGAGACCTATAAAAATAGTTTGTCAGTTTAAAACATCAAATTGAGTTGCAAGAGATATTCTAATACAGGTCTAAAAATAAGAGTAGGAATTTGGATGAACTGTGTGAGTGCTCATGTTCATTCCAGTTGATGGCTTGGTGTTAGAAAAAGGCACCCATTGTGTGTGGAGAAGGAAGGACCCAGGCAGGAGCGTAGCAAAGGCCATGGGTCAACTTTCACTCCCACCTTGAATAGGTACTTGTACACGACACAAACCATGGAAACATAAGTTATGGCTCTGCTTCCAGTTTTAGCAAGATATGAAATACATTGATAAAGTTTAATAAGAATGATTCCTGTTGGGGTTTGATACTTTTTAATACATTTATGCTCTTTTAATTAGGCTGAGAGGCAATTTTACAAAATTATTAAAGACATGGGCTCTGACCTAAGACAGAACTTCATTTAAATTCTGAATTTGTCACCCTCTAATTCAGTGACCTCTCTGGGCTCTCTATAAGCCTCAGTAACTTCAACTGCAATATTGAAATGATAGTGTCTTTGTTAGTAATTCGTGGTGAGGATTAAATAAAATCAGGTATGTATCATGCCTAGCACACTTTTTGGTACATGGTAGATGCTTAATAAATGGCAGTTGCTGCTATATTGTTTTTTAATGATAGTTTTAATAGGAGCATTTTAAAATAAAAGGATGCTTATACTGATATGAGTAAACCACACAGATCACCCACACAATTCAAATGATTGGTTACAATATATCAATATATCAAACTAGTTTAATGGAAATATTTTCTTGAGTACTTAATTCTATCAAGAAATAATAATGACAATTAAATAAATGGAAGCCCTTTGCTGGTCTTTGGCAATAGCAAAATATATAGCAAATTGTCCATATTTATGAAGCAACCTGCATATCAACCTGTCATAAAAATGCAAAATATAATGAACTAGGAAGGGATATAGCTATATACTAGAAATGTCCACTTCACTTTTTACACTTCAGCAAATATTACAACTGCTCTTATTTGAAAATACGTTTTATGACATCCTAATTTTTCCACACAAAGAAGAAGTTTATTTCATAGGCACACACACACACACACACACACACACACACACAGCTTATGTGAAACTATCAGAGCACACAAAATACAGAGGAGGTAGTGTGGGGCTAGTACTTTATATTTCAGCTCTAGCTTCACAGGCAGTTATTTTGTAAGTGGATTTCAAAAAATAATTACATTAATCAAAACTCTATTTAGTTTTCTATATCACTATTGATTTCACCTACACTTGTCAAATTTATATTCTGCCTCTTTAATTGCCTACCTCCTACTGCCTCTCACTTTCCTGAGCTGAGTATATATATTTGCATACCACAAATATGCTCACGGTTGTACTTTGAAATAAGATGTCTCTGAAGCCAAATGCAAAGAAACAGAAATTCAGTTTATTTTTCCCTACCTCTGTTCCTCATTAGACCTGCTCCTGAAATTCTTTGATTTATTCTACTTTTTTAAAAAAAAATCTACATTTGCTGTATTAGCAAATGATGATTGCATTATATTCAGTTCTTTATAATTTGAGAAATTATCTTATTCTTGGAATAACATTTTAAACCATGAAAATTAAATGGCAAATAAGATTTTTAGAAGCAGCTTAAGAAGCTGACATAAAAGTGATATGTGATGTCAGTAGAGAATGCCTATAATTTAATGGGTGGGGGAAGAATAATAAATGAGGTAATATTATAAAGTATAATATTTGGAGGAACCTAAGTATAGAGTAATCAGTAATTCTTTGCACTAGCATTGCAATTTTGTTGTGAGTCTGAAATTGTTTCAAAATTAAATGTAAAAAAAAATAATGTCAGGTAAAAATTTAAATGATGATTCCTTGTGTTCACTTAAGGTTGTGGTTGTGTGGTATAATTTGGGGGAATATGATGTGATTAGTGAGGCTTACAGGGAAAGCACCCAATACGAGACAATCAGATACCCCATATCAAGGCTCAGCCATTTTTAAAACGTGTTCATCTCTGTTTGGTAAATCCTGGTTAAGGTATAAATAATTTCAAAATCCAGTACTACTCTTACAAGTCACCAACAACAAAATAAAATAAAATATAAAATGCAAAGGAATTCAAGCAAATTTTGCTTCAAATACAATTCCAGTCACTATCAAATATCCTGGCTTATCATTATCAAAATAATATTATCAAAGGAAAGCCACCCAATTTGCAAGCTACACACTGCCAATCTCAACTTGATTAAAGTCATATTTATAATTAATTATTTTTTCTAGTTACTGGACTTTTTAATCTTCTTGGTTGTCTCTAGGAAACCCATCAGGCATCCAGAACCCACAGCTCTGCCATCAGAACTCCATCCTGGGAACAGAAGCCGTCTATCTGCATCTGTAAACATGGCCTCATGTAGTGACGTGCAGGGAAATGAGTGTGCCCTTGCAATGGTTCTCAGTCCTTTCTTTATCTCAACATCATGGCATTTTATGGCTTCCCTCATGAGACAACTCAATTATTCTCACAATTTATCTAGATTTCTGGAAAAATATGTTGGAATGTGGCCTTCCTACCCCATTCCCTCTGACAACAGGTTTATTGAGGAATATATTTTACTTTCATATTTTTATTTCAGAGGAAAAATTTCTCCCCAGACATTTATTTTCCCCATGGTTCTCTAAGAGGGAGACATGAATGAGGAAACCATAAAATAAAATCAGATAAGGTGGGACACCAAGATAATCATGTAGCTTGATTTTGATGTCTGGACCTCTTTTTAAAAGTTAAGGAAAGAACAAGTTCTTGTTCTCTTTGCAGGTAAATCCACGGGAACCTTCTCAGTGCAGTGGTAATACAGAGTATAAAGTAGCCCTCCTTACTCTTAAGAGGAAATTTTGCCTCTTCACCTTTCCAAAAGAAATGACGGTAATTGTTCTTTAATTCTCAAACAACCTTATCTTTTGGTAGCTCAATAATGGCAGCATCTGGTATAACTTGGATGCAAGGACTGTTGGCAAGATCACTATAATTTCCAAGATTTCCAGAAATTTTCAATTAAGACTGTTAAAAATAAAAAAATACAGGATATGATTTTCAAAGCTGGAAAATAAATGCCTGATTATATGGAATGGTCCCCTTTTGAGGAAAGAAACTGGGAATAGTTTGGAGCACAATTTGGCATAATGAAGGGAATGTAAGGTTTAGTCCTGCAGTCACTAATTGTATGACTTCAGGCAAATTACCCTTTCTAGGCCTCAGTTTCCTTATCTGAAAAATGGGGATGATAATAATACTGTACCTACCTCATAGGTTGCTTTGATGATTAAATGAGCCAATACATGTAAAGTACTTGGAAGAGCACTTGCCTCTAGTAGAGCTTGTTCTTATTATCAACACTACAGGAGTTACTAGGAATACATGATTAATTCTGCCTGTAGCCTTTTCAGAAGACTTAGCATTAGAATTTTATTTTGAAGGGCACACCAGTGCAGGAGCATAGGCTTTTTTCTCAAACATCTTGATAACACCAGAAGACATTTGCCGATTTCAAATTGACAACTCATGACAATGTGTAAGTTCTAAGTTTCAACCCAATACTCTTTGCCTCAAGTTGTTCTCCTTCCACTTTAGAGAAATCATTACTTCCTGTGTTAAGCAAATGCCTCGAAATCATCTCAGAGTTCCCCCGTGAGTGATCCTAGTTTTGAAGAGACTATTCTCAACCCACCTGTCAATTATGTCAGTGTAAAGGCATCCAGAACATCTGTCCTGAATTTTCCCGGACTGCACCTGGACTTCAAAATGATGGAAGGTGGTGATCTAACTGTGCAGAAAACATTGTGAAACAGGCCACATTCTCAAACTGGTTTGAGAAACTTTTAGAATAAAATGTGTCTGGCTAGGTTTATTCAGCCTTAGTTATTACTCTTTGTGTATACACAAGGATTTCAAACCATCAATAAATGACTGCAAGTGGTTTCTAGTCATATCCAACCAACAAAAAGTCTTCCCTTATGTGTCAAAAGCAAGCAAACCTCAAATTGGTAAGTTTTCTTTTCCTGGAGAGATTCTGTGGAATATGATACCTGAACAATTAGAATGAGAACATAGCGAAGGATGAAGCAACCTTATAGTTCCATAAATTCTAAACATAGAAAAATAAACTGAAAATTCCAAATATTTAAAACCTTACGTTTACATTGAAATTGAAAGAACTCAGAGCAGTCTGCTGTGTTCAGCATAAAAGGCAGCATTCATAAGGGAGGGAAAGGTACAAAGTCATCCAGCCTGGAATGACAGAATGGATATGAAGAAAATTTATTTCCTTGTAGAAATGTTCAAAGCAATGCTACATACTTTTCCTTTCCCATAAATTTATAGCATTTGAAATTATTTTTGTACATTTATAAATTCTCTCAAACATCACTTAAAATGTTTAAAAAGACAAAATTAAAGTGTGGCTTTGGGGAGGTCAATGTAGAAATGCATTAATTGTTTTGTGATGAAGAAAAGGAAGTTTGAGTAAGTGGTGTATAATGTAGTCCTTTGACAAGATAGAAAATGGTCATTTTCAAAGTCCATTTATTTTTTTCATTAACTTATTTAGACCCCACTGTGTTGCGGAAATTTTATATACAAGATAGATTTATTTTGGTCTTCAGGGGAAATGTCAGGAAACAGATGATTAAATGAATGGATATGAGGCAGTTTAGGAAATGACAATATAGAAACATCCATCTGATGCTTTGGGACCTTAGAGAGGTCTAACTCAACTCAGATGGGGAAGAAGAGGAGACAGGAAAAGTCCCAGAGAAGGCAATGCTGAGCTCCTACCCATTCCAAAAGATGGATTAACATTGGCAGAAGGAGGTGCTGGGAAGACTCCTCAGGCATGAGAAAAGCTGGAGCAAAGTCCCAGAGCAGTGAATCTGTGACACATTCAGGGAGGAATAAGTATTTCTCCTGAAAATGCCATGTGGGAATACAATATGGAAGGTAGAGAGTGGCAAGGGGTGGGATTGGGAATCTGGAGTGGGGCCAGACCTTTGAATATGTTAAGAAATGTGGACTTTATCCTTCAGGACAATAGGGGATGTGGAAGAACTGCAAGTAGACAATAGGGAGAAAACAAAATCCCTCTGGCTACGATGAGGAAAGGAGTTGGTGGGCAGGACACAGAGATAATAGCAGGAAGGTTCCCATGGAAGCTGTTGTAATAGCCAAGGTTAATTTTTTAATGTTTTATTTTGAAATAATTATAGATTCATAAGAAATAGCAAAATAAAAGAATGAGACCCTATATACTCTTAAATGGTAACCACTTCCTTTAATGGTAACAACTTACAGAACTATAACAACTTACAGAACTATAATGTATTATAAAAACCAGGAACCTCACATTGGCACAATGCTATTAACTAGAATACAGACTTTATTTAGATTTTACCAGCTTTTACATACATATAGGTTTATGAAATTTTGTCACATGTGGAGATTCATATAATGACCACCACGATAAAGTTACAACTTAAGTGAGGTTTGATAAGGACAGGAACAAAGAAAAGACGGAGAAAAGAGGAGAGATTCACTAAATATTTAGGACATAAATGCCAATAGTTAAAAGCATGGATTCTGCAGCCAGAGTTTCCCAGGCCGCATACCAGCTATACCACTGACTAGCTTTGTGGCTGGGGATGCTGTGTAACCTCTCTGTGCCTCAGCTTTCTTGTCTGCAAAATTGAGATAATAGTAGTACTTCCTAAAGATGCAGTGAACAATAAACTGGTTTATAACAAGCATAGAGCAGTAGCTAGCATATGGTAAGTGTTGTGAATGTGTTAGCAATTACTGTTAACTAGAATCTAGATAGAGACCGACAGGACATGGAAGTGAAGAAAAGGTCACATCTTGGGCTTATGCTACTTAGTAGATGGCACTGGCATTTGCTGACATAGAATGATAGGTTAAGTAGGGGAGGGAGGTTAGTAAAATTTGATGTGCCTTTTTCATCCAAGTGATGAAATACAAAAGAGGGTTAAATATTTATAATGGAGATGAGGTTCAGAATAATGTTTGTGCCAAATTTGTATCCCCTACAAAGTCTAGTAGGAAGCCCATCTAGAAAGAAATCTGATTTCTTATGGCAACAGTCTGTAAGAAGGGCTTTGGCTCTAGTCCCCATGGTTTGCTCAGTATATAACATAAGCATGACCACAAACATCAGACTACACCGAATGCAGAATGTAGCTTGGGAAATCCCTGACAGGTATGACTCAGGGAAATGTTCACTTTCGTTGGACTTCAGGTTCCACATTATTGCTGATGTTTGCTGATGTTTCCGGGAGCCTTGATGTCATTCTGTATCTCCTCAGGTATCCCACCTTGAGACGTACTTTTCAAAAACTCTCTACAGCCGTTGTTGTTATTAATTCAAGGTTGAACATAAAGTAATCTGCATCCCTGTAATGGCTTCTCTTTCATGTGCAAGTTATGGAGACATGCAATTTTCTCTTTGCCATATGCTATGGTAAGAAATGGCCAATCAAAATACAGCCCAGGAAGCAATGAGTGGTCTAGGGAGAGGGCACTTGTGCCAAGCTCTTCCAATCCTATTCTGTCTTTTGGGAATTTAATTCACAAAGAGCTAAGAGGAGGATGGATCAGCATCACCTTCAGGAAGGCCTCGGGAAAGAGTATGAGGAACCTAGCCCCTGACTTGGCATTTAGCCCTTTTTTTGTATCTATGAACTACTTCAATATCCTTTTAAAATTATTTATTTATTTTTTATTTTTTTTGAAACAGGGTCTACTTCTGTTGTCCAGGCTTGAGTGCAGTGGTAGAATCACAGCTCACTGCAGCCTTGAACTTCCAGGCTCAAGGGATCCTCCTACCACAATCCCCCAAGTAGCTGGGACTACAGGCGTGCACCACCACATCTGGCTAATTAAAAAAATATATATTTTTTTTGTAGAGACAGGGTCTCACTATGTTGCCTCAGCTCATCTCAAACTCCTGCCTGGGGTCAAGCAATCCTCCTGCCTTGGCCACCCAAAGTGCTGGTATTACATGTGCGAGTCACTGTGCCTGGCCCTGTATCCTTTTAATACTTCTCTTTTCTCCTTTATTTAGCATGCTTTCTGTTCTTTGCAACCAATGAAACTTAAATCTTAAGACTATACTTTTTTTTGTAGTGTAAAGTAGTACAAAATTTGGAATATCAATCTGGCAGTATGTGTCAGTATTATAAATGTGCTCCTATTTGGCTTAGCAGTTTTTCTTCTAGCAATTTATATCAGAAAAATACTCAGACGAGTTCAGAGATATACATACATAGGATGACTATGAATATAAAATTTGGAAATTGAATGCCAAGAAAATGGTCATTAAATAAATTAGGAGTTAGCAATGTGATTGAATATTATGAAGTCATTAAAAAGGATGATATATACATATTTACTAACTAGAAAGGAATGCCATGAAATAGTAGTAGAAAAGGCAAACTACAAAACATCTTAGATTCAGATAGCATGATCCAATTTGCATGATACAGCATGGTGGGTATGCATGCGTGTGTGTATGTGGGTGTGTGTGTAGCCAGAGAAATATGTTTGAAAGGAAATATGCCAAATTCTTAAAAAATGGGGATTATCTCTAAGTGATGGGTTTTATTTTTGTCTTTATTGTATATTGTGTATATGACATTCTATATTGTATTATGTTTTAGAAATGAACTTATATTTGTAATCTGATTTTTTTTGAAAAGTAAAATATCTTTTCTTATGCAGAAATCCATGTGCATTTTCTTCCATTGCATGAGCACATTTTGCCCACAGCTAAGATGGAGACTGATGTTTTACAGTGAAATGAGACATTTGCATACATTCATATGTGCCTTGTATTAATGAAGAGCATTGAGCCCAAGGCCTTAAATATGTCAGAATTACAGATATGGCCTGTGTATTAGTTTATTATGGTTGCCAGAACAAACAAACTTGATGACTTAACAGAAATTTATTTCCTCACAGTTCTGGAGGCCATAAGTCCAAAATCAGCATTACTGGGTTGAGCACAAGGTGTTCATAGGGCCACATTCTCCCTGAGGTTCTAGAGGAGAATTCATTTCTCACGTCTCCCAGCTTCTGACGGCTGCCAGTATTCCTTGGATTGTGGCCACATCACTCTAATTTCTGCCTCTGAGTTTACATCACCAACTCCTTTTCTGTCTGTAGTCAAAATCTCCCTCTTCCGCCATCTTACAAGGACACTGTTGATTGTATTAAGGACTCATCAGGATAATCTCCTCATCTCAAGATTCCTTTTTGTTTGTTTTTTTGTTTTTCAGAAAACCACTCAGACTGCCTCCTCTCCCTCTTACTCTCCAGGGAGGAGAGAAGAATGATCATCAAGGGCAGAAGGCAGTTACATCGAAGCAACACTGAAAACTGGCTTCATGCTCAGGAGAGAATGCTGCGCTTTTTCCTCGTGATTTGTGGTGCTCTACATATTCAGAGAAACTTCTCCAGTAACAAACTATAGAAATGATCCCTCAAAGTATAGTCTTCAAGATTCTTAATCACATCTGAAAAGAGCCTTTGTCATGCCAGACCCTTGCTGACATCGATAGGAGTGACACCCTGTTTGACAGGCTGAAGAAGAGACCTAGAGCCGGTGAATGAAATACAGGGTTTATTGAAGGAACCCAGTGTCAATGGGCTGGATAAAAGAACAGCTACCACTTGTAAAAAACATGCAGTTTAGGCCGGGTGTGGTGGTTCACGCCTGTAATCCCAGCACTTTGGGAGGCTGAGGCGGGCAGATCCTGAGGTCAGGAGATTGAGACCATCCTGGCTAATACTGTGAAACCCCGTCTCTACTACAAATACAAAAAATTAGCTGAGCGTGGTGGCACATGCCTGTAGTCCCAGCTACTTGGGAGGCTGAGGCAGGAGAATCACTTGAACCTGGGAGGCGGAGGTTGCAGTGAGCCAAGATCGTGCCACTGCACTCCAGCCTGGTGACAGAGTGAGACTCCATCCCCAAAAAAAGAAAAAAAAAAAGAAAATGCAGTTTATGTGGCATTTTCACTTAGCACCTTTCTCATATCAGCCTACACCTCACAACCTTCATTTAACCCAAAACAAAGGGTTTTGATCCCCTGTATGGCTCATGTTCCATGGGATGGGATGGGGATTGAGATGTTCCTCGTAGATAAGGAATGAATCTCCGGGTTGGCCACTTCCGGATTCCTTAGCTTTGGACTCCACACACACATTCTTTTTAGACCACAGGGTCAATCTAAGGGTATCAAGTTAAGTTATTGCTGTCAGGTGTGTTTGCCATACAGAGTCATTCTCAGAATATATGCTTAAGTTATTGCTGAAAGGTACATCTGTCATATGCCCATTTTCCATATAACATAACATTTACAGGTTTCAGAAATTAGAAACCAATATTTTAGGGAGATTATTTTTAGCCTACTCCTGTATACCATCCTAAAAATAAGAAATCCACACTAAATTTGCCAAGACTATTGATTTGCCTTTGTATCTATTGGAAACACACACTTGAATCCATTGATTAAAACAGCACCACAAAGTAAATTTAACAATACATTTCAAGTTTTGAAATGAAGCATTCATCATTTTACAGTTCTAAGAAGATAAAAGTATGCATTTGTGTCACATTTATGTGACACTTCATAAAAAAGTGTTCAGGAATCTAGAGGGAATAGATAATCTCAGTTCTAGGAGAAAAAAAAATGGCACAGGCAAATGGGGTAATTAGGGAGATTAATGAAAGAGAGTTTAGGGAAACCAAAAATGGATAGTGTGATAGCAAAGGGGTGGAAATATGCCCCCTAGCTTTGAAAGGGGCAAGGGAAGGGAGAGAATACCAAAATTTAGAATACCAAAATGTAGATAGAGCTGAGGCTGTGACTGTAGCTTCAGGAGAGGACTGCTGGATAGGAGCCGTGGCCTTGGTAAAGGAGCTCAACCCCTCCCAGGCTTCCCTCTGGAAGGCGGAGCAATTGCCTTACAGTGGCCAAATCAATGGGAAGTCAGGTGACAAGGAAGCCCATTGATGCTGTCCATACAGATAGATTAGCCTCCTAGAAGATGATCAACTTGGAGAAATGTAGAAAATGAATCTAGCTCTAAGGTCAAGAAAAAAATATTCCGTACTTGCTGCCAGAGAACTATGAGGAAAAGCATAGTATCCTGGAATCAGAGGGAAAAGAGTATTTCAAGAAGGCAGGTAGGTTAATATTTCAAATGGAGCTGAGAGGTCAAGTAAGATAAGGACTAAGAGATATTCATTGACTTTTAAGACAAGGAGATCTTTGGTGACCTAAGTCAGTTCTGCTTAGATGCAGTGGTGAGTGATGACACTGGATTGGATTAGTGTGAAGAGTGAGGTAAGCAAGTGGAGACAGCAAAGGCAGACAAGAAAATTCATTCAAGTTTGTTTTGGATGGGAAAAGAGACATAGGGCAATAGCTGAAAGACAAGAGGGGATTGAATAAAAATATTTTTCTCTCCCAAGTTAGGAAAAATCTTAACCAGGTAAGAATGTTAATGAAAAGACAAAGGTGAGAGGGAGTAGGGAGAGAACCGTGGAGAAGTGTCCGTCATTCTCACCCAGGAAAGATTGCTCTGATGAATTAGCCATGTCTGTTATGGACATGAGGTGAGAGCGGAGGGATGAATGTGTGTTACTGATTCTAATTCAATCTCTATTTTATAGATAAAATTGTGTCCTACAGATGGCGAAAGTGGGGAGTCATTTGTTCATTATTCAGGTAACTAGTAAGATGTCTTGTTACTTTCAGTCCAGGGAGTCTTAAAATTGGGCACTGTGTTTGTTTGTATGGCTGTAAAGTAATACCTGAGGCTTAGAAATTTATAAAGAAAAGAGGTTTATTTGGCTCACAGTTCTGCAGGCTGTACAAGAAGCATGATGCCAACATCTGCTTCTGATGGCCTCAAGTTGCTTCCACTCATGGCAGAAAGTGAAAGGGAGCTGGTGTGTCACATGGCGAGAGAGGGAGGAAGGCAGAGACAGCCAGAGAGTTCCAGGCTATTTTCAACAACCAGTTCTCTTGGGAACTAAGAATAGGAATTCACTCACTCCTACAAAAATGGCACCGAGCTATTCATGGGGGATCCAACCTCACAATTCAAACACCTTCCAATAGGCCCTGCCTCCAACATAAGGGTCACATTTCAACACGAAACTTGACAGGACCAAAGGAACTATATCCAAACCATAGCAGGCATTATTTCCAAAATGATGCCACTCCTATATGGGAGAGAGGTGAAGTGATTTTATATTTTTCACTGATTACTACTTTTATTTAATAATTATGCACTAATTTTTATAGTTGCAATATACTATTGGCCCAGGATACTGGGTTTCCTTTTATGGTGGTAATATATAGTTTTTCTCTTAGTTAAATGCTTTTAGGCAACAAAAGTTGATTTAAAGAACTTACAAATAAGAAAAAGTTATACAGATATTACTCAACTATGACAATTGTGAAATTGTGAAGGTGGCACATGAGTGAATGACATTTGAGACATACTGCATTATACATGTTGCTTATCTGCAGAGTTAATTTGGTGTTTATTGGTGTAAGAACAAAGTTGAAGGGTCTAAGTCTTCTGTCTATAATCTCAACCTTGAATTACTGTCTTAAGCAATTAAAAATGCAAACTGCACCTGAAGAATTAAGAAGAAAGGATGAAACAACTCTCACAGCATTTTGCTGAGTGGACAGAAGGATCATCTTAGCAATGGATTTTATCACATAATTAAAGAGGGATTCCCTGATTAATTAAATGAAGAGGCAAACTCATTTAAACTGGTGATGCTAAGAAGAAATTACTGCAATATTTTTCTTCAGCCAAAATAAAGTGAATAGATATAGCTCTATACAACTTGAGTTTTTGTTATCTACAGTGTAGTCCATTTGATGACAAATTTTCAATACTTACAGATTTATTCAGGCCTATTAAAAGCCTCAAAGCAACCAGGAAGTGTTACAAATATCTGAACAGAGAGTTGGATATTTTGAATGCTGAATATATCATTAGAATCAGAGCTAGTGCACCAGCTGTGTTAGTGCAACATGACTGCCCTTGGTCCTATGCTCACGCTGGTGACACTTGCCTTTTAATAATTCAGTCACATTATATCCTTCACCAGCTGAGGGAAGCTCTATTTTTATTTTAAAGGGCTGTTTCTTATCCAGAAAAGTAATAACAAGGCAAAACATTTATGAGAACAGTAAATCAATTTGTTTCATAATAATCAGAGTTACACAATCATCATTACTATTTCTTTGTAATCAGTCAGCTTCACATTGCAGATGGAATGTTTTAGTCATCTTTAGGGTAATAAACTCCTGATTCTAAGAGGCCTTCTTCTAAGTCTCAAAGTATCGGGACCCACCTCTAAGTTACTGAGGACTTGACCCTTCCTACAGCCCATTCTCTTTTTCATGCTGAAATGTTCAGATTCACCTACTTCTGCATAGATGTCCTGTACTTTTCACTCAGAATCAGGCTCAACTCAGCATTCTATTTCTAGATGTTGCTAGAAATTTAACCTAACCTCTTGAATCATAAGTGGCCACTGAAATTTGCTTGATATTTTCATTAACTCTGCTTTGAGTTTCTAGTTCCCAACTGTTTGCCCCTAAAAATAGTGTATTAGTTTCCTTGCTATTACTTTTCTGTATGAGAAATTACCAAAAGTGGATGACTTAGCAGATATTTATTCTCTCACAGTTCTGGAGTCAAGATTTTCTGTGTTGACAAAGACATGTTCCCCCTGAAGGTTCTAGGGGAGAAAACTTCCCTCCCTCTTCCTAGCTTCTGATGGTTGCCAGCAACCCTTGGTGTTCCTTGGCTTGTAGACGCATCACTCAAATCTCTGCTTCTGTTGTCACATGACATTCCTTCTCTGTGTCTGTTTCCTTATCACTAAATTAGGGCCTAACCTAAACCAAAATGACCCCATCTTAACTTAATTACATGTGCAAAGACCCTATTTCCAATTAAGAGTCATGTTCTAAGGTACAAGGTGGACATTAAATTTAGGGTGACACTACCCAACCAGATATAGATACCATAATTTCCATTGGCTTTGCTTTGGCTGAACTTTGATTTTCCCAACTTTAGCAATCAGAGGAAACCAAAAGCCTAACTCTCTGGGAACTTGCTCAGATCTAACCTCTTTTCTTCCTACTGTGAACTAAAATGAGATGCTGTTGACACCACCATGCTGATATGTCATGTGGCCTGTGAGATCTTAAATGTTCGATGTGGGAGAATGGATCTGTTATGAAACTTGCAAACCTGTCCTAAGGCCAAAGATCAAGAGAAGCCAAGCCTCTTTCCTTTTATGAGTTTTTTAAGCATATTAAAAATGAAGAAATCCCAAGTAGGTTTAAAAAATTTAGTAGGACACACACACTATTGTACCTATAGGAGATTCTGCTAGCAGCCTTGTAATTTCAGAGTTTGCCATTCACTAGATTGAGACACTAGGATGGATCTGTCAGATCAAGCCATAAGGGCAAGAAACAGAGTCTAGAGATATTTCCCAAAGCTGGCATTACTGAGCACAATGTACCTTGCCATCCATCACTAGGGCTGGGTGCTTTATGTTCATTATCTTTCAACCTTAAACGACTGTGAGATAGGCGTTGTGATCTCGATGTTACTGATTATAAAGCTGAGACTTAGAGAAGTATAGTGAAAAACTTTTCAAAATTATTTTGGAACAGAGTGGAGAGAAAGATATTAAGGGTTGTCAAGTTGGCTCAGACCATGTGAATGCTATTAGTTCCTTTTTTGGTTCTCCCTAACTTTATGTTACAGTTACTATCCAGTCTTGTGAAATGGGTAATAATTGGTTATCATATGGCTGGGAGAAAAGCAAATAAATGACAAATTAGTTTTGTGTCTGAGAATGGAAAAGCGCTCCAATTCTTAGCAGTCTGGGTTTAGTCTCACTCTGTGTCTCTGTGAATACAGACTTGTGCTTTTGAACTCTTAACCCAAAGTAATCCTGTGCACCAAAGCCCTGTGTCTTCCCTGCCAGTAAAGGTGTGAAGACTCCTCTGGTGTATTCCCTGCTGTGGATATTACTGTCTGATCTCTCAGTGGCTTTGCTCTCTTTCATCTTTCTCAAGTCTCTGACTTGAAATGCACTCTCAGCCATGCCAGCATTGAACTACCAAGTAAGAGTGTACCCTCTCCTCCTGGGCCTCAAGACTCCACCTTCAACTTGATCCTAATTTAATAACCTCAAGCCAGCATACCCAGTCCTCTTTCAGGGAGGAAAGATTATCTATAATTGTGAGAGTAAAAAATAGACCCCCACCTCTTTTCTGAAGCCAGCAGGAATCTCTGTGTTTAGTTGGGTTCTTTTTCCCTCCAGGATCATAGTCTGGCTAAGCAAGTGAAAAGGGAAAACTAAATTTCACAATCTTGCTGATAGGAAAAGCATGAGAGATACCAAAAAGTCATATCTAAACACACAGACAAAGAGCAATAATTTTCCAAAAATCAGGCTTAACAGCACAGGACAAGCAAGAACTGGAAATGGGGTCTGGAGGCAACACATGGGGACACTCAGTGAAAAGGCCTTCTGTATGGTGTTTGAGGGCAAGCCTGTAGACAAGATGAGAGTAGTGCTGATTGGACAAAGAAATCCAAGGCCAAGAGTAAGCCAATCTTCTGTGACTTCATCCTGAAGTCTATGGTCTGTGTCATCAAATATCCTTATATACTTCCTTGCTGTTCATCTGCTACAGTAAGTTTACGGAAATTCTTTACTTGCAAGCACAATTACTGCTACAGCCAAGTGTATGATGAAATATCACTTCCAGGAGGTGTACACTGTGAGCTTTTTGCCAATCCATGCAGTATTTCAGCTACAGAACCTTCATCGGGGCCAAAAGATTTTATCTTCCTAAGGCCAGTTAAAGTAATACAGGACTTAGAACACCTGATTCTCTGAAGAATCTATTTTGTAGACAGAGTAACCTTATTGGAAGGAGACTAGACCCATTCAAGAGGTTGATTAATGAGTACAAAAATATAGGTAAATAGAAGAAATATGACCTAGTGCTCCATAAATCGTATAGTGACTATAGTAAATAATAGTCTATTGCTTATTTCAAAATAGCTAGTAGAGAATAATTCAGATGTTCCCAAAAGAAAAAACAGACAAGTGTTTAAGATGGTGGGTATCCTAATTACCCTGATTTGCTTTATTACACACTATATGAATGTATCAAAATATCACATGTGACCCAAAAATATGTATATCTATTATGTATTAATAAAAAATGAAAGGTAAATCTAAAAACATGACATATTTGGAAAATTCTTTTGCCATGCCCTTGTTTCTAATTCAGCCAATGGATGCCATTACATCTCACTTTTTATGCTTATTGGCTTATGAAAAGCATGTGAGCTTACTGAATACATGTCTACCAGGAATAATTTTTACTAACCTATCTTCTTCCTTTCGTAACACAAACCTGAAAGCTAACTTTCTGCCTTTTTAAGCCCTGGCATTTTTTAAGGTGCTGTCATGGCCACTACAGGTTGTCTAGAGGAAACAGTCCCCCAAGGAAGTTTGGATGTCCTCCGCTCAGTGAGGTGAAGCTGTCTCTTTGGAGCGCTTCTCTGTTTTGATCAGCTGAAGTCAGGAAAAGAGGGCATAGGTCTGAGACTGTGGGGCCATCACTATTTCTGAGTAGAAAACAACTTCTTAATGGGGATTTGCCTGAGATGTTTCAATACAAGTCAGGTCAATGGCCTCTACTTCTTTACTCTCCAAATGCCTTTCCTCTTAATTCCCTTTCCTTTAAAGAAGACAAAGAACTGTCTTATGCTTCTGCTTGTAATTTTAAATTTAAAAGAAGAGTGCCTTGCCCATCTGCTGAGGTTGATTCAGGCATCTGGTACAGCCATCAAGAAGTGGCGCCAGGAGCTGGCGGGAGTCCAGCTCTTGCTCCTTTCTCAGCCTACTCCAAGGTTTATCAGAGCGTCCTATGAATGAAGAATGGTATGCAAGTCTTTGCCCTTGCAAAGTGCTTGCTAATGACTTCATAAATGTGAAAAAAGAAGGTACCACCGCAAAAATTATTTTGTGTTTATAAATTGTTCAGGTTACAATCTCAAATAAGGTAATACTATGATAGCTTCACAGATTGCTTGGGGGTTGACATTGGCCTGCTTAAATCTCATAAGGCAGAATTATAATTTTTGATCGATACTTCCATTCCCTAGGTTTTGCCATTTAACATAGCATTTAAGCATTGGAAGAAATTCTTTTTGAAAATGCTTATTGATTATTTTTACTTCCTATTTTTCTAAGGTAAGAAACAACCAGATGTTAAGAAAAAAAAATTAACACCTCGCTTTTAACTTAAGATGGAAATGATGACTTCCTCTAATCCCCACCAGACAGAATATACTTTTGAGATTAGCAGTCTAGTGTGTGGCAGTTTTTTCTAGGAGGTTTGAAGGGTAAAATAAACTCTCTTGGATAGTACTCATTTGTTCACAATTTGAAAAAGATTTTATTATAGAGCTTCTCACACCAAATTGTATTTTTGTCTGTGCTTCCATCTCTATTTTACCTCTGGACAAAGAGATCCCAGCAGGGTTATACTTGTCTTAGTGAGGGACAATGTTACACAGAGCCTAAGACGGTAGATAGTCAATAAGGTTGTTGAATAAACAAAAATGAAGGAAAGTTGAAGAAAATATACCTGGAAATGTCTTAAGTATATATATTTTCTGCTGAGATGAAGGTAATTGAAATAAGTTAGGGGTCCTATAGTTTGAGGGTCAAATTCATTGGTTACCTACATTTTAAATAAAATTTTATTAGAACTTCGTCATGAATAGAACAGAATAGCCATGGTCATTTGTTTTCATAATGTTTATGACTGTTGTCACACTACAATAGCAACTGAGTGGTTGTGACAGAGACTGTATGGACCAAAAACTGAATATATCTACTACCTAATGTTTTGAAAAAAAAATTCTGAGACCTGACTTAAAAAGAAATAAATCACAAAAGTGAGTAAACAACAAGTAGTTATTGAATGCTTGACATATGCTTAATACTATTGCAGGATTTGCAGTAGACACAACAAGATGCATCTTATCCCTCTGAGTAGTAGGTCCTTTAACCACTTGAGGGCACTGATTTGAATTATTGTGCCAATGAAGGGGGTAGGCATTATCCATGTGATGGACTAAAATGGATCCCATTGAGATGGAATGGCTAGTAGAATCAAAGAGAAGGTGAGCAGAGAGAACCAAGGCAAGCGCAAAAGTAACATTTTGGTTAAAACAATGACAAATGTCCTCCAATCTCTCCCATTCCTATTTTCCTGAAGGATTATTAGGGAAGACATTGCATTCTGCATTCACTGTAGTATAAAAAGACTGGAACCCTTTTACTTGGATATTGAATGAAGGGGTGATCTCAGAGGGCTGAAAAGCTTGGCGACAGTTACATTACAGATATTTGATCTCTCTTACATATAGTTTTTTTTTTTTTTTTCCCTAGGCAGAGTCTTGCTCTCTCGCCCAGGCTGGAGTGCAGTGATGTGATCTTGGCCCACTGCAACCTCCGCCTTCCAGGTTCAAGCAATTTTTCTGTCTCAGCCTCCGGAGTAGCTGGGATTATAGGCAAGTGCCACTACACCCAGCTAATTTTTTTGTATTTTTTGTAGAGATGGGGTTTCACCATGTTGGCCAGGCTGGTCTCAAACTCCTGACCTCGGGTGCTCCACCAACCTTGGCATCCAAAAGTATTGGGATTACAAGTGTGAGCCACTGTGCCTGGCCTATCTTTTTATATTTTATTGAAGACATACTTTGAATCAAAGGGTCATGCTAAGTGCTTTATTATAGACATTATTTAATTTTATTACAATTTTGTGTGCTAAGCCTCATTATTTCTACACTATAGTTACATTATCATCATAGCAACTTCCTAATCCACACAGTGTATGAGTCAGTCAGGATAGGCTAGGTAATACTTCAGTAACAAACAAGTCTCACATCTCAATGGCTAATACAACGTAAGTTTATTTCTTGTTCATGTTACATGTTTGCTGTGGGTCAGCGGGTGTCTGCTTACTGTAGTCACTCTCAGAACCAAGTTGACAAAGGATCCATCTTGACTCATGCTTTTGCCCAGCAGGCATTGAGAAAGGAGTATTGTAGCATCTCCTGCTGCCTATAGCATTTTCCATCCAGAAGGGACACATATCATTTTCACTCACATTTTATTACTGAGATTGGAGCCCAATTTGTCTGATTCTTTTTACCAGTTTTCATAGTTATATAATTCATTCACATTAATACAATAGTGTACTTCATAGGCATGTTTTCACCCAAATTCTAAATATACACAGGAGTAAGCTGACATTTACTAGTTCAAGAAATATTTATCAAGTGCCTCTATGAACCATACACTGTCTTAGACACTAGGAATATAGCAAAAATAAAAATAAAAATACCAAACTTCATTGAGCTTTTATTCCAGCAGGGACAGAAAATAAATACATTAAACACTTAATTTAGTAAATAAAACTTAGCAAAATACATAGAATAGTTGGTGATAAGTGCTATGGAAAAACTAAAATATGACAGCAGGTAGAAGATGGTGGGGGTTGGTAGCTGAGGTGCCTCTCTGTTCATAGAGCTCATTTACATTTGGGCCTGGGCATCACAGAAACGTGGGAGGCCCGGACAATTTGTGCTGCCTGAAGGAAACTAGCATAAAAGGCACATTTGTATTATTTCTGGTAATCTCAAGTCCAATAAAGGCATTGAGGCTGTGATTAGTGGAGAACTGGGAGAAGCAGAGGTCTTCTCAGTGTCATCCAGTTTTCTAAGACGCTTTCTGGATGGAGAGTGAGTAGTTTGTAGGAGGGGAGGTTGCACAATAACATTTAAAACTTGGACACTTCTATGTCTTCTTAAATATAATATAATTGTGGGCAAGGAAATAAAAGTCCCTTAATCTTAAAGGGATATGATGATGAAAGGGGAAGGGGTCTGTTTGGCATTTGACAAAAAATTCTGGGCATATACCTTATGTGAACAGAAGTTAGAGATAAGCCTGTGGGTTTGGCTGGTAGTGGATTGCAATGTTTCTCTTCATTTATAATAAGAAACTTTGTAATGAGTTTTTCTAGCCCAAGTTTTGGTTCTTGTTTCTGTCTTCCTGAAAAAACTATCTTCCATTTGCACACTTCCACTCCAAAGCCCTCCAGCCCTTTCAGCGCTCCCACTGGTAGCTGATGGGGTGCTTTAAAATCAAATTATACTCCTTACTTTCAGTAATGCCTTTCTGTTTTCCCCTGCAATTTTTCCAACTTGCTATCAATCTTTATGTTAAAGGTTTCCAGCAAAGTGTGTGGATTAAAAAAAAATCCCCTTTAAAAGTGGCTTTTTCTATTAACCTGGCTCATCCCACCTTGTCAAAGCACTTAGTCGTGAGATAGTAACTCCCTCAAAGTCCTGGCTCAAATTTCAATTTACCAGTGACCTGGGGTGGATAAATCACTTTACAATTGTAACAAAGAAGGTTCCTCTGGGAATACAGAATTATTCATTTTCTGCCCAGCTATGGAGTAAGAATTTGAGACTTTCTTAATATTCGAACAGTTAAAAAGAATGATACAAACATTCCAATCAAGTGACCGTGGTCAGCTAGACACCCAGGGGCAGCTGATTTCTAGCACATCTTTAGAGCTCAGGCTTCTTTCTGAAAGGCCAGAGCATAGTTATGGTTCTTCAATTGCACCCCCATTCCTAAGCCAGCATTCCACCCCCTAAACCTTTCAACCTACCTCACTCCACAATGAAAATATAAGAGTGGTCTCTTACTGAATGCTTGCATGTACCAACCATTGTGCTATGCGTTATGGTACATTGCATAAATAGCCACAATTGTTCAGACCTCCAGGTTTTCATAACCATTGCCATGTGACTTTACAGTTCCTCTCGTGGAGGTGAAATGTACTTTCACTCCACTGATGTTGAATTTAGTCATGTGGTTTGCTTTGGCTAATAGAATATGGTATAAGTAATTATGTGCCACTTCCAAGCCTAGGCCTCCAGAAATCTCAAATGTGTCCATTCTTTCTCTTAGACATCTGCTTCTGCTATGAGAACAAGCCTGAGCTAGGTACCTGGATCATGAGAAATATGTATCCCCATTTCTTAAATCAACGTAATAACCAGCCAATATCTGGTAATTCTTCAGACATGTGAGTGAGACCATGCTAGACCAGCCATCCCCCAGTAAGCATGCCTCTGATAGCAGATATGTGATTGGACTCAAGTAACACTACCCAAGCCTGGGCCAGGTCAGCAGCAGTGTCAAGCTCACCCACAGGCTCAGGGTAAATAATAAATGAGTTTTATGTGGGCCATAAGTATTGATATTGTTTCATGCAATAATTGCTAACTAGTAAGCACTTTATAAAGATTAGTTTGTTTAACCCTTATAATAATCTTATACAGTAGGCTCTATTATGATTCATATCTTACAGAAGAGAAAACCAAGGTTTAGAAAATTTAAGGATCACACAGCTGTAAAGCGTCAGAACTAGGATTCTAAACCCAAATGTCCAATAATTCAAAATCTTACCTATGTTTCATCATACATCACTGTGAACCCCTCTCTCCTTGCTTTTTCATATTTGCTTATTTAGAAAGGGAAGGGTTCAACTTTAACCTGTTGAAATTGCTAAACTCAGGCTTTTCTCTTCAAGATGAAGAGTTTCATTGCATTTTATTCAGAACTTCAAGTCTTTCTGACTTTCCTTGTGCTCTTTGTTTTCTTGTGAAACTTATCTGAAGCAACTGTTCATGAAGAAACAGGCACAGGGCATTTCTGAACACTTACGGAAACTTTTTTTTATAGTAATAACTTGTTTATGCAAGTAACACTGTTCTCTGCTCTAAAATTTCCCAGTGACTCCTCCTAATGAATGAACCTAATTAACAAATCTCATCACTCAGCCGGAAACAAGTTTTTTCCTATGCTGAACAACTAAATGGACAGGTCAATATATACATAGTCACCAGGGATGGCTTTGGGAATGCAGAAATGAAGCCTAGCTGTGAAACTGCTGTAATTCCACGGAAATAATGGCATGATCTTGTCATATTGCTTGGGACTAACTACAATGATTCTCCACAAAGTTGCCCTCCATCCATGCATCTTTCCCAGAATAATGGAATGATTATTCTTTATTTTTATAAGATACACATAAGAAATATTTTCACTCTCAAGAAACATCATTAATTTTATCCTTTAGTACAATAGATTCCAATACATAAACTATCTTCTTTTCAAGTAGTCGTCTGTTGTTAATTTGATTTTCATATTTACAAAGTTCAGTACTAAAGGTTTCTTTATTTCAAGCAATTTTTGTTTTAAACATGTAATAGTTGCTATTTCATTTGGTTCAATATTTGTAAAAGTACAAACAAGAAGTTTCAACATTTCTAGCATGCCATAGAGCTTGTCTATGGCTTAAGTAGAACGAGGAAAATGGTTATTATCTTTCTTCTCACAGATAGAAAATCTGTTATATTATATATTTCTATAATAACTTTCCAAACACAAAACTGAGGAGTGAAAAAACTGAATGCTTGTGATGCCTGAATTATTCACAGCTTTTACGTTTGTTCTTTTGTCAATAACAATCGCATGACATTTTCCTGATTTTCCATTCTATAAAAAGTTGAAAAAGTTGACATTCTTCTTTTGACTCATTCTCACAAAATGAGAACAATTCCTCAATAAGGCTTTTCTTGACAGACTCATAGCCTAAGTATAATTAAATAAGTGAAAATTAAATATAGTTTTTAAATGCTATCTTTTTTAATGTTGTGAGTACTAATACACCAAATAATTTTATGAAGATCAGAAATACCATATAAATGTTTTTTACCTTGTATTATTATTTTACTTTTGTAAATATATTCTGATCCTAGAAGAATATAATATTCTTCCCAAGTTATGTAGCTAACATAATCTCATAGCATTAGTATTTTCTGTCAATCATTTCTCCATTCATTTCATTGTTGAAAGGTTCTTAAAATTTTTCAAAATCACTATTAATTGTTGTAGCATTTTATGGTTGGAGAATAAATGTACATTTATAATCAAATAACTGCCAGAGTTTCATCGTATGTACAAGAATCAATGAATCAGGATGAAATACCTAGCTCATTTTACTAACTTGGCGATGCTGTTTCAGTATGACAGTAATGCATGTGATCACGTGACTGTGCCCAACCATGCTGAAGGATATCAGATATGGTATGAAATTATACATGAATCTTTAGCCCAAATCCTTCAAAGGCCAATGCTGAGGCCAAAGGAAAAGAATATATTTTGGCTGAATACCTAGGCCAGAACTCAAAATATTGATGCATCCTTGAATAGACTTTGTTGGGAGACAAATTTTAGACTATGAAAAGATATATTTTTTAGAATGTTTGATTTCCATTTTGTTCAAATAAATACATCAGAATGTTTTTACACTTATTGCCCCTAAATTAAAACCACAGTAGTTTGTATATGCCTACCATGGTTCAGCCTTGCAAGTCAAGCATTCTTTCCTATGAATAAAATAACTGACACAGACAAATAACAAAAAGGTTGATACAAAAAAGAGCATGAAAATCATCCAGAAAAGAAGTAATAAATAACAGGATAAAATGGGTAAGTAAAGACCAAGGCAGTGCCAGTCCTCAAAGATCTACAGTCTGGGTGGGACTTTGGGTAAATAGCCATTTCCTATTCAGAGATACTGTCATGGCCACCACTGACTTATCAAGTGGGTGTCTTTCTGTGCCAAAGCTTGGCCAGTGGAGGTAGACTGGTTTTAGTTCCTAAATCGGTCTCCCTAGGCTTGTGCTCTTGCACAGTGGTAAGTCTGGATAAGGGGTACTATATGGTACCAAACAGTGAAGAAATAAAAAAAAAATGGCATGTAACACCATTTTGAGGGATCAGAATGATTCTGAAGAAGGAGTCTTTAGTGTAGGCTGACTTTACTGTCTGCAGGCAGGACCAATGACTAAGTTGTGATGTAGACATAGAGAAAAAGAAAAGCACCTTGAATTTCAATATTCTCCTTTAAACTTTAAAAATTAACATGCTTTCTGAATATTTGAAGTCCCAATTAGGAATTCATATATTGACTCCAATGAAACTCATGTTGGTGTCACTTAAATTGTCACTAAAATAATATATCTCTTATATTGTTAAGCCAGATGATTAAAATAGACAGCTTTACGGTCAAACAAAACTTTACATCTATGACTTACTAGCTTTGTGATGTTGCCCAAATTATCTACATTCCTATAATCTCAGTACTATCTGCTCTAAAATGAGAATAATAGTAAGGTTTATGAAATGATTAAATGAGATAATACATTTAGAGTAGGGTCAAAATTTAGTGCAACACAACCTAGAGTGTACATATGAACTTTAGTTTCTCTATTTCTATAACAAATACAAACCTTTTCTTCTGTTTCTGTTTCCACTGACAGCAGAAGCTATTTCCAGTTATAAGTAATAAAGTCTTTCCTACTGTAAACAATCTTATTTGGGGGTAAAATGAGGTTTTCATTTCTGTCTGAAAGAGCTTTCTCTTCTCCACCTTCCTAAGATGGCATCTGGACACATAGGAAATCTCCTATAGCCTCAGGGAATCTCCTGCCTTCATGCTATGTTTCTCCATGGCTTCACTGACCCATAAATGAAATGTAGCTCATTTTGCCTGTTTTCTAGGCATAGAGTTCTGACCTCCTTGCATTCTCTTCTGAAGTGTCACAGATGCTGTAACTCACTGGCTGGCCTCTTGGAGCAGTAAAGACTTCATTTCCCCACATTGCTGCTTTGGCACCAGTTCAGATATTTTTTACTGAGCAGATGGGCAGGGACTCAGCACTCACCTCACACCTCATGACTGACACCTTCTCAGTCACTGTCCATTTTGTTCTTGGCACTCATGGGAGGGTGCACTGAGTTACTGAGGGTCACAAGCTTTATCTTTACTTTAGTATTGATTCATTCAAATCTCTTTTCTTCTCCTATATGAAAAGCTTTTACCTGCCTTTTCTCTTTGGTGGAAACTTCCCAAATATTGTACTCTCTTTATAATTCTTTATTCTAAGGTTAACCCCCTTCTGTTTTCCTGGCATGACAGTATTCATGACTTAAGTGTGAATTCTGAAGGAGCTACAGGGGAATAAAATGAAAGGGATTACTGAAAATCCACAGAGGTGTTGACCTCAAGATCCTCCTTTT
Organism: Homo sapiens; assembly: GCF_000001405.40. Taxonomy (NCBI): domain Eukaryota; kingdom Metazoa; phylum Chordata; class Mammalia; order Primates; family Hominidae; genus Homo; species Homo sapiens. The sequence continues at coordinate 30,320,358 of NC_000003.12, forward strand.
CTTATAACCTAAGAGGAAAATGTAAGTAAACAAACATTTTAAAAAAACAGCTAAAATAAACTAACAGCAATCATGAGGATATAGAAAGAGTTTGTTGCCAGTAAGAAAGATTGAAAATGTTAAAAATTAGCAAGGCTGAGTGTGGTTGAAAAAAATTCTAAGAGGGATCTCAAATTCCCACTCCCTTGTGTACACGCATGCCTTATAATCCCCTAACCTACTTTAACTGGGTAGAACCAGTGAATATAATGAGATGTCACTCCTGTGATTAGGTTACTAATTAGTTGACTTGGAGTTAGCCAAAAGAGATTATCCTGGAAGGTCCTAACTTAATCAAATGGAATAAAGTGAGGAGTCAAAGAGAGAACCTGCTGGCCTGGAAGAAAGCAAACAGCCATGTTGTAAATGACCTATGGGGTTCAGGAAGTAAGAACCTGAAGGTGACCTCTAGCTGCTGACAGTGGTCCATGGTTGGAAGATAGTTATAAAATGGGGATTTTAGTTATACGCCCACGAGGAAACTAAATATGACAATTTTCTAATAAAGCGAACAACTTGTTCCTAGCTCACCAGTGGTGAGTGGAGGTTCCAGCAGAGCCATTCCTGACTCTTGATCCATGGACACGGTATGATAATCAATGTGTGTGTTGTTTTCAGGCACTAGGACTGTAGTAATTTGTAACTTGTCAATAGAAAACTAATGTTCTGAGGTATTATATCCAAATATAAATAAAACTAATATCCAATCCCTGCTTTCCAAAGAAATATGTAAGAGGCAATGGAAGGAAAATGGAAAATAAACACCCCCTCCACCACACACACACACACACACACACGCACACGCAGACACAGACATACACACACACACAAACTCTTACAATAGATGTCTAACTTGGAAAGAGGTGAGAAAACAGCTACTTTGATCAGTTCCAAATGGAAAGATAACAATTTCCACAAAAATCTTAACCACCATGACTATGTCTGAGTTCAAGCAGAGCCAAAGAAAATCTACAGTTTTAAATTAGAATGAAAAAGAGGAAAACAAATAAACACAATTAGAAATAATAAAGGGAATGTTACTACTGACCCCACAGAAATGAAAACAAGCATCAAAAACTACTATGAACACATACACACACACAAACTAGAAAACCTAGAAGAGATGGATAAATTCCTGGACATATACAGCCTCCCAAGACTGAGCAAGGAAGAAGCTGATTCCCTAAACAGACCAATAACAATCTTCAAAACTGAATCAGTAACCAATAGCCTGCCAACCAAAAAAAGCCTGGAACCTGATGGATTCACAGCCAAATTCTACCAGATGTACAAAAAAGAGCTGGTACTATTCCTATAGAAACTATTCCAACAATTGAGGAGGAGGGACTCCTCCCCAACTTATTCTATGAGGCCAACATTATCTTGATATTAAAATCTGGCAGACACAACATAAAAAGAAAATTTCAGGACAATATCCTTGATGAACATTGATGCAAAAATCCTTAACAAAATACTGGCAAACCAAATCCAGCAGCACATCAAAATGTTAATCCATCATAATCAAGTAAACTTCATCCCCAGGATGCAAGGTTGGTTCAACATATTGCAAATCAATAAATGTGATTTATCACATATATGGAACTAAAGACAAAAACCACATGATTATCTCAATAGATGCAGAAAAGGCTTTCAATAAAAGTCAACACCCCTTCATGTTAAAAACACTCAATATACTAGGTATTAAAGGAACATACCTCAAAATGACAAAAGCCATCTATGACAAACCCACATAAAACATTATACTGCGAGGGCAAAAACTGGAAGCATTCCCCTTGAAAACTGGCACAAGACAAGGATGCCCTCTGTCCACACTTCTATTCAACACAGTATTGGGAGTCCTAGCCAGAGTGATCAGGCAAGAGAAAGAAATAAAGGCATTCAAATAGGAAGAGAGGAAAGTCAAACTATATCTGCAGATGACATGATTCTATATCTGGACATTTTCATTGTCTTTCCCCAAGAGCTCCTTCAGCTGATAAATAACTCAGCAAAATTGCAGGATATAAAATCAAAGGTACAAAATTACTAGCATTTCTGTACACCAACAGCCAAACTGAGAACCAAATCAGAAAGGTAATCCCATTCACAATTGCCACCAAAAGAATAAAATACCTAGGAATACAGCTAGCCAGGGAGGTGAAAGGTCTCTACAATGAGAATTACAAAACACTGCTCAAAGAAATCAGAGATGATACAAACAAATGGAAAAGCATCCCATGCTCATGGATAGGAAGAATCAATATCATTAAGATAGGCATACTGCCCAAAGTAATTTACAGATTTAATTCTTATCAAACCATCAATGACATTCTTCACACAACTAGAAAAAAACTATTTTAAAATTCACCTATGGAACCAAAAAAGAGCCTGAATAGTCAAGAAAATCCCAAGCAAAATGAACAAAGCTGGAGGCATCACATTATCTGACTCCAAACAATTCTACAAGGCTACAGCAACCAAAACAGCATGGTACTGGTACAAAAACAGCCACATAGACCAATGGAACAGAATAGAGAGCCCAGAAACAAGGCCGCACAACTATGATCACCTGCTCTTCGATAAAGCTGACAAAAAACAAGCAATGAGGGAAAGACTCCCTATTCAATAAATGGTGCTGGGAGAACTGGCTAGCCATATGCAGAAGATTGAAGCTGAACTCCTTTTTTTTTTTTTTTACACCATATACAAAAATCAGCTCAAGATGGATTAAGGGTTTAAATGTAAAACCCAGAACTATAAAAACCCTGAAAGACAACCTAGGCAATACCATCCTGGACATATGAATGGGCAAATATTTCATGATGAGTAAACCAAAAGAAATAGCATCAAATGTAAAAATTGACAAGTGGGATCTAGTTAAGATATTCTGCAAAGCAAAAGAAACTATCAACAGAGTAAACAGACAATCTACAGAATGGGAGAAAATATGTGTCAACTATGCATCTGACAAAGGTCTAATATCTAGCATCTATGAGATACTTAAACAAATTTACAAGAGAAAAACAAGCAACCCCATTAAAAAGTGGGCAAAGGATATGAACGGACATTTCTCAAAAGAAGACATACATGTGGCCAACAAGCATAAGAAAAAAAGCTCAACATCAGTGATCATCAGAGAAATGCAAATCAAAACCATAATGAGATACCATCTCATACCAGTCAAAATGGCTATTATTAAAAAGTTAAAAAATAGCAAATGTTGGTGAGGTTGGGGAGAAAAAGGAACATTTATACACTGTTGGTGGGAGTGTAAATTAGTTCAACCATTGTGGAAAGCAGTATGGTGACTCTTCAAATAGCTAAAAGCAGAACTACCATTTGACCTAGCAATCCCATTACTGGGTATATACCCAGATGAATATAAATTATTCTACACATGCACATGAATGTCCCTTGCAGCACTATTCACAATAGCAAAGACATGGGATCAACATAAATGCCCATAAATGACAGACTGGATAAAGAAAATGTGGTACATATATACCACGGAATACTATGCAGCCATAAAAAAGAACAAAATCATGTCTTTTGTGGGAACATGGATGGATCTGGAAGCTATTATCCTTGGCAAACTAATGCAGGAACAGAAAACCAAATACCACATGTTCTCACTTATAAGTGGGAGCTAAATGATAAGAACCTATGAGCCCAAAGAAAGAAACAGCAGACATTGAGGTCTACTTGAGAATAAAGGGTAGTGAGAGGGAGAGGAGCAGAAAAGATAACTATTGCGTACTGGACTTAATACCTGGGTGATGAAGTAATATGTACAACCAACCCTTGTGACATGTGTTTACCTATGTAACAGGCCTTCACATGTACCCCCAAACCTAAAAATAAAAGTTAAAAAAAAAAAGAAAAGAAGGAAAATAAAGAGAAAAAAACAAAAGGATGTTAATTTCCCAATCTAATTGTCTCTGGCAATAAGTAGTGATGTAAAACCCAAAATTTGGGATGTAAAATCCCCAAACTAGAGATTTAGCCAAAGAAAAGGTGAAAATGAATGAAAATAAGCTAAGATTCTCAGAGGTAGCAGGTAGTGGGGGAAGGGACACTCATAAAATTCTTCCCAAATCATAAAGAGAGCAAGAGCAGGGCAAAAGGAGAAAGTGGTCATAGTTACTGGAAACAATGGGTTAAAATAGGATAAAAGAACAATCTGGCTGACTCAGGAACTGAATGAAAAGCTATAATGCCTCAAGTTAAATTGAAAACATTATTTGTGTCCGAAAAGTATCTTTTCACAGGACCAGAATACCATGGCTAATATCTACTTGCTCTGTTTTGATTGCTAAGTGCCTGGCTTTCAGGTTGTAAATATTTTGACTAGTACCCCTGGATACAGTCTGACAAAGAGTAATAAACTTGGCTATAAAACATGTGAGCAATGCTCAGATTCACTAATAAAAGTGCATCCAACCCCATGCAGTCCTTCCCACCAGTGAGATGTTGGTAAATGTTTAACAGCTGGCTCTCTGGGCAGAGGTAGGGAGGACTATATGCACACATATATATATGTTTATAAAATTTGTACTCTTATGAAGAATGCATAGCATAAAAATGATAAACTTACAAACATTATTTACCAGTAATAATAAAATACACAATACATTCCATACGGCCAAATGATTTTTAAGAATAGTTTTGTTGAATTTTGTTGAGCTCTTGTGTTCATGGCCAAGCTATGGTTGTACTCAATGAGTGTAGTTTCAACATGAATGTTTATTGATGTTTTCTTTATTTGTCTAGTAAGAATAAGTGAAACAATAAAGATAGCTTTCATCTGTCAATAAATTGAGCAAATTCTTTGTGTATTGGGTAGTAGTTTCCAAATACTGAAAAAATATTTTCTCAATTTTCCGTTATAATGACAAAACATACAATGCACATTTATGTTTAAGATATGTTATTAACATTCTGTCTTCTTATTAAATCTAGATCATCAACAAAACAATAAGCCTAGCTCTGATTTGTAGTATTTGCCAATTTTCAGGACGTGTAAACTGCCACCATAGCTGATTTCAAGCAACGAATGTGACATCACTGAAAGCACAAAAATGGTCTTAAATAACCTCAATAGTATGGATAATAGAAAAATATAGTAAAGTAATCAGGATGGGGGAGTTTTTAATACAATGCATTTATTTTTAAATCAATATGATTTAATTTTTAATAACATCTGTGTATATTTAATAACCAACTTGCAAAAATGGAATAACCTGCTCTCATGAGCTTGTATGAGCAGGCTGCAGTACACCACTGCTTCCCACTCTACACTATCTTCAAGTTTTAAATTAGAAGACAAACAGTTTACAACTGGATTGGAAAGAGACTCATTGAGGATCCACCCACTCTGTTTTAGACCTGACACCACTGCCCAGTTAAGAGTATCCAGCATAAAGGAGTGAGACAAAGAGAGGGAAAGGTCTAATACATCTCTCCTAGCATATGCAGTAAAATAATGGGAAAACAACTATACTATACCAAAAATACATGAAGAATCTATTCTTGAAGAAAAGATAAGCTTTCAGAAAAGAGGGACGTTTCCTAGAGGTGCTTTAAGCTATAGATGAACTAAATAATGTCAGGAATTTAAGAAATAAATGTTTAAAGATAAGATAAAGAAATACCAAGCAAAACAGCGAGCAAAATGAGATAAAAATAAAGATTTTCTTGATAAGAAAATAAACGGAGGCCAATAACAATACAACTACAGATAAATTTTTTAATTATTTTTAAACAAACACCAGTAAGTAAGCATGGATGACAGACTGTTGACAAAGAGAAAAAGCTAAAGATAGCCATTTAACATGCAAGAGGGAAAGGACTTATATAGTAATCCAATTCAAGAGAAAAAATAGATATTACAGCAGACAAAGGTGATTCACCAAAAAGTTAACTGGCATTCTTAAAGATGAAAACCCAAAAATAGAAGAAAAAATATCATCAGTGTCATATTAAAAGATTTCACTGAAATAAGACAAAACTAAATAAGCAAATCAAAAGAAAAATTAATATAAAAGCTGGCATGAAGATACCTTCTAGACAAGCACTGGCATTAATTACCAAGAATAAGGAATTCTCTAGAATTATTCTGGGCCCAGACTTCTCCAAAACAGCATTCAAAGGAACAACAACAACAACAACATTTTTTTACAGGAAATAAAAATATGACCCTGAAATATGATGCCTAGTCAAGTTGTCTTTCATGGAATAGCCAAAATGTAGAAATTTTCAAACATGAATGAATCTGGTAGCATAATACCAAGTAGCCTGTTTTTAAAACAAACAGACTTCTAAACATCCAGACTTCTCTGGACAAAATCCAGACAACTAGATGATGGAAGAAGACACAGTGGAAAAGGGATCAATAGTAAACACAGAATATAAAATCATGGGAAATATATAATAGGAGGTAAATGTTATAAATATTAATAATGTACCAATAACAAACAATAAGTAGAAAATGAAAGGCAAAGGAAGATAAAAAATATAAGAACATTTTCTATATATAAGCAATGAATGAGTAGAATCAAAATTAAAAATTGTCATTTATATTGGCACCCTAATAAATAAAATACTTCGGCATAAATGTAACAAAATATATACAAAATCTATCTGAGAAAAACTATAAACTTCTGATGAAATGAATCACATAAGAATTATATAAGTGGAAAGACATTTTATGTTCCTGGATAAGAAAACTTAATATTGTCAAGATGTCAGTTATTCCCAACTTGATGTATAGATTCAACACAATCCCATTCAAAATCTCAGCAAGTTATTTTATGGATATAGACAAACTGATTCTAAAGTTTATATGGTGAGAAAATAGACATAGAATAGCAAACTCAATATTAAAGAAGAACAAAGTCAGAGGATTGACACTAGCTGACTTTATTATAAAGCTATAGTAATTCAATGTGGTATTGATTTTTTAAATAAAGGACAAATATATTAGTGCAACAGGAGAGCCTAGAAATAGACCTACACAAATATTGTCAACTCATCTTTGGCAAATGAGCATAGGCAACACAATGGAGAAAAGATAGTGTTTTCAATAAATGGTGCTAGAACAACTGGACATCCACATGCCAAAAAAAAAAAAAAAACCCCACTATTCTAGACATCAACTTTACAACACTGATAAAAAATAACTCAAAATGGGTCATAGACTTTAATTTACAATGCAAAACCAGAAAACTCCTAGAAGATAAAATAGGGGACTTCAGGCATGGTGATGAATTTTTGATATAACACAAAGGCACAATCCATAAACGAAGCAATTGATAAGCTGAATTTTATTAAAATTAACAAGCCATGTTCTGTGAAAGACAATGTCAAGAGAATGAGAATATAAGTCACAGACTGGGAGAAAATTTTTGCAAAAGATGTAGCTGATAAAGGACTACTATCTTAAATGTATACAAAAATTCTTGAAACGATGAGAAAATGAAAAATTGTATTAAAAAATAGGCCAAAGATCATAGACATCTTGTCAAAAATTATATACAAATTTCATATAAGCATACAAAAAGATGTTCAACATCATATATCATTAGGGAATTCCAAATTCTCTAATACAACAATGAGATGCCACTACACACCTATTAGAATGGCCAAATCCAAAACACTGACAATACCAAATGCTAATGAGGATGTGGAGACTCTGGAAGTCTCAATCATTTCTAGAGAAAATGCAAAATGTTATAGTCAATTTGGCAGAGAATTTGGCAGTTTCTTACAAAACCAAACATACTTTTACTACATGATCCAACAATCACATTCCTTGCTAATTACCCAAGTGAGTTGAGCAATTATGTCCACATAAAAGCCTGCACGTGAATGTTTACAGCAGCTTTATTCATACTTACCCAAAGTTGGGAGCACCCAAGATGCCCTTCAATAAGTAAATGGATAAAAATATGGTGGCACATTCAGACAATGGAGTACTATACAGTGATAAAAGGAAATGAGCCATCAAGCTATCAAAAAGACATGGAGGAACCTTAAACCCATACTACTGAGTGAAAGAAGTCAATCTGAAAGGGCTACGTACTATGTGATTCCAATGATATGACATCCTGGGAAACGCAGAACTATGGAGACAATAAACATTTCAGTGGTTGCTAAGGTTAGAGGAGGAAGGGGTGAATAGGCAGAGTACAAAGGATTTTTAGGGTAGTGGAATTGTGCTGTGTGATACTACAATAGTGAATGCATGTCATTTTACATTTCTCAAAACCCAAAGAATGTACAGTGCCAAGGGTGAATCCTAAAATAAACTATGAACTTCAGGTGATAATGATGTGTCAACACAGGTTTGTCAGTTGTAACCAGTGTACTACTGGGGAGTGAAATGTTGATAGTTATGGAGGTTGTGTGTGGTGGGAGAAGCAGCTGGTTTATGGGAACTCTCTACTGTCTGCACATTTTCACTGCGAACCTAAAACTGCTCTAAAAACAGTCTATTTAATACAAAATTTAATAAGAGTAGAAATATTATTGAAATCTTCACTTTCTCACATCACGCATTGATTTATGTCAAAAAAGTGAGAATAAGGTGTTTTTTATGAGTTGTAGAAAATAATGTACCACATGGTTTACTAAAAGACAAACTTGATTCTAATGAGTAATAATGAATGCATGAATGAACCCTCTTTTTAATTAAGGCATTTCAAGAGAGTAAAGGGTACAGCATGCATCATGCTCTTGGTATTGGATGTTGTCACCACTGTCTTTATCACTGACTTTTTAAATTACACTCTAAGGTTTAGCAATACGGTGGTCTCCTCTCCTGGAGACTGGACCCATAAAAGACTTTCAAATTCAGAAGTTTGTTCCTATATAAAAATGTCTGTTATTTGTCCTGGTAATATTAAGAATTTCATGTACTTATTCAAATAATAATTTCTTAATAAAACAGCCTCAAAATTAAGAAAGAGACATGTGTAGGAGTCAAAAGAGTAAACTTTTGGCAGGGATTCTGAATACTGAATACATCCTTTGAAAATGTTCTCAGATTTAGAGAAATCACACTTTACATAGAGGTTTCCTTTACTGTAACATGAAAATATTATTATCTCCCCACTTTTATAAATAACATGGTAGCAGCTAAGGTCTAATCTAAATAATAAAAATACCTTTTTATTTTATTTTTTTGATGTGTAAGGCATTGAGCTAAGAACTTTGTTGATGTTTAACATTATTTAATCTTCATTTATCCTCTAACCTATTTATCATTCTTAATCTCATTTTTAAAATGAAGAAACCATGGTTCAGAGAGGTTCAGAATTAACCTTCCTAAGGTTGCAAATCCAGTAGATGGAAGACCTATAGCTTAAAACTATTTATGCCTAATTCCAAAATGCATATTCTTAATTTTATCACTCTTCCATTTCTTCTTTTATACTTCCCTTAGGACATCTCATTAAAGGTAGAGAGAGATAAAGCCACCATTTATGGAGTGTTCATTTGTTCTTTTTCTGCTTTTAAAATTTAGTCCCCATAATTATCCTCTGAGGAAGTAGTAGTATTCTCAATTTAAATATGAAAAAATAAACTCATAGGGCTTAAGTTTTAACTAAACACGATTTATCCAAAAGAATTTTTCATGTCATTTGAACTGGGTCTTGCTTGAATCCAATTTCCTTGTTTATTCTCACTATGAAAGAATGTGTAGTTTATAATGCCAAGTGCAAACATGGAACCTACTAGTTATTTTTTTTAACTATACAAAACACACTTTTCCTCTTCTACCTCTAATATTTGGGGACAAATGAATAATATTCATGGTAACTGCCTACAGGAATCAGCACAAAACTCCTTTTTAAGACTTATCAGAAGATTTGAAGATGGTGGCAGGCCAGCAAAATTTAGTTATTTTTAAATCTTGCCTCCGATTCTAAGAAATTGTCCACACCTTTGAAATCTTCAAGAAAAAGTGCTTTGAAGAATAGCAGTTTTTCTTTAATCATGGCAAGATTGTTATTTCTCCATCATCAGACCCCCTTCTAAAAAACGAAGAGGTTGAGAAATGGAATGATTCCCACAGTCTCGCACAGACTTGAGAATAATTGGTGAACTACCATAGCAGTGATATTTTCCTTTTTGCTAGCAAAGCTCTTCCAAGGCAGTAATTTACCTCTCCTCAGGAACATCAAAATCTTCAATTGAATAATGATGGATTTGAAAAATATGGGCCTGAAAGAGATCAGTGAGAATCAGTTTCTTGAAACCTGTAATCCCAGTTTACTGCTTACAAAGTGAAAGAACTGTAAGAGCAATGAAACCATTGGCTGCCACCCTAAGAGCCCTCTTCCTAACAAAAAAAAAAGTGGAGCTGAAATTCAGGCCTCCATTCAACACAAGAGACCTCTCTATCCATAAACTCCCTTCTGCTCTCTTTATTCTAGTGGCAAATGTACCCTACACTTCTCCTTGCTAGTGGCCACTGCTTTAGGATTTCTGAAAATCACTTGCCTCTTCCATATAAGACACCCAGACCATTGGATAAAGCAGTTTGTTTGTCAACTTTGCTTTGTTTAGTAATTATAAAAGCAGTATAAGTTCACTGTAGAAAATTTGAAAATATGGACAAAAACCTACAGGTTAAAAAATCGCCTATATGGTAAAAGTCAGAAGACTCTATATTGCCAAGCAAGTAAGAAGTGTAGGTGTTCCCAGACCAAACTGAGGGTCAGGCTGCTATTCTAGTGGCCCAATAATGAGATGAAGATGAACTGGGGAGGAAGAGAGTTTTTATTTCTGCCACTGGTTACAGGGAGAAGGCCTGGGAATTATTGCCAGACCAGCTGAAAATTACAAAGTTTTCAGGAGCTTATATACCTTCTAAGCTATATGTCTGTATGTGTAAGTGTGAATTTATCTAAAGACATAAGTGATTAACTTCTTTTAGTCTATAACTAAACTCTGAGTCCAGAACACCTTCGTCTGGAGCCTCGGTAAATTTACTTAATCTAAATGGGTCCAGGTCCTGGGGTGATTAACTTTATCTTGTCTCTTGCTAAATCACAGAGGTTTGGGGATTCCTTTAGACCCCCAATAAACTTATTTGTGGAGTCCTGGGGAGTTTCTTCAACCGCCCAATAAAACTTGTTTCATCTTAAATGGGTCCTGTTAAGAATTCCTTCATTATTTTGTCATGCTTTAAGGCCCAGGAAAGGCCTAGACAAAACTCTTGTTTGGGCTTTTGTTACATTCCAGCTTTTGTATAAGGGCACTTGCTTTTAATATTTAACTTAACCACTGAGTCAGTACTGAAACAGTTGTTATGGAGGCAGGTGTTAGTAAGACCTGGCCTGCCACATAGGTGTTGGTATTGACTGAGGCACCAGGGAGCCTTCCAGATTGCAGATGTTTTATGTCTTGATCTGAGTGATGGTGACATGAGGGTCACATAGTTAAGAAACGAATTAAGTGATATACTTTATGCACTTTACTGTAGGTATAATGTACCTTATTACAAAGGAAAACATTTAAAATAACCAATTACTCCAAAACCCAGAATTGTCTTTACATCTGGGAATGTTTTCTTTATAAATGTATGCATATATATGTAAACATGTTCAATTATATCATATATACATGTATGAGGGTATATACAATATGCACTTATGCACTGGTTTGGGGTTCTTTTATCTTTACTTAAAATATGTCCCTCTATTTAATAAATTTCAACTTACCAATATTCATAGATAAAACAAAGCTGTGTGGAGAACATAGCTCCCTACCAACAGATGCTATTAGCTCTCTTGCTCTGTAATTCTCTTATCGGCTGCAGCCTTTTAAAAAAAAAATTAGTCTACAATAATTTTACTATGGTTATTTTTGAGGTATTACATAAAATTTATTACTTCACTTTCTTCACTAATTCAAAAGTCACTGAGAGTGTAGAAATTGTCAACAGGAAAAGGCAAATGACGAGAGTGAGAGCAGAAGTAGAGACGCATGTCAGAGCGGGTCTGGGTGCAGGCAGAGACAGCAGCAGACTTTGCTTTTACAAGACTTGGAATTGGGGCTCAAGCCAAGTTTAACCTCATTTCCCAGTGCAGGTGATCTCTGAATTGCATAAACAATTAACTTTCTTGGACTTTTGTGCAAGTGGTTTATTAAAGAAACTCTCAGAAAAATCACCAGTAAGAGCAGGGGGACAACAGGACAGGGAAGGCGAAGAGTCTAAGGAAGGATGTGATTTCAGGCAAAGCCCCAGCCTCCCCGTGATCCCACAGGAACCATGGAGTCAAAATGCCACCTCAGAGACGTCTGGCACTCCCACAGCCAGCCGGGCATTCACACTCCTACAGGAGTCTGTCCTGGAGTGAGGGTTGGGAGGTCATCCTCTCCCAGGTGCTTCCAGTTCTCCATGCAATGCAGAGAAGTAGTAACAGTAGCCTGAGGGTAGCCCTTTGAATGAAGTTGTAGGAGCAACCCACAGAAAGCAAAACACACAGAAGCTGGGGTAAAAGGCATTCTCGTGGGTCTGGGTGGAGTGGCCATACCACTTCCCTGTCTTAACTCTGGGTCGTGGCTAGCCCCAGGTGACTGGAAACCTACACTTCAGTGACCACAGCTACCTCTTTTGTAATGTCGTTTTCAGTGACAAAGTAAACATCATTATGTCCATTAATGAGTTTTCTTTCAAGTTGAGGGCATTCTGGTGTTCTTTTAAACCTTAGTCTCTCATAGGACAACCTGGAAGAATCTTGAGATACAAGTTTTATTATCCTCACTTTAAAGCTGAAAGAAACTAAAATTCATATATGATTAGCCCAGATCTCCACAAAGTCCATGCTTTTTTCTTTACTGTGTTCCCAATTTGTGTGTTAAAAAGAGTCCTCTAAAATGCCTGGGGATAATACCTACATAGTGCCCGCTGTGTTCTCCTCCTGGCAGCACCATACATGAGACTGTGATATGCACGGAGCTTCCTGGAGGTGTGTAACGCCACATGTTTGTATTCTACTTTCAGACTGCCAGCATCAGTATAACGTTTCCTTCGAGAAAAGGAGGAAAAACTTTTGATTCTCAGGCATTTCAATTTTTTTCCATTTTTGCAGATACATATTTCCTATTTCTCAATTTAAAATAAAACTCGGTCCTCCCACTACTCAAACATTCTGTTATGGTCTCCTAAAAGTACTGTGTTCTTGTTTCAAAATCATTGCATCTTCTCCGACTCTCCTCCAGGAAGATATTTTGTATTTTATGAAGGCATATTTTTAAAGCACTGCTGATCGTTTTTATATATTTTGAATATATATTTCAAAACTGCAAACTTTTGCCCTTAAAATATTCATATACCTCTTTTCCCAGTATTTCTAAGAATTTTTGAAGGACAGCTCCTGTTTTTTATGTCATACCCCAGCACGTATCTCTAAGAGCACCTTTATAATTGCTTTGTTGCAATCGTGGTGATAGAAAACTAGGAATTATGATAATGCATTTATATATTAATAAAAATAAATCTGGGAATTTTGGAGATGTCTTCAGAAAGCACATTGACATGTTGCTGGGCACTCAAAGCTCCATTCCTTCAACACAGGAGAAACCCTTTCAAGTCACAGCTCTGCCAGTATGTGACAACTTTTGACAGTAACTTATGTTTCTATATTTCAGTTTCCTTATCTGACAAATGGGGAAAGAATGCCTACTTTGCAGGGTTCCTGAAAGAGCCAAATGTTATTATTAACAGTAAAAAAAAAAAAAAAAAAAAAAAAAGAGCATGCTGGCAAGGCTGAGGAGAAAAGGGAATTCTTACTCATTGTTGAGAGGAATGTTAATTAGTTAAACCCCTAAGGAAAGCAGTTTGGAGATTTCTTTAAAAATTTTAAACAGAACTACTGTTCAATCCAGCGATGCCATTACTTGGTATATACCAAAGAAAATTAATTGTTCTATCAAAAACACACAGGCACTCATATGTTCATTGAAGCACTATTCACAATAGCAAATATATGAAATCAACCCAGGTGCCCATCAATGGTGGATGGGATAAAGAAAATGTGGTACGTTTACACCATAAAATTCTATACAGCCATAAAGAATGAAATCATGTCCTTTGATGCAATAGGAATGCAGCTGAAGGCCATTATAGTAAGCTAATGAACACAGGAACAGAAAATCAAGTACTGCATGTTCTCACTTATAAGTAGGAGGGAAGCACTGGGTATACAAGAACATAAAAGATGGGAAGAGTAGGCACTGGAGACCACTAGAAGATTTAGAGTGCGAGGTGGGCAAGGGCTGAAAAACTACCTATTGGGTACTATGCTTGGTACCTGGGTGGTGGGATCATTAATTCATACCCCAAACCTCAGCACTGCACAATATACCCATGTGACAAACCTGCATATGCACCCCCTGAATCTAAAATAAAAGTTGAAGTTATAAAAATGTATAACAATTATTGTCATATATGATTCTAGCAAGCATATTAAAGCTTGAAAGAAAATCATTTATGGTGAGTAAAATCAATGTTTACTGTTAGAGATAAGATATAGGAAAACTTTTATTATATTGAATTTGTAACAATATAATTATATGGCAATTCTTAAAAAATGATAACTATTCTTTGTAATTCTTATATATTTTGTCTTGTGATTGTTTTACCACAATGACTGGGAGCTGAAATAAAATACTGTACAGAAATGGTTCTCAAACACACACACGAAAAAAGAAAAAAAAAAATGTGATCTCGTTTGTGAAAGCATTTTGTTAAACTGTAACTCACTGGCCACATTTAGAATAGTCATTACCGCCATATGTATGTATGTTTGCATGTGTTGTACATGTTTATATATGGAATAATACATGGAAAGCAGTTTGCATCAGGAAGTGGGGAACTGTTCTACTGCCAGCTCTACTCCTAACAAGCTGCTTGCTATGGACTTCAATGAGCCCTTTTTTTAATTTGTGGGTCTCGGCTTCCTTATCTGTACTATGAGATGGTTGGATTAGCTTAAAGTTCCTTCACAAACTAAAAATTTTTACTAATGTGTCCATAAATTCAAGTGTTGATTTTCTTTTAATTCTACCTCTTCTTTATTTCAAAATAAATGATTAGATAATAAATATGTCTAAATAAAATTTCTGCTTCTGTATTGTATGGTTAAGAATCATTGAAAATAGATACATGTCCCCCCAAATAACCAGAGTAGTCCCAGATGAGGTGATTTCAACATATTAAGATCTGGGACAGTGTTGTTATAGCAGATATTACCAAAAAAAAAAAAAAAAAGGAATTCAATAGAGTAGGCTTGATAAGATGCATCATTGCCACTGGCAATTTCCCATTATTGATTCAAGGAAAGAGTTCCACATGGACATCAACACATTGAACATTAGCTACATTCATTTTTTTTTTTTTCTCAACAAGAAATACTTTACAGGGACTTACAAACAGAAGCAATGTCCTGGGCAATCAGGAGGTGGTGGATCCCTGCACCTACCCTCCAGAAAGTACTCTTTATAGAACAAGCATTTACGGTAAAACTGGTGCAGCTGCTTATATCTTCGGACCTTTTTTTTTTTTTGCCACGATATGTGACCACTATGTGGATTAGATCAGCAGCTTTATGACGAGTAATGTATGCTCCAGGCATTGACAACCTCGCTGCAGAACACTTTGGTAGGTGGGGGTTAAATGCCCATCATCAGGGCGGTGTCCCTTCAAGATGGCATCACTGGCCTGGCGCTGTGGGTCACGCCTGTAATCCCAGCACTTTGAAAGGCTGAGGCAGGCGGATTACTCGAGGTCAAGAGTTTGAGACCAGTCTGCCCAACATGGCGAAACCCTGTTTCTTTTTTTTTTTTTTAAATACTTTAAGTTCTAGGGTACATGTGCACAACATGCAGGTTTGTTACATATGTATACATGCGCCATGTTGGTGTGCTGCACCCATTAACTCATCATTACATTAGGTATATCTCCTAATGCTATCCCTCCCCCCTCCCCCCACCCTATGACAGGCCCCGGTGTGTGATGTTCCCCTTCCTGGGTCCAAGTGTTCTCATTGTTCAGTTCCCACCTATGAGTGAGAACATGCAGTGTTTGGTTTTTTGTCCTTGCGATAGTTTGCTGAGAATGATGGTTTCCAGCTTCATCCATGTCCCTACAAAGGACATGAGCTCATCATTTTTTATGGCTGCATAGTATTCCATGGTGTATATGTGCCACATTTTCTTAATCCAGTCTATCATTGTTGGACATTTGGGTTGGTTCCAAGTCTTTGCTATTGTGAATACTGCCACAATAAACATACGTGTGCATGTGTCTTTATAGCAGAATGATTTATAATCCTTTGGGTATATACCCAGTAATGGGATTGCTGGGTCAAATGGTATTTCTAGTTCTAGATCCTTGAGGAATCGCCACACTGTCTTCCACAATGGTTGAACTAGTTTACAGTCCCACCAACAGTGTAAAAGTGTTCCTATTTCTCCACATCCTCTCCAGCACCTGCTGTTTCCTGACTTTTTAATGATCGCCATTCTAACTGGTGTGAGATGGTATCTCATTGTGGTTTTGATTTGCATTTCTCTGATGGCCAGTGATGATGAGCATTTTTTCATGTGTCTTTTGGCTGCATAAATGTCTTGTTTTAAGAAGTGTCTGTTCATATCCTTTGCCCACTTTGTGATGGGGTTGTTTTTTTCTTGTAAATTTGTTTGAGTTCTTTGTAGATTCTGGATATTAGCCTTTTGTCAGCTGAGTAGATTGCAAAAATCTTCTACCATTCTATAGGTTGCCTGTTCACTCTGATGGTAGTTTCTTTTGCTGTGCAGAAGCTCTTTAGTTTAATTAGATCCCATTTGTCAATTTTGGCTTTTGTAGCCATTGCTTTTGGTGTTTTAGACATGAAGTCCTTGCCCATGCCTATGTCCTGAATGGTATTGCCTAGGTTTTCTTCTAGGGTTTTTATGGTTTTAGGTCTAACGTTTAAGTCTTTAATCCATCTTGAATTAATTTTTGTGTAAGGTGTTAGGAAGGGATCCAGTTTCAGCTTTCTACCTATGGCTAGCCAGTTTTCCCAGCACCATTTATTAAATAGGGAATCATTTCCCCATTTTTTGTTTTTGTCAGGTTGGTCAAAGATCAGATGGTTGTAGATGTGTGGTATTATTTCTGAGGGCTCTGTTCTGTTCCATTAGTCTTTATCTCTGTTTTGGTACCAGTGCCATGCTGTTTTGGTTACTATAGCCTTGTAGTATAGTTTGAAGTCAGGTAGCGTGATGCCTCCAGCTTTGTTCTTTTGGCTTAGGATAGACTTGGCGATACGGGCCCTCTTTTGGTTCCATATGAACTGTAAAGTAGTTTTTTCCCATTCTGTGAAGAAAGTCATTGGTATCTTGATGGGGATGGCATTGAATTTATAAATTACCTTGGGCAATATGGCCATTTTCATGATATTGATTCTTCCTATCCATGAGCATGGAATGCTCTTCCATTTGTTTGTGGCCTCTTTTATTTCGTTGAGCAGTGGTTTGTAGTTCTCCATGAAGATGTCCTTCACATCCCTTGTAAGTTGGATTCCTAGGTATTTTATTCTCTTTGAAGCAATTGTGAATGGGAGTTCACTCATGATTTGGCTCTCTGTTTGTCTGTTATTGGTGTAAAAGAATGCTTGTGATTTTTGCACATTGATTTTGTATCCTGAGACTTTGCTGAAGTTGCTTAACAGCTTAAGGAGATTTTAGGCTGAGATGATGGGGTTTTCTAAATATATAATCAAGTCATCTGCAAACAGGGACAATTTGATTTCCTCTTTTCTTAATTGAATACCCTTTATTTCTTTCTCCTGACTGATTGCCCTGAAAAGAGGGAATCCTCCCTAACTCATTTTATGAGGCCAGCATCATCCTGATACCAAAGCCTGACAGAGACACAACAAAAAAAGAGAATTTTAGACCAATATCCCTGATGAACATCGATGCAAAAATCCTTAATAAAATGCTGGCAAACTGAATCCAGCAGCACATCAAAAAGCTTATCCACCATGATCAAGTGGGCTTCATCCCTGGGATGCAAGGCTGGTTCAACATATGCAAATCGATAAACGTAATCCAGCATATAAACAGAAGCAAAGACAAAAACTACATTAATTTGTTAGGAGTTTTAGTAGGTCAGAAGTTGTGAGCTTACATGTGTATGCCCAAGGCACGAAATAATTCATGGCAGGCCAGATACTTATTTATTGGACATTTATATTTACTTTATTGTCCACTCTCTATATTTTGCTCCTTGTGGACTAGCACTCTCATATCTACCAAAAATGTTTATTTAGTGCCTACTAAGGCTGTATATATAAGTTAACTTATTTAATCTGTACAATAAAAATTCTGGGTGGATATAACAGAATTTTGTTCAATTATAGAGAACCCAAAGTAGCTTAAAGAAGGCAGAACTTTCTCACAGAAAAAAAAATATATGTATATATGAAGAAGGCAATTAAACATGCACAGAAGCTCTCTTATACCCAGAAATCTGGGATCATTGTATCTTTCTGCCTTACCATTCTAGTGTATAACTTCTATTTTTAAGATCACCTTCTGGTTTAGTATGGCTGCTGGAGTTCCAGCTATCATATTTATATTCCAGGCTGAAGGAGAGAAAGAATAAGGTAAAGGAGATAAACCTCTGAACTGAGTCAGAAACTTTTAAAGAACCGTTCCAGAAGTCAAAAAGACAAGTACTTAGGCTAACATTTCATAGACCAGAACTTAGTCCCAGGAAGACAGAGAAAAAAAAAAAAAAAAACTCTGAAGACAATGCCCTCATCTTAAAATGGAAAGTTCATAGCTAAGGAAAGGGAGAATGTTGATTAATAGGCAAATAACATAGGTGTGATCATGCTACAGATGCAGACATTAAGGCTCAGTGGTTAATTTATGCAATTATGAGATATTATGGCAAGTAATCTACCTAATTCCAAAGCCAACATGACTTTCACAATGTAACGCTGTCATCAGTGTTATCCTGCAGGGGGTTGCCATGTATAAATACTGAAAACCATTTGTGAAATGAGGTAGCAAATGAGCACCCTGAACCATCAGCATAATAAAATGGTAAAGAGCATGGACTCTAGCTCAGCCTTTCTCAACTTTGATGTACACATGATTACCCCGCTCATATAAAGGAAGATTACAATTCAGTAGAAATGGCATGGGCTCTGACAGCCTGCATTTCTTTGCTGCCTTCCATGGACCACACTTTGAGAAACAAAGGTCTAGACTTGCATTGTTTAACATGATATCCACTTATCACATGTGGCTACTGAATACTTGAAATGTGGCTGGTCTGAATTGAGATGCGCTATGCTGAAACTGCACAATACACACTGGATTTTGAAGGTTTAATATGAAAAACACTCAAAATATATCATTAACTTTTTATAGATTTTATATCGAAATTATAATGTTTTGCTTATATTGGGATGAACAAGATATACCATTAAAATTAAATTAATTTAACTTTTCACTTTTTAAATGTGGCTACTAGAAAAGGTAAAATTATATATGTGGCTCATGTTATATTTGTATTGAACAGTGCTGATCACATTGAGTGATGCTACTTATTTCAAATTCTGAATTCTGTGACCTACTAACAGGAAGACTATGATCAAGTTACTAAACATCACTAATTTCAGTTTTCTCTTGTAAACTGAGATTAATAATAGTGTTTGCTTCAGAGGTTTACTGTGATGATTAAATAAGAGAATCAAATAAGGCTGTTAACATACATTTACTCTTTGAAACTGAACTACATAGCATTAAAATTTCAACAAGGACCACTGAACAACAAAAAAAATCCTTTAATACTTCATATTTTAAAAATATGCCGAACATGATATTTAGGTACTTTAATAATCTTTGCCACCAATTACTTTAAAGTTTATTTGTCACACATATCACATAAACTACCAAGCTCATTGTACTTATTTTCTAAATTCAATAAAATTGATGACGTAGCCAGTGAGCACAAAGATATGAAGTTGTAATAAGTTATCAGTGCTGCACACAACTACAGCACCAATCTAGACTAATGATCAGTTGAGTCATGTCACCTTTGCTTGGACAGAACTACATTTTGCTATAAGTCGCCAAAACAATTTTTATACAAAAAAAAATGCAAAACCCTAATCTCTTCCAAGCTTTATGCTTTCACCACTCTACCTCTTCCCAGAATACACAGGTTCTAAGTGAATCCACCAGAAGTCAGTTTGTTGAGTGGGCAACATGCCTAAAGCCAATTAGTTGAAAGTCTAATTCACCAAATGACTGATTCATCAAATTTACTTATACCTTTCTACTACATAGTTGTGGCTCATGAATTTTTATTTTGCCCTAATTATAGCACTTTAAGGAATGTTTGGTTTGTTTCTGTGACAGTCCGCACTGTTCCAGCTGGAGCTATAGAACAAAGAAAAGAGGAGGCTGAGGAAAGAGAGAGCAGAGAAAGGGGAATTGAAAAATAGGTGAGCTGAGAAACGGATGAGCTTCAGGGTAGAAGAGACAGATACTACAGAGGGTATGAAAGATATAATTGTAAGACTATATTCTCAAACACAGAGCATTCTTTTGAATTTATTGTTTTTAGAATATATTATTAATCCTGCAAGTGGACAATTGTTACAGTTCTTGATATCCAAGAAAAATAGTGCAAAATGTAAATTCATTGAATATATGTGAAGAATTCTTATCAACACAATCGCATCATGCAAAATAGTATATTCATAGCATATTTATTGCATTTTTATATTCCATGATTATTCAGGTGAAATATCTTCTTAAGTCCCAACTCTCTTGTGTCTTTGCCTCTCATCCTGTCATTCTCCAGCTGCTAATAGCAGGAAGCAGTGGCAGACATATTGAAGATCCCTTAGCAGCTTGTCATGAAAGGGAAAGTAAAATGTTGTCCATCAAAAATAGTTTTTGAAAATGGGAGTTTGGTAAATTGACCAATAAACACATTTGCCTTCGGCAAGATAGTAACTCAGTTAATTGATATCTGGAAATTGGCCTGCTTCTGGATTTGCAAAAAGAGATAATAATGGATGAGTTAAGAGGAAAGCTAAAAAAAACTGGAGACAATGTTACATATTCTTCCATCTACTTTCATAAGGTAAAGGCTTAGGCAAACAATTTTCAGGTATATACCTTTTGTATTTTAAGTGTCCATGCCATTGTACAGGATCTAATACAGTGTCAACAAATATTTCACCCTCTATCATCTTGACCCCGGCTTTCTTTCTCATTCGCCCATCACTTAACCACACTACTCCTTCCTGCTTTTATGCACTCCTTAGTCTTTATACTTTTTTCCCTATGTGATTAATAAAAAATATAATTGCCATCATAAGTCTCCCAACTGTATCAGCACATAAGTGTGAAGAGATGTTCTTTCCTAAAAATTCATCAGAAAAAATAAGAAAACATATAATTCAACGACCAGCAAGACATGCCTAGACCCAGACTGAAGATCATATAACTAAAGCATGTGTCAGTGAGAAAGAGCACTGAGTGAACTGAAAGGAAATATTGATGATGCTGACCTTGGATCAAGGGTGCCCTTCCACTGTCTCCATCTGTGTGGTCCTGGAGGCAGGTCTAATTATCTTGTGCAGATGAAAGAATTAGGATGTCATAACCTGACTCATGGAAAATCTGCATACTAGATTTGATTGCTTCTGCTCTTCTATGTTTATACAACAAAGTTACTAAATGTAATTTGGCTAATATAATTTTTGTCTTATGTAAGTTATATAAGCCTCTTAACAATATGTCTCTTTCTACAAATTCTGTTTTATAATCATTCTCAGAACAACCACAGCTACCATTTTTACTTCATCTTGCCTCTATATGTGTTTGTGTATATATTAGACTATTTTGCCTTTAAACTATGTTATAAGGTAGATATCTTCATTTCTCATAATCAAATCTCAACCTGCAAATAATACACTTAGGATATCTCAGCTGAACTAAAACTTTGGACCAGCCTGTTTCACTCCAAAGCCTTTGGGGCTCAAGCTTCGCATGGTACAATCCTCTGAGTCTGAGTCACTGGTGAGTCACTTTTGGAAGTTGACAAGACCAGGTAGCTGAGCCAGATTCTGAATTATGAAAAATCCAGGCTTCATCAAACAGTCTTTCCTGGGCATAATAGAGCAATGTGTCATAATCACATCAACTGCATGTACCTTCTTGTGTTTCGTATCATTTTGAAAGACAAATTATCGTATAAGAATCATATCCATGTGCTTAATATTTTTGATATACATATATATATATAGAGAGAGAGAGAGAGAGAGAAGGAAAAAAAAGCCTGATATCACTTTTTATCCACAGGATACCTACTAACTTCTCAAAAAGCGACAGCAGTCTTACCTAAACATGAAAGATATGCTAATAAAGTGACCTAGACCCTGGAGAAAAAACGGGGGAGAGTCAGCAACTGATTTTGCCTGAGGGCAAGAGATTATGTCCTGCCCCCAAACAAAATAAATAAATAAAGCCAACCCAAAACTGACAAGCAGAAAAGCCAGAATGAAGACAAGGATTCTAAAGTAGACCGAAGTAAACATCAAGATGACAGTCAAATGCAAAAATAAAACAAAGCAAGACTAGAGTCAGACCAGAAATAGATGTAGGATTAAAACATGAGAACAATCTTAATTTTTTTTCAACTATAAAGGCTTCCTTTTTTTTCCCTAATATCATAAATCACCATCTCTCACAATTAGTGAATCATTAAGCCAATAGTTGAACCTCTTGGGTGGGAGATTAGGAAGCAAGGAAGACAGATAAAGGGCCGACTTCTTTCTCAGTGAAGAGAGAGAAGGCTTCACAATAGAAACCTTGATAGGTACATATGATAATTCTCAGAATATTTAGTTTATCAAAACATCCTGTTCTTTGGTAAAATAGGGCTTTCCTGACAGAAATATTCCTGACCTTGGGAAAGTATTTATGATTGTTATGTACAAAAGGATGTGTTTTTGTGTTTGCATCTGTGAAATGAGAGCAATGAATGATGCTAGGAAATTGTGGGAACACAATTCATTTGTGGGAGCGCTTCCGATATTTTAAACAGCTCAAGTTGGCATTAGAGGGTAACATGAGAATTTACCTTAAAACCACTTAAGTCTTAACAAAAGAAGAATAACAATTAATATAGGAAAAGGAATTTTTTTGGAACACAGGAAACTGAGTCAGAGAAAAATCCGGGCCTCAGCTTCCAGGTCCCAATTTTGGTATGAATGAGGTCATTAGGAAGCAAAGGCACTATGAATGGCAAACTTTCACTTGAAATAAAGGTAGTAATGGGATGGGGGAATGCAGCCCTGCATATTTCAACTAACAATCCACTGGTTCTTAACAACTTTAAAATAAAATAAAATAAAAATAAGCTAGCAAAATATTCAATAAACTAAGTCATGTAAGGGCATGGTCTTAAACTACAGTAGGATCAAAATAATCCTCCAAACATTCTTTGGGCAGGAAATGAAGAAACAAATGCATGAAAGCAGATATGATTTGGGGACTTACAAGATCAGATTTATAAGTGCATCACAAGATGTGAACCTTTCTGGATATGTACTGACTGTGACTCAATTCTATTTAATTGAAAATGGGAAGTTAAATTTTAATGTGCATTTGATAGTATAAACCACAAACCCTTGGCACAGAAAAATTCTTACCTGGTGCCGTAGGAGGGTGGTTAGGTCAGTAGAAAAAAAAAATGGCAATTTCTTTATAATGATTTTGTTTTATACTTAAGTTACCTGAAATATATTATTTCTGTATTGAGCCAATAGGTATTGAGCCAATTATCATTCATAATTATCATTCATTTTTTGGTAACTATAAGTGCTTTTGTTGTTGGTAGTATAAGAGGGCATTGGCCTCTTTGCTGTCTCATAACCAGGTTGCAATAAAAGTGAGTCTAAGACCAAATTCTGTCACTATGCAAACATTTGTTACCAAATAGGTATAATGAAAGCTTATAGCCTGGTGAGTAAACTTGAGAAGTGACAGCTCTATGTTCTCTTAAGTGCTCTGAGGGCACACACAGAAAAGGTCCACTCAGGGTAAATGCAACAATGTTTTCCTGGCAGGAGCCAGCCAACCTTCTAGTGGCAGTCAGACAATAAAGAGTCCCAGGAAGCTAAGGCTGTACATGCACCATTTTGGAATCTAAATCTAATGTTCCACTCCGAAGCCTACCATCTATGTTTATTAGATGCTTGTACTCTATTCATAAGGTGTAGAATAAAGCCAACTAATGCAAAATTATTTATACCATACCATCTCTTTTGAAGTTTTTAAAAATGGCATAAACTTTTAAAGTTACAAACAACCCAGGAAACAACCCAAACGTCCAACAACAAGAAAACAGAAAAATAAATATAATATATTGGCATAAAGGAATATCTCAGGAATAAAAAGAAATAAGTGGCCTGACCTGAGATCTACATCTGCAACAACATGGATGAATCACACACACATTATATTGAGCTTGAAAATCCAGAAAAAAAGAGTACTTACTGTTTGATTCTACCTATATGAAAGTTCAAGAATAGGCAGACTCATTTATGGAATAAAAATCAGAATAGTGGTCGACTATGGAGGTGGGGGCATAGACTGGAAAGACATTCAAGGGAACATTCTAGGGTGATGGTAATGCTCTATATCTTAACTGGGGTGTTACTCTTCAAATTATATATAATATATATATATATATATATACACACACACATATACACAACACATATACACATGTATGTGTATATATTTATATATCTTATTAGTACATACGCTAATCACACTCAACTCTTAAGAATATTGTATGCAATTACATCTTGTTTAAAAATTACTACCAAAATAACACATATCTACTCCCTAAAGTAAAGTCTCAAGATAGCTCAGAGGTTCCAGTGCTATTAAGAAAGAGAGTGTTCATTTGGTCCCTGGGAAATGATAGTAAAAGTTCCCATCCTTTTATAAGCAGTTCTAATGTGTCAGGCACTATGTTAGTTAATTGCTTTTCATAATTCACATCACTGAATTCTATCAACAACTCTATGAAGATTGAATTATCATTATTCTGATTTTATCACTGATGATGCTGATGCCAGAGAGATTGGTTGTTTTGTCCAGTATCACTGTCTAGTAGTTACAGTGTTGGTCATCAGGCCTGGTGTCTTTGTTGAACTCCAGAGTTTCCTTGCTTCAACCTCAGGCCAAGGCTGTTTACCCAGTAACATCATCAGAGCTCTTCATGACTTCTAAGATGGCGAAAGCAAGAAGAGGAAACTGTTAGAGAAAAATTACTAAAAAGTAAACCAAGAGATGAAGTAAAGGGCAGAGGTAGAAAAGAATGATATTGATTTCCTGGGACAGAGACTTATAAAATGTATTCTCTTCAATGAGGGCCCAGAAGTATTTAATTACTGTCAGCCTGAAACTACAATTATCAAACAAATTCTCTCTCCTGCTTCCCACATTATAATAAATAACCTATCTTGCCAATCTAGATTGCTAGAGATTTTTTTATTATCATTTAGAAGGAAGTCAATTCAGATAGGAGATAGGTTTCTATTCAGAAGGTCATAGATCACTTACAGCATATTCAGCTCAATGGGTCACCATTATTTTACCCTGATTAGTTGTAATTATAGTTTTACTCTGCCCAAGATGTTTCACAAAAAAAAAAAAAAAATCCCTAAAATCTTTGGTTAGTATTTTACTTCAGTTCATACAAATAAAATCAAGGGAGGTTCACTTTTTTTTTTTCAAAGTAGGTCAAATTTTTCCTGAAGAATAGAACACAGGAAAATTCCAAATAAAGAAATATCTTCACCATTTCCTTTACTTTGTCTCACTCCATATTTCCTGAATCAGCTTCATTGTGAATGACTCAGTAAGAAACTTAACAGGCAGGCATACTACTTAAACCAGCCCTGGCTTGTTCAGTATTGTGTAAGTTAATGGTAATTTTTAGGCATACAACTGGGCTCCAAACTTCTTTAAGGAAGAGATTATAACTAGGATGCTACAGTGGGAGCATACATTTGTAATGATTTTAAGAATATATTTTCAAAGGGTTTGAATTTTATGGTTAGGTTGGAATAGGGATTATTGCCATTCTCCATCTTTCTTTGCCTTCTCATCCACATTCCCTGTTTTGTATGCACAAATCAAGTACTTGCACACACACACACACACACACAGAGTGTCAAGTACTTGCGCGCGTGCGCGCACACACACACACACACACACACACACACACACACACAGAGTGTTCTGAAAAATTCAATATCCTTAGGGACAATTGGACAGTATTAGAAGATTTGGCTGTCCCCCTCCATGTGCAGTGTTAAGCCGACAGTTTATGCCTGCAGGTGGCTGCTTGCAAATGCAATTAGGCTCTGCACCCATTGGGAGGGCTCATTGCACTTAATTAGCTGGTCCAAGACTGTATTAATATTAGTAATTTTCCACCTGCAAGAAAAATGGACAGCTTAAGTCAGAGGAAATAAAATATAGGGCCAGGTGCATAGGCCATGGTAGCCAATGAATGCTATTTAGTAAAGAGAAGTATTGAAGCCTGAGCCCATTATGTTAAGATGTAGTTTGATTATCCTGGGTTTCTTAACAGGGATTTTTCTCAACAGGAAAAGAAAACCCATTTCCTGCTTGGAACTTTTGAAAAATACAGTGCTTAGTCTTTTCAAAGTAAGGTTTTGCAGTTTAGTGGAAGCAACATTGGCTTTGGAGTAGAACTGACCTATGTTCCTATTATGTCTTGACAATATTAGCCCATTGATAAATAGTGGAGTCAGGATCTGAACAAGGATTGCTGAATACTAGTTTCATGTTTTTTCCTCATAAATTCAGGATCCAGGACACAAAATGAAAGGATATTATAGGAAATTAAAAATTGAGGCCTTAGCGACATTCAATCTGAGATAACCTTCTAGAAAATGCAGCCTTAGAAAAGCAGGTTATGTTATTTTGAAATAACATCTTAGAAAATCTTGCTGGGATTGTGATGTACCTTAAAACATCATTCTTGGCATAACAGAAAGGGTGTTCATTAGGATTTGTAGATTGTTGAAACTGTATGTTTCTTTAGTTGGAAAATAAAACTTGAAATAAAAATCACTGGAATGTTAAAGTGATTTCTGATGTAAATCAGAAGAAAAAACAACAGAAGGCTTTGAAGGAAAGAGCTGGGGCACGAATTTTATTCTTATGGCATAGAAACAAGCTGGGGAAAAAGGGGCCCCAGTGATAAAGATCATGGAGAGGATGCGTGAGGACCAATTGACTCATTCTAGCACACAACCACATCCAGGAAACATGAATGTCCTAGATGACAAATGAGGAGTCATACTTGAACCAGAGCAAATTTCAGATCTGTCTATGTTAGAACAACAGCCATCTATTGCTCTGTTAAGGCACCACAGTGTAAAATGTCTAAGAGTTCAGTCTCCAGATTAAAATTGCCTGGCTTTGAATTCTTTTTCCACCACCTACTAGACAAATCTTTTGCAAGTCACCTGACCCCTTGAAGCCTCAAGTAGACTTAATTACAGTATCCCCCTTGCTTGGGAAGGTTAAATGGGAAAATCCCCACAAAGTGTTTGGTGAAGAGTAGTTGCTTAATATTTGTTTGCTCTGAGTATTAGATCATGGACATCAGATTATCCTGTGTTTTGATGTATAGCTTAACAGGCAAACACATTCCTAAGTGGTGTTCTAGCAATGTTCTTAAAAAAAAATGATCATGAAGAAATAACTATAAAAACAAAAACAAGAGCTCTTGGTCCAAACAATGCTGATATGGTTCCTTTAGACAAGCTTATTTATCTGTCTCCTTTCTACTTATCTTTCACGGCTCAACTCATCTCAGTATAACCTTGATAAAGCTTCTTTCAATTCTGTAATCAATTAATTAATTCCTTCTTTCTCTAAGCTCCCAAAACATATTATGTTTGGCCCTACTTTAAACAGTTAATTCTTTCTACTTGCATCTTTGGTTAATTGCATCACTCTCTCACCTGCTAACTTAGGAAATTCTTAAGGACTCATCTCTAATTCCAAATAGAATCTAATACTTTTAACATAGTAAATTAATTCTATAAATGCCTATTTAATTAACACTGAGAACATAAAATGTTTTTGTGGACAATAAGACACTAAACACACACATGTGCAGACAAACACACAACTGATTGTGGTTCACAAATATTGTCTCAAAAGTGAAAATGAACATATAATCTCACTTTACAATGCAATGTTTGGAGGGAAATGAAACAGTACATTATTATAATCAGTGAAAGATCAAGAGCTAGCCCAACCTTCTCCTCAACTAACTGCTCAGAAAAGACCAAGGAAGGAAAAAAGACCAATAGTCATGCATATAGAATTCTGTTATTAAGAGAAAATTCTGATAGCTTTTGTTGCCTTCTGTTAGAAATCGAAGGGAAGATAGGAATCCACCTGACAAAGACACTTGTAACACAGAGTTAATGACAAATTTTCTTGCAATTACAAATATATTTTTAAGGGCTCTTTTTTTCTTAAATAGGCTTTGTCAGAATCCAATGGACCTAGCTTAGGAACCCCCAAAACAAATAATTTCTGTGCAGAGATAATTTTGAGTTTTAGTTGCATTCAAGTGCTTAATAAAGTTTACGATAAAACCCTGAGCTCCTTAACTAATCCATATTGCATGCGGGGTGGAGGAGAGAACTGCCTATACAGGCAAGTCTTTCTTATACTGCTAGCAGTATAGGATCAAGGAAGCTGCACAAACAAGAAATTTGGGATTTAGGTCAAGATATTGGAAAAAACTTAAAATTATTTCTTTTCGTCTTTCTATCTGTATCTATCTGTTCGTATTTGTCTCTCTCTGTCTCTTTTTCATACACACACATACTCAAATGCCATATTTTAGTGCATAGAGTGATTCAAAATGCACTACCAATAATCACCAAAATATCCCCTTCTCTTGCAATAATCTAAGAATAATCTAGGAATCTAGATTATTTTTTTAAAGCCAGTATTTGGGTCCAGAAGATATTCTCTTTATAGTCTTGAGAAGCACAATAATCAATTCCTTTAAGAGAGAAAAATGTGTTTTTTTCCAAACATATTGCACGGAAAAGATAAGGCAGCTTCTCCCTAGGGAGATGGGAAGAACAAACAGTGTTGTCAACACAGGAAGGCTGCTGTAGAGGTGGACACATCCCCCTGCCACCCTGATTAGAGGAAGCCAGGAAGTAAGGGCGGTTTACTTGGAAACTACAATGAGAACCATGCTGCAGCCCCAAGTGGGGAAGGGGAGAAGCAACCTAATCCGGGGAAGGCTGTGATTCCAACATGGCATTTTCCTTCCATCCTCCACAGCATGTCTTTCTGAATCTGTGTCTGCAATGCCAGGGAAGAGCCATCAGGCCTGTGCTCCCCAAAACAGAGCTGAAGAGTGGACCTCAGGAACCTGGTAAAGATTTAGAATGAGAGAAAAAAACTATAGAACTATGAATTCAGACTGACTCTAGGGTAAAAAAAATGAGTTTGTATGGTAGATTTGCACTGTGCAAATTTAGCTAAGCAGGAGCTATGTTTCCCAGGATCCCTGTCTCTGCATAATTTCAGGTTAGCGTGGGCCACCAGAAACACACATGATGGGATTTGGAAGGCTGAAGTTAAGCGTCAATCACATTCCTTTAAAGCACTGAAGATCGGTGCAGGCAAAAGTGCAGAGCACAGGCACCACTGCAGCTCACCAAGTGATTTCTGCTCTCTGGCTCACATTATTGACATTGAGCAGAAGCCGGGCATGCAGCTTCATCAGCTCTCACCAGATTTGCTTCCTTCAGTTTCTCCAGCTCCTGGGTCAGTTACATGTTTAGCAACATGATGAAGCAAAGCAGTTTCTCTTGCAGGTCACTGGCATCATTGAATTTGGAGGCTTCAAGACAGAGGCTGAAAAACAGTTTGCCTCTGTGATTTCCAGCCTGTCCCCCTGAATTCCAATTTATCATTTCTCTCCAACATTTCATGTCTGTCTTTCCTTCTCGATGTCCTGCTCTGCTAACTTCAGTCTCCAATGCAAGACATAGAAGCAACAGCCACACATAAACTGTTTAGTCAGCTCCCATAATTGGGAAAAGTAAAATATTTGCAATAAACAATTGATTCTACATCACTTCCTGTGGTTCTGTTTCTCTGGGCAAACCCAACTTGATACCATCTGAATAGTAGAAGTGAACCCACCAATGTTCTTTGTGCTGGAATTGACCTGGTTGTTAACCTAACTGGATGATTTGATAGAGGCAAGATAGAACAATTGAGATTTCTGACAAAGTTGTCAGGGAAATATAATTGTAAAATTGAAGAATGGAACAGGAGCAGATGGCAATAAATACCCATGCTGAAGCAATGAAAATGACAGTTGGAAACCTTGAGAATTCTGAATTAAATGTTTGGAGGAAGGTATATTCATTTTATCTGTTTCAATCTATATATATTTATATATACATATATAAGTGTGTGTGTGTGTATGTGTGTGTTTGTGTGTAGTTAGAAGAACAATATGTTACCTAGCGGACATCTCCATGAGACTCACTTTTGCAAACAAATATGAATGGCAGGCTGCCAAAAGAATACTGAAATGTGAATCTTTAATCCAGGCTGATTTGATGAAAATAACATTGTTTCCTGTGACTGAGAAATAACAATGACTGGTTATTGTATTTTATATATTCTTTATGCTCTGTCTCATTTCCAAAAGTATTTGCGGCAGATTGCAAAATATGTACACTACAACAAAATAACTAGATGGTAAAAGTGGAGCAAGGGAAAAATATGGTTAGAAATATGAAACAGAGTAGGTGTGAAAGGAATTCAGAAAAATGTAGAAATTCAAAAGAATCTATTATACTAATTCCTATGCAGCCAAATATAATGGGCATCAGTAGTGTGAGGTTGTGACCGGAAAAGGTAATGCAGTATTAGATTAAATTAATCAAGATTGAATATCTTGAAAACAAAAATTGATAATTCAATTTTACTCTGCACTAATCAGGTCTTACCTATAATATTTTTTCAGTTTATGATTTTAGGACCAAACAGATTTAGATAATCAGCAGCATGTTCAGTCAAGTTTAAGAAAACAGTGAAAAGACTTGAAATCATGTCTTGGGGAGAATGGCTGAAGGAATTGAGAATGTTTAGCCTAAAAGAAGAAAGATATTGTGAGATAGGATAACTGTTTTCAATACTAAAGGACTTCTAAGTAGTATAGGGAAAAACTGAAATATATTACCTAGGGATAAATATAAATTCAAACAGCTGAAAATAGGGGAAAAAGTAAATGTAAGCCAAATATAATATTCATATCCATAAAATGTAAATGTGAAATAAAATGCTTTAAATGGTTTTGAGCAAAGGTCTTCAAGCAAGTAAGACTCCTTTTGAGGATGTTACAGAGAAGAATCAAACGCTGAATTGAGACTGGGAAAAGACGATGTCAATGGCTGTTTCTCATCTTTGTACATATCATAAAAGCCATTCCATGACTGGAAGTGCATTCTTTTTCCAGAAATCAGAGCCCACATCCTTACAGTTTGAGAAACAGAGCAGAGTCCTGAAATCTAAATACATTAATTCTTTGAATGCTTAGTTCATTTTCCTGGGGAACTGACAAAATAAAAGAGCCATACTTGAGACACACCTATTACTCTGGGACATTCTCCCTAATTCTCCTTGTTTGCTTCTCTCACATTTTGTAATCATTGCAGTGTATGATTCTCCTCCTGAGACTATAAGCTCAAAGTTGCCTGAACCACCTTCAGCCCACAGATAGATATGTTTAACTCCACATGGACTTTAAAGTTTTAAAATTAGTTTTCAACATTTAATAGTAAGAACAATTCACACAGTATTCCAGATTGAAAACTAACTGCTCTTGAAAAATAGAAAGAGCTGGGAATCCTGAACACACACTCTTGAATTGCAATATCATCAAGGGACCTGAATTTTGACTCCTCTCTTTAAATAAAACATGGGTTTCTAGTTTGTCACCACTTCTTAATGTCTCATGAATTCACATTAGCTAACTGGCTCTAGTTGAATTTGGAATCCCTGCCATGTATTTTGAGCAAGGTTACTTGTAGATATATATATTTTTTGGACTGGAATTTTTTAGTGAATATGTGTATGTGTTCTTAAGAGTGTCTCAGCTGGGTTCCCTGTGGAAGAGAGCCTGAGGCAAGGATTAAGTGTTGATATTTTATTTAGGAGGTACAAACCTAGGGCAACAAAAGCACAGAAAGAGGAAAATGAGACAGGAAATTATAGAAAGAAATTGCCAGAAGATGCAGAACATTGCTAGGCATAACACATCATTCAGCAGATGCAAACATTCAGGCAGGATGCCTCAAAAAAGTGTGTATGAGAAACTGTTACCATGGGAGTGAGGAAGGAAGAATTTGGCTCCTTCCCATCTCCTGTTTCATTGGTCCAAGTTTGCCCCATTAGAAGTTAACTTCTCTGTGCTTCTAAGTTGTATGATCCGGTCCTTTTGATTATGCCAGATTCCCTGGCCCAAAGTGCCTTTTTTGACTCTACTTTAAAAATGGGAGTAAAAGACAGAAATTCCAGGTGTCTGACTGGTAGGACTATTTGCACAGTGGCAGCCAAGAACAGTGCCAGTGAATGCTTGACCCCAGGTGGTAGAAATTACCATGGACACATCTAAATGGAATCAGTCAGCAAATGAAGTTCAGGGGTAGTTTTATTGAGGAAGTCCAAGGCAGGGGTCAGCCAGTCACAGCCCTCAGATCTGATCTAGCATGCCTCCTGTTTTTGTGTACCCCATGAGCTAAGAATAACTTTACACTTTTAAAGGGCCAAAAAAATCCAAAGAAGAATAATATTTTTTTTATTATGTTAAAGTCGGGCCTGGTTTTTTTTTTATTATTATACTTTAAGTTCTAGGGTACATGTGCACAACATGCAGGTTTGTTCATAGGTATACATGTGCCATGTTGGTTTGCTGCACCCATCAACTCGTCATTTACATTAGGTATTTAGAAGAATAATATTTTATGATACATACAAATTATATAAAATTCTAGTAAACCAGTGTCCATAAATAAAGTTTTATTGGAACACAGCCGTGCTCATTCATATATGTAGTGTCTGTGGCTGCTCTCAAGCCACAGAGCTGAGTAGCCCCAGAAGAGACCAGAGACCATATGGCCTGCAAAACATAGAATATTTAGGAGCAAGTCTTTTACAGAAAAAGCTTGCCAACCTTTGGCCTAAGGAATCCTAATAAGTGTATCTGAATCAAGAAGCAAAATGAAACATTCTCAGCAAAAATACAACAGGACTATATCACTTGAGAATTATGTTAAAAGCTGTAATTTTCACATGCCTACACATGCCTGCATAACTGTAAATGTGATCACACTCACAGGTTTATCCCTCTGAAGAGCCTTCCATGGTTACAGTTCCATGATCTATTTATAGAATCACCTACAAAAAGGCAAAATCACTTTTATGGCTTTAATCCCAATAGCAATAGTGCAACTCTATTCCCAGATGAAAATAATCTCAGAGCACTATTCTTGTATACAACAGGGCAAGAAAGAGAGTTAATATTATTGGTTTATTAAATATCAAATTCAAGTCATAAGTTTTGAATTTTAAAAACCTACTTGGGGAAAAATACACACACACAGAGAAACCACAGCCCTGAGCCTCTTCCTGACATGTGCATTAGCAGGTATACCACTTCCTGTGGTTATCATTTGAGGTGAGTTAAAGGTCCACAGTGTACCAGCTCTGTGCAAGATGAAGGATGCAGAGCCATGCTCATAATAGGCCCAGTTTTGTTGACAGCTAGAACCAGGAGGCAGTCCCTGTGACTGACTATATTAAGAACTCTGTGCAAAGAAATTTAGAGGATCTCTTTTATTTTGGGATTAACTACGTTCTGTTTATTCATTCACTCCAAAAGCACCCACTGTGATCCTGTTATGTACTAGGCACTAGGTGAGATGCTAAAGATTCTTACACAAATAGGACACAGTTCCTGCCTTGGCACTCAGATATTATCAAGAAACACCCCAGCCCCCATTGCCTGGACACTGTAAACTATGTATTCCCTCCAAGAATAGTCCTCTCTGGGGACCAAACCTCCCAGTGGAAAAGCATCAAACTATTCTTGGCTTCACTTCCCAAGGCCAGCCTGACCTTTCACGGCAACTAGAGAGCATGAGTTGCCAGAGTCATGAAAGTCTCTCCCAGTCTATGTGCCCCTGAGCCAGGCTTGTGCAGGGGCTGTTTTCCTAAGAGGGAGCTCAGCCCAGGCTCCCAGGGTTCCAGGAGGCCTCCACTGCAGTTATTGAGGTAGTCAGTTGGCCTTTCAGCAGCAGATCTACTTTCTGAGAACCAATTGTTCTTTCAGCACTTCAAAAAGGAGGTTTTGCTTGGGAGTCTTTAAGCACTTGGAGATAGGAAGCTGGAGTTTAATTTTTTTATGTGCTTTATGAGCAGCGAGGACTGAGAGGGATTCGCTTTAACTTGACTAGGCGTGGGGAGGGGTCTCTTTGAAACAGCCACTTGACAGCAGCCGTGTATACGATTAAATGTTCTCAGTAGAGAATCCCAAGGAACAATGGTTTTGAATGTAGTTACATATGAGGCAGCACGGTGTGGTGGAACACACAATAAACGCTAAATGCTCTTTGATTACTTTCCATCATTCTTGGCCATGCTCCAAGTGAAATGTGAATCTTTATTTGCACAGCTCTGTTCTAAAGGTTCATGAGAGCTGTGTGTAGGTCTTGGTGAACTGGAGTAAGATTTATTTCATCTGGTATCCTTTAAAACACTGAAAGCATTTTATCTTATTATAAGAATTTCACAAAGATATGATGGTAAGGGAGAGCACTTGATGGTATTGAAGACGTTTATCAATTATTTCTAGCAAACAAATCCTATCTTCAGTCATTTGCCAGTGTCTTAGGTGTAACTGGATAAGTCTGGGCCACCCTGGGCTTTAGTGTTGCTATTTCTAAAATGACAAGGAAGGACAAGCTGCCCCTTCATAAATTTCTGCATGCTAGAAGAATGCCTGGTATAGAGCAAGCACTCACCTATTAAATTTAATGTATTACTTGGACCTGAACTTAATCCAGCTCTAAAGGTTTATAAGTGGACATTTATTTGTGTCCGGAATAACTGAGGTGAAGCTAGATTGTTCCTTTCATTGATCATGGTGCATGGCTGGCATTACTCAACTCTTCTTTTCTGCTTCTCTGACTTCCTTATCCTTTGTGGTCTACTGTAGTTCCAGCTCACTAGGCTTCTGACCCATACCAGATGCAGAACTTCAGACAAGGCTACAATCTTAAGCCCAAAGAAAGTGTTTTAAGGAAAACATTCCCTGATGTTTTATAAAGAACCTGTACACATTCCACACCCTGCTGAGCAGAGCTTTTGTTGCACAAAGTGCTGGCAGCAAGGATGATCCTGAGAGGAGATTTGAAGTAGTGTCTCTCTCCTAGCAGCAATGTGCCTAGGAGAGGTAGGAACAAGGACTTCAAGGGCACTTCCAGGGAGAATGGTTACATAAAAACCTCAAAGTCTTTACGTCAGATTCATATTTTGCACCAAGGTGCAGGCTCTGATACTTTAAGAAAAAAAATTATGCGTAGTCAAAATTACCTAACAAAATATCCCAATTTCTGAATAGCTTTCAGTATCTTTCTAAGATAGCTCCATCTCTGACCTCCCTTTTTCCCCAGCATTAAAAAAATCATGCTTTCTTTAGCTGAGTACCAGAAAAGAGATTGTCAGCTTGCATTTATGGGCCATGTTATATATAAATATGTATATTATTTTAAAAATTAGAATCATAATTAGTACATCAAAATGTTCACACTATGGGAAATATGCTCACCCTAAAGCTTATACTTATTCACTGGAATGACAGGAGAAAACTAAGTTGACTTTCTCATTTGCTTTTTCTTTGCTGACCTCTAATAGCTGGGTTTTTGCGTTAAATGTTCACATTATGGAACTTCACTGTACCTACAGTAAACCCAATGTCCAACCTAACCAGGTCAGAACAACGAGCCAAATGGAAGGGACTGTGCCCAGTGGAGCTCTTTAGACCCTGAGACGAGGCAGAACCTCACAGTACAGCAGGTTCCAAGTCTCAGAGAAAGAAGAGTGTTCAGACAAGAGACAATCAGTCAGCATCTGGCTTGGGCATATGGCTCAAGGGGGTACAGATATCCACCTCAGAGAGTCCTGGCACTGGGTGTTTGATACTGTGACACTAGGTCTATATTTGAGCAGGAGGGTCACCAACCCCAGAGGACATTGTATACTAGAGCTAGGCAGGCCCCTGTGGGTTAACAGAACATCTTTAAATGAATTAGAATGAGGCAGTCCTTTGGCAGACACAGTCCTGCTACAAGGGGGCACAGCTTGGTAGCAGCATGTGGGTTGGATTCCTGCCTCCACTTGCCCACTTGGCCCAGTGCCTTTATAGAATGCTCAAACTGTACAGCACTACACAGAGGGCCTGACAAGATCAGCACAGAACGGGGAGTAATGGTCAAAGCCTGTTTTAATTTTCCTACTTGGCAAAGCTGGATTGGTCTTAGAGCTTGGGTCATCTGGGCACGTGGGGGCTGTAGAACTCTAAGCCAGCCAGCCAGGCTTCTCATGTGTGATGGGCTCGAGAACAATCCTTTAATCCCACCAAAAATCCCTGCAACAAGAAACACTGATTCTCCTTTTATTTAATTAAAGGACTGTTTTCTCATGAGTATTCTGCCTGATTTATGAATACCTATTGTTCAAAATGTAATTGCATATTCAGCACTGCTCAATGGAACGGGGACCGTTTGAGCTTATACTGTTTGCTTTACATTTTTAAAATCCTTTGTTTAGATGTGTATGATTCATTTCATTACGATGCACAAAATCAAGGCATTCCAGAAGGCATTCTATGGATACCCATAATTTTTAATCTTTGTCAAGATGTGCCAAGCCAGCCAGAACACAGCAAGGCTGACACAAAAGCCTTGAAATTTGAACAGACACTCAGGCAGTTGCCTTATGACTAAGTGAGGATGGGTCTCCAATTGCCCACAGCCTTCAGACATTTACCCAAAGAGAAGCAGATCTATTTTGAATGAATAGATCAGCACTGATTCATACCTTCAAACATTATTACACAATAGCAAACAGATACCTAAAAAAAAAATCTTGATGTCTTCCAGATACTCAGATATGTTTTAGAGTAAATTTTGCTGGTTTGCGAGAAAATTCTGCAGACAATGTCATGGGACCAGATCATTTCATTGGCTTTCACTAGGGCATTGGGAAGTGAATCTGTGAAATGCAGACATGGGTGAGTTCAAATAAAAGTTGTAGAGTCATAGCTTAATATTCAATATCACTCCATCTTCTTATCCTAACTCCGACATGATTTCTAATACTGTCCCTCGTTAAATCCCTAATACCCTGACATTTCAGCCAAAAGGAACTACTTACTCATTCTCCCCCACATGTAACCAGGGTGTCCCACACCCATGCTTTTGCCCATGTTATTTTCTTCTGCTCCATCTCAGTTCCCAAGGCAACTAGAGTGACAAAAATACCCAGGAGGCTAAGACTTAATTTACAATTGTAACACTACATTTAATAGTCATGAAGTAAGAATATTGGCCACACCTTAGCAACAACATAATCCTTTTATGTTGAGAGAGCCACAACATTCTTTTATTTTCTCTCAGCCAGTCATCCATAAATATTTATATAATACCTATTATATGCTAGGCACTGTTCTAGATACTGGAGACATAACAGTAAACAAAACCTAAAACCTCTTTATTCATAAAGGGTCCTAAATATCTCTTATTGTTTTACTGTGATAAGTACATCTGGTTTCCCATTTAACAGTAAAAAACACATAAAAATATGCAATTAACCTGAAATTACTCAATTAACACCCAGAAACTATTTGTAGTTGCCCTTTTGTTCACTATGTCTTTTTTAGAGGAGGAAATTTGTAGAATATTGTTCAAAGTTCTAATGCAATAGTTAACATTGCTTCCCATTGTCTGTAGGATAAACAGTTGCATTATTTTTAATTTAAAAACATGTTTTGATTTAAAAACTGAGTTTTTGAATATTTTTATCTATTCTTTTTCAAAATAAGGTCTTCTTGTTTGTTTTTTATTATAGCAGACATACAGAAAGTTACAGAAAACATAACTGTGCAGTTCAACGAACTATACAATGAATTTTTCAAAGCAAACACTCGCGTTACTACGACTCAGATCTAGAAAGACAATATTACCCAAACCTCCAGAAGTCCTGCTAGTATCTTTACCAGTCAAAGTACCTCAAAGTTACCCATGATCTAACTTTTTTTTTGGAGATTTAAGAGTTTTTTAAAATTAGCTCTATGAAATTGCTGAAGTTATAAATCAATTACTTTTTACTTGATGAATTTGGTAACTCTTTTGACAGACAGGAATCATGCCATTGACATTGCTCATAATATTAAACAAATGTAAGTCCATAAAATTCGTCATCTCCCCAGCATCTACTAGGTGTATGTTTTAGGTACAGGGATACGGCACATACTGCCTTACCAGACTTCTTTGTTATAATTATGAACCATATCAGTGATTCTCAACTCGAGCTAAATTTGCCACCCATGCCCCAGAGGACATATGCCAATGAACCATGATCTAATTTCTAACACAGTTAAATTGTACTTGGTTTTGAACTTTATATAAATGAAATTTTAAAATCTGTATTCTTCCATGTCTGGCTTCTTTTTTTCACTCAACATTATGTCTGTGAGATTTGTCTGTATTGTGGTGTGTACAATGAATATACTATAATTGATTTCTTTATTCTACTATTAATAAAATTTTCTGGTTCACCATAACAGTGATCATATAAAATTTCTCCTTTCAAATTCAATATCTACATACCGACCAGTTTTTATTGTTCTATTTACATTCTGATTTCCTGATTACTTCAATTAAAAAGATAAGTCTTTTGACTTGGATCTGTATTGCATGCCTTTGTACTTATAAAAGTATGCTCTGTGTGTGTGTGTGTGTGTGTGTGTGTGTGTGTGTGTGTGTGTGTGTTGTATTTTAACTACCCTAGATAAGGTACTTTACCAACCATCTTCTCTAAATGTAGTAAATTCTTCATCATATCATCAAATGCTTCTCAAAAGTCTCTTTACATGCCACATGTAAATAGTTCAGATTGATTAGAAATATGTTTCCACATGAAAGGGTGGTTATTTGTGGATATTTGTGGTTTCCAAATATCGTCTATTCTTGTCCACCCTTCAACAGACCTCCTGATTTTGTTGAGGCTGATCGCTAATCTTACATGTGTTTTGTCTTTTCATAATATTACCACCTATGGATGAGCTTTTGTTCAATGTCTTTTTACCAGATCAGCACTCAACAGAAGACAAAAAATGTCAACCTCCACAGGTTAATAATCAAACACATGATGGCTCTTAACCAGCCGTGCTTACCAAAGGCCACCAAAAGTGGATTTATAGTATCTGTTAATAAAGAAGTTGGTCATTACTTCATGCTGTCTTCCTTATAATAAAGCACCCCAAGGAGAAATCCCTATCAGAGCTTTGCTCCTAAACCAGCTGTACTTCTCCTGAAAAATTTGTCTGTTTTTATCTTAAGGAGGTATAATGTTCAAATATGGATTTCAGAACACTCAAAGGCAAAATTGTGACCCATGCTGACTTCTGTGGTTTTCATCTCATCCCTTCTACCCTTAAACCTAATCTTGTTTTTTACTCTTCTTTTGCTTATTTTTAACCTTCAATATTGTTGCGGCATTGTTACCTGAAATAATGTCCAGAATAAGGCAGAATGTAAAGAGGCTGAGAGGTGAGTTCCCCCTCTAGTACTGGTTTGGTTATTGAGTGTTCTTTCAATTCAGAAACACCATTATTTTAATCAGGATCCCCAAGTGAGGGTGGAGAAGTCATATTTTATTTGCCAAATTTATCATGGCTATTTGAATTTAAAAGACACTATAATTGGTTCTCAAATTTATCTCTTTTTTTTTGCTTAAAAATTATATTTTCTTCTTTTAGGGATAATTTCAATAATTTGGCAGACAATTACTGAAAAGTATTTTTCCTTTAACATTTATAGCTATCATTCCATATTATTTTTTGATACATAAAGACATCTAAGATATTCTATTTTATAACATAAGAAATATTGGAGCTTACATTTGTATTGCCTTGAATAAAAAATAAAGTATCTATAGAAGGATTCAAAAGTCACTAATAACAAGGGTTACCTGTTTGTGGGTTGGCAACTGGATAAATGGAGAAAAGATAAAGGAGAAATATTTAGCTGAATTCCTTTTTAAAATTTTTTGGATTTTGACACAGATTAATATATTTGAAATTCAAAAAGTTAAATGAAAAAATCACACTTAGAAAGTCCTCGAAATGATAGCACCTCTATCCCAACAAAACAAATTATCATACATTGTATTTTTATATAGAACTATTTTATCTTATATAATGACAAATAATGAGAGTTGAAAAATCAAGCAGGTGAATTTATGTCAACATGCCACAAATTTAAAAATAGAGTAATCAAATATATGTTATTTTATTACAGTCTTGGAAAATCCTCAAAAGTTTGTTGAAGGGAACAAACTTTTGCTGCTGGCCATGAAGGAGTAAATGGAACTGGACTTGTTTGTACACCATAAAAACTAGAAAACTAAACAAAAAATACACGAAACAATTTTCAAACATTGGGCAACAGGGCAAAGGAGGACATGTTTGAGAGGTAATAAAAAATTACCAGGCATAACGTAATGGAGTACTATGCAGCTGTCACTTTTTTTTTTAATGAGAAAGACTGCTTTGAACTTATACAGAATGTTTTCCAGGGCATGTTTCTAAGTAAAAAAATGTAAGGCCCAAAGAAATTGTCTATATTAGATGATACTTTATGTAAGAAAGAAATATAAAATAAAGTACTACTGTCTGCTCATTTGCCTAATCATGAATCTCCATTTTCTTCATTCCTGAAGAATGAAATCAGGAAAAATTAACTAGAAATTAAAGAGATTGGTTACCTACAGAGGTTTATTGGAAAGGCGTGAGAATGAGAGATAAGAATGAGGTAGCAGGGATGACAAGAGAGTGAAACTTTCTTGACTATGACTTCAATATAACTTATTCTTAGATCCATAGCAATGTTTCATATACCCTTCAACTACCCCAAATTAAGCAAATAATTAAAAGCAATTAAACATGAGGGTAACCCAAAATAGAATACAAACACTAGCAAATGAACCTAACTGTATTACGAGTAAATAACATCATCACACTGAAGTGTATGTGAGAAAAAAGAATTATCTGAAGTTTTTGGAAAACTGTATTTTGCCAGGATTATTTTGCCAGGATATTGCAAGGCTGAAGACAAAATAATTGTACATAAAAACCGTAATCTAGTAATTTTTAAAAACAGTAATGTTTAGCAATTCTGAAACTACTTATGTTTATACTAGACTTGAACAAAAAAATAGATTGTAGATAATGAGAACCAAGGTTTCTTAATGTTAGCAAAATAATTTATAAAGAAGGAAAAGGGGAAGCCTAAAATAAACACCACATGGTATTAGATTAGTATCAGAGTTAACAATGTCAACTCATGGTTTTTAATATACATACTCATATCAAAATATAGATATGAGTATATTAGTGGGTTACTATGTATACATAAAATACCCAGCTCTGTCTTCTTTGAGGATCAGAGCAATGACATCCCAATAACAATGAGAGTATATAAAATCCAGATTCTTGTCTCTAAACGTTTATTCAAATAAAAGGTATGAGAGCTCCTGGGAGAAGTGATTAATTTCAGGGTCGGGGAAGGGCAAATATAAAATGATCCAGGAACATTATGTGATGCCAGAAAGTAAGAAATGCTCAAGATGATAAGGGACAGTGAAATCTTGATGAAAGAACATAGGAGCCCTTCTGAAGGAGCTCTCAATGGCTAAAAGTAGACAAATTTTAGCAACAAAATTTGATTTTAACCCATATATAAATATTCATGAGTTCATCCTGATATGGATAAATAACAGAATAAATAAATAAATATGGGAGAAAAGACAGTTCTTTCTTACAGCTGAATTCAAATTAATACATGTAGAATAACAGAAAGAATCATCATTATGGAAACACCATGTAGATACATTATGCAGACAAGGCAACATTAGTTAGTGAAAATTTGGGGAGAAACAAGATATGCGTAGTCTCATAGTACCTTCACCAAGAGACTTATTAATTACAAAGGCAAATGTAAGAACTTGCTGAAGAGAAGTCTGACAGACAAAAACATAACTCATGTAATCAATGGAATAAGACCTTTGTCATCATGAACCACTGTATAGGAAGGACACATTATCATTTTTGTGGTGTCTTGACAATAATCTGTAGCATAGCTCCAGTGATGAGAAAGCATTAGACAAACCCAAATTGAGGGACATAGTTTAAAATAATTGATTGGCACTCTTCAAAAGAGTCTTGGTCATGAAAGACAAGAAGACTGAGAAAATATTACAGATTGGAGGAAAATTTAAAAGTAGGTGTAAAGTGGGATCCTGGGTAGGATCCAGAAAAAGAAAAAAAGAAGATGTAAGTAAAAACATTAGTGATTTTCAAATAAGACCTGTACTTTAGTTAATAGTATTATTCTATTCTTGATTATTGTACTATGGTTACAGTAAATGCTAAAATAAAGAAAGAATGGGCAAAGAGTATAAGGAAAACATTTGTAGTATGTCTAAAACTTTTCTGTAAATCTAAAATTATTTCAAAACAAAAATTTAACCTTGTAAAAATAAAAATTACCAACTATGCAAAGAGGTAGAAAATTGCAACTCATAATTGAGAGAAAACAAGTTAATTAAAATCAACTAATAATTGCCAAAGATGGTAGAATTATTGGAAAAAGATGCTAAAACAATCATTACAACTGTTCTCCAGATGTTAGAAAGTTGAGCAGGGACATGTAAGATATTGAGAGAAGAGAGACAGACCCTCTCATATTGTTTTATACTCAGAAAAGGAAAGAGAAGCAAAACTAAAGGCAGATAGCCCGGCGCCTAGGAACCAGACCCGAAACCTAGGAACCAGACCCGAAACCAGGCCTAGGCCTGCCTGACCTAAGCCTAGTAGTTAAAGATTGACCCCTGACCTAACCGGTTATGTTATCTATAGGTTCCAGACATTATATGGAAAGGCATTGCAAAAATCCCTGTCCTGTTGTTTCATTCTCATTACCGGTGCATGCAGCCCCCAGTCACATATCCTCTGCTTGCTCAATCAATCACGACCCTCTCACGTGGACCCCCTTAGAGTTGTGAGCCCTTAAAAGGGAAAGGACTTGCTCACTCGGGGAGCTTGGCTCTTGAGACAGGGGGCTTGCCGATGCTCCTGGCCGAATAAACCCCTTCCTTCTTTAACTCAGTGTCTGAGGAGTTTTGTCTGCGGCTCGTACTGCTACAGTAAGAGAAGTCTGAAATTGAACCTCTAAGATGAAAATTTTAATGTATGATATGAATAATACTCTGGATAGAATTAATGGCAATCAGATACTGCAAAGGAAAATATCAGTGAACTTGAAGACATAGCAACAGAAACTGTTCAAAATGAAACACAGAGAAGAAAGGGAACAACTTATAATTGCAGCCCTCATAATAGTCTTTATGGACATAGTTAACAAAATATGTTCAAAATGTGTTCACCGAAAACTATAAAACACTTCTGAGAAAAATTGAAGATTTGCTTAATTCAATAGAAATAGATTCCAATTTCATGGATTGAAAAACTCAGTGTTATTTAAGTTTAGTTCTCTAAGAATTGTTCTAC
Organism: Homo sapiens; assembly: GCF_000001405.40. Lineage (NCBI taxonomy): Eukaryota > Metazoa > Chordata > Mammalia > Primates > Hominidae > Homo > Homo sapiens. Next base: position 30,364,441 of record NC_000003.12, read on the forward strand.
ACATTTAACACAATTCAAATTAAAATCACAGTAAGTTTTTTTCCGGTAAAACTTGACAAGCTGATTTTAAAATGTATTGAAAATTTGTTTGAGTTCATTGTAGATTCTGGATACTAGCCCTTTGTCAGATGAGTAGGTTGCGAAAATTTTCTCCCATTTTGTGGGTTGCCTGTTCACTCTGATGGTAGTTTCTTTTGCTGTGCAGAAGCTCTTTAGTTTAATTAGATCCCATTTGTCAATTTTAGCTTTTGTTGCCATTGCTTTTGGTGTTTTAGACATGAAGTCCTTGCCCATGCCTATGTCCTGAATGGTAATGCCTAGGTTTTCTTCTAGGGTTTTTATGGTTTTAGGTCTAACATTTAAGTCTTTAATCCATCTTGAATTGATTTTTGTATAAGGTGTAAGGAAGGGATCCAGTTTCAGCTTTCTACATGTGGCTAGCCAGTTTTCCCAGCACCATTTATTAAATAGGGAATCCTTTCCCCATTGCTTGTTTTTCTCAGGTTTGTCAAAGATCAGATAGTTGTAGATATGCGGCATTATTTCTGAGGGCTCTGTTCTGTTCCATTGATCTATATCTCTGTTTTGGTACCAGTACCATGCTGTTTTGGTTACTGTAGCCTTGTAGTATAGTTTGAAGTCAGGTAGTGTGATGCCTCCGGCTTTGTTCTTTTGGCTTAGGATTGACTTGGCAATGCGGGCTCTTTTTTGGTTCCATATGAACTTTAAAGTAGTTTTCTCCAATTCTGTGAAGAAAGTCATTGGTAGCTTGATGGGGATGGCATTGAATCTGTAAATTACCTTGGGTAGTATGGCCATTTTCACGATATTGAGTCTTCCTACCCATGAGCATGGAATATTCTTCCATTTGTTTGTATCCTCTTTTATTTCCTTGCGAAGGACATGAACAGACACTTCTCAAAAGAAGACATTTATGCAGCCAAAAAACACATGAAAAAATGCTCACCATCACTGGCCATCAGAGAAATGCAAATCAAAACCACAATGAGATACCAACTCACATCAGTTAGAATGGCAATCATTAAAAAGTCAGGAAACAACAGGTGCTGGAGAGGATGTGGAGAAATAGGAACACTTTTACATTGTTGGTGGGACTGTAAACTAGTTCAACCCTTGTGGAAGTCAGTGTGGCGATTCCTCAGGAATCTAGAACTAGAAATACCATTTGACCCAGCCATCCCATTACTGGATATATACCCAAAGGACTATAAATCATGCTGCTATAAAGACACATGCACAAGTATGTTTATTGTGGCACTAATTCACAATAGCAAAGACTTGGAACCAACCCAAATGTCCAACAATGATAGACTGGATTAAGAAAATGTGGCACATATATACCATGGAATACTATGCAGCCATAAAAAATGATGAGTTCATGTCCTTTGTAGGGACATGGATGAAACTGGAAATCATCATTCTCAGTAAACTATCGCAAGGACAAAAAACCAAACACCGCATATTCTCACTCATAGGTGGGAATTGAACAATGAGAACACATGGACACAGGAAGGGGAACATCACACTCTGGGGACTGCTGTGGGGTGGGGGAAGGGGGGAGGGATAGCATTGGGAGATACACCTAATGCTAGATGACGAGTTAGTGGGTGCAGCGCACCAGCATGGCACATGTATACATATGTAACTAACCTGCACATCGTGCACATGTACCGTAAAACTTAAAGTATAATAATAATTAAAAAATAAATAAAAATAAAAAATAAAAAAATAAAATGTATTGAAAATGCAAAGGTCCTTTGTCAAAACAATCTTGAAAAAACTTTAAAAAAATCTTTGTGAAGATGCACAAAGCATGGAATATAAAAAAATAATAAATGATAATTTGGACTTTGTAAAAATGAAGAACTTTTGGACTTCAAAAGATAATTAAAATGCAAGCTTAGATCTGGGAAAAATAGTCACAATATTTATATCTGTCATATTTCTGACAAAGATATTTTATGTAGACTAAGAAAGTTTTCTTTTTTAAAAGCACTTTATTTTTTAGAGCAGTTTTAGTTTTACAGCAAAATCCAGAGGAAGGGAAAGAGATTTCCCATTTACCCCTTGTCCCCACAAATACATTGCCTCCCCTTTATTATCATCCCTCGCCAGAGTGATATAATTGTTACGACTGATGAACCCACACTGGCATATCATTGGCACTCAAAGCCAGTAGTTTACGTTAGAGTTCACTCTTGTTGTATATTCTATGGATTTTGCCAGACAAATAATGACACATATCCATCATTACACATATAGAGTATTCTCATGGCCCTAAAAATCCTCTGTGCTCTGCTTATTTATCCCCTCTACCCTAAACCCCTGGCAACCACTGAACTTTTACTGTCTCCATAGTTTTGCCTTTTCCAGAATGTCATATGGTTGTAATCATACAATATGTAGCCTTTTCAGATTGGTTTCTTTCACCTAGTAATAAGCATTTAATTTTCTTCCATGTCTTTTCATGACTTGATAGCTCATTTTCTTTAAGTACTGAATAATATTTTATTGTCTGAATGTACCACAGTTTTTATTTATCCATTCACCTACTGAAGGACATCTTGGCTGCTTTAAGTTTGAGCAATTATGGTGGGAGCTGGGAGAAGCTGCTACAAATATTCATATGCAGGTTTTTGGGTGGCCATAAGTTTTTAACTCCTTTGAATAAATATCAAGGAGCATGATTGTTGGATTGTATGATATGTATAAATATGCTTAGTTTTATAAGGAACCACCAAACTGTCTTCCAAAGTGGCTATATGATTTTGCAATCCCATCAGCAACAGATGAGAATTCCTGTTGCTCCATATTCTCACTCATATTTGGTATAGTCTATGTTCCAGATTTTGGCCATTCTAATAGGTATGTAGTGATACCTTGTTTTCATTCATATTTTCCTGCTAACATATGATGTGCAGTCTCTTTGTACATGCTTCTTTGCCATTGGATATATTCTTTGTTGAGGTATCTATTAAGGCCTTTGGCCCATTTTAAAATTGGGTTGTTTTCTGCTGAGATTTAAGAGTTCTTTGTATATTTGAAATGACAGTTCTTTATCAGATATGTGCTTTGCAATTATTTTCTCTGAGTTTCTGGCTTGCATTCTCATTCTTTTGACATTGTCTTTCACAGAAGTTTTTAATTGTAATGAATTCCAGCTTATCGATTGTTTCTTTCATGGGTCATCTCTTTGTATCTAAAAGGGCATCACCATACCTAAGGTAATGTAGATTTTTCTCCCATGTTATCTTCCAGTAGTTTTATAGTTTTGTATTTTTAATTTAAGTCTATGATCCATTTGAGTTATTTTTGTGAAATGTGTAAGATCTACATCTAGATTTTTTTTTCATATACGTGCTCAGTTGTTCCAGCACCATTTGTTGAAAAGACTGCTTTCTTTGCTATATTTATTGCCTTTGCTCTTTTGTTAATAGATCAGTTGATTGTTTATGTAGGTCTATTTCTGGGCTTTATTTTCTGCTGCCACTAATCCACGATCCATTTGTCAGGTTGTTTTTTTCTGTTTTTGTTTTTGTTATTATTATTAATTTTTTTTCCAGTACCATTCTGTCCTTATTACTGTGGGTTTACAGTATGTCTTGAAGTTGAGTAGTATCAGTTCTTCAACTTTGTTCTTCTCCTTCAATATTTCATTGACTATTCTATATCTTTTTCCTCTTTGTATAAACTTTAGAATCAGTTTGTCTCTATCACAAAATAACTTGCTGGATTTTTTATTGGGATGATATTTAGTCTACAGATCAGGTTGGGAAGAACAGATATCTTGAAAATATTGACTCTTCCCAAAGATGGACATAAAATGACTCTTCACTTATTTTGTTCTTTGATTTATTTCATCAGAGTTTCTAAATTTTTTCTAGTATAGATTTTGTACATATATTGTCAGATTTATACATAAGAATTTATCTTTTTGGGGGGTGTTAATGTAAAGGGTACTATGCTTTTAATTGCAAGTTCCACTTGTTCATTACTAGAATATAGAAAACTGTTTAATTTTTGTATATTAACTTTGTGTCTTGCAAGTTTTCTATGATTGAGTATTAATTCAAGGAGATTTTGGTGATTCCTTTATATTTTCTACCTAGACAATCATGTTATCTAAAAGCAAAGTTTTATTTCTTTCTTCCCAATCAATACCCTTTTTATTTCTGTTTCTTGTTTTATTTTATTAGCTAGGACTTCCAATGCAATGTTGAAAAAGGAGTGGCAGAAAAGGACATTCTTGGCTTGTTTTTAATCTTAGTGTGAAAGCTTCTAGCTTCTCACCATTAAGTATAACATTAGTGGTACTTTTTTTGTAGATATTCTTTATCAGGCCAAGGAAGTTCCCATTACTTCCTAGTTTATTGAGTTTTTCTCATGAACGACTGTCGAATTCCATCAAATGTCTTTTTCTGCATCTGTTGACAAGATTATGTGACCTTTCTTTTTTAGCCTCTTGATGTAATGGATTACATTACTTGATGTTTAAATATTGAACCTGCCTTACAAGCCTGGGGTAAATCCCACTTTTACATGGTGTATAATTATTTTTGTCCATTGTTGGATTGAACTTGCTAGTACTTTGTTGAGGATTTTTGCATCTATGTTTATGGGAGATATTGGTCCAGCTTCCTGTAATGTCTTTGCCTGGTTTTGAATTTAGGGGAATGCTGGCCTCATTGAATGAGTCATCTCATTGAAGTACTCCATCTAGTTCTATCCTCTGAAAGATATTGCATAATTGCTATAATTTCTTCCTTAAGTGTTTGGTAGAATTCACCAAAGCCAGATGGAGTTGGCTACCTCCATTCCCCCAACTCAGTTAGGCTTGATAAAACTCCAACAGGTTACACTCTGGTTAATTAGCTTCTCCTGAGGGCAAGCATTGTTAAAAACAGAGTGCTGTGGCATACCCTGAAATGGTTCCTTTTTCCCTCTCCATGCCAGAAGCATAAGTGACTTTTTCTCTGATATTTACTGTAAAAACATGGTAAAACTCACAAAAGTGAGGGGGGCTAGCAATGACTGGGTGCTCTGAAGTTATTAACTCTCAGATTGGTCTACAATGAGCCTCCAGAAATTCATCAATTACAGTTCAGGTCTCCCTACCCTGGCACCAGCTCCCATTGTAGTTCCACTTATGAGTCTCTGCTCCAGGAAGTTGAGGCTCCTCTATTCACTTGTCTGCCTCTGTAATCTGGGGGGCAATGGCTTACCCTCTGTTTTCATTTTTCTTATGGATCTAAGAAGAGTTGCTGATTTTTCAGTCTGTTCATCTTTTTACTTGTTGTAAGGAGGGAGTAGCAATTTTCAAGCTCCTTACATGCAGAACCAGAAACCATAACTGTACAGGAGTGATTTTTCGATAAACAATCCAATGAAAACTGGGCAAAACATTTGAAAGACTTTTCAAAAAAAGAAATGTGAAGGATGATGTCTTTAATGCATTTTAGTATATGTAAATTATACCCCAATAAAGTTTATTTAAGATACATAGGAAACATATCAGAGGATTATGTTACTCTAAAACTTTCTGACCTAAACTGTAAAGTCAATCAATATACTATGAAATAATATAAAGATTTCGATGCTTTTTATATTTCATTAAAATGTAACATACAATATCTAGATCTCAAGTTGGGCTTCAGTTGGAGCTAGATTTCCCTGTGTTACAGTCCAGTTAGGAAAACAAGAGTTTATGTAATATTGTTCATTAGACGAAATTCAAAATTTGGAATATTAGCTGTTACTAACCCTAAGAAAGGACAAAAAGAAGAGACAGTGGTTGCAGAGCTAGACTGGAACTTGATCCATGGCTGGAGTTACCTGGCAACAGTTGGGACCATGGAGGAAATGCTACCCTGAGGAAGAATAGAGAGGGGAAGAAATTCTCTGGCTGCTTCTTCCATCTTCCACCCCTCAACCTCGTTCCAGTGTCTCCTGTTGGTTGAGCAGAGTCAGAAGCAGATGGCAGGGGAACCTGGGAAATCCAGGTGGTGGATCTGCCCTCTGTGGTACTGGGTAAAGAAGGGAATGACCAGGAAATCGATCTGAGGGTAAACAGGAAAACAAGCAGCCTACTTCCAACATGAGATGCTTCTTTTTACCCCAAGTGGTGAAGAGCCAGAGGAAAAACATGGGCTGTGTGGAAGATTTGAGGTTCTAAATCTTTGTTTTATCTTGACCTCCTTGAGCAAGATGAATGGGAACAAATCACTTTACTTCAAACACCTCCCAGAGGTGTTTTGTAAAACAATGAAAATATGCCAAGAACTTATCACAGAACCAGTGCCAGATGAACACCAAGTAATTCATATGCTTCAAACATTACCTTGAAGGGTCATTCCACTTTGAGTAGAAAATGAAGTAAACCACAAGTGAGAAGAGAACAAATATTTTAACATTTGAGCATTCGCTTTTGTGAAATTAAATAAAGCAGACTGATAGAACCACAGCCAAGGCATTTATCTTTTAGAAATGCTGAGGTATCCCTAAGCAAATAATCAGCCAGAAAAAGTAAACATTCATTTTCCTGCCATTCTGGGGTGTGATCCTGATTTCTTCAGTTCAGCATATTTATGAGCTGCCTTGCCCTCTTTCCTGCATTCTCCCAATTCTTCCGTCTTTGCAGGATGCTGTTCTTTCACACATGTTGTTTTTGCTTAATAAAGTAATAACCGACACAATCTGCCCTCTCTACAGAGTAATTATGTTAGCCTGTTGTTATTGATTTTGTTGCTAAGGTCTGAGAATCTGCTAATGTGCCACTGTGGGAGTGGTGGGAAGGTCGTAGGGGAAAGCGTGTTCTTATAATTTTCCCATAAACCAGATGTTTTCTTTAACTCTTACATCTTCAAAATATTTTCTCTTGAGAAAAAAAAAACAACAAGGACTAGAACGAGTTTAAGACACCAGCTCTTATTTTCTCAGCATACCACAAGCACATATAACTGAGTGTAAAGAATTTATTCTGTGGGCGCCTGTGTATCTGCTAATCATTTGATAAGCTACACGTATAATCAAGTAAAACCTGTTTCGTAAGTAAACTATATTCTTCCAATTTCCCAATGATTATGTTTCAATTACCATTGAAAACAATAAAACATTACCAAGGAAAGCATTACCACTGTAACATCATCCTGAATTTAGCAGGGTAAAACAATTTTTATTATCTCACAGATTTTATGGATCAAGAATCTGGAAAAGACTCAGCTGGGGCTGGCACCCAGGTTCAGCAGTTGTTACTCAGAATGTGTATATATGGCCTCCCTAGCAGGGCAGTTTCAGAGTCGTTAGATTTTCAGAGTGGTGGTGTCTCTCAGAGTGAGTATCCAAAGAAAATCAAGAGAATGTTGTGTGACTTTTATAGCTAGCTTCAGAAGTCATGTAACCTCATTTCCGCCATTCTCGGTTGCAGTGGTTCTCAACGAGGGGCAATTTTATTTTCCCATCTTCCCCCTTTGGGATGCATGGAACCACCCTCAAGAATGTTTGGCAGTATCTGAATACATTTTTAGTTTGTACAACTGAAGGTGGTGGGAGCTACTGGCATTTAGTAAGTCGAGCTCAATGATGCTGTTAAGTATTCTATAATGCACAATAAGAATTTTGTAGCCCAGTATGTCAATAGTGCTGAGGTTGAAAAACCCTGCTCCATTGGTTGAGGTAGTCATTGCCTGCCAGATTTAAGGGGAGGAAACATGGATTCTAATTCTGAAGGGAAAAGAGTCAGAAAAAATTGATGAACACTTAAAAACTGCCACGAAGTCCTGAATTTAACTTTTATCAAATTCAAACACCAAGTCTTCTATTAATTCAATTCCTAGGGGATACAATTATTTTTGTTTAATTTTTGATTTTTGTGGGTAGGTGTATATATTTATGAGGTATCTGAGATGTTTTGATACAGGCATGGAATGTGAAATAAGCACATCATGGACAATGGGGTATCCACCCCCTCAAGCATTTATCCTTTGAGTTACAAACAATCCAATTACACTCTTTAAGTTATTTAAAAAAGTTATTGACTATTGTGCTATCAAAGATTAGGTCTATTCATTCTTTCTAACTATTTTGTGTACCTTTTAAAATTGAGGTTCAAAAGGAAGTTGTAATGGTTTCAAAACAATTGAGATCAGGGATCTCTAAATGGGGCTTTGAGGCACCGGGAAACATACCCTTACCCTAACCTGCAAATGGGACTCTGAGAATGTAAATGCTTAGGTCAAGTTACCAACTAAATAACAAAGGCTAAGCCCAGATATCAGTTCTATAATTTGAGGTGCCCCCACCATTATTTTCTCTTGATCCTCAAGTTTCTTACTCTTTTTACTCATTTCAATATTGTCCAGCTGTAGATGAATTCTATTTTTAGAAGTTAGTGTGGTTACATTTAAACCTAATTTTCAAACTGACTTGCTTGAGATCCAAAGCACATTTTTAAGCGTCAGAGCTCTAGGAACAGAAAATAGCATCCCTGGGATGACAGGAAGGATGCCCTGTGCCTGGAGGAGGTCTCTCTCCAGGATTCAGCACACCGTGGAGCTGTGGGAAGTGTGTTATCTCTGTCATGAGAGAGAAAGGAGTGGCTGGCTCAGCAAGATTAGAGCCTCTCTCTGGATTGTTCCTCAGAACCAGAAGAACTGTGTGGAGTGGCAGCAACTGGAGGAAGCAGAATGTCCCCGAGCAAGGTGACTGGTTTTACTTAATGGAAAACTGAATGTTAAAGTAGCTAATAACACTAACTGCTTTCTTTTTAGTTGTTCTCATTTATTCTTTTCTAAAAATCTGTATTTCCATTCCTTTATTTTTTCTAACAGTCTCCTACTGTTCTCAAATACAACGTCTATTTTCTCCTTATCGCATGTCTTTAGTTGATGAAAGAGGGTAATACCCTGGCTTCATGCTCATATTTATCAAGCATTTCTGGAGCAGCTCCTACATTCCAAACTCTAAATTGAGTGTTGAAAGGTGGGACAGTGAACAAAACAGACCCAAACTTGATGGCAGAACCCATGGACTAGCCTGCCCCACAGGGTCTGGTGGAAGATATGCTCCACTGAACTGACAAAAATACACAACTATATGACTTACAAATGAGCAAACAACCTATCCATGCTTGGAGAGTCCAGAAGCCTTCCTGGAGTTGGTGACATCGAAGTGGAGAGTGACAGATGAAAATGGCGTGAAGCAAACAAGGGAAGGGTTTTCCAAGCCAAGAAAGCAGAGTGAATGAAGTCAGGTTCAACCATGTTGGCTTTTTTGTTTATTATTGTCTACCTGCTTGTGTATGGCTTTAAGATGGTAGATACAAATTCTTAAATCTTTGTACAAAAGGGGCAAGGAAGTTGGAATGAGCCGTTGGGTATTAGCTGTGTAAATCTCTATTTTTCCTTCTGCATGTGGCCACATGCTACTTCAATGTTATGTTCTTTTCTCATTTTTTTGCACTATTTACACACAGAAAAAAATCATTTTGGCCAACAATGTTTATTTAAGATCAACTTGATACTCACTGATGCTCTAATATGTGCCTTTAACAAAAGCCTCCTGAAGCAAAACTCACGCAGTAAACCGTCTTTGTTATCTATCACTTCTAGATCCAAGAAGTGTCATCAGTGCATCAAAGCCAGGAAGCAGATAGAAAATCAGGTTTAGAAATCCAAGATCAAGACAGTGACAGGTCAAGTTCAGGAGAGGTGGAGGAGTCAGAGAGCAGGAGCATAATTAGAGCATAATTGAAACCCAAGGTGACCTCTGCCTTAAACAGGATTTGAGGACAGCCCCTGTAATTGGATTCAGGGGTCTACACAACTCTAAGTTTACGAGAAACCTCATAGAGTGAACCTTGGGAATACAGGAACCCCAACATATATTCACTCATGTGTGCACCCCCCAAAAAGCACAAGAATATTTACAGGAACACTATAAAATCCCCATATGGGAAACAGTAGAATGGGTAAATTGTGGGTTTTTTACACAGTGAAATACAATTCTGCAATGTGAATAGACTTACAACACAACTACATTTGAAAATGACACTGAATCTTACAAATATAATGATATGGGGAGGGAACCACACATAAAAGGCACATATTTTTATGAATTGTGCCTTTTGGTCTCATTTTTATGAAGTTTAAGAACAAGCAAAAGTAATTTAGGGTATTAGAAGTTCTGACAGCTGTTTCCCTTGTACAGGGCAAATGGGTAGTGTCTGGAGGGAACACAGGAGTGGCAGGGATTCTGGAGTGCGAATAATCTGGTTTTTGATCTGGGTGCTGTTTATAACAGTATGTTCAACTTGTGGAAATGCAATAAGTAATACACTTAATTTTGTACTTTTGTATATAATGCTATACTTTAGTTAAGGTTTGGGGAGAAAATAGGAATATAGATAGACCTCTGGGATGACTGGGGATGTTGAAAAATACACTTTGAAAATTGTTTGAAAAATACTGACCTAAAAATTCATCAAACTGTGTTCAGCAACTTTAAATGACTGCGAAGAAAATTTGGGTAACCTGTTGAGAAGAATCAGGACTCTGAGCTTTCATTAGCTGAACTCTGTTTAACTCCACTTAGAGCCTACATGCCCACTCAAGTTTTTCAGGGGATAAGTCCTTGTTGCTTGCTACAACTACTTACTAGTCACCATCATTTGGCTGATCATTTGCATCTCACATAGATAACTTTTTTTTTCCTGAGGAATGGTTCGTCACATCTGTGGATAGCAACAAATCATACATGAACAAATTTTACTTTATGTTAATTGTAAGAGACAGTTTTACTGGATTCTGTGAAATAAACCAGTATATGGGTTTAACTGTCTAACTACTTATATAAACATTTCATCATCTAGGTACGTATCTGTCCCTCTTCTAACATTTATTAAAAATGTTTAAGTTCCCTGTTAATGAGCACTGAGTTTTAATTTGTGCTCAAGATCACTTTGTCTAATAACATTTACCTTAGCGGGATATTACTGGTGTAATCAATTAAATATTTTCTAAATAATGGGAATTACAAGCACACAAACATCTACTGGGCAAGATGGGTGAAGAGTAAAGGCAGTAGTGAGAAACAAGTGTAAGCCAGTTAATTCAGTTTCAGCTTGTAAGTTTTCAGTGTTTAGATTTAAAACCAAAAAATCCAAAATCTGAATTACCTAATTTTCTGATTAAATTTAGAAAATTAAAATTGTCAATGAACTTAAAAATTTTTAACTTTGTATAAGCCTAACAAACCATATCTATAGGCAGGATTCAGTTCACACATTGTCAGTCTGAGCCTTCCACAAGCATGATTTTAATCACTCTTCACAAATGTCCTATGAGGTGGGCATTGTACAGAGAAGGAAACCGAGGCGCATAGAAAGTGTAGCGTATTGGTCAAGTTCACACAGCTAAGAAGAGCCAAGCTAGAGTAAAGTCCAAGTCTAATTATCAAAATTACTATTCATTTCCCCAATGAGAAAAAAGCCTCACTGCATATCACTATGCTGGGATTAACAATCAAATTATGGTTTTTTACTTACAGGTATGATGGGAAAAAAGATGGAGGAAATATTTGCATTATTTGCTAAGGAATTTTTTCTTTTGGAAATTGGCTTAAAATTCTGTACTACAGAGAGTATATACCACTCAGTATTGGATTCATCTTTCTTTTTCTGGCAATAATATTCATTATAAGACACAAGAAATAAACCAATCACCTTATCTTAGACTATCCAAAGACTACAAAGGGACTTGTCTTAAAATTACATGTGTGGATGGCAACAACTCATACATTTCCAAATTTTAGTTTATGTTAATTGTAAGAGTTGGTTTTACTGGATTTTGTGAAATAAACCAGTATTTGGGTTTAACTGTCTAACTACTTACATAAACATTTCATCATCTAGGTACATATCTGTGCCTCTCCTATCGTTTAGTAAAAATGTTTAAATTCCCTGTTAATGTCTTCTAATGGAATGGATCTATGGAGGGTGAGGATTCCACCTTTTTGGTTTTGATTGCAGCAAGCTTTTTGAATGTTTATCTTCAGTATATTTTTCCAGATAATTAATTAATTCAATTTCAGTGAGACCATCCATGCTTATATCTATTTTGTTGTAATCCTTTCTCTTTTTTGACAAACGAATAAAAAAAACTTATTAGGAGAACAAAAACATAGAATTGCTAGGAACTGTTCATGTATGTCCCAAACTGATATTAAAATAGATTTTGGCTTTGAAAAAATGTAAAACTATTTGTAAATACAAGTAAGCAGGGTTGATGGATTACATGTGAGAAGAAAAGATGGTCAATTTATTTCAAAATTATTTTTTAAGTTTTTATTTTCTCTCTAAATGGAAGGGAGTAAGCCACACCTGGGGTGTTTCACCTTCTGTATTGCAGAACCAGGACCAGGCTTTGATTGCCTCTAAATAACATGAGGGTTTGTTTTGTTTTGTTTAACATGAAATGCTCATTTGTGGCTGTAAATACTTCAGTTATAACTTTGCATTTGTTAGGCTATTTGGTTAACGCGTATAAAAAAGCAGGATATATATTAACATCATTATCCAGATGTTCAGTATACAGCAAATTGCATGGAATTGTGTTGACTGTGAATTAATTTTCAAATCTTACTAGCCAGTGAAATGTTGTTTAGTCCTTTCTTTTGGTTTACTTCTTATTCTGTTCAACTTTTCATAAGTACTTTCATAAAGACCTTGCCGCATACACTATTTTTCATCCCAGGATGATGCCTCAGGCCTTGACATCAAACCAAGAATGTTAATTATGTTCCTTTCAAACTGTTTACTGCATGTATTGGCTTAGACTTGAGCATAAACATATTTATTAAGAGTATGGCTTCACCTTTTATTCTAGACATTCTATAGTTTCATGGAATATCAGGCACTTAAAAGAGAAAAAAATAAGCACATCATGGAGAATGGGGTATCCATCCCTTCAAGCATTTATGCTTTGAGTTACAAACAGTCCAATTATATCCTTTAAGTTATTTAAAAATATACAATTAAGTTATTATTGATAATAACTTATAGCATAATATTATAGTCACCATATCATGCTATAAAATAGTATGTCTTATTCATTCTTTCTATTTTTTTTTGGTACCCATTAACCATCCCCACCTCCCCCTCAACCCCCAGCTACCCATCCCAGCCTCTGGTTACCATTTTTCTACTCTCTGTCTCCACAAGTTCAATTGTTTTAAATTTTAGCTCCCACAAATAAGTGAGAACGTGCAAAGTTTATCTTTCTGTGCCTGCCTTATTTCACCTAACATAATTATCTTCAGTTCTATCCATGTTGTTTCAAATGACAGGATCCCATTCTTTTTATGGCTGAATAGTAATCCATTACGTATGTGTACCACATTTTCTTTACCCATTCATCTGTTGATGGACACTTAGGTTGCTTCCAAATCTTGATTACTGTAAATAGTGCTGTGCTTATGGGGTATCACTCAAGAAATCTTTGCCCAGAACAATGTCCTGGAGATTTTCTCCCAAAGTTTTCTTGTAGTAGTTTCACAGATTGAAGACTTAGATTTAAGTCTTCAGTCAATTTTGATTTTATTTTTGTATATGGTGAGAGATAGGATCCAGTTTCATTATTCTGCATATGGCTATCCAGTTTTCCCAGCAACTGGGAAAGACTATCTTTATTGAAAAGACTATCTTTCCCTCAGTGTATGTTCTTGGCAACTTTGTGGAAAATGAGTTCACTATAGATATATGAATTTGTTTCTGGGTTCTCTATTCTGTTTCATTGGTCAATATGTCTGTTTTTATGCCAGTAACATGATGTTTTGGTTACTATTCTTCTGTAGTACAACTTGAAGTCAGGTAATGCGATTCCTCTAGTTTTATTCTTTCTCCTCAGGATAGCTTTGGCTATTCTGGGTCTTTTTTGGTTCCATATAAATTTTAGCATTGTTATTTCTATTTCTGTGAAGAATGCCATTGGTATTTTCATAGAGATTGCATTGAATCTGTAGATTTCTTTGGGTAGTATGGACATTTTAACAATATTCATTCTTTCAATTCATGAACATGGAATATTTTTCTCTTTTTTTCTGTGTCCTCTTCAATTTCTTTCATCAATGTTTTATAGTTGCCATTGTAGAGATTTTTCACTTCTTTGGTTAAGTTAATTCCTATGTATTTTATTTTATTTGTAACTATCATAAATGGGATTACTGTTCAGATTCTTTGCTGTTGGCATATAGAAATGCTATTGATTTTGTATGTTAATTTTGTATTCTATAACTTTTGAACTTAGGAATTCTAATAGTTTTCTTGTGGAGTCTGCAGGTTTTTCAAAATATAAGATCATATCATCTGCAAACAAAGATAATTTGAGTTCTTCCTTTCAAATTTGAATATTTTTTATTTCTTTCTCTCTCCTGATTGCTCTAGCTAGGACTTCCAATATTATGTTAAATAACAGTGGTGACAGTGAGAATCCCTGTCATACTCCAGATCTTAGAGGAAAGGCTTTCAGTTTTTCCTCATTAGTATGATACCAGCTATGGGTTTGTCATATATGACTTTTATTATGTTGAGGTATGTTCCTTCTATCCCCAGTTTTTTAAAGGCTTTTTACCATGAAGGGATGTTGAATTTTATCAAATGCTTTTTCGGTATCAACTGAAATGATCATATGTTTTTTGCCCTCCATTCTGTTGATACAATGTATCACATTGATTGATTTGTGTATGTTGAACCATTCTTGCATCCCTGGGTTAATCTCACTTGCCCATGGTGAATGATCTTTTTAATGTGCTGTTGAAGTCAGTTTGCTAGTATTTTGTTGAGGACTTTTTCATCAACATTAATCAGTGATATTGGCCTGTAGTTTTCTCCTTTTTTGATGTGTCTTTGTCACATTTTGGTATCAGGGTAATGTAGCCTCATAGAATGAGGTTGGAAGTATTCCGTCCTCATCTATTTTTTGAAATAGTTTGAGTAGGATTGGTATATATTTATTCTTTAAATGCTCAGTAGAATTCAGCAGAGAAGCCATAGGGTCCTGGGCTTTTCTTTACTTGGAGACTTTTTATGATGCTTCAATCTCATTACTTGTTATTGGTCTATTCAGGGTTTCAATTTCTTCATGGTTCAATCTTGGTAGGTTTTATATGTCTAGGAATTTGTCAATTTTTTCTAGATTTTCCAATGTATTGGCTTAAAGTAGCCAGTAATAATCCTTTGAATTTCTTTGGTATCAATTGTAATGTTTCCTTTTTCATCTCTAATTTTATTTATTTGAGTCTTCTCCCTTTTTTTCTTAGTTACTTAGGCTAGAAGTTTGTCAATTTTGCTTATCTTTTTTTAAAAAAACTTTGTTTTGTTGATATTTTATATTGTTTTCTTCATTTCAATTTCATTTGTCTTTATTATTTCTGTGATGTTTATTATTTCTTTTCTTCTAATTTGGGGTTTGGTTTGCTCTTACTTTTCTAATTCTTTAAGATGCATCATTAGGTTATTTATTCGAAGTTTTTCTTCTTTTTTGACATGGGTGCTTATAATTATAAACTTCCCTCTTAGTACTGCTTTTGCTGTATTCTACAGGTTTTGGAATCTTGTGTTTTCGCTATCATTTGTTTCAAAAAATTTTTCAATTTCCTTCTTAATTTCTTCATTGACCTACTGGTCATTCAGGAATATAATGTTTAATTTCCATATGTTTGTAATATAGTTTCCAAATTTCCTCTTGTTATTAATATCTAGTTTTATCCCATTGTGATCAGAGAAGATATTTGAAATTATTTTAATTTTTTTAATGTTTTAAGACTTTTTGGTGACTTAACATATAGTCTATCAGTGAGAATGGTCCATGTGCTGAGGAGAACAATGTATATTCTGCAGCTCCTGGATGAAACGTTCTGTAAATATCTATTTAGGTCCATTCGGTCTAAAGTGCAGATTAAGTCCAATGTTTCTTTGTCGATTTTCTGTCTAGAGATCAGTCCAACGCTGAAAGTGGGCTGTTGAAGTCTCCAGCTATTATTTTACTGGAGCCTATGTCTCTCTTTAGAAATAATAATATTTGCTTTATATATATGAGTGCTCCAGTATTGGGTGCATATATATTCACAATTGTTATATTGTCTTGCTGAACTGACCATTTTATCATTATATAACTATCTTCTTTGTCTCATCTTATAGTTTTGTCTTAAAATCTATTTTGTCTGATATAAGTGTCATTTCTCCTACTCTTTTTTGGTTTCCAATGGCATGAAATATCTTTTTCCATCCCTTTATTTTCAGTCTTTGTGTGTCTCTATAGGGTAAGTGTGTTTCTTGTAGAGAACAGATCAGTGGGTTTTGTTTTTTAATCCACTCAGCCACTCTATGTCTTTTTATTGAAGAGTTTATTCTATTTACATTCAATGTTGTTATTGATAAACAGTGACTTACTCCTGCCAATTTTTTATTTGTTTTCTGGTTGTTTTCTAGTCTTTTTTTCTTTCTTTCCTTCCTGTCTTCCTTTAAGTGGAGATTATTTTCTCTGGTAGTATGTTTTAATGTATTGCTTTATATTTTTGTGTAGCTTTTGTATTTTATTTGAGGTTATCATGACACTTGCGAATACTATCTTATAATTCGCTATTTTAAACTTATAATGACAACACTGATTGTATACACAAACAAGGAAGCAAAAGAAAACTAATAAAAGCCCGACATTTTAACTGTTCTCCACTTTTAACTTTTTATTGTTTCTATTTATATCTTACTATACTATCTCCGCCTTAAAAACTTGCTGTAGTTATTTTTGATTGGTTCATTTTTTAGTCTTTTTATTTAAGAACAGTTTTCACATCATACTTACAGAGTTAAAATATTCTATGTTTTTCTGTGTACTTAGTATTACTAGTAAATTTTGTACATTCAGATGATTTCTTATTACTCTTTAACATAATTTTTTTTCTGATTGAAGAGCTCCCTTTAGTATTTCTTTTTTTATGTGTTACCAAATTTTACTTTAAGTTCAGGGATACATGTGCAGGATGAGCAGGTTTGTTACCTAGGTAAACATGTGTCGTGGTGGTTTGTTACACAGATCATCCCATCATCTAGGTATTAATACTACCATTTACTAGCTATTCTTCCTGATCCTCTCTCTCTTCCCACCCCTCACCCTCCGACAGGATCCAGTGTGTGTTGTCCACCCCTTCATGTATTCATGTGTTCTCATCATTTAGCTCCCACTAGTAAGTGAGAACATGTGGTATTTGGTTTTCTGTTCCTGTGTTAGCTTGCTAAGGATAATGACCTCCAGCTTCATTCATGTCTTTGCAAAGAACATGATCTTGTTCCCTTTTATGGCTTCATAGTATTCAGTGGTGTATATGCAGCACATTTTCTTTATCCAGTGCATCATTGATGGGCATTTAGGTTGATTCCATGTCTTTACTATTGTGAATACTGCTACAATAAACATTCATGTGTGTGTGTCTTCATGGTAGAATGCTTTGTATTCCTCTGGGCATGTATTCAGTAATGGGATTCCTGGATCTAATGGTATTTCTGCCTCTAGGTCTTTGAGGAATTTCCATCTTGCCTTCCACAATGATTGAACTAATTTACACTCCCATCAACAGGGTAAAAGTATTCCTTTTTCTCCATAACCTCGAAAGTATCTGTTGTTTTTTGACTTTTTTAATAATTGTCATTCTGATTGGTGTGAGATGGCATCTCACTGTGGTTTTGATTTGCATTTCTCTAATGATCAGTGATGTTCAGCTTTTTTTCATATGCTTTCTGGCCACATGTATGTCTTCTGTATTAGTCTGTTTTCATGATGCTGATAAAGACATACTCGAGATTGGGGAAAAAATATAGACTTAATGAACTTACAGTTCCATGTGGCTGAGGAGGCCTCACAGTCATGGCAGAAGGTGAAAGGCACTTCTTACATGGTGGCAGCCAAAGAGAGAGAGGTTGTGCAGGGGAACTCTTCTTTTTTTTTTTTTTTTTTCCGCCCAGGCTGGAGTGCAGTGGCACGATTTCGGCTCACTGCAACCTCTGCCTCCCAGGTTCAAGCAATTCTCTGCCTCAGCTGCCCGAGTAGCTAGATTTACAGGTGCCTGCCACCACACCCAGCTAATTTTTGTATTTTTAGTAGAGACGGGGTTTCACCATCTTGGCCAGGCTGGTCTTGAACTCCTGACCTCTTCATCCATCCACCTCAACCTCTCAAAGTGCTGGGATTACAGGCGTGAACCACCGTGTGTGGCTGGAACTCTTCTTTTTAAAACTATCAGATTTTATGAGTCTTATTCACTATCACGAGAACAGCATGATAAAGAAGTGCCCCCATGATTCAATTACCTCCCACTGGGTCCCTCCTACAACATGTGGGAATTCAAGATGAGATTTGGGTGGGGACACAGCCAAGCCACATCATTCCA
Organism: Homo sapiens; assembly: GCF_000001405.40. NCBI lineage: Eukaryota > Metazoa > Chordata > Mammalia > Primates > Hominidae > Homo > Homo sapiens. Next base: position 30,382,897 of record NC_000003.12, read on the forward strand.
CCCCCGGCCCCTCCCAAATCTCATGTCCTCACATTTCAAAACCAATCATGCCTTCCCAACAGTCTCCCAAAGTCTTAACTCATTTCAGCATTAACTCAAAAGTCCACAGTCCAACACCTCATCTGAGACAAGGCAAGTCCCTTCCACCTATGAGCCTGTAAAATCTAAAGCAAGTTAGTTACTTCCTAGATACAATGGGGCTATAGGCATTGGGTAAATACAGCTGTTCCAAATGTGAGAAAGTGGCCAAAACAAAGGGGCTACAGGCCCCATTCAAGTTCAAAACTCAGCAGCACAGTCAGATCTTAAAGGTCCAAAATGATCTCCTTTGACTCCATGTCTCACATCCAGGTCATGCTGATGCAAGAGATTGGTTTCCATGGTCTTGGGCAGTTCCATCCCTGTGGCTCTGCAGGACACCTCCTCCCTCCCAGGCTGGAGGTGAGGCCTGGTGGGAAGTGTTTGGATCATGCAGCAGATCCCTCATGGCTTGGTGTTGTCTTCAAGATAGTGAGTTTTCATGAGATCTGGTCATTTAAGAGTGTGTGGCACCTCCCCGCCCCACTCTTTCTTGCACCTCCTTTTGCCATGTAACATGCCTACTACAAGGTGGAAATCCTTCAACTTCCACCTTGATTGTAAGCTTCCTGATACCTTCTTAGAAGTGGATCAGATGCTAGGAGCTTGCTTCCTGTAAAGCCTGCAGAACTGTGAGCTAGTTGAACCTTGTTTCTTTATAAATTACCTAGTCTCACATATTTTTTTATAAAAATGAAAAACTAGCCTAGTACAGTGGTTTTGGATAAGACCTGGAAGAATTTTGAGATTACCAGGCAGAGACTCTTGTTCTCTTTCTTTACTTTCTCCCAAACAGTCTCTCTCTGTGCTGAGCCACCGGGGTCTGGGGGTAGGGGGACACAAGCATCCCTGTGGAAACCAGCACTGGGTCTGACCTGAAGCCAGCATGGCACTGGGTCTCACCCAAGGCCCACTGTAACCACTACCTGGCTACAGATTATGTTTCCTCAAGGTCCTAGTGCTCCAGAGTAAGTAGGTGGTGAAGCCAGCCAGGATTCTACCCTTTCCTTCAGGTTGGCAAATTCCCTTGGGCCCCAGGAAGTTCCAGAGATGCCATCTTGGAGCCAGAGATTGGAGTCAAATACCTTAGAAATCTACCAGGTGCTCTAGTCTATTGCAGCTAAGCTAGCACTCAAGCCATATGACCAAGTCCTTCCCACTCTTTCCTCTCTTTTCCATAGGCAGAAGAGCCTCTACCCATGGCCACCACAACCACAGACCCATGGGAGGTACAGACAGGTTACCACTGATGTTCACTTAAGGCCCAAGGGCTCTTTAGTCAGATTGTTGTGAATCCTAGTAGGCCTGAGACTCATCCTTCAGGGCAGTGGACTCCCCTCTGTCCCAAGGCAGATACAGAAATGCCATGCATGGGCTGAAGTGTGGAATCAGGGACCACAAGAGCCCACCTGATGCTCTCTATTCACCTGTGGTCGAGCTGGTACCTAAGGTACAAGACAAAGTCCCGTTTGCTTTCCCCTCAGCTTTTCTTAAGTAGGAGTTTCTCACAATAGCCACCAGAGCTGAGAATGTACTGAGTCTCATCTGAAGCCAGCATGTCTCAGAGTGCTCAGTATGCCCAAAGCCTAAGGCACACTACCTGGGTATTGCTACTGGTTATTCAGGGCCCAAGGGCTATTTAGTCAGCAAATGATAAATCCTGCCAGGACTGGGTTCTTCCCTTCAAGGCAGAAGGTTCCCTTCTGGCCCAGGGTGTGTCTACATATGCCATCCAGTAGCTCTGGCCTGGAACAAGGGCTTTATGATTGCCCAGTGCCTTATCCTACTGTGGCTGAGCTGGTATCCGAGGTGCAAGACAAAGTCCTCTTTACTCCCTCCTCCCTCCTCATCTCAAGCAGAAGGAAGGAGTCACTTTTGTTGCTGTGAGCTGCACTGCCCAGGTTTGGGGGAGGGGTGATGCAAACAATTCCTTAGCCATCGCAGCTGGTGTGTCACTAGGTTGTGTTTCCCCCATGTCCACTGGCTCTGAGCCTAGCACAGCACTAGTACTTGCCTAGGAATTGCAGTCCTTGTGGCCTAGACAGCCTTTCAGATTAATTTAGAACCCCAGAGCACTTTAGCCCATCATGGCAAGGCTTGCCAAAACTCAAGTTCCAAATGCTACGATGGGTGAGTCCCCTTTGGCCAGGGCTGGCTTAAATGCTCCTTCTATGGGCTGGTATCGGTGGACTTCTACCTGGTTTTGCTTTCCTCTGTAATAGAACAGCCCTGAGTTCTATGCAGGGCCCCACAGTTGCTGTACTCTCCCTCCCACAAGCACTCAGATTCTCTACACCACATGGCTGCTGCTGGAGAGGTGGGGCAGTGTGGAGGGAAGGGGGAAGGGTGGCATTAGTGATTGAAGACTGTCTTTGGTACCCTCTTCAGTACCTCTTTCAGAGATAAGAAGTTAAAACCAGATACTGTGATTGCTTACCTGATTTTTTATTCTTATGAAGGTGCTTTTATTCCTACAGCACAGGAATGACTGGTGAAGGCTTCTATTCTGCCACCTTGCTCCATCCTCTAATCTCTAAGTTTTTGGTGTATAGCATGCCTCTGTCAATATCACTTCTTAGATACCTCACTTTCTTTATCCTAGTCCAATCCTCGTGTTGATAAACATACACAGATATTCTGATGTTAAAATTTCTTCCCATTCCTTGAATAAGCTCTATTTGATCATGATGTATTTTATTTTATACATTTTTTTAAAATTATTATACTTTAAGTTCTGGGATACATGTGCAAAACATGCAGGTTTGTTAAATAGGTATAATGTGCCATGTTGGTTTGCTGCACCCATCAACTTGACATTTACGTTAGGTATTACTCCTAATGCTATCCCTCCCCCAGCCCCCCACCCCCAAAAGGCCCCAGTGTGTGATGCTCCCCTCCCTGTGCCCATGTGTTCACATTGTTCAACTCCCACTTATGAGTGAGAACATGCAGTGTTTGGTTTTCTCTTTTTGTGGTACTTTGCTGAGAATGATGGTTTCCAGTTTCATCCATGTCCCTGCAAAGGACATGAACCCATCTTTTTTATGGCTGCATAGTATTCCATGGTGCATATGTGCCACATTTTCTTTATCCAGTCTATCATTGATGGGCATTTGGGTTGGTTCCAAGACTTTGCTATTGTGAACAGTGCTGCAATAAACATACGTGTGCATGTGTCTTTATAGTAGAATGATTTATAATCCTTTGAGTATATACCCAGTAATGGGATTGCTGGGTCAAATGGTATTTCTAGTTCTAGATCCTTGAGGAATCGCCACACTGTCTTCCACAATGGTTGAACTAATTTACATTCCCACCAACAGAGTAAAAGCATTCCTATTTTTCCACATCCTCTCCAGCATCTGTTATTTCCTGACTTTTTAATGATCACCATTCTAATTGGCATGAGATGGTATCTCATTGTGGTTTTGATTTGCATTTCTGTAATGACAAGTGATGATGAACATTTTTTCATACGTTTGTTGGCTGCATAGATGTCTTCTTCTAAGAAGTGTCTGTTCATATTCTTGGCCCATTTTTTGATGGGAGGTTGTTTGTTTTTTGCTTTTTCTTTCTGTAAATTTGTTTAAGTTCTTTGTAGGTTCTGGATATTAGCCCTTTGTCAGATGGATAGATTGCAAAATTTTCCCCCAATCTGTAGGTTGCCTGTTCACTCTGCTGATAGTTTCTTTTGCTGTGCAGAAGCTCTTTAGTTTAATTAGATCCCATTTGTCTATTTTGGCTTTTGTTGCCATTGCTTTTGGTGTTTTAGTCATGAAGTCGTTGCCCATGCCTATGTCCTGAATGGTATTGCCTAGGTTTTCTTCTAGACTTTTTTATGGTTTTAGGTCTTACATTTAAGTCTTTAATCCATCTTGAGTTAATTTTTGTATAAGGTGTAAGGAAGGGATCCAGTTTCAGCTTTCTGCATGCGGCTAGCCAGTTTTCCCAGCACCATTTATTAGATAGGGTATCCTTTCCCCATTGCTTGCTTTTGTCAGGTTTGTCAAAGATCAGATGGTTGTAGATGTGGGGTGTTATTTCTGAGGACTCTGTTCTGTTCCATTGGTCTATATATCTGTTTTGGCATAAGTACCATGCTGTTTTGGTTACTGTAGCCTTGTAGTATAGTTTGAAGTCAGGTAGCATGAGGCTTCCAGCTTTGTTCTTTTGGCTTAGGATTGTCTTGGCTATGCAGGCTCTTTTTCGGTTCCATATGAAATTAAAATAGTTTTTTCCAATTCTGTGAAGAAAGTCAGTGGTAGCTTGATGGGGATGGCATTGAATCTATAAATTACTTTGGGCAGTATGGCCATTTTCATGATGTTGATTGTTTCTATCCAAGAGCATGGAATGTTCTTCCATTTGTTTGTGTCCTCTTTTATTTCCTTGACCAGTGGTTTGTAGTTCTCCTTGAAGAGGTCCTTCACATCCCTTGTAAGTTGGATTCCTAGGTATTTTATTCTCTTTGTAGCAATTGTGAATGCGAGTTCACTCATGATTTGGCTCTCTGTTTGTCTGTTATTGGTGTATAAGAATGCTTGTGATTTTTGCACATTGATTTTGTATCCTGAGACTTTGCTGAAGTTGCTTATCAGCTTAAGGAGATTTTGGGCTGAGACGATGGGGTTTTCTAAATATATGATCATGTCATCTGCAAACAGAGACAATTTGACTTCCTCTTTTCCTAACTGAATACTCTTTTTTCTTTCTCTTGCTTGATTGCCCTGGCCAGAACTTCCAATACTATGTCGAATAGGAGTGGTGAGAGAGGGCCTCCTTGTGCCAGTTTTCAAAGGGAATGCTTCCAGTTTTTGCCCATTCAGTATGATATTGGTTGTGGGTTTGTCATAGATAGCTCTTATTATTTTGAGATACATTCCATCAATACCTAGTTTATTGAGAGTTTTTAGCATGAAGGGCTGTTGAATTTTATCGAAGGCCTTTTCTGCATCTACTGAGATAATCATGTGGTTTTTGTTGTTGGTTCTGTTTATGTGGTGGATTATGTTTTGATTTGTGTATGTTGAACCAGCCTTGCATCCCAGGGATGAAGCCAACTTAATCATGGTGGATAAGCTTTTTTATCTGCTGCTTGATTTGGTTTGCCAGGATTTTATTGAGGATTTTTGCACCGATGTTCATCAGGGATATTGGCCTAAAATTTTCCTTTTTTGTTGTGTCTCTGCCAGGTTTTGGTATCAGGATGATGCTGGCCTCATAAAATGAGTTAGGGAGGATTCTTTCTTTTTCTATTGAGTGGAATAGTTCCAGAAGGAAAGGTACCAGCTCCTCTTTGTACCTCTGGTCGAATTTGGCTGTGAATCCATCTGGTCCTGGACTTTTTTTTTTTTGGTTGGGAGGCTATTAATTATTGCCTCAATTTCAGAACCCATTATTGGTCTATTCAGAGATTTGACTTCTTCCTGGTTTAGTCTTGGGAGGGTGTATGTGTCCAGGAATTTATCCATTTCTTCTAGATTTTCTAGTTTATTTGCATAGAGGGGTTTATCATATTTTCCGATGGTAGTTTGTATTTCTATGGGATCAATGGTAATATCCCCTTTATCATTTTTTATTGTGTCTATTTGATTCTTTTCTTTTTTCTTCTTTATTAGTCTTGCTAACGGTCTATTTTGTTGATCTTTTCAAAAAACCAGCTCCTGGATTCACTGATTATTTGAAGGGTTTTTTTGTGTCTCTATCTTCTTCAGTTCTGCTCTGATCTTAGTTATTTCTTGCCTTCTGCTAGCTTTTGAATTTGTTTGCTCCTGCTTCTCTAGTTCTTTTAATTGTGATATTAGGGTGTTGATTTTAGATCTTTACTACTTTCTCTTGTGGGCATTTAGTGCTATAAATTTCCCTCTACATACTGCTTTAAATGTGTCCCAGAGATTCTGGTGCATTGTGTCTTTGTTCTCATTGGTTTCATGATTCATTTTAATACTCCTTTAGATTCAGTTAATATTTTATTTATACTTTTTGCATTTATAAGCAAAAATCAAGTGTGCTGATAATTTTCTTTCTTTTACAGTCTTCATCCCGTTTTGGAATTGTAGCTTCTTAAAAGGAGAAGGATAAGTTCCCTTATATTCTTTTTTTTTGGCAGTAATTTTTGTTACAGGTAATAATCTGCTCCTCTAAATCTTTCCAGGTCTGAAGCATATTATGGGGAGTGGGGGAAGTTTGAACAAGTCACTTTCATCTGGGCTTACATTTTACCCTTATGCAAAAATGGAGATAATGAAACCTATCTTGTAGATTTTTGGAGAGCTTAAAAGTTAATTTTTAAAAAGGACATAGCACTGAACATGACCCAAAGAAGATGCTTAATTGATAGAAAATTAACAGCTTCTTGGGCTTCATTGACATTTTGGACTTATTCCCCTCCCCTTCCCCCTGATGTCTCTAGGCTTACATTATGGTGTTGGTCATTCTCTAAAATTTTATTTTATTTTATCTCTATTATAATGCCTGTTGTTCTCTTTAATTTCAAGCACTGTTTCATTCTAGAAATTGCTGGTTAATTACTTTATGTTGGAATGTGGTAAAATATTATGTTGGAAAAACCAACCAAAGTGCTTTCCAACTAATGTATTTCCTGTTACCCATGGCCCTTCTCCCCTTCAGGCAGATGTTTAGAGAGCTCTAGAGTTATTGCTCCAAGGAAGGGTTGGAAATGCTGAAACAGAATAAACAAAGTACAAATTACTTTTTTCTTTTAAAATTCTAGATTGTCAAGAGAAAAAAGTTACATGTATAAAATCTACAGTAGAATTGGAAGATGGATCTAATGAGAATAACACTAAGGAAACACCATCCTTCAAAAACTAAAAGCTCCTTGATGAGGTGAGAGGATTGCATTAACAAAGGCTGAAGGGACAGTGTGGGCTACTGAAATATGGGTCGGGTTGGGCTGGAACCTGCCCCTCTTCTGGGATCAGTTTGGGGTATAGAGATATAGCAGAAATCTCAGATAATTTGAGAGATTCCAGTGCAGGAGTAACCTATGCTTTCTTTCCCAGGTAGACACCAGGCGAAAGGCAAGATGCCAGAGTATAAATGACTTTGAGGTGTGTTCAGTCAGGTGAGATGTAGACAGCCTTATTATTGCCCACTGCCCAGTGAGATATGGGAGTGGTAAAAACGTACCTGCATCTGAGAAGAGCATGGAAAGGGTGAAGGGCTATAGTTGACCAAACCAAGTTTCCCAATCACAGTGAGATCCAGATTTGGAGAAAAATCCCAAAACCCAACAGGGGCCTGGGTTAAGTGGGAGACAGCTGGACTCAAATGAGTCTAGCTGTTAGGTTGAAGACTGGTTTTGGGGATGAACTCAGAAAGGACCTGCATAGACCAGCACCTAAAGATAGTGAGGAATGAGGACATCTCAGTAGGTGCCAGCATGGATAGCTGATGACCCAGCCTGCATGCTTCCTTTAGTGCCTTACATTATTATGGAAGCCCATTAGAACCGAGACACCACTCCAACGAATAGGCAATGGGAAGAAATGGATTGAGCTAAAATTCCCACCAACTGGCCAGATGAAGTATTTATAATAAATTTTGTTTTATGTGGAAAAATTTATAATAAATTTTGTTTTATGTGCAAAAGCATGTTATGCTTCTTGCACACCTGAGTTTGTGGCATGAAATTTCTACCCACTATATACCCATATTCCCAAATTTTAAAAATGCTTATCGGAGATGTGGCAGTGTGGTCCTTTGGGACATGCCTGCTAATGGTTATTATCTCTTGCAAGTTATTCAAACTTTTTGCTTCAGTTTCCACATCTATAGATGGGAATGTAGTCTTTATTGTGGCCACACAATAATGAAATGAAATAATGTATTGCAGAGTGCCTCACATCTAATTGGCATTCAAGGGTTATCATTTAGTTTCCTAACTCTAACTCCAGAGAGAAAATGTGAGAAAAATAGCTATAGAAATTTGAAAGAAAACAAAGAGCTTGGAGAAGGTATTTTTTGGAAGATTATTAATGCTGTTACTGCTAATTAGGAGACTGGGTGTGCATTTCCCAGGCAAGGACTGCAATCAGCAAAATTTTCAGTGTGATGCTCAGTACAATTAGCAAGGCCAGGCCTGTTGATTTGCCACAACTCCAAATTCTTGTCAGCCTTTTTTAATCACCCTTTGCATCATCTCAGGAATCAACCGCATAAGATCATGCCATTACTATCCCCTCCAGGGGATACCTACAGTATTATTCGTTTGAAGGAAAAGAGGAAACCTTGTAGATCTATCCTAGCAACAATAGATATTTCCCATAATGTAACATCATGAATTAACTCCCATGTAAACAAGAACTGGTTTTGTGTGTTTACTCATTGAGTGCTTCTAAAATTCTGAACAGAAAATTTGTGGGAAGTTGCCCTGTTTTCTTCAACTTAGCATATGGTATTAATGATTAAATAATGTCTCTATAATTAAACGTCATGTAGTGTTTCCTCACCTTGTGCTCAAATTTTTACCATTTTAGATCAGAGATTTTTTTCTCTAAGTTTTAAATGGTATTCCAATGTCAACAGTTCTCTCTGGAAATGTGATAGAAAAACTATTTACACTTACCTGCCCAACACTTTATGGGAATTTGTGAGTGACAGTAGATTGTTATAGAACTGCTTAGCAGTGTCTGAGGACTTAGCTCGTTCTCATTTATAAAAAGAAGGGTGAAGCCAAGTCATCTCTGATTACACGGAACACATATTATATAGTTTCTGGAACAGACTCAATTTCAAACATTCTATTCCTTTGGTCTCATAAGTAGATTCATTCCTTCCAGACCAAACGTTCAAAAAAGAATCTCAATTTACTTTAACAATTATTGCTGATTAAAATTTCTATGATTCTGTTACAGACAAGAAAATGAAGTGTCCCAGAAGAGGAAATGCAGTAAGTGTTGGGGATAAAAAGAAGGTTAGAAAGCGAACAATTTCAGAAGGGAAGAAATGACCTCTAAAAGGGAAGCTGGGATGATAGCAAAGGCAATGTCAACGTCCTCACAATTTCACTTAGATTTTCCTGGCTACTCTGCAGAAGGCATGATAAGATAAATGCTTATTGATTTCAAGATCAAGGCAACAGGATCCTTTCTGTTTAATTATTTCTTTGTAAGTTAAAAACTAAATGCTTTGGCAAGTGCTGTAAATACAAAGGGCAGGGGTATTCAGTGCCCTTAGAATCAATGGCAAGTTCAAGCTGTGTGTGACAAGGGATAACCATTATTCATCCATTCATTCTAACAAAGTCTGTAAATGACTACCATGCATTAGGTGATGGTCTGGTCACTGAAATATCAGAGACAGGTAAAGCTCAGTCTCTGTTCTTAAGGACCTCAGGGTTTAGAAGAAGAAAAAGACATATAAGTAAGTACAATAGAAATATAAACAAGAACCAAAGGTAGCTCAGGGGAAGTGAGTAACTCTTAGAGGAAAATATTAAATAAAGGATTTCTGGATGAGAGGATGTTTGAACTGAATTCTGAAGATGAATAAAAGTCCTTCTGGAGAAATAAAAACACCATTTTGGCAGAAATAATAGTATATGTGAATACATTTAGAACAAAGCATGGAAACTATGTTTAGGATATTGTCATAAGCTTGGTATCTTTAGAGCATTTTGTGTAAGTGGTGAGGGGAGAAAATGGGAGGAGATAAAAAACGTAAACGTAGGGTAGGGTAGATTATGAATGGATAGAAATGTCTCTTAAAGCATCTGAACTATACCCAAATGCCTAGGAGGAGAAAGTGAAGCATTCAAAGCAGAAGAAACCAGGAATGGGTTTGCCAGCAGCGTTGAGAATAAGTTGGAAGACAGAAATAAGTGAATTATAGACACAGATATATATTTTTGAGTAATCAGAAATAGTGAGAAATAAAGAGAGTCTTGCCTAAGACAGTGGTAGTGGAAAGAAAACAGCAGCAAGACTTAAGAGATAGTCAAGAAATATTCAATAGAATCTGGTGATGACTGATGTGAGGTGTGAGAGAGACTTCAAGTTCTCTGGTCCATGGAGAAGGAAGCATGTTGAATCTGAGGGGCCAGTAGACATCTACATAGCAGGAAATAATCGAGAGGGACTGCTGGTGTAAAGATATGAAGAGCACCAAATTCCATCACTTATTTATTTGATGCTTGCCTCATAGTAGTCACTCCTAACCCCAAAGGTCTCAGAGTCTCAGTAATCTCCAAAGAAGGTGCATGTAATTATAGAACACTGAGTTATTTAATTACACTACTAGAGGAAGTATACGGTGTGACGAGAGCATAGAGAAGGGTTCTTAACAAAGACTTGGCATAAGGTAGCATGGAGAGAGGGCAGCAGGCCAGGCAGGTTAGAGAAAAAAAAAAGTGTAAGCTGACATCTAAAGACCTAGTAGAAATGAACCAGAAAAAAAGGAATACAGAAATTTTTCAAGCAGTGAAAGTCCCATGTGCCATGACCAGGAAGCGATAATGGGCATGGCGTACCTGAGAAATTGTGGAATGTTCCATCGCTGGAGTGTCAAGTCTAAAAGGAGAACAGCAAGAGCTGAAGCTGGGAAAGTTAGCTTTGGCATGATCATGGCACAAGCTATTTTATAGAACTTAAACTTTATCTAGTGTGCAAGAGAAAGCCACTTAAGGATTTTTTAGCAGGGTAGTGATACAATCAGATTTGTATTTTAAAAACTCATTCCAGCTACTGTGTGGAAAATGAGATGTTAATTAAAATAGTGAGCCTCGATGTGATTTCCTAGGATAAAGACCACAATTTGATTCAACCTGCTAATGTGCTCTGGCCTTCAGGGTGCATTTAAAAAATTTATTCATTTAATTCTGAGTTAGTTGTGAACATTTAAAAATTGGGAACTCTCACATAAAATCAGGGTTCCAGGGTTCTTTTGACAAAGTAGATCTGGCAAAGCTGTGTCCTTACTCCTGACCTGTCAGCAACTGGCTGGAGCTGAGTTGTCCACAAAATGATGCTTTTATACAACGTAGGTGCCCTTCTGCTCACCACAGTCCAATGGAGGCATTTAGTTTGATTTTAGTGCCCCGGAATTAACCAGAGAGAACATGTAGACTGAGAATAAAGAACCGCTGGACATGCCTATCTAAAACCAAACTCCTCTGCCAGATGACATCCCCATTTCCTACTCATGATTTTTGTTTTATCAATTTTTTTCTCATCAAATTTTCCCCTCTACCGGGTCATTTCCATTGACATAAAAACATGTTATTTTTCTGTCTTAACAAGAATTTTTCTTGGCTCTCTTCCCCACCAGCTACCCCCATAACTTTGTTCTCTTTTCCTCTCAAATCATCTTCTCAAGCCAACCACTCTAGGAACACCGCTCATGTCAGTGTCATCAAGGACTTTCTTGCTGCCAATTTCAATGTGTAGTTCTTAGTCCTCACCTTACTTAACCTATCTGCGGTAATCAACACAAAGTTAGTCATTGCCTTTTATTTGAAACGATGTTTTACCCCCTTGACTTTTAGGATACACTACATATCTTGAGGATCTTTCTACCTTGCTGACTCTTCCTTCTTAGTCTCTTTTATGAATTCTTCTTTCTCAAGGCCGGAGAGCCTCATATCTTAGTCTTTGTATCTCTTCTCTGTCTGTACTCACTCCTTGTCATTCAGGGCTGTCAACAACCTTATGTCTTTAAATACCATCTATATGTTAAAAGCTTCCAAGTTCCTTACTCCAGCCCCTACCTTTCTCTTGAGCACCATTCTCCCAATGCCTAGTTGATTTTTGACATCTAACTAAAAAGCATCTAAAGTTCACTATGTTAAATACAAACTTGGATTCTCATCTGTCTTCCACTAAACATGCCCCTCTCATAGCATTCCTATCTTAAAAAATGACATCCCATTCCACCTGTTGTCAATGCCAAAGACTTCTAAAATAACCTTACTTCTTCTGTTTCCTTCACACCACACATCAAATCTGCTGCAAATCCTATTGGCCCTACCTATCTTTGAAATTTTTCCAGAATGCAATCCCTTCTTCCTCCTCCACTGCTTCCACTCTGGTCCAATCCCCTTCGATCTCCTTCCTGGAATTTTACAATAGTTTCCTAGCTGATGTCTCTGTTTTCAAGGTTCCTTCCTGCAGGTTCTACACTGAAAAAGCAACCAGCACTTGAAAAGAAAGAGGGTTTCTGTAATACTTTCTCAGGATGAGTTTGAAGTTATGCATTTGGGGCAAAACTATTGTATAAGTGAGGTGTGTCCTTCTTGGTACATCATGATGAAGTTGATATGTCTTATTTCTAGAGATTTTAATCTTAATAATTTGTTTAAGGCAGTGCCTACAGATTGTCCCCACTGTAAAGAAACATATCTATGTAGACTTTTTGAACATGTACAGTACATGTTGTGTTTCTCTACAAACTTTGACTAGTCACCAGTAGAAGAAAAGGATCCAGAAAAAGAATGGAGTATTGAACATCTCTTGTGTCCTACTTCACATTGTACTGTCACACTTTCTTAAAGCTGCCATTTTTTGGAACAACCAGCTGAGCTAAAATGTAATCAGATAGTATCTTGTCATAACTGTACAGAGTAACTTTGGGGACTTTAGCCATAAGGATTAGCTGGCAACAACAAAAAGGACATTGTTGGAATTCACTCAGATATACTTCCACATGTGCAAATGTGGAAGTGCAATGTTGCTAATTGTCTGATGTGGTTTGGCTCTGTGTCCCCAACCAAATCTCATCTTGTAGCTTCCATAATTCTCATGTGTTGTAAGAGGGACTGGATGAGAGATAATTGAATCATGGCAGTGGGCCTTTCCTGTGTTGTTCTCATGATAGTGGATAAGTCTCACAAGATGTACCTCACGATATCTGATGGCTTTCAAAACCGGAGTTTGGGTCGGGCCTGTTGGCTTATGCCTGTAATTCCAGCACTTTGGGAGGCCAAGGCTGGTGGATCACCTCAGGTCAGGAGTTCGAGACCAGCCTGGCCAACACTGTGAAACCCTGTCTCTAATAAAAATACAAAAATTAGCTGGGCATGCTGGTGGGCACCTATAATCCCAGCTACTCGGGAGGCTGAGGCAGGAGAATGGCTTGAATCTAGGAGGCAGAGGTTGCAGTGAGCTGAGATGGTGTCATTGCACTCCAGCCTGGGTGAGAAGAGCAAAACTCCATCTCAAAATAAATAAATAAATAAATAAATAAAAATAAAAATAAAAAAACAGGAGTTCACCTGTACAAGCTCTCTCTTTGCCTGCCACCATTCAAATAAGATGTGACTTGCTCCTCTTTGCCTTCCGCCATGATTGTGAGGCCTCCCCAGCCATGTGGAACTGTGAGTTCTCCATTAAACCCCTTTCCTTTGTAAATTGCCCACTCTCACATATGTCTTTATCAGCAGTGTGAAAATGTACTAATACACCATCCTTGGAGCAACCCTTCACAAGTGAGAGACAAAAACAGATGGATAAGTAGCCCCTGTCCTGAATCTCAGGAAGAACATTCTAAAGTGCATTTTCATAACTCCTTAGAGGCTTCCTACCAAGATGGAGTCCTGTGGCCTACAGTGGTGATTTTCTTGGTCAAGGGTTGCACCGTTGGTTTGGCTTTTTCTCCTTCTCTGCTTTTCAGTTTTCTAAGTCCTCCACTCATGTTCTTTGGAATATCTTTTTCCAAAATGGAATCCCAGCGCAGAAGCCCTTGTTTGTCATCTGCTTTTTTGCGGGAGACTACGTTAAAATATGTTAAAGCGAGACAGTCACTAAAACAGGAATCCATAGAAATCAAGAAATCAGAGCTCTGGCAAGATTAGAAATTTTGGAGAACAGTTAGACAGATAGTTCATTGGAGAGGGGAGTGGGGAAGCATATTAAGTGGTAAGCAGAGTAAAGGGAAGAAAGGAAATAGAAACAGTAAATAGAAATAGAATAGTAATAGACAGTATAGAAATAGAAATAGACAGTAAATAGAAACCACTCTTTTTTGAAGGAAATGGACAGATTGGGTGGCAGCTGGAGGGATATACAGGGAACACTGGGAAAAGACAGATGTTTCAAGAAATAAATACAATCTAATGGTGTAAGTGCTATAAAAAGCTGCCACATTTGCTGTGGAAAGAATACAGGAAGGCAATTTTCAAGGACAGTTTTGGCAGGTAGAGGGTTTCAGGCAAACTCCAGGAAACAGCTTTTGCTAAGACACTGAGTTCTGAAAGAGGAGAGTGTGTTTGAGGAATTTCAAGTATAGCACCTTGGCTGGAACACATAATGTGATGATGGTTATAGGTGACACTGGAAACTTTGCAGAGCCCGGCTATGATGGATTGTCTAAAGGGGCTGAATATTCTACCCTCCACTCAAGGAGCTTTCCTTTGTTAGCAGCACTTAAGTAATAAAATGAAGAAGCAATGCCACTATCATCTCAGGTATCTTCTAATTCTAAGTCCATAGTCAAACTGACCCGACTGTCTCAAAAATATATTTTTACAGTTGGTTTGCTTGAATCATAATCCAAATAAGATAATAGTTTAGATTTGGTTCTTGTGTCTCTTAAGCCTTTTTATTTCTGAGAAGTAGTCTTCTCACTCTTTTTCCCATGGCATTGACTTTTTGCCAAATTGAATCTAAACATTTAAAGTCTGACTGCTGAATAGTCAGCAAATGTTGATTATAAAATTTCTATTTTGTGGGATTAATCTAGGTTTTATTTTTTTCCAAACATGATCATTCTTAGGAAATGTAATGTACCCTAGGAAAGAAGGCTTATTTTATGTTTGGACAATAATATTAATCCTTTCGCTGCCCTGTCAACCCAACTGTTGGAAGGTGTGTTCAGGAAGGGAGAGGTGAACATCAATATCAATAAAGAAATCCATAACTGCCCTAAATCAGCCCCATTTCTGTGCTGAACAAGCATTCCTTTCTGTGTTAACAACTTGAAGCTAAGTGTCACCATGTTCTCCCTGTCATGGGATCCTGTGTTTTTATCAGAATTCTGTAGAATGCATTAAAGATAACTCTGTTGATGGAAGATCAGAAGGAAGTGATCCATTATGGCAAAAATGAGCTCAATAGTTATTATCTTATATTTTGCTACAAATATTTATGGGAAGGATTCCTTTGTAAATAGCTAAGAGAATGATCCCTCTCTTAAAGGACCTCTCATACTGAATGGCAGACAAATAACCCTTTTTGGCAAATAACTCTATTATGTGACATTCCTAAGGAAACCTAGAGACAACTAGAGGCCGATGTTTCAGGCCATCAGCTGCTAAACTGGCAGGTTATTGCTCCTGTTCCTCCTGCCAACCCATCCACAAACCACTGTGCAGCATCCACTAACATGGAGATCTGTGCTTTTCTTCTCCACCCAGTGCCATCTCCTAACTCTAGTCCCTCCCAGGTGACTGCGCGTTGATGAAACCCAGACCATTCTCACCAGAGTCATCAGTTAAAGTTTTCTGGAGCAAACAAACCCCTGAGTGTTCTGACTACATCATATCAGCTTGAATGTGCATGCAGATAACAAAGACCAGAAGTGACAGTGGGTTTAAAATAATGGCTGGGTGCGGTGGCTCACGCCTGTAATCCCAGCACTTTGGGAGGTGGAGGAGGGCAGATCACTTGAGGTAGGGAGTTTAAGACCAGCCTGGCCAACATGGTGAAATCCCCTCTCTACTAAAAATACAAAAATTACCTGGGCATGATGGCGGGCGCCTGTAATCCCAGAAACTTGGGAGGCTGAGGCAGGAGAATTGCTTGAACCCAGGAGGCAGAGGTTATAGTGAGCCGAGATCGTGCCACTGCATTCCAGCCTGAGCAACAGAGTGAGACTCTGTCTCAAAAAATAAAGATAAAATGAAGCAAAATAAAGAATAAAAAGGTTTTCTTTTCCACATAAAATAATCCTGAGTAAGACAGTTAGGGCAGGTATTGTTGTTTCAGAGTACAATTAGAGGACAAGGGTCCTTAATTCTTTCTGTTATTATAAACCAGAGGTTTTCAGTGCTGCAAGTCCTGAAAATCTGGACTTTTTTCTCTTTTCCTTTCTACTTCTGCTTGCAAACCAGCCAATTATTTTTCTGAGCTCACCTCTTTATCATGAAATTCAGCCAATAGCATATCAGGCTGCTTATACTCTGCTTTCCAACTTCTTTACCTAAGATAACAAGCTCATTTGGTTTATTATCTGCCCTCAAAATTATTACTGACAGGGTTTTGTCAAAATGTTTCACTACTGCATAAATTGCATGCTATCCATGACAGTTTCCACACTATTATCTGCCCAAACATGAAGTCAATACCACATTTGTTTATTTGCTTTTCCCCTCAACAATTTATTTCTAGAAACAAAGCATTTGTCAGGATGGACTAGCTATCCTGCTATAATAAACAACCTGAAATATTCTGGGGCATATAATCATCAATATTATTTCTTTCTAATTCTACACTATGCTGAGGCTTAGCTACATATTTTTTTCATCTCAGGACCCAGATTAAATGAGCAGTTCTTACCCAGGATGTTGCTGGGTACAAAGTAGAAGGAAAAAAAAAAAAGTAACCATGGGTTGAAGTAGGAGGATCACTTAAGCCCAGGAGTTTCAGGGTATAGTGCACAAGAACCGGGCCTGTGAATAGCCAATGCATTCCAGCCTGGTGAACCAGCAAGACCTTCATCTCAAACAGAAGGGAAGGGGAGGGGAGGGGAGGGGAGGGGAGGAAAGAAGGAAGGAAGGAAGGAAGGGAGGGAGGGAGGGAGGGAGGGAGGGAGGGAGGGAACAGAGAGAGACAAGAAAAAAGAAAGAAAGAAAGAAAGAAAGAGAAAGATAAAGAAAGAAAGAAAGAGAAAGAAAGGAAGAAAGAAAGGGAAAGGAAAGGAAGGGAAAGGAAAGGAAAGGAAAGGAAAGGAAAGGAAAGGAAAGGAAAGGAAAGGAAAGGAAAGGAAAGGAAAGGAAAGGAAAGGAAAGGAAAGGAAAAAGAAAAAGAAAGAAAGGAAGGTAGGTGATGGCTCCTAAAGCTGTGCTGGAAAGTCAAATACATCACTTCTGCTGACACTTCAATGTCAATGGAGCAGAGAAATATAATCCTCCTACAGGAAGTAACCTAGCTAAGCTTAGTCAGTAGGGCAGGATATACAGTCCACCCTGTATATCCTCGGGTTCTGCATCCATGGATGCAGCCAACTGTGGATCAAAAATATTTTAAAAAAAATTTTAAATAACAATACAACAAAAATAAGACAAATTAAAAATTACAGTATAGCAACAATTTGCATAGCATTTCCATTGCATTAGATAAAAGCAATCTAGAGATAATTTAAAATATATGAGAAGGTATGCATACGTTACAAGCAAATACTAGGCCATTCTGTATCAGAGACTTGAGTATCTGAGGATTTTGGTACCTTCAAAGGGTCCTGGAATTAATCCCCCAGACAGTCAAGGGATGACTGTCTAATCCTTTCACACAGAGGGTAAAGTAGATAAAGTAAGTCCACCATGAGCATTCTCTTGGCTCTTGCTATTTCAGTGGGCATCAATTTACTTCCAGCTGACAGTATGAAGCCCTTCCTGTCCATGTTTAGAGCAGGCCAATATGCCAGGGAATTAATGCCCAAGCCACCACCCCTACGAGCAGCCTTCAATCAATAAATACATTAGCTCCCTCATCTCTCAGGATAGCTCTGAGGTTCATGGTTTACACTGGAGGGAGTTCCAGTTGCTCTCATTGGTCATGCGCTTTATAGCATGTTCTTTCTTGGCCTTTATCCTATTTCTGTCTTGCTTTCCTTTCCCATATTGGTATTTCCTGTGATCACTGCCCAAATAAACTACTTACATTTGAATCCTTCCTTCAAGGTATCCTTCTGCAAGAACTTAAACTAAGATAGAGGGACAGAAAATATTTAGAGCAATGAGACAGTCTGTCACAAAAAAATACAAAGGCTTCTTGTAATAATTAGCAGTCTTTGCCAGAAATTCTATCACAAAAACTGACCCATCCTCTCCATGCTTCTGCCCTCAAATTTATTTATCTCTTGGTCAGACCAGAAATGTTGTTTCCCAGAAGGGATAAGGACTCCTATAATAGATTATTTGCTTTCACTTCTGGACCACAGGAAGCAAGTGCAGTCATATACTCTAAACAGACTTTACTGCCCTGCCTTTCACAGGACCTCAAGCACGTTTACACACAGTTGCTCTCTGCTCCCCGATACTGGTGCTGTCTCTATCATGAGGGGATGTGTGACAGTATGTGCATACAATTCTATTTCGATGACTGTCTCCCTGACTTCCCTCTTCTGTCTATGAAGATCACCTTGTCAATGCTATTTTGCATGAAACAAGCCTCACATATATGCAAAGCGCTTTCTCTGTACACATATACAAATTAAAGCAGAGATATAATATTGTTTTCTCTTTTCTTTTTGAATCCAAAAGAAACAAGACAAAGACTAAAAATCTCTTCATTTTTTTTTCTCTCTCTCTCACACAGAGACTATACATACACTTATATATCAAGGAGCCAGTTTGATACTCATCGCTTGAAATACTTTGAGATAAACA
The DNA here is from genome assembly GCF_000001405.40 of Homo sapiens. Classification (NCBI taxonomy): domain Eukaryota; kingdom Metazoa; phylum Chordata; class Mammalia; order Primates; family Hominidae; genus Homo; species Homo sapiens. Next base: position 30,401,537 of record NC_000003.12, read on the forward strand.
AGTGTGATAGCCCACAATTTAGTACCATGTATTTTATAGGACAATGTAAACTACAAGTGAATGTCTTTCTTATGCTATATTTTCTTCTGTTTAGGAAGGAAATAAACAGAAAGAGATTTTCTTTCTATTTTGAAGGAAAACTAAAACAAAAGGAAAAACATCCTAGGCAATGCCGTTCAGAAACCAGGATTTGTTTATGAAATGTTTTAAAATCCATTAGTTTTAAAAGATTGATATGACCTATAATTGTCCTGTAATCGAATAAGGATAAGATCATAGCAACTACGAAACAGAAAGCAGAAAACCTGTGCTAACTGTGATCACTACATATAAGCTCAAAAATGTTTGTAGCTGTAATAAACTAGGTGAATGCTAAAATGTTCTTGTTTTCTAATGAAAAAAAGAATACTTTTTCATCTAAAGAAAAAGATTTTACCTATTTGTATACTGTTTTCCATTTTCTTTCTTGTCATTGTCTAGAAGGATGCAGGAGAGAGGCCTTTTGTCATGAGGCATCCATGATGCAGATGCTGATCCTATGTCAAATGTTTAGGTGTTACTTTCTGCACATGAAGAGGAGTGCAATGATTCATCATCTACCAGTCCAGAACAAGCTTGAGGCTACAGGGAGCAGCCTGTGCTTTCATTTGCACATGACCCCAGTGAAGCCAGGAGCTAGTTATTATTTCCTTGAAGAGATATCCTCAGGGGCAAAAAGTTAATAGATTTCACATGCAAGGGATATTTGTGGATTGAGGACACAGAGCTAGAGCTGACAGAATCTAGATATTAAAAACTATTACATCTGTTACATTAGGGTTACCAGTCTAGGAATCTAAGGTAAAATTAACAATTAAAGAACTGGATGCTTTGGCATAAGATTGGCAACATTTTAATTGTACTAAGTAAAGACATTAAGAAAAACCAACCTACAAACACTACTTATTAGCACTACTATTTTTAGAAAGTAGGACATTTGAATTCGTTCCCCAGATGACTACAAATTGGTTTATAAGAAACCACCAGTATGGTCCTTGTTTTCCTCCAGATTGAAATCCTTAGGCTGGTGAACACTGTGTGGTAACCCTGCTCCAGTCCAAGAATGGGCATTAGGGAACTGCTGCTTGAGGGAGCCCACTGAAGAGCTGCTGTCTCCTTGCAGGGTCTTAATTTTTTTTTTTTTTTTAAGTTTTCTAAAGGCAACTACTATATTTTTAATTTATTTTACTTTTCAACTTTCATTTTAAATTCAGGGTGTACAAGTGCAAGTTTGTTACATGAGTAAATTGCATGTCACTGGGGTTTGGTGTACAAATAATTTCATCATCCAGGTAGCAAGTATAGTCCCCAGTGGGTAGTTTTTGACCCTCACCTTTGTCCCACCCTCCAACCTCAAGTAGGTCCCAGTGTCTGTTCTCCTCTTTGTGTTCTTGAGTTCGTATCATTTAGCTCCCATGTATAAGTAAGAATATGAAGTATTTAGTTTTATGTTCCCCTGTTAATTTTTGCAGGGCTTTCAATGACCTTTGGATGGCATGCACTTCAGCCCAAAGCCTTGGGCTGATTCTTACCTGAACCACACAAATTTTCTAGCTGCTAAATTGTTTGGCAATAGATTTCCCTGATAGATTTATAGGACTCCATGTTCTAATGCCAAAGATGTCTCCTGTCACATAATTCTTGAACTGTCTGTTCACAGAAGTCTGCACGTGGATGCACAGAATGAATGAGAACAAATTCACTGGGCAAAGAGTTTTGCTACAAACAATTGCAAAAGTTTAGATAAACTTGTTGGACCATATTCCTAACTGATTCTCTCTCTCTCTCTGCTAAACAGAACATATATTTAAAATATAGACAGTCTTTTCTCTTTTAGAAAAACTTGAGCCAAAGATAAAGTGAGGGGAATTGCTATTTGGTAAAACACTTTCCTGGAGGACAATGCGGTGTATATTATCCAGCTCAGTTTAATTTTTCTGACTCAAGAACTCTATAAAGACAGAAGGCAGATTTTCATCAGGAAACAAGGAATTTTTTCTAGCTCTTTCCACCAAGATTTTGTTTTTTTCATTTAAGAAAATGTCCATACTTTAAAATAATACATACTAAATTATGTAGTAAGGAAGTGACAGGAGGTCTAGAATTGGCATTAAAATACTTCAGCAATGTAAACTCAGTAAGTAGGAAGAGAGAAGAAATATGGCAAAATCTCAGCAACTATTGAAGTGAGGTGATGGGTAAAAAAAGCTCATTGTATTATACTTTCTAATTTTGAAAATGTTTGAAATATGATCATAATAACTTTTAAAATTAATAACTTAAAGGAGAAGCTACTAAAAGGAATTTATGTCATGTTGGGTTGGGTGGGGCAAAGGATTGTTAAGGGTCGGGTTATTGTCGGAAACAGGGAGAGAGACATTGACACCAAAACAATTGTCCCATATGCTGTCTTTAATATACAAGTTAAATGCAGTAATTTTGATAAAAATTGCTTCTCAGCAAATATCATCATGGATGCTGAATCTAGAGGGAATTTTCTGATGGGGAGTAAGATATTTGCGTGATCTCAAAGTGCTTCCCTGTAAATGACTTATTAGTTGCAAAAGGGAAAAACATCCTAAATATGTAGTGGGGAAGTTAGACAATACCTTTACCAGGTGATCACAGTTAATCTCGAATGGACAACTTGTGCCTCCAGATCTGATGCTTGTGATTCCCCAAGACAGACACATCACTTATGTAATACTTATGTGGACAAAAATAAGGTCCAAAGGATATTGGTGCAAAATTGCGGGAGATTCTTGGGAGCTTGGACAATCATGTAGGGACTGCCTTATTAGCTCTGAACCATCCTAGAACTCCTGTTGTATGAGGTGGAAATCAGCTTCTATCTTTACATTACAGCATTCTGAGCTCTTGATTCAGAGAGTCTATCCAAAAAGCATTTGCAGAATTTTTAGAAAGATAAAAAATTTTAGAAAACATATATGAACATGTGGCATGTCCTCAGGGTTATTTCATTGTTATGAATGCTTTCATTTACAACAAGAAACATAGCACAAGAAAAATGAGTAAGGAATTCAGGAAGTTATATGAGAAATAATAAAACAAGTCCAATGAAATGGAGGGAATTAATAAAGTTAAAAGCTGAAAATAAATAATTAAAGACATAGGCTGCATAAATCAAAGAACAAGTTCCTGAGGAAAACAATGAATTTTCCTGGCAAATGTAATCTCAAAAGAAATTGGAGAACATAAATTCACAAATTAGGTTTAAAATATGATATAACAAGATAAATGGTTATTGTTTTCAAAGCATAGGGCAATAATATATATTACCAATTCCTATAGAAAATATTACAAAATTGTACAGAGATAAAATATGACACAAATAGTCATGGAATAAATGGAAAAAGTTCATAAAAAGGATCTAGGCTCAGATATGATTTTATAGACTAGTTATTTTAAAGTATAAAGAGACAGAAAAGTCTCATATTACATAAACTTTTTCCATCACTGAAAATGATGGGAAGCTTAACAGTTCATTTTACATGATAAGCTTAATCCTGCAGCTGAAATCTAACAGAAGGGATCAAAATATAAAATTTTTAAATGAAATAAAATAAAAATAGAAACATTTCACATCATCACTTCATAATACATTTATAACATGTGAACTTTGCTATGTAAATGCTATACTTCATTAAAGTGAAAGTATAAATATATAAATATTATTGATATATATTCTAAGTTCTTAAAGTACAGTCAGTCAAATTTGGTAGTTTATTAAAAGAAATGATTCATCAAGAGCAAGTAGAATATAATCTAAAAACCTTATCCATCTATTATGGTTTCTTAATAAGAAATGTGATAATATGAATTATCACACCACACGAAAAATCATGTAATCAGTTTAGAAAATTAATCAATGAATATCAGTACATTACACACAAAATCTTGAACAAGAAAAGAAAGAATATGTAACGTGAGGCTAACTTAGCATATAAGAATAAAACAACAAAAACATTCTCATTAAAATGAGAAAAGAAACAAAGATTTGAACTATTGTCACTACCTTTTCTTAAGCTTTGTTTTGCAAGATTCAATCAATGGCATAAAACAAGAAGTGTAACCAAGATGTTTAACAATTGCAAAGGAGGAGATTCAATTACTATTTATAGTTGACATTATTTGACTAGAAAAGTGAGAAGAATCAACTAGAAAATGCTATACAACTAACAAAATGTCCAGAGACAAAATAAATCTGTAAAATCCAATAGCTGCAGTGAAACAATAATCACTAGGAAAACATTCAACAGAAAAATGTGTGCAAAATAACTTTATAAAAGAAATAAAAGAGTGGATATACACAATATTCTGGGATGAAAATAAATTTTTCCCAAGTAAATTTCAAAATTTAATATAAAACTCAAGGTGTTTGCTTTTTAAAATTCTGGCTAATTGATTATAAAATTTATCCGGAAAAATATAGGGTTGATACTTGCCAAGAATACTTTGAATAAGCAAGGGGTATTAAAAAATTTCTCAATGAAATTTGAAAATAGACATAAAAAGATAATAATTCATGCTGTAGTAATAAAGTAGAAATAAGCAAAAAAGTAATTGAAATCCCAGAAAACACATTTTTTATTAAAAAAAGGACTTTAAAAGGTAACATTTTACACCAATAAATATTAATTGAACCATTGGTTAACTCTTTGGGGAAAAAAATCAAAATTTGATACCTCATACAAAACGCTAAAATGCATTCCAGGTGGATTAAATAGGTAAGTATTTTAAAACAAAGCAAATGATAACATGGCAATCAAAGAGTAGAAATTTAAACTCATAAATTCTAACTGAAATGGTTAAAATATATTTATAAATAAATAGTTAAAAAAATATTAGTGTTGAAAACAAGGAAATTGTACCGCCATATGCCCAAAACTTTAACTGCGCATAAGATTAGACTACAGGAAGGGCACCAAAATTAGCAAATCCCAGCAAGCAAAGCAAAAGCTGCCTAAGGAGTAATAAGAGGATACGCCTAAGAAAACCCAGAACCTGCCCAAAGTTGGAGTAAGAACTGGATATAAGGACGAGCTGTGGGGCAGCCCTGATAAATTTGTAAAAATGTCCGTAGCAGGATAATGCCTCAAAATGTTGCTGATTATGCTGCCTTCTACCCATAGCATACCCACTGGCCGTCTTCTTTTCGTAGCTATGTGGAATGTGTACTCAATGTCATGTGTAGGTTCACAGTGAAGTCAAAGATGCCACACTCATGGCTTCTGAGTTGAGTCCCTGCCGTCATACTGCCACATCCCCACATTCCAGAGCAGACAAAAGCAGAGGAGATAAAATAATTTTGGAAAGACAACAAAAAAACAGACATGGTCATATGTTGTGTGGATAGGAGGATTCCTCCAACCTCTAGTCACCTCTGTCTCTAGCCTATAGTTCTGGTGGAAATCTTTCTTTAAATTTGGTAATCTCAGAATAGAGTGAATTTGTGGCTCTATTAGCTGGAACTCCAGGTCACTAGAATCCTGGAAGACAAACTTTAAGAAGTATAATTTCAGGAAACTTATGAAAGTTAAAGAATAAATCCATATCCCTCAGGACTCACAAAAGCACAGGCGAGACATTGATCATTTTCTATACCTAAGAGAAGGCCATGGAGGGTCTGAGAAAAGTCCCAGCTGTATGAACTATGTTTGACTGCTGAGACCAGCAACCTGCATGGACCTGGGGACTGGAGGTCTGGTGGGACCAGAGTCATGTCAGCAGGGTAAAAATTGATGACCAGCATCTAGCACAAGACAACTAGACAATTCCCAATTATCCACATAGATAGGAAATGTGCCTGAAGACTGAATCACTTATATCAGCAGTAAAAGCCAGCAAAGAAGAAATAATCCAACCACCATCACATACACAAATGGAACACACACACCTCTCAACATAATAATGTTCATAAGACCCTTCTTTCCTGAACAAAGAAGAGGTGAAGGACAGAGTATGATTAAATTATACTTTTGGAGTTAGTGAAAAATCCCTGGATCAAACTGAGAGAAACTTGCAATTGGATAGATTTGATTGTCTGCTGCTGGACAAGCTTGAGGCTAAAACTTAGAAATCAATTTGAGTGAAGAAATGTTTCATTTTTATGTGCGTGAGTCTGTGACTGAGAAATTCATGCCTATTATACCTTCATCAAATCAGACTTATCCTCACTTAGCAATCACTAGTAGTTTCCCAGTTGTACTTAGAATGAAATCCAAATTCCGCAATGGCCCACAAAACCCTGCATGATCTCCTCCTGGATAACATCTCTTAGCTCATCTCTTATCATTCTCTCCTCCCTCCACAAATATTTCAGCAGCACAGAACTTTCTTCTAATTCTCTGTCCCTTAACAGAGCAAAACTTCCTTGAGTCAGTTTATATGCTGAACCCCTTATCTGAAGTGCCCTTTCTTTGTTCTGAATGCAATTTCTTATTTTTTAAAAAACCTTTAAATTCCTTCTTATTCTTTAGTTCTCAACTCTAATGCCATATTCTCAAATACACACACTCTGAATTTCCTTTCTAACTTAGAGTAATTGTGTACTAAATCCACAGATAGATTTTCTTCATCATACTTTATAGATCAAATTCTGTATTTATTTGTCTACTTGCTCATTATTTGGTTTGGCTGTGTCCCCACAAAAATCTCATCTTGAATTGTAGTTCCCATAATGCCCACATGTCGTGGGAGGAATCCTGTGGAGGTAATTTAATCATGGGTGTTTTTACCCTCATGCTGTTCTCATGATAGTGAGTGAGTTCTTATGAGATCTGATGGTTTTATAAGGAGCTTTTTTCCCCTTTTGCTTGGCACATCTCCTTCCTGCCAGCATGTGAAGAAGAGGGTGTTTGCTTCCCCTTCTGCCATGATTAGAAGTTCCTGTGGCCTCCCCAGCCATGCTGAACTGTGAGTCAAATCAACTTCTTTCCTTCGTAAGTTACTCAGCCTTGAGTATGTCTTTATTAGCAGCATGAGAAAGGACTAATATACTACTTTCTCCCACCAAGTGTAAACTTTCCAAGGGCAAGGAGACCATTTGCTTTTTATCATTGTAAATACCTATTTCCTAGTTAGTGCTTGGGACATAGGATGTATTCAATAAAATTTTTTTGATTGAAATGAATTACTCAGTTATTTAAAATCATCTTATAGAAGATTATGTGCAGACAGAAAATGTTTATCATATACTGTTAAAAAATGGCAGATTACAAATAGATGATCTCAATTTTGTAAATATATGTATATATAAACAAATAGTTGAACACCAAAAAAAAAAAAAAGCTAACATTCTGCAAGGAAATATACCGAAAACTAGCAGTCATTATTTTGTTTCTTTTTTTTTACACTTTATTGAATTTTTAAATTTTTTTACCCTATACATACATATAAAATTAAAATCACTAAAAGATCTCAAATATAGTAATTATCTGATGAAGTTTTGTTTTTTCAGAGTTCTTTTTCTCTTTCATCTTTTTATCCATCCTTAATCCTGACTAAGAGAAGTTTGTCATGGAAATAGCAGACTTGGGTTGAAATTTGTTTACCTCTTTAAAAACATGTGATTTGAGACAAATTGCTGAATTTCTCTGAGCCTTAACTTTTTCATATAATGAAAATAGTGTTAAATGAGAATAATTAAAACTGTCCCACCTGAGATGATGTGAAAAGGACTTTCTAGTGTAGTTGCTATAACAGAATTGAAGGAAAAAAAGGGGAGTAGATCACCTCCCATTCTCCACTTTTCTCTTCTCATTTTACTTTTGTTTATTGTTCTTTTCCTTTTTTCCACCTGCTTGATCTGTGTCCCCTAAATTCTGGATTCAATCAGAAGTCCTCTGAAAAATCGAAATCTGGTTTATTTGTTTGAAATCTTGTCTGCTCAATAAAACATACACTAGGATTGACAGGGCCAGAGAAACTAAACGTCTTCAGGATATTCTGTAAGTGCTGTTTCTAAATTCTCACCACCATTTTCCTTTTTCTCACTGTCTCCTTTTAAGCTTTGTAACTCTTGGCACCAGGGGAAAAAATTTAAAGTTTTTAAAAAGCAACCTGAGGCCAGAGTTTGAAAAGCTTACAAAAAGAAAAAATTACTGTATACATAATATTCTACATCGCCTTTTCCTAGCCAAAAAAGATGTCACAAACTTTTCAAACGTGGAGATGCATAATAGGTTTGGCATATACAGGGGAGGGGATTGTGGAATCTAATTCCAAACGGGGAAAACAAAGTTTGAATTTATTTTCTAAGTGACTCAGGAGAGATTTAAAAGTTGAAATGTTACCATTTGTTTGGCTTCTCTCAACAGCATCAGCCATTTTCATTTCACGTGGGAAGAACAATATGAGACAAACAACCTAAGATTAAATGAAACCAGTTGGATTGGAGAGATGCATTTACATTTTACCACCTGGATAAGTGTATTTTCCTCTTGTGGCTTTATAGGCTTGGGGGCTATTGAAAAATATCTGTCTATAAATTGAATCAACACTCATTAAACTCATTAAGAGAAATGTAGTTAGGAATTTAGTATGGAAAGCAAGCCCTTCGTTTTTATTGGATTTTACAATAGGGAGCACTCTAAGCTTTTAGACATTAAGGCAGGAAGGGGCTAACTATAGAAATTACTCCAGTGTGGGCTTCGACTTTGGAGAGGCTATGCTTCTCTAGAGAGAATGTATGCACAGCAGAAGAGTAAGATGAGGCAGATATTTTATTTCCTACACATCCCAAAATAATAACCCTACTCTGATTTATCTTACCATTACCCCATTTTTTCTCCCCCTCATCCACAACAGTTCTCTAACTCCTGCCTGGTTTTCCTTTAGTTTCATAACTCTTCACAGATGACTTTTGAAAATATTTCACTCTCTGCAGCCTGATGATGACGACGAATATTTTGCTGTATGTTCAGAAACAATAAATTATTATATAATTATCACTGTGCACAAGACAGAAGAAACCTATCTCTTGAAAACAACACTTAAAATATTCACATAAAATGCAAATTAACTGTCTTTTCATAAGAGAATTATCTTTCTGTCCTGTAAAGTTCTTCCAGGATAAAGAATTTCCACTTCCAAAGTTTATTTCCAATGGTTTCAACTTAGCAAACATGTAAACATGTCCCAGGCTCCAGGAGCTATGCTAGGTACTATACATAGTATACAAGAGGGAAAGAGAGAAGGCAACTGCCAATCTCTTTCTGGGAACTTTATACCTTACCTTACTGAGGTACCATTTACTATGGATTAAACAGAGTTAAAGAAGATAACTAATTTTTACAAGACAGTGACCTACCATTTGAATCTGAATTTTCAAAAATCCATGATATTTTCCACTATCCTAAAGTTTGAGACAACTCAGAAGGAAATAAACATTTGTACTAGGATAAGTCAAAATTCTATTTATCAGAAGTAATCTTAGAAAGAGAGACTACTATATTAATTTGGAATTAATTATTTGATAAGCCCACCCACACCCCATACTATTTCTGATGGTTCTTTTGGTTTTTGATAAGATGGCAAGGGTGTAAATGACAAGAAAAAAAATGTGTTGTTCCTGGGAAGGAAAGGGGAAGAGGGTGAGCAAAAAACTTCTAAACCCTTTAGACTCCCCAGTGCATTCAAGTTGGGCATCTGTGAAAACACCTGAAAAACTTGAGCTTCAAGTCATGACCAACCTGGAGGTAAAACAGACTCAGTTCAAGTGGATCTGGGAATTGAAGGGGCGGCTTAGATTCTGCTGAAGTGTGAATTAATGTTACATTTGATTGATTCTTTTTTTTTTTTTTTTTTTTTTTACTTTGGGATATTTTAAACTTCTTTTTTTTTTTTAATTATACTTTAAGTTTTAGGGTACATGTGCACATTGTGCAGGTTAGTTACATATGTATACATGTGCCATGCTGGTGCACTGCACCCACTAACTCGTCATCTAGCATTAGGTATGTCTCCCGATGCTATCCCTCCTCCCTGCCCCCACCCCACAACAGTCCCCAGAGTGTGATATTCCCCTTCCTGTGTCCATGTGACCTCATTGTTCAATTCCCACCTATGAGTGAGAATATGTGGTGTTTGGTTTTTTGTCCTTGTGATAGTTTACTGAGAATGATGATTTCCAGTTTCATCCATGTCCCTACAAAGGACAGGAACTCATCATTTTTTATGGCTGCATAGTATTCCATGGTATATATGTGCCACATTTTCTTAATCCAGTCTATCATTGTTGGACATTTGGGTTGGTTCCAAGTCTTTGCTATTGTGAATTAGTGCCACAATAAACATACTTGTGCATGTGTCTTTATAGCAGCATGATTTATAGTCCTTTGGGTATATATCCAGTAATGGGATGGCTGGGTCAAATGGTATTTCTAGTTCTAGATCCCTGAGGAATCGCCACACTGACTTCCACAATGGTTGAACTAGTTTACAGTCCCACCAACAGTGTAAAAGTGTTCCTATTTCTCCACATCCTCTCCAGCACCTGTTGTTTCCTGACTTTTTAATGACTGCCATTCTAACTGGTGTGAGATGGTATCTCATTGTGGTTTTGATTTGCATTTCTCTGATGGCCAGTAATGATGGACATTTTTTCATGTGTTTTTTGGCTGCATAAATGTCTTCTTTTGAGAAGTGTCTGTTCATGTCCTTTGCCCACTTTTTGATGGGGTTGTTTGTTTTTTTCTTGTAAATTTGTTTGAGTTCATTGTAGATTCTGGATATTAGCCCTTTGTCAGATGAGTAGGTCGTGAAAATTTTCTCCCATTTTGTAGGTTGCCTGTTCACTCTGATGGTAGTTTCTTTTAAAGGGGATATCACCACCGATCCCACAGAAATACAAACTACCATAAGAGAATACTACACACACCTCTACACAAATAAACTAGAAAATCTAGAAGAAGTGGATAAATTACTGAACACATACACTCTCCCAAGACTAAACCAGGAAGAAGTTGAATCTCTGAATAGACCAATAACAGGAGCTGAAATTGTGGCAATAATCAATAGCTTACCAACCAAAAAGAGTCCAGGACCACATGGATTCACAGCTGAATTCTACCAGAGGTACAAGGAGGAACTGGTACCATTCCTTCTGAAACTATTCCAATCAATAGAAAAAGAGGGAATCCTCCCTAACTCATTTTATGAGGCCAGCATCATTCTGATACCAAAGCCAGGCAGAGACACAACAAAAAAATAGAATTTTAGACCAATATCCTTGATGAACATTGATGCAAAAATCCTCAATAAAATACTGGCAAAACGAATCCAGCAGCACATCAAAAAGCTTATCCACCATGATCAAGTGGGCTTCATCCCTGGGATGCAAGGCTGGTTCAATATACACAAATCAATAAATGTAATCCAGCATATAAACAGAGCCAAAGACAAAAACCACATGATTATCTCAATAGATGCAGAAAAAGCCTTTGACAAAATTCAACAACCCTTCATGCTAAAAACTCTCAATAAATTAGGTATTGATGGGATGTATTTCAAAATAATAAGAGCTATCTATGACAAACCCACAGCCAATATCATACTGAATGGGCAAAAACTGGAAGCATTCCCTTTGAAAACTGGCACAAGACAGGGATGCCCTCTCTCACCACTCCTATTCAACATAGTGTTGGAAGTTCTGGCCAGGGCAATTAGGCAGGAGAAGGAAATAAAGGGTATTCAATTAGGAAAAGAGGAAGTCAAATTGTCCCTGTTTGCAGACGACATGATTGTATATCTAGAAAACCCCATTGTCTCAGCCCAAAATCTCCTTAAGCTGATAAGTAACTTCAGCAAAGTCTCAGGATACAAAATCAATGTACAAAAATCACAAGCATTCTTATACACCAACAACAGACAAACAGAGAGCCAAATCATGAGTGAACTCCCATTCACAATTGCTTCAAAGGGAATAAAATACCTAGGAATCCAACTTACAAGGGATGTGAAGGACCTCTTCAAGGAGAACTACAAACCATTGCTCAAGGAAATAAAAGAGGATACAAACAAATGGAAGAACATTTCATGCTCATGGGTAGGAAGAATCAATATCGTGAAAATGGCCATACTGCCCAAAGTAATTTACAGATTCAATGCCATCCCCATAAAGCTACCATTGACTTTCTTCACAGAATTGGAAAAAACTACTTTAAAGTTCATATGGAACCAAAAAAGAGCCTGCATCGCCAAGTCAATCCTAAGCCAAAAGAACAAAGCTGGAGGCATCACACTACCTGACTTCAAACTATACTACAAGGCTACAGTAACCAAAACAGCATGGTACTGGTACCAAAACAGAGATATAGATCAATGGAACAGAACAGAGCCCTCAGAAATAACGCCACATATCTACAACTATCTGATCTTTGACAAACCTGAGAAAAACAAGCAATGGGGAAAGGATTCCCTATTTAATAAATGGTGCTGGGAAAACTGGCTAGCCATATGTAGAAAGCTGAAACTGGATCCCTTCCTTACACCTTATACAAAAATCAATTCAAGATGGATTAAAGACTTAAATGTTAGACCTAAAACCATAAAAACCCTAGAAGAAAACCTAGGCATTACCATTCAGGACATAGGCATGGGCAAGGACTTCATGTCTAAAACACCAAAAGCAATGGTAACAAAAGACAAAATTGACAAATGGGATCTAATTAAACTAAAGAGCTTCTGATTGATTCTTTCTACTGCTTGGTGTTCCTGACACTCCTGTTTGTGAAGAAATTCCCACATTTTTCAAAGAAAACTAGAGATTGAGACTTCAGCTGTGTGACAACAGAAACTGAAAACCAACTCTAAGGGGCTAGAATATAACCTGCCTTTTAAACAAATTGTCTTTTTAGGCCTGGATGTGTTCCAAGGGTGACTGAGGTTGGACTGTAGTGGGAAAGCCAATATCACCAGATGAACTTTATTTCACAAGGAACAACCAGGATCCCCAAATTGGAAGGACATTGGTGTGTCATCAAAGAATGAAGCATGACTTTGTTACTTTCTAGAATTGTACCCATTCAATGGTCTAATAATAAGAAAACTTCTGCAAAAATAACGTCAATGCTTTTTCTGTAAGGTAAAAAAAATCTTATAGTGAGAACCAGACTTGATTCAACATACACTCTGGAGATTAAACTAAAATCCAGCTTTAAAACTGTACCCTATAACCAGCATGGGCATTATAGTTTGTCATATTCAGTACACTGTTTGTTCTCTCAGAGGCCATATGCATTATTTTGTAAAAGATAGTTTCAGGCAATGCCTGGAACATCTGTTGAATGATCAATCTTTGCATAGTAGCAAAAGGAAAATACATTATTTCTGTTTTTATCTAGAAATTTCTGGAAAACTTGCAATGTCTTTTTTTAATGTTATGCCTTTGTTTCATGTAGTTTTCCAGACAAAATAATGAAGACATAAGCAAGCCAAGAGAGTTATCTAAGTTGAAAAGTTTGGATTGTTCTAATTATACCTAATTAGAGATCAAAATGAAAAGTGCTTAGGGTGAAACCATTAATCAAAAAGAGGTCACTGCTCACTACTCAACAGAATTAAATGTACCAATATGATTTCCTTTTCTAAGTAAGCAATGTACTAGTCAATCATTACTTACAACGTGACCCATTTAAATAATTAAACTATATTTCAGGTCTTGTGTGCTATTTGAAGAGGAATAATGAGGTCTTTAATAACAATTTCATGCTTGAATTTTCATATCTGGAGGAAAGAAAGCCAATGTTCTGGAGTGGAGGATGAAAATATTAAAGTGTTTTTCTGATATAGAAAGAAAAGAATATACTACTACCCTTTCTTATTCTCTAGATTTGGCATAGATTCTTTGAGAAGCCATTAATATCTACCTAAATAAGCATTCTCTCACCCTCTTTTTAAACTCCCAGTGATGCCAATTTAAGTAGAATACAAATGGCATTCTATCTCACTATGGAATTGAGTCATAGACTCATGCAATGAGAGAATGGACATGATAGAGATAAATGCAGCTGTTATGGACTTAATCATGTCCACCTTAAATTCATATTTTAAAGCCCAACCCCAAATATGACTATATTTGGAGATATGGCATTTAAGGAGATAATTAAGGCTAAATGAAGTCATAATGGTGGGATCCTGCTTCATTATGTCGATGACCTTATAAGAAGAGAGAGAAAGAGACACCAGGCCTGTGTGAGTACAGAGAAAAGGCCATGTGAGGCAACAGTGAGAAGGCAACCATCTTTAAGCCAAAGAGAGAGGCCTCTGGAGAAACCAAACTTGCCACCATCTTGAAATTGAACTTTCATTCTCCAGAATTGTGAGAAATAAATTTCTGTTGTTTAAGTTATCCAGCTTGTGGTATTTTGTTATGGCAGCCCTAGTGGGCTAATAGAGCAAGCCTACAAATAAGAACATACCACTGTGTTCTAATAAACATTGCCATCAAATTTGGTATTTCTAATTTAATTAGCCTTCTCTCTCTTATTTATTTACTTTTTCAACCAACACAGACAATTTACTGATGCTAGGATCAGCATTGGAAAAGATCAGAAATGCCTCTGCTCTCACAGATCTTATGTTCTCATTGAGATACAGAGAAAATAAATAATGAAACAAATGATAAACTGTAATTTCTGATAATAAGAAGTCCTGAGAAGTAATTAAACAGTAAGATGATAGAAAGCCTGGAGAAGGGTCTACTTTAGGGAGAGAGATCTGGAAGGCCATTGTGAGGAGGTGGCATTTAAGTGGAGAATTGGAGAGTGAGAAGGATCTGAGTGAAGAGCTGGAAAGGAAGTTTTTCAGAGAAAGGGAATAGCCAGGACAAACTCGTAGTGATGGGAATGAACTTGGTTTGCTTGAGACACTGGAAAACAAGCCAGTGTGACTATAATATCCTGAACAAACGACAGGGTGGTATGATGCATTGAAAGAAAAGGCTGGTCCTAGAGTAGTACACAGAGTGAATGTTAAAAGTCTAGGGATTCCATTTTCCATTTTATATAGCAGTCACTCATATAAGACTATACTTTCATTTTTCTCTCTTCCTTAATATATTGTCTTGTCTAAGCTTCTGTGAGTCTACACTTGCCTCAGTTTCCTCATAAACTACTGACTGTTCCTTCTAAAACTCCTGTTTGGCCCTTCTCTTTTGTACTGGAAATGTCAGAGGATGCCAGGGGCTAGTCTTTGCCCCCGTCTCTCTTTCTCACTCATCCAGGCTCTTGACGTCACAGTGGTACTTCAATTCTACCCTGGCATGGCATTAGGTGTTGTCATACTATAATTAACAGCTAAACAAGCTCTCAATGCCCCCTCCCTGCCTACTCCACACCTAGTTTTCTCTATCTCATAATGGCAGAGCCCTCCCGAGACTTGATGGCTCCAGCCCAAAACCTTGAAAATGTCTCCCTCTCTCTCACCTGCATTTTCATAATCTACCATTTAGCTCCCCAAACACCTCAAATCCACCCACTTGTCTTCACCAAGTCCAGTCATCATTTATTGCCATAACTATAGCAATAGCCTCTTAATGATCTATGAATTTCCATCTTTGTTTTCCCTGCCACCTGTTCTCAATTCAGTGACCAGTGGTCTTATAAAGGCAAAAGTCAGATTACATCATTCCCTCCAAAGGCCTCCAATGCCCTTAGAACACAATCTGACCTACCCAGCCAAGCAAGTCATGGCTTCACCTTATCCCGACTGGCCTCACATCACTCTCCCCATTGCTCACTGGGCCCCACTGCACTGATCTCACTTCTTTTTTTGCAATACACCAAGCTTATTTCCACTTACTGTGGACCAACCACACTATTATGTCCCCACTCAGAATTCTCTCTCCACATTTCCATGGGGTGACTCCTTACCTCAGCTCAAAAATCTCCAAGAGGTTTTCCATAGCCTCCCAATGTAAAGTGGCCCTCTCCTTACCCACTCCACTATTACCCTCAATCTCATTACACTCTTTCCTTCTTTGTTCTTTCCACAATCTGAAATAATGGGGCTTGTTTAATCATTCACTGTCTCCCCTTAGTAATATGTAAGCTCCAAAAGGCCAGGACATTTGTCTACCTTATTTATTGCATGTCCCCCATTCTATGCCAAGTAAGTAGATGGAATCTATAGTTCCTTCTTGCTTCTATGTCACAAAAACAGAGGCTGTTTTCATAGGGATTTCCAAGGTAGTTTTTTACAGTACATCTGTGACTAGGATGAAATACATAGGTACGTCTTCCCTCACTGCCAAGAGTTTTACTGATGGAAGTGAACTGGCTCTCCAGAGGAGCAAGTATTGGTTCTAAAATCCTGTGTTTAATAGGACAACATTGCTACCAGATATTCATTGTGCCTTTGTTTTGCATAGGGTGACTTATCTTGCATCATGCAAATGCTGCAAAAAAAAATCTAACTGTATTTCTCTTTTAACTGTTCTCAAGGAGTTCATAAACTAAATAATAAAAGAGATGGAAAAACAACTGCAATGTAATATATAATGTCTAATAATAGAAATATGGACCTAAAAGCATAGGTAAGGGGACAGTTCATGCTTCTTGAGGGTATGGCAGCAAAAAAGACAGCACAGACTGGGGTGACATTGGGCAAGTCTTTGATGGACAACTGTGAGAACCAGAGAAGGAAGTAGGACATTACTAAAGTGGAAACTGTCTAAAAAGTTAGCCAATGTAAATAAGCATGAATTTTTTAAGAGAGGCTTTTTTTTAATAATAAAAGTTTCAATGCCACAGCAAGACAAAATAATACTAACAGTTGTATGCATGTGATATCATAGCCTCGAATTACACAAAGCAAAAGTAGATAGAACAAAAACTAGAAATAGGTAAGTTAAATGCCATAGTTGGATATTTTCATACGTTACTCTCAGAGTTTGATAAAACAAGTAAATAAAAGATCAATAAGGGTACAAAAGATTGAAACACAAAGTTGGCTGAATTTCTATATGTAGAACCTAATACTTAACATTTGCAAAATACACATTCTTTATAAGTACACATGTGACCTTTGATGATGTAGTCAGAGAAGAAAAATGCATGAAACTTTCTAAGAATAATGAATCATATCAAAGATGAGCATCAGCAGTTATCTGATATAGCTTAATATTGGGGATGGTAATATTTGGTTTCCAACTCTACAATTCTAATTTGCATGCTGACACTATAGATTAGAGTTAACAAAATGATTAAATCAAGTTTGCAGCTGTCTTTTGTTTAGACTGCAATGTTTTATAGAATTCTAATTTGATGCCAACATTAAAAGTCAAGATTTTTGTGTCTTCTTGGGAGACACATCTATTTAAGCCCTTTGTCCATTATTTAATCAGGTTATTTGAGGGTTTTTTTTTTTGCCATGGAGTCATAGGAGTTTCTTACATATTTCCAATATCAACACTTCTCAAATATATGATTTGCAAATATTTTCTCCCCTTCCATAGGTTGCCTTTTCCTTTTGATGATTGTATCTCTTGCTGTGCAGAACTTTTGAGTTTGATGTAGTCCCACTTGCCTAGTTTTGCTTTTGCTGCCTGCATTTTTGATATCATATTAAAAAAATCATTGCCAACACCAATACGTAGGAGATTTTTTTTCCGTTTTCTTCTAGGAGTTTTAGATTTGAGGTCTTATAATTAAGTCTTTAATCCATCTGTATTAATTTTTGTATATAGTGTACAATACAGATCCAACTTCATTCTTTTGCATGTGGATACCCAGTTTTCCAAATACCGCTTATTAAAGACTCTTCTTTTCTCATTTTGCATTTTTGATGACCTTGTCAAAGATTAATTGACCTAACGTGCATAGATTTATTTCTGGGCTCTCTTTCTGTTCCGTTTGTCTACTAGTCTCTTTTTATCCCAGGTTTATGAAAAGGTGCTTGCCTTTACTAATCATCAGGGTAGTGCAAAAGAAACATACATGAGATATCACTTCACATCTGTTAGCATGGCTATTACTTTTAAAAAACATAACAAGTGTTGGTGAAGATGTGGAGTAAAGGGAACCTTTGAATACTGTTGGTGGGTATGTAAATTGGTACAGCTGTTTTGGAAAATGGTGTGGAAGTTCTCATAAAAAATTAAAAATAAAACTGCCATCTGATCTAGCAATTCCACTTCTGGGTATTTATCCATCCAAAGAATTGAAATCAGGATCTCAAAGAGATACCTATACTCTCATATTCATTGTAGCATTATTCACTAAAGTCAACACATGGAAACGACCTAAATGCTTATGGATGGATGAATGGATTCAGAAAATGTGGTACTTACATACAATGGATGTATTATTCAGCCTGAAAGAAGAAAGAAATCCTTCAATTTGCAATCACATAGATGGGTCTGGAGGACTTTATTCTAACAGCAATAAGCCAGACACAGAAAGACAAATACTGTATGATCCCACTTATATGTGGAATGTAAAGTAGTCAAACTTGCAGAAGCAGAGAGAAGAATGGTGGTTTTCAGGGGCTGGCGGTAGAGAGAAGTAGGGTGATGATGGTCAAAGGGTACAACATTTTGGTTATACAAGGTAAATAAATTCTGGAGATCTACTATACATCATAATGCCTATATGTAACAATATTGTATTGTATACTTAAATTTTGCTAAGAGGATAGATTTTTGTGTTGTGTTCTTACCATAAATAGTATTAACAATAATAATAATAATAATAATAATGAAGAAGAAGTAAGAGGAAACTGGGAGGTGAGGGACATGTTTACAGTCTTGATGGTGGTGATGGTTTCACGGTGTGTACTTACCCCAGACTCCTCCAGTTACATATATTAAATATGTACAGCTTTTTACATGTCAATAACAGCTCAGTAAAGTGGTTTTAAAAAAATTAACTCAGCAGATCTTACATAAAACTGCGAATTGCTGACTTTCTTTGAAAGACTAAAAACTGTGTCAAGGCTGGTGGACGCTCTTAAGAAGCTATCATGGGCTGAAGCTGACGGACTGGCTCATTTAGGTGGGACAGGCAAGCAGGTTTGACTTTGCCAGAGTTCCCTTCGCACTTAGGTAGGACCCTCATTTTACCTGGCACTGTGCATTCTAAGCTTACTGCTTCTGCCTTTTGACTTAATGTATTTACTCTGACAAGAAAAATTAAGAGATTTAAGAAAAATGTTTAAGTCAACATTTACTGAAGTGTAATGTACATTAAGAAAAGTGCATTAATTGGTAGGTCTTCATACGTTCTCACAAAATAAACTCATTTATGTGACCACCACATAGAACAATAAATAAAAGATTACAACATCCCAAAAGTCTCTCTCATGTTTCTACCCCTCGTGATTATCAACCACAGAATATAAAAACTATTCTAACTTCTAACACTGTGGATTCGTTTTCACTGGTTTTTCACTTTTTAAAATGGGATACTACCGTGTACTATTTTATGTCTGGTTTCTTTCAATCAACGTAATAATTTTGAAATTCATTCAGCTTACTTTTACAACAATAAATTACCCATTTTCTTTGGTGGATCGTATGCAATTGCGTGAACATATCATAATTTATCCATTCTACTACTGATTGCTCTCAGTTTGCTTCCAGTTTGTGGCACTTATTTATAATGCAGTTATTAAAATTCTTTTACATGTCAATTGATGTACATATCTGAGTTTTTCTTTGGAGTATACATGTAAAAGTGGAGTTGCTAGATGAAAAAGTAGGTATACGCACAACTTTGAAGGATACTGCCAACAGTTTCCTAAAGTGGCTGTATACATTGACATTCTCACCAGGAGTAGCTGAGAGTTCCAGCTGTTCATACTGTCACCATCGTTTTGTATTGCAACATTTTATTTTTTTTTAATTGTAGTCATTTTGTTGTTATGTATGGTATCTCATTGGAGTTTTGATTTGCAATTCTCTGATGACTAATAATGTTAAGCAATTTTCATGCATTTATTTGCTATTTCAATGTCCTTTGCTGGGAAGTGCTTATTCAAGACTTTAGGCTATTTTTAAATGGGGGAACTATCTGTTGGCTTTCAGTTTGTATGTGTTCTTTATATATTTTGCATAAATTTCTTGTATGCAGAATTTGGATTAAAATATATTCTTTTAGTCACTGGCCAGCCTTTCACTCATTTAACAATGTATTTTGGTAAACAAAACTTCTTAATTTTTATGATGATAAAAAAATTATTTCAATTTTTATCAATCAGTGCTTCATCTTCCTTTATCATGAGTGCTTTTTGATCAGTTTTAAATTTTACTTTTGAATTGTTTATTGCTAATATATATTTATAGCCATATCTATTTAATATAATGTGAGTGATCTTTGTGTGTTTAACTTGTAACCTGCAACTGTAATAAATGTACTCATGTTTTATATGCTCAATGATGGCATCTTTTCTTATCTTACTTCACATTTTAGGACCTATGAGACAATGGTGAATAAAGTTATATTAGTTGTCTCTTACAGCATAACAAATTACTTTGACATTTAATAGTTTAAAACAACAAACATTTACTATTTCATAGGCCAAGAATGTGGGTGATGCTTATTTGAGTGCCTATGGCTTAAGATGTTTCATGAAATTATAGTCAACCAGTTACCTGAAGCTGTGGTCTTACTGAAGTCTCCAATGGAAGAGTGTAGAAAAGGTGATTTATTTCTGAACCTACTCACATGTTTGTTGGCAGGCTTAGGATCTTCAGTACTTGAGCATCTTCACATGGCTATGTCAAGAGAGGGCAGCTGGCTTCTCCTCTGGAAAATGACTTAAGAAAGACCACCTACAGGCACACAAGAGAAAGAGAGAAAGTGTGTTTAGATGGAAGCGACAGTCTTTTTATAGCCTCATCTCAGAAAAACATTCTATCACTTCTGCCATATTTGTTAGAAGTGAATCAGTAAGTCCAGTCTTGACTCAAGGGGAGAGAATTATACAAGGGTATCAATACCAGAATATGGAAATCATGGGGGACTGTCTTGAAAGTTGCCTAACACGGAAGTGGTGATAATGGGCTTCTTTGCCTCAATCCTAATCTTTGTAGTGATATTTCCAATATTTCACCATAAATTATACCGTTTATTATAGTTATATTTAATACTGTCTTCAGATTGGGAACATTCTCATCTATTCAAAATTACTAAAAGGTTGTTTTTAACTATGAATTTTTTGAATTTTATCCAATATTTTCTCTGTACCTATTGAGATAATTATTATTTTCTCCTTTGTTTTGTTAATGAGTGTATTTTCTTTTTTCTTTTCTTTTTTTTTTTTTTTTTGAGACAGAGTCTCTCTCTGTCTCCCAGGCTGGAGCACAGTGGCACGATCTCAGCTCACTGGAAGCTCCGCTTCCCAGGTTCACGCCATTCACCTGCTTCAGCCTCCTGAGTAGCTGGGACTACAGGCGCCTGCCACCACGCCCGGCTAATTTTTTGTATTTTTAGTAGAGATGGAGTTTCACCCTGTTAGCCAGGATGGTCTCAATCTCCTGACCTCGTGATCTGCCTGCCTTGGCCTCCCAAAGTGCTGGGATTACAGGCGTGAGCCACCGCACCCGGCCTGTTAATGAGTGTATTTTCATTGATGAACTTCTTAAACGTTAATCAGCCTCAATTTTCTAATATGAACTCAACTTGGTTGTGGTGCTATACTTTTTATATATTGATAGGTTTAGTCTGTAAACTTTTCTGTTAGCATTTTTCCACCAATGTTCATAAGAGAGACTGATTTATAATGTCAATCTCATTATATGTCAATCTTTCTGTAATGTCACTGTTAGGAATTGCTATCAGAATTTTTCTGACCTTATGAGTTGAAAAGTGCTCCTTGTTTTTCAGAGTGGGTATAAGACTGATATTTTCTCCGTAAATGTTTGAAAAAAATTACTAGCAAAGCCAGTTGGGTCTCAAGTTTTTTGTTTGGTTTTATTCAGTGTGAATTTGATTACTTTAATAAATATTATTCTATTCAAATGATCTATTTCCTGTATCACTTTGATAGTTTTTCTCAAAACTTTTCTCAATAGATATGAGGTCTAAAATTTACTAAAATAAAATTGTTTATCAAATACTCTTATTTTCTTTTTAATGTCCATAGTATCTGTAATAATGTCTCTCTTACATTCATTATATTGGTAATTTTTCACTTCTCACTACCTTTTTTATGGTCAAAGCGGAATCTGGTCATTTTTAATAATGTTTCCAAATAACCACCTTTTGATTGTTGATAATGTCATGTCTATTATATCTTTATTTTCTACCTCATTAGTTTTATTAACTTTCTTATATTCATTGTTTTCTTCCTTTTACTTTCTTTGGATCTAATTTGCTGCCCTTTATCTAATTATTTGGAGTGGATACCTTAGATCATTAATTTTCAGCCTTTCTTAATTTCTAATACATCTAAACAAGGCTTTAAATTTTCCTCTAAGCAAGACTTTAAGCTCATATTTTAAAAGGTTTGATGTAATATGTTTTCTTTTTCATTGAGCTTAAAATATTTTCTAATTTTCACTATTTTTTGACTCATTGATTCTTTAAACGTGTATTTTTAAATTTTCTGTCACTTGAGAATATCTAGTTAGCTTTTAATAATTCTTTTCTATCTTATTTCTACCCTGAGCAAAATAACCTGCCAGATTTCAATCTTCTCCCATCTCGAGACTTGCTTTACCCTTCCGCATACGATCAAGTTTGCTAAATGTTTCCTGTGTGCTTGAATGTGGATGTTACATTTGCTGGCTACAGTGGTGTGTACATGTCAGTTGGATCAATTAATAAGTCAACTTTTTTATTTTTACTTTTTATTTGTTTGCTCTAATAGTTACTTAGAGGGTTACATTGTTTGTCATCATGATTGTGAAATTTATTTCTCCTTTAAAATTTGTTAACTTTTCCTTTACATATTTTGAGGCTTTATTTTAGATTATACACATTTAGTATTAACATTTTTCTGGTAAATTGGTTCTTATTTATTCATTTTTTGCCAGCCTTATTTAGGCTATAATTTACATATCACACAATTCATCCTTTTAAAATGTAAACTAAAATGGATTTTAGTATATTTACATAATTGCAAAATGTTACTACAATCAATTTTAAAATATTTTAAACCCACTGACATTTGTGGTAACTCTTTGTTCTGCTACCCTAACCTCCAGCATAAGCAACTACTATTCTAATATTTTCTGCATAGATTCGGACATTTTATATAAATGGAATCATACAATATGTGATTTTTTTTTTTACCAGGTTTTTAAACTTAGTATATATTTCAAGATTCATTTATGTTGGGACATATAGTAGTATTTTCTTCCTTTTTTATTACCAAACAGCCATTCATCTTATGGATATTCATTTTTATATACATCCTTCAATTAGTAGACATTTTACTTAATTCTACTTTTATGCTATATGAATAATACTGCTATAAACATTTGTGTACAAGTTTTATGTGGGTATATGTTTTTGTCTGGGTATATTACTAGGAGTGAAATTGCTGGGTATTATAATAACTCCATGTTTAACACTCTAGGAAACTGCCAAACTGTTTGTGCTTATTTGCCATTTGTATATTCTTTGGATAAATGTCTAATCAGAGCCTTTGCTCATTTTTAATTGGGTTATTTCCCTTTTTATTATTGGTTTGTGTGGATTCTTTATAAATACAAGATACATATATATATTGGATATATATGATTTGCAAATAATTTCCCTTATTCTGTGGGTTGTCTTCTCAGATGCTTCATAATGTCCTTTAAAGTGCAAAGTGCTTTTAATTTTCATGAAGTTGAATTCATATGCATTTTTTGGTGTGTGCACTTGGTGTCATATCTAAGAAGGCTTTGCCATGAAGGTATATCATAAAGATATGTTCCTATGTTTTCTTCTATGAGATCTTTCGTTTAGCTCTTACATTTAGGTACATAATTTTAGTTTAGCTCTTACATTTAGGTCTATAATTTATTTGAAGTTAATTTTTGTGTACAGTATAAGGAAGGCATCCAATTTCATTCTTTACATATGGGTATCCAGTTATCCCAGTACTTATTGAAAAAACTTTTTCTTGCAATTAAATTATGTTGAAACTTTGTCAAAAAATTAGTTGACAGCAAATGTCAGGATTTACTTTTGTACTTTCCATTCTTTTACATTGATCTATATGTCTATCCAAATGCTAATACCACATTGTCTTGGTTTTTGTAGCTTTGAAGTAGGTTCTACAATCGGGAACTGTAAATCCTCCAATTTTGTTCTTTTTTTATAAAGCTTGTTTTGGCTATCCTGGTTCTCTTGCACTCTATATGAATTTTAGAATCAACTTATCAATTTCTGAAAAAAAAGTCAGCTATCTGTAATTTTGATAAGTATTGCATTAATTGTGTAGATAAATTTGTGGAGTATTAACACCTTAAAATAATAAATCTTCCAACCCATGAACATAGGTTGTAATATTTAAGTCTTCTCAAATTTCTTTCATCAATGTTTTGCAGTTTTCAGAGTACAAGTTTTGCACTTCTTTTGTTAATTTCATTTCTAAGTATTTATAGCTTTTGAAGCTGTCATAAATGGAATTATATCCTTAATTTCTTTTTCAGATTGTTAATTGCTAGTGTATAGAAATACAATTGGTTTTGCACATTTGTCTTACATCTTGAACATTACTGTGCTCATTTATTAATTCTAATTGTTTCCTTACAAGATCCTGTCTTCTAACAATAGGGTTCAATATTATTACCCAGTCACACCTGGGGTAGAGCTTCTGCCCTGTGAATGGGGGTGGATGGAAGAAGGGAGCCCCAGACTTTTCAGCTGCTCTTGCTTGGAATAGAGCTTCTGCAACACAGATCTGGGGGTGGTAATGAGAAATGCTGTCAGCCTGTCCTTTCTGAGAAGATACCACGGCCCTTGACTGGGAGCTGGGAGGAATGCAAGCTCTGTGTTCTTGGCTGCAACTCCTCTTGGCTGGAGTAGAGCTTCTGTCATGCTCAGCTGGAGAGCGGGGGAAGGGAGCACGTCTTTAGTTCAAATGCCACCTATTTTTACTGTTCTTAATAAGATTTAGAAGATTTTCTTAAATATATATGTCTCCATTTGCTGGATGCCCTTAGACATTTTCCAAAAATTATAGATTTGTGTCATTGTTTTTCCTTTGTTAAAACTTACTAATTTTCACCAGTTACAGTTGTTTCACTGGGCAAAGGATCCTCTGAGCTCCTCATGACATCATTCAAGATGTGACTCTTGTCACTTCTTTTATTACTATAAAATTCCCTCATTATTTCCTGAATCCTAGTTTATTAGATAATAATATAACTACATCAGCTTTTTAAAAATGAGTAGTATTTGCATAATGATCTCTACTCTTTATTTTCAGCCTGCCTCTTTTCTCATATTTAAGGTACATTCATTATAAACAGCATATAACTGGGTTTTGATTTTGAATCAGTTCACAGTCTTTGTTTTCAAATTGGAGTATTTTTTTCTAGTAGTTTCAACATATTTGGGCTCAAATCTACCATAATACTTTGTAATATTTTGTTTAATCTGCTTTCTGTTCTTTATGTCTTCTTTCTTGCCTTCCACCAAAATAATCAAATAAATTGTATTATTTAATTTCCCTCCTTCAATAATATGTTTAGTATAATTTTCTCTATCAACTTTCTGGTGGTATTAGAAATTACCATATGTATCTTTGACTTATCAGAGTCTATATAAATTAGTACTATTTTCCTTTTCTAGACAGTGCAAAACCTTGTATCACTTTAATTGTCATTTATTCTCCTCCAACCTTTTGTACTATTGTTTTCTTGTAATTTAATCCTACATTTATTTTAAACACCACAAGGCAGCATTATTACTGCTTAATATATAGTCAATAGACATTTTCCCAGTGCTTTGGGAGGCCACAGTGGGAGGGTTGCTTGAGGACAGGAGTTCAAGATTAGCCAGGGCAACATAGCCAGGCCCCATCTCTACAAAAAAAATATGAAATAAAAAAATTAGCCATGTGTACTGGTGGGCACCTATAGTCCCAGCTGCTCAGGAGGCTGAGGCAGGAGGATTGCTTGAGCTCACTAATTTGAGGATTGGTGAGCTATCACTGTGCCATTGCACTTGAGCCTGAGCAATAGAGCAAGAATTTGTCTCTTAAAAAAAAATAAACGTTTAAAATTTTCAAAATATTCACCCTTTTCAATGTCTGCCCTTCTATCTGGGGTTATGTTATTCTTCTTGACAGACTTTTCTGTTAAGTTTTTTGCTGTAAGCTAAGCCTGCTACTGAATCAGTCTTCTAGACTTTTTTTTTTTTTACCTAAAAATGTCTTTATTTTATCTTAATTTTTAAAGGGTATTTTCATTTTATATGGAATTCTAGGTTGATAGAGTTTTTGTTTTATCTCAAGACACCATTCTGTTATTTTATGCTTCCATCATTTTGGTTAGAAAGACAGATATCAAAGTTATTCTTGTTTCTTTTTAGGTAGCATGCCTTTGTTTTCTGTCTGCTTCTAAGAAACTATTTTTGCCTTTGTACTTAGCAGTTTTACAATAATGTGCCTATGTATGTCTTATTTTTCATTGATCATCTTGAAGTCACAGCAATTTTTAAATCTGTGTCTTGGTGGTGGTTTACATCATTGTTTTGCCAATATACCTTCAAATACTGCTTCTGTCCCATTTTATCCCTTCTCTTCTTCAGGAACTCAAATTAAACATGTTAGGCATTTTTAATCCTTGACCAAATTTCCTGTTTCAATTATCCATTCTATCCCAAAAGTTAGTGAATTAAAACAACAATCACTTCTTTTAAAACTCACAATTCTGTGAATTAGGAATTTTGTCAGACCACAATGGGGATGACTAAGCTGGGATGACTTGAATAGCTAAGGAGCAGTCAGTCATATTGGCTCTACTGGGGCAATATGTCTGAGGCCTTAGTTCTGGTTTTTGCTTGGATTCTTTAGATGTCCTTCCTCTGCCCTTTCAGATGTCCATCTTGAACTTTCTTAAGTCATGAGAGTCTAAGACCAACAAAAGGAAAAATTTAATGCAATCAAGCATCAACATCAAACTACTCCAAACTAAAGGAGGAAGTTCGAACCCATGGCAAAGAAGTTAAAAACCTTGAAAAAAAATTAGACAAATGGCTAACAAGAATAACCAATGCAGAGAAGTCCTTAAAGGACCTGATGGAGCTGAAAACCAAGGCATGAGAACTACGTGACGAATGCATAAGTCTCAGTAGCCAATTTGATCAACTGGAAGAAAGGGTATCAGTGATGGAAGATCAAATGAATGAAATGAAGTGAGAAGAGAAGTTTAGAGAAAAAAGAATAAAAAGAAATGAACAAAGCCTCCAAGAAATATGGGACTATGTGAAAAGACCAAATCTATATCTGATCGGTGTACCTGAAAGTGACAGGGAGAATGGAACCAAGTTGGAAAACACTCTGCAGGATATTATCTAGGAGAACTTCCCCAATCTAGCAAGGCAGGCCAACATTCAAATTCAGGAAATACAGAGAATGCCACAAAGATACTCCTTGAGAAGAGCAACTCCAAGACACATATGTGTCAGATTCACCAAAGTTGAAATGAAGGAACAAATGTTAAGGGCAACCAGAGAGAAAGGTCGGGTTACCCACAAAGGGAAGCGCATCAGACTAACAGCGGAAGTCTCGGCAGAAACTCTACAAGCCAGAAGAGAGTGGGGGCCAATATTTGACATTCTTACGGAAAAGAATTTTCAACCCAGAATTTCATATCCAGCCAAACTAAGCTTCATAAGTGAAGGAGAAATAAAATCCTTTACAGACAAGAAAATGCTGAGAGATTTTGTCACCACCAGGCCTGCCCTAAAAGAGCTCCAGAAGGAAGCACTAAACTTGGAAAGGAACAACTGGTACCAGCCACTGCAAAAACATGCCAAATTGTAAAGACCATCGAGGCTAGGAAGAAACTGCATCAACTAACAAGCAAAATAACCAGCTAGCATCATAATGACAGGATCAAATTCACACATAACAATATTAACCTTAAATGTAAATGGGCTAAATGCTCCAATTAAAAGACACAGACTGGCAAATTGGATAAAGAGTCAAGATCCAGCAGTGTGCTGTATTCAGGAAACCCATCTCACGTTCAGAGACACACATAGGCTCAAAATAAAGGGATGGAGGAAGATCTCCCGAGCAAATGGAAAACAAAAAGGCAGGGGTTGCAATCCCAGTCTCTGATAAAACAGACTTTAAACCAACAGAGATCAAAAGAGACAAAGAAGGCCATTACATAATGCTAAAGGGATCAATTCAACAACAAGAGCTAACTATCCTAAATATATATATGCACCCAATACAGGAGCACCCAGATTCATCGAGCAAGTCCTTAGAGACCTACAAAGAGACTTACACTCCCACACAATAATAATGGGAGATTTTAACACCCCACTGTCAACATTAGACAGATCAACGAGACAGAAAGTTAACAAGGATATCCAGGAATTGAACTCAGCTCTGCACCAAGCGGACCTAATAGACATCTACAGAACTCTCCACCCCAAATCAACAGAATATACATTCTTCTCAGCACCACACTGCACTTATTCCAGAATTGACCACGTAGTTGGAAGTAAAGCACTCCTCAGCAAATGTAAAAGAACAGAAATTATAACAAACTGTCTCTCAGACCACAGTACAATCAAACTAGAACTCAGGATTAAGAATCTCACTCAAAACTGCTCAACTACATGGAAACTGAACAACCTGCTCTTGAATGACTACTGGGTACATGAGGAAATGAAGGCAGAAATAAAGATGTTCTTTGAAACCAACAAGAACAAAGACACAACATACCAGAATCTCTGGGACACATTCAAAGCAGTGTGTAGAGGGAAATTTATAGCACTAAATGCCCACAAGAGAAAGCAGGAAAGATCTAAAATTGACACCCTAACATCACAATTAAAGAACTAGAGAAGCAAGAGCAAACACATTCAAAAGCTAGCCGATGGCAAGAAATAACTAAGATCAGAGCAGAACTGAAGGAAATAGAGACACAAAAAACCCTTAAAAAAAATCAATGAATCCAGGAGCTGGTTTTTTGAAAAGATGAACAAAATTGATAGACTGCTAGCAAGACTAATAAAGAAGAAAAGAGAGAAGAATCAAATAGACACACTAAAAAACTGATAAAGAGGATATCACCACTGATCCCACAGAAACACAAACTACCATCAGAGAATATTATAAACACCTCTATGCAAATAAACTAGAAAATCTAGAAGAAATGGATAAATTCCTCGACACATACACCCTCCCAAGACTAAACCAGGAAGAAGTTGAATCTCTGAATAGACTAATAACAGGCTCTGAAATTAAGGCAATAATTAATAGCTTACCAACCAACCAAAGTCCAGGACCAGATGGATTCACAGCTGAATTCTACCAGAGGTACAAGGAGGAGCTGGGACCATTCCTTCTGAAACTATTCCAATCAATAGAAAAAGAGGGAATTCTCCCTAACTCATTTTATGAGGCCAGCATCATCCTGATACCAAAGCCGGGCAGAGACACAACAAAAAAAGAGAATTTTAGACCAATATCCTTGATGAACATCGACGCAAAAATCCTCAATAAAATACTGGCAAACCGAATCTAGCAGCAGATAAAAAAGCTTATCCACCACGATCAAGTGGGCTTCATCCCTGGGATGCAAGGCTGGTTCAACGTATGCAAATCAATAAACATAATCCAGCATATAAACAGAACCAACGACAAAAACCATATGATTATCTCAATAGATGCAGAAAAGGCCTTTGACAAAATTCAACAACCTTAATGCTAAAAACTCTCAATAAATTAGGTATTGATGGGACGTATCTCAAAATAATAAGAGCTATCTATGACAAACCCACAGCCAATATCATACTGAATGGAAAAAAACTGGAAGCATTCCCTTTGAAAACAGGCACAAAACAGGGATGCCCTCTCTCACCACTCCTATTCAACATAGTGTTGGAAGTTCTGGCCAGGGCAATCAGGCAGGAGAAGGAAATAAAAGGTATTCAATTAGGAAAAGAGGAAGTCAAATTGTCCCTGTTTGCAGATGACATGATTGTATATCTAAAAAACCCATCGTCTCAGCCCAAAATCTCCTTAAGCTGATAGGCAACTTCAGCAAAGTCTCAGGATACAAAATCAATGTGCAAAAATCACAAGCATTCTTATACACCAATAACAGACAGAGAGCCAAATCACGAGTGAATTCCCATTCACAATTGTTTCAAAGAGAAGAAAATACCTAGGAATCCAACTTGCAAGGGACCTGAAGGACCTCTTCAAGGAGAACTACAAACCACTGCTCAATGAAATAAAAGAGGATACAAACAAATGGAAGAACATTCCATGCTCATGGGTAGGAAGAATCAATATCGTGAAAATGGCCATACTGCCCAAAGTAATTTATAGATTCAATGCCATCCCCATCAAGCTACCAATGACTTTCTTCACAGAATTGGAAAAAACTACTTTAAAGTTCATATGGAACCAAAAAAGAGCCCACATTGCCAAGTCAATCCTAAGCCAAAAGAACAAAGCTGGAGGCATCATGCTACCTGACTTCAAACTATACTACAAGGCTACAGTAACCAAAACAGCATGGTACTGGTACCAAAACAGAGATAAAGACCAATGGAACAGAATAGAGCCCTCAGAAATAATGCCGCTTATCTACAACCATCTGATCTTTGACAAAACTGACAAAAACAAGCAATGGGAAAAGGATTCCCTATTTAATAAATGGTGCTGGGAAAACTGGCTAGCCATATGTAGAAAGCTGAAACTGGATCGCTTCCTTACACCTTATACAAAAATTAATTCAAAATGGATTAAAGACTTAAATTTTAGACCTAAAACCATAAAAACTCTAGAAGAAAACCTAGGCAATACCATTCAGGACATAGGCATGGGCAAGGACTTCATGTCTAAAACACCAAAAGCAATGGCAACAAAAGCCAAAATTGACAAATGGGATCTAATTAAACTAAAGAGCTTCTGCACAGCAAAAAAAACTACCATCAGAGTGAACAGGCAACCTACAGAATGGGAGAAAATTTTTGCAATCTACTCAGCTGACAAAGGGCTAATATCCAGAATCTACAATGAACTCAAAGAAATTTACAAGAAAAAAGCAAATAACCCCATCACAAAGTGGGCGAAGGATATGAACAGACACCTCTTAAAAGAAGACAGTTATGCAGCCAACAGACACATGAAAAAATGCTCATCATCACTGGCCATCAGAGAAATGCAAATCAAAACCACAATGAGATACCATCTCACACCA
The DNA here is from genome assembly GCF_000001405.40 of Homo sapiens. NCBI lineage: Eukaryota > Metazoa > Chordata > Mammalia > Primates > Hominidae > Homo > Homo sapiens. The sequence goes on from NC_000003.12 coordinate 30,432,927, forward strand.
GTTAGAATGGCGATCATTAAAAAGTCAGGAAAAAACAGGTGCTGGAGAGGGTGTGGAGAAATAGGAACACTTTTACACCATTGGTGGGACTGTAAACTGGTTCAACCATTGTGGAAGTCAGTGTGGCGATTCCTCAAGGATCTAGAACTAGAAATACCATTTGACCCGGCAATCCCATTACTGGGTATGTACCCAAAGGATTATAAATCATGCTGCTATAAAGACACATGCACAAGTATGTTTATTGTGGCACTATTCACAATAGCAAAGACTTGGAACCAACCCAAATGTCCAACAATGATAGACTGGATTAAGAAAATGTGGCACATATACACCATGGAATACTATGCAGCCATAAAAAATGATGAGTTCATGTCCTTTGTAGGGACATGGATGAAGCTGGAAACCATCATTCTCAGCAAACTATCACAAGTACAAAAAACCAAACACCGCATGTTCTCACTCATAGGTGGGAATTGAACAATGAGAACGCTTGGACACAGGAAGGGGAACATCACACACCAGGGCCTGTTGTGGGGTCGGGGGAGGGGAGGGGGGAGGGATAGCATTTGGAGATATACCTAATGTTAAATGACGAGTTACTGGGTGCAGCACACCAACATGGCACATGTATACATATGTAACTAACCTGCACGCTGTGCACATGTACCCTAAAATTTAAAGTATATAAAAAATAAAAAATAAAATTAAAATTCACCTGAAAAAAATAAAAAAATTAAAAGTAAAAAAAATTTTAAAAAAAACATAAAAGCATTTATCAAACTTTTGCATGAGTTACTTTTGTAATTTCCCAATGGTCAAGGAAAGTATTATAGCCAAGCCCAGAGTCAGTATGGGAGGGGACTACACAGAGATGCGAGTATTGGTAGGAATGGCTTATTGGAGGCCTATGAGCCACATCCCTCCTACATACAAAATACGCTCACCTCCCCTAAAGGCTCCAACATTTATCCCATTATGGCATTAGGCTCAGGCTTACAGACCAAGATTCCATCATCTAAATTAAAATCAGGTGTTGTCAAGGCACCCAAGATGTGGTTTTTTGGGTGCAGCTTCTCAGGTGTGCTTTATCTTGACGTGGAGACCTGTAAATTTCAAAATGAATAAATACAAGGTATTTACCCTCCACACATCCAAAATAAAGTGGAGAGATGGAGACAGAATAACTGCTATAGACACTCTCTTTAAAAAAGTGGGAGAATGAGAGGCTTATAGTAATTACTGGTCCAAAGCAATTCTGCAAGTCAGTTGAACATACGTCAGTAATTAATCTTTCTCTGAAGGCAGGAAATGTTGGGTGCTTTGAGCCTAGTTCTGCTCATTGGAACAGTGCTCCATGGCTCTTAACTCTGTCCTCTATGATATTAATTTTACATTCTGAGTCATCCTTACTATTCCATAAGACTGGTCCTTGTTTGCGGCTAAGTAACTTTCTCAGCTTACTTGATGTCCAGAGAAGGTTGGAGCCCAGAGACCTCTTTTCATTTTGAATCATCTGTGTTCCTTTCAGTACTAGCAGGTAAAGCTCCTTTAAAATCGTGGGTTTTAAAATTTAAAATTGGGGTTCTTATTTATCAAATTATAAGCCACTTCATTAAACACATCAACACATTAATATTGTCTCCTTTATATCTTATAATTTTTGTTAGGGTGTTGTGGAACAATGTTCTTAAGATACTTAGAAGCTCTTTTGTTTAGCAGAGAAGATTTTTGAAGCACGCATCCAATATTACTAGAATCTCTTTTCATTAAGTGAGAGCATCTGAAATGCTTCCACATTAAATCATGTTTGGTGTCTTCATGAAGTGTCTTACAGCTTCACCCTAGACTTGATTTTGATCTTAAGGTAACATTTAGTGGGAATATGCCCTGATATGGCAATACCATCCAGTCTAGAGAAAAGGGTTGTAGTTATTTAAATTATTAAATATTATTAGCTACTTAAGTTATTAAAGTATTTTCTGTAATTTTCCTTGAAAAGTTAACAGTTCCTTCTTCAGTTCCCCTTTCTTTTCTTGTACTTTATCATACGTAGGTAAAAGAAACCAATGACACTTTCAATATCCTGCCTATCAATCTCCCACACTGGTTCCATGAGTTTACTAAATACATTTTCTATGTCCAACATTATCATTGATGAGTATTGTCAAACATTTGACACCGTGTAACATGGATGACCATTTTTTCAGTCTCCAAGAATTTTGTCACCGCTTTTTCAGTCTTCACTAAAATCTCCTCATAGTTCTTCAAGCCCCCACAAACTTCCTGATCTCAATGTCAATGCCACATGTTTTAGCTTTTTTGCTGTTGAGGCTGTCTCCACTTTAGGAGCTTTTTTCTGTGCTTTTTAATTTTTTCTTACTTTCCATGTATATTAGTCTGGATATTTCTTACTTTTCTTTCCAGTTCACTAATAATTTCTTCTCCTGTGTCTAATTTGATCTTAAGCCCACCTAAGTTCTAAATTTCAGGTATTAAAATTTTCAATTCTAGAATTACATGTTAATTCATTTTCATAGATTTCTGTTCTCTGATGAGCTTTTCCATTTTTGTCACATAATTTCTTAAACATAAATATTGTATTTATTTTAAATTCCACGCCTAATCATTTTGATACATGGGTTACCTACGGGTCACTCTCTTGACTGTTTTTTAATTTTTCGCTCTGTCTTAGCTTACATGTATTTTGTCCTGTCTCCTGACGTATCTGGTAACTTTGAATGAATGCTGGGCATTGTGACTAAAATATTGCAGAGGCTCTGTGAGATGCTGTTTTCCTCAGAGAAAATTTGATTTTCTTCTGGCAGGCAAGTAGATTAGAGGCAGATCACCTTGATTTAAACAGGAGTTGAGATGATTCAAGCCTGAGTTTCTGTCTTTGTGAGATCTAGTCTATTTGTAGGTTTTGCTTTACACCCAGGATAAAGCTTCCCAGGCATCTCAGATAGGATCCTAACATGCTTACTAGGAACCCTGCTTTGAAGTGCCGTGAAATTCAAATTCTGTCTTACCAGCATCGTGAGTCTGCTAAAAAGCTGGGCTTTATATTTTAGCTTCAAGCTGCTGCTCTCTGCTTTTCTTGCTTGCTTTCACTTTATGCAATTTACGATTTTGCAAATGCTTTCAGGGTAAAGCGCACACAGAATTTTAGATTCACGTTTCCGTAGTTCTGTTTCCTGTGGGACATTAAACCCTCAAGTTCTGGCTCACTTAATAACCTTGATCTCCAATTTTTGTCTTCTCAGGCAAGTGAGACTGCCGAAGTCTTGAGCTGTCTGTCACCTTTCTGCCTGGTTTCTCAGCCCTACACCTGTTACAAATTAGTAAATGCCTCAAGGAGAAAACTGACTAGGACTATTGGCATTATCATGATGCAGTTTTCTTCAAAATCATGGTTGCTCTTCAGAGCCTTCAAACAGCTGTTTTTGTTTTGGGTTTTTTTGTTTGGTTGGTTTTATGCTGCATTTATAGATGTCTAGGCACAATGATGGGCCTGCATAAGCTACTCTACCATTGCAAAAATGCAAAATCACATTTCATAATGCAATTTGCTGTTGGCAAATTCGATGTGAATCTCAGGTCATCATTATTGCCAATCCTGTAATTTTAAATCTATCCCCATGAAATTGAATCTGATTTGATGTAATCTATCTCCACAAGAATTTATAGCTGGAAAGGACTTCAGAATATGTCCCTTTCTAATCCCCCTCACTTTGCAAGTGACACAGCAATTTAGCGACGAAGCTGAGATTAGAACTCTGGCCCCCAGACACCCAGTCTAGTATGTTTTCTTACACAATGGTGCCTCATGAATAATGCCAAAAGTGTATCCTCAAAGTTTTGTACCTACATCCTTGAAGAACTTCTTGGGCAGGCTTAAGCATTTCTTAGTTGCAATGGCTTGATAATAAAGTTACTCTTAAAGTTATACAAGGAATTTCTTCAACTATACCAAAAAATTTTAGTCAGACCGTTCTCTCAGCAAAAAAAGAAAAAGAAAAAAAAAAAACTGTCATCCTTTCATCTTTCATCTTTTATCCCTTAAAAAAAACAATGTGTCCCAGATAAACGAATGACAACTCTTGCAGACACAAACATACTAGACAGCCAGGGGTAGGGATAATGGTTCTAGAACTGGAAAAATTTCCACATCTATTGGTGGAAACTTTGGGAATGAAACCAGAGAAGCCTATTAATCTAAAATGAGCTGCAGCACCTCAGCCCAGTTTCAGCCAAACAACTCCCCTGCTGGTGCTTGCTGCTGGCACTAACTGCAGTTAAAGAAAGTTCATGTTTCTCAGGAGGCCCTAGTATAGGAAAGGCATCTTTAATTTAAGAAAGCAGGATAAATCTCTCTCTCTCTCTTTCCCCCTAACAAGTGCTTTCACAGGCCTAGTGGTGGGAGTGGAATTCCGTAGGTGGTGTCTATGTATTGCTTCAGTCCCTAGAGAGTCAGCATATTAAGTAACTGCTTGCCCTAAAATCAACCGGAGACCAGCATTTGGGAGCCTTTCGACAAAACCTTGGTTGAGTGAATTTCAGCACGCCTGTCATGTGACCAGGCCACTCTATGGTGTGAATGAAATATCCAGCTTGAAGACTTTTCAAGAGCCAGCTATAAAAACACACAGAATTCTGCCCAGCTGCCCCTGTGAAACTTAATTCCCCAGTGCTTATTCTTCCTTAAATTAAGTTCCCTCCTTTGAGAGCTATGAGCTATTTGCTTACCCAGCAGAAGAATCATTTTTTTACCATAAAAGGGTAGCTCCCAATATTTCCTACCCTTGGCATTGGGGACCATTCTGTTTAATGTACATTAACACCATTGCCCCACAGAAAGAAAACGAAATGTTTTATGTTGAGGTCCTAGGCATTCTGAACATGGCATCTCATTCGCAGAGCTTATTTAATATCATCGGTAATAATTACAATTCAGAAATTTATTAAACAATCAGCCAAGACCACTGAAAGCACTATGGTTTCACATATTCTTTACTCCTGGTGTCTGCTAAAGGAAGCCCCCAAATTGTTGCCATGTAACTGGGAAAAACGTATAAATTATTTTCTTCCACCACAGATTACTTCTTAGGAGGTAGTAGATACAAGGATTTTCTGAAAATTTTCTGTATTTTAACTGGGATTTGGGTCAAATGAATGCTTACGTTTGTCAAATCATATCAAATTATACACTTATGATCTGTACATTTTACTGTATATGAGTTGTACTTCAAATTAGAATGAGGGTGGGGAGGGATGGAAAGAAGTTTCCCATGTTCTGGCATGAACAATCATTTACCTACAAAAAGAATCAGAACTCTCTTCAGAAGGATCGGGTGGGAGAGGCTGTCTCAAGAACTGCCAGCCACTTAGCCTGTTAATGAATAGCCCTCAGCAGGTTTGACTTTCTGTTCCTCATCTGATCCCCTTACGCATCTCTGGCTTTTATTATATGCCACCTCACATCCTTTTTGATAATGGGAAGAATTTAAGTTATCAATAAATTCAATTTTTATGCCATTCCAACCAAATCTTCCTCTATGTGGTAATGATCTCATGGTCATTGGGATCATTGACCTTACAGGTGGTGATCATTTTCTGAAGTGTAGGTCTGTTTATTGGAACTATAAAGAGTTTGGGACCACCAACTATGGCCTCTTTTGCAAGAGAAGAGTTCTGTTTTCAGAATCAACTTCCTATTTATTTTTCCCCAGGAATCTCCTTGTGGTTACTTTTCTTCAGAATTCTAATTGTTACCACAAAGTGAACAATTAAGGAAAAAATGCAAAAGAGATCGAGACATAATTTTAGAGTAAAGCAATACTGCTATCTTTTAGAGTTGGAAGATATTTTAAAACAACTACTATCTCAGTACATTTTAAAGGGAAATAGTTTTTCTGTGATTTCCTACAGTGACTTTAGAATAATAATAATGTCAAAGTACTAAAAAATTGCTTTGGGGTAATTAATAACCATGTCAAAATCTGCTTTTCTTGTTTCTATGTATAAACGGGTTGTACCTCATAAAAAATAATTTATATGGCCCTCCTTTCCAATGAGACTACTGTTCAAGTTGTTCCCTTTCAGAACAAAAGAGACAACTAAGAAAAAATCAGTTTTACCAGCAAAATGTCTTGGGATTCTTTCTGTGGTTCATCTTGCCCTCTGATGTTTCTAGGATATATTTTCATTCTAAGAATAGAAATTCAGATATTTTGCAGCATAGAATCTAGAGGCAAAAAGGCACAATTGGCACACTGTAACTTTTTACATTTTCTTATGTATTATTATTTTAAAATCCAATACAAAAAGTGATGGTGGTAGGTGGAAAGACCATTGAACTCAGAGTGAAAAAAAAAAAAGCCTCTGTGTTTTGCAATATGCTAGCTGAGTGACCTTATCTAAGGTGAGGAATTGAAAATCTATGGTGATGGTGGGAGCAAATGGTAGACAGAATTTGAGATTACTTAGGAATTAAGTGAGCTGGGTTCAAGTCACAGTCCTGCTACTAGATGAGAATGTTACATCAAAGAGGTATTATTTTTTGTTTTTGTTTTTTCTTTTCTCTGGAGTCTTCGTTTCCTCTGTGGTTAAATTAAGGGATCATTCTGGGTAATCTCCAGGGCTCCATCCAGCCCCATAATTCTGTACAGAGTTCCATTCATGGGTAGTCTTGCTCAATATTTATTTGTAGAATATAAACAATTTTAAATCACACAAGAAAATCTCGACATAAAGAAGTAAACTTGGCTGGGCTTGTGGGCTCACTCCTGTAATCCCAGCACTTTGGGAGGCTGAAGCGGGTGGATCTCGAGGTCAGGAGTTCAAGACCAGCCTGGCCAAAATAGTGAAACCCGTCTTTACTAAAATACAAAAAATTAGCCAGGCATGGTGGTGTGCCCCTGAAATCCCAGCTACTTGGGAGGCTGAGGCAGGGGAATCGCTTGAACCTGGGAGGTGCAGGTTGCAGTGAGCTGAGGTCGCACTACTGTAATCCAGCCTGGTGACAGAGCGAGACTCCGTCAAAAAGAAAATAAAAAGAAGTAAACTTATTTGCCTCTTTCTACAATTGGTACCTTTCTACAACAGAATGACTTTTTAAATTTCCAAAGTAATGGCCATTTATCGGCCAAGAAGTGAAATTAATAAAAAAGTAAATGGTTTGGCACATCCTCTCCTTTCCTGGTACTCAACCTCTTTTAACTGCAGTGAAGTCTCATTTGCTTAGGGAGTAGGAGATCAGCCTTACGGTTCCCAACTGCCTATTGGGTCAAGGCCATTTAAAAGGCAGATGGCAGCCAAGGCAAACAATTCAATACTCCTCAAGCATACTTTTCATTTGAAGTATTAGCCAGATTTCTTGTTTTCTTTCCAATGGACTTTCACAAAATCTGATTCTGATTACTAATTGATGAGAGACTATTGAGGTTTGGCCTTTGTTTCTCAGCCTTGCTCCTGACTGTCCAATCTACTGTTGTAAAGCATGCCATTTCACATTCTTGAAATTTTATTCTCTTCTATCTGTAAAATGAGTGGCAGTTCTCTAGTCCCCAGGAATGATTCATTCATCCTGGTGTGTTGACTCTCACATCATTATTTACTATCTATACAAATAAAAGGATTCAAAGAGAAATTACGTATTGCACAAATAATAAACTTGAAAAATTAATAAACAAAAACATGTAGCTGAGAACATCTGTTTACATTTCTCTTTGGGGCCTTAATAAAGAAGCAAGAAAATAAATAAGAATTATAAATTATTTCCGTCATAACTTCAACAGTAGGTGGCAATAAAAAAAACCTATATTTTCTAAAACTTGTGTATCCTATAGTATTTGTTGAATCTCCACCTCTTGGTCCTGGAATCATAGAGCCCTTTTTCCCTTATGTGAAATTAACATTGTTGAATCCAAATACACTGTGTGGGCAGGGGTCTTGTTCCTGTACCTTGCAAAGTTACTGAGGCCAAGCTCTGTGTTTGGACAAAACTAACAATACTTTCTAGAATTTTAAAACCCCTGACTACTTACGGTTGTGTTCTAAACATAGCATTCACACCAACCTGCTGTGGAAAGCACACAAAGTTCTTGGCAAAGCTGGATTTGCAGGAGTTGGAACAGCAGTGTGGTTTATCAGCAGGTTGAAAGAAAGAGACTTGACGATTGTGCTCTGCTTCTCACTCCTTCCCCAGGAATGTCTTTGTTATGACCCTGTGGGTTATGGCAAATGTAATTTCTGTCACCAGAGAAAAGGAAAGCAAGGAAAGGTGCCAGGAAAGAGAGACGGACATTTTTTAAAAATACCTATTATGAACCAGGCTCTGTGCTAGATAATGGAGACACAAAGGTGAATTATGGACACGTTTGCAACTTTGAATTGAATTATGGACAGGTTTGCAACTTTGACTCTGATGGAGGAGGCATATGTGTTCATAACAATTACAAGAGGGTGTGATACGTTTTATTAGAGCTGGAAGGTGACTTCGTTTTGTTCTCCCAATCATATTGAAGGGAAAACCCCATAGCACAGCCGTTAAAACCATGAGCTGCAAGCTCAAATTGACATGAAGCTTTAATACCAGCTCTGTCACTGGCTACATGTGTGCCTTTTCATAATTACTACTATTATCAAATCCCTCTTGAGTTTCAGTATCTTTATCTGTAGCACAGGGTTGGGGTGGAGAAGGGTGTAGCAATGGGGGATTATCATAAGAACTAAACCAAATAATACAGGCAGATATGTACTTAGGGCTTAGAAGACAGTAAGACTTAATAAAAATTATTTTCTCCTTTCATTATCCTTCCCATTTCACCAGTGAAAAATCAGGCCCAGGTATCTGTGCCTTGCCTAGGTTTGCAGGAGCTGATGAGAACAAAGGCAAAACTTGAACTCACATCTGATATGGAGCTCAATGCCTTTCCCTGGGCACAAGAGATGAAATTGTTGAAGCGACTCTGTCATGTTGTATGACCAGAGAGATGCACTGCTGTGTTCCAATGTTTTCCCTCTCCACATTTATCACTGACATTTGAAACTTCTTCTTTTCCTCACTTTGGAGATTACAGACGTTCCTAAATATCACAGACTGTCTTCCATTGACTCTCTTTTAAATCTGCTCACAGAAGAGCAAGATTTAAGTTTGTCCCTACCCTAAGGAAGGCCTAGTGAATCAGAGAATAACACGTTTTTTTCCTTCCATCCACATTCCATATGCCAAGAGATCCAGCATGTGAAATCCCATTGAAAATTCGCTTTCTCAGTCATTCAATAATCCAAATAGCTTTTTTTTCAGTATTTGTTTATGTGACAGGCACTGTATTAAAGGTTAGGGTTATAGCTGGAAAAGATAAAATCCTTGCCCTCAGAGAGCTTATATTCTGTTAAGGAAGTAAAAAATAAACATGGAAGCAAATAAATATATTCTGTATTTTTAAGCAGTAAAAAGTGCTGTAAAGAAAATAAGGCAAGGTAGTAAGATGAAGGGTGAGGGCCGGGCATGGTGTCCCATGCCTGTAATCCCAACACTTTGGGAGGCCAAGGCAGGTGGATCATTTGAGGTTAGGAGTTCCAGACTAGCCTGGCCAGCATGCTAAAATTTCATCTCTACTAAAAATACAAAATTAACCAGGTGTGGTGATGCATGTCTGTAATTCCAGTTATTCTGGAAACTGAGGCAGGAGAATCGCTGGAACCCAGGAGGCAGAGGTTGCAGTGAGCCAAGAGAGTGCTGCTACACTCCAGCTTAGATAACAGAGTGAGACTCCATCTCAGAAAGAAAAAAAAAAAAGATGAAAGGTAAGGGTGGAGAAGACTGGTTTGAAATGAATGTTCAGGAAAGACCTCTCTGACACAGTCACTTCGAAAAGAGACCGAAATGAGAAGATGAAGCCAGCCATTTACATTTGTAAACAAGGATATAGCACGTGCTAGGAAATATGGCCTTAGCTTGTTCAAGAAACAGACTAGAGAGTAGCCAGTAGGGCTGAGGCACTGTGAACAAGTGGTACGAAATGGGATTCCCAGAATGAGGTAAGGGCTAGATCAAGAAGAGTCACCCAGGCCAAAAGAGAGAGTATGGATTTTATTCCAAGTGTGATATAAAGTCCTGAATAGTCTTAAGGTTGATATCAGCCTTTGTGACTGCTTTGTGGACAATGGATGACAGGGAGACGAGGGTAGGAAAAGGAAGACCCAGCTAGGAGTCAACTGCTATAGTCCAGGTCAGATATGCTGGCGAGTTGGACCAGAGTAAAAAAAAAAATCTCAAGTTTTCTGTGAACTAAGGAATTATTTTGTATTAACATTATTTAACATTTGAGACTTTACTTGAACACTTTATAAAGCAGTGATCCTATATCAAGGATATGGTAAAACCTGAGTCTTCAAGGTTTAAAATGAGGTGACACTTAAGAGGGAAATACACTTTGAGGCTCCTCTCACAATTTGACTTCTAAAATGCCTACACCTCAGAGAAGCACCTTTTGAAGTCTACGCTACTTGAGTCCTTGTTCTAAAATCTGGCATTATTTCTCTTGTTTATTAAAAATCTAAGTGATACAAATTTTGTGCTGACCTTTTTCCATTATTTTGAGAAACATAGAATATCCTACTGTTCACAAATCAATAATCCTAGTTTGACTCAATTTTGTAAAATTCTCTCTCTCTCTCAGACACACATACATACACCAACACACAAAACAAACTATTAGGTTTCAAAGAATACTCACAAATGGTCCCTTTGCTAGAAGAAAAAGGTAAGTTGTGAGAAAAGCTTCCTTGAAGAACTTCCATCAGTTAGAGTGATAGAATATCCTGCAAGTATTCAAAGAGCAGAAATGATTTTCACATACTGTCACTCGGCAAGTTAATGTATGTGTAAAAAAGGAAATACCTATTCGCCAAGAAACAAAATCCTCTAAATTGCTACTGTCTTTGGCTATATTTTGAAGAATAAACCACAAAAATGAGCAATACCCAACAATTGATTTATGGCTTCTACTCACAAGCCATTCAAACCGCAGACATTCAGCATTAACTGCTACAGAGATAAATCTGGTCAACAACTTGATTGGCCTCTGGGAAACCATCGTGGTAACAGATGAAGGCCCTCTTTTGCCTCAGACTGAAGCAAGGTTGCAATGTTGAGATTAATTTTTATAGGCATATAATCTTCCTCTTTATTAAAGTTATTAATATTTTCTTTCACTGAAAGATACTACAATATTGTCTAAACTAATCTTAAACCAAGAGGCCTCATGGAGGGAGTCCAGGAAAGGTTTGAAAAAAATACATTAGGTCTCTTAAACTCTAATGTCATCTGTAAGTGCATTTCTTAGAGGCTAAGTCCCATTCCTTTTAAGTACACAAGAGTGTATGACTTGAAACACATAAAAACAACTGCCTTAAAACCAATAAAGCATCATGTTTTCTCTTTCCTTTTAGTCCTTCAAACTCCAAATTTTAAAAATAGATTCCATCCGGTGGAGGCAGCAAAACATTCTGTAGCTAAACATGACCTGAATAATTTTCAGAGGTCTAAGTAGAAAATCTTCATCTTGTATCCAAGACAAACAACAGGGCATGGGGTAATAGAGCAGTCCAGGGAGAAAAACATATCCAAAGAGCTGAAGCGTGTCACACCATTTGGAGGATTATAGGAAGTTTTTGCTTTCAAGGTGATTATAAAGCTTGTCTTTGGGGTGTATGTGCACTGTCTTTGGAGACCACTCCCCCTACCCTTAACACAGAGTGCTTCTAATTTCATGATCTTTAAATCAAGAAACAGCTATGTTTCAATGTTTGGATGCTGTCAGTTTCTGTGACATATTGTGTCAACATGGTGTCAAAAAATGTGGCAATTGGATAGACTAAATTTTTCTGTAACCTTGTGGTTCTTTTTGACACACACACGCACACACACACACACACAGACCCTCATAAACACACCTGTTCTATGAGTGATGGCATGTGCCAGTTCCAGGAGATAGTGTAGTGGGCTTACTAAGCCCATTATGCTATGCAGTTATAATTCAAATATCTACTCACTGTCCTTGGGAAGGCCTAATTCAGGCTGAGATATTAAATGTTCTGTTTACATGTTAGAATTCCTTCTGTAAGAAGGTTGTGTGTTCTTAAGAAATGATAATTGAGGTGATGGATATCTCAATTACCCTGATTTGATCATTACACATTGTATGCATGTATCAAAATATCACATGTACCCCATAAATATGCACAACTATTATGTATCAATAAAAAGAATTAACTTTTAAAAAGAATATTATTTGTTCTTAAAGTGTATGTGTCTTTTTTTTATTATACTTTAAGTTTTAGGGTACATGTGCACAATGTGCAGGTTAGTTACATATGTATGCATGTGCCATGCTGGTGTGCTGCACTCATTAACTCGTAATTTAGCATTAGGTATATCTCCTAATGCTATCCGTCCCCCCATGTGTCTTTTAAAAGTAGCTGCTTATTGATTAGGAGACCAAGCCACATCAGGAGGAACATGTAGACCTGACAGAAGAAATGCTGGAGGGTTAGTTTCAAAGAACTATTTTCTTTGAAGATTGTTCAATTTCCCCCTTAAGGTATCATTTTAGTTTGAATTAACCAGACAGAAAATAAAATGGTGAGTACTGTGATTACCTAATGTAAACATGGAAGGCCAGTTTACATTCTTTGAATGGAGATGGCTATTTCCCATGAAGAACATGAATGTCCTCATTTCTACAAGTCCTAGGGAAGAAAAAACAAAAGACAAGTCCCCCATTGAGGGAAATGAGGACTCTTTTTCCTTCTTCCTGAGCTCAAGAGAAAGTTGGGAGCCTATCTTCAAAGCAGCATAGAAACGACCAGAGCATCCATGTGGAGGGACATGAGGGTGGCCCCTGAAACATCGAGGCAAACCAAAGCCAAGGGAAGAGTCAGGGAAGGGAAAAGCCATAGGACAAAGACTCAAAATTATTGTTCAGAATCCAATCATATTCTCTGCGTTGTAGTTTCCTGCTGTTGTTTTCCAAACCTTGGTCTTAATTGTCCTTTGGGGAATTAATAGAGATGCCTGTTCCATTGTTAGGGTGAAACAGTACTGAGGAAGGAGATATGAAGGAGATGTCTGGTACAGTTGACAAGTGAAAACCATGTGGGAATCATAGAACATGTAAACAATCCCCTGGCATTCTCCGATATGCCTGGAGGGGGGATAAAATAAAAGACCAGACTTTCCACAGTCACTCAGGACAACAAGTCAGATTGTAGATATTTGAATATTAAAGGAAAAAGAGACCATAAAGAACTTGGTTATGTAAGCATATACTGGAGAGGGGAGTGCAACAAAGACTCTAGGGTTCAGTTACTACTAATGGCAGATTTCATCTCCTGAGCACCTACCCACCATACATCACACAGCTTCCATAAACTGCCTCATTCAGTCCTCACAAGAACATGATGGGTATTTTCTAATTGACAGAAAACAGTCTCAACCCACTTCATTGACTCTCTTACATTTAACTTTTCAAAATCCCAAACTGATAAAATCATTCAGTCGTGAAATGGAACCAGGCAATCTTTGGAGCTAGACACACCAGGCTCCACATTCTTGCTCTACCATTTATTAAATCAAGACTGTGGGCGATAGAATTAACCTACTCAGATGTGAGTTTTCTTTTCTGTAAAGAGACAGTAATAGAAGTACATTGTGTGGGTTACGTGAAATAACACCAGTATCCCTAAAAATGTACATTCCCTTTTCACTTCTTTCTTTACCTCCAAACCTTACATAAAGTGTTGTCTGTCACCTCTGGCAGTGCATCTCAAACTTCGGTAAGCACAGAAACCACCTGGCAACCTTCTTAAGATGCAGATTCTAGGTCAGCTGGTCTGAGATTCTGTATTTCTCACAAGCTCTCTGGTGGTGATGGTGCTGCTCATTTTCAGACCACACTTTGTGTGATGAGTACCTTTGGCATAGCTCTAAATGCCTTTCCCCAGAATTCACTGTTTGGTCCTAACCTGCTCTTCTACTGCCAGTACCTCTCCTTCCTCTCAGTCCTTGATTCCTGATTCCATTAGCCACTGTTGAAACATAGCTCATATTTCCACATCTGCTTTTATTATTATTATTATTAATCTTCCTATAATATTTCAAGATTCCAATACATCTGTTGTCTTCTTTCCTTGAAAATGCCCTAGTAACATTTAACAATCCCGTTCAAATGCTACTCTCAAAATGAGCCTTTTGATTTTACCACCAGCAGCAGCACAACCATGCAGAATCAAGCTTTTTCCCATGCTGCCAGAGCATTTTGATGCTTCTGGTAACATATGAAGCACATTTTATTATACTTAGTCACGTGTTTAACATATGCACTGGCCTTATACAAATATAGATGTCATGTCAAAAACCATGTCTGATTTGTATTTTATCTTCAACATACAATAGTACTTGGTACATAGTAGTTTCTTGATAAATGCTAATTGGAATAAATCAACTTTAACAAAATAGAGTAGCTGCCAAAAATGGGGCGGGGTGTGGGTAGTTACATCATAGGAAACACAATTTATTTATTATATTTAAAACAAGAAACATATTCAGTTTTGGCTCTAGATCTGGGTTACAGGTACACTGATTAACAAGAAAAATGATGAGGAGATGATGTCAAACTACCAGGGCTAATTGCAAATGAAAAGTATTCAGGTTGGAGAAGATGGGGTGCATAAAGGAATCCCATTGCCATCCTCAGATCCTTGAATGTGCATCACATAAAGATGAATTTAAACGGTTTTCTGTGGCACCAAGAGCTAGGACTTGAGCCGAAGGGTGTAAGCTATGTGAAACAGTGCTTGGCACACAGTAGGAAACCAATAATAACATTATTTGTGTCTATATAAGAAAAAGCTTTTAACAGAGATTTAGGAGGTAATTATTTGCCAATGCCAAGGCATATCAATCCAGAGTCAAGACAATTATTGATTAAGAAAGAGATTCAAGAACAAGAAAAAAGAAACTCTCATATGGCAACTTTTAAAGCTTCTTTCAACCTCAAGAGTCTAAAGTCATGAAGAGATGTCATTAGCAGGAGCTAACGATTTTTAATTTAATATCTTTTTGTCATTACCTGGTCATCAGATCAAGAGCACTATTTAGGGGTATTTATCTACCAGAGCTGTAAGTCAAGAAGTCACTGAAATTCATGACTACAATGACAGGAATTTGGGTATATTTTTATGTGGGTGTTAACACCTACATTCACTCCACCAGCCAATCATCCCATCTTCTTTAAAAAAAAAAAACAAAACTGAGAGATATGATTGAGTGGAGAATATAACAAAATATGTTGACCACATTAAATCCTTTTTTGATTACCTTCAGCAGAGTGCACATAATGGTACACAGCGACTGTTTGCTAAACATTCATTGTTATTATTGAGGAAATTAGAGCGAAATTGAAATACATGTTTAAAAATTAGCTTTGGGTGAGGTGAAACAAGGGCCTACCATACTGTTATTTTCATTTTCTTCTGTTTTAATTTTAATACATGTTTCCTGAATTGATAGAATACCAAACTAGAAGAAACCTGACCATTAATCTAACTGAAGAAAAATTACTCTCTGTGAATAAACAATTTTTATTCAACATGAGGAAATACTACTGCAGAAGCAAACACTAGCAAATGCCTCAGCAGACAGATATTTTAATGAGTGTCCTGTGATTGTGTAAGCTCTAGATATATAAAATGCATTTTCTTGATTCATTAGAATTTTCACGTTTTAACACAGATGGGTGAAGTCTTAATATTTCTCCAAACTTATGGATCTCTGAGCCCACTCAGTAATCCTGAGCAGTAAATCAATCATATAAAAGGAAAAGCAAGCAATTTACAAAACCCATTATCATTATGCTGCATAAACAGATCAAAATATCTTATGCAGAGTTACCCAGTAGGTTGTACTGCGAATTGCTAGATGATACATATTAAGCCAACCCTAGGATGCCTGTATACCATTATGAAATTTTGTGATTTATATTAACTGTTCAGAAGTATAAGAAAATCTCCAGCTAGGGAAAAACGGCAACACAGCTAAAAGGTCCCCTGGATATCGTGAAGACTGAAGGGCTTTTCTTCTAAGAGAAGCCCTTCATGCTGGACAGCTGCTAGGCATATTCTGCCATAACCTTCCAAATATTTTGTGGTTCACATTCATTTCATGGCTTAATTACTAAATGCTGGCTTTTCTAATCATCCATGGCTTGAAGGCCTGAGGAATTTGCTGTCAAGTCCCCTGGTAAACGTTAAGTCTTTGTTGATGAGTGACAACTAAGGAATCACTCAGAAGTCTGAGAGGCCAAAGAAAATTGGAGGGAAACAAAGATGTAATTTTTGCCCTCTGTAGAACTGAAAATGTTCAAGGGAAAAAGCTCCGATGTGAATATCCTACAGATCCAGCTGCCATTTTCTTGACCCCAACAAAATGCTCTTCAGAAACCTCACTTGTTCTGATACTGAAATGTCTTCTTGTCAATCTCACAAAGCTGTGTTTTCCAACCCTTATGAATGCATTCTTATGACTTATATATAGCTCTGGCTCTTGGAATGAAATTGTTGGGTGACAATAATATTGTTGTTCTAATGTATCAAAGGACTCCTTCATGAGAAAAGTCATGTAATAGTTTTATATATCAAGCAGAATAGGCCCATAAACCAGACTGAAGTATTCTTTCATCAGGGCTTAATTCTATCCAAGATCATTAGAAATCCATCTATGGAAAAATATGGTCGAAGGCACCTTGAGTCTAGAGACTTCGTTCTAAATTTCTGAAGCAAAAAGAATATTAAATGCCAGGTGTAAGGTTGAAAGACATATGTGCAACATATAGTGGGCTTTAGAAACCAAGAAAAGCCAGTTTTCAATCAAGAAAGGAATAATTGACAGAGACATGTGTCTATTTTTGATATTTTCTCCTTTCTTTTAATTTTAAGAATTTTATTTTTAAATTATTTCAGATTTAAAAAAGCAGAAAATATAGTACAAATTAATTATCATACATCTTTTACCCATGTTTTCCTGAATTAAAATTTTACCTCATTTGCTTACTCTTTACTGATAGACACATGGAGAGATAGATATGTGGATTAGATATAGATACTATTTTTTTCTGAACTATTTGGAAATACATTGCAGACATTATGCCCCTTTACCCTTAAATACTTCTGTGTGCTTCTTTTTTTAAACAAACACATTCTCTTACACAACCACCATATAGATATCAAAATCAAGAAATTAACATTGATTCAATATTATCAAATCCACAGAACCTATCCAAATTTTGCCAATTGTCCCAATAATGTCCTTTATAGCACATTTTAAAAAATAATAGTTACTTATCAGGATCCAATCAAGGATTACACATTGCATTTTGTTGTCGTGTCTTTTCAGTCTTTTTAACCTGGAGCAGTTCCTTAGTCTTTCTTATGCCCTTGATAGATTTGAAGACTCCAGGCCATTTATCATTTTGTAGACTGTCCCTCAATTTGGGTTTGTCTGTTTCCCCATGATTAGATTCAGTTATGTATTTTTGGCAAGAAGAACCCAGAAATTATGTGGCTTTCCCTCATTTTGAAAATATTTTATTTTCCAGGCTTTTGTGACACAATGTTCACCTGAATTTGTTCGTATCTCACTGGCTATTTTATCCCTATCTTCTCTAGTATATCTCTAAATATCAGAGAAGCCCAAGATGCTCCATCTACCAACCTGCCTCCAAATTCTGTCTGGGTAGTTTCATCTAATCTCATGGAAATACGTATCCTCATACTAGGCACTCTCCTCTCTTTGCTCCAGACTCGATCTCCTACTCACACCGTTTCTTGAGTGTCAAAAAAGCATCTAAAATTATAACATGAGTGAAACCAAACTATTATTCCTTCCCTTCCAAAATTTACCCCTAGAGGCTCTGAATTGAATAATAAGAAGGGAGAGATTCAGGAGAATATGAGAGGTAAGTGTGAGTAGGGAAATATTATCAGTACAAGGAACTTCATCCCCATTGATTATCCTATATAAGATTGCTACTATCATATCACTAAAGAGTTGACAATCACCTTGGAAAATCTAATCTAATATTGCACAATGTAATCAACCCTTCTACAGGGCTATAACACATTGATGTTATAGTTGCAATGATAAAAAAATCTCACTTTATAAAAAGTCATGTTGCAAAGGCAATCAATTTAACTGGGCAATCCACAGCAATTTAATATATACCTTTGTGTCACCTATGGGGCACATTGTTTTAAAAATTGGCATAATTCAAATTAGGTTGCAAAAAGCACAAAATCGTAACAGTTTACAATTGCAGATACTGAACAAAGGAATGCAATGCAAACTAAACAGGCAGCCACTCAAAATAGCTGTATATCACTATGCTTTCTGCAATATTTTTTTCCTATGCACACACAGTTAGTGACCATGTTATAACTAATAATGGTCTTTATAACACAGATTGTGTTCCTGAATCAATCAATTACATTACACATAATTTAACTTAAAGGAGCACAAGCTGTAGAAACAATATTTGTAATTAACTTCTGTTCTAATGCTCTCACTGACTGGGAGATTTCTGTCTCACAGAGCAGCTCATTTCATTTTATTAATGACTTCATATTAAATCATTGGCTGCCATTCAATAGTTTTTACCCATTGACTCTAAGTTTATTCCTCTGGAGCCACATAGAAGTCTTGTTTCTTCTACACATGGCAAGATATGGAAATGCCTATGTTTCTTCTTTGTTTCATCTATCCTGAGCCAACAAAATCCTGGTTGTTAATGCCTTCTCAATACAAACGCGGACAAAGAAATAGGCCTGGTTGTCTGTGGACTTCACCAGAACAAATGTAGGTATTAGTCCAGAACAATGACATTGATCTTCATGTCCTTCAGCCTCTTCCTGGCATCTCAGTCTGATGGCAATAACATGCCAAGTCCATGTTTACCCTTTGTAATATTCCTTGTGAAATCTTTGCCTAATCCCCACTGCAATTGAAGTTATAGCTACAATCGAAGACTTGGATGTTAGTAGCAAAGTTAGTTGGCTTAGCTCCAAACTCTCACTTGATCTCATTGTTAAGATTCCAAAATCAATGGCTTCCATCTTGGAAGCTATTATAGGTTTTCTATGGCTATTTCACAGCTGATGCTCCACTCTGATGTTCTCAGAAACATCATCTCCATGAAACACATCTTATTCCTGAAGTTGGGAAGCAATTTTCTTTCCCAGAACTTCTCACAGTCAAATGTAATTGTTCTGGCCAAGAAGTGAGCAGATTTTTAATTTAATAGTTTTGCTGAGGTATAATTGACATACAAAATTTACCTGTAAAGTCATCACCACAATTAAGACAGTGAACATACACATTACCCCTCCCACAAATTTCTTTGTACTTCTTTGAAATTTCCCCTTCCCATCCTTCCTTACCCTCCTCCTATACCCAAGCGATGTGATCTGCTTTGTCACTACAGATTTCTTTGCATTCCTCGAGTTTTAAATATACTAAATCATATAGTATGTACTCTTTTTTTGTCTGCTTTCCTTCACTTGGCAAAATTACTTGGAGGTTTACCCATATCGTTGAATGTTAAACTAGTTCATTTGTTTTGGCTGCTGAATAGTATTCCATTGTTTGGATATACCACAATACTTTTATCCATTTGTCTAATAATGAACAGGTGGGCTATTTCCAGTTTTCAGATGTTAGAAACAAACTTAGCAGAGTTATTTTGATCTTTCTTGGATGAGTAGGCTTTGTCAGTGATTATCGTTCTTTTTGGTCTTCCACAGGCCAACTGATTCTTCCAGTTTAAAAATCCCCCTTTTCCAGGAATTTAGAATATGTTCACTAAGTGTCTGTGCTTGTAAGAAACACTAGTACCATATTCAGATATATCATTTTCCTATCTTTTGGACCACTGTCTGTTTTTGCAGAATTTTCTGACCTCTGAGGAAATGTGAATTTACTCTTCCCACAGGTTGGTAAAACTACTTATCTCCTACCAGAGAGTTTTGGGCTTAACTTCTGGAGTCTTGACAACATACACATATTCTTTTTCTAGGAGGTCTAGAATCCCTCAGGAAAGACTTCCAATAATGTGTCTGAAATTCTCAGGATGAATGTTTTCTTAGATTCCCACCCTGATTCTCTTTCTAAAAATAGAAAGGTATTAGGGAAAAAGAGTTCGTTCAATTCTCTTTATTGTGTCAAGTTTATAACTTATAATGAATATTCCTTAATAACTCTTTCTTCTCCCATACTTTCTTCTTTTTTCTCCTTTTTTGTCCTCCTTTCTCATACCCAAATCCTACTAAGGCCAAAGTTTCAAGGAGAAAAACATTAAAAATTATCAAAGCCAATGAGAAGGGCATTTTAATTCTATTTCTTTTTCCAATACCAAGTTCTATTCTTCTGCAACAGTCTTCTAACTTAAATTAAATTTGCAGAAGTACGGGCAATCCAGAAATATTTCTTAACAAAGATATATATATAATAGGGGCTGTCATCTCTGGGAACAGAGCCAGGTCATTTGAGAGCAGTTTCTGGTCTATCACATGTTTGGAAATGTTCTCCATCAGGCAATCCCTCTCCTGTCAGACTACATGAGTGACTGCTATTGATATAACTCAGTGTCGGTTGATCATGAGCAAAGCTAATGGTTCACAAGAAAACCACTCCTCTGTGTGTTCAACAAAATTCTCTCCTCTCTTTTTTGATTCTCAAGCAAATTACCTTTCAGAAGCAGTTGAGAAAAGCACCAATCAAAACCAATTCAATTTCTTAAATTGTGAACGTTTAAGTTTATGGGACAATATTACAGCTATTCATTCATCTTTCACATTAAAATAATTCAGTTCACAAAAGGGCAGATAATATGTTGGGTTTGCTTAGTTTTTTTGGCTCACTCTAAAGACTTCATCCAGAAAAAAAATTGCCCCAAATCGGATAACTGAATGCTATGGCTCTCAACTCCCCCATTCTCTCATGGAGAGCTTTGTTACTTTACCATGTCACTTAACTCCTCTCAATCTCATTTGTTCCATGGTAATTAATATGATACTGTTAATGAAATGATTAAAACATAACAGCCTGAGATACACCTGCAAAGGGCATTACACAGACTACTGAAAGATGTTACATAAGGAGTGTATAGTGCTGTGCAAATGTAGCATCAGTTTTATGTTTAAGAAGGCTCTCCACACTAAGGGAGCTTTCAGATCAATTGGAGCCTAGATCAATTTATCACATGAATTACGAATGCAAGGACAAAGAATGAGAAACAATACATGCATATTAGAGATACAACACTAGCCTAAGCTCAATGCTTAAATATTTATTAGAGATTTGCTCACAGCGCCTTAGACTATAAGACACTTAAATTCAACTCAAACTGGTTTAGTAAGAAAAGAATTTATTGGCTTTTATAACTAAAAAGTTCAAGTAGTGTGTATTAAAGGCATTGCTAGAGCCAGGCAATATTGTCACCAACTTTCCTCTATCAATCTCTCAGCTGTCCTTTTCACCTATGCTAGCTTTATTCTAAGATATGCTTCCATCTCCTGATTGCACGATGGCCACCATCTTGCCCTTAAGTGTACATCAGTGGATAGCAGACAGCTTCTTTTTCCTAGTATTAAAATAAAAATCTCAGATGTGCCAGTTACCAATGTTTTGCCTCTCAGCCCCAAATCCACCCTTTATTGCACTTCTTGTGATACTGAAACATGTTCCTTTTGCCAACAGGAATGATGCTAAGCTTGGTCAGTAGAAGGTGCTGAAGGGACCCTGGAGAGGGAAGAGGCTGCTCTTCCTGGTTGCAGCATGCTTGGCTTTGCTTACTCCCATGGTGCTGGGCTGGCCTGCAAGATACCTAGTGAAACTCCTTCCCTCGGGTGGCTTCCCAGCAGTGAGGAATCTTTGGGAAGAATTTCCCATCTTCCAAGTTTTTTCCTTCATTGGATACTCTCCCTCAGCCCCATGGCATTCTTTAGATTACCCTTTTATCTATTCCTAGTTAATTCCTGGTAAGTCATCAATAATTTTTTTTTTTTTTGAGACAGAGTCTTGCTCTGTTGCCCAGGCTGGAGTACAGTGGCACAATCTCAGCTCACTGCAACCTCTGCCTCCCGGGTTCAAGTGATTCTCCTGCCTCAGTCTCCTGAGTAGCTGGGATTACAGGCACAAGCCACCACACCAGGCTAATTTTTCTATTTTTGGTAGAGACAGGGTTTCACCATGTTGGTCAGGCTGATCTTGAACTCCTGACCTCGTGATCCGCCCATCTCAGCCTCCCCAAGTGCTGAGTCATCAATAATTTTTGTAACAAATCTTCTTGTTCAAATTATCACGTTTTAATTTCCTGATTGGACCCTGGCTCTGAATGACATCTTAGATGTGGTGCTTATTCATTTGGATTCAACAGGCTTGACCACATGTCCTCTACTAAACTAATATTTGTAACCAGTTAAACACAGTAAGCTTATTGGCTCAGCATGGGCCTTGTGTCCACCCCTGGAACCGTGGGGTACAGTTAGAAACATTTAGACTATACAGGCTGAGAATAGGACTGGGGTAGTCTACCAAAATTAAATTATGAGAAATTGATTTTGGGGAGGCACGACCAGCATAAATCATCTAAATGAGCAAATGCTTAAGCAAAGAGAGAGAGAGAGGGAGACTTAATAGGAGCCCTGAAGTCAAGAGCAATCATTTCAAAATATAGGAACACAGTTGACTGGAATAATATAGGCTTCATAGGGAAGAATCTAGATCAGATAAGGGCCTTTCTTCAGCCCCGAGAATTGTGGTTCCCAACAATTTCTTAGTGAAGAGAAATTTAAAACTGGGTCAAAACCATATGTAATCTTGCATTTAAAAAAATAAAAAGAATGTATTGGCTTACCTAACTAAAAAGTTCAGAATTAGGGCAGAATTTAAGCAATACTTGAGCTCTCAGCTTAACACTCACATCAAAGATAAATTTCTTGTTTTTTTTTTTTTTTGCTCTGATTTTTACAACGTTGGCTTTATTCTGAGCTTGGCTTCCCTCCTATTTCCCAAATGCTGCCAGCAGCTCTTGGGTCATCACGCTGCCTTGTCCAGAAAGAAACTAAGAACATCTCTGACGTAAATTTTCCTGCAAAAGTCCTGACACTTTTCTTTTTTTCTTTTCTTTTTTTTTTTGACTACTTTAGTTCACATGTCCACCCTTGAACTGTGAACTGGGTTCAGGGGCTAGAAAAACATGTTGGCTTAGCCTATATTACATCTTCCATTCCTAAAGCTAAGAGTACCACAATCTGGGATTATGGGAAAGTAGAGACTGCATACTAGGAAGCCCGCCAACAGATGTACCCTATAGGAAATAATGAACTACTTTTTCATTACAACCTTATACCTTCTCAATTTGTAAGAAACACCCATTACACTTTACCGCATTTGTTTTTACAATCATATGTCATTTACAAGACTCTAGGTGGGTTCCTTTGATGGCAGGAAATACCCTTTGTCACTCCTCTTTCCCCCAGAATAAACTGTAGAAGCTTAATAAATGTTTGAATACATAAATGATCTTAAACATTATTTAAAGAGGCTTGAACTTTATTCTGCAGATAATAAGGCACTCTCTAAGGGTTTTGATAGAACAGAATTATAATCTAAGATGTTTTAAAACCAGCAATGTTGAAACAAATGGAAAAAAGGAAACTAGTACAGAGGCTATCATGGTTGTCCAAGCAAATGATTCCAAAAAAATCTAATCAATGGCAAAGGCAGTGGGACTGAAGAAGAACGCAATTTCTGAAAATTTTCAGAAGTGGAATAGGATAGGCTTTGATGATTAGTGAAACATGGGGCCTGATGAAGGAATGAGCTAAAGAAAACTCAGTGTTCTCATTTGAATGATCAGGTGAATGGACCAAGAAAAGAAAAAAAAAAAAAAAAGCAAGTAACAAGTTTGCAAGAGAAATTAAAAAGCTCATTATATATAATCTATAGAACTCAATACCTGTTCATAAATACTTGAAGAGGAAGAGCTATTTATTTGTAAATATTTTGCTAGCTTCCCACAAATCAGAGAGGTAATTATTTTTTAATGAATGTTAGCTCTGAGTATATCATGCCAAGAATTGATTACCCTAATGCAACTAGTTTATGTCATGACTTCTCCCATTTATATTTGGCTTAGCATGTTTTTATTTTGATATCTAGGTGGCCTACAGAATTTCTTGAGACAGCTGCCTCTAACAGTAAGAGAATACACAGTGATGGATAATAGCCAAATCCACTAAAGCAGCCTGTGAGCAATGCTAAAGACTGGGGATAGGAAGAATATGGATTTTGTTTTCCTGCTGTTAAATTTTTACATCTGAGCAGGGATGAGCTAAAATCCCTGACCACACTCCTTCAGAAATTATATTTGCCATTGGTTTCCTGCCGATGGATATTGATAGAACAGAGTGTTAAACTAGCTGTCTAGTGGCTAGCTTTTTACTTCCTTTTCTCCACTGATCTCAAAAGAGGTGAATTCTTGTAGTCAGAGTAGGGAGGGGCTTTGGAGCATAGCTTTGGATCAGGACAGATCTGGGCTTGAATTGGATATCAACTATTTGTTATCTGTGACACTGTGAATACATATTCCATTCTCTTTAAGCCTCGGTTACCTTATCTCTAAAAAGAGTATAATAGCTGTTACTTAACTCATTGTTGTAAGAATTAATATATGAAAAGCACTTAGCACAGTGCCCAAATAAGACCAAATGTTATCAAATGGGTTCAGACATTACTACTACTATTTCAATTGTGAATGAAACATGCTATAGTTTGGATATTTGTCCCCACCAAGCCTCATGTTGATATGTAATCCCCAGTGTTGGAGATGGGGCCTGGTGGGAAGGTGTTTGAGTCATAAGGATGAATCTCTCGTGGCTTGGTGCTGTCCTCATGTTAGTGACTGTGTTCTCATGAGATCTGATTTTTTAAATATGTGGCACCTCCCCCACTCTCTCTTGTTTCCACTCTGCCATGTGAGATGCCTGTTCCCCCTTTGCACTCTTCCCTGAGTAAAAGCTCCCTGAAGCCTCCCTAGAAACAGAGCAGACACTGGTACTTTGCTTTCTGTAAAGCCTACAGAACTATGAGCCAATAAAACCTCTCTTTTAAAAAAAAAATAAATTACCAAGCCTCAGATATTTCTTTATAGCAATGCAAGAATGACCTAATACAGAAACTTGGTATTGAGGAGTGGGGCATTACTATAAAGATACCTGAAAATGTGGAATTGACTTTGGATAACAGTAATAGGTTCCAGTTGGAAGAGTTTGGAGGGCTCAGAAGATGATAAGAAGATGAGGGAAAGTTTGGAAGTTCTTAGAGACTGGTTAAATGGTTATGACCAAAATGCTGATAGTGATATGGACAGTGAAGTCCAAGCTGACAAGTCTCAGATAGAAATTAGGAACTTATTGGGAATTGGGGCAAAAGTCATCTTTGTTATGTCTTAGCAAAGAACTTGGCTGCATTGTATTCATGCCCTAGGGATCTGCAGAAGTTTGAACTTAAGAATGATGACCTAGAATATCTGGCAGAAGAAATTTCTAAGTAGCAAAGCATTCAAGATGTGGCGTGTCTGCTTCTAGCAACCTATGATCAGATGTGGGAGAAAATAGCTGACTTAAAGTTGGAACTTATATTTAAAGGGGAAGCAGTGTGTAAAAGTTTGGAAAATTTGTAACCTGGCCAAGTGGGCAGAGAAAGAAAAAGCTTTTTCAGGAAAAGAATTTAAGCAGGCTGTGGAGCAATCACTTGCTAAAGAAATTTGCATAACTAAATGGGAGCCAGGTGCAGATAGCCAAGACTATGGGGAAAAGGCCTTGAAGGCATTTCAGAGATCTCTGGGACAGCCACTCCCATCACAGGCCCAGAGGCCCAGGATAACCTACTGATGTCAGGAGCCAAGCCCAGGGCCCCACTGCTCTGCACAGTCTCAGAACACTGCTCCCCACATCTCAGCCACTCTCACTCTAGCCTCAGCACAAAGTGTCCCAGTTACAGCTTAGGCTGCTGCTTCAGATCATGCAAGTTGAAAACCACATGGTATTAAGCCTGCAAGTGCACAGAGTACAAGAGTAAGGGGGGTTTGGCAGCCTCTGCCTAGATTTCAGAGAATGTATAAGAAAGACTGGGTGCCCAGGCAAAGCCTACTGAAGGGGCAGAATCCTCACAAAGAACCTCTACTAGGGCAGTGCCAAAGGGAAATGTGAGATTGGAGGCCTCACACAGATTCCTCACTGCAGTACTACCTAGTGGAGCTGCAAGAAGGGGACCACTGTCCCCCAGACCCCAGAAGGGTATATCCACGAGTAGCTTGTACCCTGCACCTGGAAAAGCCATAGGCATTCAATGCCAACCAGTGACAGCAGCCATGGGGGCTGAACCCTGCAGAGATACAAAGATGGAGCTGTCCAAGGCCTTAGGAGCCTAAGGATGCACTGGCATTCTTGCACCAGTGTGCCCAGGATGTTGGGCATGGAGTCAAAGGAGATTATTTTGAAGCTTTGAGATTTAATGACTGCCCTGCTGGGTTTTGAACTTGCATGGGGCCTATAGTTCCTTTCTTTTGTCTAATTTCCCCTGGAATGGGAATGTTTAGCCAATGCCTACAACCCCATTGTATCTTGGAGGTAAACTTGTTTTGATTTTATATCTCATAGGTGGAAGAAACTCACTTCCAGATGACCCTTGGGACTTTAGATTTTTGAGTAAATACCAGAATGAGTTAAGACTTTGGGGGGACTGTTGGGAAGGCATGATTATATTTTGCAATGTGAGAAGGACATGGGATCTGGGGGAGTCCAGGGATGGAATAATATAGTTTGGATATTTGTCCCCACTCAAATCTCATGTTGAAATGTAATCTCCAGTGTTGGAGGTGGAGCTATGTGGGAGGTTTTTTGATCATGGGGGTGAATCCCTCATGGCTTGGTGTTATCCCCATGGTAGTGAGTGAGTTCTCATGAGATCTAGTTCTTCAAAGTATGTGGCACCTACCCCACTCTCTCGTTCCTGTTCTGCTATATGAGATGCCTGCTCCCCCTTTGCTTTCTGCCATGAGTAAAAGCTCACTGAGGCCTTCCCAGAAGCTGAGCAGATGCTGAAGCTGTGCTTCCTATAAAGACTAAAAAACTGTAAGCCAGTTAAACCTCTTTTCTTTATAAATTACCAAGCCTCAGGTGTTTCTTTATAGCAGTGCAAAAAAGGCCTAATGCAGAATACTCTTCAACTATAAAAAAGAATGAGATCCCATCATTTGCAACAACATAAATGGAACTGGAGGACATTATGTTAAGTGAAGTAAGCCAGGCACAGAAAGATAAACTTTACATGTTCTCACTCATTTGTTGAAGCTAAAAATTAAAACAATTGAACTTATGGAGATAGAGTAGAAGGATGGTTACCAGAGGCTGGGAAAAGTAGTGGGAGCAGCAAGGGAAAATGGTTAATGGGTATACAACTATAGTTAGATAGAATGAATAAGATCTAGTAGATCTAGTCTTTGATAGCATAACAGGGTTCTTAGAGTCAACAAAAATTTATTGTACATTTAAAAATAACCAAAAGAATATAATTGGAATGTTTGCAACACAAAGAAATGATAAATGCTTGAGGTGGTGGATATCCTATTTCCCCTTGTATGATTATGAAGCATTGTATGACTGTATCAAAATAGCTCATGTACCCCAAAAATATATACACCTATTATGTATCCATAAAAATTAAAATACATATAATTGTGAGATGTAATTTGGAACTCAGTGGGACCCCATTCTCTTAATATACAGATAAGGAATTTATTGTGAGAGCTATTTATCCATCTCCTCATTCTGAATTTCTTGGGAACTAGCAAGGAATATGGAATAGTGGAAATAAATGAGGATTTGAAGACTCAAAGATCCAGGTCCAAACATGTTTTCCATCATTTTTGGCCCATTTAAACATTGATGATAATAGTACTTCTTTCCATCAAGGTTATAGAGTTATTCGATAAGAGAGCTGTAGGTAGAATGAGCTCAATGAGATTAGGGCTTTTATCCTTGTTCACTGGTATACCCCACAAATTTTACCTAGTGTCTGGCATGAAATAGGTACTCAACCAACATTAGATGGTACTGAGGTAATTTGTGCTTTGCCTGGTTCTTAGTAGGTCTCCATTAAATCTTATTCTCTCCATTTTCCACTCCTCCATTAGCTAGGAGTCCAAGGAGTCCAAGGACAGCCTTGGAGCACAGAAACAGAATTGTCAGAGATATTGGGCTTCAATTTTTTTTAAAACAAAGCTATAGCTAGTCCATGAGCCAATTCCACTCTTCAGATATTTTTTGTTCTACACAGCTCTGTTAAGAGGTTTTAATAAGTTTCTAGCATTTAGGAGAATAAAATATTTCACATCAATATCTGAATTCTAGGTCCAGAAAAGTTGGAAAATCTGGCAATGCATGAGTATATTCTCAAGAGTCAGCAAAAAAGCAAGAGATCTGCTCCCTTTAAACACGGCATATGTGTCCCAATTTACCACGACCTCTGCCACTCCCTACTGTTCTCTGACACTGTAGTTGACTTGCTATTCATTATCACCTTTTCTCTACTGTTTTCTTATATCCAAATGCCACTCTATATTACCTCCCTGATTACTGAAGGTATTGCCTCTGTCACCTCTGTTCTATAGTTTTAAAATGGTCAATGAGAAAGAGATGGATCAATGCATAATTTTAAGCCTATGGTTGGAATGGAGATTTAAATACAAGGTGAGGATCAGGTGGACATTCATGTAATAGTCCTTTCTCTTGCTCAGATGATAATGATAAAGCTATGTCAAAGTAGGGTTTATATTTTAAAATAAAGTTTTCCTAATCTGTGAATGTCAATAACATAAATATCACCACTGATACCATAGAAACCCTGAAATATTTGGGATATTTCATAAATGTTTAAATTTAAAACCCTGAATGTCTTTATAGCAACGGCATATCTAGAAACATTGACTGTGCTTATGCTTTGGTACTGAATCTTAAATAATTTCATGGACCAATGGCATCTGAATCAGTAGTCAGCTACAGAGGGGGTGACAAAGAGTATTTGCTGCTTTTGTGACCATTGCTATCAAAATGACTGTGATATGTTTTTCCTAGTCTTTGTTTATGGAAATTAGCAATTTGTGGCCTCAAGAATTTTAGGATTTATCATCCTAAGATAAGATGATGAGAAGCAAGAAAATGTAATCCTTTGCAACTAACTTTAAAACATCCGGGCTCATGGGATGTGGAATAAGTGAAAGCTACCCAAAATCTAAGCAGAGAAGAAGGAGAAATGTGGGAAGGAGAGAAGAGAAAAATTCAAGTAGCCCAAGATTTTATCCTCATTTTTTTCAGGTTATAAAAGAAAACTGCAAAAAGAGAGGGGAATGAAAAGGAGGAGGAATAGGAAAGAAAGAGGAATGAGAAGGCAGAACAGGAGAAAATAATTAGTTGTAGAATTGATAGGAGTTTTATCTTTCCTTTTCTCCCTTTTGGAGACCACATAAAAGTAAAAAAAAAAAAATCAAGATCATAAAGAGTTTACAAGGAGCCCTTATTTGATGAAATATGTCGGCCTATATCAGCCTAGGAATCTATGAAAACTCTAACTCTTAGGAACTTGTTCTTGACTTACAATTGTCCCTATCATGAAAGCTAGCAATAAAAAAAATTCATCTTTAGTTTCAATTGATTTCCCTCTCCACATGCAAGAACATAAAACTTCTTTCCTCAGGACTCAGTACTTTAAAGTCTTAAATTGACTCACAGAGTTGTGTTAGATTTTATTAATGAACAAATAAAAAGGAATGTAGGGTACAGGAAACCTGATTATGGCCATAGATACAGCTATTTTCTCCTCTATCATATATCATAAATAAAGTTAATATTTTGACGTTCATCTGAGTCATCTATTTATCTATTCCTTATTTCTGAACCTAGAGAGGCAAGAGAGAAGTGTTATTTATTGTTTCATAAAACTTCCAATTAGTGAATCAACTGGGAACCTTGATAGATAGTTATTAGCACTGATATTTAGAGACTGAGATAGTTCATGGAATCCATGGAGACATGATGGATATTGGTTGAATCAGGGCAGGAAGATGAGACTTTAAGCTTCAGTGTTTCATAAACTCAAGCTTCTCTGTTTATTTTATGTTGGTAATTCATAATAGCTTCCATGGTGATTATGCAGCTGTTTTTTAATAAGTATGAGCTGTGGGACCTCTGCAAGTTCCTTTGACTGTTTTTATGGGCACAAATTGGCTTTAGCAGGGACTATATCGACATTCATTCATTCAAATGCACAAATATTTGATGAGGACTCACTAAGTGCCAGGCACTGCTCTGAGTTCCCAGAACACATCAGGGAGCAAAGAGTAGGTAAAGGTAAAGAGGAACAGGAATTTCACAGGTTAGAGGAGGGTTTCCAATATAAAAACTGTAAGACATGACAGAGAAGATCACTGTATAATGATAAAGAGATCAATTCTTCAAGAGAATATAACAATTTTACATATATATGCACCCAACAATGGAGTACCCAGATACATACAGGAAACATTGTTAGGGCTAAAGAGAGATATAGGCCTCAAAACAACAATAGCTGGGAACAACACCCCACTTTCAGCATTGGAGAGGTCCCTCAGACAGAAAATCAGCAAAGAAACATCGAACTATGTCTTTTGATTGGAGTGTTTAGTCCATTTACATTCAATGTTATTAATCATAAGTAAGGACTTATTCCTTCATTCTTGTCTTCCTCTAGTGAAGATAATTTTCTCTGGTGATATTATTTAGTTTCTTGCTTTATATTTTTTGTGTATCCATTGTATTTTTTTTTTTTTGGTTTGAGGTTACCATGAGGCTTGCAAATAACTATCTTATAACCCGTTATTTTAACCGATAACAACTTAACACTATTTGCATAAAGAAGCAAAAAGAAAACTATTAAAACTCACCTTACCTTTGTACCCTGCTTTTTAACATTTTGTTTTTTCTATTTATATATTACTGTACTGACTATGTCTTGAAAAGTTGTTGTAGTTATTGTTTTGGATTGGTTCGTCTTTCGTCTTTCTATTTAGGATAAGAGTAGTTTATACACCACAGTTATAGTACTATAATATTCTGTGTTTTTCTGCATACTTATTATTATGAGTGAGTTTTGTACCTTCAGGTAATTATTTATTGCTCATTAATATCCTTTTCTTTCTGATTGAACTATTCCCTTTAGCATTTCTTGTAGGACAGGTCTAGTATTGATGAAATTCCTCAGCTTTTGTTTGTCTGGGGATGTCTTTATTACTTCTTCATGATTAAAAAATATTTTCACAAGATACACTATGCTAGGGTAAGTTATTTATTTTTCCTTCAGCACTTTAAATATATCTTGTCACTCTCTCCTGGCCTGTAAAATTTCCAGAGAAAAGTCTGCTACCAGACATACTGGAGCTCCATTATTTATTATTTGTTTCCTTTCTATTACTGCTTTTAGGATTCTTTCTTTATCCTTGATCTTTGGGAGTTTTATTATTGAATGCCTTGAGGTAGTCTGCTTTGTGTTAAATCTCCTCAGTGTTCTAGAACCTACTTTTACTTGGATATTGATATCTTCCTCTAGGCTTAGGAAGTTCTCTGCCATTATCCCTTTTAATAAATTTTCTACCCTTATCTGTTTCTCTACCTCCTCTTTAAGGCCAACAACTCTTGGATTTAACCTTTAGAGCCTATTTTCTAGATTCTGTAGACATGCTTCATTGTTTTCTTTCATCTCCTCTGTATATTTTCAAATAGACTGTCTTCAAGCTCACCTATTCTTTCTTCTGCTTGATATATTCTGCTGTGAAAGGACTCTGATGGATTTTTCAGTATGCCAATTGCATTTTTCACCTCCAGAATTTCTGATTGATTCTTTTTAAATGTTTCAATCTCTTTGTTAAACTCATCTGATATAATTCTGAATTCTTTCATTGTTATCTTGAATTTCTTTGAGTTTCCTCAACACAGCTATTTTGAATTCTCTAACTGAAAAGTCACATATTTCTGTTCCTCCAGGGTTGATTTCTGGTGCATTATTTATTTCACTTAGTAAGGTCATGTTTTCCAGGATGGTGTTGATGCTAGTAGATGTTCTCTGGTGTCTGGGCACTGAAGAGTTAGGGCATTTATCGTAGTCTTCACTGCCTGGGCTTATTTGTAGCCATCCTTCTTGGGAAGGCTTTCCAGATATTTGAAAGGACTTCGATATCGTAATCTAAGATGTTTCTACTTTATGGGGCACCCCAAGCTCAGTAATGTCCTAGTTCTTGTAGACTTGTAGAGGAATCACCTTGATAGTCTTGGACAAGATCCGACAGAATTCTTTGGATTACCAGGCAGAGACTCTTCTCTTCCCTTACTTTCTCCCAAACATACAGTCTCTCTCTCTTTTCTTGAAAACCTACATCTGGGGGTGGAGTGACACAAGTGGCCACCATCACTATGACTGACTGACCTGAAACCAGCACAGAGCTCGGTCTTGCCCAAGGCCTGCTGTAACCACTCCCTGGCTATTGCCAATGTTTGCTACAGGCCCTGGGTCTCTACGATCAGCAGGTGGCAAGGCCAGCCAGGCCTGTGTTCTTCCCTTCAGGGTGGCAAGCTCCTGCTGGCCCTGAGTGGGTCTAGAAGTACCCTCTGGGAGTCAAGGACAAAAGTCAAAAACTTTAGAAGTATACCTGGTATTATATTGTATTGCAGCTAAACTGGCACTCAAACCAGGAGATGTAGCCATTTCCACTCTTCTCTCCCCTTTCCAAAGGCAAAGGAGACTCACCCCATAGCCAACACTGCCTCTGGCCAGGAGTACTGCCAGACTGCCACTGATGTTCCCTTAAAGCCCAAGGTCTCTTAAGTCAGTTTGTGGTAAATGCTGTCTGGCCTGGGACTTATACTTTAGGGCAGTGGGTGCCCCTCTGACCCAAGGCAGGTCAAGAAATGCCATCCAAGGGTCAAGTCCTGGAATCAGGAACCCCAAGAGCCCGCTTGGTGCTCTACCTACCTGTGGCAGTCTTGGTACCTAAGGTGCAAGACAAAGTCCCCTTTTCTTTTCTCTCTGCTTTTCTCAAGCATAAAGACTTTTGCACCATAGCCACCATGGCTGGTAATGTGCTGAGTCTCACCTGAAGCCAGCAAGTCTCAGAGGCTCACCAAGTCCCTCAGTGTAGTACCTGGGTATTGCTGCTCGTTACTCAGGGCCCAAGCGCTCTTTAGTTAGCAGCATAACCCAGGGGGTTCAAGGCAGCAGATTCCCTTCTGAACTAGGGTGTTTCTAGAAATGCCATCTGGGAGCTAGGGCCTGGAATGGAGGCCTCATGACTCCGACCAGTACATTATCCTGCTGTGGCTGAGCTGTTTCCAGGAGGCAAGACAAAGTCCTCCCTATTCTTCCCTCTCCTCTCATCAAGCTGAAGGAAGGAGTCTCTTTTGGAGCTACCAGCTGTGCAGCCTAGGATTAGGAAAGGGGTGATGCCAGCACTCCTTTGGGCTTCCCCAGCTGGTGTCTTAGTATGTTGTGTGCCCCCAAAAGTCCACTCTCTCTGGGCATAGTTCAGCCCTACAACTTGCCTAAGATTTGCAGGTCTTACGACCTAGACTACCTTTCAAGTTTACTTGGAGACTGAGAGCACTTTGGCTGTTGATGGTCAGGTTTGTGGGCACTCAAGATTAGACCTCTGGAATCTGCGATTCCCCTCTGTCTAGGGCTGGTTGAAATCCTCCCTCTGTGGGTGGGAGTCAACTGAATTTGCTCTGGTTTTCCTTTCTGCTGTAACAGAAACAGCGCTGAGTTCAATGCCTCACAATTGCTGGGTTCTCCCTTCCCCAGTGCCCAGAGAGGCTCCCTACACCATGCTGCTGAGGCGGGGCGTCGGGGGTGGGGGGTTAGGGAGTGTGGGGGTGTTGATAGGGGAGGTGTAGCATCAGCAATTCAGGTTGTTTTTTCTAACTCTTCAGTGCCTCCTTTAGCGATAGTAAGTTAAAACCAGGTATTATGAGTGCTCACCTGATTTTTGGTTCTCGTGAAGGTGTTTTTTCCATATGGATAGTTGTTAACTTAGTGTCCTTGCAGGAGAGATGATTGGAGGAGCTTTCTATTTTACCATTTTGTTCTGCCACTCCAACTACCAAAAGAAATATTTTTATTTGATCAGAGACAGTGACTTGAGCTGCAAGGATATCTTCAAAGAAAGAGAGGTAAAATTTCAGAGAGTAAATAAAATGACTTCTCCACAAGGATTCAAGACCCAAGAAAACATAGTCATGCATAGGAGGCTGAGGCAAAAGAATCGCTTGAACCCGGGAGGCGGAGGTTGCAGTAAGCCGAGATCACACCATTGCACTCCAGCCTGGGCAACAAGAGCGAAACTCCATTTCAAAAAAAATTAAAAAAAAAAACATAGTCATACACTGCATAACAACATTTCAGTCAACTATGAACTCCATATACGACAGTAATCTCATAAGATTATAATGGAGCTGCCTTGTAGAAGTCTACCATTTTATACCATAGCTTTACCTTTTCTATGATTAGATATATATAGATACACATTTTTTTTACTATCGTGTTACAATTGCCTACAATATTCAGTACAGTAACATGCTGTATAGGCTTGTAGCCTAGGAACAATAGGCCATATCATATAGCTTAAGTGTTTTTGCTCAAGGACAGAATGACTTAACAGCATATTTCTCAGAAGATATCCTCATTCCTAAGCAATGCATGTCTATGCTTGGAAGTGCTTTTTAAAAGCTACAGATAGAATATCTACTATGCAAGTTTACAAAGAACTGTGTCTATGAAAATGGGGCCAGAAGAACCAAGGAGCTGCAGAAAATGTAGACTAATCTGTAAAGATCAACAAAAGTTATGTCAAGTGTAAATAGACAAGTTTTAATACACCACAGTTATTTTATTATAAGTGGGTTATAGGTATTGACTGATGTCTGAAGGAAATTCCTGAGAAGTTTATGGAATGAGAACTCCTAGGGACTAAGGGTGACCATATAATTTATTATCCAAACTGGGACACTTTTGAGACTGAAAAGGGGAATTATTAATAATGTATTAATTTCCTAGGACTGCAGTAAATAATTACCACAAATTTGGTGACTTATAATTACATAAATTTGTTTTCTTATTGTTCTGGAAGCTACAAGTCTGAAATACAAATGTCAGCAGGTCTGTTCCTGCTCTGTAGTCTCTGGAGAAGAATTCATTCTTTCCTTTTCCTACTTTCTGGTAACTCCCAGCAATCCTAGATATTCTTTGGCTTGTGTTATTAGATATTCTTCGGATATTCTTTAGCTTGTATTAATAGCTGTATCACTTCAATTTCTGTCTTTCTATTCACATGGACTTCTATGTCTCTGTGTCTTCCCTTTATCTCTCTTATAAGGACACTCATCATTGAATTTACAGTTTACTCCACCCTAATACAGGTTGGTCTCATCTTGGGATCTTTACCTTGATTACATCTGCAAATACCCTTATTTCAAATAAGGTCACATTATGTAGTTCTCAGTGGGCATATCTCTTTTTGGGGGGGACACTATTCAACCCACTACAAATAATTTCACCATGACAATAGGACTGTCCTGGGAAAACCAGGGAAATAATAATAGACCTAAAGAGAAAGTACAAGAAAGATAAGAACTACTTAAAAATAACGAATGACAGGACAATGATCGAACAGGCCCAGTCCTATGTTGGAGGCTAGTTGAATGGAGATTTTTTCTGAGTGAGAGTTCCTTACTACTTTGTTATAGATGCTGGTAACACAGTTGTTATATATTTGTAAAAATTCAGTGAACTATATGTGTATACTGTTTTCTGAATCTGTAACTCTACTTTTACTCTTTTTTTAAAGGCTCATACGTTTGTTTTTCTAACATATCTTCCTATATTATTTTCTTACTCATAAAGGTGAAGGAAGACAAGATTTTCTTGAACAATGGATGCATTTGGCGGACCAAATCTCAATATCTTCAGATCTCTAACATTGGTTGGTACTACATGGGGATACATTGGAAATAAGGCATCAATTCTGGGAAAACATTTTGCTCAGAAAACTGAAACTCACTCTTAAGTAGATTATCTCAAAAGCAAGGCTTTTGGAAATCTCATTGTGGTTATAGATGCAAATTTAAAGCTAATGTTTTATCTACCAAATATAAAGCTCATGTTTTATCATCATTAGTCTGATTCATGTATCTATTCCTCAAATACCCCAAACTTGGCAGGGTTGGAGAGGAACATTATTAACTGGAAAGAAAGATGGGAAGCACATGAGAGAAGATCTTAAATTACAAATTATAATGACTGAGACATTTTTAGAAGGTTTATAAGACTATTTGAGGGCAGAAGAGGATACTGTTGTGCAGTAGGCCTTCCCCTTCAAATCCCTGGTTCTAGGTAGAACAATTTATACCTCAGATTTTCATCTGTGCCTAAGGCATAGATAGTGGGTATGTAGGCAATTCAATAGTCATCCTACTCTCATGGGTTCAGAGGCAGGTGGCTTCACTACATTTCATGACAAAGGAGGCTATGTTGAGTTTAATACTTTGGTTCTGAGACATCATATGTAAATTTTATTCCTCAAAAAACATTTTGAAATTTTTTTTCTAGTCTTTTTCTCATTCAGTTTTGTTATTTACTTCCAAGTTGAGGAAAGTTTTTGAAAGGCTATTGGAAATTAATAGAGAATTAAGCATTATTACTAATTTAAGTAAATAAATGTCACTGGTATTCTCTTCTGACCTGGAGAGAATAGCAATGACATTTATTTATTTAAATACCAATAACATTTATTTATTTAAATTGGTAAGGATACAAACCATTTGTTGTATTATTTTACAAAAAATAAATCAGAATTGTCACAATTTTATTTAAGATCTGATTCCTCTAACTCTGTCCCCACCCAACCTCTCTCTCACATTATTCCCCATAAAGAAGAATTTCCACCCTTAAATCTCCTACCAATGAGACTTCACACCCTTGCTGTTGGGAACACATATTGTACCCTGGTTATCATCTCATGTCTTTGTACTTGCTTGTCCCCAGCACGGGGTAGTCCTGGCCCAAATCTTCACATTGTTGGCTCTTCTATAGCATTCTATTATCCTGTTTAATTTTCTTTACAGCATATGAAATTTTCTTATTTCATCATTTGTTCACTTATTTGTGTTAGAAAAACTGCATGAGAGAAGGTACATCAATATATGTCCAGCCCAGAGGAGTGATTGGTAAATATATGATAAATGAATGTCCTCAGAACAAGAAAATAAAATTTTTTTTCTACCTTTTTTTTTTCAGTTCAAGATTATAGCTCAGTGGCTAAAGAAGAAAAACTCCAGTGTTTTCCCACCTATAAATTAGCTTATGAGGTAATCGGAAAAAGACAAGACTTAAGAATAAAATAATAAAGACTACAAGGCAAAGATTTCTAATACCTAAAAAGAGGAACAAAGAATATATGTTGATGAAGAAATTCATCTATAGACATATCAGGTTGAACTCGAGTAGGAGAAATTCTCATTTTCAAGGAAGGTCACAGAAGTGGAAAACACTTACTTTGAACTACTAATCCTGGAATTTCAGGCAAAATGCAATACAATTTAAGTTATTGAGTCAGAGAGAAATGGGCAGAAGGAATGGAATTCTCTTAAGAAAAAGAATTTAGTGCTGGGATTGTTCTTACAGTAGAAAATGCTGTGCATGTTTGCAAATCAGGAAATGAATGAGAATTCAGTTTTTCAGAACCTTCCTTACAAGGGGTTCTTACATGAGAAATTCCTAATGTTATTTTTAATAAGTGGTTATAATATAATAATGGTAATAACAATGATGAGTAATTACAATAGCAACTGTTCAATTTTTATGTAAAAGTATTTTAAAAGAGAGAAACTTAGATGAGTTTTTTTCCAACCCACTACAGATTAAATAGATCTTATCTCAGTTGAAAAAAATCACTTTAGAAAAAATGTCATCAACTTTTGCATCTCTTTGGCAGATAAACTCTACAATTCCCTTTATAACCTCACACATCTGTCCATGAGGGGTGTACACACAGTTGGACCTTTTCCACACTTTCTGATTTGGGAAATGTCTAGAGAAGTTCCTTTGCATGCTCAGGAATGCACTGACTGAAGAAACAGCACACTTACTGCTGGCAAGACTCTGAAATAATGGGTATCGTGGCATGGTTTGGGAAAGTTGCTTGCCATGGAATGTGTGGTTCAGGCAAATCGTTTATCATAACTTGCAACCCCTGTTCACCTTCCAACTGTCCCTTAATCAGACCTGTTTGTCCAGAATAGTGGTAAAGTGGTGGTTTGGAACCAGACAGTCCTAGTCTCAAATAAGACACACTGCATTTCAGAATATCAGTCTGTCTATGTGTGGAGTGAGGAAAATAGTCCATCAAGGTTATAATACATATAAATCTTCTTGTTCATAGTTGATTTTCAATAAATATTACCCATTGTCATAAACTTCTAATGGAAACAGTACAAGAATGAAATCATAGTTCTCTTATCCATTTCCTTTGGGTGACCGTTTATGTTTTCTCTAATAAATTGCCAGAAAATCCCATTTTTAAAAAATGACAGACGGTCTGTTCTTTTGTAAATCACTGGTTATGAAGACTGAGTCAATTGGCTGCCTTACTCTTCTCTCCTCATTGTCCCAGAAAAGAGATGCCTATGTTTTCAGCCCCAGTGGATTCCCAAATCTCAGGCCCCCAACCCCCAAAAATAAAACAAAGACAAAGACATGAAATGTATAACCAAGAATGTTTAGAAATCCTTCTTTCAAAATCATTGCTAATGACTTGATAATTACTCCAAGGGTTTGTCAAGCATGCATCACATGTGTTCACATTTGGGAACTGATTATTTCAAAATCATCTTATTTTGCTTTAGTGTTTCAGCTCCTTCAGATGTCTGCTGAAGATTTACTGAAGAAATACAAATTGGTGGCATGTTGATTAGTCAATTATGTTACATACTAGCCATTCATATGAAGAGTGTGAAGGAAGAGTGTGGCAGGAAGATTTCCTCAAACAATACTCAGAAATGTGGAAGGTTTAATATAGTGATACTAAGGCCACAGTTCACTGTATCTTTGAATAGCACTCCTTAAAATACAATGCTCTCTCACATGTCATTCATGATTCCACTAGTGCTAATAATTACACTGTGATGGAGTTATTATCAGCACTGTCTTAAAGGTCAATAACTGAGCCACCAGAAATCTCATATGCATGTTATCTAATGAGTGGCAGATCCTGCACTTAAACTCATGTAAAGTTAAAACATGCATACTCACTAAGAACCAGGGGCTTTTCATATGATATTTATTCCTCAAGGCAACCATACAAGAAGGGTGACATTTTCTTAGATTTTGGAAAACTAAGACACTTGCCCTCAATATATATCTCTTGTCTGAAAGTACTTAGGTAAAAGGAGCATTCGGCGAACGGATGGATAACAAGGTATCTCACCTAATCAAATAAAGAGTGAAAAAGTTAAATATATCAAATATAGGAGTGGAGTTGAGCCCCATGAAGAGCTGAGTATAGGAACTTGAATAATGCCAAGATGTTCTCTGGCTCATTTCCACATCTTATTCTGATAACTTCATTTTCTCTCAGTGAGGTTAGGCTTTCTCCATGTGGTGGGTGTCAGTATCCCTAAGTCTCCTATGCCTCAGCTTCACCACTAAAAATGAGAACCTTTATTTTTTTCCCCTCAGATCCTTTAGTAAAAATCTAGGCGAATAACCTATTTGCTCAATTTGGTATAGGTGCCTAATAATGGACAAATTAATTGTGATCAGTGGGACAGGGCCATCTGGGAACATAGTGAGTTACTCTATCTATGACCACATCATTGGAGTGGGTAAAGGAAGGGGTGTTCTATTCTGAGAAGAATGGGAAAACTCTAGGTAGGTAAAACAACAAATATCTGTCTCAAGACTGTAATGTATCAGCCTGATCTTCTGCCTTATGGATCATAAGCCTCTTGAATCACAATTCCCATATTTATCAAAGGTGGATGAAGCCTGTTATTTAAAGAAAGTAAAGGTAAGGGGGAAAGGGGAAGGGGAGCAAGAGAGCTGGGTCATGTTACATGTACGGCCATCTATATGTTTACAACAATTTATTTTATGGAAGAGGAAACTGAGGCTCAGAAAAGTAACTTGTACAGAATTATAGAGCTATTAAGTGACAGAAGCAAGATCTGAACCCAAGTTGACTGTCTCCAGAGCCCATATCCATAACCACTAGCCCCAAAAACCTCTCAACAAAAATGGAGAACAAGAAACCACTAGACAGAACAGGGAAGAGAAGCTGTTTTTTCAAGGCCATCCAGAGACTGATGTGCAATGGCCAAGCAACAGGGATTATAGAGGGCTCTGCTCTTGGCCAACTGTGTGATCTTGCACAAGTGCTTGACCTCCCTTAGCCTGTTTCCTCATTATCAAGAAAACAGATGGGACAGGCTCAAACATTCCTAGAGTCTGTTATGCCATACAGTCAACTGCATCAAAAACCCCAGGGAGGTGGCTTCGATTCCTATTCTTTTTCTAAAACATAGTCCTTCTAGGTGAACTGGAGACTATGTGCTGAGATTCTTCCCAGGTTTGCCTCCCCAGCTGCATGTGGCACACACGAGGCATGGTTAGATGATCTATTTTCTATGTATGTTTGTAGCCAGTTGTTCAGCTCCACTGTGATAAAATCATGAATCATTGTTACTGGATCTCAGTGAAGCAAATATGATGAGGCAGGAAAAATTTCTCAGAACACATACCCCAGAGAGACTACAAATGAACCATTGCGTTATTGTCTTTTTTCAAATCATGAGATCATTCTGATTCTTTCACACTTTTTCATGACACACACTCTTTCATTCCCCAACTTATACACACCCCAAGTTCGGTCCTTGTCTTCCTACCCAAACTCTTAACTCAGGACAAACTTTGACTCAAATGCAGACCCTAATGTGTGATACCTAGCCCATCTAGCCAGTAAGGTGAGGGCCAGAGCTGGCTACAAAAAGACAATCTTAATGAATCCTCTGCTGAATAGGAAATGTGCTCTGTTTGTGAAGCTAATTAACTGAATTCATTTAATTGAAAGATGGTGCGAGAATTCTGTTTTCTTTCAGAAAAGGCTGAAGGAATTGAAGAGAAAAATCCTCACCCAATAGCATGCCCCTGACTATATGTCACTGGGAAGTCACAGCAAATGCTCTGAAGGTACTGAATATATGTTTCCAATTGCTTTTTAGCTTTGTAATTACAAGGATCTAAAAAACCTTGATTTGACTTTTTAATAACTTATGGTGAAACCCCATTGCCAGCACAAGCAAAGCAATTTCCACTATGCCTGTGGGACAGAATAGATCATGAAAGAGTAGTAGGATGGGAAAGTGGTTTATTTCCTCTCTTCTCCAGTATTCTATTTTGTCACTCATTTTCATTTCCTATTTTTAAATGCTAGCTAGTGAGCATCCAATTCTGTGTGCAGGGATTGTTTTCTGATTTCAAAGCCCTACAAGGCCAAACTCAAACAGGAACGGGGACTTATTTCAGCTAAGCTCTGGAGAGCATGGAAATGCAAGAGATTTTTGTTTTCCTCATTGCATGTGTATTATTTATCATTCTCTGCTATTTCAGTGAATTTTAAGGACAAGGTAATGTGTTGATTCTGTCTTTCACCATTACTCAAATACCATTCAGGGGTGTTAATTTTGTTTCTTTTTTAATTATCTTTGTGTAGGGTTTGTTTTTGCTGCTGTTGTTTCTTGTTTGCTTGCTTATTTGTTTGTTTGTTTTTCTAATTTAATCCTCCCGAAGTTTTTTTTTTAAATGATAGCTCAAGTTTGTTTGTATTCACCTAAAAATAATCTAGAGCCCTTCAATAACTTCTTGGTCTACTACTGACAGTTTACTTCAAGAGGCAGCATATACAATGAACTTTCAGTCCTGACACCCAAAACACTCATAGCTAATAATGAAACCCATGAGGTCTGCAGGGAGAGAAAAGCTATTGGGTTTGTTCCCAGTTTTTCTCACTCAGAGTTGTCCCACTTTCCTATGTTGGGGCTCTCTGGAATACAATTCAGAAGTTTGGAAGACATGTCTTTCAATCCCTAAATGGAGCATTGAACTCAACCCAGCCCAGCTTAAGCCACAAAGAGCTTCAACCTTCAGCAGCTGTGGGTTTCCCCTGCTCTTATACCAAGGTGCTGTGAGCAATCAGCCAGCTATTCTACCTCCAGACCTGGGTGGAACTGAGAACAAAAGAAGTGCTTAACAGGGCTGTGCCGCCAACATGCCAAACGCCCAAACTTCCCCCAATACATGGCCATTACACGCTTCTATTCTCAGGAGAAGATAATATAAACCAAATACTACATGAACATCACCCGAAAAGATGCAAAGTCCAGATCAAGGGTAGGAATGCTCATGAGAGCAACAATCATAGAGGATAACAGAGGTCATACCTGATGTCATCTGAGAGGAGAGATGTTACTCCTATTCTTACTACGGTCCATTCAAGGGCATTTTGATGGGTATATACCTGATATAATGCAGAAGCATGAAAGGAGCCCCACATGCAGCAAAATTGAAAAGAAAGAGAGGAAAAAGAAAAGGAGAAAAAGAAACAGGAAAATTGGAAGGGGTGGACAATCCCACTTACCCAGGTAATAATTTAGGACCTTTATAATTCCACTGGAAATGTATTCCTTCTGATTTTCAGTCTCCTTGGAGAGGTGAGCCTAAGGCCTCTTGCGGAAGGTGTTAATGACTGACTCTTGTGAAAGTTTTTAATGATTGGAAGCAATGTTAGGAGTTTCCTGGGCTTTTGTGGAGAGCAGGGCCAGGACTGGCGTGAGGCAAGCCAGGTGCTTAGGGAGTAAAATTGAGTAAAAAGTTAAAATTTAAGCAATTGTTCTCAGGTGCTTCCAAGAAGAGAGAATGAAAACAACTGAAACAGGAATATCCAAAATAGTGGTTTTTAGAAAATAAGCTGTAACACCAAGAAGGAAAAGAAAGATGAGAAAAATGAAGTGATTTGCCTAACACATGTAGCAAACTGAAAGAAAAGATCTTGTAAAACACAGATCTCCTGACTTCCAGTCTGGAAAGATTTACTTTACTTGTTTTTGTGTTCTTTTGGATACATAAGTATTTTGTTTTATGCTAGTTATTATAGTAATGTTTTATTATTTCTGTATCTTTTCTGTTATTTTGACATAATTGAAGTAGCTATGGCGTTGGGTAGGATGGATTGGATTCCAGTTTTACCTTATAAATTTATGTGACTTAAAAAAAATTATTTACCACACCTGAGTCACCATTCCTTATCTGCAAATGAGGATGCTGCTAGAATTAAGTGAGATAACAACTTATATGAGTTTATTCAGGCACTCATTCAGCAAAGTGCATTAGTCCCTATGCCAGATCCTGTGCCCAACACTGTGGATAAGGTAGTGTACAAAACAGGGCCATAAATTTCTGTCTAGTGAAGAAAACAAATAAGAT
This sequence comes from Homo sapiens, assembly GCF_000001405.40. Lineage (NCBI taxonomy): Eukaryota > Metazoa > Chordata > Mammalia > Primates > Hominidae > Homo > Homo sapiens. The sequence goes on from NC_000003.12 coordinate 30,476,665, forward strand.
TTTTTGACTACGAGTGCTAGAATTAGTTGGTATAAGAAATTATTTCTCCTTTCTGCAAAGGTTTTAATTTTTTCCCAGTGGATTAACTCAGCTCACCAGACAGACATTAGACTTTATTAAATGGATAATACACATTTCATAAATTCCCTTACACAAAAGACTACAGTGAGTCATGCTTTCAAAAGTGCTTGAAGATAGATTTATGCCACATGACAGTCATAATGGTTCATTTGGAGCAGTTACACAGTCTGTTGGGTAAATAATGCAAGTTGTAGAAATCACATCAAAGCTGTGTTTACACAATAGACCATGACTACTCCAGAGGAGCCCAAACAATCTCATACAAGAGCGTTTTATAAATGATGTAAATATTGTACAAGTTTAAGTTAATCAAATGAAGCAGCCCCAAAGGAGGACAGGTTTGTCAGGGAGACCTGAAGGAGATAAAATAAATGAAATACCTGCCTTTGGTAAAAGTTTATATTAAATAAGTCTCCCGATTTGCAAATAACTGGACACAATTAAATTCCCTTAACAGCTACACCAAAAATTGGGAGTTGGGGGAGCAGGCCAACAGAGTCAGATATCTTTCAAAAAATATAAGGGTGCTTTGCAGAAACCAGAAGTCATAATGTAGCTAGATTTTAAAGAGGAACTGAGATTAGGAGAGGGAATTCTGCAAAAACCCAAAAAACTTTCTTTTTCTTTCTTTCCCTGAAAACTTCATTCTACTTTCTCTGTAAATTGGCTTTCTCTGCTTCCTTGTCCCTGTGGCCTCTTAGCTTCTAAGAGTCCCTGTTACTGTCCCAGACACATATAGGGATGGATACCCTGCCTTTCGGTGTTACTTCCATCTGCCTAGAAAGAAGATTATCATTGGCCCACTTTGTGTCAGATACCCCCACACCACAACTCCTTCCCCACATAAGTTATGGGAAAGGATGGGGACGTACAGAGCGATTATAGCTGACTGGAGCACATAGCTATATGCAAGGAAGTAGTTCTCAGGAAGGAAAACGGCTTGAGGACTGAAGAGACAGCCAAAATAAGTAGCTACCAGAAACTGTAACTTTGATAAGACTCAGAGGCAGAGGAACACACTTGGGAATAGACCTCAGTAGATACAGAGCTGCTATGGAGACATCCCATTCCTTTCCACATCCAAGAGATAGTTTAATAAATCTGCTGGGATGCTTTTTGTTTTATGATGACTCAATTTACCTTATAATTGTTTTATTCTAATTAATCATTCATGTCTTGGCAGAATGCAGTACAAACTAACAAATAATAAACCCAAAAAACAAAAATTCTAAACATGAGAAGAGCAGGTTGTATTATTTTTTTTTTTTTTGGTGTTTTTCTTTGTGCTGTGTACATACAAAAGCAGCTTAGTTAGTTTTTACAGATTTCCATGCTTTAACTTTGGAGGCTAGAGCAGAAAACTGTGAATATACCAGCCATTTTATCAATATAATAGGATTAATATGGGCTTATCATTACAAACTTAAGCTCATCATTTATAAAACTTATTAGCATAACCCCAAATAGCTTAGTACATGTGACTTTGGTTAGTTCCTGATTTCCCCTGGAGAATTATTACAGATGATATTAAAAGTAACAGTGTTGAGATGGTTCTTTTTGAATTTACAGCACACATACTTGCTACCATCCTCCAAATTTGATAGTGGCCCTCACTCTTGGGACGCTCAAAACTACTTCTTTCTTTTCTTTGCCTCTATCCTTCATTTTCACTTTCATTTCCAATGACTGTCACAACCCAAGATAAAAACTTATTTATCAGCTGATTAGTTGAGCTTGGACAGGACACTTTATTTGCCTTATCAAATGGTCCAATATACATGTAAGTAGATTAGGAGGCATTTTTGTTTAGGCTACTCCTTGTCTACACTACTTCCTGCCCTACCATCAAGGACTTAATTCTGTGTCAGAAATGCCAATCCAAGTTGTGATTATATATTTTTAAGCTTATTGGGTTTTTTCCTTTATAGAAAATAAAAGAAAGTTTAAGAAAGAAAAAATGCTAATTCTACCAGTCAGAGATGATCAAAGTTAACATTTTGGTTTATTTCCTCTCAGGTATACTTATTGATAAACTCATTTTAGTTGAGCTCATATTATATCTGAAATATCTTCAGGAATATTTTAAGGGCTTCAATACACTATTTCTTATGTATGCTTTATCATTTCCCTAATTACATTCTTTAAAAAAATTAGCATATTTCTCCATTGGGAGAACTATAAAAAAGTACTATAAACTGGGTAGCTTATAAACAACTTAATTCTCACAGCTCTGGAAACTGGGAAGTCCAAGATCAAGATGCTGACAGATTCAGTGTCTGGTGAGGGCCTGCTTTCTGATTCATAGAAGATGCCTTCTTACTGTGCCCTTATACAGTGGAAGAGATAAAGGATCTATCGGCAATATATTTTGTAAGGGCACTAATCCCATTCATAAGGCCTCCACCTTCATGACCTAATCACCTCCCAAAGGCCCTGTTTCCTAGCACTGTCATCTTTGGGTTAGGATTTCAACATACAAATTTTGGGGACACAAACCTTAAGACCATAGTATTTAGGTTACCTGCTGTTATGGTTTGGCTGTGTCCTCACAGAAAAATCTCATCTTGAATTGTAATCTGAATTATAATCCCCAGGTGTTGGGGGAGGGACCTCATGGGATGTAATTGAATCATGTGGGCAGTTTCCCCATGTTTTTCTTGTGATAGTGTGTAAATTCTCATGAAATCTGATGGTTTTGTAAGGGGCTTTGCACTTCGCTTGGCTCTCATTCTCTCTCCTGCCAGCCTGTGAAGAGGTGCCTTTCACCATGAGTGTAAGTTTCATGAGGCCTCCCCAGCAATGCAGAACTGTGAGTGAAGTAAACCTCTTTCCTTTATAAATTACCCAGTCTTGGGCAGTTCTTTCTGGCAGCATGAGAGTAGACTAATATAGTAAATTTGTACCAGGAGAGAGTGGGGTGCTGCGGTAAAGACACCTGAAAATGTGGAAGTGACTTTGTAACTGGGTAACAGGCAGAGGTTGGAACAGTTTGTAAGGTTCAGAAGAAGACAGGAAAATGTGTGAAAGTTTAAAACTTCCTAGAGACTTGGAGTGCTCAGAAAACAGGAAGATATGAGAAAATTTGGAATGTCCTAGAAATTTGTTTAAATGGCTTTAACCAAAATGCTGATAGTGATACGGACAATAAAGTCCAGGCTGAAGTGGTTTCAGACGGAGATGAGGAAATTGTTGGGAACTGGAGTAAAGGTCACTCTTACTATGCAAAGAGACTGGTGGCATTCTGCCTCTGCCCTAGAGATCTGTGGAACTTTGAACTTGAGAGAGATGATTTAGGGTATCTGGCAGAAGAAATTTCTAAGCAGCAAAGCATTCAAGAGGAAGCAGAGCATTAAAGTTTGGAAAACTTGAAGCCTGATGATGTGATAGAAAAGAAAACCCCATTTTCTGGGGAGAAATTCAAACTGGCTGCATAAATTTGCGTAAGTAATGAGGAGCCAAATGTTAATCACCAAGACAATGGGGAAAATGTCTCCAGGGCATGTCAGAGACCTTTACAGCAGCCCCTCCTATCACAGGCCTGGAGGCCTATGAGGAAAAAATGGTTTTATGGGCAAGGCCCAGGGCCCCCCTGCTCCATGCAGCCTCAGGACATGGTGCCCTGCATCCCAGCTGCTTCAGCTCCAGCTGTGGCTAAAAGGGGCTGATGTACAGCTCAGGACATTGCTTCAGAGGTCATAATCCCCAAGCCTTGGCAACTTACACACAGTGGTGGGCCTGACAAGAATTGAGGTTTGGGAACCTCTGCCTGGATTTCAGAAGTTTTATAGAAATGCCTGGATGTCCAGGCAGAAATCTTCTGCAAGGGCAGAACCCTCCTGGAGAACCTCTGCTAGTGCAATGTGGAAGGGAAATATGGGGTTGAAGCCCCCAAAAGAGAGTCCTCACTGGGGCACTGACTAATGGAGCTGTGAAAAGAGGGCCACCATCCTGAAGACCCCAGAATTGTAGACCCACTGATAGCTTGCACTGTGTTCCTGAAAAGCCACAGATGTTCAACATCAGCTGTAAAAGCAGCCAGGAGGGGAGCTGTACCTTGCAAAGCCACAAGGATGGAGCTTCCCAAAGGCTGTGGAAGCCCACCTCTTGCATCAGCATGATCTGGATATGAGACAGTGAGTCTAAGAAGATCATTTTGGAAGTTTAAGATTTAAGGACTGTCTTATTGTATTTTGGACTTGCATGGGGCCTGTAGCCCCTTTGTTTTGGCCAATTTCTCCCATTTGGAACAGGTGTATTTAACCATTGCCTGTAACCCCATTGTATCTAGGAAGTAACTACATTCTTTTGATTTTACAAGCTCATAGGCAGAAGGGACTTTCCTTGTCTCAGATGAAGCACTTTGGACTTGGACTTTTGGGTTAATGCTGGAATGAGTTAAGACTTAAGGCGACTGTTGGAAGGCCATGATTGTGTTTTGAAATGTGAGGACATGGGATTTGGAAGGGTCTGGGGGTGGAATAATATGATTTGACTGTGTCTCTACCCAGAAATCTCATCTTGAATTGTAATCTGAATTATAATCCCCACATACTGGGAGAGGGACCTCATGGAAGGTAATTGAATCATGGAGGCAGTTCCCCCATGCTATTCTTGTGATAGTAAGTTCTCACAAGATCTGAAGGTTTTATAAGGGGCTTCCCCCTTCACTCGACTCTCATTCTGTCTCCTGTCACCCTGTGAAGAGGTTTGGCTATGACTCTAGGTTTGGCAGAAAACTGGAAGTTTTCTGAGGCCTCTACAAACATGTAGAACTAGGGAGTCAATTAAACCTCTTTCCTTTATTAATTAACCAGTCTCTGGCAGTTCTTTATAGCAGTGTGAGAAAGGACTAATACACCTGCAATTATTTAATTATATGTTACTAAATTATTCTTTATAAATATGACAAAAATTAATATTCCCACAGTTTCATGTAAGTGTTCCATGGGACAGAGAAACCCTTTTAAGAATACTGAGTATTGAATTTTTTGAATGATTACAAACTTTGTAAATAAAATGTTATGTCCTTAATTTGTTCTTTATTTTAATTTAACTTTTTTAAATATTATATTTCATGCATTTATTCATAATTTTTTTTGAGACGGAGTTTCAAAAACTCCGTCTTGTCACCCGGGCTGGAGTGTATTGACACGATCTTGGCTCACTGCAACCTCTGCCTCCTGGGTTCAAGCAATTTTCCTGCCTCAGCCTCCTGAGTAGTTGGGATTACAGGTGCCTGTCACCACACTTGGCTAATTTTTTTTTTCGTTAGTAGAGATGGGCTTTCACCATGTTGGGCAGGCTGGTCTCAAACTCCTGACCTTGTGATCCACCTGCCTCAGCCTCCCAAAGTGCTGAGATTACAGGCATGAGCCACCATGCCTGGCCATTTATTTCCTCTTATATCCATATACAATTCATATATTTTGATCATTTATATATTTTTTTATTTCTTTTTATTTTTTTTAGACAGAGTCCCACTCTGTTGCCCAGGCTGGAGCGCAGTGGTGTGCTCTCAGCTCATTGCAACCTCCACCTCCCGGGCTCAAGCGATTCTCCTGCCTCAGCCTCCCAAGTAGCTGGGATTACAGGTGCGCACCACCAGACTCAGCTAATTTTTTATATTTTTAGTGGAGACAGGGTTTTACCATGTTGGCCAGGATGGTCTCCATGTCCTGACCTTGTGATCCACCCACCTCGGCCTCCCAAAGTACTGGGATTACAGGTGTGAGCCACCACACTCGGTCTATTTATATATATATATATATATATATATTTAATTCACTACTTGTTTAAGTTGCTTACAAAGTCTGTCATTTTAAATAAATGATTTCTTCAAGTTTAACTTTTGCCTCTTAAAGTCAAGTAATTTTTTTTTGGCACAAGAAATACTTGGGCATTTATATAATCAAATCTATCAATATTTACCTTTGTAATTTTTTTCATTTATTCCAGGAACACAGAGTTCTTGGCATGCAAAGATTTAAAAATGTACTTCCATATTTTACTCTAGTCTTAATATATTTTCAGGTTTTTTTTTTACATTTAACTATTTGACATATGTGATACATGTTGTACAAATTTATTTTCCTCCCTTAATAGTAGGGCCAAGTTTCACTGCATCCATTGTTAAACTGACATTTCCCAAAATTTATGCCTTAGAACACTCAATTTACAAGTTCCTTCTTTTAAAACAAAAAAAAATTTGTTTTAATTTTTGTGGTCAAATCATTAAGCCAAATGCTACACCTGTTCCTCTTTGTTACTTTATAATGCACAAATGTTTTAATGCATTAATGACCCTGAATGGTTCTTCAACAACTAATCCTGTTTAAGTGTTTAATCCTTCACTTTCTAATCTCATTTGAATCATTTTTAGGCATCCCTCCACAGAAGAAAGGCAAAAGGGAAATAACACAAAGTGTATCATCCAGTGAAGAATAACATTTGTTTGAAGAGTTCATTAGTTCAATTTAAGACAGAGAAGAATAGAAACTGCAGCCAACATCTAGCCAATATTTATTTACTCCACAACAGGCCATCGGACTACATCTTGAGTTATCGGACTACATCTTGAGTTAGGACAATTCAATAAAAAAGTTACCTTCCATATGTCCATTTAAAAGAGACAGTTTAGATTTAGGAATTTAAACACCTTCTTCAAATGGACATAGTAGCAAATGCTCATATTATCTGAACTCAAGTCAGAATTTGTCCAAGGCTGTTTTCCTCCAGATAAGCTTTTATTATTTTGTAAAAACGAGGGCACTCCAAGGGGCAGTCTACAGATTCAACACTATTCCTATCAAACTACCGATGTCATTGTTCACAGAATTGGAAGAAAACTATTATAAAATTTATATGAAACCAAAAGAGTCCGAATACCTAAAGCAATCCTCAGGAAAAAGAGCAAACCTGGAGGCATCACATTAGCCAACTTCAAACCATACCATAAGGCTACACTAACCAAAACAGCACAGTGCCAGTACAAAAACAGACACATAGACCAAGGGAACAGAATAAAGAACCCAGAAACAAAGCTGCACACCTACAGCCATCTAACATTTGACAGAGTAAACAAAAATAAGCAAAAGGGAAAGAACTTACTATTCAATACATTGAATGGTGCTGGAATAGCCAGCTAGCCATGCCAAAGAATGAAGCTGGACCTCTACGTTTCATCATATATAAAAATTAAATCAAGATGGATTAAAAATTTAAATGTAAGACTTCAAACTCTAAGAATCCTAGAAGAAAATCCAGGAAACATGATTCTGTACATTGGCCTTGGGAAAGCATCATGACTAACTATTCAAAAACAATTGCAACAGAAACAAAAATTGACAAGTCAGACCTAATTAACTAAAGAGCTTCTACACAGCAAAAGAAACCATTAACAGAATAAACAGACAACCTTCAGAATGAGAGAGAACATTTGCAAACTATGCATCCAACAGAGATCTAATATCCAGAATCTATAAGGAACTTAAACAATTGAACAAGCAAAAAATAAATAACCCCACTTAAAAAATGGGCAAAAGACATAAACAGACATTTCTTAAAAGACGACATACAAGTGACCAACAAGTATATGAGAAAATGCTTCGCATCTCTAATCATCAGAGAATGCAAATCAAAACCACAATGAGATACCATCTCACACCAGTCAGGATGGCTATTATTAAAAAGTCAAAAAACAACAGATGTTGGTGAGGCTGCTGAGAAAAGGGAATGCTTATCCGCTGTTGGTGCCAATGTAAATTAGTGCAGCCACTGTGGAAAGCAGTTTGGAAATTTCTCAAAGAACTTAAAACAGAACTGCCATTGAACCCAGCAATCCCTTTACTCTGTGTGTGTGTGTGTGTGTGTGTGTGTGTGTGTGTGTGCATGTGAAACAACCCAAATTGTTCTACCAAAAAGACACATGCTCTCATACATTAATTGCAACACTTTTCACAATAACCAAGTCACGGAATCAACCTAGGTACCCGTCAATGGTGGATTGAATAAAGAAAATGTGGTACATGTACACCACGGAATACCACACCGTCATAAAATGAATTAAATCATGTCTTTTGCAGCAACATAGAGGTAGCTGGAGGCCATTGTCTTAAGCAAGTTAATGCAGAAACAGAAAACCAATTACCACATGTTCTCACTTATAAATGGGAGCTAAACATCGGGTGCTCACGGACATAAAGACGGCAAAAATAGACACTGGCGACTACTAGAGTGGGAAGGGAGGGAGGGGGCAAGGGCTGATAAACTAACTCTTGAGTATTATGCTCAGTACTTGGGTGAAAGGATCATTCATACCTCAAACCTAAGCATCACAAGTATACTCAGGTAACAAATTTGTGCATGTAACCCCTGAATCTAAAGTAAAAGTTGAAAAAGAAAAAAAACGTGAAATAAAAATAAATAAATAAAATAACCACACAGAGGAATAAAAAAGAAAAAAATCAATAAAATTAGAAGCTAGTTCCTTAAAAAGATCAATAAAATGTATAAACCTTTAGCCAGACTGTTTAAAAATCAAACAAAAAAAAAATGAGAGCATTTGAATGTCTTAAAGGAAGGAATGCAGTCTAGCCTTTCAAATGCCCTAATCGTAAAGCATCCCCTAAGACACATTTATGCAAAATTATGTGATTATTCAAAAATCCTTTTCAAAATCAATTCCTGTCCATCTCCCATCTCATCTTTTGGGGGCTGGAAAATCATTCCTTTATTAACAACTTTGGAATCTTCTGATCCCAGATCAGGAGATGGAACAAGAACCTGCAGTTCCTTGTTAGGCCATACAATGGATCAGTGATCTAGTGCATTATGGACAAATCGTTGTCACATGGACCATCTCACTATGGAGTTAGCCACTGGGTAAAGTCAGTCATAGGCAGAGAAACAAAAAAGCCAAATCAAACTCTGGATCCAGGCAGACGCTATGTCTATAAGCAATTGTGTGATCTGCACTGTATTTGACAGATGAACTCCAAGTTCACTGATTGATGCAGCAACTTATCTGACCTGGAAAGCAAGAAGCAAGACTCAGGATGGGTAATCAGTTTAAGGAAGGGGAGAAGACATTCATAAAAGAAGTCTTCAGATTATTTTACTTTATTGTAAAATGTGATTGGGATTAGGGGTAGAGTGGCTGTTTTTTAGCTCACATTCATGTTTGTTGCAACAACAAAGTACAAGGCCATGCATTTAGTAGGTGCTCAACAAAAATTTCAAAGTGGTTGAAAAGTATTAGAAGGATCAGAAGTTAGAAACAAGGGAAAGAAGGAAGGAAAAAAGAGAATTTAAAACACTTCACTCTCCTAATAGACAAGCTGAATCATCAAAAGCAGGCAGATTCCCTAGTATCTTACAGAGAAGGATTGTGGCAGAGTTTTGGAAATAACCCACTTCTTTATGATCTGTCCTCCAAAGAACATTAATAAAAGAATATCTGAAAATAGTCTTTTCACACTGACCTTCATTTGTTCTAGATACCAAAAGCATGCAGAATTGGTATCCCACCAGCAGTGGGGCCCAGGCAGTGGAGAAAATGTGCGGAAAAGTTTATCCCTTTAGTGCCATCTCCAATTGAAGTGACTATTGCAGGCAACTCATTGAATGATTATTCTGACCCATTAATGTTTCAGACAGATGAAGGACTCTCTATAGTCATAAATAAAGTTGTTGTAGGGAATTTCTCGACCTCAGTCTAAAGATTTTTAAGTCTGTCTTCCAGCAGATGAGCTAGAATATTTTAGGGATGTCTTCCCTTTCCTGGAACTTAGAGTGAAAACATTTTCTTGGAACTGCTACAAAGTGGCATGTCTGGTTTTAAAGAGCAGAGACTTGGTCAACAGAAAGCCTTGGCTGGAAGTTTAGTCCTACCACTTACTAGCTGTAAGTCTTTGAGCGGCATTTATCTAATGTATCCAAGACTCAGTTTCATTTGGCATAAAATGAGGATAATAATGGTACCTATTTTATAGTGTTGTTAATGGCATTACAGAGATAGCATATGAAAAAGGTGGACTAGGTACAGACTCTCAGCAAGTGACAGTTTATTTCTTCCTTTCTTTATTGGGGGTACTTTTATCATATTTTTATCACCTAGCAGTGTCTGTCAGGAATACCTGAGATCATTCTCAGGATTTATTGGCCTTTATTTAACAGACACAAGTAAAGTGATAAACCATAAAAAGTCAGCGTGGATTTAGGGTAGTAATGTTAATATAAAACCTGTATCTTAATGCTACCCAAGAGTCAAAGTTGTAAGATTAGGAATAATTACCAATGAGTTAAATAGGAATGTGGTCTGTCTCTCTCTAGCTCCTTCCTCCTACTCTCTGTCTTAGTGTGCTCAGGCTGCTGTAACAAAATACTGTCAAGTGGGTAACTTAAACAAAAGACATTTATTTCTCACCATTCTGTTGGCTGGGAAGTCCAAGTTCAAGGTGTCAGCAGACTCAGTTCTTGGTGAGGGGTCTGTTACTGGCTTGCAGATGGCTGCCTTCTTATTGTATTCTCACATGGAAAAGAGAGAGAAAGAGAGCTCTGACCTTTTCCTCTTCTTATAGGGTTACTAATCCCATCATGGGGGCTTTATTCTCATGATGTCATCTAAGCATAATGAACTTCCAAAGGCACCACCTCCTAATACCATCATATTGGTGGCTAGAGCTTTAATATATGAATTTTGGAGGAAACAAACTTCAGTCCATAACATCTTCTCTTCTCCCTCATTATCCCACCTCTGCTTGCTCCTTCTCAATATCTGAGAATCCATTTAGTTAGCAAACACCATTGCTATAGGAAAGAGAAAGATAAGAACAATTATATAGGCTAACAAGAATTTTTTTGCCATATATAAATAGCAATCTTTGGTTTTATTTTGTTTTGTTTTTTTGAGACAGAGTCTTGCTGTCACCCAGGCTGGAGTGCAGTGACACAATCGTGGCTCTGCAGCCTCAACCTCCTGGGCTCAATCCATCATCCCACCTCAGCCTCCCAAGTAGCTGGGGCTACAGGTGTGCATCACCATGTAGGGCTAATTTTTATATTTTCTGTAGAGACAGTGTTTCGCCATGTTGCCCAGGCTGATCTCGAACTCCTGAACTCTAGCAATCCACCTGCCTTCGCCTCCCGAAGTGCTGAGATTACAGGCATGAGCCATTGCACCCAGCTGAGTGGCAGCCTTAATATATTACAAGACTCTAGACGGGCTATCTATATACCAGTGGAAAAATGCATGCAAATCAAATATTCTAAAATCAAAATCTTTGTTTTGCTTTAATGGTTTATAACTAGTAAATCTACAAAGCAAGCTAACAGAGGTATCTAGAAATGTATTTTTTTACTTGCTTATCCTGGGGGTTTTACCAAAACATTATATTATTTAAAGTGGCTACATATTTCAGTTATATTCTGTGGCTAGGTATTTCAATTACTGAACTGCCAGGTTTTACACTACAGAGAACAGATCAAGAAACTTTTTCTATAAAGGGCCTGATAGTAAATATCTTAGGTTTCGTGGGCCATGTGGTCTTTGTCACAACTAATCAACTGTCCTGTCATAGAACCAAAAGTAGCCACAGCGAATATATAAGCATAGCTGTATTCCAATAAAACTACATTTTTGACACAATCTTGAGTTTTATATAGTATTGCATGTCCCAAAACATTATTTCTATTTTGATTTTTTTAATCCATTTAAACATGTTAAAACCGTTCTTAGCTCCTGAATCTTACAAAGACAGATAGTAAGCTGGATCTAGCTAACACCTACTCTACAGAACGTACCATGCTAATTTAAGCTTCTGAAATTATTAAAGTGGATGCTGCCAAATACCATTCACATTCACTCATTCATGTCCCTTGGTTAGAAGAAGGAACCCTGGTTAGAACTCACCTTGAATGATTTGTTAAGAAAATCAAGATATTGTCTTCCAATTAAAGATGGAAGACTAAGCAGACCAATGACATTTGCTCCCTCCCAAAACCACACAAAAGAACTATGTATTTTAAAGCTATAAACCCATAGGGATGAAGATTCTGGTAGAGAACTCATACAAACACACACACACACACACAGACATACACACATACAACAGCAAAAAATGTTGAAGGCAAAAAAAAAGGAGATCAATAAGTGGTAACTAAATTAACAAATACAAGACAGCTTAATCCTAAGACTACTTGGGGAAAATGAATAGCAACCCAACTTATGTGGTAGAGCCCAAAAAGTCTACACAATTAACATACTCTGCTAAAAAAAAAAAAAACAGTGAAAAGAGTAGGATTTTTTGAAAATCCGTTCAAAAATTATTGATCTCTCTAGATACCATCCCTTTATCCGGCAGATTACTACGAATTTATTCTACAAAGGATCAGAATGCCAAAATACTGGCAGCCAGGATTCTATCCTCAAAACAAGAGACTGGAAGACTTGGAGAACTCAGTCCAGTCAAGAGAAACCTTCTAACAATACTGATATCAAGAGGTCTTCCCAAAATGGCTCATCCTGATCATGCTACAGAAAACACCTAGTTGAAAAGCCCATTGCAAGTACAGACATTTTGCAATCTGCTTCTTAGTACCACAGTCTTAAAAAATGAGCAGTCTCTGACATATGAGGTGGAGACCAAAGATAAATAAAACCACTGGAAAGAAAAAAAATTACAATGATAAAGAAACATCAAAAAATAATCATCAGTGTGATTAGGAAGATGAGAAATTAAGTTCATGAAATATGAACAGTTTTTTTTAAAGGGTACACTCAGGGAATGTAAAGGAATTCTTAGAAAATAAAAATACCAGAAAGTAGACTTCAGTAAAGGAATTGGAGGGATTGAGGAGGAAGAAAAACTGTAAGAACATTAGAGGATAAATCTAACAGATCCGATATATGAAATAGAAGGAATTTTTAAAAAAACATAACCAAAAATTTGGCAAGGAGAAATTCTAAAAATAATATAGTTGGGGAAAATTTTCTGAAACTGAAAAACAGGTATTTTTGGATTTAAAAAGTCCACTGAGTTTCTAGAAAAATGGATTGACTGAAACAGATCCACACGAAGGGTAATTATTGGGAAATTTCAAAACTCTAAGAACAAAAGAAAATTCTATAAGCTTCCAAATGGAGGAAATATAAATTTAATTACATAAGATCAGCAATCATAATGGCATCACAACCTCACAACTTACAAATGACTATGTAGCAATGCCTTCAAAGCTATAGACAAAAATTATTTCAACCTTGAATGCTATGTTCAGATAACTTTTCAAGTAATGAGTATAGAACAAAGACATTTTCAGATATTCAAGGGATCAAACATTATTCTGCCCATACACAATTTCTAGGAAGCTACCAGAATGTATACTTCTCCAATGCACTATAGTAAACAACAGGAGAATGGGACACAGGAAATAGGTGATCCAATATAAGAAAGAGCTACATAGAATCCAAAGGGTCATGGTCAGATGCCAAGGTACAGCTGTGCAGCTGGCCCAGAGAGAAATCTTCAGTCTAGGCTGCAGCAGGACAGAGAACTCCAGAGAAAAGTCTTTAAGAAGATGGCATTTATAAAAATGCTTGATGTGTTTTAATGTGCGAGAAAATTCACACAACTGAGTTGGGGGAAGTTTGGATTGAATTAGTACAAAGAATAATAAGCAAATGTGTGAAGAAACTTGTAACTTCAGAGAAAATTAGAGTGAGAAAAGTAGTCAGATTAAGCCATATGACTAGTTGTGAACAGAATTTTTCCAATCACTAATAAACACCAAAGATTTATCCAACAAAACCTATGAGATAATTAAATTTGGGGGTTAAGGATAATAGGAATTGTTCACGTTTTTGGTAGGGAATGTAAGAGTATAAGAAAGCTAAATTCCCTTTATCCATATTGGAGAGTCAATAGATAGTGTCTAAAAGTAAAAAATCACAGATAGTGATTCAACCTGGTCATTTAGACATGGGGATAAATACCAAAAAAATTACCTGAAAGAATGGGGAAAAACGGTTTCTGAAGAAAAGGAAATGTTAAGGTAGAGGGAGAGTGACGGTAAACAATTGGTTTTTCATAAAAAGCCTTGTCAATTGCTTAACTCTTTAAAAACCATACACAAATATAAGTTTGAATAAAATTAAAAATTAAAATTAAAGAAAAGGAACATTTAGATGTTTCCCACTGATTCTTTCATGAAACCTCCTGTGCAGAACTGTGTCAGTCTTCTGTTTAGGCATATGTTTGCCTTGGCCTCCCTAACCTTTATGAGCCACTATCATTTACTCTTCCAATTCTGTTAATTACTAAGTCAAGAATCTAAATTTTTCTGGAATCACAGATTAACTGCGTCCCAAATATTTGTTGAAGGGTATAATCTTGAAATATCTACTGATATTTATCAAACCTTGGATTATCAATATTATATACATTTTAAAGTGGAAATTTGATTTTACCACAAACATTCCCTTAGATAAATAATTTTAAAGTTGTTTTAAGCCATAAGAATCATTTGTTCAATAAAACCTGACAAGGAAGTCCATGTTATAAAACAGATAAAAGCTACAGTTGTCTGATGGAAACTGGAACATCACTGTCTGGCCCTTTCCACTGCTCACTCACAAGCCGTGATGGGGACCTGGGAGTAGGTTTAGAGATCTCAAACTCTATCTGTCTCCATGCAGCAATTTGAAAATCCTGCTCTTTCTATCATGACAGACTATTAAACAGCCAGTAATGCAGAGTTCACTATTTGTCTCCCTCCCGCTCATGCAAATGGTTTATAGAGAGCTGTGCTTCATCGCATACTGAGAGGCAGTCCTGTGAAAAATATGGTTATGTTTACTCTAAGGATCTTATTGAGGATGTTAATAATAATACTCTATTTTTTTTTGAGATGGAGTCTCTCTCTGTTGCCCAAGCTGGAGTACAGTGGTGTGATCTCAGCTCACTGCAGCCTCCACCTCCCAGGTTCAAGCAATTCTCCTGCCTCAGCCTCCCAAGTAGCTGGGATTACATACAAGCGCCACCATGCCCGGCTAATTTTTTGTATTTTTAGTAGAGATGGAGTTTCACCACGTTAGTCAGGCTGGTCTTGAACTCCCGACCTCAAGTGATCCACCCATCTTGGCCTCCCAAAGTGCTGGGATTACTCTATTCTTTCCCTAAATAGAATGTTTTCAGGTTTTAGAATCAAGATCAATCTGCTTCCCCTAAATAATTGGTTCGCTTTAATTTATAGGTAGTTACTTCTTTGTACAAAGTCCCATTTTATTTATCTTTGCCAATGATCTTATTGGAATGATGGGAAATAAATGAAATCTTAAGTTTTTCTTTGTATTCTTCCCTATAAGCTCTAAAAGCTTTTGGTACAAACATTCTCTTATTCCTCTTTAAATCCCTAAAGATAACCAGTGCCTAGGATATAGGATACAGTAAAATCTCAACAATTTATTATCGAATGAACTAATAATAAAAAACATTGGAGCAAAAATATATAATGAAGGTTGTCCCCACAATAGAGCCTTCTTTTAATAAGTGTTACTAGGAGGTACAGCTTATGATTTTTTTTTTATTTTTGGTGCCTTTAAGCAAAAAGGGACATTTCCATGGAAAACTATAAGAAGAACCCTAAGTGCATGTGTTCTTTTCTTCTACTCAAGTTAGTGACACTCAAACCTGAGAATGAAGGCTGGCCATATGTGGTAGACAACAAACTGACCCAGTTCAATTTTCAGAGCTTTCACTTCCTACCAAAATTTCAGGCTTTCTTTGGAGTTAACTAACAGCAAATGTGACTGTCAGCTGAGAAGAAATTCCCCCAGTCTAAGTAGTTCACACCGGGAAATCTTGATTTAGAAGGATTGGAATGAAGTGACATTTTTATGCTGTAGTTAGGATCATTCTGCCTATTTGTAAATTGCATTCATTCATTCATGAAAGCCAGTTTATCCAAGAACAATAAACCATCTGTCACACAGACTAGAAATATTCACATAGGCATGTAAAACACTATCTCTCCCTTTACTCAAACTACATGACAATACTACTCAAGGTCAGAGAGCCAATGCAAACACGGACCATGAGAATGTACCTTCATAGAAATCAGGAACAAAGCTCTATTGAGTCTGTACATCTTTCCCTATAGTCAGGTCAATTGAGGGTCACATATTAGCTTAGTGAGTATTGAAATAAAACAAGGGTGTTTAATGGAATGTGTCAGAGATCGTGATCGAGATGTAATTGTTGCACCACAGTGACAGTCATCTCACTGGGAATGTACAAACTTAAAGTCTATTTCAGCCTGCCTTGTTTGCATTATCTACAACCCACATGTCCCTCTTCGCTTGTGTTCCTATTCCTCTCATTTGGGGAATGTATGGTATTAGAAGCGGCTGTGATTGAGAGGTTAAGGGGGAGGGGAGTTGTGGCAGTGATGAGAACAAAGACATGGCTAGTATTATCCTCATTTTACAGGTAAGGAAACTGATATACACAAATGTTAAGTAACTTGCTTGGGTCACTTCTCCAGCATAAGTGACAAAGTTGGGGGCGACTGCAGACTCTGTGCTCTTATTCTCCTGTGATACTGTACCCTTACTGGATATGTAATGATGAAGCATCTTTACCTGAATGCTGCTAACCCCAGCCCCTTGGCCCCTATCTGTTACAACACTTTGTGTCACTATATAATCATATCCACATCCTCAGCACTGCTCAATCTCACTGCATTGTCTCACCATATGTTTTGGACTTATTTATTTATTTTTAATAGAGGCAGGGTCTCACTCTGTTGCCCAGGCTGGTCTCAAACTCCTGGGCTTAAGCAATCTGCCCACCTTGGTCTCGCAAAGTGCTGAAATTACAGGCGTGAGCCGCCACCTGGGCTCCAGGGAAAATTAGAGTGCAGGAAAGTGGCCACGCCGTGTGTTTTTTGTTATCAGGAGGTTTATAGCTAAATAACTATCAAAAGTATCTTCAAACAGTGTTTGGCATCTGTTTCAAAATATTCAGTTCTTTCCAAAATTGTTCTAGTTGTGAAGTTTGAGAATTTCTTCATCATAATAACACCTCTTTATTGCCTATTTTCTTATTCTCTTTGGCTGAATTATAATCATTAGTATTAAATCATACCCAGACTTGGTAATGGACTTGATATATATTATTTAAAGTTAGGCAGCATGGAAAACAGAAACAGAAAACTTGGATTCTTGCTCAACTCTAGTTCTGAGTAATCTTAGAGAAGTAATTTAACCCTCCAGCCGCCCATAAGGCACATTCCGAGGCTTCTAACACTAACAGTGAGTGGATGAAATACAGAGGGTCTGGCCCCTGCCTGTCTCTGTAACCTCCACCAATATCACTCCTCCTCCCCAAATCCCCAGATTCCTACCCTTTAGGAACTTTGAGTTCCTTGCTGTTACTCAAATTTGCCAAATTCATATCTGACTCAGTGCCTTTGTACTTGCTTTTCCCTCTGCCTGGAAGTCTCTTTCCCCAGGGACTTTGATAAATGACTCCTGCACAGGGTTCTCTGCTTACATATGCCTTCCTCAATGTGGCCTTTCCTAGCCTCCTGATCTAAAGCAGCACCTGACGCCCACCACTCTCTCTCCTTACCCTGTTCTGTGTTTTACCTCAGCACTTATTGATAAAAACATCTTTTTTTTTTTTTTTTTTCCAAGACAGAGTTTCACTCTTGTTGCCCAGGCTGGAGTACAATGGCACAATCTTGGCTCACTGCAACCTCCACCTCCAGGTTCAAGTGATTCTCCTGCCTCAGCCTCCCAAGTAGCTGGGATTACAGGCATGTGCCACCATGCCCAGCTAATTTTGTATTTTTAGTAGACACGGGGTTTCGCCATGTTGGTCAGGCTGGTCTCAAACTCCTGACCTCAGGGGATCCACCCACCTCGGCCTCCCAAACATATCTTATTAATTTAATTGCTTACTTATTTATGATCCATCTCCACTAATAGTCATGAGGATAAACTGTCTGATTCTTTGCTGCAACAGTGACTGGAATTTTGTAATTGCTCCAAAATCATTTGTTGGATGAACTTTGAAGAATTAGTATGTTTCTCCGAAAATGACAAATCTTTGGAACCCTTATCCTTAGAGCCCACACCCAAAATCCCATTCTGGAATTATTCTCTATAATACCAGAAATTAAATACTTTCTGCCAAGATAAAGTTTAAAAATTTTCCTTGAAACATTCTTGTCATTTTCTAATGGTATAATGAGGCACTAATTATATTGATGTTTTGTCTTCCTGTGTCATATTAACAACTAATTTGCCCCGAAGATTAAAAAAAATCATGATAGCAATCTTTTATTATATTTCTATCTTGTGTAAAGAATTAGTATAGACATGTATATATGGTATTCCATGTCTTTCTTATAATGATGTGTAAGGCAAATTCAGATGATAAATTAAGTAACTTTCCTGGGGGCATTAAGCTAATATCTGTGAGATCCCATGTATTAGGTTTGAAAGCCCTTGTGTTTTTTGCCCCACTCTTTGATGATGTCTGATATCTTGTGGGTATGGTAACCAAATCATCCATCATCAAAAATAAGGGTATTTCCAAAAGCCCATGAACAGGAGAATAGAGAGATGGCATGTGTATTTATAAATTCGAATGCTACATAGAAGTAAAGAGGAACAAGCTACTGCTACACATAACAAAATAGGTGAGTCTCACAAGTGTTATGTTAAATGAAAGAAATCAGATATAAAAGACTCCACACTGAGTGAATAAACAATACACGAAGTAAAATATGATGATGAAAGTCAGAAGTTTGGCTATTTCTGAGTCAGGAAAGAGACACAGGGAACCTCATTGGCACTGGAAATATTCTGACTTAATGTGTACACACATGCCTGTGTAAATAGGTAAAAATCTAAAGATGGACGCTTAGATTTATTTGTCTACTTTACTGTGACTATATTCTACTTTAATAGAGAATCAGAATTGAACAAAAAGTTGAAGCCCAGCAAGTCAAGGTATTTGTAAAACAATGGTATAGAGCCGTTGAAATTAAGATGGTCTGGGAAATTTAGGAGATGTGTGGCTGTATTTGTGGAAAACCTGGCAGACTGTCTAGATTGGAGTTCACAAGTGTCTCAGTAGCTGACAGCTGACAGGAAGATGGAACTAACCTCTGCCATCTGTCTGAAACCACCGCGAAAAAAAAAAAAAAAACCAAGCCATATAAAAATTTAGAGAAGTGCTTTGTTTTTCCTTGTCTGTTTGTCTGTTTTGCTTCAGACCCATGCCTGGAATTTAATGAAGCACTTTCTTCTCAAATCTGGCTTTCCTCCTGACCCTCCCAATTTCTCTCAAACGGCGAGGAGAAAGAAGAAATACCCATCGACGTTGAATCATGTTTGGCGGAGAAATAAGCTTGTTTTACCACTGTTTGTCATTGGAATTATCTTACATTAAAAAGATTACAGTGAACACAGCAAGTCTTTTTCTTTTTTTAAATAACAAGTCATAAAAATGTCAACCCATTTATGCATGGAAATATCCTAGAGACCAAAAGGGATGTATCAGACCAAAAAAAAAAAAAGAAAGAAAACCCAGAAAGGAAAAACACTACATGAGAAAGAACTGGAGGTCTAAATTCTTTAGGAAGAGAGTACATGTGACTATGGCAGGGTGGAGGTGGGGAGGGACAGTCACCCTGAAAATGACTTCAGGGTCTTAGGAGACAAATTCCAGATAGGCAACCTGCCCGAAAAGCTTTGATAAATGACATTTCTGCTAATACCAAATCAAAAGAAAAGATCAGTTTCCCCAGTGAATGAGGCTGAGCGAATCATACATCTGGGCGCTTTGGCATGCCGAGTAAATGAAATCATCCAGAGAGTCTAAAGAGAGTTATGTCTCTGCGGCTGAGGCTTGTTTATGGAAAAATGAGTTTCGGGGCTTGGCTTTGCTTAGGCACAGAGCATTCTGAGCTGTGGGTACACTGGTTATTCTTTACAAAGTAGTTCTTGTCCTCAAGAGCAAGTGTCCTGATTTCAGGCCTCTGCGGGAACTCAAAGTTTGGACCTATCAGTTTTCTTCATTTCCTGTGGGCTAGGCCACCACCCCTGTCGCAAAAAGCAGCTTTTAAAACTGCACCCTCAGTTCACTTGAATGCTGGTGCCTCATCCGAATAAGGAAGCCAAGAAACACACGAAGTGTATATGGGCTGGAAGCACAAAAATGTAGCAAGAAACGATGTGGCTATTTTACAGCATAACTAGCCTCATTCATACTCCCCTCCACACACATAGACATCCCATAAAAGTAGAGTTGCCTCTCCTTTCTTAGAGGTAGACTGAGCTTTTAAGACTCAGAGACTATAGGACAGATTACTTTCCAAGCTTGTTGCTGTGCAAGTTCCTATTCCCATATTATTCTCCAGCAGAAAAAAAACAAATTACTTATTGCCATTTTCTTCATTCATCAAAAGCATTGTGTAAAACTAGGACAAAACTAGGACATAACACTTGATAAGAGCCTTTAATTATGTTTCTTTGTCCCAAGTCTCTGTGGAGAGTTTAGTATTTCCAGAATAAACTTGATGTGATACCAGGGGATATGAACTCTTGTTAATATTTGAGAGAACAAAAGAAAGAATTAAAATTGTATCAGGAATGATGAGAGAAGACATAGTGGGCAGGATTTGGAGTTGTGCGTCAAACATATAATTTGTGGCCCCTTTTTCCCTTCTTGGAAAACTTTTCTACTTTCTCTAAAGTATGCACAGTGAAAGTAACTCTAAGGAGACTTCCACTGGTCTATGCCCATTTCTTTAGTCTCTTTAGGTTTGCAAATAACAGCAAATATTTTTAGGGATGGAAATGAGAAAGAAGGGTGGAAGAGTTTGTGCTGTAGCCACAGAGAGGCTATCAGTGAGAATCACTACTGCTATGGGGGTATTTTGCTGACCTTTATTTTTTATTTATTTATTTTTTTGAGACGGAATCTTGCTCTGTCCCCCAGGCTGGAGTGCAGTGGCCTGATCTCGGCTCACTGCAACCTCTGCCTCCTGGGTTCAAGTGATTCTCCTGCCTCAGCCTCCAAGTAGCTGGGATTACAGTCGCACATGCCACCGTGCCCAGCTAATTTTTTTTATTTTTAGTAGAGACGGAATTTCACCATGTTGGCCAGGCTGGTCTCGAACTCCTGACCTCAGGAGATCCACCCACCTCGGCCTCCCAAAGTGTAGAGATTACAGGTGTGAGCCACTGCGCCCAGCCTGACCTTTCTCTGTTACACTCACCCAGTAATTTATTAGATCACCAAAAGAGAGGACGTGTTTGAGAAGGGGCATAGTTCTCCCTGACTCTGCTTTAAAACACATGAGGGTATGCAAGTAAGTAAACATTTCTCTTGTCCAATAAGGTTCACGGTGTTTGCAGACCCAATGAGTCCTAGCTAGCAGTTGTAGGGAACAAAGCTTATTAGGCTCATCCATGTTTCCTACATGAACTCCAGCTCCTCTCCATACCATCCTTCATTCACTTCACAGATATCTTACTATCACTGCAAGAACTCTCTTTGCAGTTCTTGAAGCACTTTGGGGTTCCAGAGTTTCCTAAAGAAGACAAATGTAGCTAATTAGGAAAATGTTAGCATCCTTGAGACACTAATAAGGTATATGGGGCACAGGAAATATGGTGCACATGGAACAATTCTGCCTGGGTTCAAAGCCCAGCTCTGCCCCTGCCAGCTGTGTCACCTTGCATCTTGTGAGGAATCAGAGATTATTTATACAAAGCGGGTGTTCCAGGGCTAACCCATAGAAGATGTAGGAAATATTCATTTTCTTCCTTCTTTTCCATCCTTTTCCTCCCAACTTTGTGAAATTACCTGGAACTTAAATTCAGGAAGAACGGGTGCCCAAAGGGCATTCTGTCTTGTGTTCCCATGTTCCCACACTGTCAATAGAGGCTGCCCCTCACCACAGTCAGAGGGGACAAAGGAAGAGACCACAGGGGCAGGCTTTCCAGGCTACACAATGTACTTTGCTCCTGGATATGTCTGTTGAAAGTTGGCAGGAGACAGCACAGTGGTGTCCTGAAGGTCAGTCTCAGATGGCTGTCTCATAGAGATGTTTCATAGAGGGTTCCTCTAACTGGCAGCTGCAATTGGTTCCAAATAAATCTGTCTTACACAGAAGTGCAAGCAGCTCACAAGAGGAATAGAAATGAAATAAAATGACCTCCAAGGCACATGGGAGAGGAAGCCAGAGTGTGTGCTGCTTCCAGCCGTGTGTGCTTTGTACTCAGGAGTATCGCAGCAGGGTGGAGGAAGATAAAATCCAGAATTGGGAGAGTCAGGCCAGGGTTGCCCCCTGGGATGAATTATGGCTCTGTATTTCCCAAGGGGGCTGTATTAGGGCACAAGGGACATGTTCCTGCTCTGAGAAATGGAAAAAAAATGGAATAGAAGTAAAAGAGCCCCAAGATACTCTGCAATTATTTTGTGCTCTTGAGTAATTTGAGGGCTCTGAACTTTCTCCATTGTAGATCAAAAGGTTTTAATTAGATATTCTGAGATCCCCTCTTGCACTTCTTTTCTGGAATTCCACGATGCCAAATCTCTGTGTCCCTTATACTAATGAAGAAATGATATCTTATGGATGAGCAAATGTCCTAATTAACAGTTAATATCAGTTGCATAAATAGCTCATTAATAATTTTTAAACCATTAGATTTATCTTACACCCACCCTAAAGGATAGTGAACTTAATTTAACACATTTGATGAAGTTTGGCAGGTCTTGAGGAAGTATTTCAGATTTTACTTTTGGACACTTGACAGTTGAGAGCCATGAATGAGGAAAAAGACAGGTTTTCATGGAAACCCCAGCTCTGCTCCTTCCTCACCACGTGAACTCCAGCAAGTCACTTCACCTCTCTGAGGCTGTATTCATCATCTGTAAAGTGGGACTGATAACGATCCATACCTGATAGTAATGCTATAGGTTAAATGAGAGAAAAATAGACAGCATATAGCACATGACACATAGGAAGTATTCAGTAACTATTAACTGTTAATATCATTATCATCATCATTGCTGCAATCATTTTATCCACCACCAATGCAGTCCCTGCAGAGTCCTAGTTCAGATATTTCTATGGAGATCCGGTAATAGCTCAGGCTTTTGTACCAGGCCCTTGTATCTTCTTGTTCTATAATTCTCACCTAAATGTGCACCAGCTATAGTTTCTATCCCAGGGAGTCCCATATTTGGACGTCCAGCCTGGAATTCTCTCTTAGGTTTCAGAGCTATATACGTAACTGATCTCTGGGATGTTCTACAGACCACTCAAAATCATAGTGTTTTAAAACTGAATTCATTTTCTCCTTGAATCGTCTCTTTTTTGTTTGTTTGTTTGTTTGTTTGTTTGTTTGTTTTTTGAGACGGAGTTTGCTCTTGTTGCCCAGGCTAGAGTGCAATAGCATGATCTCGTCTCACCACAACCTCCGCCTCCCAGGTTCAAGCAATTCTTCTGACTCAGCCTCCGGAGTAGCTGGGATTATAGGCGTGTGCCACCACACCCGGCTAATTTTGTGTTTTTAGTAGAGATAGGGTTTCGCCATGTTGGTCAGGCTGGTCTCAAAATTCTGACCTCAGGTGATCTGCCTGCCTTGGCCTCCCAAAGTTCTGGGATTACAGGCATGAATCACCGCGCCCGGCCTGCATCATCTCTTCTTTGTTGTTTCCTATTCTGGTAAATGTCCTCACCATCAAACCCAGGACCTTAGAGTCACACTTGGGTTCTCAGTTTCCCTCACTTTTTTCCTCTACCCCAACACTAAATCAAGTTCTGTTCATTTGACCTTCTAAAGAACTCTTTATTTCTAGTCCAGTCCAGGCCACTACTATCTCTCTCTCTCTTTTCTAAATTGCCGTAAGAAACTCCTAACTTATTTTTGTACCTCTAATCTTATCCTCCATGTAAAAGCAACAGTAATCTGTCTAAAATTCTTATAGTGATATGTATTGCTCATTCTAATAACTTATTAATAACCACCCCTTGCTCATAGGGTAAAACCCCAGTTCCTTAACTTGGCTTTCGAAATGATTTGTGCACCTCCACAACCTGACCTCTGCCTCTGCACTCTAATCATTTTCAACTTCCTTTGGCTATGAGAAATCCCCAGCTACTCTCTTGCTTCCCAATCTCCAGGCAGCCTGTTCTCTCCTTTTGATGCAAAAGTTTCCATCTGTTTTGTTTTCTTTTTGTTGTCGTTGTTTGTTTTGGTTTGGTTTTGTGTTTTGCACCAAGTAGCTCCTACTTATCCTCAGGTCTTGGCTTCAGTGTCATATTTTGGGACGGCTTCCCTGTCCCTCAAATCTGGTAGAACTGCCACTCCTCTGAGTTCCCATGGTACACATGGCCACTGATGGTACACATACCCCTTTGGATTACGTCTGTCTGTTTACTTCTTTGTCTGTACCAGACCGCCTACTCCATGAAGGCAGAACTCAAGTCTGTCTTGTCTGTCTTTGAGTCCCTCTGCCCCATGCTCATTAAGTATATGGAAGTTGAATAAAGATAGAAAATTTCTCTATTTGTTTCCAAAGACTTTGAGGTTCATCACTTCTTTACAGAGTCTGAGCGTCCCAGTGTTGTGTGGCTGCCATAGTCAAGTGCTTCCCTTTGTGCCCAAGCGAAAAAGAGAAGAAAAGAACTGTGCTGAGGCAGGAGGCCCCACACTTTTGGAACAGTCTACTCTAGCAATGCCTCCTTATCCCCTCCCAAAAGACTGAAAAAGCTAGTAGGGTTTAAAGCCCAGACTTAAATGACATTGAACTATGCCCTATAAGACACCAATTCAGTTACTAGAGGGGTCAAGGTCAAAGTGGAATGTTTTGTGGAAAGAATAGAGATGTCATAAAACTTATAGAGTTGAGGAAATGAGTAGTTTTCTAGGAATTTTAGAATTCTGAAAGAGATTCTTGAATTTCCTGTTCTTCCTCTTCCTTGTCACCTCTTCCCTGCCTTCATACCCTCAGCCATATATGTGGCTATGGCCCACCAATAAGGATACTGGAGAAGTCCTGTCATAGAAACTCACCAAGAGAGCACTTCCACTTCTCCCCTTGGGTCCCTGCTCTAAGTCTTTGCATCTTTGCTCTTCTGGTTTTGTCACCTGGCTTCTGAAAATTCTTTAGGCCAAAAACTCCCTAGAAGCAGGGTTCAAGATGGGAATTCTTATGCACGTGATCTATTCAGGGAGTACTTCCAAGAGAAATCTATAAGAAAGTGAGAGAAATAGGACAGAGAAGGGGAAAAAACTCTAGGCAAAGATGTGGTTTCAGATGAAATCTATCTTTATTCTTCATCCTTACCCTCTGGAGGGTAAACTGTACCACAGAGCCTGCCCTATCTTAAGATGAAGAAATGAATCCTGTGCTGGTGAGTCATTGGATCAGGGCTGCCCCAGGTGGGAACAGAAGGAGTCAGGACACCAACTCCTGACACTACTGGGCTAGGCAGCTCCTGTTGCCCAAGGACACTTCCCTGGATGAGACTGCAGATGTGAGATGTTAGCAAAAGCACCCACAGCTGCTGGTAAGAGGTAAGCAGAGATTTGGCTGGGACTACAGGTCCTTTGTTTTCTGTTGGCAACTCGTTATGACCTTCTTCAGCTACAAGTCCTGGACAAGTGTGTTGTTTCTGGAAACCTCTGGTCAGTCCAGCAGCCTCTTCTCCTTCACACTCCACCCCAACCTTCCATATTTCCTGATATTATAGTTCTTTGTGAATGCTAAAATCATGATTCGTGACCCAACCATGTTCCTTGTCAGAAGCAAGGTGGGAGAAACAAATTAAGATGTTGCCATTACCACTCCCAGCTAGAACCACAAAGCAGAGACATTGCTAAGTATTTGTATTGCACAAAGAGTTATGCCTGACAGCAGTAAAATAGTAAGTTTTTATTAATGGGAGGGAGAAACTTGGTTATGCCCTTCATAAGAGTCTTAACTATGGGAAGAGTGATTGTGTATCCTTATGGAATGGAGAACAGTGGCCTCTGAGCACCTGCTTAGACCAGGTGACTAGTTCCTCATGACTCAATAGGTAAATGAGATGAACTTTGTGTAATCTTTCATGCATACCATTCATGTGATAATGTGGTAAATGGGTGGGGCTATCACCAGACAAATTTTGTTTTACATTCTAGTTTCATAGCTCATCAGCTGTTACAGCTTGGACAAGTTACTCACTTTTTGGAGACTCATTTATAAAACAGAGAGAGTACATACGTTGCAAAGTTGTTATGAAATTAAACACCACCTGGCACATAGTAGGAACTCAATAAATGAAAGTCATCATTCTCAGATTATTTCCTTCTACAGAAATAAAAACTAGAGGGGTGTGGGTGTTCAAGTGGGTATTGAAGTTGGAGTGGCAGAGAGACAGGGTTGGGGGAGAATATGTGCACTAGTGCTCAATTATTATTGTTCTGTTTAAACACCTATTACTTTATGAAATGCAACAATTTTTACATGAAACGTTATGATTATCTATACTTTAAAGAACCAGAGACCAAGAAATAGTTTGTTGTTTTTTTCTCTGTAGAGATCTGTTGATGAATATTAATGACACTCTTTACTCTCCTGCATACTTGCAAAGCTACAGGGAAACCAACTAATGCAAGTTCTAGGTTGAGGCAGTATCTGAGGTTCTTGTTGATCCCATTTCCCGTCCACCTAGCTCTTTCCAGAAAAGCCTATTCCAACATGGAAAACAGATGAAAATATCAGCTCCTTACTGAGCAGAATCAGTCCTGCCTCCTCCGGATTCTGGGGAATGGACTCAGGTCTTGGGTCTCTACATAAACCCCCAAATGCCAAGACATCTAGCTGTCTGCCCTTCAGTTATGATTCATCATAAGACTGACAGACATCCAGTCAATGTTTTTCTACAAATGACCCAGAATCTTCCTCATTCTTTCAGTAGGCAGATTCTACTTCCTTAGTGACTTTTTGTGGGTGTCATTTGAAAACTGGTATTTGTGCCATATGTCACACCAAAATTTCTCTGCTTGCCTGCATTGAGTATATATTTGCTGACAGTCTTGGGAGTTAAAGAAAAAAGGAATACCTGTTCTTAGGTAAAATGGCCCACTAGAACTCTGCTTTCATTCACCCCATTTTCTTTTCTTTTTTTTGATGGAGTCTTGCTCTGTCACCAGGCTGGAGTGCAGTGGTGCGATCTCTACTCACTGCAAGCTCCACCTGCCGGGTTCACGCCATTCTCCTGCTTCAGCCTCCCAAGTAGCTGACACTACAGGCGCCCACCACCACACCCGGCTAATTTTTTTTTTTGTATTTTTAGTAGAGACGGGGTTTCACCGTGTTAGCCAGGATGGTCTCGATCTCCTGACCTCGTGATCCGCCCACCTCGGCCTCCCCATGTCACCCCATTTTCTAAGCTCTTGAGTCCCTGATTCTGTGAATATAAACTATATTATACCTCTCTGATTCTAAAAATGTATATTAGAATATGAGACAGTGTTTGTCAACTATAGGATCTTCTGATACAGATGCTGATTCATTTGCTCTTTTTGTAATGGTTGCCATAATTACCCTAGTTTACGATAGCTTTATTATATAACAGCTTAGAAAAAAAAAGATTGTTTACTCTGGTCTCAGAACTATTCTCAGCAATTTTCATGGACTTACCTCGTTCGGTCCTCACAACTAAATCATGAGGTAGAAAACTGCTATTATACCTGTTTTACAGCTGATAAAGCTATAGTGTAGAGGTTTAAATCACTTGCTCAAAGTCAAACAGTAAAAAGGGGAGCTGACATTTGATCATGGGGCCAACTGATTCTGGCACATACATTCTTAGCACTTGTACCTTACAGAATGTCAATTGTGAGTGAATTCTATTAACTTTCTCTTCAAAGGCAAGAACACTCTCCAGCTCTAAACGTTTGAGACATACACTTTTTTCTTTTTCTTTTTTTTTTTTTTTGAGATGGAGTCTTGCTTTGTCACCCAGTCTGGAGTGTAGTGGTGTGATCTTGGCTCACTGCAATCTCCACCTCTTGGGTTCAAGCAATTCTGTCACCTCAGCCTCCCGAGTAGCTGGGATTACAGGCGCACGCCACCATGCCTGGTTAATTTTTGTATTTTTTTTAGTAGAGGCGGCCTTGTTGGCCAGGCTGGTCTCAAACTCCTGACCCAGACATACACTTTCTAAAAGTTAAATGAATTAAATTCCAGTCAAGTTTAGACATGTGGTATAATGGAACAGCTGAGCTATGTAAATAGAGTATTGTGAGTTACATTTCTTTGAATACCTACTGTATTAGTCTGTTAGCGCTGCCATAACAAAATATCAACTGGATGGCTTAAACAACAGAAATTTGCTTTCTTGTGGTTCTGGAGGTTAGAAGTCTGAGATCAGATGCTGGCAGAATGCATTTTTCCTGAGGCCTTTCTCCTTGGCTTACAGATTTTCCCCTTCTTGCTGTGCATTTGCATGGTGGCTCTCTGTGCATGTATATGTCTGTGTCCTAATCTCCTTTTCTTATAAGAATACAAGTCATATTAAATTAAGGCCCACGCTAACGATTCTATTTTAATTGGTTACCTTTCTAAAGACCCTGTCTCCAAATACAATCACATTCCAAGGCACTAGGGATTAGGACTTCAACATATTAATATTTGGGATCCACGATTTAGCCCATAATACCTACTAAATACTTGGCACTCTAAACATTTTGGAAAATTCCAAACATTTTGGAAAATAACTTACAAAGGTGAATGAATCAGGCTTACTTCCTCTCTGCAAGGGATCTACAAGTTTCTACATAACAATGTTATGGGGCATAAGGTGAGATTTGGCACTTAAGAAATACAGAATAAAGTTCAGTAGGTAGTCAGGAAAATGCGAGGTGACTTTCTGTTCGGAGAGTAGGTCAAAACATGCTTCATGGTAAATATAGCATTTGAGAAAGTTTCTACACAGGATTTGATCTGAGGTAAAAAAGGCAAACGTAGATAATTTTTGTCCATGATAGTCTAAATTCAAAGAAACAATGGGATATTACACTGCTTATTCATGTTTTTTGTTCTTTTTTTTTTTTTTTTGTCTTTCTATAACTATTCCCTCACCCCTTCTGATTGGAGGTCTGTTATTGGAGTTCAGAGTTTTAAAGGAAACACGGTAAGATGGGGGAAGATGGTTATTAGAGCTTAGGTGACTACAGTGGATGGATTCTTACTTAAATCTCTCATCCCACTTCACCCCTCTCCAAGCATTCCAAGTTGCGCCACCAGTCGTTTAACTGATAGAGGGAAATCTCACCTAGACCCAGGGAGGACCTTGAGTCATGAATAGGTCAAAAAAGTTAATAAATAGGCCTTTCAGTCATATCACACATTGTGCTTTTCAAAGTATTTTGCCATATTTGATTCTCCTGAAAATGACACTGTGAAAGAAATGTTTAATAATAATGTGGTGGTTTTTTTTGCACTACTTGCCTTATCAGATCAATTCTCCAGCCTTTTCTGTCTGCTTCTTTCCTCTGTGATTCAGTACTAAGGCCTGCATCACCCAGGCGCTCTTGTGCAACGGCTTCCTTCTGGGTTTTGTAGCATCTCTCTTCAAGATTATTCCCTTTCATAGATAAACTCCTAGACACGTACAACCTACCATGAATGAACCATGAAGAAATCCAAAATCTCACTAAATCAATAACAAGTAAAGAGATTGAAGCTATAATTTAAAGTTTTCCATCAAAGAAAAGCCCAGGATCTGAAGGATTCATTGACACATTCTACCAAACATTTAAAGAAGAACTAATACCAATTCTACTTAAATGCTTCAAAAATATTGAAGAAAAGAGAATACTTCCAAACTCATTCGATGAGGCCGGCATTACCCTGATACCAAAACCAGACAAGAACACAGCAAAAAAAGTAAACCACAAGCCAATATTACTGATGAACATAGATGCAAAAATCCTCAACAAAATACTAGTAAAGCAAATTCAGCAATACATTAAAAAGATCATTCACCACGGTCAGTGAGATTCATCCTGGGGATGCGAGGATGGTTCAACACATGCAAATCAATAAACACAATACATCACATTAATAGAATCAAGAACAAAATCAATGATTGTTTTAAGAGATGTCAAGAAAACATTTGATAAAATTCAATATTCCTTTTTGAAAAAAATGCTCATCCAAATGGATATAGAAGGAATATGCCTCCAAATAACAAAGGCCATATGTGACAAACCCATGGCTAACATCATACTGAATGGGCAAAAATTGAAGACCTTTTCTGTGGAACAATTCTGGAAAAAGACAAAGATGCCCACTTTTGCTGCTATTATTCAACATAATACTAGAAGTCCTGGTGAGAGCAATTAGGCAAGAGAAATAAAAAGAAGATACCCATGTTGGAAAGGAAGAAGTAAAATTAGCCTTGTTCTCAGACAACATGGTTTTATCCTTAGAAAAACCTCATGACTCCACCAAAAAAAAAAAAAAAAAACCACTGTAAGAACTGAACAGGACGCAAAATCAACATACAAAAATCAGTAACATTTATATACACCAAG
Source organism: Homo sapiens (assembly GCF_000001405.40). Taxonomy (NCBI): domain Eukaryota; kingdom Metazoa; phylum Chordata; class Mammalia; order Primates; family Hominidae; genus Homo; species Homo sapiens. The sequence goes on from NC_000003.12 coordinate 30,507,353, forward strand.
AGCAAACAATTTGAGAAGCACATCAAGAAAGCAATTCCATTTAAAATAGCTATAAGAATATTCATATAAAATACCTAGGAAGCAATGTAACCAAAGAAGTGAAAGATTTATACATGGAAAACTAACACTAATGAAAGAATAGGACACTTGAAAAAATGAAAAGATATTATATGTTAATGGATTTAAACAATCAATACTGTTAAAATGGCAATACTACCCAAAACAATTTATAGATTCAGTGCAATCTCTATCAAAATACCAACGATAATCTTCACAAAAATAGAAAAAAGAATCTTAAAATTTATATAGAACCACAAAAGACCCCAAATATTGAAAGCGATCCTGAGGGGGAAAAAAAAAAGCTGGAGGCACCACACTACCTGACTTCAAAATTTACTACAAAGCAATTGTAACCAAAACAGCATGGTAGTGGCATTAAAAACAGACACAGAGCAATGGAACAAAATAGAAAACCCAGTTATAAATCCGTGCATTTACAACCAACTCATCTTCTACAATGGAGAAACAACAGTCTGTTCAATAAATGATGCTTTGAAAACTGTATAACTACATGCAGAAAAATGAAACTAGGTCCCTATCTCTTACCATACACAAAAATAAAATAAAAATGGATTATAGAATCTAAGACCTGAAACTATGAAACTACTAGAACAGAAAAAAAAAAAACAACATTGGGGAAATGCTTCAGGACATTGATGTAGGCAAAAATTTCTTTTGTGTAAGAATTCAAAAGCACAGGCAACCAAACCAAAAATAGACAGTTGGGATTATGTCCATATAAAAAGCCTCTGCACAGCAAAGGAAACAATCAACAAAGTGAAGAAACTACCCACAGAATGGGGGGACATATTTGCAAACCATCTATCTGGCAAAATATTAATAACAAGAATATATAAGGACCTCAAGCAAAAAAACACAAATAATCCAATTTAAAATGGGCAAAAGATCTAAACAGATATTTCTCAAAAGAAAAATACAAATGGTCAATAGGTATATAAAAAATACTCAGCATCACTAATCATCAGCGAAATGCAAATCAAAGCCACAATAAGGTATCATTTCACTCAAGTTAAAATGGCTTGTGTGAAAAAGACAGAGAGTAACAGATGCTGGCAAGGATGTGGAGAAATAGGAACCCTCATACAGTGTTGCTGGGAATGTAAATTAGTACGGCCACTATGGGGAACAGTATGAAGTCTCCTCAAAAAACTAAAAATAGAACTACCATATGGTCCAGCATCCCATTTCTGTGTACATAACCAAAAAAAAAAAAAAGAGGAAATTAATGTATCCCAAGGAGCTATCTACACTTCGATGTTTATTACAGCACTATTCACAATAGCCAAAATATGAAATCAATCTAAGCACCCATCAACAAATGAATGGATTAAAAACATGTGGTATATATACACAATGGAATATTTTTCAGCCATAAAAAATAATGAAATCCTGTCATTTGCAACAACCTGGGCAGAACTGGGGCCATTATGTTAAGTGAAATAAGCCAAGCACAGAAAGACAAACATCACACTCATGCGTGGATGCTAAAAACCTAGATCTCATGAAAATAGAGAGTAGATTGGTGGTTACCAGAGGCCTGGAAGAGGAGACGAGAGAGGTTAAGAGAAAAGGAAAATCCACTGACTAGACGTATTATCTTTTTTAAAAATTTTTTAAATTCTTTAATTTTTATTTCAATAGCTTTTGGGGTACAAACATTTTTTCACCTACATATAGAGGTGAATTCTGATATTTCATTGCACTTGACCACGAAGTAGAATACATCGTACCTAACGCAGTGTTTTTTATCCTTCTCCTCTCTCCCACTCTCCCCATTCTGAGTCTCTTAAGTTTATTATATCACTCTGTATGTCTTTGATTACTCATAGCTTAGCTTCTGCTTATAAGTGAGAACATACAGTTTTTGGTTTTCTGCTTCTGTGTTACTTCACATAGAATAATGGCCTCCAGCTCCATCTAAGTTGTGGCAAAAGACATTATTTTGTTCCTTTTAATGGCCAAGTAGTATTTCATGGTGTCTATCTATCTATATACATCTATATGATATCTATCATATATATATCTATCTATATACATATATATGGTATCTATCATATATGATATATCTATACATATATATGATATCTATCATATATGATATATCTATATACATATATATCATATATATCTATATACATATGTAATCTATCTATATACATATATATGATATACATATATATGAGATACATTTATACATATATATGTTATATATAATATCACATTTTCTTATCCACTCATTAGTCAATGGGCACTTAGGTTGGTTCCACATCTTTGTGATTGTGAATTGTCCTGCCATAAACATAAATTTGCAAGTGTCTTTTTCATAAAATGACTTCTTTCCCTTTGAGTGGATAGCCAGTAGTGGGATTGCTGAATCCAATGGTAGATCTACTTTTAACTCTTTAAGGAATCTCCATACTGTTTTCCAAATAGGGTATGCTAATACACATTCCCACCAGCAGTGTATAAATGTTTCCTTCTCCCCAAATTCACACCAACATCTATGTGTTTTGACTTTTTAATAATGGCTATTCTTACCAGTATAAGGTGGTATCTCATTGTGGTTTTAATTTGCATTTCCCTGATGATTAGTGATGTTGAGCATTTTTTCATTTGTTTATTGGCCATTTGTATATCTTTTTTTTAAGACAGAATCTTGCTCTGTCACCCAGGCTGGAGTGCAGTGGAGTGATCTCGGCTCACTGCGACCTCCGCCTCCTGGGTTCAAGCGATTCTCCTGCCTCAGCCTCCCGAGTAGTTGGGACTACAGGTGCATGCCACCATAGCAGGCTAATTTTTTGTATTTTTAGTAGAGATGGGGTTTCACCGTGTTAGCCAGGATGGCCTCTATCTCCTGATCTCATGACCCAACCGCCTCAGCCTCCCAAAGTGCTAGGATAACAGGTGTGAGCCACTGCACCTGGCTTTGTATATCTTCTTTTGAGAATTATCTATTCATGTCCTTTGCCCACTTTTTAATAGGATTATTTGGTATTTTTCTTGCTGATTTTTTTGAGTTCAGGCAGATATATTATCTTTAATTTAATTATTTATTATTGGATTTTGTAATGTTTTCCAATTTCATCATTAAAACCAATGCTGTAAGAAAAAAAGTTTTATTGCATTCCAGAAAATATAGAGCTGCTGCATTCTTTATAATAGCTCCCCAATTTTGCACTCTGTGCATTTTTTGTAACTTAAGAGTTAGTAATCTTCAAAAGAAGAATGACATACTGAAGACCCCTTGCCCCTGAGGTTTTCGCAGCAGGGAGGAATTACAGAAGTGGAACATAGATCTGTAGGCTAATATATTGTTCTTTGCATTCCTAATTTGTTAAGCAATCTTCTAGATCGCATTATATAATAGTAACCTTCTGCTATGACAAATAATACAACAATGTTCATACTGTTCGCTATTGTATGGATGTCATTTCTTACATAGAGAAGTATATTATTTCTAGAAATTGAGTCATCATGGGGTCAAACTGTATGTCATTTTTAACACAAAAAACAAGCTTCTGATTTTTCTCCATAAAAAGATCTAACCATTTACACTCCTATACAGCAATGTGAAAGAGGTGCGTAGAGTCAAACTATATAGTAAGAAAGATAAAAATTGTTACCTCGATGATTTTAATTTGAATTTATCTTATTACAAACAAAAATGCACATTTTATTATTATTTAAGAATCACTTGTATTTCATTCATCTCTAAACTATCAGTTTTTGTCTATTGGGTTTTCCTTTTTCTATTCATTCATAGAAATTTGGTTATGTGCTGCAAAAACACACACATTTACACAAACACGTATATTAAGTTTTTATTTGTGCTTTGAAAATAGTGTTTTGTGACCTGTAATGTTTTACATGTAGTTTAAGAGAATGCCATTCTTTTTTTGGGGGGTGGGGGACGGAGTTTCGCTCTTGTTGCCCAGGCTAGAGAGCAATGGCACGATCTCGGCTCACTGCAACCTCCACCTCCCAGGTTCAAGCTATTCTCCTGCCTCAGCCTCCCTAGTAGCTGGGATTATAGGAATGTGCCACCACACCCGGCTCATTTTTTTTGTATTTTTAGTAGAGACAGGGTTTCCCCATGTTGGTCAGTCTGGTCTCGAACTCCTGACCTCAGGTTATCTGCCCGCCTCGGCCTCCCAGAGTACTGGGATTACAAGCCTGAGCCACCACACCCGACCGAGAATGCCATTCTTATACACATTTATTGCATACAGTACATTACTGTGGTTAAATACATCCTTCCCTCCTATTTCCTTCCGCCCACCTCTTTCTTCATTCTTTCCACCAGCAAATATTGAAGAATGGCTAAATGACAAGCTTCCTCACTTCAAGTCTAGTCTCTTCTTTGCTATCTCAGATTGTGTAATACATCCTATTGCAACATTTCGGGAATGTGGAATGAGACAGCACCAAGAAAGATCCAGGCCGAGGTCTGCAAGAGCAGTATCTGAGAGCTTCAGCACAAATGCACTACAAAATAATAGGTAAAATCATTGGAAACCAAAGTCAAAGGAGGCAGTAATATGATTCATAAAGTAAAAATCTTCAAACATTTATTTCAATCTTTCTTCATTTACAAACAATTCTTCTCCCTCTCGTTCTCTGTCTCTCTCTGCCTCTGTGTGTGTCTCTCTCTCCCTCTCTCTCCTTCTTGCTCCTGCTCCCTCTCTCTGTCTCCTTCCCTCCTTGCATTGTTTCAAATCTGACTTGAAGAACAGGACATAATTAATTTTCAACTTTTAAATCTTCCTCTTCAACCTGAAGCAAAACTTCATAATGCACTTTTGAGTATATGAAGATTAAAATAACATCAAATGAAAATCAAGAAGGGGAGGCTATGAAGTCAAAAGTCATACTTGCCATGGACAAAGTGCATAGATAATTATATGCTGGGTGAATATGGGGAGTGAGAAATGATATATTTTTGAAATGTCTCGTCATTTTAAAAACAGTATTCTACATTTTTTAAAAAATCTGAGAAACCAGGTAAATTGGGAAGGCTACCTAAATATGTCACCCTAAATTATTTGCTGGTCACTTTTATTCATTCCAAGTTCGTAGATGTGTTTCTGATTAAAGCTGGTTTCCTCATACAGACACACACACACACAAATACGCACACACACACATATATATATATACATATATACACAAATACAGTTCATCTGTGGAAAAACTAAGACTGAAATGAAATATGTATCATGAAAGTAATACATATTTGGTGATGGCAGAGGTCAAAAAACTAGGATAACTCTGGAGTATGTTGTTATCGCTAAGAAACTTTTTTAAAAGGAGAAAGCCTACTTTTTTACTATGAGCAGTGGTCAGTAAAGGCTTTTGGTAAAGGGCCAGATAGTAAATATTTTCAGATTTAAAGACTCTGCCAAAAACAACCATAGATGAGATGTAAATAAATGGGTATGGCAGTGTTTCAATAAAACATTATTTCAAGAAACAGGTTGCAAGCTGGATTTAGCCTATGGGTCATAGTTTACTGGCCCCTGATGTAGAAAGTAAGTAATTTTTTTGGGTGGGGGGCACGGACAGGGTCTTGCTCTGAGATCAGGTGTAGTAACCAGATCTCAACTCACTGCAACCTCTGCTTTGGCCTAAAGCCATCCTCCCACCTCATTGTCTCAAATAGCTGGGACTACAAGCGCGTGCCACCATGCCCAGCTAATTTTTGTATTTTTGCACAGATAGAATTTTGTTATTGCACCCAGCAGCTAAATGATTATTTAAATGATGTTTGTTTGCAATATATATATCTACGCTGGATATTTTCTGTTTGACTCTCCACATGCACTTACCATCCTTCTCCATCCTGCTTTCTGTAGGGAAAGTTGGCTTATATGGACCCATCATTTCACAATCTAATTCCCTGGCTTCTGTTTAAGTTCAGCCAAGAGGAGACATTGTTAGAAACTCAGAAGGCCAAAGGAAAATGGGGACAAGATACAGTCTAGCTTCCTTCATGCTAGGTTAACACAGGTTGCGTATATCCCTCCATAAAAGGTCACAGCTCTAGTCTGACGATCTTCTCTACAGCTACAGCTGGGCTCTCAGGGTTCTGTTTACTGCTCCCACCCCTGGTCCCTTCAGGCTTATGGGTTGTGCTTAGAGCTTCCTAATGTACTAGCCCCTGAATATTCCTTGTTGATTTCCCTTAAATCAAAGTGATTCCTATTCCCACTTCACTAAATAGTTCCTTTTAGTAAATTGTTTTGAATTATTCTACTTGAATGTGCCATCTGTTTCCTGCCAGGAACTTTGACAGATCTAGTATATTTTTCCTTGAGCAATTTTAAATATTTTGTAATATCAATTTTATAATACCAAAATGCTATCTATCGTATGTATTTCAGAGAGGTCAGTGAATGTAAAAATGCACTACTTTATTCTGTCCGACACTAAAATAAGGCACCTAACCCTGGCCACCATGTTTTCTCTTCTGTATTTGCTCATGTTAACATTCTTCAAAGGCCACATATATTCAACAGCAGGACCTGAAAGCTTTTATTTACCCAAAACACTGATGAGCTCATGCTGTTTTCTACCTACCTTCATCCTGCCATATGAAACTCAAAAACAAAAGCAATGCTAAGACATTAAACAAGGGTAAAAGCAACTCAATGTTTGGGGTATTTTCCTAAAATAACTACTTTGGTAATTTGAAAATTTACAAACAATTTCAAAATAAAATAATTGCCCTTCTGATTAATTGATGTCTTAAGCGTGTACTTGATTTTTCTTATTGGAAAATTCAGAACTGCTGTGTGATATGAAGGCCAACTTCCTCGTCATGGAATTAAGGATTCATGATGACCTGCTTTATGCCTACCTTTCCAGACTAGGTTCCCAACATTCCACCCTCCATGTTTGCACTTTAAACCCTATAGTCATGCAGAGTTTGTAATGGGTATTAAATCTAAGTCTTTTTTGTTTGTTTTCTTTTTTTGTTTTTTGTTTCTTTTTGGCACAGGGTTTTGCTTTGTCACCCAGGCTGGAGTACAGTAGCACGATCACAGCTCATTGTAGCCTGGAGCTCCAGGGCTCAAGCAATCTTCCCACCTCAGCCTCGCAAGAAGTACTTGGGACTACAGGTGTGTGCCACCACACCAAGCTAATCATTTTATTTTATTTTTTTGTCGAGATGGGGTCTCTCTATGTTGCCATGGCTGGTCTGGAACTCCTGGGCTCAAGCAATCCTTTCACCTCAGCCTTCCAAAGTGCTGGGATTACAGGTGTGAGCCATTGATGAACGGAGCCTCAAAGTCTTTTTGAATGGTGTCCCATGGAGTTGTGCAACGTGGTGACTCTGTTTCAGCCATTTTTCTGTACTGTTCTCTATTGTATCCACCCCAACGCTATACTCCACACATACCCATACACACATATACATACAATCCAAGTTCAAGTCCCCGATTTTGTTCATGCTTTCACATTATGTGGAATGCTCCACCTCCTCCCACACGTGCACCCAGGCCATCTTCACAAGGCTAATACCTGTTATTCTTTGAGCCTCAACTCAGACATCTCCCCACCAAGCAACCTTTCCTGAGCACTTCACCTTTTACTTGGCACCTCTGCAGGCCTCTAACAGTGTATTCCATACTGGTCTGTGATCATATTTTGATATTGCTCTTTTCTATTAGACTATAAGGGTCTTAAGGGCAAAGATAATTTCTTTCTCGCCTTCTTTGTCTTTGGCTTGATGAACTCAACTATTTTAAGTTCTTTGCAGTATAGCCTTCCTGAAAGTTGTAATGTAAGTGGCTAAAGTCATTCCTCAAAACTCTATGAAACTTTCAGACAGCTTTAAACACTCCTCCCTGTGTCATTTTCACCATAGGTGTGTAGCACTCCCAATCCCAGGTTCCCCTGGGCTTTCTGTAACAGAAAGCATCTTTTTGGATTTTGCCCTGCCCAGGTTGAGCTCCTGGCTTTAGACTTTCTCTTTCCTTATTAAAATTGCTTCTTTCTAGCAAGCTCTTCGACCCAACTATCTAGCGATTAATTTAATAAATTAGTCTAGTATTTCCAAGAGGGTGTGGTAAATTATTTAAGGTAGTATATGGACAAACTATTTTAATAGATATAACTAATTTTATTGTTTTTATGATTTATATAACTAACACATGAAATGAATAGTTTAATAGTTACTATTGCTTATGAGAAGGCTGAAATTCAAAAACTAAGTTAGTTTAAAAAAATGTTAAATAAGGATACAGGTAACACACAAATGTAACACCCAAAACAAGAAGAGAAATCCTCAGATATGATGATGGTCAGTTCTATGTGCCAATTTGTCAATGCTGTTGCACCAGTGATTCAATCAAACACTAATCTAGGTGTTGCTGTGAATGTGTTTTGTAAATATGAATAGCATATATAATTAGTTACTTTTAAGTAAAGGAGACTATCATCTCTAATGTGCTTGACCCTGACTCTGTCCACTGAAAGTCCTTGAAAGCACAGGTGAGCTTTTCTTGACAAGGAAGAAATTCTTCCTGTGGACTGTAGCATCAACTTCTGCCTAACTTCAAGCCTGCCCTTCCCAATGGTCTACCCTGCGGATTTCAGACTTGTCACCAGCCTCCACAATCATAAAAGACAATTCCTTGCACAGATAGATAAGATAGATAGATAGACAGATAGGTAGATAGATATCCTACCAATTCTTTTTATCTGGTATAACCCTGAATGATATATCCAATGACTGAAGTTTTGCTTAAGGTTTTCCTGGCCTACAGTAACTGCATATTAACTCTAACTTTCTGGAAATAATGCTTAGAATCAGAACTTGACTTTATTGTCAACTATTATTGTTGTAAATAAAAGTGAGATATTAGTATTCAAAACTTGACAAGATACCATTGCTCCCTTTTCCTGCTTTTACCCACTTTATTTGTATTGGCTTGTGGATAAGAGGTCCCTGCCAAAATGTGTCAACTGGCATAGGAAGAGTAATTTATTTCAGCTAGCATATGTAACCTGACTCAGTAAAACGGTGCTGGTACTTGATAACCACATGTGCTGTCAAAATAGAGGTGCAGCTTAGAATCCTAGGATCCTGGAGAATTCAAGCTCCACCAAGCTCTCATCAGAATAACTTGAAATGTTATTTAAAATGGTGTTTCCTAGACCATCCGTCTCAGTTCTGCTACAGAAGACCCAGATTTTTACAGGCTTCCCACATGATACTTACAATGCTTTAGGAGTTCCCTAGTGGACCTGCAAAATGGTTCTGTCTTTACATTTTTAAAATTTTAGGATTCTGTAACATAGTGTATTTGAGAAATCTCTGTTATAGCTACAAGGACCCCAATATTTAGAATCCACTTAACTAGTCTGTGTTAGGTTGATTTAGTGACCCCAATTTTTTACTCCTCCCTATATCACACCCTTGCCATAGTAACTTCATAAATGAAGTATATTTTCACACTGCTTGGTACTAAATACTCATGAATGAGGCATATTTCCACACTCCTTGGCTTAGGGATTGGTCATGTGACTTGCCTTAGCCAATGGCAGGTTGTCCAAAATTGACCAGTGGACCCTCAATGTAAAACAAAGCCACCCCAGCCACCATGGCCTGAAACTGAGCCTCCCCAAACAACACACAGCTCTATGAGGACAAATAATTATTATTTTAAGTTCCTGAGTTTCAGAGGTGGTTTATTACATAGTGTTATTGCAGTGATCACTAAATGATACATAAACTAATTCCCTAACAGTATGGAGGAGGCAACTGAGGAACTAAGAAGCAAAGTGACTCCTACAGAGCCTTAATCCAAAGGAAAAACTCAAAATGGTAGGACTTTCATAGCAGGCCAGAAGAACACATTGATAAAGAGGTTTTCTTCTCCTTTTTTTGAGACGGAGTCTCACTCTGTCACCCAGGATGGAGTGTAGTGGTGCGATCTTGGCCTACTGCAACCTCTGCCTCCCAGGTTCAAGCGATTCTCCTGCCTCAGCCTCCTGAGTAGCTGGGATTACAGTCACGTGCCACCATAACTGGCTAATTTTTTTTGCATTTTTAGTACAGGCAGGGTTTCACTATGTTGGACAGGCTGGTCTCAAACTCCTGACCTCTGGTGATCCACCTGCCTGGGCCTTCCGAAGCGCTGGGATTACACGCATGGGCCACCACACCCAGCTGATAAAGAGGTTTTCAACATCCTTCCTTCCAACCACATGAAGTAGGCTAGCATCTTCAGATTGATACACCTTTGGAGTAGCAGCATCTTTCCCATCCACAAAACATCACCATGCTGCTCAGCCATGGAAACAGCTGAAGTTCAGTGGGACCACCTTATGGTCTGTAAGATGGGAGGTTGGTGTCCTTCCACCTCCTCCAATGACCTCAGTTCAGTTACTTTCAAACAACCATATACTAGCTGTTGAGTTAAAAACAAATACCACTAAGCCTTATTGCCTTGAGCATGGCATCTTTTATGCCAACCATTAAGATTTATATATCCAAATGCCTTTATTTAATACCTCAAGAAAACATCTTGCCTATTGGACAATTACCTACAGTAGTTAATTTTGATGGAAGGAAATTAGAGTAGAACTGTTTATTATAATCATGTCCAATTAGGACTCAGATTTGGAATTGCTCACTAAGACTCAAGAGTGTTTGAGCTGATTCATTGATTACAATGCTATGAAGAAATTACAAAAGGAATCTAAATGCCCTTGAGAACCTAAGGGACATTTGTTAATGCCAGTACATGTCACAGAGCCTGGAGCTTTATATTTCCACAGGGTTTCTTGGAAACCCTATTTTGCCAAATACCTTGAATTCACGCCCAAGCATTCTTCCTGTTCACAGCCACATGGTGGACCCAGTGCTGAAGGGAGATTAACACTGCAGTTTTCTTGCACAAGGCTCAGACTACACAATACTAAAAAATAAAAAGATAAACATGATTCTAGGCACATTCCGTGCCTCATCTCCATGGCCCAGTTCCTGTTATCCATAAGTAGTTTTAAAATAGTCCACGTTGTTCAGTCCTGCAAAATCAACAGCACTGGAAAGTTGGCAGGTATACTTGTTTAAACAAAGCTCCCAAGTTTTCTGCTGGCAGGTGTTTCCAGAGTTCTTGGAGCACAATTCTTTGGATAGGATATTTGCCAATATACATAGCAACAGGAAAGAAAAAGTGTTTTCCTTTACCACATTGGAGACACTGAAATGCCTTAGATGCAAAGCTGGATATTCAGTTCAGAGGGTTTTTTTGGCTGCAGGTCAAGAATAAATAATAATGAGATCCAGCATCTCTCTGCTCAGAACTCTGATGGGCTTCAGAGTGGAATGAGATCACTTATCAAATTGGCAACAGGTCCTCTCTGGCCATCTCCGTATAGTTTGACCCAATGAGTTTGGTTCTCCCTTCTTTGTCAATTCCCCTGTCTCCTGAATGTCTCATTCTCAAACTAATTTTGCTTGAAATTGTGGCTGGAGATGGTATGTTTGAAACTTAATATGATGAACATAGAACAGGTAAGACATTATTCTTCCCCCATTCATTCCTAGTCATTGATTTTAGTTACATTTTTAAGTCCAGCTTTCCAAAACTGAAACATGGGACTGCTTTAAAAGCACATGACTAATTTCATAATCTGTTCCTTTGCAGTTGGATTGGTTCATAGTTGCTTCCCTCAGATTCATTCTCTGAGCCATTCAATTAAGATCAGCCTTGGTGCTGGAACCCCACAAGAGAGAAGTAATACCTTGTCTCTTACCCTGAACTGCAAAAAACTAAATAGAAGATTAAAAAAATAATAATAAGCAAAGCAAGACTAAAGTCTGAGGAGGGGAAACACAAGCAAAGTAGGGAAAGGTCTGGGGGAGAAGTTTTTAAAACTTAAAGGAAGTCAAAATGTTTCTGGCTTAGAAGGTACTTAATGGTCATTAAATTGTAACTCAGTGAAAATTAAGAGTTTTAAGTTCCGCCTACAAAAATGTAGAATACCAGGCAATACTAAAAGTTACTGTAAGTCTTTTTTTTTAGTTACGTGCTAATGGAAAATGTGTATTGAATTTAAGTTCTTTCGTTTTTGTATTAACTGGCCTCATCTTGGGGTTCAATTAATGCCTCTGTCTGTATGATAACTTTCCTTCATTTCCCTCATAGTGTCTTGTCTTTAGTATTTTGAGAACTTTCTTATAAGTTTCCAAGCAAAGATACTCTTATAGATGTTCTGGGTTCCGAATGGGCCATTTCAGTAGAGTCTAGATGTAGCTGAGGGCCTTCTCTCAGAAAATTCATCTGTTTTGGGAAAAAAAAAAAAAAAAAAAAAAAGCCTGGGTGCAGTGGCTCACTCCTGTAATCCCAACACTTTGGGAGGCCGAGGCGGGCAGATCACTTGAGGTCAGGAGTTCAAGACCAGCCTGGCCAACATGGTGAAACCCCATCTCTACTAAAAATACAAAAAGTAGCCGGGCATGGTGGCACACAACTGTAGTCCTAGCTACTTGAAAGGCTGAGGCGGGAGAATCATTTGAACCTGGAAGGTAGAGGTTGCAATGAGCCGAGATCACTCCACTGCAATCCAGCCCGGGCAATAGAGCAAGACTGTCAGAAAAACAAAAACAAAACAAAAAAACAACTAGCCATTCAATTGACAGAGAGAAAACTAATTTTTTTCTTCAGTTTAACTGTAGAACCGTGGCTACAAAAAGAAATCACATTGGTCAGATTCTGAGTTTTTTACTTCAGGAAGACATCTGAGGAAATAACAGTGATTAATAATATAAAACTTGATCAGATAGACCTGAGTTTACATTCCTGCTTTTTACCTACTTGCAGGGTGTTTTAAAAAATAAGGCTGTCAGTTCAATAATGGTGTTGCCTCTCCTAGCTGTGATAATTCGATTCATTTATTAAAATCTCTGGGCTTTGGTTCCTCAGTGATAAAACAGTCAAGATGAGTAGATGTGATTGGAAGAATTAAATGAAGTAGTATAGTCAAGAGCAGACCCCATAAAGGCGATTTGATTAGAATGGCCACAAATATTTGACTGCAACTTTAAGATCACCATACTTTTTAACTTTTATGTGTTTTCTTTCATGAGTACTAAATATCTATTGTAGGGAAATTAGAAAATACAGAGAAGTAAAAATAATGAGAATTACTTAATCACTTATAGAATCACTTGCCAGAAATAATTATTGAGAATTCGATTAAATCCTATCAGACTTAATCATAAAAAATCAAAATGACATCAGATTGTCCCTGAAATGTTTAATTTTCACCTTTTAGAGTATCTGCCTGATCTCTTTTATGAAAGTGAGTGAAGAAAGTCATAAGAAATTGATTTCTAGGAGGTAAACCAGGAGAAAGAATCCTGAGAAGATTTGGGAGGAAATGAACTTACTGTTTGTTTGTTTTCACAAAGGAAGAAATGTTGCGAATTCCAGGCAGAATATTGTTTTCTGCCAGATCCTTTCCGGAAAAGGCAATAGTGCTAAGGCAGGGTTTCTCTCAGAAAAATAGCAAGCCCTGAAGGATTTCTATTGGGTAGGTTTCACTAAAAATGAGGAATCAATATTGTTTTTATTGTCAGCTCCCAGTGACTGAATTGGAAAGGACTGAGAAAGCAATAACTTCATTTTTCAAAAGTTGCCTCCCTTTTCCCTTCTTTCCCTTCATTAGGATAATTTGTAAAAGCTTTTTGGCTCTTTCTGTGGTCTCTATTACCAAAAGATCTGAACAATTATTTTTGAAAATTTACCCCTAAAATCTATTTGATAGTAATGTTTTAATGTAATATCTAACATATTGCTTCATCATATTTGGAATATCCATAGCATAGCTAAAATTTTTTGAGTGTTCTGTTTATGCGTAAGTTCTCCAAACTCCATTTTAAAGATAACAAAACTGAAGAGCTTAGAGGTATTAAGTAAATTGCCCAAGATCACATAGGGAGTGTCAAACTGGAGCTTAAGCACATGCAGATCCACCACAGTCCAAAAAGCATCCCCTATTGACCATGGCACATTTCACCTTACTGTGTATGTACACACTCAAGCCTATACACACTCCATACCACTCATCCAAACACAGTCAGAGAAATTGCTAATAAAGGAAAATGTGCATAATTATGGAAATGTCTAAATGTAAGAATATGCTTTGCATGGGATTTATTTGGAATAGAACACCATGGCCCTAGACTTGTAATTCCATCAGGAACATCACTGGTATCTGCATGGCACAGTTAGCAATTTTAATACATTGATAAAATCCATTGATGGTCCAGGGCTTTCACATGTAAATGAATATTATAATTGCATAACCCAGAAAAAGAAAAAAAATGAGTTCTAAACAAGCTCTGAGATGATTCTTATAGAACTTATAGTATTGATGTATTGAAGGAGATCATCACAACAAAACCCTCCAGCAATCTGAGCAAGAGCACAGTACCTAGCTGTAGCAGTGGGTAGAATGAGTTTCAAGTTAAAAGAAGATACCGAATTGTTTGCAGATCTTTCCTCTTTTCTGTACTTCATAGACTCTTCTATCCCTGAAAAATAACATAATGAATATCAAAAGGGAATTTCTAGAACCATGCAAAGTTTATTTCCTCTTGCCCTATGTCCTGTGTCAGCTGAACTTCTAATAGCTTGGAGTGTGAGAAGAAGCTTTATTAATAAAGGGAGATGAAGGCAGGGAGGGAGAACTCATGTTTATTAAGCACCCACCAAAGGTCAGGCACTCACATATGTGCTATGTGCTTATGCTTTATATATTTAATCCCTTCCAACAGTACTGTAGATAGTATTATTCTCATCATCCAGTTAGAGAAGCTGAGGCTCAATAAGCTAAATAATTTTACTAATTTGACTAATCCATTGAGTATCAGAGTTAGGATACCAGCCCAAATCCAAAGCCTTTCTACTGCACTGAGAAAATAAGAAATAGGTTCTGAACTTCTCTTCCCCAATTTCACAGCCATAGTGAGATTTATTTTTAACTCTGTTCAATTTGCTAATATTTGAGGTGTCACATTCTTTGGGTAAGGATGATTATTTATAATTTTGAATTCCAGTTAAACCCCCAAAACTTATTCCAGACTATACATCGGAGTAAAAAGAGGTTTATGCAGTAACAGTTAAACTATGTTTCTCTCTGCTTTTATAAGACATAGAGCCCTCTTTACATTCCTTCCATGGAGTTTGGCACGTGTCTAAGTTGTGGTAAGCATGCTGCGAATTATCTTCTTACGACACTGGATGTCTGTCATTTTCCTCCTCTTTCACTCTGCCTCACTGCGATGGTGTTTTTGGCTCTTCGTAATACCGAGAGAGGCTGCTAACATATCTTCAGTGCCCAGGCCTTCGTTGCTATTGCTCCTGAAACTGCCAACATCATCTCCCAAGACTCTAGTGCTATCTTGTCTCTGCCCAAGTTGCCAATGCCAATGCTGCTGACTTATTGAGGTCCCAAAGCCCAGTGAAGCAATTAGTAGGAAAAAAAAGAAGGAAAACAAACTTTGTTTTCTTATTCATATTGTATGTCCATTGGGCCTGGGCCAGAGAACCATCAGAGTGACAGGCCCAAGGTCTATTCAGAGTCCCAGCTCTGTTCAACACCAGCCTACTGTTCTTGAACCAGGTTATAGCTGTTTGTCTTCACTTACCATGTGATCTTTCTCAAGAGGCTCCTCATTCTTTCTTGTAAAGACTGGCTACAGCTATATAAAAACCTAAGAATAATCTCAGATTTGGTTCCACCTGGACTCTTTACTATATACATATATATGTATGTGGAAATGAGGTCAAGGGAATGTACAGGTTTGTTCAGTGTTAACAAGCTCATTACTGGCAGATATACAATAAGTATTTGGGTATTCTAACTCCTAATTCAGAAAAGTATTATTTCCTTCATTCATATATTCATTCAACAAATATGTGTTGAAGGCTGGTTTTGTGCCAGCCACTGTAAGAAGTAATGTATACAACACATGCTAGCCCTTTAGAGCTCATAATCTACTGGTGTGATAAGTCCATTGTAGGGTTAAACTCAAGATACAATGGGAGTTAATAGGAGAGATGTCTAACCTAGGAAAGGCTTCCGAGATGACACAATCTTTAAGCTGAGCCTGCAGGACAAGAAGTTAATGAGGCTGAGGAAGAAAGCTGGTTTGTAGTCAGTGGAAAGTGGGGCTTGGGGAAGGTAGGCATTTCTGATTCAGTTAGTCAAGAAGGCAGCTGAGCTCCAAGCTTTCTTGCCAGTAAGTTTATATTTTCCCTGGTCAAGCACCTGAGTTCCTCTAAATTACTTCAGAAGTTAAATAACCATCCATTTTCTTTTTCTTGATAATAATATGGAAGTTTAAAAACAGCAAATTCATTGCATAGAAGTTTCTTTGTGAATTTATTAGAAAGAGGGAAAGAGGACAGGAGTTTAGTTCATGAGAAGGGTAGGGCCGGAAGCAAGATTGTGACTTTAAATAAGTTAGGCTAAACCAATGTAAAATAACCCTCAGGGGTGTATGGAGGTTTCATGGAGCCTGAAATTTATATAGTGTTGCAGGGCTCTCTTTGAAAAAAATAATGTAGCTGGACACAGTGGCTCATGCCCATAATCCCAGCACTTTCGGAGGCTGAGGCAGGCAGACCACTTGAGGTCAGGAGTTCAAGACAAGCCTGGCCAATGTGGCAAAACCATGTCTCTACTAAAAATACAAAAATTAGTTGGGTGTGGTGGCAGATGCCTGTAGTCCCGGCTACTCAAGAGGCTGAGGCAGGAGAATCGTTTGAACCCAGTAGGCAGAGGTTGCAGTGAGCCGAGATTGTGCCACTGCACTCCAGCCTGGGTGACAGAACGAGACCCTGAAAAAAAAAAAAAGAAAGAAAGGAAGAGAATACAGAAAGAAACCTTACTTTTGTAAATTTTTCAAATATATGACTATGAGAACACATTGTGATTTTGGAGAGATCTTATCAAAGTGAAGAGTCTTGACGCTTAAGCCTCATTAGCATCATGGCAAACAGCCCTCTAAGACACTGTTTCAGAGAGAGTGCCATCAACACTGATAAAATCCCTCAAACCAAAGGCTGAAAGTGCTTGCACTCATACATGAGTGCCCTGTGGTAATTTGGAGAAGAAAAAGGGAGAAGAGGAAAGCAGTTAAGATTTGTGTTTTTTTTTGCGGGGGGTGTGGGGTGTGTGTTTACTTATAACTGTAGTCTACTAAGGGAGATTTTTTTCATGGTTATTTATAATAGACTCTGTGTTCTAGGAAGATTTCAACACCTTTTTAGCAAAAGATGTTCACATAAACCTGAAATGAATATAGCCAAAGAGGACGTGGTCTTTCAGCACCTCCAGCTAAAAAATGCTGCAGAGGAACTTCCTGTATTAAGGTAAATGAACAAATAAATCTTCCTGCGGAGACACAAGTTTTCTGAACTGATGTTATTTGCAACACAGTTATTCAAGTATGGACTGGGAACAGGAATGGCAGGGAGGTGTGAGCAAAAGAGGGAAGATCATAAAAGTGTTGTACTATTGAACTGGCTCTCCTGAAATAAAGAAAAAGCCTTGATATGTAAGTTGATTTCTGTGGTGTCCATACTCTCACTATGGCTCACTTCAATCTCCTGATTTGATACCACTAACAAGGTGTTGTGAAGACACGGGCAAATTCAATTCTTGTAGGTCAGTGAGATCCATTCCAGAAGACAAATCCCTGGATGTAAATTTTCTGTGGTCCGATTGATGCTTCCTTGTGGAGGTACCAGAACAGACCTTTGGTTTAAAATGCATCTCAAATGTGAAATCAGGTTCTTTTCTTTGCTTGAAGCACTTGCAATAATATGCAGAGACTGGATTTCAGGTCCCACATGCTCTTGAGTTAATTTTGCTGGATTAAAGGGTGTGCAGGCCCTTGTGAGTTAGGGCTGGCTAGGGTTTTGTGAATTCCAGGTGAGATGCTGGCATCTTCCTCATCAAGTTCTGTATTAACAGCTGCCACCTTCAGAAGACTGGTAGAGGCTCAAGGTTAGGGAAAAGCACAGAAATTACAAAAACTGTGACACCTTTTATCAAGGGCTACTTAAAAATAGAGTCTATTTTTGAAAGAATGTGGGTAAAGAAATGTTTTCAACAAAAGTTTGGTGGGTATGTACCATCTATTTACATATTAACGCACATAGGCCAGGCGCGGTGGCTCACGCCTGTAATCCCAGAACTTTGGGAGGCCAAGGTGGGCGGATCACGAGGTCAGGAGATCGAGACCATCCTGGCTAACACGGTGAAACCCCGTCTCTACTAAAAATACAAAAAATTAGCCGGGCGAGGTGGCGGGCGCCTGTAGTCCCAGCTACGCGGGAGGCTGAGGCAGGAGAATGGCGTGAACCCCAGGGGGCGGAGCTTGCAGTGAGCCGAGATCGCGCCACTGCACCCCAGCCTGGGCGACAGCGAGACTCCGTCTCAAAAAAAAAAAAAAAAAGCACATGTAACTTGTAGCATAAATATTTTAAATAAATTGATATACACAATCCTTCCGTCTCCCCACCCCTCCCTCCTTCCCTCCTTTCCTTCCTCCTTCCTTCCTTCCTTCCTGTTGAATAGTTATAAGGTTCTAGGCATGTAACTTAATGTAAACTTATCTAGTAAAGCAATTAATAAGACAAAAGTTGTACATTGAAGGAGCTCATAGGAAGAAGGAGACAGTTGCGTAAACACCTACTTGAAGAATGTTTCAGAAGCTGAGATAAGAGGCTAAGCTGGGTGGCAAGCAAAGGCATGAAAGCAGGACTGTTAATTCTGGCTGGGTGAAGGGCCAAGGTAGAGATCAAGGCTGAATTTGTAAAGTCATAATGGAGGAATTTAAAAGGTGAGAAGCCTGATAATCAAGGGTGTGGGACATGTAGGCAGTATGAGAAGGGGTTGATGGAAGCTTACTGACTGGTCAAGGCAGTGCAAGAAGTTTAACCTGTCTGGAAATATGGGGACAAGAACTGGAAAGGGCAGTCTGTGCATGAAGATTCCAGGAGAAGCCTGATGATGGAAAACCTTAAAATCACATCGAGGTTTATTTTATAGTGCTACTATTGAGGAACCATTTCTGGGTTTTTAATTGGGGAATGATATGAACATTTCCAGGGTTGTTGCTCTCTGTTGTTTTTAAGGATCAGTACAAAGTAGCTGCATGAAGAATGGATGGGAGAATAAGAAGCTATGGCAATAACGACAGTTAGAATATATCAATGGGCATGGAGGAGGAGGCTGTTGACCTGGGGGGAGTACCAATAAAGTTGGACTATGCAGAGGAAAGAACTCGGGGATTTTATAAAGTTAGAATTGTCAGGACTTTGTCATAATTTCTTTCTTTTCTTTTCTTTTTTTTTTTTTTTGTATTTTTAGTACAGATGGGGTTTCACCATGTTCGCCAGGATGGTCTCGATCTCCTGACCTCGTGATCTGTCCACCTCTGCCTCCCAAAGTGCTGAGATTACAGGTGTGAGCCACCACTCCCAGCCTTTGTCATCATTTCAGATAGGGTGAAGGAATGGTTTAAGTCGCCTCCAAGGTATCTTGTTGGGGGTGAGGGGTACAGAGGGGTCTTACTGAATGGTGATGAAAAAGGGGACACAAGCGAAAAATCAACATTGGAGAAAAGATAACTAAACCCTGGGAAGCTTAAGGAACAAAGTGTAACAAAACAACATGGATTGTTTTATAAAATACTTTGAGATATCCAGGATTAAAAGTATGATAAAAAATAACATCGTGTATTTTTGCAGTAACTTTTAATTTACAAAAACACTTACATACATTATCTCACTAGACTCTTTGACCCTTATATGTACTATGTAAGAAAGGCAGGGCAGGCACCAGAAATCCAGGGTTACAAAATCTAGTGATTGGAACTCAGAGGGATTGCGAGGCATGCTCAAAATCCCACAACTGCGCAAAAATAGGACAAACAGAAATATGTTCACTCAGTGATTAGAACTCGGAGGGATTGTGAGGCATGCTCAAAATCCCACAACTGCGCAGAAATAGGACGAAGAGAAATATGTTTGCTCAGTCCTAGGTGCAATACTTATGACCAGAATGGGAGGACAGACTGATCCCCTTTAGAGCTTGATTTTCCTTCCCTCTGGGAATATATCTGCCTTTGGCACTGGGTACGATACCTCCAGTATCTGTCTTTGTCGAGTAGTTTCTTCATGAGATCCCCAGTCATATCAGTGGAGACCTGTGGGTCTTATATGTGTTGCTTAAAATTATGTCCAAACTGTTGAGGCCTTGACGTTCCTGGAGCTTGAATGACCCATCACCTTGGAAGGTTCTGAAGTTCTGATCATCTCACTGGTCATCCTAAAACCTGAAACTGAAGAGGGTGAGGCAAAAATATACTGTCATCTTTTCCTTTCTGTGAAAAACAGAAAGAAAAACACAGTAAACCTGCCATTTCCCTCAGGTCAAGTGACAGACACTGACCCTTGAATTTTCCATTCAGAGAGCTCCAAAGTAAACACAGAATCACGTAAGTCTGAAGAAAAGAAGCCAAATTAGGAACATCACACTTCCTCTCGCCTAGAAAAGAACAGCTTTTCCTATTACTCTAAGTAGGACACTGGAAGAGAAAACAATTATAAATTAAAATTATAAATTAAAAATCAGTTATAAAATTAAAGAATTTGGAATGTAATATGCTTTGCAGGTACTCAGATGATGGCACGCAATTGAAAAATCTGTTTAAGTGTTAGCTTAGCCTTTGTAAACTCTACCAAACAATCTACATCTTCCTACCATTTGCTCATTTGTTATAACTGAAAGAAATGTCTCCTCAAATATTAAAGCTGATGGAGAAAAATGTACCATGCTTCTTCTCTCATCTCAGATACAAGAAAAATTACTCTCAGACTTATTTGCACAGTTAAGTTTATCCTTAGAAGTAGCTGTTGCCATTTGCTATCTCTTCAGTTTTGAACTAAAGTTAAAAGTGATGGAGTTCAGTAAAATTAGCAACAGGATTAGACATGGCTCATCCCCATTCTTCCTTATTAAAATGCATTTCCCCGCCCCCACTCCCCCAGTGACCAGGACACCATGCTCTGCTGTGATTCTTCCTATCTCCTTCTCAGAATTCTTCACTGGGTCCTTCTCTTTGTGATATCAGTCTCAAATCTCAGAACTCAGTCTTTATCTCCTCTCTTTCTTACTCATACCCCCAACAATTTTATCCAATCCATTCTTTAACTATCCTCTCTAGCCTGACTGCTCCCAGAATTATAGCACTAGTCCTAATCTTTGCTGTAAAATCTATACTGGTACAACCAACAGCTAACAACATATCCACTTAAATATCTAAAAGGCATGTCCAGGCTGGACCCTTGACTTACTGCTATCCCCAGACTTACTCCACCCAGATCCTTCCCATCTCAGCAAGTGGCATCATCATTCTTCCAGTTGTAGACAAAATCCTAACAATCATCCTTGATTCATCTATTTCTCTAATATCCCACATCCAATCCATTAGCAAACTCTCTGCTCCACCTTCCCAATACATTTAAAAGCCAATTGCCTCTCATAATCTTTATTATTTCTCACATGGACTGTTGCAATCACCTGCTAACTTGTTTCCCTGCTTCTTCTCTTATCTCTCTTCTCTTCCCACCTGACGAAGCTGTCTTTTTAGACTTTAAATCAGATTATGTGATTCCTCTTAGAATAAAATTTAAATACCATATCAGGGCCTCAGAAGTTCTACATGATCTGGTTCCTGTCTTCTTCTCTGCTCTTACCTCCTAATACTCTGTGCTTTGCTTGCTCTGCTATAAATACATTCATTTTCTTTGGATCCCCTGAACATCCAAGCACTTCCCACTTCAGTGCCTTTGCACATGTTATTCCTCTCCCTGGAATGCTCTTCCTGCAATTCTTCACATAGCTTAATTTTTAACATCTCTCAAGTTTTGGCTTAAATGTTACTTCTTCAAGAAAGGCCCCTTTCCTCACTTCCCCAGCCTTTTTGCTATCTGCTACATTTTTATTGAAAACATTAATTATTACTACAAAAATTACATGTATCAATTCCTCTTAGTTTACTATTTTTCACCCCAGCTACCATAAATCTAAGTTAGTAGGGCCCATGTCCCTTTTTGTATTACCTATGTATCCTCAATGCCTAAAAGAGCACCTGACACATAGTAGGCACCATATAAGCAGGTGATGATTTGATGAATAAGTTAAATAAATGTATCTGTAAGATTCAATATCCCTGGTAAACATTGTTTTTTTTTCACTTCTAACTTGCATAAAATAAACAATGTGTATGTGTGCATGTGTATTCCCTGAAGCTAAAATACATAAATTAATGATCTCAACATTTGCAGCAACCTGAGAAGTAACATCATACATCTAGAGAAAATAACTCTTCCAAACATTGGCTGGGTGGCATAAATATCAAACACACTACTGCTGTCAATATTAGCAAGACAAGAGTGGAACAACTTTCTCCAGAATATTCTGATTAGACAGATACTGTATTCTGTATTGGCATTACCTGAGTCTCTCAGGTGAATGAATCCCTGTGTCTTCTCACTCAATAAAGGGCACTTGAGTGACCACTAGATGCCAAACACTGTGATAGATACAAAGACATGTGGGTGAAAAGACAAGCAGAATCTTGTCCTCATGCTACCTACAGGGAGGCCAGATATTGAACAAATAATTATCAAGAGGCAGAAAAATGCTGCAACCATGGAATATTAGAGGAAACCATTACATCCACATTTATAGACAGGAAAATGCAACTTATACAGAAAACATGGCTAACTCCCGGAACACCACTGGTTCATGGTAGTATTAGGGCTTGAACTTTAATTTCTTAGTCATCAATTTTTTGCTCTAATTAAGATAACATACATCCTGATTTGCCTAGGACAGTACTGGCTTAGTACTTGTCCTAATTATTAAAATATCCCCTTTTTCATTCTCAAATGAATCCTGGTTCAGATAGTATGGCATCCTAACTCATATTGGCTGTACTAGATCAGAACTCATAAAAATCAAAGGGCTTGCCACACCCATTGGTTTGACTAGAAAACTAGTCTTTTACTTTTTTATGAAAATTGCCATAATTGACCTTATTTTATTCTAATTATAGTTATTTAAGCTAGAGACCATGTCACTGATGAGGTGAAAGAATACTGTGCGATCAGATTTTAATTGGGTGGGGATTAATTGATCCTTTTTCCAGGAGTTCTGAGCTTGAGGTACACCTAGAGAAGCAGAAGCAATCACAGTAAAAACAGGCAGAGGAAGTGATGAGAATGGCAGGGGCAATAAAGTACAGACTGCAAATGGAAACACTTCCAAGGGGCAAATGGCTGGGTCACTAAGGCTACTCTATCATGATCATGAAAGAACAAGATTTTATTACCCTTTGAAACTTACTGCTCAATTACTAATGTTTTTCTCACTTTCCTTATTTCCCTGTTTCTTACAAGCAAGAAATACATGGTCATATTTATAGTACATGTGTACCCCCTCTTTCAATGTCTCTCTATGTTATGCATATGGGGTCCCATTCAGGCCTCTATATATTATATTCCAGAGTTCGGGACACATGCCACCTTACCCACAGCATAGGTTAAGGAATAGCCTTTATTGGGAAAATTTACACAGGTCAACGTCTGCTTGGGTCCACTTAATCTTCACATCATCCTATAGGAGGCTTGCCTAGACTAGGGCACTGTTGGTCTTCAAAGGCAGGACTGCATTTCAGTACAAAGGTCTCTTCCACTTGCATGTGGAGACCTGTACATAGTTTGGTCCACAGAGAATACATAGGCTGCTTAGAGTCATCCTTTCTGGATTTCAGATGGCGGCTGCTGTCTGGGAATGTTGGCTGCCCTGCACCTGGAGCCCTTAGGGTCAATGGGACATTGCATTCCACCCTGGCAGAGGAAAAAGTCCCTGGTCCCATAGGAAAGTGAGCATGGGCTTAGCTCAGGCCCTCCCTCAGGGGGCCAGCTCAGGGGGTGGGTAGACACAGCTGGCTTATTAGCCAGATAATGTACAGTGTCCATCCATGGACTACCCATCTGCTTATTGGAATGAATGCTGGCTAAGTGCCTGCTCTGACTTTATACATATAAATGTCAAATATATATATATATATATATATATGTACATGTATATGTAGGCAGATATAGATTTATATAGATATGTAATATTTTTTAAAGGAACAGGGTCTTGCTATGCTGCCCAGGCTGGTCTCAAATTCCTGGGTTCAAGCCATCCTCCTTATTCCTGAGCAGCTGGAATTACAGATACGTACCACCATGCCCAGCTTCTATATAAATATTGATTATAATTTATAAGCCCTGGTTATATCATATATAGCCTATGTAAACATATATTTTACATATATGTACACTTTGCATATGTATGGATATATTTAAGCCACTAAATCCAATTGAAAGTGAAAATAAATTTCATTTGAAAATCATGAAATAGTTTTGATCACACCATGAGGTTTCACAGTATGGATTTGGTGTTCACTAGGCATGTAGTCTTTTCCCCCCACACACGTTTCTTTTCCTATTGTCTTTCTTCAGATGTGGGCTACATCGACAATATGAAATCTGGTACATCACTAAAAATTTAACCTTGACATGTAGCTTGATGGTTCAACTGCTTTCTATATTGTCATGAAAAGAAATAACTCCACGGTAATGAACTATTTTGAGTGGTTGTCACTGTTTCACCATACAAGAACTTTTGATAATATTGTTTTTCCATTTCTTTCAACTTAAAAGAATTTAAAACATTACTGATACCATTAAAGTCTTTTTCCAACCCCCTTTCAAATTTCATTTCCAAACTTCCATTTTTGAAGCAACCACTGTCATGAATTTGGCATTGATCTTTGCAGTGTATTTTTAAATATTTTTCTTACATATCTATGTACCCACTCACAATATGAAGTAAATTGCTGTGCTATTATAATTTACATAAATGACATCATATTAAATGTATCAATCTAAAATTTTTTTTATTCGCCTTTTAAAACTCAGATTGTATATTATATATACTTTTGATACTGTGATATATAATAAGAAACATATATTTTGGGCTTCATTCCTGTTTTCTAGCACACAGCTCCTAGTAACCTTTGATTCTCAGAGGCAATAATTTCTAATGAGGTGACTGGTGGCTGGGGGCTCCTGGACAGCCTCAGCACAGGGGCTGGTTGGGAGGGTTGGGATCAACCCTGTGAATGCACGTTGTTATTACAGCTCTACCCACTCCCCAACCTCTGGGGAGATGAGAGGGACTGAAAGTTAAGGTGAGAACCAACAGCCAATGATGTAATTAACTGTGTCTACATAATGAAGCCTCCATAAAAACCCAAAGGACAGAGTTTGAAGAGCTTCTGGGTTGCTGAACACATGGAGGCACTGGGAAGGAGCTGTGCCCGAAGAGGGCATGGAAGCTCCCGCTCCCTTCCCGCATGCTTTGCACAGTGTACTTCATCTGACTGTTGATCTGCATCCTGTGTAATAGCGCTTATGATAAACCGCAAGCATAAGTAAGTATTTCCCTGAATTTCATGAGCTGTTCTAGCAAATGATAGAACCCAAGGAGGTCATGAGAACTTCCAATTTGTAGCTAAGTGAGAACAGAAATATGGGTAAACTGAAAACCTACTACTTGCAACTGGCATCTGAAGTGGAGAGCAATCTTGTAGGACTGAGCCCTTAGCCTGTGGGGGTCTGGACTAACGACCATTAGTGTGAAAATTGAATGGAATTGTAGGACAGCCAGTTGGTGTTGGCTGAAGAATGGATGTGTAGGGAAAAAAATCCCACATATCTAGTGTCAGAGTGAAGTATTGAAGAGTGAGTGTGAGTATAGAGAAAAATAGTGTTTGCTATAAAATATTAGTACAGTTAAAGAAAATCAATGACGTGGTCGCCCATGTGCCCACAATTCGACAATCCTTTATAAAGAAGCCTTATATGTGCACTTAGCTATCTCATTCTTCTCCTTTCCCTGGATGTAACTATGATCCTGAATTTTATATTAAAAATTCTCCCGGCCGGGCGCGGTGGCTCACGCCTGTAATCCCAGCACTTTGGGAAGCTGAGGCGGGCTGATCATGAGGTCAGGAGATCGAGACCATCCTGGCTAACACGGTGAAACCCAGTCTCTCCTAAAAATACAAAAAAATTAGCCGGGCGTGGTGGCGGGCGCCTGTAGTCCCAGCTACTTGGGAGGCTGAGGCAGGAGAATGGCGTGAACCCAGGAGGCGGAGTTTGCAGTGAGTAGAGATCGCGCCACTGCACTCCAGCCTGGGCGACAGAGCAAGACTCTCGTCTCAAAAAAACAAAAAAAAATTCTCCCAATTTTCTTAAAACTTGTATCACATATGACTGAATTTCTACAAATACATTAATTACTTCTGCTTGCTTTTGCACTTTATAGAAATGAAATCATGCAGAACACATTCTTCATCATTTCTGCTTTTTCTTTTCAACATTTTATTTTAGACATTGATTAATATTGATACATACAGCTATAATTCACTGATTTCGAATAAATGTGATGGGAAAAACTATCCATGTTGATGTATAGAGTTAATTCATAGCAAATTACCTGTGTTTACTGCAATGTGAGAACCTTTGTCTTTTAACAGGAAAGTTGAATTCATTTATATTTGCTATTTTCACTGATTCTAAGGTGCAGTAATAGACTAGACTATTTTGGAATAAATCTCTCAATAAAACGTATCTATAACTGTTAGGTTACTATATAAGAAATATCTGTAAAGCAAGGGTTATACAAATGAAGGAGTCACAAATGAGTGCCTTGTAACATTCTTGAGTCCCAGTTACTTATAAGTATCTGCTTTTCCATCCACAGGCCATGGAAGTTGAACCACTTTCAGACTATGTCCTTGGCTTATGGGGAGATTTTTCTAATCTCAGTTCATTGGTACTTTCAAAGTTACTTCCGGATTACAGTGCATTCACTCCTGTCCTATGAAGGTATTGGAAAAGCATCCTCTATATGCATATGGGCTGCAATTCTTCAATTCGGTCTCTCACACTCTACCTTTAAGTTCTCTCTTCAGTTTCAGTATCTGGAGATTTCCCATTCTTTGTTTTGATTATGTAGTTGAAATATTACACATACACACACACACACACACACACAGGAAAAAATATTTGTTTAGCATTTCTTTTCTTTTTCTTTTTCTTTTTTTTTTTTGACAGAGTTTTGCTTTTGTTGTCTTGTTGCCCAGGCTGAAGTGCAATAGCACGATCTCAGCTCGCAGCAACCTCCGCCTCCCAGGTTCAAGCGATTCTCCTGCCTCAGCCTCCCGAGTAGCCGGGATTACAGGCATGCGCCACCACACCCGGCTAATTTTGTATTTTTTATATTTTTAGTAGAGATGGGGTTTCTCCATATTGGTCAGGCTGGTCTGGAACTCCCAACCTCAGGTGATCTGCCCACCTCAGCCTCCCAAAGTGCTGGGATTACAGGCATGAGCCACTGTGCCTGGCCAGCATTTCTAACTATTCAAAGTAAAATAAGAAGCCTTTCATATCTGCCCACTATGCTGTAATTATGAGATATTTGATGTGATCTTTCCAGAAACCAGGTTTTATAAAGTATATAATGCTGCTATCAAAATGTAATTAAACAGTTTTGTTGTTGTATTTTAAATTTTTTAAAAAAGTATTCTTACAATTGGCCTATAAATGAGCAAAAAAATTTTTTAAGATTTGAAATATATATTCAATATAAAATATATGTATTATATCCAAATATATATGAAAATTGAAAATAGTGTATGTGATATACACTATATTACTTATACATATGTAATCTGTTACATGCTATCTACAAGATAAAGTTTTTCAAATAAGCACAAATATTATTAGAGTTGATTTTTATGCATCATAGCAATGTCTATATTTTTATTCCCCTAAAATACCCCCAGAGATTGAAGGGGTACATTCTTCTATCAATGTCTAAACACTGCAGAAAAAATATAAAGCCAAAATTGTTTTTCCTCTTCAATAAATTCTTTCTGGAATAAGAATTAGATTTTTTAAAAATAGTTTATAAAACGGTAAATTTAAATTAAATTTTTTGTTTTTTTATTTCTATTTTGTTTTTATAACTTTACTTCCAGGCTGAATCATTCACATCAGAACAGTCACTTGATTTTCAGTAGAGAATCAACAAGCATTTATGATGCAGATGTTATTCACATTGTCCTCAAGTGACCATCAAACTTGCTTTTATTCCTTAATGGAAAAGTGTTATGAAACATAGAAAAAAGTTCTTGGCATGGCATGATATGAGCAAGAATGCTAAAAGATATTTCTTCTCAAAAATATCTCTCCTTTTTAGATCTCAACTTTAAAGTTTTTTTATTCCAAATTCAAGGCTGTTGGTGAAAGTTTTCTGAAACCATCAGTTCTAAAGATTTAAACATTATTAACCCACAATTAACATTAATATTGTAAAGTGAATTCATATAGAACACTTTTCAAAATGTATTATTCCTCAGTATGCTAGTATCAATATACTTAAAAAGTGTTTTGGCTCCTCAAAAAATTAAACATGGAAATATCATCTAATCCAGTAATTCTACTCCTAGGTACATAGCAAAAAGAAATGAAAATTGGTATTCAAACAAAACATATACACAAATGTTCATAACGCCATTATTCAAAATAGCCAAAAGGTATCCATTAACTGCCTAAATCTAAGAACTAATGAGTGTATATCAAATGCAGTATATTCATAGAATAGAATATCATTCAGCCATAAAAAGGAATGAAATACCGATACATGCTACAACATGACTGAACCTCAAAAAAATTATGCTAAGTGAAAGAATTCAAACACAAAAGGTCACATGTTATGTTAAATGAGTCCCTTTGTATAAAATATTGAGATTAGGTAAATCTGTAGAGACAGCAGATTAATGGTTGCACAGGCTTGAGGGAGGTGCAGTGGGAAGTAAGGACTTAACGGATACAGAGTTCCCTTTTGAGGTGACGAAAATGTTGTGGAACTAGATGGAGGCGGTGGTTATACAACACTGTAAATGTAATAAATGCCACTGAATTGTACACCTTAAAATGGTTAACCATGTTGTGTAAATTTTACATCAATATGGCCGGGCGCGGCGGCTCACGCCTGTAATCCCAGCACTTTGGGAGGCCGAGGTGGCTGGATCACGAGGTCAGGAGATCGAGACCATCCTGACTAACACGGTGAAACCCCGTCTCTACTAAAATAATGCAAAAAATTAGCCGGGCATGGTGGTGGGCGCCTGTAGTCCCAGCTACTCGGGAGTCTGAGGCAGGAGAATGGTGTGAACCCAGGAGGCGGAGCTTGCAGTGAGTAGAGATCGCGCCACTGCACTCCAGGCTGGGCGACGGAGCAAGACTCCATCTCAAAAAAAAAATTTTACATCAATAAAAAGGGAAAAGAGGAGGGTTCTATAATGTACAATGTGGAGATTCACAATTCACACTAGCACTTTACAGACTCTGAGAACTCCTGCAGTAACTTACCCATTTAAGTCATATTTCTCAAATGCATTGGATTACAAAAACCTCCTTGTTCTGTGTATATGTATGTGTGCACATACGCCTACACACACTCCTGCACACATTTGCACATATGTTTGCTTAAGTAGTACCTCATATGCCTCATCTTTAAGGCTTAGCAGACCTGTTTTGGGTCAGACTCACAAAAAGAGATAACAAAGTACAGAACAAATAAATCCTTTAAGATCAGTGAGGAACAGGCCGGGTACAGTGGCGGCTCACACCTGTAATCCCAGCACTTTGGGAGGCCGAGGCGGGTGGATCACCTGAAGTCAGAAGTTTGAGACCAGCCTGACCAACATGGCGAAACCCCGTCTCTACCAAAAATACGAAAAAAAAAAAATTGTATTTTCTATCAAAAATACAAAAAAATTAGCCAGGCATGGTGGCACATGTCTGTAATCCCAGCTACTCGGGAAGCTGAGGTAGGAGAATTGCTTGAACCTGGCAGTTGAAGGTTGCAGCGAGTTGAGATTGCTCCACTGCACTCCAGCCTAGGCAACACAGTGAGACTCTGTCTCAAAAAAAAAAAAAAAAAAAAAAATCATTGAGGAAGTAAAAAGGTGTCCACACTAAGAAGCCCTTAAATATCAAGAACAGAGCTGAAGAAAAATAAAAGACAGATACAGAAAGGAAAGGTGGGTGAATATAATTAAAATCAAATTGCAAAGGAACATAGGTAGTAGCATCAGTGAGGTGAAGATCAGGAGATTTATATCCACGTCTTAGGTCAGATTCTCTAGGAAGTGGAATCTGAGATGGTTGTGAGCAGGAAGTTTGGGGAGAATCCTCTAGGGATCTACATCTGCAAGGGGTAAGGAACAAAGGATTGGAAGGAGGAAGAAGTCAAACTGTGATGCAGGTCCTACAAAGACTTCAGCTAATCTCAAGAGAAGCTGTAATACAAGATGGTCCTTCAGAGATATCCATCCAGGTCTTGTCTCTCTGCACCAGTGGGTCATGGGATGCTAGCTGCGTTAAGCATATAACCTTGGTAAGGAGGACAATTTCTGTGAAGAACCATCAGAAGAAAAGACTCCTGGCAGCTGGGTGATCAAATGCCTAAGTACTGAAGTGGGAATGTGGAGACCACATCATAACTTTCATTACACAGGGCCACAATTTTCTGAAAAGTGTCCAACATCCCAAAAACATAATTCTAATAAGACCTCTTCCCACAACCACACATCTAAGAAATGGCACCTTTAAGAAGTCTCCACTCAACAATTCTGAGTGATTTTCTATCCCCATCCATTCTTTGATGCAGTGGGTATTTTCACTTTGTAGAGAAAAGGAAAAAATATTTTCTAGTACAGCATCCTCCCTAGTAGGGCAGCTCAACAAGTTTATATTAACACTACCCCCAAAACTTGTTACAGATCAATTAATCTCAAGTTAAAATGATCATTTCTTGCTAGTATCCTCTGATAGTTCATTAATTGATATCAAATAATGCTACTTGTTGCTTTTAATCTCTGGTTTTTCCATGATGGTCTGCTTACCTTCTACATTGGAATAACTTCAAGGAAAGAGGGCTAATAATTGAAAACAGATATTTGTGGGTCTCTCTCCAGATGGACTAAACCTGACTCAATGAGGAAGAAGCACAGCAACCCATTCTTTATGTTTTGGGATATTTTTATGGATATAAATGTTCAAGAACTACTATTACAAGTTCTCTAATCTTCCCTAGTTTGAGTCAAATCATCTGGGAGTCATGGGCTCACAGCTCTTCACATTAGCCTCAGTAGCTCTTTTTTTATTTAATTGCACTTTGGTGAGATGCCAGCAGCCAATACTGAGGTGTATTATATAAACTTCACTGAATAACTTGTGTCTGTGTTTACTGTTGAGATTATGTGTATGACAATATATGGTATCCTGTCTGTAAAGACTTGGGAGAAAATTCTGATCTCATAATCAGATAGAATTGTTCATCTCTTCAGCAACTAGATAGATTTAACACTATAAGTAGTGTGACTCACTCACCTCTAGTGTTTCCTTCTTCTCATTGGCTAGCAGAAACTTACAAGTTTTTGGCATACCTCTAGAAAATATGCGTGACTTCATTGTGTGATTTTTGTGTCCTGACTCACTTTTACTTTCACTGAAATTTCCTGAGTCTTTTTTTAAATCATTTATTTGCTATTTCATATGTATTTTATTAAATGATTTTTTAAATCCCTTCTGGAACAAGCCTGGGTATAAATAGTCAACTGTATTCTAATTATTAACACGTACCAGACATTCAACAAGTTCAGTCCATCAGTGAAATACCTTAAAAGCAAAGACGTAGCCCCCGCCAGTGTATTATAGATGCTTTTGCAGGGAACTGTGTGAAGAAATTCTAGCAATGTTGTAAGCAATTAATTGGATAGGATTTCAACTTTTGACACCAATAACCGGTCTAACAACATTCTGTGACTTGGCATATCAGTGAACATAGGAGAAAATAATAGGGCTTGTGCATTTCCAAAGAACTATTGAGGAAGGAATTCAGAAAATATCCCACAATTTTAATTATCCTTTCTTTTCATTAATCTTCCTCGCTTATGCATGCATAAGCATACAAATAATATAAAAATTATAGAACCCCCGGATTTCATTTAAATCTTTCTGGCCCTTCGGACATTTACACAGTGCAAATTCCCTCTTTTCACCCAGTCATGCATTATACTTTGCTATAGGATGAGGAAATTCTTAATAAATGTCATCATGATTTAGTTCACTTTGGGCAAGTAAGGTTAAATTTAAAATATTTAGAAGTTTGAAGTTATTACATTACAGATGAGTTTGTATTTCTTACTATTTATTAACTGTAAGAGTATACTAGAATAAGTGTTAGATGTTGCCTATGACTATATAAAGTATCTGAGTCAACCAGAAATGAGCTCACACTTCTAATAACTTAGGCATGAATGAGTGAATCATAAAAAAGCCCCCCGTTCCTTTTATTGAAATAATCCTGGGAAAGATGGAAACAGCACAGGCCTCTGCTTCTGATAACAGATATGGGAAGGAAATATGGTACAGCCCTGGAAAATCTTTGGGCTGTTAGAATTAGCTTTCTTTTTTTTTAAACTTATTTTTTATTATTATTATTATCATTATACTTCAAGTTCTAGGGTACATGTGCACAACGTGCAGTTTTGTTACATATGTATACATGTGCCATGTTGGTGTGCTGCACCCATTAACTTGTCATTTACATTAGTTATATCTCCTAATGCTATCCCTCCTCCCTACCCCCACCCCACGACAGGCCCCACTGTGTGATGTTCCCTGCCCTGTGTCCAACTGTTCTCATTGTTCAATTCCCACCTATGAGTGAGAACATGCGGTGTTTGGTTTTTTGTCCTTGCGATAGTTTGCTCAGAATGATGGTTTCCAGCTTCATCCATGTCCCTACAAAGGACATGAACTCATCCTTTTTTATGGCTGCATAGTATTCCATGGTGTATATGTGCCACATTTTCTTAATCCAGTATATCACTGATGGACATTTGGGTTGGTTCCAAGTCTTTGCTATTGTGAATAGTGCCACAATAAACATACGTGTGCATGTGTCTTTATAGCAGCATGATTTATAATCCTTTGGGTATAGACCAATGGAACAGAACAGAGCCCTCAGAAATAATACCACACATCTGCAACCAACTGATCTTTGACAAAACTGACAAAAACAAGAAATGAGGAAAGAATTCCCTATTTAATAAATGGTGCTGGGAAAACTGGCTAGCCATAGGTAGAAAGCTGAAACTGGATCCCTTCCTTACACCTTATACAAAAATTAATTCAAGTTGGATTAAAGACTTAAATGTTAGACCTAAAACCATAAAAACCCTAGAAGAAAACCCAGGCAATACCATTCAGGACATAGGCATGGGCAAGGACTTCATGACTAAAACACCAGAAGCAATGGCAACAAAAGCCATCATTGACAAATGGGATCTAATTAAACTAAAGAGCTTCTGCACAGCAAAAGAAACTACCATCAGAGTGAACAGGCAACCTACAGAATGGGAGAAAATTTTTGCATTCTACCCATCTGACAAAGGGCTAATATCCAGAATCTACAAAGACCTTAAACAAATTTACAAGAAAAAATCAACCCCACCAAGAAGTGGGTGAAGGATATGAAAAAACACTTCTCAAAAGAAGACATTTATGCAGCCAATAGACACATGAAAAAATGCTCATCATCACTGGCCATCAGAGAAATGCAAATCAAAACCACAATGAGATACCATCTCATACCAGTTAGAATTAGCTTTCTATAGAGACAGCTGGTAACACATAGCACATTAGTTAAGCAGGCTCTGGCATTAGATTGTTAGGGGTTAAACTCTAGCCCTAATGTTTATTAAGTGGTCAGTACTGGGATATTTGACTTAGTCTTTCTGTGCCTCAGTCTCTTTCTATAAAGTAAGAATAGTAATACTACCTATCTCACAGAATTGTTTTGAGGATTAAATAGGTTGATCTATAAAGAGCCCTTGGACCTAGAAAATAATAAAATTTTAATAAATATTGAATGTTAAACCCCTCTCTGGTTGATGTCCTGAGACACAGATTTACCTGTATTCCTTATTGGGAGATTTGATATGCAGTTCAGACCAAGAATAGCCATTATTACCATAATTGCTACTAGCTCCATCCATAATGGAAGATCCCATTACATAGTAGCCAACTTCAGAATGAGCAAGCCTTGTATGCTTTGCTGAGGAAGTGGAACTTTATCCTCGAGACAAACAAGAGTCACTGGAAGGTTATAATGTAGTAAGAAGTGTTAAGTGTTCAGATTTGGCTTTTGCAAGGATTATTCTGTAGATAAAGCACTGTTGAGATGAATGAGAGAGAAACACACACATACAAACAGCAGCTTAAACAAGATAGAAGTGTGTGTTGTGTGGTGCATGTGTGTGTGTCTGTGTGTGCACGCGTAGGTTTTGGGGGATTTTTCTGTTTCCCGTGTAAATGAGATCCATTTACATGGCTAGTAAGGCAAATTCTCACATTGATCCACGAATCCTCTATTCTGCTTGCTTCTTCATCCTCAAAAATGTAGATTCACTTCAAATTCCAGGGTGGCTACTCAAAATGGAGTCATTATGTTTCCATTCCAGGATTAGGAAAGGAAAAAGAAAAGAAGGCTATACAGCCTTCCATTAAGAACACCTCCTAGAAGCTACACATGAGACTTCCGCTTACCTGTCCTTGCTGGAGCTTAGTTAGACGGTTACTTTAGATGCAAGTCAATCTGGAAAATGTGTTGCTTATTCCATATGGCCATGTAATTAAAAATACTCAACTATTAAGTGAAAGGGGGAAAGGCAATTCTAGGGGACAAGTAGGAGTCTTTACCATCTGCAAATAGCTAGTGAAGATGTCAGAAAGCTGTATCTTATAAGACTGGGTCACCAGCCAGCTTCATCCAAGAAGACCAGTCAAGGAGTATCGCAGGTTTCTGTTTTTGGTGAAAGGATAGAGGAGGTTTCATTCACAAACATAAGAAAAAGCTATTTTGTAAGGAAGATCATGAATAAATTCACCTTTAAGCATATTAAGCTTAAGATACTGGGCCGGGTGCTGTGGTTCATGCCTGTAATCCCAGCACTTTGGGAGGCCAAGGTGGGCTGATCAGGTCAGGGGATCGAGACCATCCTGGCTAACATGGTGAAACCCCGTCTCTACTAAAACATACAAAAAAATTAGCCGGGCATGGTGGTGGGTGCCTGTAGTCCCAGCTACTCCGGAGGCTGAGGCAGGAGAATGGTGTGAACTCGGGAGGTGGAGCTTGCAGTGAGCCGAGATCGCGCCACTGCCCTCCAGCCTGGGCGACGGAGCAAGAGTCCATCTCAAAAAATAAAAAAAAAAAAAGATGCTGTGGGACAACCCAATGGAAAATATATCTAAACAGTTGTATTTGAATTTGAGGAACTCAGGAGATAAATTCCCACTAGAGATACAGACTTGCGAGTCACCTCTAGAGCAGGTGGTTGAAAACAAGAAAGCGAATGAGGTAGCATGGATCTACGTTCCCCTTTCTTATTGTGGCCTAAATGGACGAGAGCATGCAGCTAGTAAGTACACTACCGCACAGGCTCTAGGATAATGGACTTGCATGGCCGCTCCAGGGTCTGAGGGCAGGGGTTACTCTCTGTATCTTCACACAAGTTGAGATGGAAAGAGGAAGCATAGTACAGACAGAACAAGTGGAAAAAGAATTCCATGGAGAGTCTGTGAAGACGGAAGCGTTTATTTCTAATGGAATGAGATCCCACAGGTTACAACAAAAAGCCTGAGGAGGAGATCAGGAGGGCAGGGAAGAAGCTCTGGGAAGGTATCTGAGAAAAGAGCTGGCCAAAGAGGCCCACATTATTATGGGTGGCTAAAACAGACATAGGAGTGTCATGTCAAATTATAAATAATTTGATTGAGACATGGTTTTTTACTTAGGTAGTACAGGGTTCTAAATCCAAGCAGAAGCAGAGGCCTGATGACCCCACAATCTATGGTCCTGTACTATATAGCCTTTGGCCTACATTCAGAGCTTGAAATGGAACCAGGACAAGGAACAGCTCTGGGACTGTGGAAGTCCTTTGCAGGGGCAGACTCTCTGTCCAGGTGTTAGAGAGATTTTTAAAATTATCTCCTTTCTGTTAGCAGCAGTCTTCAATGGCGGAGGCATGTCCTCAATATATAGCCCTCGGTTATTTATGACGGTTAACTTAGATCAAAGGACCTGCAGCCCAAAGGCCAAATCAGATCCACTGCTCATTTTTGTAAACAAAGCTTCATTGAAATAGAGTCACAACCATTCATTCAATATCATCTCTGGCTGCTTCAGTGCCACAATGGCAGAGCTGAATAACTGTACAAAGACCGTATGGCCCACAAAGTCTCAAATACAGTATTTCGTATCTGGCTTTTGAGAGAAAAAGTTTGCCAACTCCTAATTTGGGTAGACTACATAAAACACAGAATACAATATCTAGCACATAGTAAGTGCTAACAAATTACACTCGTTTTTGTTTTTATTTTTTAAGTCAAACCTTGATTACCAACATCTTTGTTATTGGCAATTTGATTTTAGACACTCTGGGGAAACCATTCATCCTTGCTAATTTACATGTTGTTGGTGGTAAAATTTACACAACTCTCCATTTTATCTAAAGCCTTGTATGTATAATTTCAGCCATATGGATTTTATGTGTGTGGAGATCATGGCTAATTCAACCATATGGAGATTATTTTAACTTAAAGGCATTAAAAACCAACTGATGATCTCATCTCTTATATATGCAATTATAATAAGAGTCAAAATGCCAGGACAAATGAATTTAAAGGGTGTTTTTAATCACTAATACTGAGCATAAAAATGGAAGTAAAAGTGAGATTCAATTTAAGATATAATATTAAAGGTTGTCACATTATGAAAATTAAAAATATGCTAAAATAGCAAAAGAAAACAAAGCAAGCCTCATGGATCCTATAACCTATTCTCTACTGACCTTAAGCCCATAGTTGAAAGTCTTCAGCATTAAAATTAAAATCCAGTGATATGGTAATACACTAAATGTTAATCCAAATCATGTTTAGAGTTTGGTGGAAAGAAATTTCTCCTGGAGAATATAGGCAATATACCTATTAATATATTTGGTAAAATTTGGCAGAGATTTGCTAGAGAATGTAATTTGAGAATAGGCAGATAGAGTACCATAAAAAAAGTACCAAAGAGTATCTTCTTAAATAAAAGGTAGTCACAGCACAATCCCTCTGCAAGGAGGCTTCAGTGTTGAGCTCAGATATTGATGGAAAAGGAAATGACTAATTTGGGAAAGTCTGTTTGTGTTGTGTTCAATCCTTAGCATCCTGGAGGGTCAGAAGAGTTCACGTCTCATAAAGTCTCAGGCCTTTGCCAAGATCATAATTGAAGTAGTCATAGGTTGTTTTCAGTGCCTGGCCAGCTCCTCTTAGCACTTATTTACATGTTTATGAAGTTTTTCCCGTTCTTCACAGTGATGCTGATGATGAAAATGTTCCCTATCTGCACTATGCAATGTGGTAATCCCTACCCACGTGTGGCTACTGAGCACTTGAAATGTGGCTAGTGCAACTGAGGAACTAGATTTTTAATCTGATTCACTTTTCATTGATTGAAATTTAAGTGTGTATTTGAATAGCCACATGTAGTAGCAACTACCATATGGGACATCACAAGTTTTAAATTGAATAGGTTTCTGATTATCTTCAGAACAAAGAAAAGTGTTGGGGATTTTCTTTTTCCACAAATGACATTAATTATTGTTCAAAGGTGTCCTTAACTAGGTAGAAGACCCACCCGATCCGACCTGCTACACTCTGTACCTTTCACTATTCTCCCATCCTTCAAAATATACTTACCAATGTCTCATTTCTGAAACTCTTTTCTTCCAATCACTTACCTAATAAATTAACAC
The DNA here is from genome assembly GCF_000001405.40 of Homo sapiens. Taxonomy (NCBI): domain Eukaryota; kingdom Metazoa; phylum Chordata; class Mammalia; order Primates; family Hominidae; genus Homo; species Homo sapiens. The sequence goes on from NC_000003.12 coordinate 30,545,523, forward strand.
CGTAAAAGATAGCCAAAAAAAAGCACAAAATGTCAAGAAACAGTGCCCTCTTCTAAAGACATTTTTAAGTCTAAAGATAAACATAGTAAGTTTATAAGAAAAAATAAATTTATGCAGGTGGGGCAGGAGCAGAGGGTACATGGAAAATCTATGTACCTTCCTCCCAATTTTGCTGAGAACCTAAACCTGCTCTAAAAAATTAAGTTTTGTAAAATCAATCAATTAATTAATCAATCAGGTTAGGATAGGATAGGAAAAATTCATTTAGAAATTATGGAAAATCCTTACAATATAATATTAGTAAGATCAAATATATATAAAATATAATTCCAATTTTGTTTATTTATGTGTACAATCCTTAGGTGTCCAGGTTATTGGATAAAACAAAAGTGTTATGATTTTATAAAAGGAGACACAAGAGTAGAAGGACAAAGCTGACTCTTTCATAGGAGAACTGGAAAATATGTAAAATGGAAGGAAGACTGATATAACCCTAGATTTAGTTATTATTTCATCTGTCTACATGGTAATGCAATAAAAAATTGTGTCAACCCCATCTATGGCTGAAGTAAGTATTGTCCACAAATCTACCATAATCTTTTCAATGAGCTTGCTGACTCATAGATGAGGAAATTATATTCTTTTTCTCTGTTTCAGTTTTTCCATCTCGAATGGAAATCAAACACCTGAGCGACCTCCCTATGACTGAGAATTGTGTGGGGCCATCCTGCAAATTCTCACCAAGCAGTTTTGAGTGGAAAATGGTTGCATCTTTAAAGGGTTTTAAAGAGTAGAATGTGCTTTCCCCCACATGGCGTAATTTTTACCCCATTCGCACATTTTTATTTTAGAGCAATTGCCACATTTCAACAAGTAATTGGAAAGAACTGGTCCACATTTCTCTACTCAGGGCTTAGCTACGTTACCGTTTTGCTTCCAGGTAGTGCTTGCGTTACTCATTCTCATTCTGATAATAAAAAGTGACTTCTCCAACCACTAAGTTGAACCTTGGGAGAGAGAAAGCTGCATATTTTTATAAAAGAAAAAGGCTCACTCCTTTTTATTTTACATGAGTTCCACTTAACCCACCTAAAATCCACCTTGAATCCCAAAGGTATTTTACCTCAGCTACCTTGTTGCTACTTATTTGCTGTCATGTTCTATTTTCAGTTGACTATATTCTGAATACTTTTCAAATTTATATAATTAAAATTTTTTTCAATAAAATTCTTAAGATAAACGAAAAATTAAATTAACATTTGACATGTACATAGGAAAAAGATATTTTAGTTTTGGGGGACACCAATAGCAATAATTGTCATAAAGATATGTTTTGATGAACTTAATATCAACAGAGAAATAAATATCGATAAAAGCTAGTGCCTTATTTAGAGCTCACACACTTTTACAAACTCTTTGAGGTGACACAATAAAAGACAAAAGTGTACTACAACTTTCTTTTTTAATTACCAATGACAGAAAGATGAAAAGGGAAAAGTTACATAGGACGAGGGAAGTGGAAAACACTTGTCAAAAAAGTAAAGTCCACATAATACTTTAGTCCACAAATCATGTGCTGAGAAATAAAAATAAGATCCTAAGCCCTTCAACTGACTAAACACAGACTCCCTCTTGGCCAAGGCACTGCAGAGAAATGTTCTGATTCCTTGCCATGAGGGGATGGGAGATTAGACACACCTCAGTATGCCCCTTCCTTATTAACTTTTAACCAGAATTCTTTCCTAAGAAGTAGACAGAAACCAGCTCTAGAAGACAAGAAACAAATCACTTATTCTTTTTTTTTTTTTTTTTTGAGCTGGAGTCTCACTCTGTTGCCCAGGCTGTAGTGCAATGGTGTGATCTTGGCTCACTGCAACCTCCGCCTCTGGGGTTCAAGCTATTCTCATGTCTCAGTCTCCCAGGTAGCTGGGATTACAGGGCCCACCACCAGGCCCTGCTAGTTTTTGTATTTTTAGTAGAGACAGGGTTTCGCCATGTACATTAGGTTGGCCTCAAACTCCTGACCTCAGGTGATCCACCTGCCTTGGCCTCCCAAAGTGCTGGGATTACAGGTGTGAGCCACCATGCTTGGCCACAAATCACTTATTCTTTTATTGCCTTTAGACAATCATCTGAGGCCATGACCAGACCTCCCTCTTTACAGTTTCAGCTTGACGGCTCACCTGTTTCACAATGAACCTCTTACTAAAAACTGACCACCATCCCCAGACTAGTTTTGGCCGGCTCATGGAAAAGGGACAGTGGGCGTTTCCATATCCTCTGCTTCACTTTTTGATATCAGAAGGCCAAAAACTCCACCAATGTATCATGCTGACAGTGCCATTTGTTAAACATGCAACCCACGTAGAGGCATGAAGCGCAACTGCTCATGTTCATGTTCCTCCTTTCATAAAATATTCATGGCTCCTCCTGTGATCTATTGAGTATGTATACTTACCCAACCCACTCAGCATAAATTTCTGTTCCCTTTATCACTCCCTCCAAGTGCTTGCTCTTGGCTTCTGCCAGAGGCTATGCTTCTCTGCAGGATGACCAGCCTGCGGACTAGCAACCCTTTATGAGAAATAAAGCTCTCCTTTCCAAATGTATGAATCTCATCATTTTTCAGTTGATAGTGACAATGGTATCAATATCCAATATTAAGATTGTCAATCCTCACCAGCACTTGACAGAGACTTCCCCACTTTAGTCTGCCACTCAATTCTGAGGAAACTAGGAAAAGCTCCATTTTTGAGCCCGGAGCTCAGGAAAAGAAAAACCTGTGACTTCCACTTTAACCTGGGCAGTCAAAACCCATTTCTGTTATATGAAGTGGGCCATCAGCAGCACAAGTGACATTTATAAACCAGATATATTTTTGTGACATAGTTGTCCAATCATGAGCTAAACCGGGAGTTTCTGCAAGTAAGAAGTGAAAAAGACATTGTTATGAGCTGAGCTGTGTTCCCCTAAAATTCCTGTGTTGAAGCTCTAACCCCTAGAATCTTTGAAGAGGAATATATTTGGAGATAGGGCCTTTAAAGAGTAATTAAGGTAAAACGAAGTCATAGGAGACAGCCAAATGCCTAGGCAGATAAAAAGGGGTCCCTGGAGAATCATAGATCCACCCCACAAGTGTTTACATCAGATGTTTTTGTGCAGATGAGGAAACCTGCCAGGGCCTTGTCTGAGCATGCCTATATGTGAACTGGGGAACAGGGTGGAGCCACGGTTGGGGGTGGAGCCACAGTCGGGGGTGGAGCCACAGTCAGGGGGTGGAGCTAAGTCAGGGGGAGGAGCTTGGCTTCCTCAGTCCCTGTGTGGTGGCCTGAGAGTCATTCACTCTGTGAGGTGGGAGACCTGTTAGCAGGATTCCATCTTGCTTTGCTGGTTTTTTTCCCCCCTTTATGCCCAGTAAAATCCTGCTCTACTTACTCTTCAATGTTTTCCACGTGCCTAAATTTTTCTGGTTGTGTGACGAGAACCCGGTTGTAGCTAAATTAAGGAGCAAAATTCTGCACCAATAAGGGTGGGCCCTAATGTAATACGACAGGTGTCCGTATAAGAAGAGAAGGTCAGAGACACACAGAAAGGGAAGACTACATGAAGACACAATAAGGTGGACCTCTGCAAGCCAAAGAGAGAAGTCTTAGAAGAAAGCAATCCTCTTGGCACCTTGATTTTGGATTCTAGCCTTCAGAATGATTAAGAAAATAACGTACAGCTGTTTAAGCCCCCTAGTCTATGGTTCTTTGTTATGACAGCCCTGGCAAACTAATTACAGACACCTTTCCAAAGTTTCTAAATCCAGTTGTTTCTTAGATTAAATGGCACATGGAAGAGTGGTTAAAATGTGCCCTCATCACTAGGAAAAGAGTATCACCAACCCTGGTCTGACTTCTACAGGTCTATCATGCTGATGGCAAGACTTCCTCACTCCGCTTTTTAACACAAGATTTTCCCCAAGCCAGATAGGATGCTGCCTGTTCACTTTTCTATTTTAAAAATGCTTTACAAATGGAGCTGCTAAGTAATTGATAACATATGGTTAACAGGAGAAATAGAATAAAAGAAAAAGACTATCTCTCCGTGGCATTGTTCTCCAGACCTTTTTTCCAGCTGGGCTTGTACCAAAGGAACCACTCTGAAAAGAAGCAACTGAGGAGCACTTTAAAATGTGAGTCCTAGGAAACAATCGACCTCACTTCCCGGCACTTGTGTCTTTGTCAAGCAACAGGAACACCAGAATTGCCCTAATGGAATGGAACAATGACCTATTTATTCTGATATCCTGTCTCCTACTGAGACTTATGCCAGGTTCTTTTGAGGAAGGGCTAAACACCACATAAGCACCCTATTGTGTACCACTTGATTGCATATGGAGTTGGAAGACTTTGGAGAGTGTGGGAAGGGTGTTTTTCTTCCTGAAACACGTGGGATGTATAAACATTATCCAGTCATTTGTCCCCATAACTTGAATTTCTAGAGACTTCGGTTAGCAGGATTTCTGAGCTGCAAAGAGTATAGAATATAGTAGTCACACACACCACTATGTATTTTATTATTTTCAACTACCATTTGGTTTCTGTACCTTGTCTTCTTTGCTCTCTAAGGTGATCATACTACCACCTTTTAAAAACTTTTTATTTCGACCTTCAGTAAATTTCATGTATTCAATTTCCCATGCCTGCATACAGAATACTAATAGTTTCCAGTTATCCATACTGATCAAATTTTAATCTAGATCTGAGACAAAGTAGGAACAGGGCTTTTTTTCAGTTCATCCCCACTAGAGCATTCTTCCATGCATTCCCACTGATTGCAAAACCTGTGCCACTACCTGACACTGTACCATTAACTTAAGCCTTTAGTCATAGAAAGAAAATAGCCATTCTATATTGTCTTTCTGTGCTTTCACAATGTTTAACCATGCCCTTTATTTCAAGAATTCCAGGAAATGGCCTTAGGAAATCCAAAATATCAAACCTAGGTTGCAGAGTGTCTCACCTCAGGAAGAAGTGCTGAACAATTGATTTGCAGCCTTGTTGCCACAGGCCAGACCACCAGGTGAACCATTACTCAAGATAGCCATCACAACCAGATAATGCTGACCTGCATACCCTACCCCTAATATAAATTCCTGTGCTTTGCCTCATATCCCAACTGGCTTTTTCCAGAAAGCGAGTCGGGGAATTCTCTCTCATGCTGTCTCCCTTATGCCCGGGCATAAGCTCCAATGAAGCCTTGTCTGCGAGAACTCTTTTGGCCTCATGTCAATTTCTATTGCACTGAAAGCGCAAGAACCCATGGTTGGTAACAGATCCATGAAAAATTTAAGATCCTTAACTTTAGCTGGGCATCAGAACAATATTTTATTTATCTCTATTTGATATCTCTTTTTGTTAGCGGTGGAAGAGATCTGAGTTACCCTGAGTTACAAGCGGCAAATCTGTATGGGTTCACAGCAACTTCAGTCCTTGCCTCCTCGGAAGAAAGAATTTGACTGAGGGGCATAAAGCAGAAAAAGACCAAGGAAAGTTTCAGAGCAGAAGTGGAAGTTTATTTAAAAAGGCTTTAGAATAGGAAAGATAGGAAAATTCACTTGAAAGACGTCCAATCAGGCACTTGAAGGTCCAGGAGAGAAAAGAGAGCAGAAGAAGACAGCAAAAATGACCTTTAACCTTGATCCTAGGACTTTATAGGCTCAACTCTTTCCCATGTTTCTTCCCTTAGGGTGGGTTTTCCTCATGCTCGGTGCTCTCCTTACCTTTGGGAATTGAACATGCTCAGTATGTTTAGGTAGTTATACACATGCCCATCTGATGCTTTCTTCCCTTTTCCAGTGGAGTGTGACCCAGAAGATTTTATCTTAACACGCATGCCCAGGAAGTTGCTTCCCCCTGGGGTCTGCATTCAATTAACATTTTTATGTTAACAGGTGTGGACCATCAGGAAATGGCCTCTCCCTGACACTGCCTAACTATCATTTTTAGAGAAGCAATGTGATAATTGCTGAACCATCATCACCTGACATTTCTAGTGGGTGGGGGAGAGCCCTTTCCTGCCCTACTCATGCTTAACTACCTGTAACATTTTCACACAGCTGTAAATAAACAACAAGAAAAAAACCTACTTTTTCTTTGGAATGCTTTAGAAACCTCAAATGCATCCTTGTATTTCCTACTATTTGCATTATTTTGTTAGTTATCTAATGTTTACCCAATCAATTATTAGCTTTTGTATTACATAATGTTTATATCCTTGAAGTTTCAAAATACACCAACAATTTTAATATACTAATGAGTAGCTACTGATGGGGCTCAGAACTCAACACCACCCCAAAATATGACTGTAGATCTGAATAGGGCACTCCAAATATGCCTTTTTCACATAAGGATTATTTTGAGCTGGTTACATTCAGAAAGTAGGCAGACACAGGCATAGCTCTTAAAAGTTACCTTTTTGTAAATGAAATTGATATCTGTAAATTAAGTGTCCATTTGTTAAGGGTATCTTCCTCTCTACACCAAGAAGAGAAGGAAGACTAAATCACTAGAGATTCCAGCATCAATGGAGAAGGCATCTGCATAACAAACCTTACCTTTCACTTCTCTTGCTCATCTCACCTTAGCTGGGCCTTTCCCCACACCCTTCGTTGTTTCAGAATATGGTGATATTTAAGTCTGAAGTTTAAATGCCTTCTTTGAGATACATTCTGGAGACTTCTCATTTCACTGGTTTTTCTCCAATGTATGCATGAGGAATACATGTTAACTAACTTCTATTTTTTTTTCCTCTTTTTAATCTGTCTTTTGTTAGAAGGAGTCCCAGTTAAGAACTATGAAGGAAAGAGAGAAAATGATTTTTCTTCCCCTACACTGTATCTTCTCTTAAAAAGAAATTTACAAATCTCTTGGCATATTCACATTATATCTGCATCCCTGGTTCTGTCTATTGTTTGTCACATTGGTGATGTGATGCCCTCAAACTGTACAATATGAAACTTTATGGTGACAGCTATAAAAGATAGATAAAAATTTACATAAAACATTGTCCAAAGCAATCTTCTCTGAACAGAACACCCTGACTAAAGTGACAATGGAACTCATATGGAAGAATACTTCATTAGAAACATGACAAGCTCAGGGCGTATTTAGAGCACTCTTTAGAGTAACCTGAGGGAGTGGATGAAAACACAGGAGAAGATGAAGGGGCTAGAGGCATTGACATTCCATTTGAGTTTTCCTTTATTCTGGCTAATCTTTTGTTGTCTAGTTATTTATGTTGTATGAAAGTAATTTTATTGAACTCAATGCATGCACTGATTCAAAAAGCATAAAATACAAAGCAATCTGCCCATATAACCCGAAGTTTATAATAATGCAACCTAATGGGAGAAATATCTGGAAAGGAAAAGATAAGTGTATTACATGGGATAAATAAGAAAAGGGAAAGACCAACAAATGAATCCTATTTGATTCATCCATACTGCAATCAATGAAAAGCCCTGGTCCACGTCACTTTTCAGGATGCTTTGCAGAAAAGGCAGACTACATTTTCCACTTGGTAATGTATTACTGTATACTAATGAATGTGCACAACCCACCACTTCCTAGTCTTCTGGTTCCTTAGAGAATGAACAGACGTCATTTTATCTCAGGGAAAATGCTAAATTTAAGAGTATTATCTGCTACAAAGCCTTTTATTGTATAACAGGGCTTGGAAAAAGTTAAGAGCCAGATAGTAAACACAAGATCAGGACTAAAGTGAGGCAAGTGAGGTGTCTCAGTCACAAAATTTAAGGAAGCTCTCACTAATCCTGACCCTAAGTAAATACTTTAGGCTTTGCAATATAGTTGATCTCTTACAACTACTCACCTCTGCCATTGTAGCACTAAAGTAGCTAGAGATTATACTAACTGAATGGGTGTGGCTATGTTCTAACAAAACTTTATTTACAACAATAGGCAAAGGGCCAGATTTGGCCTGAGGGTCATAGTTTGCTGACCCTCGTTTTATGGCAATATGTAAAATAAATACAAATGTTTTATTATTTAATTTGTACATAAAATTTCATCAGTATGTAGAAAGTGTTCAGTGATGCCACCAAGAGATGTCGTTATTTTTTAAAAAAAGTTTCTAGAACACTACTTAAATTTATATAACACTAGAAAGAAGGTTCCAGATTTGGGATACAAAACATCACTGATTCCTTTGATATTCTATGCATATATATGTTCACACCTTTTAAAAAATGTTTTCTTTTCTTACCCACTTACTTTCTAGTTCACCAGTCAAAAATGCTACTCATTCTCGCAGTGGCTCATGCCGGTAATCCCAGCACTTTCAGAGGCTAAGGCAGATGAATCACCTGAGGTCAGGAGTTTGAGACCAGCCTGGCCAACATTTTGAAACCCCCTCTCTACTAAAAATACAAAAATTACCCAGGCATGGTGGTGCGCTGCAGTAGTCTCAGCTGCTCAGGAGGCTGAGGCAGGAGGATTGCTTGAACCTGAGGTTGCAGTGAGCCAAGATGGCACCACTGTACTCCAGCCTGGGTGACAGAGAAAGACTCTGCCTCAAAAAAAAAAAAAAAAAAATTGCTCTCTCTAGAAAACTGTCTCTCTTCGCCTCATCTCCCCAAACACAAAATGACTCACACTCCCTCTGTGATGATACAGCCTTTGGTTTGGAATTCTCTACTAAAAGTCTTCAAATTGTCTTGGGTTATAATTAACTATACATGTGTCTCTCTCCTTATGGGACTATAAGGGCAGGGCTATCTTGCAATCACCTATTTTTTCGCAAATAATAAAGTATATTGGATTATTGATGGTCTTTAAATATGTGTTGAAATAAAATGAATTGACTTTTTTTGGCAATGATTTGTTCTTTAGGCTTTATAAGGTGCCACTCTTAAATATCTTGCTCACATCACTGCACTTGAAGAAGAAGTGCCCTGAAGCCATGTGGGAAGCATGTGTGGCAGACTCTTGGCTCTAGACCATGATCACAGCTCATACTTTGTGTTTTAACAAGCTGATATACCACCCACCAGTTAATAATTACACTCTAATTTTCTGATGCTATGTAATTGATAATAAGAAACTCTAAGAGTCCAAACATGCTATCCTTTATTAGAAAAAGATTCATTGCAAACTGTTTTTCAAAGTTATTAAACCAAATGCTATGATGTCTGGAATTTTCTTAATAATAAGCTAGTGGGGCAGGGGAAGAAGGAGCTTAAATGAAATGAGAATAGTCATGAGCCGATTATTGCTATACTTAGGTGCTGAATACACTGGGGCTCATTTTACAATTCCCACCAGTTTGTGTATGTTCAAAAGTTTCCAATAAAAATTAATAATAGCAATTAAACTAAAAAGTAGAATATTTTGAATTCTTCCTTTGCCTTTAGCGTGTATATACACATACACACACACACTGAAGGCCTTTGCCTTTGTCTTTAGTATGTGTGTATATAGGTTTATATAGACACACACTATATATAAACACCCACACATACATATACACACACACACTAAAGGCAAAGGAAGAATTCTATATATAATTATATTTATATGTAATATAATTATATATCATATTTATTAAAATTATATATAATTATTTTATATGTACAAATATTAAACAGGCCTATCCACAGGAAAATAGAAGGTTGGATAGATAGGCAAAACATTTTTCTTCTTTTTCTTTTTTTTGTTTTTGGAGAAGGAGTCTCCTCTGTCACCCAAGCTGGAGTGCAGTCATGCAATCTTGGCTCACTGCGACCTCCGCCTCCTGGATTCAAGTGATTTTCCTGCCTCAGCCTCCCAAGTAATTGGGATTACAGGTGCACATCACCAAGCCCAGCTAATTTTTGTAGTTTTTTTAGTAGAGACAGGGTTTCACCACATTGGCCAGGCTGGTCTCGAACTCCTGACCTTAAAGTGATCTGCCCACCCAGGCCTCCCAAAGTACTGGGATTACAGGTGTGAGCCCCCATGCCCAGGAAAACATTTTTCATTTTTACTCGTTTTATAACTTTTAGTTGTCTTGCCTCAATTTTTTCTAGACCTTCATTCATTGGTCAGGATTTACGTTTACAGCTCTGGTAATTTTCTCATTGTCTAGGGAAAGCCCAAAGCATAGTATTTTGGGATAACGGGGGTGAAAAAAAGAATTCTCACATTAATACTAACTAGCATTTATTCAGTGCGTGATATAGACCAAGCACCGAAGTGCTAGGTGTTGATACATTTTATCCTCCTTGTACACCAGCTAATGAATACACAATCCTATTTATTACCCGGTTTTAGAGAAGAATTTATATAACTTGACCAAGGACAAACAATTTGCCAATGGAGCATTGAGAATTAGAACCTATGTGTCTGGTCTCGGAACCCCTACTTATAACCACTTTGCTGTATAATGTAAAAGATGACATTTGGCAAAATTTAAAGAATTTACCCAACCAAATTCACGTTCCCATTCTTTAGTGCCTGACCCACTTCCCAGCTTCTAGTCACAATTCCTTCCTTAGATTATCATTTTTGCACTTCTGCAACTTTCTTCTTGGACTGCTTCTTGTCAATGAGTTGTTGGATCCTCTTTGTATGAGTTTGCTGCAGTAACAAAAACTCTAAATTCTTACTGGCTTACAACAAAGGCTTATTCCTTGTTCATGTCATATTTCAGCTGTGGATTGACTGCAGCCAAGCTATAGGTCTGTTTCACATGTCTTCTCATTCAGTGAAATAGATGAGAGAGGAAGCTTGATGGCACGGGAGAAAAGCAAGGGCTCTGTTGAAAATTTATGATGCTTCATAAGGTTTCTATGTGAAATTCACATTCCATTGGCCAAAGTATGTCACACAGTCAAGCTCAAAGTTGATGAGATAGAATGTTTACTCTTCTCCGAGGAAGCAAAGCAAGACATATGGGAATAGGAAGGAGCAATTGTTCTCTGATAAGAAAAAGATAATAAAAATTGTGAAAAATGATTTAGTCTATCACCCTCTCTTTAATATCCATCTATTTCTCACATTATTTACTCCACCAATACTCTTTGATCATTAGGTATGATTTAACATGCCTCTACATTCTATCATTCTTCATTCCCTAGTTTACGGTTTTCCTTGAATCATACAAATACATGCCTTCAGTGTTCTCAAGTTCAACCCTCTCATCTTAGAGAAAATGGAACTTCTTGTCCATTCTTATTATAAGAACACAGGTCTCCCAAAGTGTTATCTAGTGTACTGTCCGTGGTTTTCCTCAGAATGGAGAAATAAAAGTCTACCATCTCCCAGACCTTTGGTGACCAAGGTTACATTTCGAACTAAAAAAAGTATTGTTTAGGGTTTCATGCAAAACAAAGAGCATAAACCCTATCTTATGGCCTTAAACATCTAAGGGGTCCATTTTCCTCACATGATTAAAAACCCCAGTGTAGACTGTCCTGGACTAGTACAGTCAAGAACCCAAGTTCCTTCTAATTTTCTACATCACCACATCACCTACTTAGGCAATATTCTGCTTCATACTTGTATGAAATAAACTGCATCTCTGGCCCCATGTCTATGTTGTACACAGGAAGAAAGGTAAAAGAATGGAGGGTAATGCAATAGTCTGCCCTTTTTAAGTAAGATAAAGTGGCTCACCCAGGATCACCACATGCTTATATCTCATTGGTCAAAATTAGTTCGCTAGGGAATCCTTATTTCCAAGGAATTCTGAGGTCAATATCTTTATTTTGTTTAAGTTTCTATGTTGAAATAATTACAGACTCACAAGAAGTTGCAAAAATTGAACCAAAGATCCTATGTAGCCATGATGTTGCATGCCTCAAAGGTAACATCTTACATAACTAGAGTACATTATCAAAATTAAATTTCCATCAACAGATCACAATTAGTCTGGATGACAGACCCTCCTAAGATATCACTAGTTCTTATGTACATTCAGTTTTCAGGTTCTTATATGTTCGTGTATATAATTCTGTGACGTTTTATCACCCTTATAGATTTCTATAACTGTGGTCACAGTAAAGATAAAAAGCAGTTATATTATCACAAAGGAACTCCGGGAGATGGGTCTTTTTAACTACGTACATTGCAGTCCTGAACATAATCAGAGATCCTGCTAGGAAGGAAGAAGGAGAAATGGATTTGAGATAGGCAACAAGCAGTACCTGCCACAAAGGACAGCTATTTTTAAGAGAAGGAGTTTTCCATGATCTTGGATGTATAAATAGAGTCCATCCACCCCCATCCTTCCTCCTGAAACATACACTCCTTTTGTTCTTTAGAAACCTCTCAAACAAATGCCATACAATTTAACTTATCTCATGCTGTAAGGCTGTAATGACTCCAATGAGATGTGGAATTCAAGATTTCAAGAAACTGCAAATATATGTCTGAGTTCAATACCACTAAAAACACCCAAGAGACCAATGAAAGAACAAAGGGTTTTTGTTGTTATTGTTCTAATAAGAATAATTCCTTGACACAGGACCAGAAATCAACAAGTTGGGGGGAAATGGAAAACCCAGAGTGTCTCAAATTACATCATGTTTGGGCAGGGGGTTGGGGGTAAGAATGACCTCTTAAACAGAGGTCCAACCATTATTTGCAGTCCAATTCCAGAATTGCCTGAATAAGATCCAGCAGTTTGCTTGCAATGGGACCTGAGGAACATTCCATGTTGTTCTTGAACAAGAAAGTTCTTAAAGTGACAATAATGAGGAGAAATGAATTTGAAGGTACTTATAGAGAATGTCCGTATTTGTAGTGGGACAAATATACTTTCTAAAAAGTACAAACATACGTAAGAAAATAGGGTCATTTACTAAGTGGTCTTTGCTTAAATGTTGGACAGAACAAATGTTCTATCAAAACAAGGGCAAGCTTGATTTGATTTGATTGATTTGACTGTTGACTAATAAAGGCAATCTCATTATATTCTAATACTTTATATGAGACTTTTTTTTCCCTGCAATTGTTAGCTACTAGTGAGTCTACTGCAAGCCTTGCTAATATAATCAGCAATAGGCTGATCTGACTCTGGGAAAAATGGCCCCAGCTCAAGTAATTAAATAGCTACAGGGAAAGCAGTTTGCCTTTTTGAGCACATCTTTTAAAACACTGCATTTTTCACAACATTTGAGGTAGTCTTCAGGATAATGATGCTTAAGATGAATGACATAAGACACCAGAGTAAGCAGTGTAAAAATATGAGTCTGGGCCAGGCCCAGTGGCTCATGCCTGTAATCTCAGCATTTTGGGAGGCTGAGGCAGGTGGATCACCTGAGATCAGGACTTCGAGACCAGCCTGGCCAACATGGTGACACCCTGTCTCTACTAAAAATACAAAAATTAGCCGGGCATGGTGGCGGGCACCTGTAATCTCAGCTACTTGGGAGGCTGAGGTAGGAGAATCGCTTGAATCCAAGAGGCAGAGGCCGCAGTGAGCTGAAATCGTGCCACTGCACTCCAGCCTGGGCGACAGAGAAAGATTCCGTCCCAAAAATAAAATAAAATAAAATAAAATAAAATAAGAGTCTGGATTGATACCCTAGTGGTCAGACATCAAGACAGCCAGCAAAAGTAACCAGATGGTGACACCCATTGTTACATTCCAGCTCTCCCACCATTGAGTGATGCATACATAACTTCTCTCTTCCTTCAATTCACCGTGGCCCTAGTTCTAGGACCTACCCTTGATAGCTAACAGTGATACATTTTTTTAATGCACTCATTTCCTTTTATGTTGGAGGTTAGCTTCTGAGCTCAAAGATGCTAAAGATCAGAGAAGGCCATAGAGCTAATGAGGCCTTCAATGGGACCTGAGGAACATTCCATGTTGTTCTTGAACAAGAAAGTTCTTAAAGTGATAATAATGAGGAGAAAGGAATATGAAGGTACTTATAGAGAGTGGCTAAGGTGGCTAAGCAAGCAACATACAAAAGCAAAGCAGATCAGTGTATCACAGTAAGGGGTGATAAAGACTGTGCCTGAGTATCAGGAATGCTGTACACAAAGACTTAAAACTCTCAATAAAAACATAGTACAGAAAACATCAACAAACCACAACAATGTGTTTGCTGGATATTCTGAGGGACAAATTCAATCTGGGATCCTCCACTATGAGACTTCTACCAAGTATAAGGCAAATAGGAGACCTATTGCTTTCTCCCAAAATGTCTCGCTTTTTCTTTATTGAATCGCTTAAATCCAATATTCTGCCTTTCTCATAGTTCCTTCCAGTCTTAAGCATTTTTGCAGTAGGTTTCAACGTTAATATTTTATTATCAGTCTCTAATACAGGTTATTCACATTTCAGTTGATTTACAAAGACTGAAAGTCAACATGCTAATTAATCTTACAGTTTGGATACTGAACTGTGATGACTGGAATAATCAAACAGCTTCTGATAAGTAAGTAATTCTGCCTAAGCACAGAATTGTCAAGTTTGGAGGGCTTGAATTTTCTCGTGGCCCAATTCTCAGAAGAGAATATAGAGATCGCTGATCTTAAAAATAAATCCTGTGTTTCATGGTACAAAATAGGTTTTATTGATACTAAGAAAATATTAAATGATTAGTAGTACACTGTTTTTTGTGATCAAAAGTCTTCAAATACAATTTTCTTCTAAAAGAATTTAAATTGTGTGCATTCTTATATTGAAGAGCTTCATCTAGCAGCACTATGTCACTGAAGAAGGAATATGGTCGCATACAATGATGTAGTGACCTGTGTCTCAGATTGGACCAGGAAGGTATATTCTTTACATGGTAGATTAAAGATGGTTGCAAGTTCTTTATTCTTTTTCCATTGGGATGTGGAGTTTAATTCTTTCCCCTTTGAATCTGCATTGACCTTTATGTCTTGCTTGAACAATAGAATGCAGTAGAAGCTACATTCTGGAACTTCTAAGACCAGGTCTGAAAACACTTTGCTACTTCCACCTGGGTCTCTTGGAATATCAACTCTAAGAAACTTGAGCCACTATATGAGAAATCTAATTGCACTGAGGCTGCCAGGCTGGATAGGTCATGTGTAGGCACTTTCTTTTACAATGTTAGCTGAGTCCAGACTTCAGACCAGACCAGCCACCAGATAAGTACCACTGAGTGACCCTAGTCAGTGCTTCGAGCAGCAGAAAAATTGTCCATAGGAGGCCTGCCAAATTTTTTACCTACACAATCATGAGATAAAATGCTTGCTTTTCAAAGCCACTAAATATTAGACTAACTTTTATGGGGAACTTATGACTAGAACCCAGAATGATTTATAACATGGTTTAGCTCATGGTAGAGCTACCTCTAAATAGGATAATGGCAATCACTAACGTAATTCTTATTATGTCCCTGGCACTGTTTTAAGTAGCACATTTGCTCCTCACAAAACTTCATAACTAAGTAGCATTATAATTCATATGAGGAAACTGAGGTACAGAGGATTATGTAACATGTCCACAGTCATTCAGATAATAGGCAGCAAGGGTGAGATTCAAAGCCAGGCAACCTGGCTTCAGAATCTGTGTTCTTAACACTTACATTGTAATTACAACACATTCTTTCAAGAAGTTAGCTTCCATTTACTCAACCCAAGCAAATTTGTCCTAGTGTGCCCCACAAATCCTTTTTAAGAAGTCTGTTTAGGTTGACTCTTTGTTTTTCTTGCTTTACTTTGGACTGTGCAATAAGCTTCATGGGCCAGCTGTGGTGGCTCATGCCTATAATCCCACTGCTTTGGAGGCTGAGATGGAAGGATCGCTCGAGGCCAGAAGTTTGAAACCAGCCAGGGCAACATAGCGAGACACCATTCCTGCAAAAAAAATTAGCCAGGCATAATGGCATGCAGCTGTGGTACCAGCTACTAGGGAGGCTAAGGTGGGAGGATCACTTGAGCTCAGGAGTTCCAGACTGCAGTGAGCTATAATCGTACTACTGCACTCCAGCCTGGGTGACAGAGTGAGACCCTGTCTCAAAAAAAAAAAAAAAAAAAAAAACAGCTTCACAAAGGACCAGGCACCCTGGTGTGATGATGGAGGCAAAGGTCCCAGGATACCATGCTACAGAGCCTGACTACACTACACAATACTCTATTTATAAGAATTCTCAGGGAAAAATTCCTTCCTGACATTTGGATCAGGAATAGTTACAATTGTTACGAACAATTGGTTTGCTTCAAATAACTACTGGTACTTGGTTTAAAAATAAATATATGGCCCCACGATATAGCATCTCAGATTATGCTTTTTTTTTTTCGATTTCTCTTTACCGAGGCTCTGTATCATGACTCAGCTCTTGCTTCCCTTTTGATTTTGCTCTAAGTCTTTCTATGTAATGTGTCTGTAATTTGTGAATAGTTATAAGTTTTTCTCAACACATTTTGGAGGAAAGCAAGGTATATCTATTAATCAATGTTCTAAATGATGACTAACAAGATAGTTTTGAGTGCTTGTGCAAGTTACAGAATTTACCTCTGGGTATTCTGATCTTGAATCTGAACTAGAAATGTGTGTGTGTGTGTGTGTTTGTGTGTGTGTGTGTGTATACACATGACACCATTAGTCACCCAGTTAGAAATGCTTTCAAGTTTTAATATTATATTACTTCAAAAAGTTCCTGGGAAAATATTCCACTAAGAGAAGATGACCCAGTGAAGAAGAAAAATGTTTGTTATAAACAACATTAGTTAGAATGCTCTTAGGTAAAAGAAACCAAAATACAACTAAGGAGGCCTACAATTCAAGGATATTAATTTTTATATAACAAGAAAGTTGGAGGTAGACCCTTCTGGCACTCAGTCATCAGCTGCACCATGGTAGGGTAGAAAACACGTGTCTCTGTCATTGTCCTGGCCCTTCCTTGGGATGACGAGGCAGCTGCCACCATTTCTGACATAACTTCGTGTGACTGTTTCCAAGGGCAAAAAGCAGAGGGCAGCCAAAATGTCAAGAAAGCGCTCTTCAGGTACCCTGCTGCTTTTATCACCAAAAATCATTTTTTTATACTGGCTCCAGAAGACTGTCTCTTACTTACATTTGTTCAAAATTGGGTTGCATGGCTGCTCTTGGCTACAAGGGAAGCCAAGAAGGTCAGCATTGGCTTTTTCATCCTTTTTCCATCCTTTAGTGGTAAACAAAAAAAGCCCAAATGAGGATGGAAATGGTTGTTAGGCAGGCAAATATTGCTTTCTTACACAATAATTCAATCAAAAACACTGGTGATATAAAACAGTTAAAAATGGGTTTGCCAGGGAAATAACTAATCAGAATCAAGGTAACCTTGAACATCTGGTTAGACTGTCTTGGGGCTGGCCTGTTATATGTTAGTTTTGATTAGAAACCACATCCCCCCAAAATGTTAGTGAAATTCTCATAAGAATGTTCATGTTCACTTTTTAGTTCTTCCCAAGGGGAGATACAAAAGCTATTGTTTAATCAAGTTTTGAGGACAGAGGAGTACCGGTTTTCAATAGTCCACAGGGATGGATTACCTCTTGAGGTTGAAGGGCAGGCCAAGTAGGCCAGTCGAGACTGACAGTCTGTCTTTGTCAGAACAGCTCTGTTTTCTTTCCATCCTGGGTTTAAAAAAGCATTTAGCTGCTAGTGAAATATCTAATAAACATGAGTAATTTGTTATAGCTCTAGTGTAGGGTCTCCCAAAGTGTCATTTGCATCAGAATCTCCTAAAATCTAAAATTCAGTTTCCTAGATCCTGTACCAGGCCCATAAATTAGGTATTCTGATGCCTAGATTTTTGGCAGGGCCCAAGTTTCTATATTTCAAGTAAGATTGCAAGGTTCGGCCGGGCGCGGTGGCTCATGCCTGTAATCCCAGCACTTTGGGAGGCCTAGGTGGGTGGATCACGAGGTCAGGAGACCGAGACCATCCTGGCTAACACGATGAAACCCCATCTCTACTAAAAAAAAATACACAAAAATTAGCCAGCCATGATGGTGGGCGCCTGTAGTCCCAGCTATTCGGAGGGCTGAGGCAGGAGAATGGCGTGAACCCAGGAGGCGGAGCTTGCAGTGACCCGATCGTGCCACTGCACTCCAGCCTGGGCAACAGAGAGATACTCCGTCTCAAAAACAAACAAACAAACAAACAAACAAACAAACAAAAAGATTGCAAGGTTCCTCATAACCCATACTGCCCTAAAAAGACACCTCTTTAAATAATTAGGGATGTGTACAAAGATTAAGATATAAAGATGGTTGCTTGTTTTTAATTATATATTTTTTATTCTTCTTTTCCTTTAAATTCTTGGGTTTGACATTTGACTTTGAAATTCTCTTAGAGATTCTGAAATTACATTTCTGGTTTCTCGTTGCTTGTGTCTATGTAAAGGGTAAAATATTCATTGAAAATGTTATGTATAATTCACTTCTTAGCCCTTGCCAGAAATGTTTTATGCCTTTCATCAATGAGGCAATATTTTAGAATAATTGTTTTAAATGCCTGATATGGTTATTTTTCCCCAGGAATTTAATAAAAACAGGCAAGCGCAGACAAATACAAGTGTTTTGTAAATGGCTGAAATTCAGGTACTCTTTTATTAGATCACAGAGCTGTGAAACAGATTAAATTTCAAGCATGGAGACTTTCAACATTGTTCTTGTAATTGCAAAGCATTCAAATGCATTCCTTTGCACTAATAATTACTCTCTCCATTAATGCAATTGTTCTAGAAATTAAACAGACAGATCCTAAGTAAATGATAGTTTCTTTTTGTTTCTCACAGAAGTTGAGAATAAACTGTAGGTTAATTAAACTCTCTTGCATTAGTTTTTATATGGTATTGATTTTCAATTCAGAGGTAAAGCTTATGCTCTCATACTAAAAAGCCTGTTTATAAGATCATTTTAATCCTTTTCTGAAAAGGTTTAATTTATAATCGTGTTCTCCACTTTAATTGATCATAACAAACGAAGCAAATGCATAAGTTATGCTTCAAAAATGCCCTTCATTACATGGAAAATTGGGACTGAGAGAACTCTCATACATTGACTTTCAGTGTGTTTTCATAATTCTTCTGGAAATGATATTATATTTGAATAAGTACCCACTCCCATACAATGGAAGCATTAAACAAAAGAATGTGAGTATGGATTTCTGTCACTGAGGAAAGTCCACTAGACTCAACATGACAATCAAGAGCAGCAGCTTTGATTAATGACTGACAATGATAATTCTGTTCAGGCTTCCTTTCCTCAGTCTTTGCCTTCTTCTGGTCCCCTGCCTTTCTTTCCTCCTTTTAATTCCAATTACTTTTAATCTCTGTCAATCTTTAAAATTCCTTATCCTTTGTGTATTTTAGGAAAATATCAAGGTAATAAGGAAAAAATAAAAATTGAAATGGGCAGTGAGCTGCAGTGCATTGCAAGTAAAACAAAACAAAACAAAAAATGTATCCCTAACTTACCAAACCAATTAACACCAAATGTTAGCACCAAAAAAAATACATAAATAAATAAAAAAGTGTACGTAAAGAAAAAGCAGTAAAGATAGTTCTTACCTTAATTCACTCTTTCACCATAAAAATAAAAGAGGCTCATTAACATGTAGAGATTCTGTACTTCAATTTTGTCTGTTCAGATTGGGAATTTTCATTTGTTTCATTTTCATTTCCATTTGTACTTATATCCTAATAGAAAAAGCCAACATAATCCCAAATGGACCTCAAAGTCATGATGTAGAATGGAAACCATTGACAGAAGATAATCCTCCTTTTCTCCCAGCCTAGTGGGTGCAAGCTGGGTGGATTAAACAGATTTGGACCAAACCAACAATGGTTTATAAAAGGTCAAGCTGTGAGCTTGGCATCAGATCAGAAGCCATTTTTTGGATGCTCTCCCCAAGGAGTAAAGTCAAGCTCCTCTTTTCTAGCATGATGGAATCACTAAGGAAACCCAAGAATAAGAAATCTCACAAAATTCAGAGACCATAAACTGGCCTGTAGATATGTGTTTGTCTCATGCAGTTTTTAATTTTCAAAAATTCATTTCCAACATTCGAAAGTGTAAGATTGAACATTAAAAAAAGAAGGTAATTGATCTTTCTGGAGAAGTAAAAATATCTGGCAATATCAAACCTGTATGTGGCATTGATTGGTGAATATGGAGCAGGTGCTACCTGTTTGGGACAGAATGTGGGCTCTCTGGTTTTTACAGTCTCCACTCCTCCCTTTTGCTGAGTCTTTGCCATCTTCACTCACAATTAGTACCTCCTGGCCTCTGTAGGGATGTTTGTGTCTTCTGATGTAGTCTAACATCTGCACTTTTTCATATGAGGAGATGCAGTTGTAAGAAAGAAAAGCCTTGACTAAAGTTGCAAGCCTACATTGGAATCAGCTGATCCCTCAGTGGGTAAAGGAAATTGTAACACAGTAAGTCAAACTCCTTTCTGCTGAAAAGATGATGTAGTAGCATTCCAGACAAAAGTGAGTGAGAATCTCAGAAGGCAGGAAATGTGGACAGAATTCCTTACCTGGATATGCTTCTGCTTTCTCACAATTAAGAGTTTCATACTGAAACCGAGGGCTAACCTGATTAGGCCCGCCAAACTTAACTTGCCTCATTTGTTTTTAATCACTTGCTTTTAGTCGATTTCGAAACTCGTATAGCTAAAAGTCACATAGTTAAACAATATATATCTAAACTCCCACTAGCTTCCTTATAGATAACATCTCCAACGTATGGGTCAACACCGTAACAATTGCTTGTTTTTCAGGGACTTGGGGTCAGTTCTTGTCCAGTTCAAATCAGCTGAGACCATTGACCCTTCAACTGGCCTATATGTTTAATAGGTGACCTTTTGACTTCAGAGGGCAAATAACTCCATCTTCCAATCATGCTAACCACACCATTGTGTGAACATGAGTCCTGTGAAGACCAATAAAGCTTGACCACAGTAGTGCAGATAACCCCCACTTGACTAATTTTTCTTTACCTCCAATCACCTTTCTCCATGCCTTGGGCCACTTTGCTCCCCTATGCAATAAACATCCTTAAAACTCGTCTTTGGGCAGTGGATTTGAGATCTGTTCTCTTATCTCCTTACTTAGCTTCCGGGTGAATAAATCCTTTCTTTGCTACAAAACTTGTCATGTTAGTGATTGGCACACTGAACAATAAGTAGAATGGGCCTGATTCAGTATCAATACCAGGGATTTGAGATCTACTGTTACTATTATTAACAATAATATTAACCTTAAGATAAAGATAAAGCCTATTTCCCAGTTCCTGATTAGAGATGATTTAGCTCTACCCTATAACTCAGATTTTCCAAGAAGAGTGGCATTCCAAGGCTGGGGCTGCCAAAGTTGTCAGCCTCACATGTAGTCAATAAGACAGACGTAGTGCATATAGCAAATGGTAAAGCAATGATAAAACTAACTAAAAGTCAGCCTACTTTATTAACACTATGCATTAGCGGGGAGGCAGACCAATATGGAATAGAGAGCTCCCCTGATTGCTCCCCCCCACCTCAGGCATTAACACCAAGTTAACAACTTATCTTCACAGAAAAACACTTTCATAAGAACCAAAAATTAGATGAGCACTCATAGTACCTGGTTTAAACTTTGTATCACTGGAAGAAGCACTGAAGAGATAGAAAAAAGAGTCCTGAATCACCAAGACCACCCCTCCCCTATCCCCCACAGCAGCAGCATGATATAAAGAGCATCTCTGGGCACTGAGGGAGGAAGAACGCAGCAATGGTGAGATAGTGAACTCAGTGCTGTCCTGTTAGAGCAGAAAGAAAAACCAGATCAAACTCAGCTGACACCCACCCATAGAGGGAGCATTTAAACCAGCCCGGCCAGAGAGGAATTGCGGATCCCAGCAGTCTGAACTTGAGTGACCAAAAACCTCACCACTGAGGGCCAAAGTACTCTCATTCTCGAAGTAAACTTGAAAGGTAGTCTCGGTTATAAGGATTGCAACTCATAGGAGACTACTAGGGCTGAACTAGGCCCAAAGAGAGGGGACTAGGGAGGCATGTGACATACTGAGACACCACCAGCTGGGCAGTCAAGAGAGAACTGGCATCACCCCTCCTCTAGCCCCAGGCTGCATGTTTCACGGCTCCCAAAGAAACCCCTTTCTTCTGCTTCAGGAGAAGAGAGAGAAGAGTGAGGAGAAATTTGTTTTACATCTTGAGACCGGTCTGCCACAGCAGGATAGGACACTCCCAGCTTTCGGTGGCTCAGAACAGAGAAAGAGAGACTTCGTATGCTTGAGAGAAACTAAGGAAGGAGACCAAGAGTCTCTGCCTGGTAATGCAGAGAATTCCCCCAGATCTTGTCCAAGACCATCAAGGCGATAGCTCTACAAGTCTGTAAGAACCACAGTGGTATTTGGCTTGGGGTGCCCCCCAAAACACAAACAGCTTAGTTCACAACACTCAAGTCCTTTCAAATATCTGGAAATCGTTCCCAAGAAGGGATGGCTACAAATAAACCCAGACAGTGAAGACTACAATAAACATGTAACTCTTCAGTGCACCAACACCAGAGAACATCTACTAAGATCGACATCATCCAGAAAAACATGACCTCATCAGATGAACTAAATAAGGTACCAGGGACCAATCCTAGAGAAACAGAGATATGTGACCTTTCAGAAAGGGAATTTAAAATACTTGTGTTGAGGAAACTCAAAGAAATTCAAGATAATGCAGAAAAGGAATTCAGAATCCTATCAGATAAATTTAACAAAGAGATTGAAATAATTTAAAAGAATCAAGCAGAAATTCCGGAGCTCTGAAATGCAATTAATATACTCAAAAATACATCAGAGTTCTTTAACAGTGGAATGGAGCAAGCAGAAGAAATAATTAGTGAGCTTAAAGACAGGCTATTTGAAAATACACAGAGGAGACAAAAGAAAAAAGAATAAAAACAATGACACCCACCTACAGGATCTAGAAAATAGGCTCAAAAAGGCAAATCTAAGAGAAAGAGATAGCAGTAGAAAGTTTATTCAAAGAGATAGTAACAGAGAACTTCCCAAACCCAGAGAAAGATATGAATATTCAACTACAAGAAGGTTATAGGAAACCAAGCAGATTTCACTCAAAGAAGACTACCTCAAGGCATTTAATAATCTAACTCCCAAAAGTCAAGGATAAAGAAAGGATCCTAACAGTGGCAAGAGAAAAGAAACAAATAGCATATGATAGAGCTTCAATACGTCTGGAAGCAGACTTTTCAGTGGAAACCTTATAGAATAAGAGAGAGTGGCATGACATATTTGAAGTGCTGAAAAAACTTTTACCCTATAATAGTATATACAGTGAAAATATTCTTTAATCATGAAGGAGAAATTATGACTTTCCCAAGCAAACAAAAGCTAAGGGATTTCATTAATACCAGACCTGTCCTACAAGAATTAAAGAGAATACTTCAGTAAGGAAGGAAAGGGCATTAATGAGCAATAAATAATCACCTGAAGCTAGAAAACATACTGGCAATAGTAAGTACACAGAAAAACACAGAATATTATAACACTGTAACGTGGTATGTAAACTACTCTTATCCTAAGTAGGAAGACTAAATGATGAACCAATCAAAATAATAACTACAACAACTTTTCAAGACATAGTAAGTACAATAAGATATCAATGGCATCAACAAAAATCAAACAATACCAAAGTTAAGAAGTGGGAAAATGAAATTAAGGTCAGACATTATTAGTTTTCTTTTTGCCTGTTGGTTTGTTTATGTTAAGATGGTTAAGTTGTTATCAGGTTAAAATAACAAGTTGTAAGACAGTATTTGTAAGCCTCCTGGTAATAGCGAACCAAAAAATACAATGGACACACAAAAAATAAAAAGCAAGAAACTAAATCATATCCCCAGAGAAAA
Organism: Homo sapiens; assembly: GCF_000001405.40. NCBI lineage: Eukaryota > Metazoa > Chordata > Mammalia > Primates > Hominidae > Homo > Homo sapiens. Next base: position 30,569,404 of record NC_000003.12, read on the forward strand.
TCATCTTCATTAGAGGAAGACAGGAATTAAAAAAAAGAAGAAGAAAAGACTACAAAACAACAGAAAAATAACAAAATGGCAAGAATAAGTACCTACTTATTAATAATCACATTGAAAGAAAATGGACTAAACTCTCCAAGCAGAAGATGGAGACTGGCTGAATGAATGAAAAGGCAAGACCCATTTATCTTTTGTCTCCGAGAAACATGCTTCACTTATAAAGACACAAAGAGACTGAAAATAAAAAGATGGAAAAGATATTCTATGCCAATGAAAACCAAAAAAGAGCAGGAGTCACTATACTTACATCAGGCAAAATAAATTTCAAGACAACAAGTATAAAAACAGACAAAGAAGGTCACTGTTTAATGATAAAGGGGTCAATTCATCAAGAAGATATACCAATTTTAATATATATGCACCCAACATGGGAGCATCAGATATATAAAGCATATTTTATTAGAGCTAAAGTGAGAGATAGACCCCAGTACAATAATAACTGGAGTGTTCACCCTACTTTCAGCATTTGACAGATGTTCCCAAAAGAAAATCAACAAACAAACATCAGACTCAACCTGCACTATAGACCAATGGATCTGATAGATACTTACAGAACATTTCATTTAAAAGCTGCAGGATATATATTTTTTATCCTCAGCATATGGGTTATTCTCAATGATAGACCATATGTTAGGTCACAAAACAAGTAATAAAACATTCAAAACATTGAAATAATAGCAAGCATCTTCTCTTACCACATTGAAATAAAACTAGAAATTTCTAACAAGAGGAATTTAAGAAACTATACAAATACATGGAAACTAGGCCATGTGTTCCTGAATGACCAGTGGTCAATAAAGAAATTAAGAAGGAAAGTGAAAATTTCTTAAAACAAATGATAATGGAAACACAACACATCAAAACCTATGGGATATAGCAAAAGCAATACTATGAAGGAAGTTTATAGTTATAAGTGCCTACATCAAAACAGAATAAAAATTTTAAGTAAACAATTTAACAATTCATCTTAAAGAACTAGAAAAGCAAGAGCAAACCAAAACCAAGATTCTAGAAGAAAAGAAATAATAAAAATCAAAATAGAAATAAATGAAATTGAAATGAAAGAAACAATACAAAATATCAATGAAACAAAAAGGTTTTCTTTTGAAAAGTTAAACAAAATTGACAAATCTTTAGCCAGACTAAGAAAAAAAAAGAAGATCCAAATAAATAAAATCGGAAATGGAAAAGGAGACATTGTAACTGATACTGCAAAAATGCAAAAGACCATTAGTGGATACTATGAGCAACTATATGCCAATACGTTGTAAAATCTATAAGAAAGTGACAAATTCCTAGATACACACAACCTACCAAGATTGAACCTGGAAGAAATCTGAAACATGAACAGATCAATAATAAGTAATAAGATCAAAGCTACAATAAAAAGTCTTCTAATAAAGAAAAGCCCAAAACTTGATGGCTTCAAGACTAAATTCTTCCAAACATTTAAAAAAGGATAAATAGCAATCCTACTCAAACTATTCTGAAAAACAGAGGATGAGGGAATACTTCCAAACTCATTCTATGAGGCCAGAATTACCCCAATACCAAAATCAGAAAAAGACACATCACAAAAAGAAAACTACAAGCCAATATCGCTGTTGATTGTTGACACAAAAATCCTCAACAAAATACTAGCAAACCAATTCCAACAATACATTAGAAAGATCATTCATCATGACCAAGTGGGATTTATCCCTGGGATACAAGATAGTTCAACATATGCAAATCAATCAATGTGATACATCATATCAACAGAATGAAAGATGAAAACCATATGATCATTTCAATTGATGCTGAAAAAAGCATTTGACAAAATTTAACATCCCTTCATGAAAAAAAACCCTAAAAAACTGGGTAGAAGAAACATACCTCAACATAATAAAAGCTATATACAACAGACCCACAGCTAGCATCATACTGAATGAGGAAAAACTGAAAGTCTTTCCTCTAAGATCTGGAACATGATAAAGACTCCCACTGTCATTACTGCTATTCAACATAGTACTGGAAGTCCTAGCTAGAGCAATCAGATGATAGAAAGATGTAAAAGGCATCCAAATTGGAAAGGAAGAAGTCAAATTATCCTTATTTGCAGATTATATGATCCTATATTTGAAAAAACCTAAAGACTCCACAAGAAAACTATTAGAATTGATAAGCGAATTCAATAAAGTTGTAAGATACAAAATTAACATACCGAAATGAATAGCATTTCTATATGGCAACAATGAACAATGTAGAAAAGAAATTTAAAAAATAATTTCATTTACAATAACCACACATAAAATTTAATACATAGGAATTAACCAAATAAGTGAAATCTCTATAATGAAAACTACAAAATGCTGATGAAGGAACTTGAAGAGGATACCAAAAAATGGAAATATATTCCATGTTTATGGATTGGAAGAATCAATACTGTTAATTTGTCCATACCACCCAAAGCAATCGACAGATTCAATGCAATCCCTATCAAAATGTCAATGACATTCTTCACAGAAATAGAAAAAACAATTCTAAAATGTATAAATGGATTACAAAAGACCCAGGATAGCCAAAGCTATCCTAAGCAAAAACAAAACTGGAGGAATCACATTACCTGACTTCAAACTATACTATAGAGCTATACTAACAAAAACAGCATAGTACTGGCATAAAAACAGATGCATAGACCAATGGATTAAAATAGAGAACCAGAGACAAATCCACACACTTACAGTGAACTCATTTTTGACAAAGGTGCCAAGAACATAGACTGAGGAAAAGACAGTCTCTTCAACAAATGATGCTGGGAAAACTGGATAGCCATATGAAAACAGAATGAAACTAGATTTCTATCTCTTGCCATATACAAAAATCAAATCAAATGGGTTAAATACTTAAATGTAATACTTCAAATTATGAAACTACTACAGGCAAACTTTGGGGAAAATCTCCAGGACAATATCCTGTAGATTGGTCCTGACAATGGGCAAAGATTTTTTGAGCAATATCCCACAAGCACAAGCAATCAAAGCAAAATTAGACAAATGAGATCACATCAAGTTAAAAAGCTTTTTCAAAGAAAAGGATACAATCAACAAAGTGAAGAGATAACCCACAAAATGGGAGAAAATATTTGCAAATCACCCCTCTGACAAGGAGTCAATAACTAGAATATATAAGAAGCTCAAATAACTCTACAGAAAAAAAATCTAATAATGGATCAAAAAATAGGCAAAATTTTTAAATAGACATTTCTCATAAGAAGACATACAAATAGCAAACAGGCCTAGGAAAAGGTGCTCAACATCCTTGGTCATCAGACAAATGCAAATCAAAACTACAATGAGATATTATCCTACTCCAGTTACATACGCACATAGTAAAAATGGCTTATATCCAAAACACAGGCAATAACAAACACTGGTGAGGATGTGGAGGAAAGGGAACCCTTGTACACCGTTAGTGGGAATGTGAATTAGTGCAACCACTATGGAGAACAGTTTGGAAGTTTCTCAAAAAACAAAAAATAGAGCTACTATATGATTCAGCAATCCCACTGCTGGGTATATACCCAAAAGAAAGGAAGTCAGTATATCAAAGAGATATCTGCACTCTTATGTTTGTTGCAGCCTGTTTACAATAGCTAAGATTGGGAAGAAACCTAAATGTCTATCAATAGATGAATGGATAAAGAAAACGTACATATACATGATGGAGTACTATTCAGCCATAAAAATAATGAGATCTTGTCATTACAACAACATGAATGGAACTGGAGATCATTACGTTGAGTGAAGTAAGCCAGACACAGAAAGACAAACATCACATGTTCTCTCTTACTGGTGGGATCTAAAAATAAAATCAATTGAACTCATGGACATAGAGAGTAGAAGAATGGTTACTAGAGGCTGGGAAGTATAGTAGGGGGTTGAGGGAGAAGTGGTGATGGTTAATGGATATCAAAAGACGGAATGAATAAGACATACCATTTGAAAGCACAATAGGGCGTCTATAATCAATAATAATATAATTGTATATTTGAAAGTAACTTAAAGAAGGTAGTGGATTGTTTGTAACTGAAAGAATAAATGCTTGAGAAGATGGATACTCCATTCTCCATGATGTTGTTATTTCATGCCTGTATCAAAACATCTCAGGTACCCCATAAATATATATACCTACTATGTACCCACAAAAATGTTTTAAAATAATAATTTAAAAAATACTATACACTAGCAAATCTGAATAATGTCAGTGACATAAAGATGTTCCTCTGTAAAAATTAAAATATGTTGTTGGTTTAAGCGCTAAACAATTGCTGTGGTTATAGTTGAATTTTAACCATATATATCCGTGTGTGTGTGTGTGTGTGTGTGTGTGTGTGTGTGTGTGTGTGTGTATGTGTGCGTCATTTTTTGTGCAGCTGAAAAGGATACCACAGCCCGGGTAATTTATATTGAACAGAAACGTATTGTATCACAGTTTTGAAGGCTGGGCAGTCCGAGATCAATGGGCTGGCATCTTGCAAAAGCCTTCATGTTATATTGTCCCATGGCAAAAGGGCAAAGAGAGGACGAGAGAGAGAATAAAAGGGTACCAAACTCTTCCTTCTATAACAAACCCATTCCCATGATAATGAACTCACTTTTGCCATAATGGTATTAATCTACTTATTTTCCCCTTATGGCCTAATCACTCCTTATTAGGACCCACATTTCAACACTATTATATGGGAAATTAAACTTGGTGCCTGTGACATAAGAGGCAGAAAAGGCAGTACCATTAATCTCCAAAGTGGCTTCAGGGTCATTCTTCCAGTGTCTCATGACTAGCCTCTGACTTCATTCCATCTATACTAATCTCCTTATCAAATGGTCTCTTGGCTATACCCTCGGTTTCGCCTCCTGAAAATGTTCTTTCATTTTCTACCACAGGGCCAGATTGAAAATCATTTGAATCCTAAAGTAATGTCTAAAAATTTTCATACTTTTACTACAGTTCTCTTCTGAAATCTCACCAGAATCACTCTTAATGATCTGTTTATGGCAATACAGGGATTTTCTTGCCTGTTCCTCCAAATTCTTTCAACCGCTGCCCATTACCAATTCCAAAGAGGTTTCCACATTTTCACGTATTTGATATGGCAACACCACACTTCACTAGTACCGATTTTCTTTGTCCATTTTGTGATTCGATAATAGAATACCACAGACTGGGTAACGTATAATGAACAAAAATTTATTGGCTCATGGTTCTGTAGGCTGGAAAATCCAAGATCAAGGGGCCAGTATCTTGCAAGGATCTTCTTGCTATGTCATTCCATAGCAGAAGGGCAAAGAGAGGGTGAGAGAAAGAGTAAAAGGGGTCCAAATTCTCACTTTTATAATGAATGTACTTATATGATAATAAATGCACTCTTGTAATAATACGGGTTTTAATCTATTCCCTCTATCCTCATGGCCTAATCACCTCTCTTTGAGCCCTACCTCCTAATACTGTTGCATCGGGGATTAAGTTTCCAACACATAATTTTGGGAGGAACACATTCGAACCAACGCAATATATAAGTAGCAAGTTAGCATATTTTATAATTTCTACATTAATAAATTTTATATTCGACATGAAAATTGAGAGAATCCTTGGTTAGACAGCTTGACCCAGAATACCTAGACTCAGCTATATAAATTCACTTTGAGAGGAAGTCTGTAACAGTTTGAAATCCTTTGAGCTTGCTTCAGGCTAAAGTTCTGTTTCTGACTCCCACTGTGCTCCATATTCCTGTGTTTAAGCAGTAGCTTTGAAATAAACAATGATAGCACAGTGATTGCAAAGACAAGAAACATAATTTAGGTGACTTTAATATGTCATTCTATGGTGTTTTAATTTCTGTTTACAATTCAAGAGCAGAAACATTTAGAGGCTTTAGAATCAATTACACTATTGAAGAAGAAACAAATATCTGGGTAGTTGCATTTTCTGAAATTTATTATAAAATGGAATTTTTATCATCTCTGACAAATTTATCCTTATATTTAAGACTTTACATAACTACTTTGTATATTTTGCTTCATGTTAAAGAAATTTTCTGAAATGAAAATTAATAAAATGTATTATTTGATCAACTGTGAATGAAATAGGTTAAAAACCCTAGCTAGACTATTTTTTCTGCAGGAATATGATGAAGAAGATTAATTTTGATGAAGTCATCAACAATGACAGAAGTTAAGCCTCGAAACCAAACTAATGTAATTTTTCATTAGTATAAGTGACCAGTATAGTAGTATACATATTCCGCTTTGTTCAAAGAATTCATTAAAATAATTAAAAATATTAATCTATTACACTGTATTTCCTTTCTGGCCAGTTTTATTGTTATTTCTTTTACTTCAGGGTTAATATTGAAAATAATTGTATCTTATAAAGAAGTGTTCTGTTAAGTAAGATAGACTCAGCTCTGGGTATAAATTATGCTAGATCTTTTATAATGTTAAGCACTATCTTAACCCCAAACTATAATCCCATGATTTATCAGATGCAGGTCACAGATTTTCAACTGTCCTGGGTCTGGACTGAATTTAGTGCCAACTTATTACCTACAATAAAATTCTTTGCACTGTGTTGTTTTCCCAGAGATCCCATTCCTAGAGAGGTAGAGAGTAATTCTCTCCTTGGTTGATCCCATAGCGATTTGTCCACAAATAACTATGTCATGAATAAATGTTTAGATGACTGACTTTCTTAGGAGACATGAGCCCCTGCAAAATATGGGATGTGTGTAATTAATTTCTACTACATTTCAGGTACTCAATAAATTTCATCGAATACGTGAATAAATGCGTGAATAAAAGGATGGTGCTTTCATTTGTGATCATGAATACATGAAATTTACATTCCTACTAAATTAAACAGATACATTTAAAAGGAATGGTACCTTTTCTTTAAGAGCATATTCTAATCTAATATTATTGATATCACTGTAAAATCAAAACTTAACTTGTGTTTTATCAGTAAATCTGAACAAATTCTTTCAAAATTCTCAAATAACCAATTAATGAAATGAAGACAACCCAGAATAGTCTAGTTCCCCAAACATTAATCACTGCATGCCACTTCATTTTTTTATATATGATTATTTAGTAAATATTTTTGCTCTAGCTATTTCTATTTTTTAAAAAAGCCTTAAATACATACCTTATCCCTGTTGTAAGAAAGAATATCCATGAATATTAAGGTTTTATGTGCCTATTACATTTTTTAATGCACACTAAAATAAGCACATAAATATTGGAATATATCATGTCTACTAAAATCATGTTGTATATACCATGATAAATACTGGCAGAGTGGAATAAACATAGACTGGGGTGAGATGAACTGGTATTGATCTTATCCACTTCCAAGGTAATATAACCTCTTTAAAAGTCAATGCTTCATATAAATATAGAGATAAGAAGACTGGCCTCAGAGACTTTTTGTGAAGATTAAATATGTAAATCACCTAATGGAAGTCCTGCATAGATTATTTAGGTACTCGATAGTTATACCTGCTAAGATGATACATATGTCTCACCTTTCGAACAGACTGCATTCCCTCTTTCTCCACTTCTCACTTTCTCTAATAATCTGTTGGCTGCTCTTATTCTAAATATAGCCTCACAGAAACAAGCGGCCAGATCTTATGCTACACAGATATTACTCATAGCAATTGCATGGGATAAAAATAAATATGGACAATATAGTGTGAAAGCAAGAGATAGAATTGAGCCTTCTTCTCCAGGCGCTGCCTCCATAAGTTATCTGCCACCTCAAATATATCACATGGGATCTCTGGGCCAGTCCCTTTATTTAATAAAATTGAGGGAGAAAATTCTTTTTCTGTTTAAAAAGTTAATGAAATATTCAATATTTGACATCCTTTTGCTTTCATGTTTTCTCTCTCTTAAATTTTATTTTTCTTATTCTTATTGTGAGAGTATATGTGAAGCAAGGTTCACTGAGAAATGAAAGGCCTTCTCCTAGAGTTTCAAAAAAGGGTCTTGCAAGTTCAAACAAGTTTTAACTTCAAGTCTCTTAACCCTTCTCCTATTGAACCATCAACTCAGACCCTTATCAGGGTGTTCTAACGCCCTCCTCCTCTTTCACCCAGGTGGCACTGACTTGCTCTTATTTATTCTTCACTTGTTGGGGGACTTGCACTCTCAGAGAGAAAGTAAGTTAAAAATGAGCAGAAATCAATAGCTGGAATCTTAACAGTGGACAGGAATTTTAGTTTACTTTTTTTTTTCATAGGGAGAAGAGTGCTTAGAGTTTTGATTGTATGGTAGAGGCCTCTAAAGCACTTAATTAAGATGTCTGAAGCAGATAATAACAAATTCAGAGGGCTCCTTGGATGATCATCCAGCAGACATCCTGGAGACAAACATACACCAAAGCAAAAATACATTTCTCCTTCTGCCTCTTCATCCTGTGGACTCAGCAGGCTGGCCAAGCATGTCCCCCAGAGGTTGGCCCCACTGTGGTTAGAAGAACATAGATTCTGCCTTAAGGCAGACATTAGTTACTATCCTGGATCTACCATTATCAATAGTAAGACTGAAAGTTACTTCAGCTCTCTCACTCTCAGTTTCCATCTATAAAAATTGAGATAAGAAATAAAAATAAGATCCCCCACCCCCCAACCCACTGAACTGACTCCCTCTTGGCCAAGGCAACTCCATACACCAAAGCAAAAACATGTTTCTCCTTCTGCCTCTTCATCCTGTGGACTCAGCAGGCGGACCATGCATGTTCCCCAGAGGTCAGTCCCACTGTGGTTAGAAAAACATAGATTCTGCCTTAAGGCAGACCTGAGTTACTATCCTGGATCTACCATTATCAATAGTAAGACTAAAAGTTACTTAAGCTCTCTCACTCCCAGTTTCCATCTATAAAAATTGAGATGAGAAATAAAAATAAGATCCCCCACCCCCCAACCCACTATACAGACTCCCTCTTGGCCAAGGCAACTCAAGAAACCTTCAAAACTGTGTTCCTGGCTATAACAGGACCATAGGTTGGAAACGCCTCAGTGTGCCCCTTCCTTGTTAAACTTTAACCAGAATTCTTTCCTAAGAAGTAAGCAGAAACAAACTCTGGAAAACTAGCAATAAAGGATTCATTCCTTTATTGCCTTTAGCTAGTCATCTGAGGCTGCAACTGGACTCCCCCTCCCTCTTTGTGGTTTGAACATGACAGCTCACCAGTTTCACAATGCATCCCTTCCTAAAAACTGACCACCATCTCCAGACTGGTTTTGGCTGGCTCACAGAGGATGGACAGTGATGGTGTTCGTGTCCTCTGCTTCACCTTTTGATGTCAGAGGGCCAACCCCACCACACCCTGGCCTGCGGATCATGCTAAGGCTGCCGTTTTTTGAACATGCAACCCATGAAGAGGCACGAAGCTCAGTTGTGCATGCCCTTGTTTCTGCTTTCATGAAATATTTATGACTCCTCCTGTTATTGACTGTGTAAATTCAGCCACTATGCTCAGCATAAATTCCTGTTCCCTTTACCCCTCCCTCAAAGTGCTTGCTCTCACCTTTTGCCAGAAGTGAGGCTTCCCTGTAAGATGGCCAGCCTGCAGATTGCAACGCTTTATAATAAATAATGCTCTCCTTTCCAAATTTATGAACATCATCATTCTTCAGTTGACAGAGATGATGCAGAGTTTTATGGTTTACTAATCAAAACACTTCACTGATAAACTGTTTTGATTATTTATTATTGCATAACAAACCACTCCAGAACTTGGTGTAACAATGAGTATATTACGCTCATGAATTTTTTTGTGTCAGGAGTTCCGATGACATAGCCAACATGGCTTGACTATACTCCACAATGTCTGGAACCGCAGCTTGGAAGACTCAAATGGCTGAGGTTGAGTTGAATGGCTGGAGGCTAGAATTCTCTGGAGACTTCTTCACTTTCAGGTCTGATACCTGGGCCAGAATGACTCATGGCTAAAGCTGATTGGCATCTCTCTCAATGTAGTCTCAGGGCTTCTCTTTGTGATTTCTCCTCCAGGCCTCTCCATCATGGAGACATCAGGGTGGTCAGACTTCTTATATAGAGCTCAGAATGCCTACAATGAGTGTTTCAGCAAAGAAGGTGGAAGCTGAACAGTTTTTAATAACCTAGCCTTGACAAATCACATGGCATCATTTTTACCATGCTCTCTGGGTCAGTGCATGTCTAGCCCTGAGATTCAAGAAGGCACATAGATACTATATTTGAAAGCATCAGGCCCAATACCTGGAATATTATTGGAGTTCCAGAAATGTTATAGATCATATTGCCATAAATCAATTCCCCATTGTAATAATACTGTAATAAATAAATCATAAAATATGTGAACATATACTTTGTAAGGCACTTTGACATTCATCAACTCTGTGTCACAATACCCTTCTCTAAGCAGGATAAATCTTTTCCCTTATTTTGTAAATAAACAAAGTGAAATTCAGAGAGGTTAAATTAGTTTACTAGAATCACAACAGCTAGTAAGCGGTGCAGCTGAGGACAAAACCCAGGATCTCTGTGGCAGGGTGTGGTGACTCTTGCCTGTATGTCCAACACTTTGGGAGCCAAGGCAGGAGGACTGCTTGAGGCCAAGAGTTTGAGACTGGTCTGGGCAACATAGTGAGAAAACATTTTTAAAAACTTAGCCAGGCCTGGTGGCACACACCTGTAGTCCTAGCTACTTAGGAGGCTAAGGTGGGAGGATTGCTTGAGCCCAGGAGTTTGAGGTTACAGTGAGCTATGATCCTGCTACTGCAATCCAGCCTAAGCAACAGAATGAGATCCTGTATTAAAAATACCACCACCAAAAACAACAACAACAACAACAAAACAACAGGATTTCTAATTCATGATGCAATCTGCTTCACTTTATAGAGTGAATGGAAAATAAAAATACACACAGATATATAAGTATACACTTTCTTATATTAAGAAGATCTGGTAACCACTGACAATTTCAGCTCATCAACTATAAAACTTGCTCATACGTGTGTGTGTATACTTATATATAATACAACTTCTTTTTGTTTCTACTAAGTTGTTAGAACAATAAAGAGGTAACATCTCACATTTGTTCTATGTGACAATAGATTCTGTGAAAATATTCTTTGGCCAAATCCTCTCCTTTTTGCATTATAAGAGATAAAAATTCCTGACAGACAGCCTTCCTAGAAACCATTAAGGATTGTTTATATCTCAACGCAAATTAGTGTCTCAGACTTTCTCTCGCTGTGAGTTGTGTACCTTGAGGCTGACACCATATTCCACTTCTCCCTTGGTGGGAGCTGATCTTATACCAAGGTGTGAAACTGATGGGTCAACATTTAATCCCATCCTCCTTATTAAAGAAAGCTTCAGGAATGATGATATGACCACATTTTGGCCAAGAAGCAAGAGGAAGTTTGTTGGGGCCTTCTGAGAAGGTTTTCCTAACTCTTTTGAGAGACTCGTAGGAATTTTTGTTTTCTTTTTTCGAGAAGAGTCACCCAGGCTGGAGTGCAGTGGTGGATCTCAGCTCACTGCAACTTCCGCCTCCCGGGTTCAGGGGATTCTCCTGCCTCAGCCTCCCGAGTAGCTAGGATTACAGGCGGGTGCCACTACGCTCAGCTAATTTTTGTAATTTTAGTAGAGATGGCGTTTCGCCATGTTGGCCAGGCTGGCCTCTAACTCCTGGCCACATGTGATCTGCCCGCCTTAGCCTCCCAAAGTGCTGGGATTAGAGGAGTGAGCGACTGCGCCTGGCGAACTCATAGGAAATTTAACACTCGGACTCTCCCAGGATCTGCATAAGAAAAGCAGGTTTTCCAGGGGAGAGGGGAAATGCTGAAGATAAAATCCATACCCAGAGGAGTACATGTCCAAGAGAACCACAAAAAAACGCAGCTGTATGGGATGCTGCGGGTGCCTTGCCCTGATCTCCTAATCAACTAAAGCATGCCACTGTTAATAGCTGTCCTTTCCTCCTAAGAATTTCTCCCTTCAGATGAGAAGCCGGACTCCCCTCTGCTGGAAGTTATGCACGTCTTTCATCCCTGAATTAACCCTCAGCGAATGACTGACCACCATAGGGGTACAGAAGACCACCTTCCTGCTTCAAGGTGGGACTGACTTTGTGGCATAATTCCTGTCCGGATTTCCCTGTGGGATTAGGCAGAAGCCGGCTCCAGCTGAAATCACATCTGTACTTCGTTCCTCATCTGCCCCATCCTATTTTCCTCACTTCCTTTCTCCTGAGGGTTTTTCCTCCACAAACTGCATAGACCCAAATCCCTGTCCCAGATTCTACTTCTTGGGAACCCCAACCTAAGACAGTGCCTGAAACCACTATTCAGCCATACATGATACCTGCCCTGTCTGTGTTCTTCCAGTTGTGTGCACTAGTACCATATATTGCGTTTGAAGACAGTATGTATAAGGTTTTTCTGTTACTTGTAGCCTGAAGTTTCCTAAGGAATAATATAGAAGCTAATGGTCTTTGACTGGGAAATCTGAGTTAGAAAAAGTACATGGCATGAGCTAGGTATAAAGGACAGGAGTTGACGTTTAGTATAAGACAGAACAAAGGTATGTTGTACTCAGTGAAGGACAAAAGGTGTTTCTGGGTTAAATGTTATTGAAGGTATGCAAAGTATGTGTTTTTGTGAGGTAGTATTTGCATGTACACCTTAGGAATTCTAGGAAGTCAAGCCAGGTCATATCCACTAAGGAAATTGTAAGACCACTGAGAGCAATGGAGGGGGAGGAGTTGAGTCAAATGACCAAATATCATTGCCACTATCACATGTTACAATGAAGAAACAACTTAATCCCTAAAGGGGTTATTTGGGATATGGAATTTTAGGAACTGGTCTTGAATCACAAGACCCGTGTCCCCGTCTTCAGGGTATAGATAGATGTAAGATCTGGGCCTGTGCTGACCAATACCATTGCCATTCATCACAGGTAGCTATTGAGTACTTCAAATGTGACTTGTCTGAATTAACATGTACTGTAAATGTAAAATATAAAATGAAAATCAAAGACAGTACCAGAAAATTAAAATGTCTCTAAATTTTTTATTGATTTTGTTTTGAAATTTTAATGTTTTGGATATGTTAGGTTGTATGTTATTAAAATTAATGTTATGTTTCTTTTTATACTTTTTAATGTGGCTGCTAGAAATTTTTAAATTACAACCATAGTTTACATTAAATGGCTATTAAACAGAACTGATATGAATAGTTTAAGGCACAGGTCTGTGTCATGTCCATAACTTGAAGTTCAGATCTGCAGCAAGATACTAAAATTTCCTAAAGAGAAGCAGCTTGAATTTATAGGTAATATTAGTATGAAGACATCATGATTAACTAGATAACTAAAAGCAAAACATCCAAGAAATCTAGTGAAGGTTAAATCATAATATGCTCAATTGAATACTTTACAAAATGACATGCAATAATTATAAATGGTTTCTTTCATGGCATATTAAAAATAGCTGAAATAACATCAAGATACAATGTAGCAACAAATTAAAAAGCATTTGTCAGTAAACTTACTCAAAAATACATAGAATACATTGCTGGAGATACAAAAGAGACAATTGTTAGAGCACATCACACCATGTAGGAAGGTGATTTACCAGCTGAATAAAAATATAGATGTGTTAACTCATCTCAGCTTATGTTATTCGTTAAATTTCCTTCATGATGCAGCAATGCCTGAAGCAGTACATTTTGGAGATTGTTAAAAGCAAAGATGTGCATAGAGGAAATAATATATTCTTAAGGATATTTTAGCAAAGAATTGTGGCTGCTTTGACGATTAGTAGAAAAAAACAAGATTCTGAAGCAAAAGCAAATGGCAGAAACAGCATTCTCTTCTTCTGTGATATTTGCTGGGTGTGGTAGTGTGCCCAGCTAAAATATTATATTCCCCAGTCTTCTTTACAACCGTGTTATGGTCAAGTGATTAGATTCTGAACAATTAGAAGTTATTGGATGGAACCTCTGGGAAGTCTCCTTAAAACGGGAGAACACAGAAATAGGATCCTTCCTTTTTTCCCTTCTTGGGTCCGATTGCCATCTTCTCACTTTGAAGGTGGAAGCCACATGAGACATATGGGGACAGAAAGATATAAGGAGCTTATGACAGCATGGAGCCACCATATTGTCCATAAAGGTCTCATTTTATATGAGAGAAAAATTTTTGTATTTTCACTTTTTTTGAACTGATAAAGGCATACAACCAAAAATCTTTGGAGATCCCTGGCCTGTGAGAAAGCATGGAGCACCCATGCTTGGTGGTAAGGACTGGATACAGGAAAGAGTGAGTAAACTAGGCCACATGGGAATAAGGAGAAGTTTAGGGAGGAAGAGAAATCTCTTTTAGGACTGCACCAAGCTGCAATAAGGGAATAATTAAACCTAAAAACCAAGGAGCTCTCCTTTGCTTAGGTTCCTTCAGAGGCACACTAGAACTTTCTTGATAGAATAAACTTCTTTATTATCAGCCTTAGCTACCACTCTATTCTCATTTCCTACCACTCCCCTTCCTCTCTTTTGCCCCACCATTCCTTTTGAAGACTTGTTCAAACATTAATTCTTTATCAAAAGGGCAAAGTCCAGCGGAAGAATCACAGATGAAAGTAGATAGGCAGCATTAAACTACAACTTATGAACAAGACCAAGTAGTCATATTATTGCCTGATGGTTAAGTTTTGATTGTAAAAGGTTGTAAAACTCTCTTAAGAATCAAGGCAAGTTTTTATAAAGACAAATAGAAGAGTCCATTTGTTTCAAAGCATTGTGATGCTCACTTCAGTAGCAGTCTCATGGCTATTGAACTCACTTTCAACACCATAGTCAAAGAATGAGTTTTTGCACTTTTCTCTCTATTCTTTGCCTGTTAACTTGATACATGGCATGTGGATTTCAATTTTTGAACCAGAATATTTAAGTTGCATCTCCACTTTTTCATCTCCAATAAATAAATTTTTCCAAAAGCAGATTCTCCATATAACAGGTTGACTTTGAGTCCTTTTTGAACTCTTTATTAAATCTTACCAAAAATCTTTGCCGTATTTATTCATTCGACAAATGTAATGTCAAGATCATGAAAGCTCAGACTTGTGTCTTCATAAAGAAAACGTAAATCTCATAATCATAAATATACATATACGCATATATATAATACACACACATAGATCATTTCACAAAATACTTCATTAAAAGAAACTGTGCTCCAAGGGCTATATGATTTAAGTTTACACAATGAATAAGAGTGTCATGATTTCAGAGTCCCAACCTTAGACGTAATGAAACATTGGTCTTGTTTCTTTTTAATATGACAGATTTGTATTTATACTCAATTCATGATTTGACTGACACTTAGAAAAAAATTAATTATACATAGACAAAATTTTCTTTTTTTTAAGTTAATATTCACATTTGACCACTTTCTAAAATTCTTAAATGGTTTATACCAAGCAATGTAATATTAGATATATAATTTTTAATGCTTCAAGGATATAACTAAAAAGGAACGTATATAATAAATGCTATTATTATTGCTAGATAATACAGACTGAAGTCTATATTTACATTATTTGCAGCATGATATTTTATCTAAAATAGATTTTAATTTAAAAAGTAATTAAGATTGTATCAGTAAGGACTCTTTATATGCATGTTATAGAAAGCCCTATTCAGATTGATTAATATAAGGAAATGTATTGACTCATGAAGCTGAAAATTCAGAATTAGGGCAGGTTTTAAGTTTGATCCAAAGGTCCACAAAGTCATCGGGTCTCATTTTCCTGCAATTCGCTTAGCTTTACTTCCTCTGTGTGTTTTCTGCATACTTAAGCTGGCTTCCCTCATGTAGGAATGGCAAGAAGAAAGCTGCCAGTGATTTCTAGGGCTCCAGATCTTCTTCACTTCTAGGTGGAAGAGATTACTTTCACCTCAACCATTAATTAAAAATTCACATTGATTGTATCATCCTTCATCATATTATGATCTTCAAACTAAAAATGTCAGAAAAAAGGTTGGAATTATCTTGACTGACTTGGGCCAATTGTGATTGCTAGAGCTAGGGGTGTAGTCAATCTCATACAAACCTTATGTCTGTTATTTGGGGTAAAGAGTGAAACAAATCCGTGAGGGACCACCAGAATGTCCCCTGCTAAGGGAGATAAAGCAGTATTTCTAAAGCATACTGGCATACTGTTTACTTGCGCTGATATTATGTCCAGTCATATGAAAATATATGGTTCTTGTACTGGAAGAAATCACATTAGACTGTATAAAATTTACCCATAAGGAAATTACAGTCTAGGAGAGGAGATAGTGAAATGATGAATAAATGCAATATTGTGTGATAAGAATCACATAATCAAAACATAATCTTGGAATTACATATGGCTTGAATTCAAGCTCTGCTATACTGTAGTGGTGAGGCCGTAAACACATTTCTTGTGCTATGTTGGTGTTCGCCCTCAGCGTTACCTTCATGTTTGCTAGATGGCTACAGGGGATCCAACCATCTCCTCATACAGCCATGTCAATAGACCTCAAAGGGAAAGTTAAGATGTTAATTATAGGGGACAGTGGGTGGGAGGTATATGGGAACTCTTTGTACTGTCTTTCCATTTTTCTGTAAATCTATAACCATTCTAAGTAATCAAGTGTATTTTTGAACAGAAAAAAAAATGAAAGTTATGCATCTCTTGTTAAAAGCAACAAAATTCTGTCAGAATCCACTCTTCTCCTATTTACCCACTATCAGCACACTTCCTCTTATTTGGCCAGAATTGCCATGTCTTAACCTCTAGATGTCAAAGCTAGCAAAACGGCACGATTGGCCCAAACTAATTAATATTTATCCTCTGAAATGTTCAGGGAAGAGGCTCTTTTTCTAGGATATGTGGATACACAGTGAAAAAACACTTGAACAAAATATGGAAGGAAATCCAGGAAGGAAAATTATGTGAGGTTAAGGGGTGGGAATGGGTTAGATTCACTTGGGAAGGCAATCAAAATACCTTCTAAACCACCCTCACAGTTAGTGTATGAAAGGAGCTTAGCATAGTGTATAGTAATGTAAGAGCTCAATAAACGGTTATTAATGTTATCATAAAAATATTTGATTTGATCTGATCGGGGCAGCTTTCCACAAGATGAGTCACTCTGACCATTGAAGACAGAGGCAATGTGAAATTTCCCAGTTGAGAAATGACAAAGGAAGGAAGCCAGAGTTAGTGAGGATGGGGAAGGTGGACAATTAAGGAGATGCTAAGTACTCAATTTCCAGTTTGGGTATGGAAGAGGAGTCTAGAACGACCTCAAGCTTGCTGGCATGATGGAACTAATGTCGGTAGATGCTGGTGTCATTTGTTAAAAAACGAATGCCAGAGAAGTGTCTGGTTTGATTACAGAGGCAGAGGTGCCAGTTCTGGGAGGAACATGATAAATTTGAGGTGTCTGCAGGACATTCTAGTGCAGATTTAATTGCAGTGCAGACTGCTACCACTTATTTAGTAGTTTGGCATTCATTTGGTCAACGAATATTTGTTGTATACCAGTAGTTTGGCATTCATTTGGTCAACAAACATTTGTTGTATACCTACTATATAGTTGGGACTAAGTTTAATCATTTATAAGCATTCTCTTATGTAATCTTTGCAATAGTTGGCCAGTGATCTCCAGCCATCACTTTTGAGGCCAATTTTGGAATCCATTCACTGCTGCATCACTGATAGTTAATTATCTTGTTGGCAGCAATATTCTCAAGCACAAAGGCCACATTGTGTGTGTTAACCCAGGAGTGTTTTTATCTGTCTCTCATTATAATTAGAATCAGGCCTGCACCCTCATTAACTATTTCTCTTTCCATGGACATTGGAGAACCTGGCAAACAAATGCTTGAAAATGCACTGAGTGCAATTGACTAATGAAATACCAGTTTCAAATACCTATAAAGAAAAAGCTTAATGTTATACATACATATATATATAAAAACTTTTATGTTATATATATGTGCATATATATGTAACTTAACACGTATCTGTGCTTTACAAGTTATAAAGAGTTTTCATAGATACGGTCACATTTGATTTTCAAGAAAACATTGACAGACACAATTTTTAAATTAAACTTTTATTTTGAGATAATTGTAGATTCACATATAGTTATAAGAAATAATGCAGAGAGAGTACATATACTCCAATTGAGTTTTCCCTCAGTGATAACACTGCAAAAATGCAGTGCCATATCATGCAGTGACAAGATATTGATATCGATACAGTCAAGATGCAGAACATGTCTGTCACCACCAGCTTCCTCATGTTGCCTCTTCATAGTCACACCTACTCCCTACTGCCTTGCCCCCTCCTTAACCCTTGGCAACCACTAATCTGTTCTCCATTTTCATATTTTTGTAATTTCAAGAGTATTATAAATAGAAACATATACCATGTAAGTTTTTGCCATCAACTTTATTTCATTGGGATATTTATCTCGATATGTATCCAGGCTGCTGCATGTATCAGTGTAGTTCATTTTCTTTTATTGCTAAGTACTATTCCCTTGGCATAGATGTATCACAGTTTGTTTAATCATTCACTAGTTGAATGACTTCTGTGTTATTTCCAGTTTGAGGCTATTAGAAATTATCTGCTATAAACATTCTCGTTCATTTTTTTGTGGGAACACACATCATCATTTTTCTGGAATACATACCCAGGAGTGAAATTGTTGGGTTACATGAAAATTGCATGTTTAATTATTGTTAAAACTGCCAGACTGTTTTCTAAAATGGCTGTATTGTTTTACGTTCCCACCAATGATGTCTGAGTGAATCCGTTTCTCTTTATCCTCACTAGAATTTGATGTTGTCATTACTTTTTTCAGATTTATTTATTTTTATTATTTATGTATTTTTTTTTTGAGACGGAGTCTCGCTGTAGCCCAGATTGGAGTGCAGTGGCGTGATCTCGGCTCACTGCAGTCTCCGCCCCCTGGGGTTCGCGCCATTCTCCTGCCTCAGCCTCCCGAGTAGCTGGGACTACAGGCGCCCACCACCACGCCTGGCTAATTTTTTTGTGTGTGTTTTTAGTAGAGATGGGGTTTCACCCTGTTAGCCAGGATGGTCTCAATCTCCTGACCTCGTGATCCGCCCGCCTCGGCCTCCCAAAGTTCTGAGATTACAGGCGTGAGCCACCACGCCTGGCCCTTTTTTCAGGTTTATTGAGGCATAACTGACAAGTAAAAATTGTATACGTTTAAAGTATACAACGTGATGTTTTGATATAGGTACCACTACCAAGCTAATGAACATATTCATTACCCTACATAATTCCTTTTGTGTGTGTGTGGGTGTGGTGAGAACATTTAAGATCTAATCTCTTGGCAAATTTCAATATACAATACATTATTATTTCTTATAAACACCATGCTATATATTAGATCTCTAGAATTATTTGTCCTGCATAACTGAAACATTGTGCCTTTGACCAATATTTCTCCATTTCCCCCACTTTCAGCCCCTGGCAACCACCATTGTACTGTCTGCTTCTATGAGTCCAACTTTTTCAGATTTTACATAGAAGTGAGATTTACTGTAAGATCCAACAGTCCCACTTTTGGGTATATATCCAAAGGAAAGATGAAATCAGTATTCCAAAAAGATATTTTCACTCCTATGTTCATTACAGCATTATTCACAGTAGAAAAAAATATGACATCAACCTAAATGTCCATTGACAGATGAATGGATGAATGGATAAACACACACACACACACACACACACACACACACACACACACACATTTCTATGCACAATGAAATATTATTCAGGCTTTAAAAAGAAGAAAATCCTGTTATATGTAACCACATGAATGAAACTGGAAGACACTGTACTAAGTGAAAAAATCTAAGTACAGAAAGACAATGTTGTTAGTTTTATTTTAGCCATACTTGTAGGTATTTAATGATATTTCATCGTGGTTATAATTTGCAATTCGTTAAAGGCTAATGATGTTGAACATCTTTTTATGTGCTTGTTTGCCATTTGTATGTATTCTTTGGTGAAATGTACCCTCGCTTTTTTGGCTCATGTTTTAGTTTCATTGTTTGCTTTGTACTACTGAGTTTTGAGAATTCTTTTTATATTATAGATACTAGTCCTGTATCACATATGTGGTTTGCAAATGTTTTCTTGCTTTCTGTAGCTTGTCTTTTTTTTCCTTCTCAACAAGGTCTTCACAGAGCAAACTTTTAAATTATGAAATCTAATTTATTAATTTTTTCTATTATGAATGTGCCTTTCTTCTCGAGACTATAAACTCTTTGCCTAAAGCTAGATTCCAAAGACTGGTCCTCCTATTTTTCTAAAACTCTAATAGCTGTACTTTCTACATTAAGTCTGTAATTCATTTTGAGTTAATTTTTGTATAAAATACGAGTTAGTTTGAGGGTTTGTGTGTGTGTGTTTGTGTGTGTGTGTGTGTATGTGTGTGTGGGGTTTTTTTGCATATGGAAATCCAAAGTCCAAATGGTCCAGCACCATTTGTAGAAAAGGCTATCTTTCCTCAATTAAATTGCTTTTCTATGTTAGTAAAAAATTATTTGGGCATATTTATGTGAGTCTATTTCTAGGCTTTATTTCTGGTCTTGATTACTGTAGCTTGAAGACTGTTTTCTTTATTTCTATTATTTTCTTTCAAAATTGTTTTAGCTATTTTCTTTGCCTTTCCATATAAATTTTGGAATACATTTTCTGTTAATATTTTATATCTACAAAAATATTGCTGATATTTTGATAGGAAACACACTAAAGATGTCAATTCTTAAATTGACATCTTTAAGAATTGGTATCTTTTAAGAATTGACATCTTTACTATTTTGAGTATTACAATCTGTGGACCTGATACATCTCTCCATTCATGATCTTTCTTAATTTCTTTCAACAATGTTGTCTGGTTTTTAGCTTACAAGTTCTATATGTTGTTCAATTTACGCCCCAGTATTTCATTTCATTTTTGAGCTATGTAAAGGGTATTGTATTTTTACTTTTAGTGCCTATATGTTCATTGTTAGAAAATACGGAGATACATTTGATATTTGTTATCTTGTAGCTTGTGACCTTGCTGAACTCACCTATTATTTCTTGAAGTTGTTTTTATTTTGTAGCTTGTCAATAACAAATTAGAACAGTTTTCACTTTTCCTTTCTGATCTGTATGCCATTTATTTATTTATTTATTTATTTATTTATTTATTTATTTTTGCCTTTTTGCACTGGCTAAAAATCTAATACTATGTTGAATAAGAATGTGAGAGTGAACACTCTTCCTCGTTTTTACAAGTTTTTTATGGATGCTCTTTATAAAGTTAAGTAAGTTCTCCTACATTACTATTTTTGAGAGTTTTTTAAAAATCAGAAGTGGATATTTACTTTTGTCAAACGCTTTTTCTACGTGAATTGATGTAATTATATAATTTTTATTTTGTAGCCTGTTGATTTGATGGATTACACTGATTGATTTATGATATTGAACCATTTTGTGTTCATACAATAAACCCTATTTGGTCATGCTATTTCACTCATTTACTATGTTGTTGAATGATATTTGCTAATATCGCATTAAGCATTTTTGCATCTATATTCATAAGTGTATTAATCTTTAATTTTTTTTGTACTGTCTTTGTCTGGTTTTTGTATTAGGACAATACCAGCTTCAGTAAATGAACTGGAAAGTGCTCCCTCCTTTTCTATTTTCCAGAATGGAGTGCATAGAATTGGTGTTAATTCTTTAAATACTTGGTAGAATCCTTCATTGAAACCATCTGGGACTGAAAATTCCTTTTTTGGAGTTTTTTTTTTTTTTTTTTTTGAGACGGAGTCTCGCTCTGTCGCCCAGGCTGGAGTGCAGTGGCGCCATCTCAGCTCACTGCAAGCTCCGCCTCCCGGGTTCACGCCATTCTCCTGTCTCAGCCTCCCGAGTAGCTGGGACTACAGGCGTCACCGCGCCTGGCTAACTTTTTGTATTTTTAGTAGAGACGGGGTTTCATCATGTTAGCCGGGATGGTCTCGATCTCCTGACCTTGTGATCCGCCCACCTCGGCCTCCCAAAGTGCTGGGATTACAGGCGTGAGCCACCGCGCCAGGCCCTTTTTTGGAGTTTTAAAATTACAAATTCAATTTGCTTAATAGTTAGAGATCTATTCGCATTATCTATTTTATGGTTAGTGGATTGGGGTAGTTTATGCTTTTCAAGGAATTGACCCCTATTATCTAAGTTGTCAAATTATATGGGTAGAGTTGTCCATGGTGTTCCAATATCCTTTGATGTCTGCAGAGTCTGCACGTGGCATCCCCATTTCATCCTGATATTGGTAATTTGTGTTTTCACTCCATTTTTCTTTGTCAAGCTTGCTAGAGTTTTGTCAATTTTATCCATCTTTTCCAATAAACTGTTCTCTGTTTCACTGATATTTTTCCTATAGTTTTCTATTTTCAATTTTATTGATTTTTTGTTCTTATCTTTATTGCTTCATTTATTCTGCTTGCTCTGAGTTTATTTGGTTTCTGTTTTTCAAGGTTCTTGAGGTGGAAGCTTAGATTATTTATTAGAGAAGTTTCCTTTTTTCTAATTTATGTATTTAATACTATAAGTTTTCCTCTCAGCACTGCTTTAACTGTATCTCACAATTTGAACACGTTGTATTTTTACTTTTCTTCAGTTTAATGTATTATTTGATTTCCTTTTAGACTTCTTCTTTGATCTAATATAATTCAGAAGTATGTCATTTGGTTTCCAAGTGTTTGAAGATTTCTCTATTATCATTCTGTTACTGATATCTATTTGACTCTATTATAGTCTCAAAATATACTTTGTATGATTTTAGATCTTTTAAATTTGTTGAGGTTTGTCTCATGGCCCAGGATAGTCTATCTTGGAATAGGTTCTGAGGGCACTTCAAAAGAATCTATATCCTGCTGTTATTTGGGGAAGTATTCTATAAATGTCTATTCATTCCTGTCAGTCAATGGCATTATTTTATTCTTCTCTATCCTTGCTGATTTTTGTCTAGCTTTCCAATCAGTTAGTGAGAGAGATGTGTTAAAGTCTCTAACTATAATTATTGACCTACAGTTCTATCCATTTTGGTTAACACATTTTGCAGATCTGTTGTTTCGTGCATATACATTTAGGGGTGCTATGTCTTCTTGGTGAATTGATGATATATTGTTATTTAATGTCTCTCTTTGCCTTTGGTAATTTTCTTTGCTCTGAAATCTACTTTATCAACTATTGGTATAGCCACTCCTACTTTTCTTTAATTAATATTTGCATGATAAATACATTTCTATAATTTTAGCTTCAACCTGCCCATATCATTATATCTGAAGTAGGTTTATTGTAGACAGCATGTAGTATGGTCATTTTTAACCCACTCTTTCCAATATCTGTTTTTAAATTAGTATATTTAGACTATTTATATTCAACATGATTATTGATAAGTTAGTACTTAAGTCTACTTTTGTTTTCTTATTTATTTCTTCTGGTTCTTGTTTCTCTGTTTACATTTTTCTCCCTTACTCAAACATTTTTTTCCAAAAATTCTATTTTGCTTGGCCTATAGCATTTTGAGTGCATTTCTTTGTACAGCTTATTTGTGGGTTTAATGGATATATACATAAATTATTGCAGTCTACTGGTGCCACTATTTTATCAATTTGAATGATATGCTGAACTATCACCTGTCTTTTCATCTTTAATCCTCCTCCATTTATAATAACTATCTTAAATATTTCCTCTACATAGATTTAGAGCCACATCAGATGGTGTTATATAATAAAACATGATTTAGAAAACTCAAAAAGAGAAGGAAAATTTATTGTGTTCACTCATATTTTTACTGTTTGTATTGTACTTTTCCCCTTTCTGATTTCCAAGATTCTTTTATCATTCTCTTCCTGTTTAAAAAACATCTTTTAGGATAGGTCTTTAGGCAACAAATTCTCTTAATTGTACTTCATCTATGAATGACTTGATTTTCTTTTTTTCTAAGGGATATATTTTATTAAATATAGGATTCTGAGTTTGCAGATTTTTTTTCTTTCAGTGCCTGAACATATTATGCCACTTCAATTTTACCTTCATAGTTTGGAAGATAAATTTGCTATCATCCTTATTTTTCATCTATAAGTAAGATGTTTTACTCAGGCTGCTTCAACATTTTTTCTGTCATTAGCTTTCAAAATTGTAATTATCATGTATCTTGACATCAATTGATTTAGCCTTATTATTTTCAGGCTTTGTTCAGCCTCTTGAATCTATAGGTTTATGTCTTTCCACAAATTGGGGAGTTTTCAGCCATTATTTCTTCAAGTATGTTTTCAGTTCTTCCCTCTTTCTTTCCTTTCCAGACTCTGATATCATAAATACTAGATACATTGTTATAGTCTCACAGATCCCTAAGGCTGTGCTCTTTTTTTTTTCCTGCCTATTTCTCTTTTTTGCTCAGATTGGACAATTTCTATTGCGCTATCTTCCAGTTCCTTGATTTTTTCCTCATTCCCCTTCAATCTGTTTTTTATTCCATCAGCTGAGATTCTTATTTCAGTTATTATATTTTTCATTCTAAATCTCCATGTGTTTCTTTTTTATACTTTCTATTTCTTTGCTGAGATTTTCTATTTCTTGGTTGAGACTTTGCAATTTTGTTTCTGGCATTGGTTCTAATTGCTTGTTCAAACATTTTTATCATAGGTGCTTTAAAATTTTTAGCAGGTAATTTTAACATTTCTGTTTTCTCGGTGTTGGAATTTATTGACTATCTTTTTTTTCATTAAGTTTGAGATATTCCTAGTTCATGGCATGATGAATCATATTCTATCGAAACCTGGACATTTTTGCACCGTGTTACATGATTTACGATCTTATTACAAACCATTTGCTTTAATATTTTGACACTGCTTCAGTGAGATGGTAGGCACCACCTTGTTACTGCTAGTAGTTACCACCTTGTTACTGCCAGTAGTTACCACCTTGTTACTGCCAGAAGAGGTCTGGGTTCCCCCACTTTACCTCCAGTGACACCTGTGTGGTAGAGGCAGCGGGGAGGGAAGCATCTCATTATTGCTGGTTACAGGTTGGAGTTCCAGCTCCTCTAGTGGTCTCCACTGATGTGGTAGTGGCCTCATTACTCTAGGCAATAGTTAATGTCCTAAATTTCCAATCGGTTTCTTCTGATACCACCACAGTGAGGAAGGATAGAGACATCTTGCTACTGCTCGATGTGGTCCATGCTGCTCATGTGGTCTCCATTGCCACCATGAAAGCAGAGGGGAGCAGAGTGGGGATATCATTACTGGACAGCAGGGATGAAAATCCTTCCTTCTGACTTGGTCTTCTTTGAAGCTATCCTAGTCGAAGTGTTAGGGTTCCTCATTACAGACTCACGAGGGTGGAAATCTAGGCTCCGAGTTCATCTTTTACTGGTATAGATAGGTGTGGGGCCACAGTATTTCATGTGGTATTTTGTTGGAGAAGTTATTGTGTAAAATGTTTCTGTCTTGATAGGTTGCCTTTTTCCTAATGTTTGGCTAGAGAGAAGAAGCTTTTGTTGGAGCTTAAATTTTCTTTTCTTTTGTCTATTGGTATTTATAGGTTTCCGGCTTCTGCAGCTTCATGTCTGAGATACGTGAAGCAAAAAGGAAGCCCACGACAATTACTGCCATGTGATTTCACTAGGTCTAGGCATCCCGAACTGGCTTGTCTTTATATTTTCTCCTTTTATAGTCTTCTTACATTTGCCTAATACATAATGTCTGGGGCTTTTATTGTACTTATCAATAGGAATAGGAAAAATGTGCCTATGCCATATTCGTGGAAATGAAAGTCTGGCATGACTATCAAAAATAAATTGGACTCAGGAATGTTGAACAAATTGTTCAGGGTCACCCAGTTAGAAAGTGAAAAATCAAGAAAGAAATGAGTAATAGGCACTTTAGAGTGAAATGGTCTGAGTTTGGTTTCTAGATCTATCACTCATTCTAAATATTATTAGTAATTTTTTTTTTCCACAGGCCCCTTTGAGAATATGATAAAAGCTAAAATCTTCTCTTCTGAAAAACACACTTATGGCTGGGCATGGTGGCTCACGCCTGTAATCCCAGCACTTTGGGAGGCCGAGGCGGGTGATCATCTGAGGTCAAGAGTTCGAGACCAGCCTGGCCAACATGTTGAAACCCCTTCTCTACTAAAAATACAAAAATTAGCCGGGTGTGGTGGTGGGTGCCTGTAATCCCAGCTACTCGGGAGGCTGAGGCAGGAGAATCGTTTGAACCCAGGAGGCAGAGGTTGCAGTGAGCTGAGATTGTACCAATGCACCCCAGCCTAGGCAACAGGGTGAGACTCTGTCTAAAAAAAAAAAAGAAAGAAAGAAAGAAAAGAAAAGAAAAACATACTTATGCACATACATACAACAGTTTGCACTTCATTTGAGTTAATTCCATGAATTCTAGGTCAGGATCTCCTGTTTTGGAAAAAAGCATGTTGTAGGCTTGTATGTGAGGAAGAGAGAAGCCACATTTATAAGAACAGAGCAGAGAATCACATTCTGAAAGGGAGTTTGCTGGTTCAAGTGTGGCTCTCAGAACGAAGAGGCTCTGAGGACTTGAATGAGTAGAGGACAACCATAGGGGCATCATGGAGTGCCAAGAGCAGTGGTTTTACTAGAAGATGCCCGTCTTCATCCCCACTCACCGGAGGGATGACTCACCTGTGCAGGCAGCTCTGCCGGGCTCCTCTGTATGTGTAGATTATCATCTGTTAACTGATGATCACCATGCTGGATGTGCTATAGCAATGCCCTCAGGGCTCTCTGGCTCCAGAGCACTTCTGGACCCTTTCTGGATAGGAAGCAAATGATATTGCTTGGACTTTGCAAATGGACTTAAGCACACCAGTGTACCCTGAGCTGGGGACAGAGGTAAAAGACTAGCATAAAGTTTGACATATAGGACAACAGAAAAGAAAGGTTAAGAAGGCTATGAGGGCTACAGGAAAGAGCAGTCAGATAAACAATTTGTATTTTAGCATTTACTAGCTAGGTGGCCTTGGATAAGTCACTAATGTCTTTGAATATCAATGTCTTCACCTGTAAAATGTTGATAATAATATAAATAATAATTATAGATTAATAATTTCACATCATATAGTTTTTACATGTAGTGAAGAAGATCATACATGCAGAGACTCTTTGTGAATTGGAAAACACTATACCAATATTATTTTCTAGGTCTAGCTAGAGATTATATACTTCATCCAGGAGTAGAATTTTACGTACATAATTGTTACCTTTTGTAAGATATTTATGTAAAGGATTGATGTGAAAACGTATAACAATTCTATGGTAAAACCATGATCTAGTTTTCTCTACTTAGAGAAAAATGTCCTAGGGAACATGGGTACTCCCCATAGAGAAAAAATATGTTTCATTAGAGCAGATGGCTGAGGAGAAAAAAAGTAGAGCATAA
Organism: Homo sapiens; assembly: GCF_000001405.40. Classification (NCBI taxonomy): domain Eukaryota; kingdom Metazoa; phylum Chordata; class Mammalia; order Primates; family Hominidae; genus Homo; species Homo sapiens. The sequence continues at coordinate 30,597,039 of NC_000003.12, forward strand.
TAAAAGGTATCTATAAAATTAGTCAAAACACTGAGTGTTACAAAAATAGTTCAGTGTTTTAACTGTCTTTTAGGGGTTTGTTTTACACGTGGAGGCAAAATGATCATAAAAAATATCAAAGGCAACCTCTCTGAACTATTTTTTTCTGGAATTCTAAAGAACTGGCAGCATTCTGAGAGCCTTTAGGTGAGGAATGACTAAGTGAGAAACAGACAGTTCAGTTTTTTATAACTTAGAGACAAGCATTTACCATTCTAAACAATTCTAAACAATAACCAATGAGTCTATTGTCAGGTTCAGGAAGGAGGCAACCCTTTGAAATGCCTGAAGGTAAAAGTGGCACAGAGTGTTCAAATGATTCTGTTGGTTAATAATTAATATCCTCTGGAGACTTGCGCAAATGATTATGCAAGAGCACATATCACACTGTGCATTCCTAACCTCTGATACACTAAAGCATAAGTGTTTTGTTACCAAGTATTCTTTGCAATCTTTCTTAGCCATTAATCTAAAGTTTCTGCATTTAGAGAGCTGTTGTGAATTGACCAAAGTCAATTTGTCATTGACAAATATTTAGTTAGGTTTGGTAGATGGGAGGAGTTAGAAATGGATAAGAACTCAAGGTCTCCCCACATCCTTGCTATCCAGGTAACATTTAACAATAAAAATAAATCTCAGATTGAATTCCTCAACATGTACAAATTTTTATTAGCAAACCTGCATGGACCTCTTCTGTAAACTAAGTGAAGACTTTACTCTTGATCCTTCAGCATGCTGTGATAGTATTTTGCAGGAAATCACCACTTTAGAAAAATGTGAAAATTTTTGAGCAGTAGGATACAGTTAATCTGAGATCAAATGTCAGAATATTACAAAAATGGCTTAAGACAGGACTGGATACTTAGGGCTATGGCTCTACTGGAAAGGATGTAAGATTTTATGCCCTATTCATGTCACAGGAGGCATACCTGTACAATCCTGTAAGCCAGTCTTTATATTTTGAGCACAAATAATGGCCAAAATGAAAATGTATTTCTCACCTCCATTATGCAAATTAACAAAGCTTCTGGAGTTGAAAGAAGAATAGGATTGGCTGAAGCAATTCCAGAAGCTTTCCAGGGGTACAGCCTTTTGAGAAGACCTTTCCAAATGCTACAATATGTTTGAAATATTTATTTTTGATTAAGGTACAAAGTTTTTCCAGTAAATATCAAGTATTTATTGAATATAATTAATGCATATACATTGTATATGTTTTAAGATGTGTAATACCATTAATTTGAAGTACATGCCCATTAAACAGAACTCTTAAAAGTGCTAGTATCATCTTTTTTCTGATAGCAACCAAATAAATCCACCTTAAGGTAAATATTTTTAAGTCAATTAACCCTTATTGGTAAGTGGCTTTGTACTTTTGAGAAATGAATAATTAAAACAATTTGTTGTAATTAAAGAAATTGATTATGTTTGATGAAGTGTCTAGCTTCCAAGGTTTGTGTATAGTTTGTTTAATAACTATTAAACTAAGTGATTGTGGCACTTGGAATATAATGTCCAAATAGGAGTGTCATTATTTTTAAGGAAGCACATACTGAGTTTGACAAAAAGATTTAAAACGGTTTATTGTAATTTTCCTTCTTAAAAAATTAAGAATTCGAGATGAATGTTTTACCAGGATGAAATTTATGAATGTAACTACAAAGGATATAAAGTCTCTCTCTGGAAATGAAATCTGTCTTCATTTGTTTTTACCATTTTCACTTTTACAAAGCATTTTTCATCATTTTAAGAGGAAGTTCTGTGCAGGTGTTTAAATTCTGTGATGAGCATTATGAACCTCATTTTGTGGTCAGGCATTGTGGGCAATGCAGATTTTATTTCCTAAATTCACAACTTTCTAAGTCCCAATTTTTAAATATTACAAATTATAGAGTTTATTCATTGAACCATCCTCTTATTCACTAGTATTCATTGAGCAAAAAATATGGATCAGGCACAAGAAGCTAAAAATGCTAAAGACACAGTCCCTGCCTCAGTAAATCACAGCCTAGTTGGAGAGACTGAGAGGTGGCTGGTGTCATGGCAGCAGATGACAGAGTGGCTTAGAGCCTGGGCTCTGCAGCCAGTCGTATTGAGCCAGAATTCTGACTCTGCCATCTCTTAACCTCTCTCTGGTTCAGTTTCCCCACCTATAAAATGACTATGTATGATGCTATCTACCTCATAGGATTGTTGCGAGGACCAATGTCATTTATTCATACAAACACTCTGAATGTTGTATGGCATGTAGAGATAAATGTGCCAAACAATACATGTTGTCTAGAATTATTATGTTAAGTGTAGGTTGCTTTGAGAGCTGTCTCCTGCTAGAATATCTCTTTATGTCACTCTGTGTCAACTCAGATACCAATTCCTACCAGACTGAACTCTGTATGATCTTTTTAATCTATTGACTTCCCCCTATTCTCACAGTCATGACTTTGGTTTAGACTTTGGTTATTTCTTACTTGTTTTCCTGACAGTCTTATGTCCTTGGATGCATTATCCAGACTTTCTAATCACTGACTGAAAAATCTTATCTGATTATCTGTTATCATCTCCCTCCCACGATCAAAATCTCCTTCAATGCCTTTTTATTATCCTCATTCTGAAATGAAACACAGGGCCTCTCAAGCTCAAGTTATGCTGGGCCACTCTTGGGTGTTGAGATTCCTTATTAGTGTGTAAAAATAAACAAATGCTAAAATTAAAATCACAATATGTTTTACATTTATGGGTTTGTAACATGGAATCACTTTAAACATATACAATATAGAAATGTGTATAATTGTGCAATTCAAAGATAACTAAAGAAACCATGCAATTCTCAATTCATAGTTGATGTGACTATGTATTTGGTACACAGGTTAACAGCTTATAGTAACTGAAATGTCTTCCTTTTTCAATTTAATCAGTGGATTTCTCTGTATTAGAAATGATTTGGGCTGGAACTAACAGTTTATGCAATATCAATTAATTATTTCTCATAGTTCTGCAAAATGGGGATCATCTTGCTGGCTCTACTCCTCCTGGTATTTGCTGGGGCTAGAAAATCCAAGATGGCTTCTTCACTCACATTTCTGGTGCCTCAGGTAGGAGGGCTAGAATAGAGCATAGCTGGCTGGGCATTTCTTTCTCCATGCGGCCTCTCAAATGGCTAGCTTGGGCTTCCATGAGGCATGATGGACTCTGGGTATTCAAACTTCTTACGTGGTAACTGATTCTTTTTTTTTTTTTTTTTTTTTTTGACGGAATCTCACTCTTGTCCAGGCTGGAGTTCAGTGGTACAATCTTGGCTCACTGCAACCTCTGCCTCCTGGGTTCAAATGATTCTCCTGCCTCAGCCTCCTGAGTAGCTGGGACTACAGATGTGTGCTACCATGCCCAGCTAATTTTTTGTATTTTTTAGTACAGACGGGGTTTCACTGTGTTAGCCAGGATGGTCTTGATCTCCTGACCTTGTGATCAGCCTGCTTGGCCTCCCAAAGTGTTGGGATTACAGGCGTGAGCCACTGCACCCAGCCCTGATTCTATTCTTTTTTTTTTTTTTTTTTTTTTTAGAGACAGGTTCTCACTATGTTGCTGAGACTGGACTCAAATTTCTGGGCTCAAGCAATCTTCCTGCTTAATAGCTCCCTAATAGCTGGGACTATAGGTGCACTCCACTGCATCTGGCAAAACTGGTTTCTGAGAGAGAGGAAGTCTCTTTTTGAGGCCAGTCCCAGAATTGGCACTAATGGTCAATGTCACTCCCACTACATTCTGGTGAAAGGAAGTTACAAAGCTAGTGCAGATTCAAGGAGAGGGAAAATAGACTCCATCCCACCTATTATTATGCAGAATAATGTGTGAGTACAGTGAAAAAAGGAGGCGATGGTGGCCATCTTTACAGACTATCCACCATACTCAAATAATGTCTACATTGAGGTAGTTGCTGATAATGATTCAGTGGTTCTACTCTGATACTTTTGGCCTTCCTCTCATTGTTGAAAGGTGATTGGAGTATTTCCAACTGTTTTATCCTCTTCCAATTATGTTCAAAGCTAGGAAACAGGTGAGTCCTTTTCCTTAGGCACTTCTTTCTTATCAGGTAGAAAAAAAATTTCCCACAAGCCCCCATCAGATTTCTTCTTGCAGCGCTTTGACCGGACCTGGATTACATACCCACCCTTAGACAAGGATGGGCCTTTTCCTTAAGAGGAGCTGCATCCAAATCCTAAACAAAATTAGTGAACTAATGGCAAGATGGGAGAGAGAGTGGATTTTAAGTAAACAAGGAATGGAGGAATGGTGTTGGTCATTTTCTTTTTAAATTTTTTTTTCTTTTTTTTTTTTGAGACAGAGTCTTGCTCTGTCGCCCAGGCTAGAGTGCAATGGCGTGATCTTGGCTCACTGCAAGCTCCACCTCCCGTGTTCAAGCGATTCTCCTGCGTTAGCCTCCCAAGTAGCTGGGATTACAGGTGTGTGCCACCACGCTCAGCTAATTTTCGTATTTTTAGTAGAGACAGGGTTTCACAATGTTGGTCAGGCTGGTCTCGAAATCCTGACCTCATGATCTGCCTGCCTCGGCCTCCCAAAGTGCTGGAATTACAGGCATAAGCCAGCATGCCCGGCCCATATTCTTTAACTGTATGTACAATTTAATTTGTAGATGATCCTAAAAGTCTAAATTGGAGTCCTACTGTCTTCCTCATCTTCAGCCCCCATAACAAACCTCATGATAGTTTTTGTCTATAAGAACCCCTTTGTAGTTTTACCACCTGCAAATTATTTAACCTTGCTTTTCCGTGATTCCTCACCCTTCACATCCCTTATATCTCTTAGCTATTGCCTCAAAAATTCTGGATAACAAACCAACCCAAATTTTTCCTTAAACGGCATTTACTTATTCTTACTCAGACTCATATGGATTGGCTAGAGGTAGGCTTGAGATTGGCTGATGGAGGTCTGGCTTAGATTCAATCAGGAGGTTGGTCCACATCTGTTCCACATGTCTCTCCTCCTCCCTGCATTTGCTGGTCTTTAAGTGCCTTCAACTGAAAATAATCAGTATACCAAAGCAGCATATTTTGGAGTGGCATTTCCTGAAATCCTTCACTGGTCAGGTGGCGAAGATCAACCACCTGATCAATTTGTTCTAGAGTGTAGAACAAGTCTGGAACTAGACAGGACTAAGTTCAAATCTGGGCTCTGTCTTTTACTAGCTATGTGACCTTTGTCAAATACTTAATCTCTTTAATCCTCAAATTCTTCATTTGTAAAGGGAAGATTAGAATAGTACTGCAAGGACATGCTCCAAAATTTAACAAGGATTATCTTTGGATAATAGGGTTAAGAATCCTTTTAAAGTCTGCCTTTAAAAAAAAAATCTAAATTTCCTACCTATAATTAACACGTATTACCCTTGTAATTTTCAAAAAGTTATTTTTTTCAAAACATACTATTGATGCTTTCTGTAAACATGTGGCATAATTGCAGGTTCTATTAATATCTGTGAAGAACTGCAAACAAGAGAATGGATTAGGAAAACTGATATTCTTATTTTTCTCTCTATTGAAGACAAGAAACACACACTGAATACTGATTATCTGTAGAGCACGGAGTGTGGTTCTACATTGAAAAAGGAATATTTTGTGCTTTTAAGGGCTTTACAATCATTAGGGTAGAATTCTAAAAAGCAAATAAATAACAATAATGTACTCCATGTTAGAATGGGGCAAACATTTTTTTTTAAAAAAAGGCTAAATAAACGAAATGTTCCCTGGGTTATCCCTGGGAAAGGAGTGATCACAGTAGGTGAAGCATCACAAAATATTTCCTGGAGGAGGTAGCATCATGGATGACCCACAAAGGGTGGATGACCCTCACAAATTAACTACAGTCTCAGTGCTTATTGGTTTGCTTCACAATAAAAGGAAAATTGGTCAAGAGATAAGAGCTGAGAATGAGGCTGGTTAATTTATAAGGAGAGGAATCTCCCTGTTAACTGCTCTAGCTGACAGTAACCTCAACAGCTGCATGTCACAAAGCTCAGGGGAGTAGGAAGTTCTTCTCTCATCACAACTGAGAAACCCAACGTTTAAATAAACCACAATTTGATTCAGTTCAATTGTGTGTGTTTGTGTGTGCGTGCAGAGTTTAAAAAGCTGGTAAAATAGATTGTCAGCTTTTAAAATTTCTGTTCAAGTTGATATTTATTGTTTTTCAACTCATTAAGGGCTTAAACGTTACCTTCCTTGTTTTTTAAACCCTGAGTCGGGCTATTATTTTTTTGTTCCCATTTGCAAATGGCCCAGTTTTTTACATGTATATATTAACTGCTTATGTGAATACACAAAATATTATACTAAGCCAAATATACAACTATGTGTGAAAATGATGTCTTGATTAAGGGTATCAGACATCCCTTTCAACAAGAATTTCAAAAGGAAGGGCATCATGACAATTTTTTTTTCTTTTTCTTTTATTTATTTTTTGTTTTTGAGACAGGGTCTCATTCTGTCTTCTAGGCTGAAGTGCAGTGGCACAATCATGGCTCACTGCAGCGTTCGTCTCCTGGGCTCAAGTGATTCTCCCACCTCAGCCTCCTGAGTAGTTGGCACTATAGATACATGCCAACATGCCTGGCTTTTTTTTTTTTTTTTTTTTTTTTAGTAAAGATGAAATCTCACTATGTTGCTTAGGCTGGTCTCGAACTCCTGGGCTCAAGTAATCCTCCCATCTAGACCTCCCAAAGTGCTGGGATTACAGGTGTGGACCACTGCACTCAGCCTGATGAATTTTTAAAATTATCAAATTGCAATATGCATGAGTTTACACATCTATTATTTTTATTATGATGATTTTCAAAAGGCTAGCTTGCACTTGGCAATGCTGAATTCTGATTCTTCTCAATTTCACAGGAGACTGGAGATTAAATCAGAAATGTTAAGGGCAAACAAAATTAAAATCAACATTAATGATGTATCATGGCAAAGACCACCAGTTAAACATTCCACCATAGATTTAAATATCTAGCCTCCAACAATGTAAAACATCTTTGTGATAATTAAGGAAAACAAAGCTTTTGGAATCTATTGGACATTTATTTGCCACATTGTGTTTTCAGGAGAAAGAAAGTACATGTTTGCTATCTGGAGGAACTTGGGCAAATGTAGGAAAAAAAAAAGAAGAAGAAAGAAACCCACATACTTCTCCATTCTTAAGAAAAGGAAGTAGTGGTGACATCATTCTCGGCTAAAATGTAGTCTGTTTATATCTCAAATATTCGGTAACAATGTTTTCTCCAGAGTTATGAAGCAACTAGAACAATCAAATACAATTTTCTTCTAAATCTTTATTGCCTGATTCATTCATTCATCCAACAAATATTTATTAAACATCGATTATGTGTTTGATGCTTAGGGACACAATAGTAAGTGGAGGGAAAGATACATAATACCTGCCCTCAAGAAATTTGGAGTTGAGTGGAGGATAGAAATATAAATTAAAGAATGACACAAATAATTATAAAGTTACAGCTGTTAAAAGAAAAGCATATGGTGCCAAGAGAACGTGTAATACAAGATCTACTCATGGAGGTGAGGGAAAGCTTGCCCATCAAAGAAGTTATGATTCAATCCACGAAGACCAGGAGTTGGCTGGGTGAAGAAAAAAAGGTCAGAGGAAGGAAGTCCACACTGGGGAAGGCTCTAAGCATAAAGGGTAGGAGGATTACAGAGGCATATTCACGAAATTTGGAGAAGGCTTTCAGTAAGCAAGGAGAAGCCAAATGAAAGTTTACGGGAGAGTTGGAGGCTTGAAGACACGTTCAAGGATCTGGTTTTTATCTTCTCTTTATCTCAAGAGCAGTGGGAAGCCATTAAATGATTTTAATCAGAGGGTTGGTATAACTAGTTTTGTATTTTGAAAAGCTGAATTCAGCTCTCGTTTGAGAAACTGAGTGAAAGAGCCCAGAACGGCCGTGGCTGAGGGTGACTCGTGGGAGACTCCTACACAAGCCATGGCAGTGGCATGGGCTGGTGGCAGAAGAGGGAATAGGGAGAAGATTTGGAACTCAATCTTCCTCCATTGACAAAGTCACTCCAGCTTTGGCAAGGCAATTAATTGGTGGGAAAGAAGATGCCTAGCCCTCCTGATTTCACTGCACTTTCTGCATCTTCAACATGAGTACTGGGAAGTGGCAAAACATCCAGAGGCAGCTTGGGTGCTAGGTGGAGCATGAGTTAAAATTCCAGGATGAAGCAAATGAACACTTAGAATGACAGGAAAGATTTGGGAGTTGGGTTTGGGGGAGGGCTATTTACCTTTATTCCCTGGAGACCCTGGCACAAACCCTTGCCTCTGCAATCTTCCTCTCAGGTAAAGGAATTCATTAAATGAATTGCTAGAAGATCTACTGACCAGAGGGCTGTACAGAATCATATCTTTGAGAGTGGGAAGTAGGTTGATCACATAGTTTATTATCCAATCAGGACATATCTGAAAGAGAAAGGGGGTTCTATTAATATTTAAACTACAAAACATGTACACCAGGAATGTCTTGGGCAAATCTGGTTGCCCTAGCAAGAAAGGAAATTTGAAAGTTTATACTGTTCTGCTCCCATGTTACCCCGTTTGCACATGAGAGGGTAAGTATTCTCTTTCTTCACCTGCATTAAGGGAATAAAAGCACAAGCATTCAGGTGACTCCCAACCCACTTTTAATTTTACAGTTTCTGCTATACTCTATACATTCTGAAAATTACATTTCCCACCACTATCACTTCGTGATAGGTGATCATTTACAATTACTCACTGACTCAGTCCCGGGAAGAGGCGGTGCAAAATGGGACGCTCTATCCAGGTGCTCATTAGAAATGCAGAATCTCTGCCTGCCTCCTAGACCTACTGAATTAGAATCTGCATTTTTAAATAAGATTTCCAGGTGATCAATATGTACATTAAAACTTGAGAAAAACCTCTAGACTTCGACCTAAAGAAAAACATTTTACAACTTGACAGTGTATGCACATACATACATGCATATAGACACAACTGAAGCACAAATTTAATGAAGTAGAATTTACCGTTACTATTTTATTTGGGAAAGAAATGTGCTCGCGACTCAATAGATTGGAGTATTCACTCCTGGATCTCAACTTGCAATTTGAAAACGCATCTCTAAAGCACCTAGGAGCAATCTGAAGAAAGCTGAGGGGAGGCGGCAGATGTTCTGATCTACTAGGGAAAACGTGGACGTTTTCTGTTGTTACTTTGTGAACTGTGTGCACTTAGTCATTCTTGAGTAAATACTTGGAGCGAGGAACTCCTGAGTGGTGTGGGAGGGCGGTGAGGGGCAGCTGAAAGTCGGCCAAAGCTCTCGGAGGGGCTGGTCTAGGAAACATGATTGGCAGCTACGAGAGAGCTAGGGGCTGGACGTCGAGGAGAGGGAGAAGGCTCTCGGGCGGAGAGAGGTCCTGCCCAGCTGTTGGCGAGGAGTTTCCTGTTTCCCCCGCAGCGCTGAGTTGAAGTTGAGTGAGTCACTCGCGCGCACGGAGCGACGACACCCCCGCGCGTGCACCCGCTCGGGACAGGAGCCGGACTCCTGTGCAGCTTCCCTCGGCCGCCGGGGGCCTCCCCGCGCCTCGCCGGCCTCCAGGCCCCCTCCTGGCTGGCGAGCGGGCGCCACATCTGGCCCGCACATCTGCGCTGCCGGCCCGGCGCGGGGTCCGGAGAGGGCGCGGCGCGGAGGCGCAGCCAGGGGTCCGGGAAGGCGCCGTCCGCTGCGCTGGGGGCTCGGTCTATGACGAGCAGCGGGGTCTGCCATGGGTCGGGGGCTGCTCAGGGGCCTGTGGCCGCTGCACATCGTCCTGTGGACGCGTATCGCCAGCACGATCCCACCGCACGTTCAGAAGTCGGGTGAGTGGTCCCCAGCCCGGGCTCGGCGGGGCGCCGGGGGTCTTCCTGGGGTCCCCGCCTCTCCGCTGCGCTTGACAGTCGGGCCCGGCAACCCGGCCCCCGGGCGGAAACGAGGAAAGTTTCCCCCGCGACACTCACGCAGCCCGACTCCCGTAGCTGCAGGGATTGTGAGTTTTTCTTGAAAAAGAGAAGGAAAGTTCAGTTGCAAGGGGCGCGGGGCACGTTTGGTCCCCTTTGTGCGAGCAGGAAAGGCGTTGTGTTGGCCGCGTTCGAGGCGAGCCCCCACCCCCGGAAAGGGAAGTTTGAGAAGTTGGTTATCTGAAGGCGGCCGGGGAGCAGCGGCCCGGAGCGGCAGCCTGAGCTGCCAAAGCAGCCAGCGCACCTGGGCCACTCCGCCCATGGCGATGCCGCGTGCCCACCCAGCTCTTTCTGAGCCACCCGTTCAAAAGGCCAGCTCCTCAGTCCTTAGCTCCTGGAGACGGCCACGCTTTCCCTCAGGCCGGCTTCTTGGCCCGGAGTTTTTGGAAACAAGTTTCAAGAAAATAATCGATTTCCAAAAGAAAGTTAGCTGGCTCCACTGACGCCTTGGCATGGATGGATAGGGAGTGGAGATGCTCAGGTGAAACCGAGAATCCCTCACTGAATGCCTACTGGGTGCTAGAGGCTGTAGATTTTGCCTGGAACAAGATAGTCCTGTCTTCAGGGAGTTGATGGTTCTATGCAATTATCGTTTGTTGGAAACCGAAGGGTTAAAATCCTAACTAGGCTACCCACCTGATCGCTGTCTCTGAAGGTTTTTAAGGAAAAAATAAAAATAAAAAAATATATATATATATTATATATATATAAATATATATATAATTATATATATAAATATATATAATATTAATATATATATGCATGCAGGAATGGGGGTTCTTAACTATTTGTTATGGAAAGTGTAAAACCTCTGAGACTTCAAAAGTTAGATTTTTTTTTTTTGGAGACGGAGTCTCGCTCTGTCACCAGGCTGGAGTGCAGTGGCGCAATCTCGGCTCACTGCAACTTTGCCTCTGGGTTCAAGCGATTCTCCTGCCTTAGCCTCCCGAGTAGCTGGGATTACAGGCGCGTGCCACCACGCCCAGCTAATTTTTGTATTTTTAGTAGAGACGGGGTTTCACCATATTGGCCAGGGTGGTCTCGATCTCTTGACCTCGTGATCCGCCCACCTTGGCCTCCCAAAGTGCTGGGATTACAGGCGTGAGCCACCGCGCCCGGCCAAAAGTTAGACTTTTTGCAGCTATGATCCAAATAACAGTATCTGCAGCTGTGGTCTGGGTAACCGAGTATTTGGGCAAGTCATAGAGCTTTTTCTGGGCCTTAGTTTCCTCATCTGTAAAATGGCCAGCTTGAATCTGGGTAATTTTACATCATCTTCATGTTTAACATCTTACGTATCGTGCCCCTCCCCTCCTTTCCCCTGGCTCTTCTGGTGACTTGGAGATGACCCATGTAGACTTTGGATGAAATGTAGAGGAGTTGACAGTCCACATCACCCGGAGGCACTCATTTTATTTATCCAGGGACATGGGCAGATTTACCTTTAGGTTTGTCTAGAAAAAATGCGCATCACGGTCAGTTGTAAATTTTAGAGTGTTTGAAGTGGATTGGGAACTTTTTAAAAATTATGGCATACATTGAAGGTGGCATGGAGATGGAAGCTTTTAATCAAATTAGGAAGAGGCACTATTGCAAGCAAAAAGTCTTGACACACATTTGAGTCCTATGGTTTTAATAAAATCTTAGTGTTTCGTTCTTGGCGTTTTTCCTGCATTGCAGTACCAGAATGTTCAATTGTCTCTCATTTTCCTCCAGACTTTTAAAACCTAAGTGACATTTTGCTAATAAATATTTAAAATGGCACCCTTAATTTTCTGTGGATGTTAAAAATCATTACAACTTTTGTTCCAGATTATAAAAGAAGGAAATTAGCAGGCCCTGATGTTGTTAGTTAGGTTCTGTTTACAAGGATAAGGTTTATGATTTGCAAATTCCAGACCCAATAGTTCACGAGTCACTTTCATTTCATCAATATACACACTTTTAAACAATTAGCTTAAAAACGTGGTGGCTTTTTATTTGGGTATTTAGACAGTTTTACAAGGCCCACAGATTTCATATTTTTATAGAACTGAAGTTTCAAAATGGTTGAATTAATGAATCATTTTGAATTTGTATTCATTTGATTCAAATTAAATTTTCAAAGTTGGCCAATGGTTGAAGACAGATATATTGAAGACGAGAAACCTAATTCTACTTACATTTTAATTTTTCATGTAAGTAAATAGTTTCAGAATTTCTCTAACGTAATTGGTAAACTGAAAACATTTTTTCAAAATATCTTAATGCAAGATAATATATCAGGTAATGAGATTGTTTAATAAACAACAAGCTCCTTTTACGTCACCTAAAAAGGCCCAAAAATCTGTCTTCTGTTTAGTAGCTTCTGTACTTCTGTTTAGTAGTATGCAAAGGATTTAAATAAAAGAACAAATTTCACTAAGAAATAGAAAGTTTTTTTTTCTTCGTTTTTGACTTAATAGATTCACTCTTCCTAAATGATCAAAATTAAGAAATGACTCTTTTGGGGAAAACTGTAAAGTGCACAATAACTCTTCAGGTCTGAAAAATATGACTTTTCAGGTTCCTGGAAGTAGATAGATTCTTATTGAGGACAAAGAATTTGTAAAAGTGTCATAGTGATCAGGTTCTTCACATCACTTTAATAACCTGCTTATTTTGTCAGGGTAAGAGACTAGACATCATTAGGCCCCAAATCTGATCTTCAGTCTACTCGTGCTTTTTTTCCGCCTCATAAAAACACATTTCCACCTTTAGGCCACTCAACATCTTATTTTTAATGAGTTATGATTTATACAAAATACTAATCACATTTTGAACTCATTGCCTTCTTTTCAATGTAGCATTCCCTAATGATGACTGTTGTCTATGTAGTCAACATAACTACTACATGTTTTCTACTCAGTTATGAACATGACTTTTTAATTTTTTCAGTAAGGTTAGTTTTTAACTCTGGATCAATAAGGCACCTCTGATATCATTGCAAAAACTGGGCATTTTTTCTTCTACCTTTTCAACCATATTTATTGAGTATCTCTTGCCAGGCAGGATGCTCAGACCTGGGATACCATCTCAGATGAATAAGACAGACCTGGTCTTTGCCATTGAATTTAACAGCTGGGAGCATGTTATAAGTAAAGAAAAGGATACGTGTTTTAACTGTTTATATTTGAAAGCATTATGGAATACTGGTGTTTTATTTTCTACACCTCATTTTCAAAAGCCTCATTTTTTTTTGTTGTTGTATGCACTAGGAGGATGTGCATGTTGAATGTTTCCTTCTAGGTCCCATTGAATGTATTTTTGAATCAATTTGTTGTCTCTTTCCTATCCCTGCCTTGTCACGGAGCCCCAGTTGGGCAGCCTTTAATTGCATTCTCCATTCCATAGCCAGCATGATGGACCCAATGCGTTCATTTAGTGCTCTCTTTGAGGATAGGCTGGTGGTAGAAGAGTGTAGGGTATAAACTTTGGAATCAGGCCGTCCTGGGTTCCAGACCCACTTGCCATGTACTGGCTGTGTAGCCTGTTGTAGTTGCTTTACCTACTAGTCATCCCTGGTCTCATTTGTAAAATGAGGATTATGGAGTTATGGTGAGGATTAAATAAAATATTGTTTTAAAGTATTTAACATGGTGCCTGCAACATAGTAAATGCTCAATAAATATCAGCTTCTGTTATTACTATTAACTCCTTAATTGGGCTTACCAGGGGCCTCTGACCTGGTTCCCATTTGACTCTGCTGCTTCACATCCCACCACAGCCCACATTTTCCCAGTCTATTTGTGTCACTACACATACACACAATGTGAGCAATTTAGGCAGCTGTTCCTTTGTTCAGGATGTCTGGAACTCCTGCTACCTGGCTAATTTTCACTCATCTTTTAAGACGTAGTTCAAGTGTCATCTTCTTGAGGAAACCTGCTTTGAATGTCCCAGTTTGAGGTAAATGTCTCCTATGAGATACAGACCTCTCACTTAGCTGGTAACAATACCAAGCCAAAGTCATATCTTTACGTAACTCTCTTGCCCATTATACCTTTAATCCTCTCAATCTTATTCAGTTTTCTATCTCTGGGATCTCTGGCAGTGCCTGACACATCATTTAGCACCCAGGAAGTGCTGAGCTGAGCCTCCACTTCATCCTACTGTATCTAATGCAACTGAGGTCGAGCATTTAACTAAGCAGTCACTGTTTGTTAGGTGTTTGGTCCAAATAGTAAAATCTTTACTTTCAGTTAGAATAGTTTTAGTTCTGATCACAATAAGTAATTTGACTGTTTTTGAAGTATGGAATTGGTTCTTGTATTCTCATGAAATATGGAAAAAGATGTTTCAACTTCTGACAAACATGATGGAAAGCTGCTAGAAGTTTTCATGCAATTCCTTTAGCCATAAATTTTGAATCAGTGTAGGGCCTTGAAAGCCACTGCAAAATTTTAAATAAAGTCACCAGAGGAATTATCCAGTAGATACTGATTCCTCTTTTTTTTTTTTTTCATAGAAGGGTGTCGGAAAGAGAATTTTATTACGAATGAAGTGCTAAAATCTAAATTTATTTTTTAAGTTTCTTTTTTCATTGGGTTTTATGTTTTGGTTTATAAGGGTGAAGCAGCGTTGGTTGAAGGGAAGTGTGGTCTTGTAGCCACCACTGCCTACTCTAGAGTAGCGTGGATATTATTTAGGTCTGATGCAAACCACCAAAGCAGTTTTAAATAGGGTGCAGGGGAAACATACTTCCTGGCTACAGCATGGCATTATTTGGCCAAGTTCCACATAAAAGCATAACTCTGTTACCTTGTTAGCTTCTACCCTCCAGGTCCTTATGTACAACTTCAGCAGATTTAAGTTATGATTTTCAGTAGAACAGATATGCATTCGCAGCAAGAATGCTCACCGCTTCTTTTGCACTCTCTACTTTCCTGGTAATATTTTGCTCCACAGGTACTTGTTGCTTGTGACTGAGGCAAGATAATGACTCATACTTCTTTGCTTGGCATGCCAAAGGGTTTGGAATGCTGGACAGGCAAATTGTCTCATCTCAGGGAGAAGGAAGAGAAAGACAATTAACATTTGAGAACCTACCCTGAGACAGCCACTTGATATTATGTATCTCATTTAATCCTAGGAAGAAATCTCCAAGATAAGTTTTATTATCTTTATTTTATGGATGGAAAGATGGATCCTGCTCAGGGTCTCTCTGGAGTTTTGCCTGGGTGCATGTATGAGTGTGTGGCCCAAGCTTCTTGTGCTTGCATGCTGCTAGGTTCTTTCGTGTGGTCTCTATGTGTGTATGCGTGTGTTGGGAGGGAGGCTGAAGAGGGGTGAATGGATATCAGATTTGAGAGAGGGGAAGCTTACCATCTAATGTCATCAGTTCAGTGCTCCTGATTTAATTGATTTGGTTTGCTTGCATTATCTGCCTCCTTCCTGACTACATTTGTACCACAGAAAATCAAGATAAGGCAGAGTTTCTTTGCATAAGGAAACTCTACAGCCCACAGTTTGACAATGGTGTCTTAGTGGTAGGACTCATGGTGGGTGACCTGTGGTTTGGCCACTTATAGCAGTTGGACATACCCCATTTGCAAAGATGTGTATTGTAAACCCCAAATTTTGAGTGTGTAGGACAATCATTTGTGTACAATCGTGTACAACTGCTGATGAGGGCAAGAAGAGCCGACTTTATCCAACATAACAAAGAAGAAGGGGACAGTTTGACTTTTGAAGGGGACAATTTGAAAACTTATAGGAGGTTAAGATTCTCTTCCTCACCCATTACATCAGGAGTACTTCTGCCTTTTACTTGCCACAGTCAGCTTTCTAGGTCTTAGCACCCAACAAGTAGCAACTATCCTCTTGGGTGTAGTCAGTTTAGTCTACTTATGGCCTCCTGCTTAGACTCTTAAGGGTTCCCTAGCATCTGTGTTTTGTTTGTAGGTTTGAAGCTATCATTATTAGATGAGATTTAGCTTCAGGGCCCGTACCTATGACTGGGGAGATTCTATCTGGGAAAGGTCAAGACATGCAGCTCTTTTTTTTTTTTTTTTTTCTTCTCTTTTCTGAGGGAATATTTTCCTCCAATTTTTTTCAGCTCTACAACTAAAATATAGACCTAGTATATGAACACAACTGGCCTCTGTCCTGGGCCTTAGATGGTACTCTGCTGTCATTCTTCTCTGGTCAGAGCCATGCCTATGGGGTGAGGTGACTTTTGGGCCTTCCAGTCTTACTCTCTTTTCATTTTTAGACCATGATTTGGTTATGTGGGAACCCACATTCGCTGTCCAGAAGGCCCTGAACTGGTATCTGCAGTTTGCATGGATCCTTGAAGCCATCTTCCTGAAGGCTGTCATTGCTACTGGTTGTGCAATCTCTGCACGAGGGTTGTTTAAGGGATAGCTCTGTGTGTGTGTGTGTCTGTATGTGAGAGAGAGAGAGAGAGAGAGAGAGAAAGAGAGAGAGAGACAGAGAGCGAGCTTGGGTGTCCACATATCACAAGGCCCCTCTTGATGTAGGATGGAGCAGGCAGGGGGGAGGAAGGCAAATTGATTACCAGGGCTCAGGATGATGTCTCTCTTTAAACCACCCATTTCTGTGGAAGGACTATGAACATTGTAGGAGTTCTAAAGTTGTACCTGGTCTTCCAAGACATTGAAAAGATATATTTGTCAGTCTAGGTAGAAGGATAACACCTATTTTATTGAGCAGTTTGCTAGCTTGATTTGTAACTTTAAATGTTTTGACTTATGGTACATGGGCCTCTATTTGCTCACTTGCCTTGGGCCTTCCCATGTTGGGGGTGGATCTGCAGCAGCAACATTCCTTTGCAGAGATGTTGGGTAGAAATAAGTTTTGGTTAATTGTACCATTTTTTCCCTGGAATAGACAACATTGAACATTAAAGAAAAAATGAGTTACTTTGTAGACATAGTGCTCTATTTCCTTTGGGAAATGTAGTTTTTCTTAGTTTGCGTTGTCCTGAAGTGAACTTTAGCTCTATACTTTTTTTCTTTCCTTTTTTTTTTTTTTTTTTTAGATTTCCTAGTGCCCTAGTTGCATTTCTTCTGTGTATTGAGAGACCACCAGGCGGGCAAGGTGAAGTTTATCTGAATGTTTTTTCCTCCTATTGTAAATATTTTATTTGAACCAAAAAAAGGCTTGGTTCTTCTCAAGCCTCTTTAAAGAAAACAAGGAAAAAGGCTTCTCAGTGCTTTAGAAGATATAAGATTGTCAAAACTTCATTTTAGAGAACTAGGGATTTGGTTGAACCAACATGAATGCCTTTGAAAGAAGATATGGGTTGGGTGCATATTTTCAGTATATGCTGCAGCAGCTCTTTATTAAAGTATAAATCATTACGAAGTCTTCATTTCCTATGGGGCGATAACACTGCTGCTTTGTGGATGACTACCTGTCACGCCCAAATCCTGCAAACTTTTCTACATAGGGAAATGAAATTGGGCTTATTTCCCCTGTAGCTTTTCTCAAGAGACTTCATGGACTAATTTCCCAATAATCATAGTAGCTACCACTTATTGAGGTCTTGCTACTGCACGGATCATGCTGAGTACTTCAGGTGTATTAACCCTCAAAACAACTTTAGAAGGTAGGTTATATTATGCTTATTATAAATCCTCCAGAGTCAATAAATTTGCCTAAGTCCACCTAGTTAGAAAATGATTAGGCTGGGGTTGGAACCAAGATGGTCTGGTTTGGGGATCTAGATTCCTAATTGTTATACTGTACTGAGACTAGTCTGCCTTAATTGACATAAACTACTTGTCCATTATAGCATGGGTGTTGGAAGACTAGAGGTTAAGAGAAATAATAATATCCAACATTTTTCTAGTGTTTTAGCATTCTTCATATATTATCCCATTGCATTTTCTTAGTGTAATAAAATAACACTCGGTTTATACACCAGGTAGTCAAACATCATGCCTGTCTTGTGATCTCAATGGAAAAATGAAGTGTATACCTCAAGTGATACAGTCTTGGCTGAATCATGGAACAATTATGCCATCAGGAAGTTTAGGTATTCTGAGTAAAACAGGCACTTTATTTGAAAGGACTGGGAGACTTCACAGATGCATCAAATATGTTGAGGATATAAATGCCAGGCTCAGGTGGATTTACTGTGAAGTGCTTGAACTTAACCTTCAAGGCTACCTATACCCTGGTATAGGTCCATCTCCTGGCTCTAGGAGAGGCCCTGGCAATGTGGTTAACAAGTGTCATCAAGTCAAATACTACGAAATCTTGCAGTGCCCTGAATCTTACAGCTCACATATAAAAGAAACCTGATAAAAGTTTTCCAAATTTGAAGTCAATCCAAAAAATTTATATGACATTACCTGTAATGAATTATGAAGCTGAAAGGAACTTTTCCAAATTATTCAAGAATAAATTACAAATTCTGATCTACATTTCTAAAGGGAAGACTGAATTATTTTTCTATTCTCTCAATAGAGAATATTGCAAAATGTTATTGGAAGAGATGATCAAAGAGTGTGCAACCAAAAAATATAGGAGAATTATTTCAGAGGTATGGCAATCAGTTAATAAAAATATTTGTTTTTTAAACACTTCATATTTGTAGTATTTATAGCTTTTAAAAATTTGTTGTTTGTATGATACTATTTAAAATTTTTTTTCCAGAGATGAGATCTCATTCTGTCACTCAGTCTGGAAAGCAGTTGCATAATCATAACTCACTGCAGCCTTGGAGTCCTAGGTTCAAGCAGTCCTCTAGAGTAGCTCGGACTAAAGGCATGCACCACCAAGACCGGCCAGTTTTTTGTTTTTTGTTGTTTTTTAATTTTTGTAGAGATGGTGTCTTACTATGTACCAAGTCTGGTCTTGAACACTGGGGCTCAGAGGAACCTGTCCACCTCTGCCTCCCAAAGTGTTAGGATTACAGGTGTAAGCCACTGCACCCGGCCTGTATGCCATTTTAATTCTAAATAAATATTCACTTTATTCTTAATTTTATATTCACTTTATTCTTAATTTTGTATTCTTCTTCTTAAAGAGTGCCCCTGAAATTTACAAGCTTCAGATTCCAAAGACCTGAGTCTTTGACTAATGGTAGGATTTGTTTGTTGGTTTAGAAAATAAATGTTAAAAAATGCCTCTTCCTCCTTCCCCCCATTGCAAACAGAGACTGAAATCTGCATTGTTATTTCACAAAACCAAAATATTTTTCCTCCAGGTTTAGCTAAACCCTTCATCATTTTCCTACTTTAGAGCCCCATGCCAAGTAGAAAAGAAGTTGCAAAGATGTAATTATCACAAACCTTCATCTTGGATGAAAGATAACCTAGCTCTGACCCTTAGTTTGAGATTAGAAGGACTCTACCTAGGAGACAGCTGGTAAAGACTAAGGTATGTTGTACCAGGAATCTAGGTGTCTGGGTGACCAGGCTGTCTTTCTTCCCACTGGGGCTCATTTTCCTTCTATACAGTGACAAGAATTGGACTAAATAAGATTTCCAGTATTTTCTCTTCTGAAACATTTCATTCTTTGTTATCCCTGTACTATTTTGTTAGTAGAATAAATCATTGAAGTTGAGTTAGAAAATCTTTAGCTAATCAAAATAGAAAACTAACAAAAGTCATGACAGGTCAGAACTGAGAAATACCACAGACTTCCACTGGTGTTCATTGGAGATGACTACTATTAAAAAAAGAGAAGAAAAAAAACCATAGCTATTTTGAAAATTTCCGACTACAGGTGTCTGAGCATACATCCTGACTAAATAGCATGTTTACTTCAGCTAGAGCTCACTCCTTCCTAAATAAAAGGCTTACTTGGTTTTGGTGGTAATATTATTCCTCTTTGGTTAATTATGGTATTTTCATTCTCCCCTTCCTCTGAATTGGTTAAAATGTCTGTGAAAATTTTTCCTAAGGTAGAAAGTTATGAAATGCTTTGCTATGCCTAGGAGATGTAAAGCCTAAAGGAACTTTCATATTTTTTGGGAAAAAAAAAAAAGGAAACTTGTCTAGATATAATTAGTGTTCTGTTGCCTTTCAAATATTTCTCTACCACTTTTCTTAAAATATTCTCAGAAAAGACAGAATTTGCAACAGATTGGCAGTTTTCAGACTGCTGTTTTAGGCAGGGGAGTAGCTGCCGCAACCTCTAATTGCATTTCTGTAGAGTTTGCAGACACTTGTTAGCGTAGACTAGGAATCTTTCAACTTTTGCTGTGAGTGACTACCTTGTTACTACATATCGGATTTGCGTCTCATTCTCTAACGCTCATAGTATTGGGGAAGAAAAAAAGACAATATGATATAATTTGTCCTTCAAGTATGTGAAAAGGAAAAAAATCTAATAATAACATTTTATGTTCATTATTTTGGAATCCCTTAAGTTATATCATTATAAAATAATCTAACAATCTCAATACCCCTGGGCACTCTTACTTTTATTTTTATAATTTATATTGTTAGAATACATTTCTATTCTCTTAGGCCTTTGTTCATTCTACTTTCTCACTTCTTTAGGAGCCTCATTCCTTCCTGAATATTACATTTTATGAGTTATTATATGCATCAAGGCCCAAAGCTTGAGCTCCAGCATTCTGACCCCGAAAATGATGGTTTCCTATCATCTTCTGATAACAGCAACTGAAGATGTTCTAATACCTTGCCGCTTACAGGAGGTCTGGCATCACTGAGAATTTATTGGAAATGAGGATTGTGGGTCCTCTCCCCAGACCTACTGCAACAGAATGTACACTTTCACAAGGTCCCCAGGTGATTCCTGTACACATAGCAGTTTGAAAAACACTGCTGTAATAGCATTAAAGCATGTTCCAAAGAGTAGCCAAATGATCTGCAGTGGTTTTAGTGGATCACATCAGGCTTGTTTCTGTCAATAAAGAAGAGGAGAATTCAAGGAAGAGTTGGCTTAGTTTTATGAGAGTCTTTTGACTCTTCCTAAGCCGTTTTAACTAAAGCTAGCAGAAGACAGAAGGCACTGGTAGCAAGTCAACTAAATGAGTCAGTTTTTAACCAGTCTGTTTCCCCAGTCATCCTTCATGAGTCTTTTGTCCACTGATTGTCCATCCCTTGACCATGGTGAACTGTAGAACCCAAGGACCCATTTCTTTTTTCTTTCTTGTTTTTTTTTTTTTTTTGAGATGGAATCTCGCTCTGTTGCCCAGGCTGGTGTACAGTGGCGCAATCTCGGCTCGCTGCAACCTCTGCCTCCTGGGTTCAAGCGATTCTCCTGCTTCAGCCTCCTGAGTAGCTGGGATTACAGGTGTGCACCAACACACTTGACTAATTTTGTTGTTGTTGTATTTTTAGTAGAGACACGGTTTCACCATGTTGGTCAGGCTGGTCTCAAACTCCTGACCTCGTGATCCGCCCGCCTCGGCCTCCCAAAGTGCTGGGATTACAGGCACGAGCCATCGTGTCCGGCCCCAAGGACCCATTTCTATATCGAACTCACTGCATTAATCATGTTTACCTCATTAGGCATTTACTCACAGATTGCCTTGACATATGTAGGCCCTAATTCATTCTGGAGCTATTATACCACAGCATTTCTTAAAATAGGTAGCACTCTGCTCTATACAAAGTAGGTACCCAATAAATTAATGATTCGATGACAGGTTTTCAGGAAGTGGTTTTACTCTTCAACATTTTTTAATCCTCTTTTGTCTTGAGGAACTTATTTGTCTGATGCTCAGTGAAGACCCAATAAATTTCTCTTGAATTGCTCAACATTTGTTTTAGACTTTTCTGAGAGTGCCACTGTAGGCTTTTTCATTGATTTGCTCCTTTATTTTAATATCATAAGGCAGCTTTTTGTGACTTAGTTACTTTTGTCTTCCAGAATTATGGGTCCCTGTCAGTTATTAATGCTCTTAATTAACAGTAGCCACAATAACCAGTCCTTACAAGCAGTTTCTGATGTTTCCAAATAATTTTATTTTCTGACTTTTTTTTCTTTGCCTTTGACATCTGAACTATACTTGGCAAGAAAAAAAAACATAAAAACTTTCCATTGCAACTCATATCTCATGGTGATTCCTGTTGCATCAAATCTTAAGTTATCCATCAGAAAAGTTACGCAAAATCTATAACCATTTGGTTTTATTTTTGCCCTTGAATTATGCTACCGTAACACAAACCTGAACTCTTATATTTGTCATCTGTAAAAATCACCTAATTGGTCTCTGCTTATGGACACCCTTTGTTCTTTCTCTGTCAATAACACAGGCATTGCCCTCAGTTAAATCTCCCCCCAGATGGCATTTTGAATAGCTGGCCTCTGTTAGAAAGCCTTCCATGGATTTTATGAATCCTAGATCATCACATGGCCTTCCCTTTCTCTTTGAGCATGGGGGCTGCCTCAGTGTCCCTTGGCTCCTAAGAGAGTGCCTTGTGCTGATGGGACACAGGACCAGTTTGATGACTACGTGCACAGATGAAGCCAAACCTCTTGCCCATCATCTATTCCACCCTTCACATCCCTCATGCCCTGGTTCCACTTGAACCCAGCTGCCTCACACATCCTTTTTGCTTACAAATTTCCTAGCTTGTGACCATTCTCCACCACCTCCCCCCAAGTTTTACCATTCTCTATTTGTGCCCTACAACGGCTCCACCCTTTGAAATAACGCCTGGTCTAAATGTTACTTTTTCTAGTGGGCCTTCCTTGATTATCCATCCCACTGTGATTCCTTTTCCTGCCCATAGCCTCTCCGACAAGCCTTGCATTCTCATTCATATGACCTTGTTTGCCAAGCTACCTGTGCTGTCTCTGTGTGTTTTAAACTATTTTACTAGCCAGGCGTGGTGGCTTATGCCTGTAATCCCAGCACTTTGGGAGGCCGAGGCGGGCGGATCACGAAGTCAGGAGATCGAGACCATCCTCGCTAACACGATGAAACCCTGTCTCTACTAAAAGTACAAAAAATTAGCTGGGCGTGGTGGCGGGTGCCTGTAGTCCCAGCTACTCGGGAGGCTGAGGCAGGAGAATGGCGTGAACCTGGGAGGCGGAGTTTGCAGTGAGCCGAGATCGCGCCACTGCACTCCAGCCTAGGCGACAGAGTGAGACTCTGTCTCAAAACAAACAAAACAAAACAAAACTCTTACTAGAATGAAAACTCTTTGAGGGAGAAACTTCTGTCTGATTTTGCCATAGCTCTTAGCACAGATTCTCACTAATTCTGTTTATGTGTTTTGTTTGTTGCTGTTTGGAATTCATTGCTTTTAAAGGCCGAGGAAACTTGCTTTTAGATCCAAGGCGGGGAGTGCTATTTTTTTTTCTCCCAGATGGCTTTTCACCACCAAGTGTAAATGTCAATGGCTTAAAGCCACCTGTAGTATTGTTTGACAGAACCATAGGCTTATGGAAAATCTCGTATGATCTGCTTTGTGTAAATTGTTCTTTACAGTGGAGACTTGCTCTGTCTGCAGTCTTTAGTTTCTGTGAATTTTGGGGAGCTGTGGTGTGTGGGTGTTAAGGTTAATTTTCCATCCATCACTGGCTCTGCCTTTGATTCATTTATTCTCTCATGTGTGAATCTTTTGCAGAAGGCTCAATGCATTATGACTATAGAGACCAGGCAAAGTCATAAAGTAAATCACACCATCTCACGCAGGACAATTTTTTGTCACTCCTGCCTTTTCTCTTTATGAGTCATAGATGATTTCAGTCATTGGGATTGCTGGAATAGGGATGGCTGAAGGGGTCTTGGTGCAATGAAGAGTGCCTGAAGATACTCTTCTACCTACCTGAGGGTAAATAATCCCATATTGCAAAGGTGACCCCTGGTTGTACTTTTTGGAAAGCCCTGTTAAAATGATACATGCTAAGGAGACTTAAATATGAGGCCTTTCTTACCTGGGTGCTTAATAGGAGTGGGTTTCTAAGGATGGTCTTGAATTTGGCCTTCAGCCTTCTCGTCCACCATAGTCCCCATCCATCCTGAATAAACATGCAGTCTAGGTACCACAAGTAGTGTTCTCTTGTGCAAGCACAGCTTCCAGCTGTGTTGCCTGCCTCCCTTTCAGCCAGATCATCACCCATGTAGCCACTCCTCTATGGGAATTCTGGAGCTACCACTGACATCACATTACATAGATTTGGACTGGTAGTGCCCTACCTGCTCTATCTATAGAGGAAAAGGAGATGAAATAAGAATTTTAATATTCTTTTTTTTTTTTTTTTTTTGAGACAGAGTTTTGTTCTTCTCACCCAGGCTGGAGTACAATGGCACGACCTCAGCTCACTGCAACCTCTGCCTCCTGGGTTCAAGTTATTCTCCTGCCTCAGCCTCCCGAGTAGCTGGGATTGTAGGTGCCCACTACCACACCTGGCTAATTTTTGTATTTTTAGTAGAGACAGGGTTTTGCCATGTTGGCCATGCTGCTCTTGAACTTCTGACCTCAGGCAATCCACCCTCCTCGGCTTCCCAAAGTGCTGGGATTACAGGCATGGGCCACTGCACCTGACCAGAATTTTAATATTCTTAAGTCTTAATATTCTGTGGCACTTATTGGAAATGGTTGAAATATAATGCTTTTAATTTAGCATGTCATTGGTTCACTCTCAAAACTACTGAAAAGCACTTATCTTTCAAGATTTTAATGATGATGTTGGTGAGGACGTTTGTGGTAAGTAGATAATCACTTACATTATTCAGCACTTTACAAAGCATTTTCACAAACTCTTGAGTATTGGTTGTTATCAGTTTATTACTGAGATGCCTGTGGTGTCTTCAGGGGACAGGAGAGAATATGTTAACTTCTTGAATAACTGCTGCAGCCGTAGTTAGCCCCCTATGAGCCAAGCCTATTGGCTTTGTTACTCCCAAGGTATAACTTATTTCATATATATAAGCAACTTGACTAAGTATTAGATGTCTGTGTAAGCCATTTTCTGTGAGTCAAAACAATTTTGTTCTTCCTTATGTCTTTCTTCAGAGGTACATCTTTAATAAGTTCTGGGAAGGGAAGTGAAAAACAATGCTTGACCTCTGATACAATGTACTGTTTTGATTATGATCAGCACTTTAATAAAATTTATCATCAAGAAAGTCTTTGGAGTGAGCCCCTGAAAAGCTTGGGAAAGTGATTGATATGGTGTCACTTTTCTTAAATTACCTTCCCATGTTGCTTTAGATGACCAGGGAGGCTAACTTCACTCTTGTGCTCTCTAAATTGAACTGTCCTGAAGTTTTAAGAAAATGAAATGATCAGACTCAGCAGTTCAAGATTGTGTTGGTTGATAGCAGCCACTTAGACCTCAGTTCACTATGGGTTTCTGTGTACTTTATTGGTGGTCACCAAGATGCAATGAAAGGTCCTGATTTTGTGAACATTTCTGCCCACACCCTTCTTTGGTACATACCTTTTGAGAATATGTAAAATGTCTTTCATTGTTAAAATAGCTGTTAAATAATATTAAAGGCAAAAAAAAAAGTCATGAAAATAGTCATTTGCGTACTTCTTCAGGCAGATAGAAAACTAGTACCAGCCAGTGCAATGGCTCAGGCCTGTAATCCCAGCACTTTGGGAGGCCGAGGCAGGCGGATCACGAGGTCAGGAGTTTGAGACCAGCCTGACCAACATGGTGAAACCCTGTCTTTACTAAAAATACAAAAATTAGCTAGGAGTGGTGGGACACGCCTATAATCCCAGCTACTCAGGAAGCTGAGCCAGGAGAATCACTTGAACCCAGGAGACAGTGGTTGCAGTGATCCGATATCGCACCACTGCACTCCAGCCTGGGCAACAGAGCGAGACTTTGTCTCAAAAAAAAAAAAAAAAAAAAAAAAAAAGAGAAAGGAAAAAGAAAAAGAAAAAGAGAAACTAGTACCAGGAAAACAGAAAAAAGAAGTGATTTGAATAATTTCAGTATGATTGAGACATATGGGTGAAAGATCACCAGAGGGAAAAATGTCTAGTCTGATAACTTTGAAGAAAACATATTGACCATGTCTAGTTATAATAATCTTTTAATAATCTCACAGTAATAGAAAGCTTCATTATTTTCAAAACAGTTTCACTTTCCTGTCATCTGTAATTTTAAAAACAGCTCTCTGAGATGGATATAATTATCCTGTTTTACAGATGTGGAAATGGAGGCCCAGAAAGATGAAATCATCTGCCCCAGCTGTAATAGGACTGCCCATCCACTGAGACATAGTAAAGTATCATTAATTAATCTTTTCATCATTTTTCTATTTTTAGTCATGCTCCCTCACTGCTTAATTTGTAAGTAAATCTAAGATAAAAATCTATAGTCTCCTCGTATTTTCATATTTTCATAGCTAAATTGTTAAAGAGGCGATGGCAGTGTACTCATCAGGAGACTTGTTCTTGCCTCGAACATTAAAAGCCCAATTTAAGACTGGAGAATTTCTTCTTTGAGGGTTTTGTCCACCCATCATAAGAGATTTCAAACTATGTAATGAGTCATTTTACTTTTCCCCTTTTCTTATGGGGACAGCTTCTCTTTAATACACCGTGTGGTCTGCCCTCTTGGAGGTTGTGTCACCATTATCAGTAGACAAATGCTGCCATGTGTAAAAGGCTATGCCAGTTTCTGCAGTCCTGTAGTTTTGCCCCTCACTAGAACTTCAAGTTGCTTAACCTAATCAGGAATACGGGCATCTTTACATAGGAAGTGCACTTCTTCATCATATAGACATAGAGGTCAGGTATTATTATCTTTGGCTTCCTTTCTCAGAAATTCTTAAACATGAATGTCTGAATAAACATACAGAGAAGAGGTTGGGCGCTGTGGCTCATGCCTGTAATCCCAGCACTTTGTGAGGCCAAGGTAGGTGGATCACCTGAGGTCAAGAGTTCAAGACCAGCCTGACCAACATGGTGAAACCCTATCTCTACTAAAAAATACAAAAATTAGCTGGGCATGGTGGCGGGCGCCTGTAATCACAGCTACTCGGGAGGCTGAGGCAGGAGAATCGCTTGAACCCAGGAGGTGGAGGTTGCAGTGAGCCGAGATCATGCCATTGCACTCCAGCCTGGGCAACAGACCAAGATTCCATCTCAAAAAACAAACAAATAAACAAAATATAGAGAAGAACAGAACAAGAAGTGTTTTGAGTAGCAGAACACGACTCACACAGACATCTAATATTTAGTCAAATTGCTTTTATATAAAAGAAGGTATACATTGAAGAGCAACAGAGCCTACCTCTATGACTGACATTTTCAAAGAAAATGGCTAAGAATCACTTTGATGGCCAGGCACGGTGGCTCACACCTGTAATCCCGGATCTTTGGGAGGCCGAGGAGGGCAGATCACGAGGTTAAGAGATTGAGACCATCCTGGCCAACATGGTGAAACCCCGTCTCTACTAAAAATACAAAAATTAACTGGGCGTGGTGGCACGTGCCTCTAGTCCCAGCTATTCGGGAGGCTGAGGCAAGGGAATCACTTGAACCTGGGAGGCGGAGGTTGCAGTGAGCTGAGATCGTGCCACTGCACTCCAGCCTGGCGACAGAGCAAGACTCCGTCTCAAAGGAAAAAAAAAAAAGAATCACTTTGATTAGCAGAAACTATTTCACTTGCCATCATAGAAAGCTAAGCTATACTTCTGCTTTTCTACTACTAGCTTTATATAAATGTTATTTTTCTTGCAACATAAAAGAAAAATTGAGTCATATTGTTTTATTTAATTTTTCTTGAAGAACACATTAAATTAGCTCTCACACTGTGGTGTGGACTTCTTTCTGTTTTCCACCAGTGTTCTTCAGGGTGATTTTTCCAGTGGGCTTGATTAGGACTGTGTGGATCATTGTGATGCTTTGTTCTCAGTGGGGATTTTCCAGCAAAGATGAGCTTCATTAAACAATGACTGGGTTCATGGATTTATAATTGGAGTGATTTTCTTCAAACTGTAATAAATTTCAGTGTTACCTTTTTCTGAACGCCCTTTTTAAAAGGGATTCCATAGCAAGTCTTCTGGAATAATACCTTTTATATAATTCTTTAAAAACTGTAATTTTTACATACTGATTCCTGTTAAGGCAGATGTTATTGTATCAAGAAAAGACTCAAATTTTGAACATATTAAAAATAGTGTTTCTTCAGATCTGGTGGATAGGTGATGCTCAATATATATTTGTTTAATGGAATAAAAAAAGAAAAATATTAAAGATCCTAGGAAGAGAAATTAAGTTGCAGGGATATATTGCTTGTGTAACGTCTGTTTAGCATTGCAATTTTCTGAAGGGAAGGCTATCCACAACTGTTAATTCTGATCTAAGGAACTATTTCCCTTCTTAACTTCTTTGCTAGGTTATCTAAAGGGAGATATGCTTTCTCACATTTGTTTCCTTGAACTTACTTTTAATGTTGCCTTGTAGGGTCAAAACTTTAGAAATACAGCTTTCTCAGGAAACTTGGTCCTCAGATCTTTCAGACATTATCTTCCTTTAAGCTTATTGTCCTCTTGGGAATTGGCAAAGGATTCCCACCCTTTAAAAAGATAGGAAATTGTAAAATCCACACTTAAAAATTAATCTAAAATTATTTTTCAGGAAGAATTTATACAATGGCAACTAAATGCCCTGCAGCCAATTATGTTTATGATTCCTGCCTCATCTCCAAATGGTACTAGAGTTTGAGTCATATGAGAAAATTAATTGGGTTGGGCTTGATTGTACATGTATATGTATATAATAATGTTCTGGTTATAATGCAGTTTGCAGTTTTTCTAGTTACAGCTCAAGGCAAAGATGAGAAGCAACACCTATGGGCCTGACTGCCTCTGTCCAGTACTACCATGCCCCATCTCTAACTACTACATTTTTTCCTATTGAATTCTCCAGTCCATGTAGCATAAGTCCCTTCCTGAACTCAGTTTATTTTTCTAACCCTGGCTGCACGTTAGGATCACCTGCGAACTTCTAAAAGAATTCCAAAGCCTGAGCCAAGCACCTAGAAGTTCTGACTCATTGCCCTGGGGTAGGACTTTGGCATCATTATTGTTTTAAAAGATCCCCAGATGATTCCGATGTGGAACCATGTTGAGAAACACTAATCTAGCCTAACCCAGTGAGGTTACAAATGAAGAATTTCACCAGAGAGGTCAAAGTACTTGATTTCCCACAGCAAAGAAATTCCATTTACTGGGTTGAAAACTCCCATCTGTTGACTTTAAATCCAGCATAACAAATATGAGCAAGGTTTTAGAAGGTTTTGGAAACTCATCTGCAGAACAGAGCAAATACAGGCCTATCTAAAAGCATACCTCACAGTAAAGATGGTTAAAAACCAAAACCGGAGGAGGCAGAGTACTCTTGGTGGGGCTGGTAGTGGGGGGAATGGATGATTTTCCAAAAGAGAAAACACTTGACCTGGGTCTGAAAGGCTGGGTATGATTTAAGGCAGGCACTATTGTTCACTTGTTAGCCCCAGGGCCATGCTACTCCACTTCCTTCAAGGAAACAGAGGGAAGCCGGCAAGTGGCTGCCTGGGGTGTGTGTCCACACACCATATAGAGGCAGTTCTTCAGCTCTGTCAGCCATGGCCAAAGCAGGCAGTATTTGAACCACCTTGGACCACTCCTGAGGGGCAGCATCAGACACCAGGCATCCTTTCAGACACCATTCTTGGAGTCTCTTCCCTCCATCACGTAAACCTCACAGCCAACAGTGAAGGCACTGAACTCCTTCCAGGGGCTGAGCAGGCTGCCTTGGGCATGCTCTTCTTGACCTTAAAATCCACCTGATAGATCTGGTAGGGAGGTAGAAATTTTGGTGGTAGGAAAGCCAGCAATTATCAGGTCAAAGGGTTTCTGATAAAAGGAGTTATTCAGCAGAAAGGTAATCAGATTATGGGAGCCTTAAGTGCCAGTTTGGGCTAAATTCTCTGAGTCACTGGCAGATTGTAAGTAGGGGAATGACGTAATAAAACCACTGCAAAGCCAGGAGTTTGTGATGGGAAGATAGGAAATCCCTTTCTTTTTTTCCCACATGGGAAATAAAAATCTAAAGATGTGTGGGGAAGCTCCTTAGAGTGCCAGGACTTTCAGTATCCCCCAATTTATCATTAGGTTCTGTCCAGACCTCGTTCCGCACACAGTAGCCTAGAGACACCTCTGGAATAAGGTGTGACAAAAAACAAGGAAATAAATTTATTAATTTTGGAAAATGCCTTCTTTTTCCTAGGCCTCCCTCATAGACATTTTCCTGACAAGTCCCCACTTCAGGTTTCAGAAAGAGATGCACCATCGTTTGGAATTCTGAAGAAACTCAAGTTTCAATTGAGCTGAGTCTCAGTGGCATGTATTTTATTACATCTAATGCCATTTTAATGTACTTGAAACTGGGGAGATGAGGGCAATTGGTACACATGTGTAAACCACTACAAAAAGTTCACCTGAGTGTAGAAGGTAGCCAGTAGCCTAAAAACCCTGTATTTTGGAGGCTGTTACTTCATAATCTCTATTATGAAATTGGGAAAAATTATGTAATTATCTCTCTAAGATGGTCTTAGATCCACTGTTCAATAGAACTTTCTGCAGAGATGAAAATATCTTATACCTGGGCTGTGTTAAGGTTTAAGGACAGCACTGGTATAAGATATTTTCACCTTTGCAGGAAGTTCTATTGAACAGTGGGTCTGAGACCATCTTAGATGATACATGTGGCTTGAAACGTAGCAGGTGCAAATAAGGAACTGAATTTCAAATATAGATATATTTTTATTTCAGTTAACTTGAATTTAAATAGCCACAGGTGGCTCTTGGGTATCATAATGAATAGGGCAGTTATGGAGCATCATTAAAGTCCCCATTCTTCTCAAGTCCCAAAGAGGTCCGTTCAGGTAATTTCTTAGCACCTATAATCACAGTGGGACAGATTAAATTACTTGTACTTTTCCATTCCTGTGCTTTGGAATTATAGGCTGTTTCTTTGTCCTGGAAACCAGATAGTCTAATGTTTGTGGAAATACTACTTAGTAGTGCACTGCAATTATAATACTTTATTGTAGGAGGATGCAGCCAGGCCTTTTTTTTTTTTTTTTAATCATCTGTGTTTTTAGTTTTAATCTTAAAAGGATTATAAAAATAGTACTGCCTTGTGGGAGAAAAATATGCTTAAAGTCTATGAGCATGGAGTGGTAGGGATTATAAACCGTTACAAACTTCTCCTGGAAATTCTGGGGAAAGGGAAGTTAAAGCGGCCAATAGAAATCTCCTAGGAGAAAACTTGCCCTGAAGGGATGCTTTTAATTGGGTTCAGTATTTATCAGAAGAACCCTGCAAAAGTGGTTTCCCTGAAGGCATTTGGATTTTCCCCTGTGAATAAATTTCACCCACCTTGGTCACCTCTGTGCTGTATTCTCCTAGAAACTCACCTTTATTTGGCATGCTGTGACTTAAATCCTCCAAAAAAAAAAAAAAGCCTTTGAAAAAGCCTGTGGGTTTTTTTTTTTTTTTTTTTTTTTTTCTCTAAAATGTTAATTTCCTTTCTTTAGGCTTGTGTGGGCTTTGACTGGAAACTTAATCTGTGTGCCTGGGCTCTGCATTAGGTTTCAGTCATTGAAATGGGGCTTAATAAGAATTACTTGATACCTTAGGAGTCAGACGAGCCTTACATTTATCTTGGGCTCAGGGATTTGCATTTTGAGAGGTTGTGCCAGCTGACATGAGCCTTTACAGGTTTCAGCTTGTTGCAAACCTAGTTGGGTCCATTTCTCTCACTTCTGAGACCTTTTGCTGCTGCCACTCATAGCTAACGTGTTTTCCATGGAACACTACTCCTTGTCCCTAATTGTCTTCTCTCCCTACCTCAGCAGTGACACTACAGACAGCCAGTCATTTAATACGAGACTCATTCCTTAAGAAGTTGGGATAGAACTTTAATTACACAAGGCATCCAAGCCAGCAGTCAGGGCCCTTTCCAATGCGATTACTTTTCAAGCTCTGCCCTGCTTCTCCTTCCATTTCCCTCTGGGCCTTCGTTTTCAGATCTCCTCAGAAGCCGAGGAACGCAGGTCCTTTTGAATTTCTTTAGATCAGTGTTGTCCTATAGGACTTTCTGCAATGATGAAAGTATCCTGTCTATTCCTGGCCACATGTGGCTATTAAGCACTTGAAAATGGCTGGTCTGACTTGGAACTGAATGTATGATTTCATTTAACTTTAGTTAATTTAAATTTATAAATCCATGTGTCCTCATGGCTACTGTGTAGCTCTATCTAGATTATGCCCTTGACTTTTGAACAATGTGTCTTGGGAGAGTTCTCTTGGCTCTGGCCCTCCACTTTCATGAACCAGCTCCTCCCAGTGGGGAAAGAAGAACTCTCTTTGACTTCAGAACTGACTTCCTTTTATTGCTAAGTTAGACAGGCTAGGCCTTGAGCTTAAAACTCTTCACCAACTGTTTATACCCTCCATACCTGGCCTCAACATGTCCTTTTTTCTCTGTGACTATATCCTTATTCTTTATCCAGCAACAGCAAATATGCATTAATTTTCTGCAGATAAGGTTTCCTTTGGAACTTAAGGAAGAGGTATGAAACTTGGCTTTGGAGGACTTAGGGATAGGAAAGCCATCACCAAGTGTTTATAGAGTACCAACCACCGTGTGCCAGCCAATGTTTGAGATTTGGGGAATACAGAGTGAATTAAAGTCCATGTGTACAAGCTAATAAACAAGATTCTATCAACATGTCAGCAGATAAGTACAGCGCGAGGGTCTGAGAACAATGGTAGATGCTTGTAATTTTAGAAGCGGTTGTCAAGAATGGCATCTTTGATAATGTGATATTTGAGCAGTAATTGGTATGAAATCGGGATGAAGAAGGCAGATCTCTGGGTTAAGCGCATTCTAGTTGGAGGGAACAGCAAGTACAGTGTCCTAAAAACAGACTGTGCTTGTCATTTCCTCCCCTCCTCCCCCATGGTTTCTCATTTTTGCTTCTCTTTCTAAGAGTTACATTTATAGGCATACATTTTTACACTGGACATCACAAGAAATTGAGCGAGTTCACAACTCCACTGGTGCTGGTAAAAAGATTATGCTAAGATGGATAAAAGACTATGAAACATAGTCAAAATGCACTTCTCAGTCACCTCTGGCCATACGATTTTACACATCTGGGTTCTCACCCCAGAATGAGATAGGTTTAATAGATAAGATTCAGTGTGGGGCAAATCTAAGGTGCCAAAGTTAGGTACATACTAGAACTTCCATAAAGAGTTGTCTTAAGAAATAGAAAGCATTATAATTTGACTTTGTAGCCAAAGGTCATTCAAAACATTTCAAAGTTTAGATCACTTATTCCAGTTTTATCTCTAGTACTAAATGTTATTTCAGCACACAAATGTGGTCATTCCCCATGGATGGAAGGAGCCAGCTGTGTTCCAGAACTATGTTGGAAGATTGCACCTTGAAGACTGTGTGCATGGTTCTCATTTTCCATCTTAAAATCACTGCTGGAATCTATCTTGACTTTTCCACAGCCCATTGACAACTGTCATTATGTAAATACTGTCCTTTTTTCTCACCAACTACTGTGGCTGATGTCTCCCCTCCAAAATTTATGTTGAAACTTAATCCCCATTGTGGTGGTATCAAGAGACGGAGATTTGGGGGAAGTGATTAAGTCATGAGTGGATTAGTCCCACATAAAAGGGCTGGAGGTAACCAGCCTGGATCCTTTTGCCCTTCCATTTTCTGCTATGTGATGACACAGTACTGGTCCTCTCTAGAGGACACAGCAACAAAGCACCATCTTGGAAGCAGGAAAGGGGGCTCTTACGAGACATCAGAACTGCCAGTGCCTTGATTTTGGACTTGTCAGCCTCTAGAACTGTGAAAAATTTCTGTCCTTTATAAATCACCCAGTCTCACATATTTTGTATGGCAGCCAAACAGACTAAGTTACCAACCTTAGTGGGATTGCTAGGACTTGGAAAGGAGTAGCCTTTTTTTTTTTTTTTTTTTTTTAAATACAGAGTCTTGCTCTGTCGTAAGGCTGGAATGTAGTGGCACAGTCTTGGCCATCTGCAACCTCTGTCTCCTGGGTTCAAGTGATTCTCCTGCCTCAGCCTCCTGAGTAGCTGGGACTACAGGCACGCACCATCAAGCCCTAGCTAATTTTTGTATTTTTAGTAGAGACGGGGTTTCGCCATATTGGCCAGGATGGTCTTGATTTCTTGACCTCGTGATTCACCCACCTCGGCCTACCAGAGTGCTGGGATTACAGGCGTGAGCCACCGTGCCAGGCCGGGAGTAGATATTTTAATCACAGGAGGTAGCATCAGAAAAGTTGCAGCTACTCACCACAAGAGAGACCTTTATGATGTTTACTGCAAATTGCATCAAGGTCATGACAGCAATGAGTAATGCCCAGGAAAGGCGAAGATCAACCTTACACTTTTTCATCTAACTGCACTGTGAGAAAACAAGCAAAATTGCCCAGTTTAAGGGCAGATTCTCAGATTTTGTTTCAAATTTCCTGCCCTTTGTTGTCCTTTCTAGAAGCCTTAACAATACTTGCAACTTCTTTCTTTTTTTTTTTTTTTTTTTTTTACTTCCTCTGCTTGAAAAACATGAAGGGGGAAGTTTCAAAGTGTTTGGTGTTATCTTAGAAACCAAAGTGAATCTGAATGTGTCTTTCTGTCCTTTTTGTGTCATTTTTCAAAATGAAAGGGACCTTTAAGTTCATCATGTCCAACCCATTTGTTTGACTGGTTGGAGAACAGGCACAGAGAGTGGTTGGGTAATTGCCCTTGAACTCAAAGCCCCCTCATGGTCGATTCAGAGCCTTCTCCACTGCAACCTGCTGCCATTCCCAGCATGGTGAATTCTCCTCCAGTAGAAGTCATATAGCAATGTTTTATAATTAACTTTTACGTGAGCAAATGAGCTCCAGGAGAGAAGATTAAGGAATATTGCTTTCCATATATCTGGATGGCCCAGAACACTTTTTAACTAGGTACTTAAAAATCTACTACAATTGTTGTTGCCCATATTCTTCTGTAATTCTTTCATCAGCTGTGAATGAAAGTACAGCAGTTTTATTTCCTTGAAAAGTAAGCCAAACATGATTTTATTTCAATATTTTAGAATTCCACAATCTTAAGACACATCATTGCCTTCCCATCTCTGCATGTCAAACTTACTAATTTTATTAGCATGTTGCGAAATAACACACTAAGTGTCTCAAAGCCAAAGTAGATCAGCTCTCGCCTGATAAATGTGCAGGAGTAAGCAGAGGATTTGAAAATTGAACTGGATTCTCAAGTTACTGCCTGTTTGCCAGACCTATGCTGGTTATGAACAATATTTCAAAACCAGATTATTTGGTTCTAGATCCTAAACACTCTTGGCAACTTTATTGTAACGATGATTGATTCCATTGTATATTTGAAAGCATCAGGGCACAGTGGTAACAAAAAATTATTATATTTCAATTTGTCTATTCATTCAAATTTCCTGAAAGGTTTTTTAGAAGTCATCAAACTGCTACATTCTATTGATGAGTAGGAATAGATTTACCAAACTCATACTTATCTTGTCATTTGTTTCCTGCAATTTTCTTTGGTGTGAGAGAGCATTGCATGGAATGTTACCTTTCTAGCAAGTGAATGCTTGTGTGGCATTTTTTACTGTCTAGAGGATTTTCACAGGTACTTCAAGCATGTTTGCTCTTCATCATGATCCTACATGGGACGATTTCATAAATCAGGAAATGGAGGTTTCAAGAAGTTAAGTGGCCCACAGCTAATACATGTAAGAGCCTGAATTCACACTCAAGTTTTTACCTTAAAACTCTTGGGCTTCACCAAGCTGACCTTATTATATATGTCTCCTAAAATAAGTGAAGTAATTACAAAGAACCAAAGCTTTTGTCTAAGAAACTTATTGCTTCCCCACCCCTTGTATACTTTCTTCAACTCCTAGTAGTCACACCTGTGTCTTTGCCTTGTACTGGAATGTGTGTAAAGTTCTACTCTTAAACTTTTTGATGGAATATCTATTTCATTGTGGAGTATCAGGAAGGATGAGGGCTTGTGTGTCACCATTGGCTTTGTCTTTTATTTGCTTTCTCTCATTGATATGATATGATAAGTTATTTCATCTCT
This sequence comes from Homo sapiens, assembly GCF_000001405.40. Lineage (NCBI taxonomy): Eukaryota > Metazoa > Chordata > Mammalia > Primates > Hominidae > Homo > Homo sapiens. The sequence continues at coordinate 30,633,200 of NC_000003.12, forward strand.
TTGACCCTTAATTTCTCCATCTATAAAATGTTAATGACAAAATTGCATGGTGGTTGTGATAAGTAAATGAAATAATCATCACAGTACTTAATACTGGACTAAGCATTTGGTCTGCATTCGATAAATCATGATCATGGTAATAATAATTATTAACATCACATAGATCTGATTTCTAAAGTAGATGTCCTCTGGCCTTGAACTGAAATGTGATTATACACATTAGAGAATTACATGCATGTTAAAAATATTCATATTAGAGAGTTAAATCATGACTTTTTGCATTCTAGTTAAACCCTAATATTAGAAGAGAGAATTGAATGTGCAGGTGAAATAATCATTAATTGTAAACATTCAGGTGGCCACAGGGGCCTGGCAGGGGAGTAGGTGACATGAAGGAGTGTCAGGGAGGAGGCAAATTTGAGGACACAGAGACTTTCTCAAGAGGAGCATCTCAGCTCACAGTCAGCTGACTGTTGTCTTGGGATGGTGTGGGCCCACTGTTTCCAAGTCTTTTTTATTTCTTTAAGTGGAATTAGAAAACCAGTTTTGCATGTGAAATCTCTGAATTTTAAAACTTGGTTTATATTTTAAAAAGAAAAGAGTTCAGGCCAAACAGAACACATCTGTGCTCTGTGTCCAGCTCTTGTACCCACTGTAGCAATTTCTGCTTTAGCTTCTCAGTCTGTGCCCAAGTTATTTGGTTGTTAGAAACCAAGCGCCTTGGACCTCGTTATATTACTTTTTAAAGGGATGCCTTTCCCAAATATGGTAGTACTCTGGCCCTTTTCCAGAGAAAATATGGAAATCATCTGTTTTGACCAATATTTTCACATGTTTAATAAAACTGTAATTGAAAAACCTTTCAGGTACCAGGCATGCACAAGAACCCCGCAGCATATTTTGAAAAACTGAAGCAAAAGCCTCCACGGAGAAATTTATCAGTGAAAATTCTGCTCTCACAGAACATTGATATTCGGACCAAATCCCATGCTTAGTTGAGGCAAATGGTTCATTTCAGGGGCTGATTTTTCAGATTCTCTAATAGTCACTATCTTTTAAAAATCTGTTCTTACCAGATTTTGTGTTAGTTTCTGCATTTTCCATTAAGCTGCCTCAGTACTTTGAGATAAAGAATTGTTTAAATCCTAAATGAATAACTTAATTAAAAAGCACATCTTCATTTAGACCATCCTTATTTCCAAAGCTCTTTTGATGAAAATCATTTCGTGCATTTTTAAAAATTCCCTAGAAGAACTTAAAGATCTTGAGGAAAGGACCATGTCTTATCCTGTCCCCCTTCCCTCAAGGGTTTAAATATGAGGGCTGTCAGAAAGCAGCACATTTTCGTTTAGGTTGACTAATTTTGCTGGTAAGTAACAAATTACTTTAGTTGAATTGGAATGTTGTAAAACTCCGTCAGTCGTGTATCATTATCTTGCCTCTATCAGTCTGTGCCATTTACCAATGTTTTGACCATCACCAAGAGAGTTATTTAATCATCTTTTATTTTCAATAATAAATTATTTCCTTGTTGCTACAGCACTCCAAGTCCTGTCAACTGAGGGAGAATTGTTTTCTCAGTTGCTGTCACTTTAGGTAAAGTACCAACTTTAAAGCACTTCTCAGCAGAGGCATAAAGTTATTATTTTGAGAGTTCATGAAATAGTGCTCCATTCTACTCTTTCACTTGATCTAATATACCATTTGCATTTATATGGCTTAACTTTTTTAACTGGCTTCCTGTTCTTCTCAGCCCCAAACCCTACATTCTGGTTTTTGACTCATCTCATAGTCCCTGCAGTCAGTCTTTGCCAGATAAAGGCACTGTTAAAGTGAGCTTTATCAATGAAAAACTTAAGAATTTCATGTATTGATGACAGTATTTACTATAAACTGCTTGCTTCTCCCCAGCTTTCAGAAATTTGTTTTATTCACTGGGTCCTATTAGAGCTGAAAGAGCATGATTGAGAAAGTTACAATTGTTTCAGCTTTTTGAATATGGCACAAGTGCTAGAATTCTGAAATACTGCCTTTGGCAACAATGTGTAGATATTTCCACCTGCAAGAGTCATTTTAAATGTTTAGATTTTGTCTCCTGTTATGTGGCCTGTATCTCAGAGAGGTCCCCTGCCACTAAAAACAAAAACAAACAAAAAACAGAAAAATAAATGAAAATTCAGCAAGCGTTGGGGGGACTCAAATTGTACTTCATTCTTCAATGATACAAGAAAGCAAGAAAACCAAGTATGCATTTTTAGGATTTATTTGGGGTCATTGGGGCTGGTAAGTGTTAAATAGGAAAGGATGCAATTGAAATTCCAGCTCAGTTATTTTATGTTTGTCACTGGAGAAAGCCAATTATTTTTCCGTTCAGCTACAGCTTGTTTCATTCCGTAGAAGACTAAAAAAACTTCCTTGTAAATTGCATTTAAAAAAATTTGAGTTTAAAGGTACAGCCAAGATTTCAATTTAAAGTACCTCATTGGATGAATTCATTTGAGACACAAGTAATCATTCCTTAATCCCTTAATTTGTTTGGTAAATACAAATTTATGTTTATGCAGTTTTCTTAAAGCAATCATAGCAAACTACTAAATTCATGAGCCAAAATGCTAGTGAAACTCAAACCTACAAAGCTAAATTCCCTCAGTTGAACAAGTCCAAATGAGGAAATCACACACATAAATGCATAAACACACACACTCACACACACACTTCCCGTATCAGCTCTGTCTCCATTTCTGACCTCATGTTTGCATTTAAAGGCAAGTAACTGATTCACATGAGGTTGCCGTTGTTAATGTTGCCTCTCAAACTAGAATATAAGCCATAGGAGGGTAGGGACCAACCTGGTGTTTGTTTTAGATGTCTTGTTGTGTGGAGAGTATCCCAGACATTTGATATCCTTAATTGTTGGCCAGATGGTAGGTAGTTTCAGTGTGAAAATATATATGTATGTGTGTGTGTGTGTGTGTGTGTGTGTGTGTGTGTGTGTGTGTGTATAGTACTGGGATTACAGGCGTGAGCCACCGCACCCGGCCCGTACTAGGTATTTTACTAGAATTATTTCCTGCTCTAAGAGATTTTAGAGTATTGATTATGTCATTCTTGACAGGTTTTAAAAACTATATTAGTATTACAAAAACATGTGCATGAAAAGGAAAATTGATGCTTTTGAGCTTATCTCTTTATTTTCTGCCCACATGGTGGTCTCCCTATTAGGTATTGTTTCTCCACTTCTGATCCTGGTGCCCAGAGGCTATGTGGGGCTGTCACTTGAATGAAAGCTGCATGCATCTGCCATGACAGAATCTGCCTTGCATTTGCTCATTTATAATGAAAACATTTTTTAAGTACAGAAAAATAATAGAAAATTCAAAAGTAACAGAAGGGTATGAAATAAAAAGTTGCTTCTCAACCTCAGTTTTCTACCTATTTATTTTCCTTTTACAGGGCCAAATAATGTTTGATTCTCATGTCCTTGCATCTACTCCCAGAGACCGTCTAAATATATAAGCATGCATGTGTGTGCACGTGTGTGTGTGTGTGTGTGTGTGTGTATTCCCTTTAAAAAGCAGTAACAGGCCAGGCGTGGTGGCTCAAGCCTGTAATCCCAGCACTTTGGGAGGCCAAGGTGGGCAGATCACGAGGTCAGGAGATCGAGACCATCCTGGCTAACACGGTGAAACCCCGTCTCTACTAAAAATACAAAAAATTAGCCAAGCGTGGTGTTGGGCACCTGTAGTCCCAGCTGCTCGGGAGGCTGAGGCAGGAGAATGGCGTGAACCTGGGAGGCAGAGCTTATAGTGAGCCGAGATCGCGCCACTGCACTCCAGCCTGGGTGACAGAGCAAGACTCTGTCTGAAAAAAAAAAAAAAAAGCAATAAAAGCAATAACAACAAAACAGAAATGGTGGTGTGTCAACCAGGGTTCCAGTTGCAAGCAGATGGCACCCTCAAATTAGGGAGATTTAAGGAGAGTTTAGTAAAACAAGTACTTACAAAGGTATGGATAGAGTCAAGGGAAACCACCACAAAATGGGAGAAACCATAGTGCAGATACTTAGGACTAGTAATTGCTATGTTGACTTGCTAGGCCCAAAGTGGCAAGGAGAGGGAAGAAGTAAATCTTGGAAATGACCTCCTGAAGAGAACCTGTGACCTCCAAGTGAGGGACTTGGCCAGCTGGAAAAGATTCCACAGAGGGAGCCAGAACACAGATACCTTAAATGTGCTCCTCATTGCTTCCCTTAGATACCGCTGGGTCACCCCATTGGCCAAACTTACTGGAAGCTTGAGGGCAAGAGAGCCGGTTGATGTAGTCCATAAAGATGAGCCTCCTGGGGCAGACAGTCTGGTGACCAAGGGTGGAGAACTGATCTCTAAGGGCAATAGAAGACACCCAGCCCAAGTAACTCTATACATTGGTCTCTACCTTGCTTATTTTCTTGAATGCTATAGCCTGGGCTTCAACACTTATAAAGATAGCCACATGGAGCTGCCCTCTGCTTTTTAGTCGTTGCGTTGTGTTCCTTGTTTGGATTTGTCTAATTTATTTTACTAGTCTTCTCTTGATGAGTGGTTAAAAAAAAAACCTGTTTGTCCTTACAAACAACACTGCAGCGAATTTATCAATGAATATCATAAATTTTTAGAAGCGAAAGTGCGAGGCAAAAGGCTATTTGCGTTTGCAGTGTTGATTGATATCAATAACATGTACTCCTGAGATGTTATACCTGTTTACAACACAGCATTATGAGAATGTTTGTTTCCCCATACTTTACCCAGCTCACTGTGTTATCTGACTTATTGATCTTTTTCAAAATGAGTTAGGTGAAATATGGTATGCATTTTTAATCTGCATTTCACTTGTTAGCAATGAGGTTGACATGCTTCGCTTTTAGAGCTTATTCTCTGGTGATATGATCAGGAAGTAATATTTAAAGTAGCGTTTTTTTAACACAATATAGAGAACTCATATGATTTGTTATTTGTTTCCAATAAGCATTGATAATGATTTTAAATGGCATTAATTCTTCTGGCACTTGTAGAATACTTACTATTTAAAAGCAAGAATTATAAGGCATTGTCATTTCACAGAGATTTTAGAGTATTCACTTTGTCATCTCTGAAAGGTTTTAAAGTATTATTACTACAAAAATATTTGCATAAGAAGGAGAATTGATGCCTTCAGGTCACTTGTCTCTGTTTTCTTCCTGCACACGCCATAGTCTCCCTGTTAGCTAAATGATGGTATCTCTAGTATTGACCTTGGTACCCCAGAGACCATGTGGACTGTCAGTTGAAGGAAAGCCCGATACCTCTCTTCTCTCAAGGTATAATTAGATAAAGCATTAGGGTTCAAACACATTTTTAAAAACTAAAAAGAAGGTATTGTATTAGAAGTTCCAATTAGAGTGTGCAATAGATGTTCAGCAAAAAGAACTATTCCTAAAATGTTCCTATCTTTGGTTTAATCACAAGGTGTTTGTTTGGTTGGTTGGTTGGTTGTAGTAATTGGCCAAGGTATCTGATTGGCTTGGGGATGTCTTTCCTGAAGAATTATACAGGGAATCCTCTCAGATTGCTTGACTTTCTTCTTTGTTCTGGGTGGGAGGAAGTGTGTGACTAGCCAATAGCCTTGTCCCACCTTGTCTCAAGGGTCGGAGCTGCTGTTGCTAGCATCACAGGCCACAGCGGCTTTCTGCCAGATGGCTGCCTCAGTATCTGACTCGGAAATGCTGCAGGCAATTAAAAACCTCCTTTCAGAGAACATGTCTTTCAATTCTGGGCCCATATGGTGATCAGGGCCTCTGGGTTTGCAATCATTTAAGAGGTCAGGCTCAAGAGAAAAGCATATGGAAAGAACTGGAAGATGAGAAATGCCTGTAAAAAGGTGAAGAATAGGTATTTAATTTCACTAACTCCAAAATGACTGGAGAAAGGGAAACAATTATTAAAAACTGGGTTCTCCACAGCCTTCCCACTCAACATATAGTGGGCTGGCATCACCCAGGGCAGCAGCTCCCTTCCTATCTGTAAGGTCAGTTTCGTGTGTACTTGGCTAGGTTCTGGTGCCCACTAATCTCATTGTTGCTGTGAAGGTATGTTGTAGATGTGATTAACAGCTAAAATCATTTGACTTTAAGTAAAAGAAATCATTCTCTATAATGTGAGTGGGCCTCATCCAATCAACTGAACAGCCTTAAGAGCAAAAGCTGAGGTTTCTGAGAGAAAAAATACTGCCTCAAAACTGCAGCATTGATTTCTGCCTGAGTTCCCAGGCTGCCAGTCTGCCCTATAAATTTCAGACTTGCCAGCCCCCACAATACCACTATGCTACACCTGCAGGTTAAAAATATTCCCAAAGTACTTGTGTATTAATATTTGAGAAGCAGTACTCTAAAACAGTAAATTCTATCCACCAGTTTCCATGGATTATTCTTTGAGATGTTATTTAATTGTGTCAATTTCAGTGGTCTTACTATGAATATATAACACTAATCAAGACATCCACAGGTATTTGTAGAACAAATAAATTTCTGAGTTTCCCCCCACAAAAAACACTCCAGAAAACAACAGTCGGTAGATACATGAATTCAATGATACACGAATGCATGAATTCAGTGATACATGAATGCATTTCTGACAAGTGTTTATGGTTATTGTTAAACCTTGAGATTTTACCTAATGGTTCAGCTAATAATAGACACTATTTCAAAGATTTGGACTAAGGTCATATTCAGAATTTCTAATATTTATCTGAAATAAGTCTAAATCTTATTAGGCTGCTCATCTGACCCTCAAAGACAATAGTACAGTTCCAGAAATAGACACAGCTAAGCAGTCAATTCATATTCTCAAGACCTGGAACCTCTGTCTGTAGGCAGTGAGTGTGGGGAAAATGTGAGATAAAATGGGGAAGGTGGTATGACCTAGAGTGAAGGTTTTGATATTACTCATGGGCTTATTTGAAGAGAAGTGAAATATTATGGGCCATGTGATACTATCATATGCTGAGAGATGCTACCCATGTTCACTTCCTTTAGTGGATGGCTTTCTAGGTGACAGATATTCTTATTGGAACTTCTTTCTGGAGAACTTTATGAATAACGAATTTGCCTATTAGGGGTAGAAAATTCTCTAAAGATGGTTAGCTGCTCACAGAGAGTCTATAGGAATCGAAGTACAGTCATCTCTTGGTACCCATGGGGGATTGGTTCCAAGACTCCTCGAGGAGACCAAAATCTACAGATGTTTAACTCCCTTATATAAAATTGTGTAATATTTACATATAACCTACACACATCCTCCCATATCCTTTAAATCATCTCTAGATTACTTATACATAATACAATGTAAATTCTATGTAAATAGTTGTTATACTGTGTTGCTTAGGGAATAATGACAAGAAAAAAGTCTGTACATAATTCAGTACAGCCACAATCATCAATTTTTTTAAAAAAATATTTTGCATCCACGGTTGATGGAAACCGCAGATGTGGAACCCACAGATACAGAAGGCTGACTATATACTGCCTTAATATAAGAATATCTTAACTAGAGAGACTTAGACTAATATAACAATCTGGATTAAAAGTAATGTTGAAGTTGGGTTAGGGTTTGCTATAGGGTTAATTAGGTGGGTTTTGTATCGTTGTTTAGAGGAATATCTTTATTCCTAGCTATGCACATGTATGCACTTACTTTCCTTCCCATTCCTTTGGCTTTTTAAACATTATGTATTAAACGTAAGGAGATGTTGTTTGATATCTGAGGTCGTGGCTGGTAACATCTTTTCCTGTGGTTTGGAGTGCACAGATGCAATGTCCCATACAGCAAATGACTGTTACCCTTCCCTCCCACTGGCCCTCATCCCACTCTGACCAGCAGTATACCACTTAGCATGTTATTAGTGACTCTTGAGGATTCCGGGGTTGGCTTGGGATGCCTTAACTGGATCTTACGGGCCTCAGAGAATCTGCAAACCTTCTCAGATGATCTACAAATTTTGTATTTGTTTCTTTTCCCCAACTCCAAAGTGTGTTCATAAGGCTTTTATCAAACTTAGGTGACTCCAGCAAAGGTTTAGAGTAGCTTTGCCCTCTGAACTTAACTACCTATTCCACCAGTACATATGGTATGCATAAAAGGACCTGAGGACCTATATCATATAGAGGAAAAGAATACTGGTTTAAAACAAAGGTTGGAATGTATATGACCTCAAGGGCTACCTGGAATTGTTAAGGTGGGGAGTCTCCTAGGGTCAACTAATAGGGAGTCGATGGCTGGTGCTGAACATGTCCTGCATACAGGCTTTTGAAAAAAAATTCTGGTTAAGCTCTTGCAGTGGTAGCTTCTGCTGTAACAAGGAGAAAAATGTGGCATCCCTGGCTGGGTTCTTGTGAAGTAATATGCTGTATCTTAGGCAACTTTCCTCATATACAGTGGGTGCTCAGCATGTGCAAATTCTTATTGTACACTGCCCTTCCCACCATATGCCTGTGTCTATATGCAGTACAGTTGCTTGTTTGGCTTTTCTTCAACATTCAATGGAAAGGCTTTCTCTTGTTGGGTCTACCCATCAAGTAACATGTATTATATCTCGCCAGGGGCCCCGTTACAGTGGTGCTCCTGGAGCTGTGCAAATTGGTGGACCTTCTCTCTCTTTCTCTCTCCTCCCCCTCCCTCCTTGTTTCCCTTCCTCCCTTCCTTCCTCTCTCTCTCCCTACATCCTTCTTCCCTTTCTCTCCCTTTCTTTCTTCTAATGGTCCTTTTTTCTTTTCCCTGTTGATTGTGTTCTGCAAGCATCGGACTTAAACCACTTGCATTTGTCAATACATCTGTGGCCACCACTGCTCCCAGCACCCATCTCATCTGTTTTCATTTCTGTCTTATCTATCGCTGCTCACTCCTGTCACTATTCTCACGTTTCTAAGGTTTTGCTAGAAAAGGACTGGCCAGCACGGAGAAGAATTTCTATCTGAGGTGTGAAAGAGCTAATCACCTCTCCTTAGGTGCATGTTTTTCACAAGGGAACTAATTCCAGCTATATCCAGGTGCTGTCCCCTCAGCAGCATAAGTTGTATATGTGTTTGTGGTGGTGGGGTGGGAGTGGGGGGGTTGCTGTTTTGTTTTCTGTTTATTGTGTTTTTTCCAACTAACTATAGGTCTGGGTTCTCAACCTTGGTTCCACATTAGAATCATCTGGGCAGCTTCTAAAAATCCTGATGCCTCAGTTACCTTCCAGAAAAATTAAATCAGACTATCTGGGAGTGGGACCCCTTCAGTATTTTTTAAATTTCCTCAGGTGATGGATTTCAACATGCTCTCCAAGTTGATAACCACCAATCTAAGCTAAAATCCTAAGATGTTGGAAGACTGAATTTCAAGTAATGGAAATTTGGTTTTATATTTACAAACAACAAACCTTCCTAATCAGCAAATAGATGCTTGTCCAAAACATACTCTATACAAAAAATACGTATGTATGAAATAAACAAAACGTGGTTTCACTTTTTTTTTGCTTTAAACAATGTTAAAGAAACCTAAAGTGTTATTAGTTGTTTCAAAAATTGATCCAAGTATAACCATGTTAGAAAAAAATACATATTAATTGTTGTGTTTCTCCCAAATTTCACACAGTTCAGAGAGTATTTCTGCCTATATTTTTAGCTAAGCATAGAGCTCTTGGTCTGGGAGACACTGAGAATTTCAAAATAGCTTGTTACCTAAAAATAAACTTCCTGAAATGAACTTGAGGCCCGAGAGGGATGAATGGCTTTATTTTTTTCTTCTATATTTACTGTTACCACAAGAAAGCAAATCTTAAATTTATATACGTTTATATTTTTAGAGACCCAGGAAACAGGTGCTATGCCCAAGCTACAAAGACAGTTGCAGGGCAAAGTATCTATGACAGAATCCTAAAATTCACAGGACAGAGAGTGACTGTGGAAAGGCATTGAAAGTGTTCCTCTCTAGGCAAGAGCGGAGGGAACATGAGGCTTTTCTTAGGCCTCTCTAAGGGTTATGCCTTGGAAAAGTACCTCACAACTTTCTGTGGCCCAGCAACTGTTCCAGCACCCCATGCGGTCTAAGTGCTTAATGTTTCTTAGTCTAGCATGTAAGTATTAATTCATGTTTGCTGGTTGAGTGCCTAGTAGCCTTGTCATACTTCACTGACTGTCCAAACTCATGTCTTAAACATCATCACCATCTCATTGAGGAAGAAAATGGGGAATGGGGTGTTACACCTTTATTTGAACTGCCCCTAGTTTGCAGCCTGTATTTTGCAAAGAATAGTCTGTCTTCCATATTTTATTGAATAAATGTGAATGAATATCACATTTATAATCACATTCCTCTCTAATCTGAGTGAAGAAGTTCTGTATCCTATCCTACATGGCATCAAGGGCCAAACATGGACTCCTTGTATTCATCCTGTGTTCACTCATTTATCCAATAAACATTTTTGTATGCCTGCTATGTGAAAGGTTCTCTTCCTGGCACTGGAGATATAGTAGGTAAGTGAGGTGGAGAAAGTTTCATGGAGCTTACATTTTTGTGGATAGATTATTAGCAAGTATGCGATGCAGATAGTTTGTGCAGACAATAAATAAAACAGAGTTGCTATAGGATGAAGAGGTGGCATTTGATCAGAGATCAGAAAAGTGACAGGAAGCTAAACAAAGGTAATAGCAAGTGAAAGGCCTGAGGAGGGAATGAACTTGGCTTCTTCCCAGAAGGGGGCAGGAGATTGGTGATGGTGGTGATAAGGGAGAGGTACAGAAGGCAGATCCTGAGGTGGATTCAGCTTTTATTTGCTGCGATCATAACTCCAATGCCTCACCAATGCTTGGGATTGTGTCTAGGAGGCACTCAGTAAGTGTTAGTTAATCAATTGATTTGCCTCAAACACAGAGAGAGATCAGTAGAACTAGTCCCTTGAAAAGAAGACCCTTATAGCTCTTTCAGGAGTAGGTCAGGAAAATGGCGGCAAAATCTTGTGCCTCCAGCAACGGTTCCTCCTTTGGTGTGGCACTTCATGACTCTGTGAGGTTATAGCCTCCCTGCCCAGCTGAGCGGTGATGCTCGCCTGGCTCCCACATCCTCTGTGCTGCCCTCTATTTTGGGTCACCCTGACTTGGTCTGTTTCCTGTCTTATTCACCAGCTAAACTATAATTTCCTTAAGGGTACTTTTATTTGTGGGCCCAGCACTCCGTACTATGCAGTGGGCCCATCTAGGTTTCTTTATTGAATGATAAGATTTTTGTAGAAAGTGGACCTTATGACAACCATTGACAAAAGCAAATGGCTACTCAACCACCCCAACCCCTCACCACCCCTCACCACGGTACAATGGATTTTATTACAAATTGCATACACCAGATAATTCTAATCTGATGTGAAGGAATTATTTTGCCTTTCTTCAGATTCATTCTCATGACATCAAGTTCATTTGAAATTGCATAACATCTTCAGGAATTCATTGGCAGGCTGCCTGGCAGTTGGATAATCATTTAATATATCTTTCTCTCTCCTCAGTTAATAACGACATGATAGTCACTGACAACAACGGTGCAGTCAAGTTTCCACAACTGTGTAAATTTTGTGATGTGAGATTTTCCACCTGTGACAACCAGAAATCCTGCATGAGCAACTGCAGCATCACCTCCATCTGTGAGAAGCCACAGGAAGTCTGTGTGGCTGTATGGTAAGCAAGCCTTTTAAGAAGTTATTCTTTCTTTTCCCCTTTTTACATAATGTATTCTCATAGTACACACAGTCAGTGTATCTCTGTCTCCTAAATGTAAACACCTGTTCCATTTCCCTTTCCTTTAGACCATCTCTCTTTCGATTATTAAATGTAGTTTCTAGGGGTGTTCTCTGCATGTATGTGTACGTTTATGTGGGTATATAAACGTATCATGATTATAAAATGATCATGATAAATGTAAAGATCATAAAATGATCTTTAATATAATAAATCTGGAAACTCTTTCTTGTATCAAGAAGAGGGATTTGCCGCTTAGTAGTCATTTAACCGACACCTCCTCAGCACCCCATAGTGAGACCAGGAGCTTTGTTCTCTTGAGGCAATCTCAGGTCTGGAAGAAGAGGTGATGAAAGGTTGGCTGTTGGAAGAGAAAACTACCAGCCAAAAATGGGGAATCTACTTGGAGAACCACAAAAACAACCTGTTTTTTTAGTCAGAAATTCTGGTTATATTATTCATATAACCATTGGGATAGATATGACTTCTTTCTCTCAGCTCAGAACTACATATTTCTTTTTTTTTTTTGAGATGGAGTCTTGCTCTGTCATTCAGGCTAGAGTGCCATGGCACAATCTTGGCTCACCGCAACCTCCACCTCCCAGGTTCAAGCGTTTCTCTTGTCTCAGCCTTTCGAGTAGCTGGGATTACAGGTGCCCACTACCACACCTGGCTAAGTTTTGTATTTTTAGTAGAGACGGGGTTTCACCATGTTGGCCAGGCTGGTCTCGAACTCCCGACCTCAGGTGATCCACTCGCCTCTGCCTCCCAAAGTGCTGGAATTACAGGCATGAGCCACCATGCCCGACCAGAACTATATATTTTTATCGGATCACATTTTCTCCTCTCTCTCTCTCTCTCTCTCTCATTCCCTCCAACTCATACATACATCTCAAATAATAATTATACATACACAGTGGATACTCATGAATCATTTGATTAATTCATGGTTATAGATTGTGAGCATGAACAAGAAATAACCTTGATCTTTAGAAGAGTTGTAATTTTACAAAAGTACATAAATTCATTAATGAGATATGACATTTTGCAGACTTATTCTGATGTTTTTAATTTATTGGCCATTTTAAAAAAAGTAACTTATGTGTCTCCTGGCTAGTTGACAAACAAGAATATAAACCCAAATATCTCTCCCCCTTTTTTGGGAATGAGTCATTTGAGACCCCTAGACCATGTAAAGCTAGCCTTGATGATAGATCTGGAAACCTTGCAAACTTCTGTACATACCACGGGATGAACTGGTTTCTTAAGAACTGAAGGAATGTTAACAGCAAAGACTTGTCATGACATACTTGCCAATATGATATGATACCTGTCCATGTCCACTTCTAGGTAACGCTTTCAAAGAAAGGATTTGGACAAAGAATGTGTTCAGAGGAGAGGGACCAGTGTGGTTAGAGGCCTAGAAATCATGCTGTCTGAGGAATGGCCTGGGCAATTAGACATGGTTAGTACAGTGAAGAGAGATCGTGGGTTCTGCTGATGAAATTGAAAGGCTCTCAGGTAGAAAATATAATAAACATATTCTGCATAACTCTGAAGGGTAGAGGGAGGATCCATAACATTTGCAAGGCAGGCAGACTTGTGCTCAGCATAAGTTTAGACATTTTCACAATCATGGTTTCCCAACAGCAGAACAGGCTTCCTTTTCTGTAAGCACCAAGTGAAGTTCAGGAGAGGCTGGATGACCATATGTCAAATAGAATGCAGGAAAGATTGAGACACCAGACTAGATGGCCTCAAAGCTTCCTTCCGTGGTTTCTTAAATATCTACGGTGGTGTGAGCACTTGCTTTTGCAACCCAAAAAGGCTCTTTTAATTAAGATTTTTGTTTTCCTGACCAGTAATACAAGCCCAAATCATTAAATGTGAATCAAGTCTCTCTAGAATAGAGGCTTTGCTAGCCTCAAAAAAATGTGAGCATGTCGAAGAGAGGAGGCCTCCCTGTCTTTTCTGTGTCCCAGCTATAAAGGGTAAATACAATGAACATTATTTTGACCTGTGCTGGCCAAAGAAAATTCTCCCGTGAAGCCAGGGGTGTTGATAATGAGAAGGGGAAGTATAGGGTACGCTATAGTGCCCTCCTTGATCCTCCTTCATGACCAAGGCACTCATTCCCTGGGAGTGTTGGCTGTTGAAGGATCACTGCTGAGCCTTCCCTCCAGTGATGGGAGCTGCCTCATTCACGTTGGACACTTTTCATGGGTAGCCATCATCCCATGGCTAGTTGATGCAGAGAAACAAATTCCTGGTTATTTTGCCATAATGTGGTACATCTTTGAAGGACATCCCATTTTCAGAGTTTCCAAGGCATTCACTGAGGCCTTTGCTGCAACCTGCATTATAGTTTAGCTTTTTCCTTCTGTGCAATACTGTTGCCTTTAGTCGCTTACAGATGCATCTCCAAAAACCTCCTGCACAGAACTCTCACAGCCTCAAGGTCTGTTTCCAGGAAACCTAAACTAAGACAGGAGGCTATTGTAAAAATAGCCAGTGTGGAAACTGAAAGGCTCTACTATGATTGTAGATTTCAGTGTTGTTGTTTTTTTAATCAGTTTTAGTGTTTTTTCATTCATTCATTCATTCATTCATTCATTTAACTAATGTCAGTTGTGTGCCCATTCCATATAAAATGCTTAAGCTGCCTCCAAGGATAGAAATATTTTATAACCAAAATTATTATTATTATTATTTTTAAATTGAGAGGGAGTCTCCCACTGTTGCCCAGGCTGGAGTGCAATGGCGTGATCTGGGCTCACTGCAACCTCTGCCTCCCGGGTTCGTGCGATTCTCCTGCTTCAGCTTCCTGAGTAGCTGTGATTACAGGTGCACACCACCATCACGTGGCTAATTTTTTGTATTTTTAGTAGAGATGGGGTTTCACTGTGTTGGCCAGGCTGGTCTCGAACTCCTGACCTTGTGATCCGCCTGCCTCGGCCTCTGAAAGTGCTTAGATTACAGGCATGAGCCACCGTGCCCAGCCTCCAAAATTAATTTTATCATGTTGGTTCTTCTTTCAGTGGAAATTGACAACCTCTTCAGTGGCTCAGAGCAAATGTTGCAGGACAAAAAAAGAAGTCCGTATTTACTTCTTTGTATTTACCTTTCCTATGCTCAGCTATATCCAAAAAGAGTTTGAAAAGTTAGCTGTGCCTGGCTGTTACAGGAGTGAGTGGAGAAAGCAGTTAAGGGCTTTACCAGGTCTCAAGTATTACAGTTGTTTTCTCTCTGTGATGTTAGTTCTCTCAGTAGCTAAGAGGTAGAAAACCGGAGGCTCTGGAAGAGCTGCCCAATAATTATAGAGCAGCTTTCTTTCATGGCTCACAGTTCCTTCTTAGGCCTCTATAAGCGTCACAAGGAAAAGAGACCATGCCTTTCTGTGGGCACAGCATACCTTCGTTTTATTACCCAAACCAAAAACAACCTACACACACACACACACACACACACACACACACACACACACACAAAACTGTGGGGGCAGGGAGGAAGGTGTTCTTGTTCCATGACTACAGCTGATTTGAAGACTGCCAAGTAGCTTTGGGGTTAAAGATGGGTAGATTTCCAAATTATACATCATTTGTTGTATGATCATGCCAACTTTCATTTAGTTTCATTTGGTGTCCTGATAGCCACCCTCAACCAATTATTCTGCTTGTCACTCTTCCTGTCACAGCAGGGACCAACTTAGCAAAGCCTTGCTCCTCTTGTGTCTTTCGGAATTCTAGTTTAAGAACCCTTGAGCCCCTTCACAAGCAGACACATGTACCTCCACTGGAGTCAACTCTGGGCTGCATGGATGTTGACACTGGCACCATTCCTGCCTGGATTGTCCTAACCCATACCCTTGCCCTTATCCCTTTGTCAACATATTGTCCTTTAATGTCCTTGACTTAAGCACTAAAAAAGTGGTATTGGTCAAAGTTGCTCTTTCTCTCATGGGGATGGCCCCGCATCTTTTATAGGTGCAAGCTGTGTCTTAGCTGCTTCTTGCTTCTAGCCTGCCTTCCGTTTTCCTTGCTGTGAGCAGTGAGCCTTTGTGCATGGGGCAGGGAGGATTAGGGGAAAATTGGTGAGTGAGTACATGCATGCATTGGCTCATGTGTGCACTCAGAATCTTCATAGAAGATTACTCTAGCAAAACTGACTGGACCAGATTAGCCCTTCCTTCCGCTCCCTCTCTAGACAGAGAGAATGCGATTCAAGACAACAGGTATTTTGCATCTAAAAAGGACAGAGGTGAAAGGGTGGATGTCAGACTAGCCTTGTTGGACAGTCATCCAAGATAGTATGTTCATGAGGGAGCAGAGGGAGGTAGATAGAGAGGTGATACCCTTTTCCAAGAGAGCCAAAATGTTCTTTTGTTCAATTATAATAGTGGGCATTAATCATGTTGTTTAAAAATCTAATGTACACTGACGGCCAATTGAGCATTTCCTAGGGCCCAAGGAAAATGCTATGTGAGAAATTCTCTGAGCCCTGGGCTAAATTAGTCTTCAAATATGTGCTATGAAGTGATACTGTCAAAGTAGTTAGTTTATGACAGCATAAAATATTTCATTGAACTGTAAATGAAGAACACCCTGACATCCCTTTCCATTTCTTTTATTTATTTGTTTTTTTTGTTTGTTTGTTTTTTCTGAATTGCTCCTTTCTGTAATTTGGGAAAGACTGCAGTTCTTTATCTGCGATGTTTCTTCCCGTTTTTCTCAGCAGAACCAGCTGTTGACAAGGAGTATACCCTTTACACGCAATGCTCTGGGGCCCAGCAAACAAAAAAAAGAGGAACTGTGACTATTTCCCCAGGCATGCTCTTTGAAAACAGTATAGCTAGACAGGACAGATTTTGCCACTTAAACTAGGGGTGTGATGTGAGGTTTGCATTACATTCAGGATGGAAGATTTAAAATTATCCTGAGTACCTAGGAATGTTCTTTTTTTCCATGTCTTCCCCTTTAATGATTTAATTAAGACTTAAATATGTAAAGTTCTCCACCAGGACTGCCCCGTGGAACGCTGTCTGCTCCAGGTGATGTTTATAATCACAAATGGGTTCCAAGAATAAACAAAGGAAAAACAGAAAAGAGTAGAAAAGCATAGGAGACTATAGGACAGCCTGCGAATGCTGGAGAACAGGAACCAGCTGCCGTTGTTAGGAACAACTTCATGAAGGAAAAGTATTCCAGATTGCCTTTCTGTCTGGAGGCCATATTATTCATTTATTCTCTTTCTCTCTCTCCCTCTCCCCTCGCTTCCAATGAATCTCTTCACTCTAGGAGAAAGAATGACGAGAACATAACACTAGAGACAGTTTGCCATGACCCCAAGCTCCCCTACCATGACTTTATTCTGGAAGATGCTGCTTCTCCAAAGTGCATTATGAAGGAAAAAAAAAAGCCTGGTGAGACTTTCTTCATGTGTTCCTGTAGCTCTGATGAGTGCAATGACAACATCATCTTCTCAGAAGGTGAGTTTTCTTCTCTTAAGGGTGTGGGACCTGAGATCTGTGCCAATTTTTTGTATCCTTGGTCTGCAGTGTCATAGAGCACATTCCTCCTGTGGTGGATTGCATACAGTGGATTAGGAGCTCATTCAGCTGGTGGAAAGAGGGGCTTGGGGAGTAGCAGGGTTTGTTCTGGTTCTCATCAAATATGGTTGACTGGGGCAAACATTATTATTTGTCTTTGACAAATAGTTTCTTTCACCTAGAGCAGTGTTTCTCAAAGTGCGGCCTCTTGAGCAGCCAGCATCAGTATCACCTGGGAACCTGTTATAAATGCAGATTCTCAGGCCCCACTAAATGAGAAACATAGAGGGTGAACCCCAGCTATCTGTATTTTAACAAGCCCTCCCAGTAATTCTGTGCAGCTAAAATTTGGTAACTATTGTTCTAAAGATTTGGATGGGGTTGTTTAATCTTGGAGGAGGACTTTCTTTATAACTGATGTTGTTTCTTGTACATAGTCCCAGGATTTGTCTTTAGGGTACTTGTCATCGATCCCATTTGAGAGAAACATTGCAATACAGAGAGGAAATAATAAGCCAAAGTTTACCCCTAGAGCCAGGAGAAGAGTAGATTAGATACTAGCCTCCATCTTTGAAGTTCAGCGTTTACTCAGCTTGAAAGGAAGGCATACACTATTCCCTCAATTTTTAATAAGAAGAGAATTCAGTGGTTTTTAATTACAAAAGTAGTATATGCTCGTCATCAAAAATTTCAAACAATCCAACAGTGTGTGAAAATTAAAAATGAAAGTACATTTTCGTCCTCCCCTCACTCCCAATGCAACAGATCATCTGTATTGACAATGTATTAGATGCACACACGTCTCTATCATTCATTCATATTATCTCCCACTCCATCCTCTCTCCCAATCTCTCCCTGTCTTCCTTTCTCTTTCCCTCCTTTCATCCATCTGTCCATCCTTCCATCCACTCATCCATCTTTCAGTACAACTATCTGATCATACTATAAATATTATTTTGCAACACTTTTTTATACCCAACCACTTTTACAATTCCTTCTAAACAAGATAGAACACATAGATATACTGTACATCTTTTAATTTAGTCTCGAATTTCATATTATCTCCCACGATGGATCTTATCATGTCCCTGTTGATGGATTGTCTTCAGTTTTTCCACTTAATGCTACATTGAATATCTTTGTAAAAATATCTCATGCATTTGTGCTAATATTTCTGCAAGGCAGATTGCCAGAAGTGAAATTTCTAGATTAGAAATATGTGTATTTTAAATTTGAATAAGCACTACTAAACTATTCTCCTCCTGAAAAGGATGTAAGCATATGGATTTCCGTGTACCTTCTCCAACACTGGGAATGGATAAGTCTTTTAATTTTACCAGCGTGGTAGTGTAAATGTTAGTTTAGTCAACAATAGGTCTGATTTAATTAAAAAATCTTTTTGAAATACAAATGCTGGCTCTACACCCTATCTCTGCGGCCATGTGCATTCCACCTGCGAGAAGCTATGTGTCCTCGTGTTTCGTGTTTGGTGCTCAGTAGCACTGCAGATCCAGCTTGTTCTCTTCCTGTGTCCTTCACCTACTGCCATTCTCCCTATCTTCCTGTCCAACATCCCCCAGGCCAACTTCTCAGTGAACTGAAGGCAGGCATGCACATCTTGTCAGGGCAACGCTTTCCAGATTACTCTTCCTTCCTATGTTCTCATCCTCATCCTGTAAATGGTCCATTTCTCTCGTTTTCTTTTCTGGTTGTTTTTTTTTTTTTTTTTTTTTTGACGGAGTCTCACTCTGTCGCCCAGGCTGGAGTGCAATGGCACGATCTTGGCTCACTGCAACCTCTGCCTCCCAGGTTCAAGTGATCCTCCTGCCTCAGCCTCCTGAGTAGGTGGGACTGCAGGAGTGTGCCACCATACCCAGCTAATCTTTGTATTTTTAGTAGAGACGAGTTTCACCATGTTCGTCAGTCTGGTCTCGAACTCCTGACCTCAGGTGAATAACCTGCCTTGGCCTCCCAAAGTGCTAGAATTACAGGCATGAACCACTGTGCTTGGCCTCATGTTCTTTATGTGATTTGAGTTAGGAGGGAAATCTAAATAGTTTAATCACATGAAACATGGTAACACCTGATATTCTGACTTACCAGGTCAGCTTTCTTCAAGTAGATCACCTTTTAAAAGAAGGCCTAGGCTAAGCCAAAGGAATTAATCTCTGACAGTAGAATACCCAGGCATGTTTACTAGCATTGAAGAAACTTTTCTCTCCTTCTGTATACCAGCTTGTCTACAGTAGACAAGTTTATTTCCTCCAAAAGGACAAAAGTTGATAAATGGCCTGCAAGTTGGATCTATATTTTATCATTGAATATCTTTGTCAAAATATATCATGCATTTTATATTTTACTATGAGCCTTTCAGATACTAATGACTTCCATTTTCAGAGTCTTTCAACTCAAGTGATCATCATGGGCATCCCTCATATTTTTCCTCTTATTTATTCTCAGACTTTCTTATGAAGTGAGATAATAAGCATAAAGACAATTTCTCACTGTACAGTACAGGAAGCCTTTCACAGCTGACGACTCAAATGTCTGGGTGATTTCAGAGTCTTCTAAAATGCTCCAGAAGGTAGGGGGTGTTTGCTTTTTAAGCATCTCTTTTCTGTGTGGTGGGATATTTCTTCCACCTAAAACAGCAGACATTAGGAGCAACATTTTATATTCCATTTCTCCCCTTATTGCCACCATCTCTTCTTTATCTTGAGGAATGAAAACTTTTTTTTTTTTTTTTTTTGAGACAGAGTCTCACTCTGTCACCCGGGCTGGAGTGCAATGGTGCAGTCTCGGCTCACTGCAACCTCTGCCTCCTGGATTCAAGCAATTCTCCTGCCTCAGCCTCTCAAGTAGCTGGGATTACAGGCATCTGCCACCATGCCCGGCTAATTTTTATGTTTTTAGTAGAGACGGGGTTTCACCATGTTGATCAGGCTGGTCTCAAACTCTTGACCTCAGATGATCCACCTGCCTCAGCCTCCCAAAGTGCTAGGATTACAGGCATGAGCCACCACACCCGGCCAGAATGAAAACTCTTAATGTTGATTTGTCTACTCCAAGTCCAACAAGGTGGTGAACACAAAAGCTATGAAGTGCATTGTGGCTGTATTATTAGTAGTACAGTACTCTTGTTGGCAAGTTCCTGATCTGCAGCTACACAATGGATGATAATTATGTACATCTACCTTTTTTAATATGTAAGAAAAAAAAGTTGAGCCACAAGATTTTAAGTATGGATCTTTATTTCTAGTGCTACTATTAATGATAGTTAATATTCAGAGAAAACATACTGTCGCTGTGCAGGGAGCTCAGCCCTTTCCAAGCATGACCTCATTTAATCTTATAGCCACCCCATGCGAGTAGGCACTGTTAGGATCCCTGTTTATGCATGAGAAAACCAGGCTTAGAGAAATTTAACACTTTGTCTACAATCAAACAACTAGTGGGTATCAAAGCTAGGATTTATAATGGGATATGTAAGGCACTAAAACCTGTGAAGGTTTTCCTTTTTTCCTTTTTTAATTCTTTCCTTTTTTCCTCTTTTTATTTCCTTCTTTCTCTTTATATCTCTGTATGTTTCCAAAGAGATAATATATGCATATGATAAAAAATTCAAATGCTAGACAAATTCAAACATCTAGACAAAATGGTGCAGAGATTTAACATTTGTTCCTTTTGTTGTTGTTGTAAATGAGGCTTGGTTGTCTGTAGAGGCAGAGGAACACGGTAACATCTTGACATCAGACACTGGTGTCATAGATGCCCTTTCCTCAGAGGACTGAGATCATGGTTTTTAGAATGAAAGAGTTAAAGAAACCTTGCTGTTTTTTTCTTTGAACCGGGTACCTACCCTTAACCCTGGAATCCCTCAGTGGGGCCTAGTGCCAGTTCCCCTGCCTCCCTACAGTGACCAAGGGCAGGCAGGGGTCAAGAAACAACTAGAATGGGGCTGGGGTCTGCACTGCACAACTGTTCTCTCACATTCATGCTTCCCTCCCAGTCTCTGAAGATTCCCTCCTGCCAGAACATTTTGTGTAGAATTCTAAGGAAATCAGAGTCTATCCCTGTACTAACCAACATATAAAATTCCAATTAGAAGAGAAGTTGTTTGGATTGGTCATGATGGATGGCCTGGTGACAGCTGTCAGTCAGACGAGACCTGATGGGCACCAGGACTGAAGGCAGCAGCACAGGAGGTAGGAGAGGAAGGAATCCTGAGCAAATAGCCATGCTGTTTACTTGCCAATGACATCCCCACTTTGCAAAGACATGATATGGTTATTGATCTCTCACTGAACCTGTAAGAATCAAACACAACAACTCAGTTTTATTCATTTCATAAATGGTTTCCAAGTGCAGTCAGACATTTAATTTGTGGAACACTGAGCGAAGAGGTGATTTCTGCTGGTTTAGGTAAGAGAGAAACGGTCTAGTGTAATACTCAAGAATGAGCTAGATCTCCTGGATTTAAGGCTTATTCTACAGCTTATTAGCTCTGCTATGTTGGGCCAGTGACTTGACATCTCCATGCTTCAGTCTCTTCATCTGTAAAATGGAAATACAAAGCGGGTGGGAGGTGTTGTGAGGATTGAGTAGATTAATGCATGTAAAGTGCTTGCAACGTTGCCTGACATGTCACTGTCTGTTAGCTGTTAGCAGTAGTTGGGCTTTTTATAGAGGGCTGGTGACTTGTGCTTGTCTGAATGCAGGAAACCAGGCCTGTGTAGCCTTCGGTCTGTTCTAACACTGAAGTTTTGTAGTTGAGTGCTGACTGTGGTGCATAAACTGAGCATTTGGATACCTACATATCACACCACAAGGTTTTGGAGGGGCTCACTTTGCTTTAATCCCTGTTTCATCCAGTTTCTCTTTTTCTCCACATGCCTTCACAGAGGCAAGGGGAGCATGCTGAGTCTAGAATTTCTAATCAAAGCTAACCACATCCCTGTCATTGTTGGATAATATTACAAATTAGACACGTTGTTCCTGTTTTGACTCAGAATCACAGCAGGAAGCAGCTAAATAAAACTGAAACAACCCACAAGTGCCTTTCACATAAGTGATTAGGGTAATCGCAGTTCTGTACTTGCCAAAGGGATTCATTCCCTCTTCATTTTTTCCATGGAAAGCTTGCTTTGGGCCACAAGGCCTTCTCTTTGAATGACTGCGCCATTATTGGCCAAGTAGTGCTGATAAATGGTACCTGTGGGTTGTTGTGGGATTTAAGGAGATGATGCTTGGGAGCGCCCAGCACAGTGGCTGGCACACAGTAGGTGCATCCTTTCTTACTTCTTCTTCCCCTGATTAACGAGAACACTCTACACCAAGACACATACCTCTTCTGAACGGTATAAACCGTTGCTACTGAAAGTGTCTAGACCAGCAGCAGCAGGATCACCCGGGAGCTTATTAGAACTGCACAACCTTGGGTCCTCTGGGGCCTATTGCATTAGCATCTGCCTGTAACAAGGCCTTCAGTGATTTGTTTGCACACTGAAGTGTGAGAAGCACTGGTGTGAACTCACCAGGTAGGGATGGAACCAGAGATGGAGGTCTTATTAACTTCATGCTGGTAACTCCCTGAGCTAATGGGCCCATGAGGAATAAATTTGGTCTAAAGCCTGGTCATTTGGAAATGAACTAAATATACTTTACTCAGTCAGCTTGTGTAACAGAGCTCTCCAGTGGCATGTGGGTCTTTTTCAGCAGTGACAATAGTTTATTTTTTAAATATACTCCACAAATGTTGTTCTGGTGTGGATCTTAATGTGGAGAAAATCAGACACCTTTTCAGTAAGCATTTCTTTTGTTTCTGTGATCATGTTCATGTTAGTTTATTGTATTTGTATTAGTTTATCTGTGGGACTATCCCTTAATATTTCCCAAAACAAGAAGACATTTGCGAATGTTTTCAAGATGCATTGTACAAGATACTGTTTTGAACTGGATCAATGAAGGAGATGTTTGGTGGCCTTGGAAAGCCCTGGAGAGTAATAGTGTGGTTCTAAGAAGAGTTGGCCTGAATCAGTTCATTCTTGGGTTGTTTGCTAAGATTGTCTGCTGAAGGTGGGTACGTGGAAAACAAGATGGTAAGCCAAGGAGGATGAAGGGAGGCATGCTGCTGGACCACTTCCAGCTCCCAAATGACTGGATCTTGGCCATCTTGCTTTTCCTGCTAACTTAGAACTGAACTGCTTATTCTAGAAAATGAGAGGCACTGGGGCCATATAGGAAAGGGATAGCATTGGACCCAAGTCCTAGACTTTCAGTAGTTTGTTTGCAGGACCAGGGTCCCACCCCTTTTCCAATTGAAATGTAGGCAAGGTGGTGGCAAGCCCATGGCCTAGGCTGTGGGAACTCATAGAACAACTATAGTGATGATCGCTGCCTTGGATTGCAGCCTACTCTGAATGTGTGCACCTGTGCTAACTACTTTCAGGTGTGTTGTCTTGTTTCATAGACTCATTACATTTTTATGATGAAGTGAAACCCGTGAATTGGCTCCTCCAGACTTCTCATTTTAATGACAAAAAAGTGGGTCTCCAGAGAGGAGCTGGGATTTTCCAAGATCTCATAGTTTGTTCCTCACTTTTTGTCCGTAGGAGAATCATAGAAGAACCAGATAATCTTGTCTCTTATAGAAGGAATACCCTTACCCTTCCACATTCCCGTGGTGGTGGTGTGTTTGCTTTTTTATCAGTCTTAACCCATGGGAGGCTGCACAACTTACATAAGAGGCTACCTGTTCTGTTTGCCAAACGGCAGCCCAGACCCATCACTGAGCATGTCCTTGGCAAGAGGCACAACCTCAGGCTGACACTGTTTCCATGTCCGTGAGAAATGATGTGTATAAACGATGGCCAGTAAGATGCTCATCTGTTGGGAAGACAACAGAGGGCAGGGCTGAGAGCATGGCTTCCCTGCTGATTGCCTGTGTTCAGATCCCAGCTCAGCCGTGTGTAAGCTCTTGGTTCTTGGGGTAACTACTTGTTTACCTCTCTGAAAAATGGGAGTAGAAATAATGAATACTTTTAATAGGATTATTTTGAGGATAAATGTATTTATTTATGTAGAGAACTTGGCACGGCACCTGGCACAGAGTGAGCACTTAATGAATTTTGACTGTAAATAGTTATTACTGTTCCACTAGATTCAAATTTCTTATCTTTGCCTTTAGCTGGATGAGTGAGGAGATTTGTACCAACGTCATGTATTCTCCTCTTCCCTGCAAATTCCTCCACCTGAGTCCTATTGAGGTGCTCCCCATTATAAGGAGTCCTGTGAATCAAAGTGGTATGTTTACTGTAAAGAATGTGGAGGATGCTGTTCACTGCATTGTATTGTTATCTTCATGAGGAAGCCAGGAGACATTTATTTTGGCTCTCTGTTTTAGAAAGGTGTTCTCCTCATGACGACCTGTTTGCCTCTGATCTTAAGGACACTTTGAAGCATACCGAGCAGGGGTCTGCAAACTTCTTTGATAACAGGCAAGATAGTAAATATTTTCAGCTTTGCAGGGCAGAGTCTCTGTCACAGCTACTCAACTCTTCTGTGGTAGCAGCCACAGACAGTGTGTAAGTGATTGGACGTGGCTGTGTTCCAGTACAACTTCATTTACAAAAACAGGGCTCAGGCCAACCCCTGATAGAGATATTCATGGTTTTTGTGTTTCTCTCTCAAATGCTAACTACCAGAAAAGCTTAGAGTCAAATCTGAATCATGCTTCTAGCAAATATGTACCTACACATTTAGCATACTAATATCACTCTTGCTTACCAGTTTTTACCCTGTTTTCTCACATTTATATTCCATTTGTCATAATTATAGCTCCTGTCTTGACTGTATCTTCTTTCACTGTGTTTTTTGTTGTTGTCGTTGTTGTTGTTTTTGGGAATGGGATAGGACTGTAAGTAAATAAATCAATTATATCTTGCTAGCTTAGAAACCAGGACTTGAGTAACCACTTCTGACTCAAAGTTCAATCTATGTGGTTAAATAGGGAAGCAGACCATAAGATGTATGCCCAGTGGTGCACGTTGCTGACTCGCAAGCTATGTGCAGGCTTTAGCATTTAGTGTGGTGATGTGTGCCCTCTAACCTGAGATGTTGAGAGAGGGGCAGAGAAGAAGACTTCTTGTAGCCACAAAGTTTCATTCCTTCCTCTCTCATTGTTGTAGCATTTCTTTTAAGTGAAAACAGCCTTTTTGGTTTGCTAGCCTATCTCTGGCAGGAAGACAAATTATTTTTTTACAGTATCAGACACGCGGTTTCCTGTCTATGTTTAACTTGCTAGCAGAACATCTCAGCCAGCTGGTTCCCTCTGGACCCATTGTGTCCTTAATGTCGTTGCTTTACACCATCCAGCAAACCCACTCTGTGTACTGATCGCATGCATTGAGCATTTTGTTGACTTCCGTTGTTTTCCGAGTAAGGGAAGTCTTAGAAATGCTGCCCTCTTTCTCCCAAATCTCATTTTATGTTTGTTCAGCTCCAACACCAGGGAGCTGGCTTCTTGGGGAAATGATTAGTTCTTGCATGTAAGAAATGAAAAGAGTAAATGGTGTTTTGGTAGCTCTGGGGGATTTTAGGTATGCTGCCTTGGAACTGTGCACTCACGCCTCAAAATAGCTGGCTTTCCAGCTGTGCATTTTTGTTTCAAAAGAAACAAACCAGATTTACTTTCTGGTCTAAATGCAGAAGAAAAAATAAGTGTGGAAATATGGTTGAGAAAAGTTGTTAGAAGAGGAAGAAAATTATGGATTAAAGTTGCTAGTCTCATTCCTGAGAAGAGAAATCAGTTATTTGAGGTGATGACTCAGAGCTGAAGCAGCTTTTTGTTGTGAACCAGCCTTGGTTAGAAAGCACACTTGGAATTCATCAATATGGCCCTATGTCTGGCCAAGGAAATAATAAAGATTTTGCATGATAGAGGACACTGTGACTCAGTTGAAGGAAGCTTAGAATGTATTTGAACTGAATTAAGGCAAAAGCAACTCGCTTTTCAAGATTTTTTTTTTTCCTAAGTAGCAAAGTAAACAAAGCTGCACTGAGGCCAGATGTGCTTTCTGGTTGTGAATATTTGTACTCTAGAACCTCATTCTGGTATGAATCAGCAGAGTGGAATCTAGTATGGACACAGGCTGTCTCAAATTCCATCCACTGGATATGAGTGGCCAAGAAAGCAGTCGGACCCATACTGCTGGTGCTGTAGCAAGGTTCGGGTGGTTCCTCTGCAGCCTCAGGTCTCTCCCACTGCGGCCTCCATGTGTTCCATAAACTCCACACCCATGAGTAATGGCAAGAAGGGTCCACTGAGACCTTTTGCTGCTTTGCGAGTGTCTCAGTGTCCCACCAGGGGAAAAAAAAGGCTCAGGGAGGTGGCTAACCACTGTGAAATTGACTTTTATTTCCACCCACGTATACTCCAGAGGCTGTATTCACCACCATTTGGACATCTGGATGACTTGCCTTTGGAAAGTCCTTTTGTATTCTAAATCGCTCCTGCATGTTACCTGTTGTGGAAAATATCAATTTTGCCATTACAAATTATGCTTTTTTTTAAAAACATGTTAACTTTTAGAGAAATAATTTATATTTGCTTATCTACTTTTAAAAATATACATATATATGCCTTTTGTTGCCTAATTAGAGGATATAGTTGGTTCCAATGTCAAGAACAATTTCTCTGAAATGTAGTCATTAAAATTATTCCCATGTCTTTCATTTTCCAGGCCCCATCCTATTCGAAATACCTGTTTCTTCCACCAGGCTGATGTAGTTATGCTTAGGCTTGGCTGCACATTGGAAACACCTGAGTAGCTTTAAAAACTACTCATTAACTGGGTCTTACTCCTGCAGTTTCTGACTTAATTGGTCTGGGGCCTGGTATCAGGAATTATTTTTTAATTCTTCAAGATATTTTAATATGCAGCCCACATTGGGAACCACTGGACTCAAGACAGTTTGTTCTGCCAAATCTTTTTATATTTTTCGTCACGTTCCCCCTGTAGCCTGGAAAGGGACGGTAACAATTAAAGAATGGCAGCTACCACAGGAAGGAGCCAAAATTATGCCTTCGAAGGTTAGAGGAGGAGAAAAACCAACACCTGTTTTACCCCATCCTTGGAGGAATAGCAAGACACTTTAAGAGGGGATATTATTTTGTTTTCTACAACAATTTACAAGCAATTGCTTTGGAACAAGGTCAACGGCCTCATTGGGAATAGGCATCTTAGCTTTTAAAACTGATTAAATTATACGTTAAAGGAAAGCACATTTTAAACCTTAATGTGTCCAAAAGGTTGGATGGCAAGGTTTGGGTGCTACTGCCTTGGCAGAGACAAGGCAGGGACCAGGGAGGCTGTGTGCATGATTTTAGGAGGTGAGAAACTCAGGTGGGAAGGAATTGCAGAAGCCTGTGGTTCACCTGGAAAGCCAGGGAGAGAGAGAGGATGTATTCTGGTGACCTAACAGGTATTGTGAATAATGAATATGCTTTTCCAAAGCGATCTGGTCTCCCTGTTGGAGAGCATCCTGAAATAACTTAAGAAATGTACCTTGCTTTCAGGTTTCCTGAGAACATGAGGGCCCCTAGACAGAGTACAAGGTGTAATTCAGACAGCCAGCCAGAAAAAGAATTAAAGAATCAGGGCAGGTGTGGGGATCCTAACAAAACCTAAGCTTTTAGTAGTCAGAAAACTGCAATAACACAGAAAAGAAAATGAAAAAAAATCTTGTTCCAAAGAACATATATCAGGTGTGAAACTCTCTTTGTGGGAGGACAGATGTGTCATCATTTCCTGGACAAAGCCTGGTACCTTGTAGGCACCCTCCTAATGTTGGTTGCCCTCCTTTTAAAGTCAGAGCAAGAGAAGTAGCAGGAATCTATATCCTAAGGAGGAACATAAAGGGTGAAAAGCACAGTGGAAGGGATGCCTAAAAGAGCAAAGGCTGAATCAGGGTTTTAATGGCCTGAAATGACCAATTTTCTAAAACTTGACAGGTAGATGTAAAATCAGACATATAGGTTCAAACAATCGATTGCAAAGGAGCACTTGTCAAAACACTGGCTGGGAATCTGCTCATGTGATGAAG
Organism: Homo sapiens; assembly: GCF_000001405.40. Lineage (NCBI taxonomy): Eukaryota > Metazoa > Chordata > Mammalia > Primates > Hominidae > Homo > Homo sapiens. Next base: position 30,661,624 of record NC_000003.12, read on the forward strand.
ACCCCAGGGTTTAGAGGTGAGTTAAGGTCATTTTGAAATCAGGATGATCTGGCTGAAAGAATCAAAACAAAACAGAAAGAACAAACCATCAGGAGCCTTAAACTCCACTTGGTGGAAGAGGAGGTGAGAGTCCTGCTGTAATCTTTGCTACACAAGTTATATTCCAAGTATTATATCTGTGTCTATCAAAACACATGATGAAGAATCTTAAATAGCAAGCGTGGTTTCAGAGAACAGATCACTTTACCCTTAGAAAAAAGGTCCTGGCATTTATTGGGCGCTATATGCTGGGCAGGCTGATTTTAGGGTCTGATAAATCTGTCAGACTTTAGAGTCTCATCAATGTATCTCTTGAAAAGTAACCGAGGAAAACATGGCTGTTCAACCTGAAAATGAAATGATCTAGGGGTTGTGAGTTTCATATCCAGCAGGAGTTTAATAGTTCTCATCCCATAGAAAACGGATTCATTTTGTTACTTTTTGCTTTAGAGAACAGCAGAAGGACCAATAATAGAAGCACACAGAGGCTACATTTGACTTAATGTAAAGAATAATTTTAAACATATCCCAATATTTAGACTTTATCCCAATATATCTGCAGTTAGAAATATTGTGATTTGATTATGGAATGATAACAAAGGAATGATGTCCTTCTACCATAACATTTTCAGGCAGAGGTTTCACCTCTACCTCTCATGGGTATTCTAGAAAGAGATTATCATACTGGATTAGAATACATGCAAGGCTTTTCCATCTGGGAGAGAGATAAGAAGGAAATAATACAAAGGAGACTGTGCCATGGGATAGGAGAGGTGGCGAATAGCTTTGTTCTGAAATATGTGCAGTTGGAATAAAACAACCACATTGATTGGAGAGAAGACTTCTTTCATCATTTGAGGAAAAAATACTCTCAAAATATATCCAGAATGTCAAACAGTGCTATCAATAGCTAGAAGTTAAATTAAATCCTTCATTGCTAGTGAGCTTACTGTCCTTTTGTTGTTTAATTGAAATGACTTTTTATTGTTTGCCTAAATTGGTGTGCTTTTTACTAGGATGATGGATGGGGAAGCATATCTCATTCTACACTCCTCCACCAGTTAATTGACTAGAAAATTATCATGGGCCATTTTCTCATTGGCTAGTGCTGAATACAGCTGTACCAGAGCTTTGCAAACAATTCCACTAAGAAATTTTTTGTAGGAGGAAAGCATCTCTATGGCAGAGTACCAAAGAACTTAACTTTATTTTTGCTAAACTGTTTAGCAAGAATAAAATTTACCTCTGAAACTTGAATGTGTAAATGAATCACTGAGAGAACTTTTAAATGTAGATTCTGATTCAGTTAGTTGAGGACAGCGCTAAGACTCTGCATTTCCAGTAAGTTCCCAGGGGATGCTGATGACTGCTGGTCTGCGGGCACACTTAGAATAACGAGGTGACAAGTTATTCTTTATGTAACATGCCAACAAAATTTTTAAAGGTACAGAAAATGATGGCAAGATCTTTGAACTCTGCAATATGAAGCATATATGTGAGTGCTTAGCTTTCACTCTCTTTCTGTGTGTGTGTGTGTGTATACAGATACTAAGACACAGATACATTCACATATATACATCTAAATATATATACAGTACAGTCCATATTCAGATTTCTTCAAGGTTAATGGGTCTATTGTTTAAATTCGGAATCCAGTCAAGGACAACACATTAAAATTGATTGTTTTGCCTCTACAGTGTGTTTTTTTGGTTTTCATGACATTGACTTTGATTTGAATAGGTCAGACCATTTCATGTACTTTATAAAGGCACTTTGTAGATTTGTCTGATGATTTGATTAATTCAGATTAAACATTTTTTAAAGATTCTGGTGTTTTTATTGTAGGAAGTTTTTTTAAAACAGTAATTCTGCAAAAAAGCAAGGTTTGCCATTTGTATTCAGTCATATTAGTAGCAAGACGACTACAGATGCATACTTGGATGATAAAACAAGTTTAAAAGCTCAAGAAAATGATAACTATAAAAGCCAGGAATAGTGATTACTTTTTAGAGGAAGGGAGGGATCTCCGATTGAGTTGGGGAACATGAACAGACTTCTGGGGTGGCCAGCAAAATTATATTTTCTGACCTGACCAGTGGTTACAAGAGTGTTGATCTTATAGTAATTCACTAAGCCAGACACTTGTTTTATGCACTTTTCTGTATCTGTGTTTTATTTTGGAATGAATTCTTTTTCACAAGAGAGAAATCAGAGTAATTTCTCTAGTTTTGAGGGCCATACTGTGCTCTTGGGCCAAGTATATTATTTTAAATACCCTTAGGAGAAAGGAAAGAGGAAGAGAGGGCTAACTTTTTTGGGGGGGGGAGTTGGGGGGGCAGGGGGAGATGTTCTCGTTCTGTTGCCCAGGCTAAAATGCAGTGGCACCATTATAGCTCACTGCAGTCTTGAACTTCTGGGCTCGTGATCCTCCTGCCTCAGCCTTTTAAGTAGCTCAGATTACATGCCCACACCACCACATCCAGCTAATTTTTTTTTTTTTTTATACAGACAGGGTCTCAATATATTGCCCAGGCTGGTGTCAAACTCCTGGGCTCAAGTGATCCTCCCACCTCAGCCTCACGAAGTGCTGGGATTACAGGTGTGAGGCACCATATCTTCCCCCCATTTTTTTTTAATCATCTGAGTGGCTTCAAAGCTTTTGTTCTTTCCATACCACCAAGCTATCTCCTTAACAATGAACTGTGAGATCCATTTAATAATTCTGAAAATTTCCAGTCACTTCTGTCACTCATAGAGGCCAGACTTAGTTGCAAATAAGGAGCCATTTGCAAATGTCAGAGTCTTGTTACATAAATATTTTTTTAAAGACAAATGTCAAATTCTTTTTTTTTCTGTCTTCCAAAGATAAATGTTAGTATGCCATAAAAAAAAATACAAACTGGCAGAAAACCTCAAGGGGAAATCCTGTGGTATACTTTCCTTTGGAGTGATTGAAAAGTAAACAATTTGTCTTATAACTTGAGTATGCATGTGCGCACACACATGCACACGCGCGTGCGCGCACACACACGTTGCTCTCAGCCTCTTTTATGTCCTTTGTTATGCCGACACCAGTTCCTAAAAGGAACTTAAAACTGAACCTCCCTAATCCACTATTTTAAATAAAAGTCACTTGGTTAAAAAAATAAAAGCATTAAATTAAGGCCAACTTGGTAAATAAAATCCTATGTGGATCAGTTAATGTGTCTTGATAAAAAGCAAATCAACATAGCTGAATTTGGGAGATAGGCTCCTACTTTAATATTTGAAGTAGTTTGGCAATTCCTCCACTCGGTAAAGGAGTTTAGGGTGAACATTTAGTGGGATACTAATTTATCCGAGCAATAGAAAGGGACGTGGATGACAGTTTTTCGCACACCTTGGTGTATTAGTGCACTAATGAGCCTCAGATGCCAAGAGAGATTCTTGTGAAGTTGGCAGTGAAGCTCTAGCCGCAAGGATGTTCACATGCCAGCATGTTCACCTAAAGCGAGAGTATATATGCAACTGGCTGAGATCCAAAGAAGGAAACTGTGCTAAAGAGAGATAGCTGAGGGGAAGGAAGAACTTCCTGTCTCAAGTCATGTTAATTATAACATTAAAAGGACAGCATTCATTTATTGAGTACTTACTAGGAACAACTTTTACTTAACAAGAATACTTATTTACTAAGTAGACAAAAATGTTGTAGAAGCAACCAAGGTTCAGTATCCTCCTCTGTAAAACGGGGGTAAGAGAATCTAACTCATACATAGGGTTATTGGAGAAATAAAGTAGATCATGTTTACAAAATAAATTGTCCGGTGCCTAACCCAACAAAGCACATCGTATATGAGTTATCTTTCTTATTGTTACAAGATTTCAAAGGAGGGCTTCTCCTCAAATTCTACACTGCGGAGCTCCCTTCCCACTCCACAGAAGCTCCGACAGCATCCACAGTTGTCCATGTGCAGCACAACAAATCAAGCCAGGCAGATCTCCCATTGGCACTAGTTACCAACTTCCTAGAGAAACCCATCAATCTCAAAATTCCTGCTCTAGCAAGTCCTGGAAAAGAGACTAGAGCCCAAATGCCTTCACTCTGCCAAGGGAGCTTCCCTTTTTGTGTGTCTGTGCCATGGACTTCTTGAAGTAGGGAAGCCTGTGGACCCCTTCTCACTGTGATGTTTTTTAAATGCATAAAATAGAACATGGAGTATTTCAAAGAAAACCAATTACATTGAAATACAATGACCAAATATTTTAAAAATGAATTTGTGTTATAGTAATATATGTTTCTATAATAATGCTTTAAATAACAATAGCAGCAGATCTAAACAATTGAAATGTCTAAATGGTGAGCGTAAGTCACATGCTGAGACGTCTGCAACAACAAACTCATAGGTACAGCTGATACTAGGAAATATTAATTTTTAATTAAAGGTTAGAGAAAATAAAAAAAGATGCAATTTTTGCCCATTCAAATTCACAGACCCACTGAACTCTATTTATGGAACCCAGGCTAAAAATGTTTACTATTATAGCCTCATTTTTTTATGGGCCTTGGATAAATTCCACCCTTATTTTTAATGCCCTTCAGAGCTATATCTGGTTCAATGTTATTACTATTCATGGAAGGTCCCAATAGTGCAACAATTATGTTTTGAGCTCTGCTAAGATCTAGGCCATGAGAATAGGCTCTGAGAAAAGAAAAAGATTTGGGGGTTCTCCTTCACATAAAACTTTTTATTTCCTGGCAGGAAAAAGATGCATATTTACAGAGACACTACTAAACTGTGGTTCTTAGTTCAGAACAAAGGAATATAATCCCCATACCCAAAATATACTCCTTTAGACACATTATACAAGAATTGCCAATGTCAGTCGGTGGATGGCTGTAAAATCACTTAGTCCAGGCTACACTAAAGAAAAACACTTTATCAAATTGGGAGCTTATATAAAGTCATTCTTCCCCTCCCCCGCAACCCCTACCCCCCCATCCCCGCCCGCACAAACACAGGGTCTTGCTCTGTTACCCAGGCTGGAATGCAGTGGCAGGATCATAGTGTGCTGCCGCCTTGAACTCCTGCCTCAAGTAAAGTAATCCTCCTGCCTCAGCCACCGTAATAGCTGGGACTACAGGAAGCACCACAGTGTCTGGCTAATTTTTTTTTTTTTTAAGTTTGTGTAGAGACAGTCTCACTATGTTGCCCAGGCTAGTCTCAAACTCCTAGGCTCAAGTGATTCTCCCGCCAAAGTGCTAGGATTTCAGGTGTGAGCCACCACACCCAGCCTAAGGTCATTGCCATTCTTAGTTGGCTCTCACCAATATGAAGTTTAGAGATCAGGTATGGGGTTGAGATCAGAAGTCTCTCCAATCAGGCAATGCTCATTGTAAATACCAGCTTTGCTGTTGCCTAAATTTATCATCTGGGAAAATTACTTAAACTGTCTGATCTTTAGCTTCCCTATCTGTAAAATGGGGTTTATAATAATAGCAGTTTCTACCTCATAGGGTTTTTCTATCAATTAAATTTAAATATTCTATAAAATCCTTAGCACACAGCCAGGAACTTAGTAAGTGTTCAGTTTATGAGTTTCTCTGTAACTGGCGGCTGATGAAAAGAAGCATTTCCTGTTGGTCTTCGACTAAAGGAGATGCTGGCTTGTACCTACACCAACAGCTGTTGGGTTTTCTAGTAGCAACCCAAGGGTTAATACTGCCAGAGGGTGTGGGTGGCTCCTGTTTAGATAAAGCCACATCCCAAAGCTTCCTTCCAGCCCTGGTTGCTATTGTTAGAGTTTTTCACCACCTCTTTGAAGTTTCAAGATTGACAGATGTTATTCAAGAATTCCTCCCCCTCAAATTTTTTAAGTGTAAGTCTTCTAAAGAAATAACAGGAAATTTTAGGAGAAAGTAAAACTTTGGTTTCTGACATTGAACTGGGGATTTCTAGAATCTTCTTCAGTCAGTGCCACACATAAACTTAAGGGGATTTCTGTTTTTGTGTTTCCTTTAGGCTAAAAAGGAATTGAAATTAGCAAATACGACTGTTTTTATAGATATTTAGGAATTGTAAAATAAAATTATCCATGATGAATCAACATTTCATCTGGACGTTTTAGTGAATTAAGGACAAAGCTAAGTAATTATGCAGTTAATATTTAAATTTTTTCAAATTGTATTTCTCATATGTGAAAAAAAATTGACTACATATTCACATTTGGCCAAAGTGAAGTCTCTCCAGATTCTGCCAATGAGGTTATTAAAATAACACCTCTAGAACAGGGGTCAGCAAAGTTTTTCTGTGAAGGGCCAGATAGTAAATATTTTAGGCTTTCTGGGCCAGATAAGATCTCTGTTGCATGAACCTCTTAGTTTTATTGTTTTTTAAACAACTCTTTAAAAATGGGGATGGAAATCATTCTTAGGTCATAGGACTATACAAAAGCAGGCCATGGACTTCTGAGCCATAGTTTGTCAAACCTTGCTGTAAAATATAAAAAATTTGAGAAGTATCATTCCACGTAAGTAATCATTCAGCTTCTAAAACAAACGTTTGTTGAATACCATAAATTGCCCCATTCTGCCCCAGGTGCTGTGTATATCATGATGATCAAAACAGACCTGGCCACTACCCTGCTTTGTCAGGAGAGAAGCAATCAGATAATCAAGTGGATTTCTGATTATAAGACATTCCATGTAGTTACAGACACAGAGACCGGAGACAAGTGGGTACTTCAAGCAAACACATTCATTGGATACCACATATAATAGAGGTGGAGTTTCAGGCAGGGAGCATTGTGGAAGTGGTAAGCCTAAGTGGAAATGCCGACTGCTGGATCGGCTGTTGTGTTTGAATTTGTGTTGTGTTCATCTGCCCCCTTAATTTTGTTTGCTGTACAACAGGGACAGTCCATACATCTCCACAAGAGCATCTTTTTTTTCTTTTGCATTCAATCATTCTGTAATTGCTTTGTCCCACCCCATTTCTGCCCTACTCTTGCCTGTTCTTTGTCCCAATCCAAGCCTCCCAGTGTAAGAATTTATGTTTTTAAGGATCAATCACCAAATTTTCTCACTTTCCCTATACTTTTAAAATGCATTCATATATCTTTCCAAAAAATGGTGATTTTTTTTTTCCCTCTTGGTTGCTGGAATTCTGATATCTTGGGGTTACTTCTCTGGTTACTAGACCCAAGATTTTCATCTAGAATATATAGTCAGTGGAAGTTGGCATTTCCACTCAGACTTACCTTAAGAACAAGTAATCATATTACACATAAACCTTAAAAATGGATATGTACCAGCTTCATTTCTCACTGTTTCGTTAGATGAAAGTTTCAGATGCTGGGCCAAGCGCAGTGGCTCACGCCTGTAATCCCAGCACTTTTGGAGGCCAAGGCGGGCAGATCACAAGGTCAGGAGTTCAAGACCAGCCTGGCCAACATGGTGAAACCCCGTCTCCACTAAAAATACAAAAAAAAAAAAAAAAAAAAAAAAAAAAAAAGCTGGGCATAGAGGCTAAGGCAGGAGAATGGCTTGAACCCAGGAGGCAAGGTTGCAGTGAGCAGAGATCGTGCCATTGCACTGCTGCCTGGGTAACAGAGCAAGACTCCATCTCGAGAAAAAAAAAAGAAAGTATCAGATGCTGAAGTAGCTATGTAGACTGGGGTATATAACCTGGGGTTCATCATCATGAGCCAGGAAAATTTAGGATATGAACACACATGAGGAGTTTAGGAGTGGAGGTTTAATAGGCAGAAGAGAAGAGAAAGAGAAACAATTCTCTCTGTAGAGAAAGGAGTCTCCAAGCGGAAAGGACGGGCCAGTGGTGAATGTGCTGGATTTTATAGTCCCGTTTGAAGAGGCGGTGTCTGATTTACATAGGGCTCACAGATTGGTTCAATCAGGTATGACGTTTACATAGTGCATGGGGAAGACTGGTCACCCCACCCTAATCTTATTATGCAAATGGGCTTTCCAGTTGATCAGCACCATCTGGTCTGTTCTTTGTTGTACACATGGCTGACAAAGAGAAGGGAAGATGGAGCTGCCATCTTGAACATGTCCTTAGTTCCTGCTGGCATTCACCCGTGCAAGCTCCCAGCTTGCCTGTCTATGTCTGAAGCTCAACTTTACAGGCTGCTCTTTGTTAGAAAATGATTTGGGGCTGCTTTTCATTAAAAAGAAACACCTTACCGAGGACTTCCATACCCTTACTATCTGCCCAAGTAATTTCTTCTTAACTCCTTTATCAGTATCATTTAGGTAATGGGTTCCCCTTGAGAGAATTTGGTTATATCCTCATTCTACCTGGACTATATTCTCATCACTTTTTTTTTTCTCTTTAAACACCTACTGTAGGTGAAAACTGACAAATGAATAATCAAAAGATCCTTTTCTGACACGGAGTTTGGTTCCATACCACCTACCCATTTTTTTCCTTTCTATTCCGCAGGTGCAGAGTGGTCAGTATGGGATAATTGCTCTTCCTTAAGTAGATCATATATTCTTTCTCCTTAACATAGCACTCTTTCCACTCATCACTGACTTTTCCCATTCTTCAGAGACCAACTTAAAGGCAGTTTTTTGCTACTGTGCCTTCCATGTTTCTCTAAGCTTTTCCACATTCCACTAATATATAGATTACATTGTACATTTAGCCCCTATCCCAGATGCCATATATTGCTTACTTGTATATATGCCCTAAGTCCTCTACTGGGTACTCTCTGAGGGCAGTGCCATGCCCATCATAGACACTCAGTAGTGATATATTTAATGAATGATTCTAGGATCTGAGCATGAGGCCTGCTCATTAATGGGTACTTTGGAGGGCAGATGGATGACACATAAAGCAATAGAATTCTGCATGTTTGCCCAATGAAAGCAGCCCAGCACAAGCTCCCAGTGAACTAGAGCTGCCTTTTGCTCTCTCCTGTCCACTGTCTGTTTCTATTCATGTCCTTCTTCCAAAAAGGAAAACTATTTCACCAGAGCCAACAAGGCCAGCACATGAAACAAAGTTTGAGGCACAAGATATTATAGTTAGATATCTGGTGCTAAGGACTCTCCTTGTCAGCCCACAGGGGCCTGCTTCAGAATTCCAAGTCAAAAAACTGCAGCATTTCCATTTTTAACTTGTTTTACCTTTGCGGCCATGTTTCCATTGTTGCTATTAAATATTTCAGTTCCATGAAACTACAATTCGTATGCACACTGAAAAGAGGAATGTTGGGTGGATGTAAGATAACTGTCCAAAGAGATCCTTTCCATGGACTCCTCTCCCTGTCACCCATGGGCCCAGGGTAGCCTGAATGCTGATCAGAGCAGAACAAGTTGGAGTTTGAAAAAGAGCAAAGATTTTGGTGCAAACTGTGGCACGCTCTGTGTTTTTACCAGATGTCATACATGCAGATTTTTTGAAGGCAGAAGCTGTGTCATTTTTTTTCATGTTCCCAATGTCCTGAGCTTAGATAACACTCAGTAAATGGTTTGTCTTTTTATTTGGCAATATTGAGGACCTGCTGTGTGCTAAGTGCAGTTTACAGTAGTGAAGAAGACATGGTACCTTCCAGCATGGAGTTCCCTGTCCGTGGGGGATGGCAAGAGTAGGGAAAGACAGATGTGAAATCAAGAGGTAGAGTCATAGTTCATTTAGTTTAAGTTGTACTGAATTGTTACCTAGGAAAAGTATAAGGTGCTATGAAAATGTATAAAATAAGACAGTTTTCCAAGTTTTTCTAGGCCTCTCTTAAGCAGTGACATTTAAGCTGAAGTTTGAAGGAAGAGCAGGGGATGACGAACAGATGGCCAGAGGCAGGGAAGGCTGAACGAGCATGCACTTGCATCCCTGAAATAAAAATTAACAATATCGTATCTACAAAAACTATGCAGATGCTAAAATCTATAGATGCTCAGGCATGAACCCACTTCCTGACAGTACTTACCTACCACATCCAACTCCTTCTCTCCTTGTTTTGTTTCCCCATCAGAATATAACACCAGCAATCCTGACTTGTTGCTAGTCATATTTCAAGTGACAGGCATCAGCCTCCTGCCACCACTGGGAGTTGCCATATCTGTCATCATCATCTTCTACTGCTACCGCGTTAACCGGCAGCAGAAGCTGAGTTCAACCTGGGAAACCGGCAAGACGCGGAAGCTCATGGAGTTCAGCGAGCACTGTGCCATCATCCTGGAAGATGACCGCTCTGACATCAGCTCCACGTGTGCCAACAACATCAACCACAACACAGAGCTGCTGCCCATTGAGCTGGACACCCTGGTGGGGAAAGGTCGCTTTGCTGAGGTCTATAAGGCCAAGCTGAAGCAGAACACTTCAGAGCAGTTTGAGACAGTGGCAGTCAAGATCTTTCCCTATGAGGAGTATGCCTCTTGGAAGACAGAGAAGGACATCTTCTCAGACATCAATCTGAAGCATGAGAACATACTCCAGTTCCTGACGGCTGAGGAGCGGAAGACGGAGTTGGGGAAACAATACTGGCTGATCACCGCCTTCCACGCCAAGGGCAACCTACAGGAGTACCTGACGCGGCATGTCATCAGCTGGGAGGACCTGCGCAAGCTGGGCAGCTCCCTCGCCCGGGGGATTGCTCACCTCCACAGTGATCACACTCCATGTGGGAGGCCCAAGATGCCCATCGTGCACAGGGACCTCAAGAGCTCCAATATCCTCGTGAAGAACGACCTAACCTGCTGCCTGTGTGACTTTGGGCTTTCCCTGCGTCTGGACCCTACTCTGTCTGTGGATGACCTGGCTAACAGTGGGCAGGTAAGTTAGAGCTAGTGCTAGATCCCCTTTACCTTGAGCCTGGCCTCACCCTACCTCTTGATCCATATCTCCTGGCTCTTATCTCAAACAGCCCTGTACTCTGGACACTGGTCTAGGGAATCTAGCCAAAGTATGGAGTCTGCCTTGAGCATACTCTGCTCTGTCCTGCCTGAGCATTTTTGCTAATGGACAGCATTTCTCCTCCTATCTTCAAATCCTTCCCAGTTCAGCACATTTTTTCCTCCTGGATCAATCCTCATTTCTCTTCCAGCAAATGTTTTTTCTTTGTTTCAAGCACTGTTAGTACTTTACCTCTATTTTTTCCCTCTCTTATGGTTGTACTCAGTCCTTTCTGCTCTATACTAGCTGTAGTTGTGTTGGTTTCTTTGTATTAAAAGCATCGTGGAAGGCAATCTCCCTGAAGTCCAAATCTACATCCACATGGTCACCCAAGATATGTAGCACAATGCCTTGAACATTGAAAGTAAAATAAGTACTTGTCGACTGAGTGAGCACTTCCACTCTTGAAGCACTCTCACAGATTAAAATGGAAATGTTTTTGGCTAAGAAACTATTGGAAGGTGATTGGAAATCACCACAACATCCCTTATAAATGATGAGCCCAGTGTTTTCACACAGTGGAGTCCATGGAGAGCAGCACTGTCTTCTTTAGCCAGGTGGCAGGACACACTTTGAAGCACTCGGTTACTGCTCAGTCAGCCCTGTGTCCATGGCAGCGCACGCAGTGTTGAGGTAAACATCGAAATATGGACAGACTAATGTGCCAGAGTAATGAGCCATGCAATGACCTCTTGAGAAGAAAAAAACTCTCTAATACATGCCAATAAGAAACATTCCTTGGAATGATAATATCAACTCACTTGGCTTCCCTAGATCCTTGGGAAGGTAGGACTTTATTGTTATTTAGTCAGTTTATACATACTACAACACTAAATATTTAAGTGAGCCATTCTCTGGAATATTTTTTTCCTTTTTCATATGGATCCGACGTTTGCATATTATCAGTCATAGAGATTAGCACAGGCCTAAAAGTCAAAATAAAACTACATGGCCCACAAGTTAAAATTATAAAGTGATCCAGATTTGGTCTTTTACTGTGAAAATGCTTTTATACAATTTAATTTAGTAGAGATGTTATGCAATTGTACTATATCCTTTGCACACTGGAATGTGCCATGGGATAAACAAAGATTAAGACTCAGTCCTAAAGTGATCAAAACTGATAGCAATTATTATTTTTACCATAAGTCTTGGAGTTTCAGGAATAAAAAAAAATTCAATTTTGGAAAGCAAAAATAAACATTTAAAATATCACAAATATTGTCTCTCAGGTTATCTGTAAGGATGTTATTGAAAAATGTGATGACATAAGTCATGGGGTTAGATAAGGCAGCTCTGGGGTTTGGCACTTCCTTATTTTGGCATGCTTTGTTTATGGTCTTTAGAGGGTTTTCAGGGAGAGAACATCTATTTTAAAAAATAACCATCTATCTGTACCTTTCTGTGCATTTCTCATTCTTTAAAACAGCACTTTGATTTTTTAAAAAAATCCTCTGCACGTGTCAGGGGCCACCATCAGCTATATTGTGAAAATAAAAAGGCAGCTGGAATTAAATGATGGGCCTCACTGTCTGTTTTTGCTATAGGTGGGAACTGCAAGATACATGGCTCCAGAAGTCCTAGAATCCAGGATGAATTTGGAGAATGTTGAGTCCTTCAAGCAGACCGATGTCTACTCCATGGCTCTGGTGCTCTGGGAAATGACATCTCGCTGTAATGCAGTGGGAGGTAGGTGTGGACCAGCATCATTGTGTAGTGGTAAACTTGTCTTCAAAATAAGATCATGTGTTGCTTCGAGCATTATTCCAGGGGTTACAAAGCAGTTATTAGAGCTAGTTGAGATCTGATATTATACAACCATCCCAGAACTATTTGGGGTTATGCTAAACAGCCTAGGTTTTTAAACTGAAAGCCACATTTGGAGCATAAAGCTTTGTATCTCCTTTTATAAACCTTTGTATAATTACTCTTCTCTTGACACATCTCTTCACAGTTATTTAAATATCTGGCAAGAGACGAATACTAATAAATGTATAAGAATTATCTCTAATGATCATGTGGGTAATATTCAGATAAGCATCTGATTTCTTTTACTTTGTGTTTTAAGATTTTTCAGAATTATGTCTGGGAAAAAGATTTGATTCAAAATTTACTTTTATGGACATGACATTGTTTTATTGGGCAAAAAAAAAATCATTGTTTGAGATATTTGTTTAGGTTTTGAAAATTCTAGTGAAGAGGTTATTGAGGAAGGCCGTCTTCTTACTGCTTAAGCCTGCAAGACTGATTAGGAGACCTACTTTTCTCCTGAAAAGCTGGCTTGCTCTTTTTATCCCCAAGTTCAGCCACCTACTGTTTTTTTTTTCTTTTAGGATCATTTTTCCCTGAACACACTGTCATAGCCTCCCAGGTGCCCTCTGCTATGTCTTCTCTGCAGTTGTATGCTGAGTCCTTTTCACTGTTAGAGGCTGTTACTACTATTGACCATGAGACTGTAGATAGAATGGGCAACAAACATCTGGGGTGCCAGGGTGAGGCTATTGTTCTAGGAAGTATTATCCCTTGTTGTCCAGAAGGCAAGAACAGTTGAGGTCTACATTACTATACCCTTTCCTGACTCTCTTCTCAGTACCTTGGAGGACAGATGCATGACACATAAAGCAATAGAATTCTGGCATGCTTGTCCAATGAAAGCAGCCCAACGCAAGCTCTCATTGAACTAGAACTGCCTTTCGCTGTCTCCTGTCCACTATGTGTTTCTATTCATGTCCTTCTTATTTCTTAGGTGAGACAGGGTCTTAGGTCTCACCTGAGAAATCTGTGCACCCAAGTTCATCCTGGTTGGCTGCCAAATGAAGCCAAACTAACTCCACCCTTTTTTTTTTTTTGAGACAGTCTCGCTCTGTCACCCAGGCTGGAGTGCAATGGCGCAATCTCGGCTGACTGCAACCTCTGCCTCCCGGGTTCAAGCAATTCTCCTAGCTCAGCCTCTTGAGTAGCTGAGATTACAGACATGCACCACCACGCTCAGCTAATATTTGTATTTTTAGTAGAGACAGGGTTACACCGTGTTGATCAGGCTGATATCGAACTCTTGACCTCATGATCTGCCCACCTCGGCCTCCCAAAGTGCTGGGATTACAGGCGTGAGCCACTGCACCCAGCCTCCATTCCATGTTTAACTTTTTGTTTTGTGATAATTTTAGACTTAGAAAATAGTTGTAAAAATAGTGGAGTTTCTGTATACTCTTAACTCAACTTTGCCTGTTGTTAATATCTAACCTAAACCATAGTATGGCTATCAAAAACAGCAAATTAACCTGGATTCAGTGTTCTTAATTAATCCATATACGTATTTGTACTTCCAAGTCCCCAGTAATGTTCTTTTCTGAAACAGGATCCAGTCTAGGATCCCGCATTGATCTAATGTGCATGCCTCCTTAGTCTCCTTGACCTTGTGAGAGTTCCTCAGTCGATTTTTGTCTTTTATGACCTTGACACTTGTAAAAAGTTTAAGACAGTTATTTAGACGGTCTCTCACTTTGGGTTTCACTAATGTTTTCTCATGATTAGATTGAGATTACATATTTTGGGCAAAATTACCACAGAAATGATAGTGTGCCTATCTTCAGTGCGTCATATCAGGGGGAATAAGATGTCCATGTGTCTGGTTATTAATGTTAAATTTGGTCCTTTGGTTAAAGTGGGACCTGCTGCTATTTGTCCATTTGTAAGTAATACATGCCTTTGACCTGTTTCTAAAGATACTAAATACCTGTTTAGCAAAGGTACTAGAACTTTCTTATTCATCATTTACCCACTAATTTGATGATCTATGACTAATTCCTGCCTATAACAATTATTACTATAATGTTTACTTAAGGAAGATTTTCTGTTTTTCTTGTTCCTTCTATATTTATTAATATGCATTCTCCTTTAAAAAAGATCTGTCTCTTCTGACACCATCCCCTGTTCTTTGTTTACTAATTATGTATTTATATCAGCAGGGGATTTGGGGTATTTGTTTCATTATATGAGTATCCAGTATTGTCATTATTTATTTTGTTGCTCAGGTTGCCACAGCTTGGGTCACTGGTCCAAACTACCCAACATTTTGCCCAAGGCAGATTCAGTTGGCACCACTGCTGGCTCTGATTCTTCATCCTGTTCAGAATATGCATAGCCAATTCTCCAGCGTGGGTCCGGGTCACCCCCTCCCATCCTGCACCCTGCTGAACCTCACATGTTTTCCTGAGACCCCCGCATGGGGATGGCACTTCCTATCTAGCTGACATAGTTATTATTATCTAGTTTCTTGACTGAGATTTCTTCCCCCAAAACACTTCCAAAAGTTAACTTTGTTTTTCCTTGCACAGTGAAATTTGTTTAACCAAGTTTCAGCCACTGAGAATAATTTTATGCTTGAAAGCTTTGACAGTTCCAAAATGAATCTTTAGCCGGGTATGAGTTGTATCAGAGACAATGCTGTTGTCACTGTCAGAATAAATTTACCTAGATTTCAGTATCATTCCCTATCCTTTCAACTCTGTTATTCTATAAACATGAGCTGGAGATTGTGTCTCTGTCTTTCCCTCTGTCAGTGCAGCCAGCTTATTAAGGCCCTAGGTGAGCTCCCAGCTTTCATTGTTATCACTGACTAAAACCCTTGCCTGTTGATATTTGCTGAGTGTGGAAGAATTTAAGCTAATGAGGAAGGAGTTCACCAAATTTTACAAGGTCTAAAAACAGTTAGAATATAAACAAGTTTTCCCAAGGAAGGAACAGGATATGGTTTATTCAGCTAGTCTCAAAAAACCTTTTATAACCTTAGGATAAGAAGAGACAGCCCTGGGGAACCGGAAAGAGGCCATCCCAGTTCTCATTTCGTTTGATCTTAAGCCCACAGTCCTATTTCTCCCATCTTTGCTCGGGCTGCAGACACCAAGGTTATTTATCCATCCTCACGTTCGTCCTGACACAAAGCCGTTCACTTGATTAAGCGTGTGAACTCACGTAGTAAGCTCCTTCTCCCACCTTGACTTCTTCTTTTAAAAGCATTAGTGGTTTTTGTTTGTTTCTTTTTGGCATGTCTCAAAAACCTTAAAGACAGATTTTCAGCCTAGTCTTAGTTTCAGAGGCTTTTCTTTTACATTCAAAAGGTCCTTTGGAAAGTACACGAAGCCTGAAGACAGATGGATTCCCTCCAACTGCATTCATCTTGATGTTGTCCCTGCTGTAGCTTTTGTAGAAACACAGATGGAAGGACAGGTTTTGACCTCAAGAAGCTTGTAGTCTACAGGAAACAGTTGTTTGTTTCCTCTCCCTTCTTTTTAAAAAACTTACACATGCAGATATGTTTCTTATCTTACAAATTAAATAATGAATCCCCCTGTTTGATGTTAGACTTTAATTTTAAGGTATAAGGAAGAGGGAAGGATGTAAAAGGTCTTTCCTTAAGCTTGAACTTCTGCAGTTTGCAGTATAGCAGATGTAATTACCATTTTTTTAAAATCAGCAGTCTTATTTCAAAAAAGGAAATGTGGAATGTGCTTACCTTTGTATGATGAATCATAGATGGACAGTAAAGGGAACCAGATCTCCAGAGTCATCTTCTCTGTAGGCTCTGAGTCTGTGTGCTTGTGGGATCATGGATCAGGGCCACTTCTGTGACATGAAAGGCTTATGATCTGACCCATCGAGCCAGCTACCAAGCACCTGCAGAGAAGCCTGCTCAAGAGGTATGGTCCTGCCGGGCGCGGTGGCTCACGCCTGTAATCCCAACACTTTGGGAAGCCGAGGCGGGTGGATCATGAGGTCAGGAGATCGAGACCATCCTGGCTAACATGGTGAAACCCCGTCTCTACTAAAAATACAAAAAAATTAGCCGGGCGTGGCAGCAGGCGCCTGTAGTCCCAGCTACTCAGGAGGCTGAGGCCAGAGAATGGTGTGAACCCGGGAGGCAGAGCTTGCAGTGAGCCAAGATCATGCCACTGTTCTCCAGCCTGGGCGACAGAGCAAGACTGCGTCTAAAAAAAAAAAAAAAAAAAAAAGAGGTATGGTCCACCTCAACTGTGTGCAGAAGGATGATGGGATGCAAGTCTCCAGTGAAAACAGCTAATCTACATGACAAGTATAGTGGATCTACCCACTGAAGGAGAGTAAGTGTGGCTGCTTGGATTTCTCGGGATGACTGCCATTGGTAATATGGATATAGCACCCCATCCTGTACTGAGAGAGTCCCTAGTTGTATTGATACTTTTTTAAGCTATGGAACATTAACCTCTCTGTTCCCAGTTGTTAATGAGCTATTGCAGAGGTGACTATTTGTTTTACTTTCTTGGATGTTAACATTACAGTACTCACTACTTGAAGAAAAATGTTCTAAGCAGCAGAAGGTCTAACTGAATGAAGTAGGATACAAGGATTAGGGACAGAAGATTTCACAGAAAACTGTGAAGTCCCACCTAGCCTGCCTTTAAGTGACTCATAAACATGGATATTAAGGCTCCAAGCTCACCTCCACGCCACATTCTCATTCTGTGTTCATCACTTCATCATGATGGATGTCTTTTAGGTCTTACCTCCAGGCTTTGTCTCATGCTATTTACTGGCACTGGAACACTTAACTAGTCTGTTTTTAACAGGCAAGTGTGGTTCAGTTGTGATAAATGCTTAGGAAGGGAAGGCAGTGAGCTCAAAGGACTGAATGCCCAGGTTGGCTACAGGGAGTGCAGTGTTATGGTCAGGGAATGAGACTTAGGTCAGCTCTTAAAGGAAGAGGAAGACTCTGGGGCATCCTTCTGAGTTACTTCTTTACTAGCCAGTCTCCCCTGAATGCAGGGGAGCACAGGGAAAACAGAGAAAGAACAGCACTACACTGGAGAAGCCTCACTTTTATCAGGTGAGAAAACATAAACAGATGATAATAGAGCTCTTCAAAAGCCAGGTGGTACAGCTTCATTTCGCACAAAATTCCACCAGGGGCCTCGGGAGATGTGTTGCAGTTAGGTGAAGAGAGTGGTCAGAGAGAAAGGCTTCTTATTGAAAGTACATTTGGTCCAGATAAAGAAAGCCATAAAGGAATAATTACCACTTCTTAAGCACTTGCTCCACACATCAACTCATTTAATCTACCAAAACTCTTTGAGGCCTGTACTGTTATTAATCCCATTTTACAATAAGAGAACTGAAGGCTCAGGAAGTGCGAAAGTTGTGGAGCCAGGAATCAAAGCCCTGTTGTCTGACTCTGTAGCTCACAGGCCTTAGTATTCCTGGTATACTGCTAGCCTGGCCAATGGAGAACGTATTTAAAATAGTAGCTATGGCCATGTACAGGTACAGGCTCACGCCTGTAATCCCAGCACTTTGGGATGCTGAGGAAGGCAGATCATGAGGTCAGGAGTTTAAGACCAGCCTGGCCAAGATGGTGAAATGCCATCTCTACTAAAAATTAAAATATTAGCCAGGCATGGTGGCGGGTGCCTGTAATCGCAGCTACTCAAGAGGCTGAGGCAGAGAATTGCTTGAACCCGGGAGGCGGAGGTTGCAGTGAGCTGAGATCGTGCCACTGCACTCTAGCCTGGGCGACAGAGCGAGACTCCATCCCCCCCGCCCCCCAAAAAAAATAGTAGCTATGATTCCTATGATCAGTATGGATACGATAGTCAGAGCTACTCTGTGCATCCTGGCAGTAGATATGAAGCCTTCCAGCAGAAGCTGAGGAGACAATCACATGTTTGAGGAACATTCAGTGATGGCCTCACTTCTCTGGGTGAATCCCTGTTAACAGAATCCAAGGCTGTTAATTTGTGTAGCAGGTCACAGTATTGATACCTTAAAATTTGAGATAACTGTTTTATCTTTATTTCCCTAAAGATATATTTATTCATTCATTCACTCAAAAAGTATTTATTGAGTACCTATTGTGTCGCAGGCATTGTTTAAAATGCCAGGGATACAGCAGTTTAAAAAGCAGTGTCTTTCTTTGAGAGACAGGAAGTCTAGTGAAGAGCCAGTATTTTAGGGACAGGTAATGAACAAAGAGATTATGTAATATAATGTTGGAGTTGGGTGGGGTGGGTGGGATGATTTTAGAAAGAAAAATAGACTTGGGGGATAGATAATGAAAGAGGCTGTCATTTCAGACATTTTAATCCTCTGAAAGAATACAAAAGAAAAAAAAAAGAAAACAAATCTTTCAGAATTGTTTGAAGTAAGAACAAGACAAGAGGAGGTGATTGGTGTGTTACTGTTCTACGAAAAAGGAGAAAAAGCTTCATGAAATCGCCATTCAGCAAGGACAGAACTGGAGATGGCTTCTCTTTTACAAAGAAATCTCTGTCCCAGGCTTTCAGTCTGTTTGGTGTTCATACAAGTGTTTGTGTGTTGTGTGGAAGGCGGGTGAAGGCGGGTGAAGGCGGTCCTGTTCAGGGCCCCCTTTGGTGAACACAGCAGGCAAAATACTCTCGTCATCCCCAGCCAAACTGGCCTGCAAGCACACTGACTTCCACATCCCTAGCATTTAGGCCTTTGAATAGAAGCTGACACGTAGCAGCCAGCTGAACAAGTATTTAATGAGGAGCAACACAACTCCAAGAAGGGCTCCTTAGTGTATTGTCAAGTTGCTGCAGCCTTGTGAGATGAAAAAAAAAAAAAAAAAAAAAGTGCAAATGAACCAAAAAGAAAGGGAAGGGGCTGGGGGAAGAAAGAGACAGAAAAAAAGGAGGCGTTGGAGAGACGGCTGAGGAGAGACCAGGATTGAAACGCTTCATTTTCCTGGATTTCAAGGGAGCACAGTCTGGAAAGCAGATATGAAAACTCGGGGGTACTGCTTTGGGGAAAACCATCAACAACTTTGCTGCCCTGTTACATTGGGACTACAGTCAAAACAGCAGCTGTGCACCAGATGCTGACTTTCCGAGGAATACCATTGCTGTCCCAGAGACCTGCCCTCTGAGGGTTGTGGAACTGGGAAGAGACAGGCAAGCGTAGTTTTCTCTTAAGAGCCTTTTGAGACAAATTAAAAGAAGCTGCGAGGGCCGGGCGGTTGCGGGTGGCTTCCATCAGTGAAAAGACTGCAGAGAGAGGTGGCGGGAGGGAGATGGAAGTAAGAGAAAGTCGTTCTCAAGCAGTGAAATAAAGAGGTTTTTTAGAAAAGATGCCGTTTGAGGCACTCAGGGAAATTCTGAGGTGTTCAGCCCCGTCTGTCTGGCTTCAGAAACAGTCTGAGGGTGAGACAAAGACTTGGTTTGATGAACTAATTCTGCTGTGTAGGCATATGTCTTGGGTGGAGTGCCTCCAACCCTGGAACAAGAATTTGAGTACTAGTAGTTTATTTGGGAAGAGATTGCAGGAAATGCCAGTAAGAGAATGAGGAAATGAGTCAGGAAAGGGAAGGAAACCAGTAAAGGATATCTTATCAAGTGGGTTACCACCATGGGCAACTGGAGTATAACTACGAGCAGAACACACACCTCAGTGTCATACCACCTGACTCAAAGGAAGCTGGGTGTTTTATCTTTCCAATTCCCATCAGTTTGCTGGAGGGCTGCTCCAGGCCGAGCTGGGAGGGTTCACTCCAGCCCTTCTGCCTGTTCCTCCTGGAGTTGGGCCAGCCTAACCGGAAGAGCCAGTGCAATGGGGTTGGGAGGTGGCGGTGCAGCTGGCCCTGCAGCATCACACTGAATAATTGTAGGGGGCATATGTGACTATTCTTATTTTGTGGATATAGGAAGTGAGGCACAAACTCTTGGCATCTCTTTTCTAAGTCCTCATATCTACTTTTTAAAGGAGTCAGGGCAAAAACAACAAATAATACTTACAATGCATATTGTTAGCTCTTCCACTTTTGAAGTGCTAAACTCAGTCATACTCTCTAAGCCTTCGCTTTTTCTCTTAGAGGCAATTCCAATTTTTTTTAAAAAGGTGGTTCTTGTTATAGGTTAGCCAGGTGTAACATTTTCTCTGGACTCAGCCCACACACTCCTGAACTTGCTTTTTATGCAGTTCTTCACAAGAGAGAGGCCCAAGGTCAAGCATCATTTGATCAAATGTGCAAAGAGGAACTGCATTAATTCTATTGCCAACTATGCCCCAATCTGATGCCTGTAGCTAAAATGAGATTCTCATCCTTACCTCACCTCCACCACCAGTCACATCTACTTCCCTAAACCCAGAAAGGACAAGTGTTTGGGTTTAATGTGGGTAAATAATACCAGCTAAGGAGAGGGCTGCTCTTTGTAATTGTTTTTTTGCATAGCTGGCTTAGAAATTACAAATAACAACCACCCAGCAGATCCCATAAGGTTCCCCTTCTCAAGGTTGTATGCTGAGGAGGGCCCCATCAAGGCAGGGAGGGACACACTTGTCACATTTGGGAAGGGCATGTTCATACCAGGGACTGCCCCAGCTGTACTTGCTCTGGTTAGGGGAGAAATCTCTGCAATGCTTGGCAGAGATGAGCAAGCATGAAAGCTTCCTAAAAAGGCAAAGGCAAATTTCTTCAGAGTAACAGTAATAAAGTGCACAATTCTAAATGCTCTTCCTGGAATCCAGTGTACTATTTGGGCCTCAGTTTTCTCAACTGTAAAATGAGGATGTTGGATCCCGTCTCTGAAGACCTTTTCAATATTCTTTGTCTGACTCATTTGAAACCCTTAAAATATGTTTAATAACTTGTGCTCTTTTTTCCTGTGTCAAAATGCATCTCACATTCCTTAAGAAGCATTTAGGGCAATGTTGCTCCAAGTGTGGTCTTTGGCAGGTGCTGGTCCTCAAACTCTCTGTTACAGATTTGCAATATAAGGACAGAAACCAAGATGTGTTTTGTGCCTTTAATAGCAGTTTGATGTTGCCACAACACTCAAGTGGGATTCATTTTTCTTGTAATTCATTTCTACTGTATTTTACCAAAGCCTTTATTCCCAATGAATTGAGGGCAAAACATCTGGGCTTTTATAAAAAATTGATTGAGAAGTGCTCATTTGCAAGTAATAAGGGAAAAATTTTAATCACTTTTAATCTCACTATTCCACCTAAGCCACTTTTGTGAAAGAAACAGTGGTTAGGAGTTGGGGAGAGATTTACATTTCTTTATACATATTTGTTTAGTCATTTCATAGTTTTAATCACATGCATTTTCCAAAATAAAAATATTTTAAGCACCATCATGAAAAATAAATAAGATACACAGTTTGGACCCAAAGATTTTGCCAAAGTGGATTAAACATCCCAGTCTCCAGCTGCCTGAAACCCTGGGGAAAAAGTTGGGAGTGTCAAAGGTCTCAGGCCATCAACTTGTTGCCAATCACCAGCTCTGTCCAGTTCCCCAGGACTGCCTGGGCTCTGTTACATGAGGTCTCATCCTAGGAACGACCATTGGTACCCACCTGGCTGGCAGAGGGCTTTCTGCTTTCTAACCTCCTCTCGCAGGGTTCAGGCTATCTCTGGCCACGATCTTCCCTTCTTCTGCTGAGTCAAAGCAAATATCTGAGGCATTCTGAGGGACACTTAGAACTGAGGAGCAATTAAGAAATGCCCTCCAGGAGGGACTGGCCTCCATGTTACATGGTCATCCTACAAGTCCTAATGGAGGCCCTGAGAATGGCATTGCCTTAATGGCCATAGTAGGAAAAATGAGCAATGTTGCCTGATCGCTGCAATTGAATATCAAAGATGTTAACTGAGAGGCACATGTATACACACTGCCAAACATTAAACCATCTTCCTACACATTGCAGGGCATGAGAAAAAAAAAAATGGAGGTTGGGAGTAGGATGTCCAAAATGAGAGAGAAGGGTAAAGAAAGAAGAATTGCAAAAATCCATAATTAGAAAGAAAAAAGCAAACATGCATTTAGCTGTTTTGGAAAATCTATGTTACATAAATAGGACATTTTTCAGAAGTTAAAGAAAGGTCAGCCTAAATCATGCACACACTGCAGATCCCCATCCGTACTCCTAATCTGAAAAACTAATATTAAAGGATTAGAGTATGACAGTTTAGGTCAAATGATGATCCTCCCTCCCCAGACTTGTCTATTTTAAGCTTAGGAGGAGGCAGAAGAGTCATAAATTCTCCCAGTGGGGCACAAGGAGCCAGTCCTTTTGCCAGCACCTTTCAGACTACCCGTGACCTCCCTTCCTTGTGAAATTACCCATAAGTCGAAGATGGGAAGCAGGCCTTGTATCCCTTGGGAATATTAGGGAGTCTCACAACTTTCCAAGATTTTAGGAAAAGTAGGAAGTAACCTATTTATAAGTCTGTTTGTTTTGGGAAGGGATTATTGCCTTTGTCTTCCTTTCTAAAATAGCATTCATTAATTTTTCTTTAAGTAAAAATATGCCCAATGCCATCTTCTCTCATTCCCCATGGAAACTTGCTTTGATCCACAGAGTACCTATAAAAAAAATTACAATAAATTGTGTAGTGTTTGTAACTAGGAAGATTAGGACTTGGAATGAATTGGCTCTGCGTTTATAGTCTCAAGGACAAAGACTTTGTCTTTGTTCTCAAGGACTATCAGCCATGAGATTGACAGCTGGGGTTTATTCTGATCCCAACATTTTCCTCCTCTGATGTTGGTCATGTCCTCCTCTGTCACTTCTGACCATGAGTATAGGGATTGTTGTTGATAGTCAGAGGAGAAAGAACTCTCTGAAATGCTTGGTAGAAAGGAAAAAGCATGAAAGCTTTCTAGAAAGGTAAAGGAGTTTCATCAGAGTAACGGTAATACAATGTGAGATTCAGAATGTTCTTCCTGGTTTAGTAATTTCACCTTCACAAGAAGGGGCTACATCAAGGCTTCCCCAGGGTAGCTTTGCAGCTACAGTCAGATTGTGCAGATTCACTGAGACAAAGGCCTAGGGAGAGAGGAGAAAGCACTTCCTTGGCGGCTGTGTTGGGCCAGCTTTACTAGAAGTGGAGTCTGACACACTTTTGTGCAATGATTTATTGAGGATAAGCTCTCATGAGAAGGAAGTAAGAGAAGCAGGAAGAGGCATGGAAGGAGTTAAGTGAACTTGTATTTCAAGAGAGGTCTAACCTCAGCTTGATCTCACTGGAAGCTCTGGAGAGTGTGAATTGCACCATAGTTACCCACCAAGAGCCAAGAGAATTGGACTGTTAAACTTCAACATTAATTTGTCATCGGCTATACGCTGCCTCTGAGAGTAAGGCGGTCATGTCCACGAATCTCTAGGATAGGCAACTCCCATTGGCCAAGGACAATCCCCCAGAAAAGGGTGAAGGTGTGAGCCCTTATGAGCCAACACCTGTGGCAGCTGTAGGCTGCTGGCCCTAGCTTGGTCAAGGGGACCTTGGCAGGCACCAACTGCAGCTGCTACATAAGCCAAAACAATTGAAGATGGAAGGTCTGTGGACTGTACCTTATCTAAGGAACAATTTATATCATATACAAATCCTATCCTTTACTATTATATGGTAGTACATATATCTCAAGGTATGGTACCAAGGGGGCATCATATTTGATTAGATTGGATTACAAGATAAATCTGAAGAGGAACATGGAGGTAGCTCAGTTCAGTATATTCATTTTATAGAAGAGAAGAAGTACATGAGAGTAAACACTTACTGGGAACCAGATCTGATTCTCAGTTTTCTCTTTTGCTTGAATTCAACCGAACTCATATTTATTAAATTCTTACTACGTATAAGGCACGATTTTAGGCACTGAGCAGATAAGTGAAAGACACCAAATTCAGCCACTGCCTTGTGCCTTAGGCATTTACAGTCTGGTTGAAGATAAGGAATGAAAGAAAAAAATAAGAGTATAAATGCTATGCAAATCACAATTCAGATCTCACCCAAGAGCAATGTGGATTAAATGCTTGGGTCCTTTGAGGCAAAAAGCATGACACACAGGAGGATAGTTTGTGGTTTGTCTTAATGTGATGGGAGGCCTTCATCCCAAATTCCCCTGTATTTAAAACTATAAAAAAGAAAATATCCTGGCAGCTCTACTATTTGGTGAAGCTGAAAAAGATAAATATTCAAGTAGAGTTCTGGAAAAGGGGAAAAAAGCAAATGAACAAAGAACAAAAACAAGCCGTCCCTTTTCAAAATGTCATCTTGCCATGAAAGCTTCTTCAATTCGTTACCTAGAAGTGCAAATGTATTGAAAGTTTTACTCATTAAATAAGATTATTTTGAAGCTAAAGGCCAAAGATCCTACTTACTTTGGAGAACAGTGTTGAATCCAGCCCAATCTCTCCTTTCAGCCCAGGCATGTTTTAGTACTGGGATGTTTTCTATCTTTTTAAGTGTCCTGTGCTCTGTTTACACTATATTAATCTGCTCATTTAAATTGGTGTTTTGTTTTAATGTTTGGCCAGAGTTTATGCACTGCCACTTTGGAGAGAATCTAAGATTCATTCATTCATTCATTCATTCACTCACTCAACAAAGCATTTGTTGACAGCCTGTTGGCATGGGAGACCCTTGCAATTGGCACCAAGAATACAAGAATGAGAAAGGGACTCAACTTGCACCCAAATGCTCACAGTCCAGTTAGGTGAGAAAAATAAGCAGGTGAATATATTAAATAAAATATGGTATATGCACGAATAGAGCCCTGCCCAGGATATCTAACCAAGATTGACCCTAAGGATGTTCAAGGAAGTTTTTATAAAGAATTTGACCTTAGTTGAAGCCTGAGGCCCCGGTGAAGGGTTACCTCCTCCTTTATCATTTTCTTTATTGAATATACCATCAGAGGAAAATTATCGTTTTAAAATTTTGTTGATGTTGTTAATCTGTCCCCTCTGTCTTCCCACTAAAACAGCATTTCTCAACCTTTTTTAAAATCAGTGATATCGTAAGGAGCCTTTTTAAACAACTTTTTTTGTTTGCTTGTTTTGTTTTTTATTTTGTATAGATAGAGGATCTCGCTATGTTGCCCAGGTTGGTCTCAAACTCCCGGAGTCAAGATATCCTCCTTCAGCCTCCTAAAGTGCTGGGATTACACACATGAGCCACAGCACCTGGCCTGTAGACAACTTTTTTTCTAAACACTACTCTCCATGATGTTTTTCTGTAGCAAAATAGGCATAATATAAAATGTACCATCTTAACCATTTTTAAGTGTACAGTTTACTGGCATTAAGTACCTTCGCAGTGCTCTACAACCATCACCATTATTCATTTTTCTGTACTGAAATTTGCTCAACTGAAATTCTTTACCCCTTAAAGGATAACTTTTCGTACCCTTTCCTCCCAGGTTGCCCCCTGGACAACCACCATTATACTGTCTCTGAATATACCTGTACAAGGTACTTCATACAAGTGGAATGATACAATATTTGTCCTTTTGTGTCTGGCTTATTTCACTTAGCATAATGTCTTCAAGATTCATCCATGTTGTAGCATGTGCCAGAGTTTCATTCCTTTTTATGCCTCAATACCTACATGAAATTTAATACCACATTTTAAATCTCTTTGTATACTCTGGGCCTTTGGAGGCTCACAAACCATTGTAATACATAAGATTTTTCCACTTCCCAAGAACCAGTTTCACCCTTTTGCTGCAATATCCCCCTGTAGAAAATGCCTGTGTTAAAACCTAAGCTCCGTGACCCTCTCTATCTTGTTGTCCACTGTGTCCCCCAGCGTAACACCTAGCACATTTTAAGTACTCAACAATCATTTATTGAATACTTCTCTAGCCCTTCCCCAACCACTCCTTCCTTCTTATCTTAGCCATTATTATTAAAATTTGCTCTTAGAGTAATTACGTATGTATTTGTTACTTAGTGCTTCATGCTCCCCAGCCAGGCATCTCACCATGCTCATTTCCTTTGGCTGCACATGCCATTCTCAGTGACCCTGTGTTTGCTGGCTTTCTTCACAGAAGTAAAAGATTATGAGCCTCCATTTGGTTCCAAGGTGCGGGAGCACCCCTGTGTCGAAAGCATGAAGGACAACGTGTTGAGAGATCGAGGGCGACCAGAAATTCCCAGCTTCTGGCTCAACCACCAGGTAAGGAGTGAGTGTTTACAAAGGTCAGTAAGATTCAACCAAGTTGCCTCTTAGGTGGCAGAGAATTCTGGAATATTGAGCTTAAATCTGAGGGAAGGTCCCATTGTGTTCTATGGCCCTGTTAAATTTTGTTTATAAAGCAAATTTCAATACAGTGGATAACCCAATTATTATAGGCTCCAACCAGCTGATATGTACTCTGAGAGTTCACAAATAGCCATTCGGAGGACATTTGCCACATTTTCCAAGCCCCCTTGGTCCTGGGTTAAAACATTTTGTTTGCAGCCTCTGCTACTTACTCCTGGGCCTTCACGTCAGGAGTTTATATTTGATTCCCTCTGGATTCCAAATGTTTTCTTCTGGGAATCTTCAGCTCCATAAGGAAATACTTAGCAGATGCAAAACAAGCAGGGTTTGTCAGGCAGCTGTAGTGAGAAGTGACTGTGGCATGCAGAAGGCTGTGTACAGGTGTTTGCAGGCTGTGCTCACAGACTTGGGAGAGGCCTGAGTGAGCACGCGTGGGAAAGAGGAGACCGACTCCTCACTCTGGAATTAAGGAAAGCAAAGAAGAGGAGAATGCCCTGGAAGGAACGAGAAATCTGTCTGTTGGGAACATCCTAATGGCCTCTTATTTTTCCTTGTTAAGAAATGCTAGCTAAGGCTGTCCATAGCAGGGCAGTCATTCTGGACTCATAAAGAGGCTGATCCAAATTGTTTGTTTGGGGGCACTTTGATGAGGGCAATGGTCAGAGAAAAAAGAAAACGATAGGTTGTGAGTGAGTCAGAACCAGCTATATGTCTGACACACCCAGGAAGGAGCCCTTAGTGAAGAATGAGAGAGAACAGTGTGGCCCTATCTCACTGAGAAGACTGTTCTTTCTACTGACTAAAACCTTTTATTGCCTCTTTTGGATGAATTCCCTCAACCATGAAGGCCGAGGCTAAGTTGTTGGTTTCCCTAAGGGCAAGGCAAATTCAGATAAGAAACAGAAACAACAAATCAGGCACAATCGGGAAGACAAATGGAGCAGGAAGTCTGGTCTGTGCCAGTCCTGGCCCAGAGCCACTTCAGCAGACAGACCTTAATAAAGTCCGAGGAGGTTGGCGAGGGGGAACCAGGCTGTGGTGGGTCACAGGCTTCTCTGGAGTTTTGAGCAAATCCTCTTTGACACTAAAACTGTAAGAATATTTTGCATAAATTCTGAAATCAGAATGTGCTGGAGTGTTATGTTTCTTTCAAACTCTGTTGCCTCCTCTGCTGTATAGTTCTCGTAATGATGCCATTATTCATGATGATAAAATTCTGAAAAGAATTTGCATAATACATTTTTTCTCATAATGAGATTTGTTGCCCTATTGATTTCAAGTTAATGCTTAATATTTAATTTAATTTACTGCCTGTAATTACAGTGCCAGAATAAAATAAATGTTACTTGTGTACCAACAATAGCACTCTACTCTTAACAGGGCCATCTGTCAATACTGTCAATTAGGTGAATTATGCAATTAATTTAACATCATGAACTCATCGGGTGGGGAGGGAGAGATAGGCTCCTAGGTGTGTTTGGAAAGTTGTTGGTATTAGAAAACAAGTAGAAAAAGTGCCAGCTCTCCCAGGTAGTTTTGAGATTTATCCATCCCACTCCCAGCCACCTGTGTGAGGGATCCCATTAGCAATGTTGATCTTACAATTGGGAGGAGCACACTCTATTTCCACCTATCAGACCATTTACTTAACTCCTGCCTGCTTTATTTCCAAAAAGGATTTGAAATGATAACAAAAATATTTGCAATGCAAAATAAAAATTAAGCCAGTGAGAGAAAACTCTTGCCACCTTCCTGGGCAGGATCTCCTGGATGGTCTCCTTGGATGGGAGCTTGATTCGGTTAGGGTGAACCCTAGGAAATGGCATAGAGTTAAGCATGCCTGACCCACATAGGCAGCTGTTTCACAGGGTTCAACCCAATGTTGTTGGAGAGGAATGGAGCATCCCAGAGGTCATCCTTGGCAGCTCGTAGAAGCTGCTACTGAATCACTCTACAAAATGTGTGGCCTATAGAAAATGAAACCATGCTAATGCCTGCATACAATTCTGACGGGGGTAATCAGCCCTGTTAAAATAGAACAGTGTATATGACCCAACTATATGACACTCTGGAAAAGGCAAAAACTACAGAGACAGTACAAAATCAGTGGCTGCCAGAAATTTAGGGGAATGGAGGGAGGGATGAATAAGTGGAATGCAGGGAATTTGAGGGGCAGAGAAACTATTCCGCATGATACTATAATGGTAGATACATGTCATTATACATTTGTCAAAACCCCTGGAATATACAACACCAAGAGTGAACCCTAATGTAAACTATGAATTTGATTGATAATGATACGTCAGTGTTAGTTCATCAGTTATAACAAATGTACCTCATAGATGCATGCATGATGTCAAGGTGGAGAAGGCTGTGCCTTTATGGGGAAGGGGTTTTGTGAAAACTCTCTGTACTTTCCACTCAATTTTGCTGTGAAGCGAGAACTTCTCTAAATAGAAAGGTGTTGAAATGATATTAAGGGCCACTACATGGGGAATTTTCAGGTGTTGGGAGTGTTAGTGTACCCCAGAAGCCCAGCAGAGGATCATTGTGCTGTCAGGACCTATTGTGATCAGATAGCACCAGAGCCAAAAAGTATGGTAGGTTTTGAGCACAGCTGCCACCAGCACAAACCCCCCACCACCCTTTCCACATGGAACTGGCTGGCCTGCAGCAGCAGGCACTCAGTCAGCACATGTTAAATGCACAGGCACTTTTGGACCCTGCTTGCACTCACTATAGCAACAAGGTCAGCAGGCCACCTTGCCTTCCGCGGAGCCCACCAACTCATGGTGCCCTTTGGATCTCTTTCCCGCTACAGGGCATCCAGATGGTGTGTGAGACGTTGACTGAGTGCTGGGACCACGACCCAGAGGCCCGTCTCACAGCCCAGTGTGTGGCAGAACGCTTCAGTGAGCTGGAGCATCTGGACAGGCTCTCGGGGAGGAGCTGCTCGGAGGAGAAGATTCCTGAAGACGGCTCCCTAAACACTACCAAATAGCTCTTCTGGGGCAGGCTGGGCCATGTCCAAAGAGGCTGCCCCTCTCACCAAAGAACAGAGGCAGCAGGAAGCTGCCCCTGAACTGATGCTTCCTGGAAAACCAAGGGGGTCACTCCCCTCCCTGTAAGCTGTGGGGATAAGCAGAAACAACAGCAGCAGGGAGTGGGTGACATAGAGCATTCTATGCCTTTGACATTGTCATAGGATAAGCTGTGTTAGCACTTCCTCAGGAAATGAGATTGATTTTTACAATAGCCAATAACATTTGCACTTTATTAATGCCTGTATATAAATATGAATAGCTATGTTTTATATATATATATATATATCTATATATGTCTATAGCTCTATATATATAGCCATACCTTGAAAAGAGACAAGGAAAAACATCAAATATTCCCAGGAAATTGGTTTTATTGGAGAACTCCAGAACCAAGCAGAGAAGGAAGGGACCCATGACAGCATTAGCATTTGACAATCACACATGCAGTGGTTCTCTGACTGTAAAACAGTGAACTTTGCATGAGGAAAGAGGCTCCATGTCTCACAGCCAGCTATGACCACATTGCACTTGCTTTTGCAAAATAATCATTCCCTGCCTAGCACTTCTCTTCTGGCCATGGAACTAAGTACAGTGGCACTGTTTGAGGACCAGTGTTCCCGGGGTTCCTGTGTGCCCTTATTTCTCCTGGACTTTTCATTTAAGCTCCAAGCCCCAAATCTGGGGGGCTAGTTTAGAAACTCTCCCTCAACCTAGTTTAGAAACTCTACCCCATCTTTAATACCTTGAATGTTTTGAACCCCACTTTTTACCTTCATGGGTTGCAGAAAAATCAGAACAGATGTCCCCATCCATGCGATTGCCCCACCATCTACTAATGAAAAATTGTTCTTTTTTTCATCTTTCCCCTGCACTTATGTTACTATTCTCTGCTCCCAGCCTTCATCCTTTTCTAAAAAGGAGCAAATTCTCACTCTAGGCTTTATCGTGTTTACTTTTTCATTACACTTGACTTGATTTTCTAGTTTTCTATACAAACACCAATGGGTTCCATCTTTCTGGGCTCCTGATTGCTCAAGCACAGTTTGGCCTGATGAAGAGGATTTCAACTACACAATACTATCATTGTCAGGACTATGACCTCAGGCACTCTAAACATATGTTTTGTTTGGTCAGCACAGCGTTTCAAAAAGTGAAGCCACTTTATAAATATTTGGAGATTTTGCAGGAAAATCTGGATCCCCAGGTAAGGATAGCAGATGGTTTTCAGTTATCTCCAGTCCACGTTCACAAAATGTGAAGGTGTGGAGACACTTACAAAGCTGCCTCACTTCTCACTGTAAACATTAGCTCTTTCCACTGCCTACCTGGACCCCAGTCTAGGAATTAAATCTGCACCTAACCAAGGTCCCTTGTAAGAAATGTCCATTCAAGCAGTCATTCTCTGGGTATATAATATGATTTTGACTACCTTATCTGGTGTTAAGATTTGAAGTTGGCCTTTTATTGGACTAAAGGGGAACTCCTTTAAGGGTCTCAGTTAGCCCAAGTTTCTTTTGCTTATATGTTAATAGTTTTACCCTCTGCATTGGAGAGAGGAGTGCTTTACTCCAAGAAGCTTTCCTCATGGTTACCGTTCTCTCCATCATGCCAGCCTTCTCAACCTTTGCAGAAATTACTAGAGAGGATTTGAATGTGGGACACAAAGGTCCCATTTGCAGTTAGAAAATTTGTGTCCACAAGGACAAGAACAAAGTATGAGCTTTAAAACTCCATAGGAAACTTGTTAATCAACAAAGAAGTGTTAATGCTGCAAGTAATCTCTTTTTTAAAACTTTTTGAAGCTACTTATTTTCAGCCAAATAGGAATATTAGAGAGGGACTGGTAGTGAGAATATCAGCTCTGTTTGGATGGTGGAAGGTCTCATTTTATTGAGATTTTTAAGATACATGCAAAGGTTTGGAAATAGAACCTCTAGGCACCCTCCTCAGTGTGGGTGGGCTGAGAGTTAAAGACAGTGTGGCTGCAGTAGCATAGAGGCGCCTAGAAATTCCACTTGCACCGTAGGGCATGCTGATACCATCCCAATAGCTGTTGCCCATTGACCTCTAGTGGTGAGTTTCTAGAATACTGGTCCATTCATGAGATATTCAAGATTCAAGAGTATTCTCACTTCTGGGTTATCAGCATAAACTGGAATGTAGTGTCAGAGGATACTGTGGCTTGTTTTGTTTATGTTTTTTTTTCTTATTCAAGAAAAAAGACCAAGGAATAACATTCTGTAGTTCCTAAAAATACTGACTTTTTTCACTACTATACATAAAGGGAAAGTTTTATTCTTTTATGGAACACTTCAGCTGTACTCATGTATTAAAATAGGAATGTGAATGCTATATACTCTTTTTATATCAAAAGTCTCAAGCACTTATTTTTATTCTATGCATTGTTTGTCTTTTACATAAATAAAATGTTTATTAGATTGAATAAAGCAAAATACTCAGGTGAGCATCCTGCCTCCTGTTCCCATTCCTAGTAGCTAAATCCATTTGCCTCATTTGGTTATTTTGCAATTTATGCAGAAAACGTCACCAAGTAAATAATCTCCAACTTTTTCATACTGTCTTTCTCAACTGACAGTCTCACAGTCCTTAAAAAAAAAAAAAAAAAAAAAAAAAAGTCACAGAAGCTCAGTAATATGAGATGAAGCAGATGCTGCTCATGGCCTGCCTGCCATGCTGGCGTCCTGGCATGATGTCCCTCTGAATGCCCAGAAGACCTCTTCCCACAGTCTCAGGAGCTGCCTCTATCCACATGGCTGTTTCTTGCAGGGATTTTCACAGCCAGTGTTTCTACCGCTTCTTCTATTTTCTCTATTCCTCATACTAGCAAGCTGTTGGCTCTCTTCTTGACTCTTGTCATATTCCATGCTTCCCTTTTCTACCCAGATACCACATCCATTTGGTGCTTTTAATTGATTTACATGAATGGTGAGATGAATATGCCTTAGGAAATTGTCTCCTGGTCATTTCTTGTGACAAAGTGCACGAGATTTTCTGCCTGAACTTCATGCTACCTGTTTTGGAATCTGAGAGATTCTGTAGCTTCTTCTTAGTTATCGACTGGGTTCTAAATAGTTAATGTCATAGTGCCTGCACCAGGGTATTTCAACCTTAGCACTGCTGACTTATTTTTGCATTGGATAATTGTGTGTTGGGAGGGAGGGAAGCCGTCCTGTGCACTGTGGGATGTTTAGCAGTATCCCTCGCCTCCACCCACTAGATGCCAGTAGCACCCACCCCACAGCTGTGACAACCAAAAATTTCTCCAGACATTGCCAAATGTCCCCTGAAAGACAAAGTTCCTCTCAGTGGAGAATCACTGAGCTAGATGATGTGGTCCTACTGTGGGCCTTAGTTATAGTCTTGTCTTTATTAGTAGCAATTTTAGTGGTTACTAACTGTAGAGGTTACCTGCTCCTCTATTTGCCAGCTTTGTGATCTGGGCAAATTACTTAACCTCTCCATGCCTCAGTTTCATCATGTGTAAAATGAGATTTTACAAGCCTCATCCTATACAAGATAAAATTGTGGTAAGAAGACACATTAGGCTTTTGAAGATGGGTCTTGAACTTTTTGGAAAGCCTTCACTACATGCTGGCCAGTGTTAAGTTGGTTTAGTATGCCAAGGACTGCTTAGGCAAAGAAGCAGATTTTTAGGTACAAACCTAGAGAGCATTTACAACAGAGGAAAATGGGTACAGTCCCCAGGTCTGCAGGACAGGAAACGTGGGTCCTGTGTGAACACATAATCGGGGGAGAGCGCTCATTCACTGAGTACTCGCTATGCCATCGGATTGAATCCTCCACTAGCTCGGTGAGGTACATACTATGCCCATTTAACAGATGAGGAAACAGATGGTCAGAGAGCTCAGATAAGAAGCCCAGGGTCTCACCATGTAGAATCTGGATGCAGGGCCAAGTTGTCTTGGAACTGGAATTTGGAACACCTGACATGCTTGGTTCTTTATTTCCTGCTGTTTCCTGAGGGAACTGACCTGCCCAAGCAGGACCAAAAGGCTACCCCATGAAGAAAAGCTCTGCTACTGGATCATTGTTCTCATCTCTCTCTGGGTCTCTGCTCAGTGGAGGCAGAAAAGGTGCTTTTCCATTTCTATTGCCTGACTTCCTCTCCATTCACATGGTAAGTGTTGTCTACATGCTTGCTGAGAGAACAACTGGAAGATGAGTGAATGTGTGTAGACTGTGTTTCCTAATGTGTGAAATGTGTACTGGTATCTGAGATGATTTAAGATTGTGCCACCTTTATAAAAATAGATCCACCTTTATTTTAGTGGATCATTAACATACATTAGAAAAAAATCATTAACACAGCCTGGGCTTTCACAAATAATATTGCTTGAAATATGGCTGAGTTTAAAAACTTGAATTGATTATTAAAATACATTAAGTAGACGACACTCATGCATGACAACTACAGGAGGTGTTAATAGGAATAATTGAAGTTAGGGAGCTCTACCCAAGGAGGCAAATTCATATTAATTCCTAACATTTATTGAGTACTTGGTAAGTGCCAAACACTATTCTCTGTTTTACCTTATCTGCTTAAATCCTCTCAACAACCCTGCGAAGTATCTTACCTCCATCTTATAGAGGAGGAAACTGAGGCAGAGAGCAAGGTCTAGCTAAGGGTCGCAATCATTAGCATGAGAATTTGAACTGAAGCAGTTGGACTCCAGGGATCAAACCCCCACCTTGAACACAAGATAAAGCTGGAGTTAGGGGGTAACAACGTGGAGCCTCTGGAGAGCTCAAGGGTTTTTGATTCAACAGTCCAAAATGAGGAGGCAGATGCAGTTAGCACTGGAGAGGAGGGAGTTACCCATGAGGGAACCCAGGGAGGAAAAGTTATTCCTCAAATGCACATGGGCTCCGGGCTGCAGCCCAAGAGCTTCAGCCAAAACAGGAGCCAAGGTCTTCTAACCCCTCTCCCTTCTTCCACGCTTTGTTTTGCTGGGGTTATTTTAGTTCTTGCTACTGCAAGGTCAGGAACATTCCCAACTGGCAATTGGTCTCCAAGTGCCCTCAGCATGGACTCAGTCCCTTGCACCAGTCAGCATCCTTTGAATGCAGTCTATATTTGTGCCCAGGAGTTTCTATTTGTGGTGGCTGTTTTTGTTTTAAGCTCTCTATGCAAATGACACACTAATGGTCTGGTCCTAAGGGAAATTCTGTCTTCAGGTGACAGAGAACTTTTCATTTAAACAAGTGTATCTATCCTTTTTCACTAAAGCCACTACAGTCGGCATCTGCTCATTTTGTTCATTTTCCTCCTGAAATAGGTTAGCTAATCATTGCTTATCACATTTCCAACTAGTTTCTTTTTTTTTACTTGAATAACTATAGCTCCACCCTCTATGGGTTTGGGGCCATGCCTTTCAGGCCTACTTTGCAAACTGTGCTGATAAAAGACAAGATTGTGAACTTGCCCACATTACATGGGCTGCCAATCAGCCTCACATGGTGTAATTTAATTCTAATACGCCTCCTGATCTTTGGTGCATTTAAAAATAACTTGTTAATAGTCTTCCTATTCTAATTAAGCTAAAATTGCACACACTGTGAAATGCTTGCTCTCTTGCTCTCTCATGCTCTCTCTCTCTCTCTACACACACACACACACACACACACACACACACACACACAATTGATCCTTAAAAATCATTTCTGTAAACTGCCTGTGTAGCACAGTGCTTCTGAAATTCTCCTGTGTCTTCCCCTGACCTATGCCCACAATGATAGACAATAGAATAAAATAACTGTGGCCCTGGTACCCTAGGTCCATTAAAATATTCATAATAAATTGTCTAAACATTGATAACAAAGTGGTTAAAATTGGAACCTCTAGAGCCAAATCTCCTGGGTTCAAATCCCAGCTCTGCCACTAACTGTAACTTTGTGTAAGTCTTTTAACTGTTTTTATTTCCTGGTTTCTTAATGTGTAGAAGGAGGATAATGATGAGATCTACTTGGGAAAGTTGTAAGAGTTAAATGAAATACTGGTTTTTTAAATGGTTAGAACAGAGACTGATGCACATAAGTATTCATTATTATAATTCAGTTTTTGCATTCTTTAAAGTGAAGCTGTGTTGTTGCAGTATTTTAAGGATATATTGTTCCCCAAATTTTTGGGTAAAATTGACTGTTAAGGAAGATGAGTCATGTTTAAACTGTAATTGTGAGTAGACCACCCTTTATCCTTGAAGGGCTTTCTCAACCAGGTGAATGGCATGGCTGTGGTGGGAAATACAGGGCCCTGTGAGACAGGAAATCTAGGGGGTTGTCTAGCTCCATTACCATCCTCTTCTTTTATGGATTCAGTGTCTTGTTCTTTTGTTCCATGTGAGAATCATCCCTGCCCTGCCTACGTTATAAAGCTGGAGAAAAATGAAATAAGTAAAAACACATGGAAAACGTACTAAAATATTAATGCAAGGATGCAAGGTATAATCTTTGCTGGAACATTAGTTCCTCATTTATTAGTAACATTACAGGCATTTGAAATTATGTACTTTATATGGGACCTATATTTTAAATATATGCTAATCATCCTAGAAGCCCTACAAGGTAGGTGTTACTTTTTTCCATTTTACCATTAAGGAAATTATCCAGGTTTACACAACTTGAACCCAGGTCTCTGTCAGTAAAAAACTGTCTACTCTTCCAAACCATTTTATCTATCCATATTTATTTCCTCCATCAAACATTAGTTGAATGCAATGTGGTGTATCACCCAAGGTCGGCTGGCATCTTGAAAACAATAACTATGTGTTACTCAGCATCTTAGCACCTAGCAAAGAGTGGAGAATATAACAGTCTTTCAATTAAGTTTTGTCGAAGAAAGAAATGAAGGCTCTTGGTCTTTAGAAATTCACAAATCAGCTGAGGAGACAGACATACTAACCAACAGCATATGATCAGCATGTTCTAATTGGTACTGTCTCTGGAATAAAACAGCTGGCAGCAAAAAATGTCTGACTTTTGCAGAGAAACTCCTAATATGAGTTTGACTGCTGTCCCACATCTACCTATGTGGTCGTAGTGCTGTAGTCACTGTTGTTACCCTAAGAGGACAGCCTTGTTCCTCCAGGTCTCTTACAACTCTCTTTTAAGGAGCTCGTATTAGATCCCTAGAGCTGCTGTAATGCATTGCCCAAATCTTGTGACTTAAACCAACAGAAATTTATTATCTCATAGTTCTGGAGGCTAGAAGCCTGAAATGAAGGTGTCTGCAGGCTTCACTCTCTCTGAAATTTTTATGAGAACATTTTTCATGTGATTTAGAGCCCACCTGGGTAATCCAGGATGATATCATCTCAAGATTCCTAACTTAATTACACCTGTAAAATCCATTTTTCCAAATAAGGTCATATTCACAAGTTCTGAAGACTAAGGCATGGACAGATCTCATTGGAAACCATCATTCAACCCACTGCAAAGCTTTAGCCAATTCCCAGCTATGAATTCTTCCAAGATGAAAGGATACCAAGCTCAAGACTCTCCCTTGTTCATTTGAGGCCTTCCCAAAGATGACTGACATTTTCACAAATTTTATTTGGTTTCATTTCCTATCTTAACGAAAACAATGATAATTTCCTATCTTAATGAAAAAAATGATAATGTTTATACTGTATGATAATTAAAACATCATGTAAAGATTACTCTTTATCTAAATGTTTGCACATACTCTTTGAACATCCATCATTTTTCCAGCAGTTATGATTTTTTCTTCCCAGGAATATGGGAATGAAGTGAAATTGACAACTTTTCCCCCACGCATTGTATCCTCTTTTAATGCCACCCCCTGTGTTTAACAGCCTCTGACACAATGTAGGAGCAATCCATGGTACTCAAAGAATATTATGGAATTTAACAACAAGTATATATATTTGTCTTGATCCAGTGTCTTATCTGATTACCTTGGGCCACAGGAATACCCTAGGTGAGAAGGGAAAGTTGGGTTCTAGCCCAAGTCCTGTTACTAAGTCTCTTAGCTCCATGACCCTTGGATATTCTAGTTATTATTACTACAAAACTTAGCGGCTTAAAGTAATCTTTTTATTTTACATAATTTTATGGGTCAGAAATTTGGGAAAGGCTTAGGCTGGAAAGTTTTCACTTGGAGTTTCTTCTACCATTGCAGTCATATGTCAACTGGGACTTAAATCATCTGATAGCTCAGCTAGGCTAGATATCCAAGATGCCTCACTCTGGTGGTTAGTACCAGTAGTTGACTGGGATCTCAGTTGGGGCTGTCATCTAGGACAACGGCACATGGCTTTTCCAAGTGGCAGTGTTAAGACAATACTTTTAATATGACATCTGGCTTCCTCTAGGGTGAGTGTAGAACCTGTGGAAACTACACGGGTATTTATGACATAGCCTTGGAAATCATACAAGATCACTTCTCCCATACTCGATTGAGCCAAGCAGTTGCAAGTCACCCAAATTCAAAGCAATGGGACGTAGCTCCCCACCTCTCAATGGGAGATGTGACAAAGAATTTGGGAGCAATATTTTAAAACCACCACAGGTACTTTATACTATGTGAGTCTTGCTCTCCTCTATAAAATGGGACTACATTGTCTCTAAGACTCCTCTAGGGCTTAAAGTCTATGGGGCACTTCCCTTTAATAATCTTAATTTATAGATACTTACATTAGTATTTGTATTCCAATTCTTTTCTATCATAAAATAACCGTAGTACATAGAATTTTTAAAAATAGAAAAACAGGCTTAGTTTCAATGCCTAAATCTTTATGTATTTCCATATTTCGAGTTGTTTTCTGCGTGTTTGTTTGTTTGTGGTGCTTGTGTGTCTGTGTGTGTGAGTGTGGTGAACCTACCAGTACATCATTTTGGCATCTTTTCTCAGAATTAAACAAGCCAGGAAGACATTCTGACAGTTTGTTTTTAAAGACCATCAGTTGCCATTATAACTAAACATACTATACAACAGTAACATTTAATATCCCAATTAAATTGTAGTAGTTGTTGACCTCAGATTACAAACTCAGGTGGGCCAGAAATGTCTTATTTTACAATAAATCTGTTTTAATTTTGATTCTGAACCCCTGTCCTGCTGAGCTGGTAGGAAATATAGCCCTTCATTTTTGAGACAACCTTCCCCACTAACTCCTGAGGTTATATCATTCATCCAGGTCTCACACAGTTGGAACAAAGGGGAGGGGGCTGAAGGGTTTTGGTTCTCAATTATCCATGAAACCAAATTCACCCTGAAATGACCATTATCCTTATTTGCTGGGCTTGTTCAGGTCTGCCTCTCTTATGGTTCGTTGCCTTGCAGGGAGTTTGTGATTATTCTCCAGGAAACAGAATATCTCAGGTCTAGACTTGCTTTTTGGTGCACCACAAGCAATTTCCTTATATCCTCCATGTCCTCAGGGTCCTGCCATGGAACAGTAGGCAGGTGCCCTCTGCTCCAGAGATCCCCACAACTCTTTCTCCCTCAGGTCCTACAGATTCCATATCCTCTGCCTTTTGCCTTACCCAGGCTCTATTCCTGCTCGTTTCTTAGTAGTTTTTGATAGCCTACCAAAATCATTAGCAACCAAATAACTGCTTCACTTCATCCTGAAATTTTCCCTGGAGAAGGAAATATTTGCGTTCCATCTTTCTACTGCTTCAGAGAAAAGAATAACCAAATGACTATTTTTCCACAATAAGAGTGAATGTTCACATCCTGCTACAAAAGAATACATAAGGCTAATTTATATGCATTGCATATTCTCCAATATATAAAGGGAATCGCACTTCCATCAGATAGTTTTTTGAGTCTGTGTTTAACTGCTTCCTAAATCTTCTGGGTCTAACAGGAGAACAGCGTCTTTCATGGCTGATGACACTGAAGAAGTGCCAAAGAAACAGCAAAATGGCAGATTTAGTGTTTATTGTTGGGATAAGATAATACAGGTTCATAATCCCTATGTGCTGTTTCACATTCAAAAGCTCAGAAAAATCAAAATAACTTCTAGCTCATTAGGCTTCTAAACCTGACCTGAACTAATGTGAGGCTACTTTTAAGTCTTTATTTACCACACTTACGGTGCATATTTTTATGTTATATACCAGAAATATTAGTATGACTGATTATGGGAGTGTTACCTACTTCGTGCTGCAGGGTATCACATGTTGGGACTCAGAAAATGATACCCTGAAATATACTGCTTTGAACTTCCAACTGAGAGGACCTGAGGAGCAGCAAATGCTGAGTTCCTTATTTGACTAAGAGAATTTCCTTCAGAAGGCATTAAATTGTCTTGCCCCACCCCACCCTTCATCCCCATAATTTCATCAAACAGATGAGACTAACTCATAGGAAAGAAGATTGAAGCTGACTCCACACTTGGAGCTCATACAAACTTTTTCCCAGGCTATTGTCTGTTCTTCAAGCCCATTCACCTCCCCTAAAAATCATGTATTCTTCCTCAAAAATTGTCTATTATCTTCCACTTCCCTTTCCCCCATGAAAAGTGTTGAGGCTTATTCTGAGCCAATATGAGTGACCATGGCCTGAGAACCCAATATGAGTGACCATGGCCTGAGAACCATCTCAAGAGCTCCTTCAACAGTTGTGACTGAGCTTGTCAGGTTGCAGTTTGGTTTTATATATTCTAGGGAGACAGGAATTATAGGTAAAATCATAAATCTATATATAGAAGGTATACATTGGTTCAGCCTAAAGGGGTGGGATATCTTGAAGGCAGGGTGGAGGGGATGCTTACAGATCATAGGTAAATTCAAAGATTTTCTGATTGGCAGTTGGTTGAAAGAGTTAAGTTTTGTCTAAAGACTTGAAGTCAGTAGAAACAAAAATGCTTGAGTAAAGATAAGGGGGGTTGTGAGGGCCAAGGTTTTTGGTATGTAGATGAAGCTTCATAGATCACAGTCTTCAGAGAGAATAGAAGATAAATGTCTCTTTTCAGACTTTAAAGGTATCAGACTCTCAGTTAATCTCTCCTAGATCCAAGAAAAGCCTAGAAAGAGAAGGCCTGACTCCATTAATGGAGATTCTCTACAGATGCAAATTTCCCCCACAAAAGATGGCTTTGCAGAGCCATTTCAAAACATGTTAAAGAAAAATAAAGTAAAATCTGTTTATTTCCTTCAGGGTCTGCTATCTGTCATGTGCCATGACATGCTATACCAGTCAGGTTGGAATTGGTGTCTTATTGCCATAGTCTGTTTACTCAGTCTTATGATCTCTATTTTAATGTTAATGCTGGTCAGTTGCGCCTAAACTGCAAAGGGTGGGAGTATGATGAGGCATATCAGACCTCCATTCCCATCATAGCTGGGAATTCAGTTTTTCAGGTTTCTCTGGGTTCTCCCTGAACTAGAGAGGGTCTGTTTAAAGCTGCATTTGCAAACATTATGACAGTGAGACAAATCTAGCATGGCTGATTCCAACTTGCTTCTAGCCTCACATGCTGGCTGTTTTTACCCATTCTTGGCTATAGGCCAAGCTAACCATGAAAGGGGACTGAATTCTGCTAAGATCTACTTTCTGTAGTCCACTACTGCTCAGGAGTCACGTGGCTGGAGGTCACAAGATTTGTGACTTATTGCTCCTTTAGATAACATCACTATTGTAGAAACTAAATTGGCCTTTTGAGATGTTTTTTAGACTTTTGTGTCCTGGCAACCACTGACCCCACCCAGACTCAGGACTCAACTGGTCCTGTGGCCCTTCACCCAGAGTGCCCCTCCAGCACACAAGGACTATT
Source organism: Homo sapiens (assembly GCF_000001405.40). Lineage (NCBI taxonomy): Eukaryota > Metazoa > Chordata > Mammalia > Primates > Hominidae > Homo > Homo sapiens. Next base: position 30,703,426 of record NC_000003.12, read on the forward strand.
TTCCATGCCCCTGTGATTGCATCCCCAGCTAATCAGCAGCACCCATTCATTAGTCCCCTGTCCACCAAACTATCTTTGAAAAACTAACCTCTGAGCCTTTAGTGAGGCTGGTATGAGTGACAACTGCAGTTCTCCTGTGTGGTCTGCCTCATGTCAGTTAAACTATTTCTTTACTGCAATACCACAATCTCAGTGAATTAATTTTGTCCATGTAATGGGCAGGAAGAACCCACCAGGCGATTACATGTTTAGTTAGCTGAGGGGGCTTAGGATTTTATTTTTGGTTTATAAGAGGGGATTTAAGCTTCAATCATCTGAATTGTCTTTGAGTTTTCATACTTTTTGTGACTCTGTGCACTTTCATCTTAATACATTTGTATGCCTTTTCTCCTGTTAATCTGTCTATTATCAGTTTATTTCAGCCGACTCAATTATCAAACCTTCAGAAGAGAAGTGTAAGCTTCCCTGCACACATAATATGTACCATATTATCTTTTGGAAAGTTCTCCAAAATTCTAGCTTTCCAAACCTATCTTATTCTAGGGATTTGAGATAAGGCTTGGGATATATATATATATATATATATATGAATTAGAAAGTTTCTTTTTCATGGTATTTCTTCATGTGCCCATTACAGGGACAGAAAAGATAATTTTTCCTCTACCCTTGTAAATTCTCAGCTGGGGCCTCAATATAAAAAGACAGATTAACAAAAGAAAAACAAATAGAAGTTTATTAACATGTATACAGTGACTTTTTCTGTAACCTCTGCCTCCCCCCCTCCCACCATGTTTATAGACCCCTGCATTTAAACCATCTGGGACTTCAGGTTTTAAACACGAGCTGGCTGAATCTTCTTGCTTGGTACCCTGCAATAAATGTATACATGGGAGACACCCAGGGACAAATGAGGAACTCTCAAAGAGATAGTTTAGAATTCAAGCATAAATACTATCTTCAGCTAAAGACAAAACAGAGAATGGTGTCAGGGAGGACGAGGTAACTAGGAAAAGTACAGTAAAGAAGAGTAAGTTTTGTAATGCAGATGTAAGTCAATACCTTCCCCACTGCTAAGAGCCTCTAGTGATTTACCCATCTTTCTCTTTCTTATACAGAGAGGGAGACACACTTAAAAAATTGAGATTTACTTTATAAATGCAAATTTCCCATAGAAAAGGGTTTACTTCTCCTTTATTTTCAGAGCTTCTCCTGTGTCTGCTGTTTCTCAAAATAATTCTGCTAAAGAGGCATATTTTGGGGTGTCATATTCTGGTCTCCTATATCATTCACGCTAAATCATGGGGCAGGATGATTTTCCGTTAAAGCTGAATACCAGGGAAGGCTTTTTAAAATTTCAAATGCTTGTGCTTCTGAACATCAAGAGGCAATCTGTGAAGAGATTCAAAGCAAGAAAGAAGACAGGAAACATAAGAACAAAGCTTCTTGTTTCCCCATCACCAAGTCTAGTTAAAATTTTCCAGTTGAAGGGAGACCAAGGAACTAAGATGAGATAAGATGTTCATGGGGCTGAGGGACAATGTGCTGCAGACTTGAAGGAACCATGCAGAATGAAGGTAAGTCATCATCCAGGGAACAGCCAGCCCCCACTGGAGTGGCACTTTATACTGTCAGCCCATGGGAACACCACGGATACTAAGTCAGAAACTCTAAAACTTCTGGATCCATTCAAGTGAGAATCATGTCGCTTGTGCCAAAGAATGACATCAATAGTCTTTCATACTAGCAACTGGTAAGAAGCGCCCATCCATAGCAGCCTACTGCCTACTTAATGTTAATCAGTACTGGCTCCAGTGGCCCAAGATAATTTTCTCAGGCCTTGACTGTTATGAATTAACCTAACTCAATTTTGCCAGTCAAAATTATCAGATTCATTTGGTTATCAGTAGTTTCAAATGCTTAGAAGCAGACTAAGGATACAAGACTCCTCCCAAAAACCTCCCCAGCAGGCTTCACTGAAAACAATCTCAGATTGCAAAGAAAGGAGTCACACAACTGAGACAGAGCAGGGACCCCTCTTAAAGGCCTGCAGCCCACCCCTCACCACCAAAGCGTGATAATAAGGGAATATTTTGACTTCCTTTAAGGGAAATTCCATACACCTAGTTAGCCCTGGGAAGTAAATGAGCGATTTGATAAGCAAGAAGACAAAAGTAGCTTAAAACAATAGCTAAAGCAGTTAGCATCACAAGATGTTTTGTTCCCTATAGAAATTAAAGATAACATTTTAACCTCTCTTCCTGAGTTGGTTTACAGAAATCCAAACTCCCACCAAACGGATCCATTGGCACATAGAACTCAGATAAGGGGCAATTGAGGACTGAACTCCGATCACCATTCTTCGTTCTAAATTTCTTCCCGAGGGAGGCAGTTAAACCCATGAGCTAAAGCTAACATTCTTTTCTGCTGATCCCAAATTTTAGACAAAGCTTTGCTTCTTAACCAATCACAATTCAGAAAGTCTTTGAATCTACCTATGACCTAGAGGCCCTGCTTCAAGATGTCCCACATTTTTAGTCAAACCAATGTATAGCCTCAATGTATTGATTTATGACTTTTTCTGTAACCTCTGCCTCCCCATCTTTATAAACTCCTACCTTTAAACCATCTCAGAGTTCAGGTCTTAAACATGAGCTGCCTGAATCTTCTTGCTCAGTACCCTACAATAAATACCTCATTTTCTCTCATCTCCATCCCAGTGTCACTCTTTGGCTTTGCTGCACTGGATTAGCAGACCCCGGTTTGGTTTTGTTGGGTACAGGCCCCCAAATCTGGCCATAAACTGGCCCCAAAACTGGCCATAAACAAAATCTCTGCAGCACTGTGATATGCTCGTGATGGCCTTGACGCCCATGCTGGAAGGTTGTCGGTTTACTGGAATAAAGGTAAGGAACACGTGGCCCACCCAGGGAGGAAAACCGCTTAAGGCGTTCTTAAACCACAAACAATAGCATGAGTGATCTGTGCCTTAAGGACATGTTCATGCTGCAGGTAACTAGCCAGAGCCCATCCTTTTATTCAGCCCATCCCTTTATTTCCCATAAGGAATACCTTTAGTAAATCTTATTATGACTGGCTTGCTGTCAATAAATATGTGGGTAAATCTCTGTTCGGGGCTCTCAGCTCCGAAGGCTGTGAGAGTCCCTGATTTCCCACTCGACACTCTATATTTCTGTGTGTGTGTCTTTAATTCCTGTAGCATTGCTGGGTTAGGGCCTCCCCAATTGAGCTGGTCTTGGCAGGTTTGATAATACAACCTTTACCACAACCTCAAGGAAGTTCCAAGTCTCTCTCTTTAGGTACCATCACCAGACCTCACACCTGAGACAAGAGCAACAATATTCTAAAGTTAGGAGGCAGCAACTTTACAGTTGGTGTTCAACAACCAGAATTTAGTAAATTAGTACCTGGACATTGTTTCAGAAACAAGCTTCAAATGCCATTGTAAAAGATCTGGATGTCTGAGCTAGCTGGATTCTATTCACCTGAAGATGGAAGGGATCTTCACAATATTTTTAGTCCATCCACATATTGCTATAGTTTGGATTTTTGTCCCCCAAACCTTATGATAAAATTTGATCCCCAATGTCAGAGGTGGGGCCTAATGGAAGTGTTTGGATGATGGGGGCAGACCTGTCATTAATGGCTTGGTGCCATCTTCATGATAATGAGTGATTTATTACTCTATTAGTTCCAGTAGGGAGCTGGTTGTTTATTTTAAAAAAAGGGATGGAAATGCCCCTCTCACTTGCTTCCTCTCTTACCTTGTGATCTCTGCACATGCCAGCTTGCCTTCACCTTCTGCCATGGGTAGAAGTAGCCTGAGGCTTCACAAGAAGCAAATACTGGCACTATCCTTCTTGTACAGCCTGCAGAACTGTGAGCCAAATAAACCTCTTTTCTTTATAAATTACCCATTCTCAGGTACTCCTTTATAACAACACTAACGTGGACTAAGACATACACCTTGAACACCAGTAATTTCAACAATGAGCACTTATTTGCATATCCATCATGATAATTGACAAAACCTCCACTATTGATATATAAAGGTAGGTGAAATGCTTGTAGTTACAGTCTCTGAAGTGTGACTTTTAATATACTAACTCACCATCCATAGAGTAATTTTTGAGATTGGGCAGCCATGCATCCTAGTAATGTGCATTAAAGCCATCATACACACACATATATATCAAATGCATGTGCTATACTATTTGAAAGTAAGTTATAGACTATAATTTATTAACTGAGGTCCTGTGTGGGTAACCTGCTTTTCAGTTTCCCAGAGCACTCAGAAGCCCTTCAAGTTAGAGGGTGGAGCACTGGATATCTAGAAGGATAATGGTGATGATATTTAGGTGAAATCTTCCCAGGTCCTCAAACTTCACAGTTGAACATGTTGGGAACTGAATGCAATCAGAAGAAAATCTCCTCCAAAACCAGGAAAGAAGTATATTATCTTCCATTCTTTCTGGTCAGGGAACAGACCCTACATTTGGGACAGAGCTCGATTTGTTGGAATATTTTTTCACTATAGCTCCCCTATGGACTACGCTGAGTCATGCTTTCTGCAACAAATGTCTCCATTGTTGGCACAATGGTCCAAGAAAAAGCTGTTAATGTGGCCATACCTTGTGGTTTTGTTTTATGAGACACGTAATCGTGTTAATTTGTTTTATGAGACAGGTAATTGTGTTAATATACAGATATTGTGTTAGAAAATTAAACCATTCATATACAAGTATTGTAAGAAATTAAACTATTTATGTTATATATTTTCACTAATTGATGTTAAATGTGGTTTCTTAAAATGTTAATATGAAATTAATAACTTAAATATAGAACATTCAAAATTTTATAAGGCAACAATATAGAAGTGATTAAGTAAAAAGATTATATGTCTTACATATGCATCTGTTGGGGCTCAGAAAATGATATCCCCCAAATTAAAGTATCAGAAGCAGTCTCAGAATCAAAGTTTCTCTCTGACCTTCTGCCTTCCTATCTCTCAGCCTCATTCTCTTCCAAGACAAATCATAGAAACCAGAATCTCTTTTCCCCAAAGTCAGCTATGAAGTTTAAAATTGTTACTCTAACTCTCCCCACCCACTTCCTTCCATGTAGGAAATGGCCATAAAGAAGGTGTTTCATCTACCTTGTTTGATTATGAGTCATAACACCCCTATTCCAGAATTCTGCCCTATGACAGAAGGAAATGAATTTCCTCCAATCAGTCTATTACTATTAGATCATACATTTTATTGGCCAATCACATTTCTACTCAGCTGTCCCTGCTTCACAGAAGCTAAATATAAAATAAGATAGTTTTCCCTGTGTATTAGTCAGGATTCTCCAGAGGAACAGAACTAATAGGATATATGTACATGGGAAAGGGAGTTTATTAATGAGAATTGACTCACACCATCACAAGGTGAAGTCTCATGATAGGTCATCTGCAAGCTGAGGAGAAAGAAAGCCAGTAGTGGCTTAGTCCAAGTCCCAAAGCCTAAACAGTAGGGAAGTCGACATGACAATGCAACCTTCAGTCTGTGGCCGAAGGCCTGAGAGCCCCTGGCAAACCACTGGTGTAAGTCCAAAGGCCAAAGAACCTGGAGACTGATGTTCAAGGGTAGGAAGCATCCAGCACAGGAGAAAAATGAAAGCTGGAAGACTCAGCAAGCCAGCTTATTCCACTCTCTTCCACCTGCTTTTTCTAGCCACACTGGCGGCCAGTTGGATGGTGCCCACCTACATAAAGGGTGGGTCTTCCTCTCCTAGTCCACTAATTCAAATGTTAATCTCCTCTGGCAACACCCTCACAGACAAACCCAGAAACAATACTTTGCGTCCTTCAATCCAATCAAGCTGACACTTAATATTAACCATTATACCCTATATCATTTGGTCATTTAACCTGGAGCCTCCTGTGTCATGTAAAACTTAGATTAAATAAATCTGTTATGCTTTTCTCTTGTTAACTTGTCCTTTGTAATAGGGGTGTTGGCTATTACTTTTAACATCCTCAGGAAATGCATCACACCTTTCTGTTCCTACATATCTATGCTTGTTATTTTATCGTTTCTGTATTTCTGTGTGCTAGATTGCTTCCCATTTCCCTTTTTCCACCATCGTGAATAATGCTGCAATTAATATTTTCATATAAGTTTGCTATGTTTTATTTTTCCTTAAGATATACTATAAGAGATTATGAGTATTTTTATGATACTTACGGTCTCTGGCCAAATTATTTCTCAAAAGTGTTGTATCCATTTTGATTCCCACCAACAACACGTAAGACAAGACATATATTTCACAGAACATTCACTAGCTTTACATATTAGCATTTTTAAATTGTAATAGTCCACAATTATGCCTCACTAATGTTATTATTTGTATCTCTTTTATTCATAGAAGGTTGAGTTTTTTCATATACTTGTTTAGAAATTATATTTCTGGGCTGGGAATTATATGTAATTTCCTGTAGGAGAGAACAGGTAGTACCTTATTGTCACCCATTGCAAGATTACTGGCTAAGATCCCTATAGCAAAAAAGCAGATTAACAAGAGAAAAGCATAACATTTTTATTTAGTATAAGTTTTACATGACACAAGAGCCTTCACAAATGAAGACGTAAAAACCCACAGAAATCTATGTATTTTTGTAGAAAGTTGTGCAGAAGCGTGGCTGGAGGACAAAGGAGTGTGATCTAATGGTAATAAACAGGGGAGAACTCAGCCAGACCTGTTTGTTTAGAGTCTTACTGGCTTCCCGGTATAGGGCAGGGCCCCTCTGGAATAAAAGTCTTATGTCCTACTTTCAAGGGAGGTAGTGTAGGGAATTCTTTTACGGCCTGCTTCAGAGGAGAAAGGCAAGAGAAGATCAGCGAGGACCTTCCTGTTTCTGCGGAGCGTTTTTGTCAATTTCCTTCAGCTTAAAACACTCATCATGCCAAGGTGACATATTGCCAATGGGTATTGTGTTCTGAGCCCTGACAATCCTTTATATATTTGTCTATGACACTGAAGTGATTTTATGAATTATAATATTTGCCAGAAATAATTTCCCACTGTATAGGGGAAAAATTTATTTTACCCATCACTAGCTTCACTGCTGAAGTCTCTGTAACAACAGACAGATTGACAAGAAAAACGCATGCAAATTTATTCACTTATAAATTTTTTGTGACATGGGAGTCTTCAGAAAGGAGGACCTAAAGAAACAGGGAAACCTATGTATTTTCATGCTTAAGTTTGACGAAGAGTGGACAGTTCTGCAAATGTATGACTGCACAAAGAAGACATAATCTTACGGTAATAAACTGCGGGGAACAAAGCAAGGCCTGTTTGTTCAGATTCTTCTCTCTCCCTGTGTCTTCAGAGATAAGGATGTTCCTTCCTCTGGGCATAGGAAGGGTACCTCTCTGAGGGTCTTACGACCCACTTCAGGGGAGAAGGGCGAGCGAAAGTTGAGAGGGGCCTTCCTGGTTCTTCTGTTTTCTCAAATGTCAAGGTGACATATTTTGAGGGTAGCATGTATTAAACCCTATCACCAGACTTTCATTTGCTTTTTAATTTTCTTAATGTGTACTTAAAACATTTAAACTGAAAAATATTCGTGGAGTATAATCGCTCACTCTATTTCCTTATGAATTCTCCTGTTGCATTCATATTTAGAAGAAAAGTGTCTGTCCAAAGATCCAGTAAACATCCACCTCTATTTTCTTAAAGATTTTCTATGGCATTATTTTAAAACAATTAATTGCTTATTCTCTCTAGAATTTATTCAGGTGCATAGTGTGGGCTTGATGGAAGATTATTTATGTTTTCTAATTGCTAAACAGATGCCCCCAACATCATTTAATGTGGAGTAAGAATGAGGAAGTTTCATTTGTTGTCAATTTGTGCTACTTCCTTAAAGATGCAGTACATTTGTCCTTGCAATGGAAACTTCTTCTGGACTATTTTGCTCCATAATTCAGATTTCAGTACAAGTCTGCTGTAGATAATATTACTTCTAATTAATGTTTGTATATTTTAATTCCAGAACAACAGAAAAATTATGGCTGTTAATGTTTTTGTGTTTGTTTTTCTTATGCTTCTTTTTTATCTAATCATAAATTATTTTATTAGAAAAAAATTAAAAAGTCATCACATACTCAGGCCTATAGCATGTATTCAGAGTTAATAAAGGTATTTTGTCATGTTTGATTCAGAACTTAGCCTTTCATTTGAAAAGTAACAAAACATTACAAATACACGAACATCTAAGTAACTGTCTTTACTTCCTAGTCCTGTCTCTATTGACCCTCCAAGAGTCCAGTTCTCTTTGGCTTAAATGTGGATCTTTCCTATCGATATATGTGTCTAAAATCTAGAGTGTTACTTCCTGTACATGTTCTGTTTAATTTATGTAAATGGCATTTTGTATATATTGCTCTACAACTTTTTTAAAATTTAAGATTACACTTTTGAGAGCTATCTATGTTGATCAATATCAGTCTAATTTATTCATTTTAACTGCTGTGTAGCGTTATCACACGAATATAACAAAATTTCTTTACTTGCCTTACTCAAAGACATTGGGTTATTTCCAATGCTTTTTATAATTACAAAGTGCTGAGTAGACAGACTTGATCTATTTTACTAGAAGAGGAACTATCAAGGTTAATTAACTGAAACAAAACAATTTAGATTATAAAATTCACTGAAAAGTAAAGATTGAACATAATTAGTGAAGAAACAGATAGTATAAAGAGTAGAAGACAGTGTAATTGTAACCTCAAAAAGGGAGATACATCTGTCAGTTTAAGCTCTAACAAAATATGTCTAGAATCTGTATGCTGAAAGCTATAATAAACTAATGAAAAAAGAAAGATAAACATAAAAGAAATGCTAAACTCTAATCATATATCTCTAGCAAGAATATTCTAAAATTTATGTAGAGATGCAAAGGAAATAGACTAGCCCAAACAATTCTGAAAAAGAAATAAGTTGGAGGGTTCATACTATCTGATTTTTAAAAAATACCTATACAGTTACAGTCCTCTGAATAAGGAACCCAGAAATAGACTACACAAATACAGTAACTTATTTTTTAATAATTTTCAGAGAAATCTAAATAAAAGAAATGGAAAAAAAATCTCTTACCAATCCATAAAATCTCTCCCTTCACAAAGGTAGAAGAGAGGCCGGGTGCAGTGGCTCACACTTGTAATCTCAGCACATTGGGAGGCCAAGGTGGGCAGATCACTTGAGGCAGGAGTTTGAGACCAGCCTGGCCAACATGGAGAAATCCGATCTCTACTAAAAATACAAAAATTAACTAGGTTTGGTGGCGCATGCCTGTAACCCCAGCTACTTGGGAAGCTGAGGCATGAGAATAACTTGAACCCAGGAGGTGGAGGTTGCAGTGAGCTAAGATCGTGCCACTGCACTCATGCCTGGGCAACAGAGTGAGTGAGACTCCATCTCAAATGAAACAAAACAAAAAACAAAGGTAGAAGAAAAAAAAACAATTTTATTATTCCATAAGCATTAAACTATAATGTAAGGAGCATCACATGCAACTGGCTAAGGGGATTGTAAAAATGGAAAGAAATCACACCATTTTGTATAGCAAAGCAGATGCAATCCATTACATACATGTGAATTGTCTTTATCAAAAATAATAATAAAACTTCTTATATTTTTGTGAAAAGCAGGAAGTTACACTAGGAGTCAAGCACGTAGGCTGAAACTCCCACAGGAACAGGAAGACAGAGCTCATCTTCCTCGATGTTTGCGTTTCAAAAAGAAGGTCCAAACATCCCCAAGAAAAAAAAATAACTGAAATGAAAAACTAGCAAGAGACTCATTTAGCTTTTAAAGAGATTTAAATACGTCTCAACCTGACACATAAAACATTTGCAATCTATTTTCTAAAGGAAGTGCCTATCAGAAAGAAAGGGGGAAATGTTTCCTCTCTCTTTTGGCATGAGAAAAATTACATTTTTAGGATTTATATTTATACTTTATACAATATACAAAGACAGCTGAGTGGATAAAGAATAGTCCTTTCTAAATAGTGGAAAAATTACGTGTCATATACAAAATATATGAACCTCAACATATACCACACACCTTATACAAAAATGAACTCAAATGGTTTATAAAAATAAATGAAAAAGTGTAAAATTATAAAACTTATAGAAGAAAATACAGGAGAAAATCCATGTGATTTTGAGGTTAGAAATGAGTTTTTTTTAAGATATGATACCAAAATAGAAAATTAATACATTTCAGTTGATTAAAATTTAAACTTTCATTTTGTGAAAGACACTAATAAGAAGACAAAAGGTAAATCACAGGTTGGGAGGAAATATTTGTAAATCATATACCAATAGAGGACTTTTATCCAGAATATATAAAGAACATTTAAAGCTTAATATGAAGAAAACAAAAACATTAAAAAAAGGGGCAAAAAACTGAACAAGAACTTTATCAAATAAAATATACAATGGTAAATAAGTATATTAAAAGCATCTCAACATTATCAGTCATTACAGAAATGCAAATTAAAACTACAAGAAGGCATAGGATTCTGCAAAGATGGTGGAGTATGTAGCATCAAAATCTGACTCCTCAAAAGTCAACAATTGCACTGGCAGAATTTGTCTGATGTAACTATTTTGGAATTCTGAAGTCTATTGAAGGCTTGCAACTTTCAAGGGAAAGCTTAGATGGCAAATTGCTGTTATTTTAGTCAATTTCAGCTCTTAAAATAGTAGTAGCTACCTATGCTCTATACCAGGGGTCCCTAACCCCTGGGCCACAGACCTGTACTGGTCCATGGCCTGTTAGGAACTGGGCAGCACAGCAGGAGGTGAGTGACAGGTGAGCAAGCATTACCGCCTGAGCTCCGCCTCCTGTCATGTCAGTGGCGGCATTAGATTCTCACAGGAGCATGAACCCTATTGTGAACTGTACATGTGAGTGATCTTGCTATCATTCTCCTTATGAGAATCTAACTCATGCCTGATGATCTGAGGTGGAAGAGTTACATCCTGAAACTATCCCCAATACCAGGTCCGTGGAAAAATTGTCTTTCACAAAACTGGTTCCTCATGCCAAAATGGTTGGGAAACCCTGCTTTACACCTCAGCCACATGGCAGGCTATTTTGCACATGTTCCTGGAGCAACTTGCACACAGCTTGTAGGACCCAGGGTGGACAAAATTAATTCTACTCTTTAAATAGTGGAGATCCGTGCTTAGTTGCTGATTGCCACTTCTGATCACAGGGGTGCAGACACAGAGGTGATAGCATTGTTGTTGTACCTTCCCCAATTGTGCAAGCCTCTTCTCCAGCTGAAGTGACTTCCAGGAGATGTATAAAGCTGGTGTCCCCTCCCCTTCATTTTTATTTTTTTCCTTTTTTGGAAACCAGATATTAAAGACTATGGCATTCAAAAGCAAACACATATATGAAAGAAATTAGAAAATCACTATATATGCCCAGGGAAACACAGAAGTTCAGAAAAGATCTGAGAAGACTTTAAGTTCACATTGGAGGTTGACCTTTGGCAAAGATACAGTCTATAGCAAAAATGACAACTAAAAAAACCATAATAACAAAAATACTTAAATCCCAGGGAAAGAAGAAAATCTGATTTCCAGAGTTAGCATGTTATTACTTACAAATGGCCAATTTTCAACCACAACAAAAAATTATAAGACAAATAAAGAAATAGGAAATAACGGCTCACTCAAAGAAAAAAAACCACAGTAAAAACCATACCTCAAAATGGATCTACTAGACAAAGACTTTAAAACAACTATGTTAAAGATATTCAAAGAACTAAAGGACGATGTGTAGAAAGTCAACAAAATGTTCTATGAACAAAATGGAAATAGCAATAAAGACATGTAAAACCTAAAAAGAAAGAAACAAACAAAAACCAAAATTCTGGAGCCAAAAGTTTCAATAACTGAAATGAGAAATCCATTACAGATACTCAAAGGTTTGAGCAAGCAGAAGAAAGAATCAGCGAACTTGAAGATAAGACAATGGAAATTATTAACACAAGAAATAGAAAGAAAAAAGATTAAAGAAAAGTGAACTGGCTTTTGGGACACCATCAAGTGAATCAATGTACACATTGTGAAAGTCCTAGAAGGAGAAGAGAGAGAAAAATAGACTATTTAAAGAAATAATGAGTTAAAACTTTCTAAATTTGATCAATGATATAAATATAAACCTCTAAGGTGAGGGCATGTCAAAAGGACACAGAAGTCAATCTGTGAAAGCTCCCAGTGATCAAACCTGGAACCACCTGAGCATAAAATGAATATCCTCGAGTCCACACTGATATAAGTACAAAATTAAATACATAAATAACTATGGAGAAATGCATGTTTTTCTTACAAAATAATTCCAATTGATAAATGTAAAAGAGATGACAGAAATACAAAGTGGGGCCAGGTGCGGTGGCTGATGCCTGTAATCCCAGCGCTTTGGGAGGCCGAGGCGGGTGGATCATGAGGTCAGGACTTCAAGACCAGCCTGGCCAACATGGTGAAACCCCGTCTCTACTAAAAATACAAAAATTATCTGGGCATGGTGGTGTGTGCCTGTAATCCCAGCTACTCAGGGGGCTGAGGCAGGAGAATTGCTTGAACTGGGACCTGGGAGGAGGAGGTTGCCATAAGCCGAGATCCTGCCACTGCACTCCAGCCTGGGCTACAGAGTGAGATTCCGTCTCAAAAAACAAACAAACAAAAGTTAGCAGTAGAACACCACAGGAATAATTGCAGCTGGCAGCATCCACTGATGACTGCAAAAATTAGTGAGCAAAACTGTAAGGAGAAATAGGATACTTGCATAGCCTTAAAAATCTCCCCTAAAATATTTATTAATTATTGTTAGTGGTTTTACTTTATGTCTACAGATTCTTTTATACTCCTCACTCCAAAAATGGAGCTTAATTCTCCTCCATAAGTAACTCACTTATAAATAATAGTGCATGAAAAGGGAAAAACAGTAAACTTCACAATGGAGAAACCTGCCAGGTACTACCTTAACCAAGTGATCAACATTAACATCATCAGTAATAAGACCAGACACAACCCAGACATCTTAGTCTAAGGCTAATTTTGTCCTACTATTGAGGCAAGGCTTTTTAAAGTATTCTACCCAATGCTTTTCTAAGTATTCTACCCAATGTCTTGTAAATCATGAGGTTTTTCAGCCTGGCTAGTAGAAGGAGGCAATATTACAGGCCCTGTATGAGAACTGGACACTGTTTCCTTAAACCTTCTAAGGGAATTCTTTCTTCAGCCTCAGGTAGTTTTCTTACATGCATGTGCTGATCAGTACTCTGTTGAAGACTCAAGGGAGACTCTCTGCGGATCAGAATTTTCTCTCAATGTAGCTCTTTTCTCTTCAGTAATCTGTCCCAATCCTCTAGCTACCTGGTCTCCCAGTGTTTCAAATCCGTCTCTTTAACTCAAAGAGTCTTCTGAGATCCATCTTGGCTTCTCTTCCTGTGCCACACTTAAAAAACAAACAAAAAACACCTCTCATTCATTAAGCTGGAGCAATCATTGGGTTCACCTCATTAGCTTCCTATTTCTCAGGGATCACTGTCCTTCATTACCTGATGTCCAATGTCTTAAAAACTTATTTAATATATTTTGCCCTGTTGTTTTGTTGTTTCATGTGAAAGAATAAATTTGGTTCCTGCTACTCCATCTTGTAGAAATGGAACACTTTCTTTAAATACTTTAATTCTAGCTTTTACATCTATTATTTTATCACCCAATCCTTTTATCTCTCTGTTCATTTATTTTACTTCTGACAGTTTTCTCAAGTCAATCTTGTGCTTAATTCATCTAAACATCAAATTATTTTATATTTATTCATTTATTATCTATATATCCAACAATCATTGCTAATATCTGCTGTTTCCAGTGCAGAGTTGAATTACAGAAGCACAAAATTATATGCAGGATACATAAGTGATTGAATTAATAAAATAATACTTCTCAGGATTATTTAAGAAAGAATATTTGGGTAAACGTAAAGCACTATAACATGTTTAAAAAATAACTGTTTATATTTTCTACCCACAACTAAATCTTACCCCCTTTAATCTCTCTCTCTCTTTTTCTGACTCTGTGAGGTCAGTTTATTACTCCCTTTTCTCCCAATATGCTATGGATGTTTTCCATTTCTTTCCTGGTGATTCAGGTTTGTCCTTTAAGTTCGTGAGAAGCCCACAGCAGCTTAAATTGGTTGAGTTTGATGCTCTACTTCACCACTGTAACTTACTCAGGTCAACTCTCTACCAGGAAGCAAACTGATATCTAATCTTTGTGAAACCTAAAATATGCTTGACTCTTGTGATCCGGAATAACTGTGGCTAAGTATTTTTTCCTCGTTTTCAGCATTTAATGGCTGTTTTGGTGAAAAAGAGAGAAAAGGGATTTCATGGGCAATTACTCTTCAAATTAAGAAAAATCATCTGTAAGCAATGAAACTCACAATGGGGTCCAAAGTCACCCAAACATGCAGCTAGTGCTCTTAATTCAGCAAACTCTTTGAAGAATATTCATTGGATTTTTTATTTTGAAGATAAGAACCAAAGGCAACCCATTTAGAGCATCAGGCCTAAGACTTTAAGACATTTAGTTATGATTACAGAAAGCAGCATCACAGAACATTCAGCAACCACGGGATTTGAGAGCTGCAGCAGCAGCAGCATAAATGCCAACCATTGACTTCTAATTACCAGGCGCTTCTTAGAAGACGGCAGTTGGCACAGTGGCTGGTGATCCAGTTTTTCTTCGGTTTTCATATGCAGTAGTAAGTTATGATTGTCAGTGTGTTTCAGTTTTCTGAATTCTATCATATCTCTTTTTGGAAGTTACTTGCTCATCCAAATTCATTCACCACTTGCCTACTTAACTAAGCTTCCTTCCAAATTTCTCTGGTAATGACAATCCTTTTTTCCACTTACCCATAGTCAAAGACTTGCATCAATATTCCACAAATGCCCTTACTCATAATAGTGCACCCTTACTATTGGTCCTTTAGAATAGTGTGATCCACACACATCACGTATATTAAACTGCTGACCTGTGAAGGGGAAGCTTAAACACTGGCTGTAGTGTTCAGGTCAATGACCTTGGTACCAATTTGATCTCTTTCGGAAGTTATGTATTTGTAGCTCTACCAGGCTCTGTTAACTCTTGCTTTACTCTCCATCTTTGGAAATTGGATTTTATTGTTTAGGCTTGGCCTATGCAGCATTCAATCTACTCTTTTCCCAAGATGTAAAGTATAGTGGTGGTCACTGCATTTCAGTTAAAAATCTTATACTTCCTTTTTGGCTTTGGAGAACCCAGACCTGCTGCCAACACTTGACAAACATCCTGACCAAGTCAGCCCCATCCCTAAAAGTACCATGCCTTCAACCTATAATCCAGTCCCTGATCTGTAACTACATACATACACCATAGGCCAGGAGAAGAGCTGTTGTGTGAAACCTATATCTATTAAGATGTTTCCATGATCTTAAAACTCAGACCAATAGAGATTGGAAACACTATGCTAGAGCATAAATATGCAGGATTAATCACGTGACTGTTATTTCACTGATTTAGCTAGCTATAGTAGGGGTGGAACAGGCCTGGGTGCCACACAATTAGTTTATTCATAATCTCTAGGATCTGTTCTTCACCCTTGTTTGTTCACATTAGGAGAAGAGATGCAGAAATTCTCACCTATACCTTATTCAGCTACAACTACATATGGATATCCTGAGCTTGCAGAGAGTAAAGATTTTTAACATTTCCTCACAATTTGCATACCAGATTAGGGCGATATGCAAACCAGCAAGTCACTATAACATGAATGTAAAAGCCCCCCAGAAGCCATTCAGGTTGGATTGCATAGCTCTGCCCTCAAAGATGTGAGAATACCAAAACTGATTCACAGGCTCCAGACAACGGACAGTAAAACACTGATTTGGGGATATTCGTCCCAGAATGAGAAAATTCTCTCCTATAGATCCAAATTAGAGGCCTTAGAGGGGTTTTTGAACACTTGATCTAGTCATTCAACTAAAAATTCAACCCACATGTTAACTTAGATATGAGATGAAAGACATATTTTTCTATTTAGCATGGGTTCTTAAATGCGTCCCAAGAGAGGGGAGTTGAGATAATGACATTTGCTCAAGCATCCATTGCTCATCCTTTTCTGTACCCAGCCCATCAGCAGAAAGGAACCACACCTGCAGAGAGAACAGCTGTGTTTCCATTACGGTTTAACAATCTTCTCATCCCTTCATTTCCGGCAGAGCATGACTTACCCAGAGAAACTTCAAAGCTTTCAAATAACAGAATAAAAATTGTTTAGGACTCACCATCCACATGAACCATAGTTTGAACTATTTGTGTACTACATTGTTATCAGTTAGAATTTCAAATTCCAGAATATTTCAAATGTGAGTCTATATGGTGTCAGTGAGGTGTTAACCGACCCATCTATGATTTGCGAAGTCTTAAGATGGATGAACTCTTGTCATACTCTATCGTGAGGAAATATTTACAACTCAAAATCATGCTTAAGAAGAAAAATTTTCTGAGATAAGTCAAGTCTAGCCAGGTGCAGTGGCTCACGCCTGTAATCTCAGCACTTTGGGAGGACAAGGCAGGTGGATCACAAGGTCAGGAGATCGAGACCATCCTGGCTAACACGGTGAAACCCCATCTCTACTAAAAATACAAAAAAATTAGCCGGGTGTGGTGGCGGGTGCCTGTAGTCCTAGCTACATGGGAGGCTGAGGCAGGAGAATGGTGTGAACCTGGGAGGCGGAGCTTGCAGTGAGCCAATATTGCGCCACTGCACCTCAGCCTGGGTGACAGATAAGTCAAGTCTAAATTTATTTTTAAGAAGAAACTTTTCTCTTTTCCTGTAGGGGCACATTTACTAACCAGAACACATTATGTCTCAATTTGTAGCATGTGTTTTAAAATTAGAGGTGACTTTAGCACTTTCTCTAAGGCAATTGGTTAGTTGTTTTACATTTATGATATGCCGCTCAAATTAAAAAGTCATCTCCAAATACAAAAGCACCCATCTGCCAATCTTCCTTACTTCCCTAATTATATATTGAGCAATTAATTACCATGTGTCAAGCCCTCTATAAATATTATAGTTTAATTTTTTAAAATGCACAGAGATATGTAATTACAAATAGTCACACCTATATTTTAGGGAAAGTACAGCAGCTTATATTGGTGCGATGCCATTTGCGTGGGTAGAGGGTAGGCAGAGAAGCCATCCTTAAAGAACTGAGAATCAAGCTGAGATCTGAACTGTAAGCACAAATTTAGTTAGGCGTAGAGAGAGAAGAAGGAAATCGCACTTGAGGCAAAGGGAGTACATGCAACATCCAAAGGTTTTGACATTCAGGGGAAAGAAGAGGGGAGGCTGAAAGAAGACTGAATTTTCTGGACCCCAGCATGAGAAAGGCACCAAAACATAAAGCTGAAACTTCATGGAACCTGGAGGCATGCAGAGCTTTGGCAGCCACTTGCAGAATTAGATCCTTATGAGAATTCAAATCACTTCCTTCCATATAGCTTAACTATCAGGAATGAGAATGAGGATCACTTACACCAACAAGATTTAACTGTTTATTCTTAACTGGAGATTCTTGCTCAGAAAGTTAAGGCTGTAAGTCAATGAATAACTTTATTGTTTACTTTAGGAAATTCCTGCTAACCGATTTATCCAAACAAACACTTGACTCATCTCTCCCATCAGGACAAAAGAATGTTCACCTGCAGAAACAGCTTGCTTATCAAACAGCAGTTTATTTGTCAAGACTCACATCAAGACTTTCACTTTGCTGTGCTCACCAGTCCTAAACAATTACATGATAAATTGTATTCCAGTCAGTTTGTCTTCTAAGCTACTCGTGTTCAAGACCAAAGCCTATAAACATCCTCCTCTTCCCCCTTTCTGGGACACCACTAAAACTCATTCAAGGCCATAGGATAAATAGACTTAGGTTTTTTTCACTAACAAGTTTTCTGGTAGTCTTTGGCAGAGTTGGTAGTTGTCAATCCTGGGAGCAAACAAAAAGCGATTGAGGATTTTTAAGAAAAGTGGAAGATAGGACCAGCATTTTAATTTGGTTGCAGTTTGGTGAGCAGATTGGACAAAGCACAGAATCAATGTACAGATGTGGCAGTAAGGAGGCTATTGCTATAGTCCAGGAGAAACGTGACAGAAGCTTGGAATTTGAACATGACAATTGAGATAGGATAAATGGATGGATTAGAGATGTGTTTTGAAGGTAGATCCAACAAGCCCTGCTAATAGTGGAGGACAGGGGGAGTTAGAGGTGTTAAGCATTAATTTATGAATTTTTGGTTTGCCGAACTAGATAGAAAATGGTGCCACTTATTGAGATGGAAAACATAGAAAAGGAGCAGGTTTGGAGAGGAATGTGAGGTTGGGGGTAGGAAATCATGAGTCAGTTTTGGACATGCTGAGTTTGAGTTGTCTTTGAGATACTCAAGTGGCAATGTCAAGTAAGCATTTGGACGTGTGGTCATGGAGATCAGAAAAGGTCTGAGAAACAAAGCAATGGCCAAATACTCAGAAAATAATTATTTCATCTCCACTGTGTTTCCCGTTTAAATTTCGTAGTATATGCACTCAAAGGGCCCTTTATACTGCTATCCTCCAACTTCAGTGGCAAAAAGCAGAAAGGAAAATTCTTGTATTCAGGCTTGAGAAAGATGGCAGGGTGGTATGATGTAATTATTGCCTTCTAAGAGCAACTTGGTTCTTAATGGCCTTTTCTTTCCATATAGCTATACTAACAAGAAGTTAAGAGCCTGGGCTCTGGGGTGAAGCGGACTTAGATTTGACTCTTGAATCTATAACTTACTAGATCGATAATCTTAAGAGATTTTCTTAAACTGAGCCTCAGGTTCCTCAATTATAAGTTGAGGATAATAATAACTACCACCTCATAGGGTATTATGAGAAGCAAATAAGTCCATGTAGTGTGGCTGGCATAGTACTTGGTGTGTAGTATGGACTCAATAAATGTTAGTTTTTGCTATAATTATCCTTGGATTCCGGCATTAGAGGATTCTCAAGCTTATAGAATTTTGGCCATAAGAAATGCCATGCCTGCAAAATTAGAGAGTTAAGGAAACAGAAAACTTATACTATTTTCTAATGTACTTCATGCCCACACCCAAACTCACCGCCAACCCCATGGAACTATAAGGGTCTAAGTATCCAGTGCTTCATTTGACTAATCTCATGCCCGTTGAGAAGAAGTGGAAAACAGAATGAAGACTGAGAGCTCTCATTTTTCTTCCCTTGTGACTTACATTTAACCTGGGGTTGTTTTTGTATCACTAGATGAGTTTTCCCTGAAAAGCTAGTCAAGAGTCCCTTTATTGCACTGTTGCTACTGAACTGTGGTCCCTAAAGCCAAGAGATTCATGAAAAGGGAACTTCTTTCTGAATCCAGTTGGATTGAGCAATTTAATCCATATTTTCTTGAGTTACATTGTGTAAAATAAATCCTATACAAATTTGAACAATCATACAAGTTCTACTTAGTTGAAATAAATTTGCCCAAGGTCAATCTAGCTCAAATAGAATGTGATCAAAACAGAGAGACATAAAATTACTTCAAACTGCAATCAGGCCAGTTCAAATTATGTTAGGCTACTTCAGACCAGTTTAAATTAAAAGGAATCAAACTGGTCCTGAAGAGCTTAAATTGAGTCAAATTTTTTTCCAGTTCAAAATTGGCTCTAATTGAGTCAAGGGGATTAAGACATTTCAAGTTGTATCAATCCATTTCTAGTTGGATTAGATAAGCATGAACCAGGCAAGCTGGCTCTGATCAGCTAGAATGAGACAAATTGAATTCTAAACAGTTTAATTGGAATCAAGCTTTATCAATCTAAGTTAATTTCTGTGCTGCCTGGGAAACAAAACATTGCTTTAAGAACTGGTGTCACTCCATGCTTGTGTCATGGTGGCAAAAACGATGAGTTGCTTGCCAGTGTCCATTCTCATAGTTTTCTTCACTACTAGTGGAACTACTTATGTGGTTGTGGTCATCAATGTGTCTAGCTAAAACAAAGCAAAAAACAAACAAAAACCTACATTTTCTCATCTCTCCTGAAGAGAAATATGGCAAATGGAGTGGGCATTGAAAAATAAGTTCTTTTCTATTTCTTGTGCCTGAATTGTGGAAAAAAATGGCTGGAACTACAGAGTTGCAACCATGGGTAAAACATGGTGACTTAATTCATCTCTAAGGATGGCACAATAAAAATATATAAGGATCCTGGGTAACATGGTAAAGGTACCATCTCCTGTTTCCAAAGTGGTCAGTGCTCCTTCCAAATCTCCTAGGCACTCACCAGTCCTGCTGAAGACTTTACCTTCAAGCATCTGTACTCTCTGTCCAAAGGATTACTAGGGCCATAGGGGGAGCATGGTGGGGGACTGTCAGGGAGCTAATGCCCCTGGGATCAGTTTCAACCAATTTATCAACCAATGGATTAACACCTGTTCTTCCCCAGCCCTCAGATGGGACATCTCCAAGGTATATTTTATACCCTTTCGCCGATGTCATGGGTAGGATCAAGCCTCAGTTGCTCAGAGCATTAATTTGCTCACTAATAATCACTACTGATTCTCTTCCCTTTCCTGTCTCACTGTACCACTCCCAAAACAGTGTTTCCTGGCATCACCAAATGAATAGGATACTTGCTCTCAAATCCTTGTCTCATGCCTGCCTATGAGGTAACCAAATATAAGACCATCTCTGGATTGTCTATCTTGGAACTTCTTTTGAATAAAGAAACATAAGCCTCTTTAATCAAATCACAATTATTTGAGTATTCTGTAATATGCTGCTAAACCCTTTCTTATCTGATCTGATTAGCAATGTAATAATTTCTTAAGCTTAAATCTCTTTATTATTAGTAGTCCTTTTTCCAATGAAGAAAAACTATTAAAAACCAAAAGCCAGAAGAAGAATTTAAAAGCCTTTTGATTTAATAAAATCTGATGCCTACTAAAATAAATATTGAAAATTATATTCTAAATGTTTACTTTTAGCAAATACAATTTCAACAAGTAAATGGCTTTACATTGCCAACTAGTAAATTTCAGTTCTTACTTGACTCATCCATAGCTTTTGATAGAGTTGGTCCTTTCCTCCTTTCTGAAAAATGTTTCTCTAATTGGTCTGTAGGCAACCACCCTCTCTTGGCTTTCCTTCTGCCTCACTGGCTGCTTCTTTCCAGTCTCCTTTGCTGGTTTCCCCTCATCTCAAGCTGGTATTCTTAGGCTCAATCTTTGGCCTGTGTCTCCTTTTTATCAACAAGCATGCTCTACATGATATCATTTGATCCCATAATTTGAAATAGTATCCCTAGGTTGATAGATCTTAAATTTACATCTTCAATCCCAATTTCTCCCCTGAAGTTGAGACTCATAATTATTACTTATATACCATCTGTGGTTGGCTGGTTTTTAGACAGCTCAGTTTTTACATGGCTGAAACCAGGCAAAACCACTGTTCCTGCAATCTTCAACTCAGTAAATGGCAACTCCTTTATAATGGTTGCCCGGGCCAAAAGCATACGAAACTAGCCACAATTCCTCATTTCGCTTTCAACACTCCACACCAGTAGCCAACCCTATCAACTCCACCTTTAAATGCTTCCAGAATCTGACCCCTTTTCACCATACCTCCACTAAAATGGTAATATAAACTACCACAATTTCTTGCTTGAACTCTTTCAATTGCTTCCTATTTTAGTTCTCTGAGTCTACTCTTGCCCCACGCACACCCAATTCTCTAAGCAGTAATCAGTGTGATCTTGATTCAAATATAAATGGAATTACATCAATACCCTGTCCAAATTTTCCAGTGTATATCCATCTAACTCTAAGTCTTCACCTACAGAACCCAGTGTAGCTCACTCCCAGACACTTTTTTACTTCATCATTCACCACTCACTCTGTCATTCACTTGGCTTCAGCCAGACTCACCTCCATGTTGATCCTTGGACACATACCATGAATCCAACTCCTCAGGCGTCTGACTTATCATACCCTCTATCTAGAAGATCTTCTAATCAGCTACCCTTGTGCCTCTCTCCCTCACTTCCTGGAAGTCTCCATTCAAATATTACCTCAACAGAGGCCATGACTAACCAACTTTTCTACCATAGCACGGCCCACCACACTCTCCCTTCCATGCTCTATCTTTTTACTCTGTTTTTCTTCAGAATATTTATTGCCACCTGACATGTTATATATTTATGTGTCATCTGTCTCCATTAGGATGAAAATGTTAGAAGAGAAAGGACTTTGTCTATTTTATTCCCTGAATATTTCTAGTACCTAGATAATTGCCTAGAACATAGCAGGCACACTATAAATGTTTTAATGAAAGAATAAATGCATTATAATCATACTTTTATCAAAAAATTATTTTTGACCACTTAGTCAAATACCTGATTGAGTGTGGTATGTCTGAATATTTCAAGAAAAAATAATGAAATTTTCAAAATTTCTGGCAGCAGTTTTTTTTTTACATTGATCAAGGAGCTGCCCTCTCTCGTAAAAAGGCACAGCAGGAGTTGAACTGTGGCTGAGATACCCATGGCTTACCCAGTAATTGAGAAAGACTAAACAAGAGAGTCCACTCTTTGCTATAACTGCTTTTTCCATTTTATTCAAGGTGTTAACTAAAATACAGAGAGCTTTCAACCTACTTTTTCAGTCATTAAACTAAAATGCCAACCAAGTCCAGTTCACTTCTAAAATGTATTGGTACAATCCAGTAAAGAGGAGATGACAGGAAAAGAAAAGTCAACAACACTAAGTATAGTAATGTTCCTTTTTGTTTCATGAAACCCAAATTGTTACAAACATCAATTTTAGAAATATTTTATGTAGACATTAAAACAAAAAGGCAACAAGAAATGCAAAATAAACACACACACACACACACACACACCAATAGGTTTCACCTGAGAATTTGAAGTAATTCAGAGACAGATTTAATATTCTTTGACCAATAGAGATACCGAGAAACTGTGCACACTAAAATGAAAATAAGCAATAAAAGCAAATAGTACTCAAAATTTAAATGACATTGGTTAACAATGGAGTACGAAAAGGTTATTGAATGTGCTAAGTCTAATGCTTTAACACTCTTCAATCATTCACCTTTTAATGCAGACCTTTAATTATATTCATAATCTTATCTTGGTGAACTCTACACCCACACCTATGAATTCTGTCAATTTCTTAGTTAAACAAAACTCTCCTAGAAACCTAGGACCAGGGTCAGAGATAGAATTAAAATCACCCACTCTCAGGAGAAATGGAGGAAGCATTTACACTGAAAGTCTGCTGAATCCCAGATTCTGTAATATAAACCACTTAATAATCTATACTGACATTTCAAAGCTTAGGAAAGGGAATGTTGTACAACCCTGGACTTCATTGTGTTTATTCCCTATGAGGCACAGAGCAAGATAATAAACAAGCCCCTCAAGCTAAAAGAGGAACACAGAAACATATATGTGTGTATATATATATATACTATACACACACATATGTATGTGTGTGTATATATATACATATATATGTATATATGTATATCACAGAAACATATATATTTCCCAAATTTTTCTTAAAAAGCACCCCAGTTCAGGTATCTTGAATAAAGAAAATTAGTCATAGACGAAAAAAAAGAAAACCTTCCAGTTGTCTACCAAGAAAAAACTAATATGGATATTACATGCATTTCTATTTTGAAGACCAACAGTTTATTAATTTATTAATAGAACCTGTATTTTTCTGTCAATTATTGTGCTTTCAATTATTGTGCTTTGAATTATATATATATATATATGTGTGTGTGTGTATATATATATATATATATAATTTTAACTTTTGAGAATGGATAATTTTAACTTTTGAGATAAACATTCAGCCTGCATAAAACATAAATCTCTATGAAGTAAACATCTTATACAGTTTCTCTCTTTAAAAATAGCTTTGACATGCTTCTGATGTCCTTAAATATTTGTGCTGCAGATGCCATAGTTGTATTTTTTCAAAGACTGGCTCAGAGGCTTCTGAAATATTAGATATCCCTTTGCTGGCAAAACATCAGAGTGGGTATTCGATCATTACAAGGTTTTTCTTAAACCAGTGTTTCTCGGATTTTACTGTGCATCAGAATTCCCTGACGGGCTTGTTAAAACACAGAATACTGGGCCTCACCCCCAGAGCTTCTGATCCAGTTGGTCTAGAGAAAGCCTGAGAATCTGCATTTTTAGCAAGTTCCCAGGTGATGCTTTGATGCTGATAGTCCAGGGACCACACTTTGAGAACCACTGCTTTAAACCGTTAGTTTATAAGTTCTTTAAAGAGCAATGTAAGCTTAGAATCCAGAACCTACATGGTACTTACTAAACTCTCTTCAGAGCTGTGTTCCAGGGGCATTCCTTGAGAAAATCATTTTTTTTTTTAAACTTTCTTCTTTTAGCAACAGTAATGCCCAGGCAGCTAGAGAGTCCTTAATATTCATTGCTTAGCATTTTGGTTTTGCTGGGCCTGGACTGGGAGTATTCCCTATTTCTCATCAGAAGGGCTGCAATCTACTGTGTATCTCCAAGATGTTCTGGATCTAAACTCTCCCAGGATAGGATCTATGCCTCTGGGGGACCAAAGCCACAGCTACATGTCTTTACCCAGTAAGTCTATCTCATCCAGGAGGAAGTCCATGTCCTCCCGGCTCACTTGAGGGCTGATCACCACCTGGCGGAAGAAGTTGACCTTTCCCCGGTGCGGCTGGTAGCCCAGCATCAAGCTTCCCTTCTTCATCATCCTCTCCTTAATGGCTGGGGCCACCTGTGTGGGGAGAAAAGGGGAGAGGGGTGAAAGACCAGAACATCAAGGCATTTCAATAGCATTTTCACCAGCCATTGGACATTTACTGGGCATCCACTGGTTTGGATCCCATTCTCATTCACACAAGGTTGACACTAATAATAATAATAATTTATGGAGGACTCATGAGTACTGATTCAAGTGCTTTAGACATATTAATTAATCTTCACAATAACAGTGAGGAAGATGCTACTAATGTGCCCATTTATGGTCGAGAAAACAGGTACATGGCGAGTAAATCAGTATCTCAAGGTCCCAGGCATTTTCTCCCTAAGCCCATACTCTTAAGTGTAAATCATTATTCAATGCTGCCTCATTAAAAACAAATCAGGTGTCCACAGGGATTACAGTCTCATTCTCAAATTTGTCTTAACTAAAAAACACCCCAGTTCAGGTATCTTGAATAAAGAAAATTAGTCATAGATGGAAAAGAAGGAAACCCTTCCAGTTGTCTACCAAGAAAAAACAAATATGGATATTATGTACAGTTCTATTTTGAAGCCTAAGTTTATTAATTTATTAATAGAACATGTATTTTTCATCCTAGAAAAAAAGAAAGTTAGATATTATTCTCATATATGAAATATAAACACCCTGTCTCTTATTAAGAGATGTAAATGTGGTAATAAAATTAGGAAGCACATATTTTAAAGATCTATAGCTGACATGAGAAGTACAGGCCCTGATAATCCAGATACACAGATTTTTCTAAAAGTTTAATGTTTGAAGAAACTAGTCTAATTTAAGAACCACATGGGAAAATCAGTCCATTTTCTAATCAGTAGTATGGCCACCAAAGAGCTAGGTTGTAAACTTTTAAAATAGTGAAGTTCATTTTTGATACACTGAGTTAAAATATTAAGAATGCATTTTTACTGTCTTGGAAATACAAGCAAAGTTTTTCCACTTGAATTTTATTTTAACTCTGAAAACTTTTTGAGTGTGTCCTATGTGAATATGTGGAAAGGGAATATAATGAGTTTCTATCCTTGCCTTCTCAGGAAGATGAGACTTACTCCTCCAGAAGGGAGGAGTACATATAGAAAGAACACCAGGCAGAGTGTGCTTTTAAACTCCTTAGGTGAGGGGCATGAATCTGGGTTCCCACGAGTCTCCCTCTCTCGTAATGTGATAATCCCACACCAGCCCAGTTTTTGAACATACCCACATTTTGTCAGCAAGTCAAATGACTTCATCTGACACTCAACACAATCTTGATCTGTTCCAAAGCTGATGAAAAAATTGGGTGTTTTAGACCTCTGAAGATATTATGTGTTGAACTTAACCACAGAGCCTTCTCAAAGGATGTTCAAGGTTAATTTTAACTCAACACTTTTTTTTCCACATGTACTAATTTTAGAATATAAGTCTTGCAAAACATGGACTACACAGTGCTTGCAATAACAAAACAAACACCTATTCAGGAAAATCACATTGCCATTCTAGCAAAAAACTGGAAGTTTCTTACATTATCACAAGATATGAAAAGAAAATATATGAGTGTAAAAGAAAAAATGTAGAAAAGGTGATGTTAGAGGTCAAGTTAGTGAAAAAAGCATGGGCCATCAGGTTCTACAAACTTCTAAATATATGTGACACATTTTATTCTGAGCTTTCTAGAGATTAGAAAAATGTAACTAAACAACAGCCTGCATTCACTTGAAAAGAGTGGCAAATGTCCAGTTGATGCTGGAAGCCAGAAGCTAGGAAGTAACTCTCTACTATGCTTATACATATCTGCTTCAAACCCATGAATTTGTATGCATTGGTTGAGTTTTCTTCCAAATCCATGTATGCAAGTAGTAATTCTAAAATCTAGTAAAAAAATATGTAAAACAAAGATAGATGAGTGCCAAAAAAAGTGATTTTTGTAAAAACTAAGTTGAGTCCTTTGGAAAGAAGAGATAAAGGGGGATGGCTAAACATCATTGTGATCACACTAGGCAAGAGAACTGTAAAAGCTTTTGAGAATCCAGACTGATTCTGCACGGAGATCGCTACACAGGTGTCTGAGTACTTACTTCACCTGAAGAAACCCGAGCTGCATAAGACAGATGATTCCTGAAGAATGTAGTTTATGCAAGAACAGTGGAGGGCCCTCTCATCATCAGACCTCTACTTAAGAAAAGTTTCACTTGTTTATAAAAAGCATTTGGAAATCTTCACTAGGTGGAAAAAACCTTTCCATCAAAAGATGGTAACATAAATGTACACTGATATACAAATATAACATTAAAAATTTAAATATAAAGATACAAATATTAAATGGGAAAATGCTCACATTATGTATGTATCACATTATTTTCTAGAATTATTTGCTTTACCTGACTAATCCTCCTCACCTTAGGTAGGAGGGCTTCTCGTGCATATGTGGATATAAATGGGTCTGCGTGCATAAGCATGTGTGTGTGTGTGTGCCTGTGCATATATGCACATGTTAATATACACACTCACATATAATTTAAACCTCTGACCCACCATATTGTACTGCTTTTAAAATCTCTCTGGCCACAGGGCAATGGAGAACCACGCTTTGACTTAGGTTCATCATAAAAGTACACTTGTTTTTAATTCAAAGAACAAGTGGCTTTCTGAATGCAAACTGTGAGAAAAAGACAACAGTAGTGCCAGTGCTGAATCAAGATTGGGAAGACCTGGTTTACATGGACCAAATGTCTAGCTAGAAGGGCCACAGACTATCAGTTTTAGAGCTTACAGCTTGCGGTTCTGTGGTTCTTGTTTTTGAAATCAAAATTCTCTTCATGTTCCTCTCCTTCGTCCTCCAGGTACCCAGGGTATAACTGGCTCTGGCTTGTAGCCAATTTTAAATGTAAAACAGGCATGCTCTTGGCTCAGGCCTAATTTGCATAGTGTATTCCTGTTTACTTTTCAATACTTCCATTTTTTCTCCCAAAATGGTATTTTATGCCTTATCTTTGGAGAGCATTAGAATTTTGATTCCAGTACATAATATATCTGAGGCTCACATGAGGCAATTATCAAAATGAATCTGTCACGTTTGTATTTCTTGTGAGGAAGCCAGAAATACTTTCTAACGTGAACAAGAAAGGTAAAGGAAGAGGGCACCTCAGATGTTTTAATATAAAGATACTTTGGATGTTTAAATTCTTGCTCTTGTGTAAAGCGCATGACTGTACTTCCATGGGCAAAACGCAGGGAATAAAAACCAAACTTCTAGGACAAATTTTGTTACTGACTTTCTGAGATTATAAAGACATAACTAAATATATGACTCAGAGAACTAGCTAAGCAAGGGTTTAACAGTACAACACATTTTTATTTATGAGTCTATGAACTATAAGATTAATTCCTACAGGCAGTTACTACTAGGTAAAAAAGGAAGGTCTCCCTTGTCTATGAATACTTCGCGGGAAAGAAAGTAATAACATCAAAGCTGATATTCATCAAATCTTTATCACAAACTATTCTGCTGGTAGTAGTAGTTGTTGTTTTTAACAAGTATTTTACCAGTTCTTTACAATTTGCAATGTCCTCTCACTTGTCTGATTCCCATAAATTCAAATTAAAGCTTATTTGAAAGGAATTCATGTTTTGGCAATTTAGGGACCAAGCACGTTCTCACTAACAGTCAGCTTATCACCTTTGCACTTAAAATCAACCATTTTTTATTTATGAAGCTCCAGGCATAATCCAATGCTAGGTAATTTGGATATTCCTTTTTGCTGATCACAGCAGAGACAGTCCTAATCTGACAGGATGGCATGGTCACAGGGGAAGGAAAATATGCATGAACTAAATGTAGGTATCCAGATACCACCCCTAAATGGGGCGCGCATAGAGGAAAGCAATTTGGCAGGAGTGAGATTGCTTTCCAGCTCTCAATTATTTTTCTGCTGTTTTTTCTTCAAATTGTAAATCAAATTCTTTTCTTGTGCCTCAGTGCACTGGTCCCTGCATCTTAAGTGGAGGAAGATTCTGACATTTCTATTTGGATACACGGTGACTTAATGTACACATTTCTGTGGAATTTGTCTCTCCCTACCCCTGAGTTATGTTCCATCAGTGATTTAGTCATTTAAATAGAGTCTCGTTGCACATCGCTGTAGCACCAAATAGGATTTGATATTTAAAAGTTGCTTAAACCCAAGGAAAAATAAAATAAAATGACTTTCTTTCTGACCAAGCAGGGCAATTCGATAAAAAGCTTCTGACCAGGCATCATTATTGCCTTTGATTAAAATAAAATGATAATTTCCATAAAATGACATTTCTTTTTAAGAATTTGTTATATACTCAGTGTTAACAAGAACAGTTTTTCAAAATACAAAGTGTTTTTCAGGGTCGGGCATGGTTGCTCACGCCTGTAATCTCAGTACTTTGGGACGCCAAGGCGGGCAGATCACTTGAGGCCAGGAGTTTGAGACCAGCCTGAGCAAAATGGTGAAATCTGTCTCTACTAAAAATACAAAAATTAGCTGGGTGAGGTGCTGCTTCTTTGTAATCCCAACTACTAGGGAGGCTGCGGCACGGGACGCAGGGGTTGTGGTGAGCCAAGATCACTCCACTGCATTCCAACCCGGGTGATGGAGTGAGACTCTGTCTTAAAAAAAAGTAATAAAATACAAAGTGTTTTTCAAACTATCTGTGGGGAAGGATCAGTTTTATTTTTTTCAATGCATTATAAACTAATACTTTAGTAAAATACAATAAAAATCAATTACTAGCAAAATGAAATAAAAATACAAGCCCAATTTTGTTTATTTTTAAGTTCAATAGTAAAGCTAATCTGTTAAGGTTGCTATAAAAGTTTCTAAATGGAAACTGTGGATTTCCATAAATTTCTTATTGCAGACTGGTGACACAGATGGGTTGGGATTGCTGCTGTGGCTTTCTTCCAGTATAGTTTTTCTGGAACAATCACAAAAACTAATTTGCTTTATACTTTCCTCCCACGTAATCTGGGTTCCCAATGTGTCCCACTTTCTATGTCAACTTGAGGAGAGTTCTGCTGAGTGGGATATTGAAATCTAGTTCATGGAAAAAATTGGCATGAAATGTTCATACTTTGTATCTGGCACCCAAAACTATCACTGAGACTTACATACCTCCCTCCCCTGTAAAGTCATCTCTTTTCTTTTCTTTTCCTTTTCTCCTTCCTTCCTTCCTTCCTTCCTTCCTTCCTTCCTTCCTTCCTTCCTTCCTCCTTCCCTCCCTCCCTCCTTCCCTCTCTCCCTCTCTTGATTGCTTGCTTGCTTTCTCTTCTTTCTTTCTTTTTTTGTAGTTTGGGGTCATCTTAGATTTTCTGAAGCCAGGTGGAGATACACCACGGATCAAGGCAGGGGCCAGAATTCAGGGCATGAACAGCATCAAGGGGAGAGCTTAAGTGGAAGGATTTCAGTCCAAGAGAAGTATTAACATGTCAAGACAATTCAGACTTTGATGGGCTTTCCCCGTGCCTCCCCCTTCTGAGGGGGTGCTCCAATGCAGTGGCTATCTAGAAGGCAGAGTTTTTCCTGTCTCACTGTACTCAGGAGAAATTAGCCACAGTCCTCAAAAGCTGAAGGCTGATTAACCATCTGAGAAAAGCCAACCTAGAGAGTCTTGAATGCCAGCTTCTGCAGATGTGAAAAGTTAGACATGTGAGAAAGCATGAAATTCTTTTATTTGCTTTATTAATTTTTCTGGTATTTATCTCCATAACTAAAGCATTATGGTTGCCAGTGAATTTAAGGTCTTCAGAACCATGTTAGATCACAAAGTCTCACATCGATTTACATCTCTGTTTGCCTTTTAGTTTCAATTTTTGTTTAAGTATATTCTTCAGTGGAAAGTGGATTTCATCTGTTTCTGGTGATGAAAGAGCTCAACAATATGTCTCATA
The DNA here is from genome assembly GCF_000001405.40 of Homo sapiens. Taxonomy (NCBI): domain Eukaryota; kingdom Metazoa; phylum Chordata; class Mammalia; order Primates; family Hominidae; genus Homo; species Homo sapiens. The sequence goes on from NC_000003.12 coordinate 30,734,318, forward strand.
CAAATACTTCTTAAAACCTAATGAATATTCTTATCTCTGAACTACATATCTGACCATAAATATGAACTGAATTATTCTGCCTGTAAATATGAACTGGATTTTCCTTTACACGTGCAGCTCACAACATGTAGAGCTGAAATGGGCTTTGGATTCAGCTAAATATATATCCTCTAGTGTGTAACCTCCATGTTAGCCAGGCAGGTTGTTACTAAATGAACAGCTGTTGACAGAAAGCATTTCCTTATCGTCCAAACATATGATAGTGCAAAAAAGAAAGTGGTTGTTTTAGTCTTATATAAAAAAATTTTTGTGGTAATGGTTAGCTTTACATCTTTAAAATGTATTAAACGGATAGTTTCACCAAATAAAAAAAATTGCTAACCCACAATATAGAAGCTTTTCTTTGTATTTCCAAATATGTCTGAGTAATTTGTCTCTTCTCCCAAATGAGACATCTTACATACCAGACATTTGCCCTCCCAACACAGCTTGCTTTTGTCCATAGCCATAAACTGCAGAAATTTTGATTATCTTTCATCATATAGTCAATTTTGCTCCCCATTAAGGAAGAAACCAGTACTTGACAGACAAGTACTTTAGCACCTTCATGTTTCTTAGAGCACCTGACAATGTAAAGAGGGGAAAATAATAGCCTTCTTAGTTTGTGTTCAGGTACCATCTAAATCTCTCTACTTTGTTGTTGTTGTTTTTCTTCCTGATTTAGTCTTAGGTAAAATGATCTGATTTCTCTGTTGTTTCATCAAGTTACACATTTTCCTTCTGGAATAGAAAAATAGCAAGGGTGCTGCCCTTTTTGAAAGCTACTTGATCCATGCAGTAAAGAAAACTAAATCTCCCATTGCATTGTGTAGAAGGGGTCACACTATACAATTTAACCTTCTACGGCAATTGTTTGTTAATGAAAAATTTAGAACATTTTTCTTAAAAATGCCAAATCGAATGAAATCATTCACTCTATTTTCTTCTTCTTCTTTACATTGGTGTTTTGGCTGTATAGTCTTCATGAAAAAAGAAATGTGAATGTTTACAGCAACTTTATTCAAAGCAACACAAATGTACTTCAAGTACAGAATGGATAAACAAAACTGTGGTATACCTATACAATGGAATACTACTCAGCAATTAAAGGGAATAAACTACCAACACAACATAGAAGAATCTCCAATAGATTATGCTAACAGAAAGAAGCCAGACTCAAAGGCTGCCTTCTATATGTTTCCATTTATGTGGCATTCTGGAAATGGCAAAATCAAATGGCTAGAGAAGAGATGAGTGGTTGCCAGGACTTGGGCTGAGGGGAAGGGTTGACTACAAAGGGTCAGTCCTAGGGAATTTTGGTGAGTGATGAACACTGTGTCATGGCGGTGGGTATATAAACACCAGCAGACAATAAATTCTGTTCGAAGCTGGGCCTTTGCACTCTTGGGTGCAAAGGAAGAAGGCATTTTGAACATGGTGGAACTTGAAGCTTTTCTTCCTGGTGGGCTGAGTGGAATAATGGGAACTGCATGGCTCAAAGATTTTGGGGGCTCTACCACACATCAGATTGAACATATTTAAATGTACCCAACATACTTATTAAATATAATTCATATGCAATCATAGAAGATTTCAGTTGAATTGTGATGGACTAAATTAACATAATCTTTCATTATGTTTGTTTTTCAGTTTTCCTTTTACATTTTGGATCCATTTTTAAAACTAGCAAGTATTTTAATGTGGCCCTATTGAATTCCATGCTCTCAATGTTTATTTTGCCTGATGATTAAATAAACAAGCTCTGTTCACACTAGTGTGATCAAATATCTAGTTTGCTCAGGAGACACCCATTTTATACATGTTTTCCTGTAATTATCAATAACACCCCTTTTCATGGCCATAAGTGTCCCAGTTCAGATGATAAACTTTATGGATTAGACCGACCATACACAGACCAACAGACTAGCTTAGACTGACTTGTGACCTAATTCCTGAGATTCTCTGTGACTTTGGGCCAATATTTAACTCCTCTGGGAATCATATTTCTCTTCCATTCAGAGCCGATAATCCTTTGCAGGGTCCTTATGTGGACTAAATGAAATAATGAGAACACAATAAGCATAGTGCTTGGCATACTAGGCACTCACTAATAGGAACTAATATTATTTATTTCTTAAAATAAATTTGTATTTAATCAATTTACACTCCCGCTTGGACTTTTATTACATTATTTCATTATTATCTCTTGAGACATGAACATTTGCAAGTGCTATGAAAAACATGAAATAATTTATTTTCTCCCCGAAGTGTCTAAACTGGATTTAAATATTTATGAGACAGGCTGCAAGTTTGAAGTTTCAGAAATTAAATATTGCAACTCATGTATGCCATTAATCTTCCATTTAAGTTCCAGGATTTTTTCAAACGTTGATAAAGTCAACTTACATTTTTCCTTTACAAAGTAACACAGTCATTGATAATCTTGGCAGATTTTTTGGAGGGAAGTTTTCCACTAAAATTTATTGTGGGCAGGGATGAGTTTTTATTATATTCTAGAAATTTCTATCTGTTGCATAAGTTGTTAGAATACAAAAACATTTTAAAAGTAAAAAAAGTTACTTTTTCTTGGACCCATGAAAAGGCCATGTACTTAAAATTCATGAGCTTATTTCCAGCATTGTGCAGTCTCCTTGTGCTTTCTTGTCACTTATGTCTTTATCAAAGAAAGGTTGAAGAATACTATTTGGTATGTCCCAAACGTACAAGAAAATACAAATCACCTAGATTCAGGCCCCAATCAGAGCAGCTGAATTTGAATTTCAGTCGAATAAGCCTAGTGGTCTGTATATTTACCAGGCCACCCAAATGCTCTTTTTCATGATGTAAGTTTGGTGAATGATGATCTCTTACTTAGGACTTTGGGAGAGGCAAAGGTGAGGTTGGAGGTAAGAGGAGTTTAGTAAAGGAAAAGCAATTTTGACAGAAGAGGGGAGAGGAAATTGAGAATTTCCTCTCGCATTGCTTATGTCGATTTTGTAATAAAACAAACCAGTGACCTTCAAAGAAGTTGTTAGCCAACTTTTTTGTTAATCATAAAATCTAATAAAGTGTTTAAAACACTTAACCATGGCCCAGGAAACAATGAGCCTCTTAGTTTTGATTGCTCAAAGAATCAATTTTTCTCTTCTAATATATTTTCTGCCATTTTTAAACCTATCTAATTCTTCTCTTACTCCTTCATACAACCTTACTCATTTCCCCTGATACCTCCCCAATCCATAATTTAGAGGTAAAATGCATTAGTATGAGTCTCTCAAGTTTAAATTATGTAAAATTGGTGGTCTATAGCCCATGAAATCATGTGCATCCAAGAGATCATTTTAGCTTGGCAGAATATGAAGAAAAAAGCCATACTTTGATTGGACATACCTTTTTCAAATATGAATTTTACCCTTATTTTCCTCCTGAGTATATCTGAAAATCAGACATGCGCAAAATAAAAGAACTGCCTCATTCATGTTCTTTCCAATACAGATGAGCAAAGCTACAGAAACAAAGAGTTTAGAAACCCCAAAAGCCAGAAAAACACAGTGAGCTTCACATTTGGTGTTTACAACATAGTGACAATGATGACAGCACTTCCAATAAACCTAATGTCAGTCATATATTCAAGGCAGCTGAAATGAACAGTCATAAAAACAAACGAAACTGAACTGAAAGCTTTAGCTGAACAATGGACACAATAAACATTTTATACACTCTATAAAGCAAAAGCTTAATACCCAGTTGTGTCTCAGCAGCCACCTGAGCTAATAGCTCCTGAGTAACTGTTGTGGGCCAACTCCCAAATGTCTGCCTATGTTGGGAGATCCCTGTACTGCTCCCTAAATGCAGTTATTCAGTAGCTCTCTACCAGAGGTGCTACCAACTCCCTTGGGGCATTTGGAATCATGGCAAAGCATTTTGGATGGTTGCAATGACTGTGGAGTGCTACTTGCAGTTAGTGTCTCATGGTTAAGGGTGCCAAACACCTCACAATGCTGAAAATAAATCTGCCCAAGGAAGAATCATGTTATCCAAAATGCCAGTAGTGCCTCTGTTGAGAAACACTTCTCAGGAGCCCCATAATTCCCACCGACATCTCTACACTTTTTCTTGACATATCCTGAGACCTTTAAGTTTTTCTCGGGAGTCATTAACCTTGCTTTGGCCCAGAGCAAAGTAAATGGGATCTTCAGTGCTTAAAGGTATGTTCATGTTGTTTTCCAAGGATTCATAACATATTCAATGAGTATCACTCCATCTGAGAGGAGAGAATGAGTACAATCCCAGGTTCTTCTTTAGGTTCTATGGGCAGTGGTCCAATATTTCTGAATATTGTGTCTGGCCATTTCAGCAGGCATACGATGCTTTAGTTTCGGCACTACTGCCTATTACAATAAGTGGGTCATATTCATGAGTTTTTAGCCACACAGATGTCACATTCACACCTTACCCACACACTTAGTGAGATGAGAAGCACCTGAAATACACTCTATAGAAGATGAAAATTATGATTCATTTTCTCACGGGTTTTCTCAGGGCAACTTTCTCTGAGAATTCTATTACTTTTCAATATTTGGCATTGGGAAATTAGCAGCTACAATTTTCTCTTTTGATTTATTCCACTCTAACAAGCCACTGACAGCCAACGAGGCTCTTCTGGGCATAAAGGCAAAACTCCTACCTAGCAGCACAGGCACAGATGTGGGAAGCGGCCCCAGTGTTGGCACAGCAATAATTTTACATTGTAGAACCTGCATATCAGGCTTGGGAGGCCTAGCTTCCTGAATTACAGAATTACTGATTTTATAGTAGATGCAGGGGCCTGACAAGGCAGGGGATGAAAAAAGAAGGGAGCCCATGGCGTTATGCTGCTTTGACCTAAGAGACATCTTGTTCTATACAGGCTGCCGAGACATTCCAATTATGCCTTGGTGAGATTCCTGTATTCGCCATCCTGCACCCTCCTTCCTGTGCCCATCCTCCTGTGTGACTATCTACCTGCCCCCACCTGCCTGTGCCCACCTGCCTGCACCCATGCACCTGTATCTTATCTTGTTTATAGGTTTTTTCCACTGATTATTTGCTTCAGGAGTAAACTGAAGTCTAAGTTGTCTTTTTGACCTTTTTGTTTGTTTGAATACAGTTGTTCATTATCCATACAAAGTTAGTTGCACACCACAGGATGTGTTCTCAGCTCTCCCTATACCTTCTCTTTGCATCTCTATTTATGTCATTTTCATGTTTTACTGCACTTCTTTATTCAGCTATAGTGCATCCTAAAACACCTTGGTATTTCAATCTCAGAGGCAAAACCTGAACTTTTAAAGTCCCAAGTGTTATGTACCTTACTTTACTTCTGTCGCTGAATCAAAGAAAGCTACCATGAGGATACTTTAAAATAATTCTTATTCCTGTATTATTCATAAAAATATTGAGAAAATGTTAAGTATGAGGTGTTTGTTCCTCCTGGAAATCTTTATAAATACTAATAAAGAGTCTTTACCATTAATGCTGTAAATATTAACCAACGGTTTTTAAAAGCAATCCAGACCATTTACTTGAGTAATGAAATGCTTTTGATTTGCACATTTTGAGAAAATTAATGAAAGCAAGTTACACATTATTTTTTATGGAGCTTGCTCAACACTCCTAGTGTTTAAGGTTGGAAATTACTCTTTCCTCTAAATCATGATGTTTCTATTGTGTCCAGGGGGCTACAGGCTACAGAGGGATAGAGGGGCTCCCACAAGGGGTAAGAAGAAAGCAAAGCAGGCAGGACCCACCTCTGCCTAAACTAAGCTCTGCTTTACCTGCTTCGTATGTCAGAGTTCTACGTAAGAGTTTGCTTGGCAAAAAGGGCTCTGGTATTTAAAAAGACAGAGTTTGAATTCGACTGGTAATGTATTTTTGTTATTATTCAAGATCTTTTTTTGGGAATAACTGCAAAATAGCCCTCAAGATGTCAGCTAAGGGAATTCCTACATGCCACGTCTAAGGGGAGAAAGTTGCTCTTGGAGTCTGGCATTCTTTCCCAAGTTGGGGAAGTTGTGAGAAAGGTCCTAGAGAAACATGTGGCTCTGCTGAAACCAAGCTTCTTTTGCTTAAGAGTTTAGGGTAAGTGATACACGTCAAGTTATGTTCAAGTCAAGTAATGATAGTAATAAATTACTATTTCACACAATTGAACCTCTACGTACGTCCTAAAGCAGTTACATAACAAAACACTATCACCTTCCCCCCAAAGGTCTCTTTTGCTTCTTCCAGGTAATCACTATTCAACTCCTACTTTCTTACTCTCCCATATATGCCCCTAGGGTTTCAAGTTATCTACCAGCCATTTGAATGTCTTCTTTTTGTGAAATGCCTATTTATGTTCTTTGTATATTTTTGTTTTGGGTGATCATCTTTTTCTTACAAATTTAGAAAAACCCTTTATTATTAAGAACATTAATTCTGACTTTACGTGTTGCAAGTTATCTGCTTTTAACTTTGTTTTTAGTTATTTCCTGAACAATTTTTATATTTATACAAACAAACATATATATATCTAATATATAAAAAACAAATATATTATATTTGATATATCAAATATATTTATTATATATTATATATTAATATATATTATATATTATATATTAATATATATTATATATTATATAATATATTATATAATATATATTTGATATATCAGATATATAAATGTTTGTATAAATATATATAGGTGTTTGTATTATATATATGTATTCCTAGTATATATATATATATATATATATATATGTGTGAGATAGGTGGTTTGTTTGTATAAATATTATATATATTATATAATTATGTGTGTGTGTGTGTGTGTGTGTGTGTGTATTCCAACACTGTGGTGTTATACTTAAGCTCTCTCTGCCCACGCCAAGATTACAAAAATGTGTGTTATTTTCTGATTTGATTATGACACTTAAACTTTTAATCCATTTAAACATTCAATTTTTTACCTTGCATAGAGATACACTCCTACATCCCCACATTTAACCAGTAGTCTCAACACTGCTGATGGAACAAGCCTGCCTTTCCCCAGTGTGTATTGGAAACATGTTCGATTCCTATAAATAACTTGGGCCTAAGCCTTCTATTCTGTAAGACTGATCTGTCTATTCTCAGAATAATCCAAGTTGTTTTATTTATATAATTCTATAATATATTCAGTTCCTAGAGAACTCCCCTCTCAAAATGTTCTTGCCGGTTACTACCAACTTAGTCTCCTAGAGGACATCCAGAAGTGTTTTTGATGAGTTTAAAAAATCATTTAATTATTATGATTAGAATTATATTAAGCCCATGTATAAATTAGGGAAAAATTAATCTTCTCACCTAAAATTATGGTGTTTTTCAGTTTCAAAATGAGGTAAATTTAAAAAATATGACTGCAATTTTGTTTGACACTTCTCTCAAAGAGATTTCTTGAATGAGAGAGGGCTTGTGGCACACTAATCACCAGTGGGGTGCAGTGGAAGAGATCCTGTGTGGCCTCCAAGGCAAGGTCAGGAGAGGTGGACTATTGTCCAAATTGTTCTCAGGTACACTGACTTTCCCAAGTTCAACTCTCCTAAGCCCACTATGAGGAATTCCAGGCCACATGGAGAGGCTTTCCTGTAGGTGCTCTGATTGACAGCTCCAAATGAGGTCCCAGCTAAGGGCCAGCATTAACCACCAAACATGTGAGTAAAGACGCTTCCAGAATATTTTGGCCCGGACAGTAAATCACCTTCAGCTATTTTAGTCTTCCCAGATGAGACTCTAGACATCATATTCCCTCTGTGCTCTGTCAGAATTCCTGACACACAAAATCCATGAGCATAATAAAATACTGCTTAATGCTCCTACATTTGGAGTGATTTGTAAAACAGAAATAGTTATTGGAACATTAAGTGGTTTTTTTTTTTGGCCTTAAACTTTTATAGTTTTCTTCCATAGATATTATACTTTATTTAAGTTAACTCTTAGTTATTTAATATATTTTTTTTATTATGGTGATAAAATTATTCTGACTAAAAAGCTACCTTCTGATGTAATTTTTCATTTTCTAGCTCCCAGTTTCTTACCTTTTGTGTAGTTATTCAACTTTGTACATCTACTGCAGTACATTTCTAAAAGTATTTTATTTGATATTCTTAGGTTTTATAGATATACAATCACACAATTTAAAATGAACATATTTGGGTCTTCTCCATTTAAATATTATAAAATTCAGGTCTTTTCTGGTCATTATATTGGCTGGTACTCTCAGAACATCATTAACTCATGGTGGTCAAGCCAGACGTTCCTAATTTGTTACTGAGTTTAAGGGGAAGGTATTTCATGTTTAATATATATAGTTCTAAATATCATACAAGAAAACAAAATAATATAATCATGAGATAAACTCTAAGCCCTACTATTAGTTTTGAAGGTCATATATTTTAGCATATTTCAAGTAATTTTTTTTTTGCTACATTTAAGTGGGAGAAGTAATTTTGGATTACTTTTTTTATTTACTTGTTCAGAGATAGGAAGAAAATGGTGAAATTGCTACTTAAAGCATGCTTCTGCTTAGCTTTAGAAATAATGACATTCTGCTGAATGGAGCAATAAAAACAGAACCTGCGCATGATCTTGTATGCTACACCAGCTGACTAATCCATCTCCTCAGATGGTTTTTCAGAGTCCAAAAATGCTACATAAATTTTTTTCAACCTGTGTGAGTGGATTATTTTGTGGCTTCCTGAAATAATCCTCTCATCTTTTAACACAGTTCTGACCCAGTTTGAGAGAGTATCTTTAATATCTTGTTCTACTTCACTGACCTCAAGGCAGAATAGCCAGAAATATATGCATTTAACAGGCAACTTTCATCTTCAAGCTCACAGAAGGGTTGGCTTTCTTTAAAAAGGAAATTGAAACTTATATTACCAGGCAGCTTTTTAGATGATTTTACTTTCCATTTTATAACTCCAGCAAATAGGAAGCAGAGATGTGGAGTGAGTGAAGGAGATATGTGGAGTGACCAAGGTGCCTCAGAATAGCGCATAACAATTGATGGAAGCAAACACAAGCTGTCACAGCGCCTGCTTTTACCTCACCATTGATTATTCATCAGGTGAAAGGCACTCATCCCAGAAAGAAAAACAGAAACACACGTATGGAAGACAAGGAAAGTGGGTTGCTAGAACAAAACACAGAACAATAGCCCATCCAGAGGAGTGGGCTGGTGAGGTACTTACAGAACACAACCACTCTGAGAATTCACAACACACTCTGATTCCCTGAGTGGATGGTTAGGAGCATGGGTGTTTTCTAGTTGGTAAATGTGAGACTGATTGTTATGGTTATTGCCTGTTAAAAATAAATTTTATTATTGTTCTTCATTATTTAAATGTCCTTCTTGCCTTTGCCTCATAACCCACACACAGGGCCTGCTGTAGGAGGAGTACATATCTCTGTTCCATTGCTAAGTGACCACTTCTGAGCTGAAACTCTAAGAGTCATTGTGTGTTTCTGCCAGGCTTTCTCCTTTCCCTTTGGTGCAAGAATAGCATTTCCCAGACAGGGGCTCCTCCATCAGTCTGGATGCTGGGGGGAAGACCATGGAGCAGAGCAGAGCTGTGACTGACCCCCAGGGCATGAAGCATGATCAAGAAATACACCTTTGTATTATAAACCATTGAGATTTGGCTGGGAAAGGTGGGTGGGGAGAGGGAGGCTTATTTGTTGCTGCAGTGTAACTAAGTGAAACCTAATTCATATGACTCAAACTAAGGTATATTTGGTTAGATCTAGGTGAGTTCTACTTTAGAGGAAATCCTGGTAACTGTTGTTTGTTTGTAAGTTATAGCTGTAATTAATTTTCCCTGTATTCAAAGCCCCCAAACCCTGCATTCAGATACTATGCATTTAGACTTCCTTAGGCAAAGTCAAGGCAACAAGCTGATGATTCTAAGCTATTATTCAAGGAGTATCTACCATCATAAAGGTGGTTTAGTCATATAGATAATATCAATCAATAATACAGGAGATGGCAAAAATTTTTTGTGAAGAGCCAGATAGTAGCTGAGTATGATGACCCCTAATCTCAGCACTTTGGGAGGCTGATGGGAGAGGGTCATTTAAGACCAGGAGTTCAAGACCAGCCTGGGCAACATTAAAAAACTCCATTTCTACCAAAAACTTTAAAAAAATTAGCCGGGTATGGTGGCTCATGCCTGTAGTCCCAACTACTTGGGAGACCGAGGCGGGAGGATTGCTTGAGCCCAGGAGTTTGAGGCTGCAATGAGCCATGATCACACCACCGCACTCCAGCCTGGGCAATAGAGTGGCACACTGTCTCCAAAAAGAAAAGAAAAAGCTACATAGTAAATATTTTAGACTTTGCAGGCCATACAGTTTCTGTGGCAACCACTCAGGTTGTAAGTGAAAGCAGCCATAAATAATAGAAAACAAATGAGAGTGGCCATGTTCCAATACAACTTTATTTACAAAAAAATGACAATGGGATGTGTTTTGCCTGTAGGCTGACCCTTGTTGTAGAATAAGAAACACGAACAGCGGCGAACGAAATCTAAATAACAAGCCTAATGTAGCATGTTCTACAACTATGTTTATATGGTTTTAAAATTAAAAGCTATCCAGGAGCCATTGAAGAACATGGTTAAGTTCTTGGTTTTCCTATATGTAAAATAGAGACAGTAGAAGTTATTTCATAAGATTTTTGTAGGAATTAAGATGAAATATAAAGTGTGCATGAGTGAGCAAGTGCTTAATGAATTCCAGCTTCTTTAATCTTTCTGTGTGCTACTATTCAGGACTCAAAGTAGATTATTAGTGAAGGCCTATTTAATTCATGCCAAGTTAATGAATGAGGTCAAACAGTAATAAGGTGAAGCACAGAATCCTTTAAGTCGACATTTGCCGAGCAATTCAAACTTACGGTAATGAAGAATAAATATTAATATATGTCATGATTTACATGTCTATCAATTAGATCCCTAATTATATTGATTTGACATGGAAATGCTTTATTTTTATTGCGGGGGTACATTTGGAATGATAGAAAATAATTATCTGTGTTCCACACCCAAATCATGAAATTCTTTCCTGCATGGACAAGGGATAGAAAATAAAACCCTATTGCTATCTGCTATATTAAGAAGCTGCTCAATTAAACAGAAGTCAATTTTGTTATTCATTAAACTCAGATTGAGACATCAAATTTTCTTTCAGAAAGCAGTGGATCTCAATATGTTGCTCTGTGTTCTGTTAAATACCTTCCATCATGAATAATTAGTGTCAAATGTGCTCAGAAGCTCATGGCCAATATTCATCATCTTTGGTGCATGGGCCATAGTGACAATTGTTGAGATACCTGAACTTTTTCTTTTTGTAAATCTAAATGCCACCAGAGAAAAATATATTTGTTTTTCCAATACATTCTCTGCCTGATTTAACGTTTAAAATTTATCTTCCTAGGCCTCTACTTGGAGTTCATCCTGTTCCAAAATATTAAAATTCTCTTCCCTTATTCTTTCCATTTCTTCTTCTTCTTCTCCTTCCCCTTCCCCCTCCCCTTTCCCCCACCCCTCCTGCTCCTCCTCCTCCTCCTTCTTCTTCTTCTTTTTTCCTTTTATTGCACTCCAGCTCTGTTGCCCAGGCTGGAGTGCCATGGTGGGGTCTTGGCTCACCGCAGCCTTCGCTTCCTGGGTTCAAGCAATTCTCCTGTCTCAGCCTCCCGAGTAGCTGGGATTGCAGGTGTGTGCCACCATGCCTGGCTAATTTTTGTAGTTTTAGTAGAGACAGGGTTTCACCATGTTCACCAGGCTGGTTCGAGACCTCAAGTGGCCTCAAGAGGTCTGGCAGGCCACAGCCTCCCAAAGTGCTGAAATTATAGGCATGAGCCACTGCACCCAGCCTCCATTTCTTCTCCATTGTTAAAATTACACACTTTAAGGTACCACTCACTGCAGACCTACTGAGCCTCCAGTCTCTAAGAAGTTGTTTCTAGAAATACAATTTTTACCAAATTTTCCCATGATTTTAATGTGAAACCAAGTATAAGACCCTCCTTATTAAAGGAACATGAAGAACATGAGAGATGCTAATAGTCATCACCATCAATATTTTCACAGGGGCATAAAAAACAGCACTAGGGCTGTGATAAGGGTAATAAGGTGACAGGTGCACCAGGTGAGACAGGTGATGGGGTGATAAGGTGACAGGTGGGCCAACAATTGTTAGGAGGAGTTTTCTTCTCTTTTTACTTTGTACCTTTCCTTTAGCTAAGAACAGTGTCTAATCCTGGGCCATCAGATTTCTTACACACAGAAATGCCAACACATAAAAGTGACATATAAGTTGGAGATGCAAGAAAACAATGGACATTAAGATAATTGACAATAAAAATTTCCATTAAAATAATTGAAAATAGTGAACCAGATCTATCATATCTACAAAATTATTGTCTATAAATTCAATGTTGTATTTTGGTGTTCCTGATGGCCAGCAATGCAGGGGAGTGAAAATGAGATATGAGAGTTTAAGCATTAAAGGGCAGAAGGATACTGAGAAATCCCTCAGTGAAACAACGCAATTTAGGCCAGGAATTTTCCACTCTTTATCCTCACAGGCCCTTTTTGGTACCTTGTGTAATTATAGCAGACATATAGGGATGTCTCTGCAACATGGTGCCTGTCAGGTTCCTGCGTTTTTCTTTTTGCCTCTCAGATGATTTTTACTATCACAGGCCTGGGGAAAGTGATTTGCACATGAAGCATTTTAGCAGACCAATCAATTAGAATCAGCCTTTTTCTGTTTATGTCAACAGCCAAATGATCGTGAGAATACCCAGGCCATTTGTTACCTCCCAGGGATTTAGCATCCAGCACCTTGGGTTGTCTGAAGTTCTTTCCAGGGAGCTGCCTCCAGACCTTAGACACACCACGAGAAAATGTCTCCTTGGCTACTGACAATAATGAATCAACTGCATAAATATATCTGTCAAAATGATGGTGCATTTGTCTATCTGAATACTAGAGAAGGAAGGGTAGGAGAGAGTGAAAGAAAGGTGGAATTGAGTAGAGTCTGACACCTCACAAACTTAGCAATTTTGGTAAAGGATAAATTCACATCTACCCATACATTTCTTTGGACATCTGTGCAGAATCCTCAAATCCAATTTCTTTGGAAAAGACAGTCTCCAATATATTTTCTGAATCAAATGGATTTTTAGTTTGTTTGTTTGTTTGTTTGCTTTTAAAGTTAATTTATAATTTCCTTTGAAATGAAGACTGTAGACATGGCCATATCTAAGAGAATATGAATGAAAGATTTAAATAGGGGCATTCATGGTCAATCCACTTCCTTTGTTTATCCTATCCTGTAAATATTTTCAGTCTACTACCCATCTGTCACTCCATTCTCCTGATTCCAGCTCTTATCAGGATTGTGGCCTGTGGTTTAACTGACTGCCTTTGCCAGAGAGTTAAAACGAGTCTGTTCCTGATTCACAGCACCAGCTAGATCACTAGGGCCACTAATGATGAGTTTAGCAAAACTCCCTGCCAATAACATGAAACCATTCAATGGCTGAAAAATGCTTCCTGTCTGAATTAACCCCCCAAATATTTACAAGTACAGCCTACAAAAAAATTCAACAGCATGCAAACTTAATTACTCAACAGTGATGAAAAGTCCACTTATTCTTGAAGCCAGAGAAGGGAAGTTAGGTGAGTTAGAAAGGGATGACTTGGTGTTTTCTCACCTTCCTCCTGGACCAAATCAATGGCATAGACACTATGGATTGATTTGGAACACCATCTAGTGAAGGATATGAGGAAGCGCATGGACGTAGAAAATCCCACATCAACTCCTGGTTCGATTCATTTAACATTTCCTTTAGACTATTTTAAATGGTTCTGAAATGAATAAGGATGTAATTTTTTTAAGTTATGAAAAAAACAAAACAGAATGACCAGTGTGTACTCCAGCACTGACCAGATTCAGCTAATGAGTCCACTTGCCTCTTTTTCTCTTAGCACTTCCCCACTGACTACAGTAAGGATGTAAGAAACACCCCCATAGAGTTGATACAATCAAGTTTCCTTCTGCCGGAATGTCAGCATCTGGAATGGCACCAAAGGATTTGAGAAGAATGATGCCAGGACACCAGATTTTCAAACAAGCATCTATCAGCCATGGTATTTTTCAGTTAAACAATATATGTGTAAGAGGCTTTAGCTATCAAAAAATTTAAACATTTTCTGGAACTCAATAGCTTTTATCGTCAGAAAATCGGTACCAACAGCACCTATTTCACAGTGTGCTGCACACAAAAAACATTCAATAAATATAATATTGTTCAATAACTAGAGGTGGCAGCTAGAATTTTTAACCTGGGAAGAAAGCTGAATATAATTCAACCGTTACATTTTGAATTCTTCTATATAAAACTGTGTCCTCAATTTATTTATTTATTTATTGAACTTCTCAACTCCACATTTCAATGTCTTACCCCTTGGGATGTTGATCCATGTGCTGTTAGCACTGAATAAATATTATATGACTGCCTCTAAACTTCCCACAGAGGGAAAAAAAGACAAAGCAAAACAACAACACAATCCCTCACATTCAATGTTGTGGTTCTTTTACTATAATTATCAATTCCCGAATCAATCTTGCCTTCATGTACCCTAGTCTGACTTTCAGGAAACCTCACTGCACTGTTCCTGATTGGAATCTTGCTTTGTGTTTTCTAGCGGTTGCTCTGAAGTCACATGGTCAGCCTGCCATTTGGGGTATCATAGTTTCTGTGAGTAATTGATTCTATCCAGTCTTAAATGGAAATAAATGCTGTGTTTGTATTGCTCAGCATGTTAAATTTTCCTTTTAGGTGAAGCAGAAAAGGTTACATAAGGTCTGAAAGCCTCAATCATAGGCCACTAGGAACACAGTGACCTCCCATTACACTCTTGGTCTTCTCTCTAAAATCAGAAGAAAAGAAGACTGGCCAGAATGCTGGAGTGTCTCTCACTTTCTCTTTTCAACTCTTCTATTGTTTGAACAATGACTAATTAGCTGTCACTATCTTTAATCCAGCAATGTACTGACTAACTCATGCCTATTTTTAGCAACAGGTGAATCTTAGGACATTTCTTCAAGAAGCCAGCACTTTAGACTAATGGGACCTACTTTGATCTTAGAGAACAGAACAGTTTTCAAACATTCCAACTGTGCTTCCCTGATTTTGTGTGTCTGTGTTTGTGGTCCTTGAAATAATAGAGAAGGAAGGTTTTTACCTAGCAACACATTTTCAATCTGCTAGGCAACACCTGAGAAGCACCTGAAGGCAGGCAGAAGTCCTCTACTGAGTGGTTTCATTCGCCCCAGCTGAACAGCTGACACGAGCTCCCGAGGCACTCTACTGAGGATAATTAGACTTATACTCAGGGACCGGCAATAAAACATGAAAACAACTATGATATAAAATGAAATGGGCTATCTGTCATAACTGAAGAATAAACTGTGATGGAGATTTAAATCAGGGTATTCTACAGCCAATGATGAGGGCCAATGGAAAAGAGTGCTTTGGGCAGGAGGTTTTGTACTTTAGACAAAGGTCAGATTTTGCTGTCATTCAATCAGCTGTGTGTTGTGTAGGCAACTTATTATCATTCAGGTTACAGTACAAGAATTTACAAGTGACTCCTCCTCCTCTTTCTCCTTCTTCATCAAAGTAAATTAGAAAATACTGCAGATTATCCCCATATAATATTCCTCTCACTCTTGCTCTGAAATATTTTAATGAATGGGACAGAAGGCGCTAAAATTACAATCAGAAGAGCACATAACTGGAGATGCTGGTTTCTTACAAAAGTACTTATTTCTTTATGTTGTTGTTCTGGTGTGATTATTGATAGTATCCTTTTCAGTTTCAAAAATGTCCTGAGTTGGGCAATTCATCCTCTGGTCACCAGACACGCACCAACAGTCTATCTCATGAAAGCTGTAACAGCACACGGAGTGGCACAAGTGGGTATGATGCATCGTCCACATCCACTGACATCACCGATACTGTCGGCCTCCCTCTGCTTAGGCTTCCAAAACACCAGGTCTACCGAGATGCCCAAACAACATTGCAAAGGCAAGGTTATGAGAAATGCCACACTAGCTGTGGAAAGAGTACCAGTTGATGTTTCCAGTGTAATGAAATGATGCAAACGCCCACTGTATAAAAATTTCCGTCTATCCCTTCTCTCCTCTTGCAGCCACTTTTTTTTTTTAACACAATTGCTACAGCTAATTGTCAATATTAACAACACACGCACACACAATATAAAATATACATATACGTATATGTAATTTGTCCTGCGGCTTCATATGGATTTCAATTCATATCTTCTTCAAACTAACTTATTTTCAGCTTGACTAAAAAGTTGCTAATTCATTCGCCTTAGCTCATTTTTTTATTTTCAATGAACATTAGTCTCTGGTGGATCCTATAATAAAGCATTATACATTTTAAATATTTTTGAAAGACAGAGGACATTATCTGAAACACAAAGTCAACCTTTGTAATAAATATAAAAGAAGCGTGCTTTGAGAGAAAGAAGTAAAGAACTATTGAGACAGGAGAATAGGAATTAGGGTAACCGGGGTTAAGGCATAAACAAAAGAACAACAGGTGCAGCCAATTCGCATAAGCAAAAGAACAGCAGGTGCAGCCAGTTCTAGGCAAGATTGGGCAGCTTACGGGCCATATCCTCGCTCCTGTGATAACAAGACAGGAGTTTCCAGTTCAGCCTCTGATTGAGGGCCAAGCCTCACTTCAGCCTCTGATTGGTCACAGGCCAATCCTTCAAAGGGCATAACCAATTGGAGGCCTCTAAAGGGCACGTGGGGGGTGTTGCCAATTCTTTTGGCTTTATAAAGCCCTGGGACCATTGTGGTAAGGAGACTCTTGAGCCGCTTGCTGGTGTTTGTTTCTATTCTGTGAGTTGTCTTCGCTCAGTCTGTGCTTTTTCTTTCCTTACTCCGTTCTTCTGTTGCTTTGTCTTTCATTGCTTCTTTTATTCCTTCGTGTCTTCTGTTCAACATTCCGAGAACCTGGGTAACTAGAACCTGGGCAACTAGATCTTGTAATGCTATTTGCCTATGAAAATAGGCAAGCTGGAAATATCTAGTAGACTAGAAAAAAGGCTTTCTAGAACTTGAGTGGAGGTATCTATAGAAGATAGGCTAATGTGAAAACTGAAAGACTGAAACAGTTTGAGGAATTATCTCCCTATAAGCCCACCCCTTCATCTAGTCTTAACTACAATCGTGTCTCATAGACACGGAGATCTATGCACTGAGAAACTGAACTAGATTTCTGCTGCGCTGGTGCCCCCCGATGGTCTCGCCATTTCATGGCTCATAGTTTTTAGAGGAAAGTCCCTTGGAAAGCTTTTTTTGTCTCTGACTAAACACAGAAGTAGGATTAAATGGCAGGGCTAAATCTAGCTTCCCTTTTCATCCCCAACCAATCTTGTTTCTCTCCCCAATATCCCATTGAATGGCAAAGGGTAATGAGGCTGAAGATGAAAAGAACAACAGCAAAGACTTACTGATGGCTGTCTAAATAAGATAGGACGATTCTGAAATTAAACCCAGTAGGCAGAATGCTTCTAAAGGCTACCCAGGCCCATGTGCTGAAACCTATTTCGTTAAAGTACTGCTGTGGTTTCTCATTCCACACACACAGTGGTACCTGACTGAGTACTTCACTGAGAAGCTTGAGCAGAAGATGCGGCTCTGATGTAGTGCTGTTAAGTTCTCTCAGGTAACTTTAGGGTTTTCGACAGCTTTTCCTTTTAAACTTAAGGGAGGCTAGATCCACAAACCGAGCACTAGCACAGGCTGGCACGAAACACAGCTTAACTTTCATTTCAGGCGTTGTAGGGGCCTATCTCTCTTGCTGACAGTTACGGGTGCAGTTTAAGCACAATCTATTTAAGTGGTGCACCTTGCATGGAGATAGACATGTATGGTGAAAGAGGATGGGAGTAACAATGGAGTCTGTGCCGCAGCCAGTCTCTGCTTTTAGATAATGCTCTGTATCTAGTTACTATAAATTTGGGATAGCCCTGGCGATGAGGATGCTGTGGGACACTGTTTGCTTCTTTAAATCACCATAACCACTCATAAACCCAGTCTCGAGGAGTTATGCGAGTGTTTTTCTCTGTCCTTTCTCTTAACCTGTTCCCCTTAAATATCGTTACAAGAAAACGTCCACTGGAGCATACTTCATAGCACTGTGACAGTAGCAGAAGGGAGAAAGTGACTGTTCTAGAGGAACTTCCCCCAGCTCTTAGTTCCTTTGAGTATTTAGAAAGTGGAGTCCAAAGATTTGTTAGCATTTGAGATGTTAATGGCAGGTTAAAACAATCTAGGCTGCTGGAAGACAAGAGTTTTCTATTTAAGTTAACAAGATAATTAAGTTCTCAAATAACTAAAAGTGGCTAGAAGTCAAATCAGTATAAGATGATGGCAAGCTGGTAGGGCTTCTGAATTCAGTTGAGAACACAATCCTCGTTTTTTAACTTGGTTTTGAACACTTCATTGTCAGCAGTATTTAAATATTAAATTTTAAAAATAGATTCCTAAAGGAGAGTCATAACGGGCATCTTCTTAAACCAGCTACTCTTTAAAATCAAAATGCTGTCACTGCCAATAAATAAGTGCAGTGTCTTTTTCTTATGGGTGAGTCAGTTATTTAGTCTGATTTCAATCTTCTAAGTAACCTTGCGAAATATTAACCACGCTACACAGGCCCCACCCCTGACTGCAGGCAAGCAGAAATTCCCTTCAGATTGTGTGAATGGAGATAGTTCCAATCTACGTTACATGATCTATACACAATAGTATGTTTTCTGACATTTATTCCTTTGATTCAGAAATTCTTCCTCAAAACCATGTATTTTGAATTCTAGTTTCAAATATGTCTTTGAAAATATCCATGGCAGGTTTGTGCATAATTTGCATTTTGCTTATTTACCTTGGTTGAGGTTTTTCCTTAGTTTATTTTTTAATTTTTAGGAAAAAATTCTCAGGTTTTTTCAATCCTAAAAAACCAAATTTAAGGAAGGATAGTTTCTTTGTAGAAAGGTGATTAATGAAAAATCCCTGTTCTTGCTATTCTGTCATTGAGCTCTTTCAAACAAGCGTCGGAAGACCAACAGACTTAAAGATAACTTGTTTTCTTACAGTACTTAAGATCACTCTTGTTTACTTGCGGGATGTGGCTTAGAGAATCCCAGTTCATATTTAGATAATATGAGGAAACCAACGTGAATCCAGTGGGCACAAGTACAATAAATGAAAACTTAATTTGCTTTTTAACTAAACTTACAAATACATGTGTTCCTATGCAAGATTTATCTAATTCATAAATTGCAAGAAAACAGGCTAGCTTCCTTGTACACTTAAATCTCTGAGGCTCCTCACTCAACTTTTGTTTTAGTGGACCCTGCAAATGAGGTAACTAGACCATTGATGAATCCAGAAGAGGGAAGCAATTGCCTAAAATGACATCACTACTGTTAGCACGCTAAAAGCCATGGCCACCTACGGATTTTCCCAAGGAGGACTGAGGTGGTGAGGGCTACTTGCATTACCAATTGTATTCTATATTTTCCACCTTCAAATAGTAAACTAAATTAGTCACACAGGCTTTCCTGAAAAAGCGTCTGATTGCTAATGTGCCTCCCAAATAAGTAAAAACCCTTTTAAGAAAAATAGACAAGGTTGTGGATTGGCTTTTGAAGTATGGCTTCATCCTTTTTTGCTTTCCTCATGGATTACAAGTTCAATGTGAGGGGCAGAAAGCCTACCATTTTATTTTTTCAAGATGTGTAAAGGAGAACCACATGCAAGCCTTTTGTGGGGGAACAAACTATAATTCTGTCAAACTGATGAAACAAGTTATCAAGTAATATCTTAGCTTCCTTCAGGAAAGAATATGTTGGGGCTACATTCTGATAGGATATATTCAACCATAAGCCTTAAAAGCATGAATCCTAAAGGGATATAGAAAAAAGCCTCATAGGAATGCCAATGACGGACTCTCGAATCTTCAGGAGTTCTGGGAGCATCAAGAATATGGAGTCCAAATTCTACCGCTAAGCTGACAGATGACAAAGAGTGTATTACCTCAATGGCTAAATATTTAAGCTTCATGGAGTTTGGAAGATAGTTGACTGTAAATGAGCCAAGAATACAAAAAAAAAACTGCCTGTGAAATTATACTGCAGACATAAAATCTCAACTGCCTAAGAGCTCTGGTTCTTCTAAAAGCCGTGGCTGACAGAGCAAATTAAGCAGTGAGATGTTTACTATGTTTAACAGAGATAAACTGGCAAATGTAGAAGATGTAATTACCCAGCATGTTTTTCTAAAAATGAATTTTAACTCTGTTCTATGAGGGGGCAAAAACTGCAGGGCACTGATTTTTTTTCTGAAAGTCTCATGTGCTTGGGTAGGATTTTTAAATTATTCAGTAACTTGATAATAAATGGTCAAATATTGAAAAACCAAGAGACTTTCACTGAGGAAGCAGACCAAAACGGGGGAGCACTTTAGCATTTTCAGCATCTCTGAAAAGATTTCTGGTTGAAGAATATTGTTTGATCTAGCAAGATATCCAGAGGATTTAGCCTACCCAGGGACAACGCAGTGCTTCACATAGAGAAAATTAGCCAGTTAAAGCTGACTTGGGACTCTATAGTGAATGTCATACAGATGACCTCCCACCACAAAAACTAACCTGTACCTTACTGTAAATCATATCATTTATATTTGTCTTGCATGCAATAGGAGATAATTACTGACTAAAATATTCAAAGATGTTTACATGGTGAAACCATCAGCTTGATTTATTAACCTGGATGCTTTTCTTATTAAATAGCAACAATAAATGGAGAGTTCCAAGCCAGCTTCTTGGAAGAAGATACTATTACTAAAAAACTTGTTTTTCTATGTAGATATTCTAATAAGCTAAAAACTTCTCTAAGCCAGCACTGGAATAAATACAAAGATTATTCACACATCTAAAAATATTACAGTAACCTGAAAGATAAGTGAAGACTTCTCCCCCTAAGGAATTTCTTGGGCCTGTCCTAGGAGGGCTATCTCCTTTGCAATATGTTACGACAGGAAATCGTCCATTTTTGCTTGTGTGTGTGTGTGACAGTTGTAGAAAATATATACTAGCCTAATAGCGGTAGTGTTTAAATGTCTGAATCCCCTGTTAGACTATAAACTCATTCAGGTCTGGGAGTCCTCCTTAGAATAGTGTCTGACACATTGGAAATGTTCAATAAATAATTGTTAAACGAATGAATGAAACAAAAGGCAAATGTCTAGATACCTATGTTGTGATTAGAAAAAGATTTAAACAAATGCCAAAGGTACTTTTTTTCCTACCAAGAGGTCATCATTTGCATACATAACATTCATACACAGTTCCAAGTCAGCTTTAAATGGCTGGTTCCTCTGTGTGAGCCACTGCTATGGTCCCTGGTGGTAGACTCCCACAAGCTGCCTCCTATATGCAGATTAAGACCTCAGCTGCTTGATAGTTCACACAGTCACCTCACCCAGGCCTCGCAGGAGAAACCTTGGGACTGTGCAGGAGACCTAGGGCTGTGCAGGAGGAGTTTCACAAATGTTTTGGCAGCAGGGAACCAGCAGCAGCAGAGATGAAATGACTCGCCACTCTTCGGGGCACAGGATCTAGCTATGTCAAGCATTCATTTTCACTTTATTTTGATAAAATGTTTTTATGGACCATGACAATGAACATGGAGCTTGGTAACAAGAGAAACGTAAGTTCTGAAACTCAGCTACTCAACTGATCTGGCCTCAGTTTCCTCCTACATAAGATGAGAATAAGAAGGAAATTGACTATCTAGGATTCGTTGCCAAGTCCAAGTGAGATTGTGGATGTGTAAACACTTGTCAAGCCATAAAACACTCTATAATGTATAAAGTTATAAAGGCATCTTTGTGGTAGAATGACTGCAAATATGGTACCAATTATCCTTCTACCACTTTTTGCACTGTGCCTTTGAAGTTCCTACTATCAACAGGTGAAGTCTATTCCTCATCTCTGTAATCTAGCCTGGTCTTGGAATTTGCTTTGGTTCATAGAAAACAGCAGAAGTAATCGTGTGCTAAATTCTGACCCAAGGCCTCAAGGTAACTTCCTTTGCAAATACATTTGCTCTCGGAACACTACCACTGGCAGAACAAGCCTGGATTAGCCTGATTGGGAAGTAGAGATCATGCGGAGGAGAGTTTAGTTGTCCCAGATGAGGCCATCCTTGTCCACCCTTCAGCAGCAAACACAGCCAAGATCCAGCAGAGCTCCCTACCTGACCCATAGCTGATGGCTTGTCTCTCTTACACTTGCCAAGACCAGTAGATCCATCCAGATTCATTAGGAAAGATAGGCTTGATTGTGTTTAAACCACTGGAGTTTGGGGGTAGTTTATGTAGCAATAACTCAGCACTAGCCTCCAACCAGAGTCCATGGGGGGGACATGTCAAAGGAGAGGGGTAATAAGTAGAAAATGTGTGGGTCTTGAGAATCAATGACAGCTGTTTCAGCATTACCCCTCAGCTTCCTCCATTTCCAGGGTGTTGGTGGTAGTCACAACTTCTGGCTCACCTCGAGACTAAGGCTGAGAACTTCTGATCTCAGTAGAAAGACTGCTCTTAATTCAGAGTGCCATGTGAACCGCTATACCTCTGCTCCCAAAATGTGATTGAAAAAATAAGAAATGGCCTCCTGGACCTTCATCAAATATCTAAGTATGCTGTCTCAATCAAGAGTCAAATACTCAGATCTCCTTTTAAATATAGCCTCTGAAATCAACCTACCCAGCCTGACATTTAAAAATCAGCTGATAAAGGCAGGAAGGGATTAGTTAGCAAAAGTGGGAAAGTGAATAGATCAGAGGCTAGATCATCAGAAGCCTATAAAAAGCATAAATGCTTAGGACAATTCGCATGGAAAGTGAAAAGAATTAAAGACATGAAAGGGAAACCAGTTAGTCTCTTTATGAGCAGGTATATCCTTGCTCACAGAACTCTGGCTGTGTACAGCCTTAAAGCTAATGTAATGCTATTAGTAAATATTGAGGATGATTACAGGCCCATGGATTAGTGGATTTCTGCTTTAAGTTTGCTGTTTATTTTCTAGGGCACATAACCCCCCCACAGAGAATGAGTAAACACAGAAGGACCTAGAATTCCAATCATCCAAATAGTTCTTGGGATTAGTAGATCAGATTCACAAAATCACAAGAATTTGAAGGAGTTCTACAACTCCTACAAATGTAGTCCCCTCCCCTGTTTAAACAGTTCTAGTCCGTATCTTCTGGATCCCAAGACTTCCCTCTTCTCTTACCAGAATACACTAATAGCAAAGCTGCTCAGATTATCAGCAGTTCAGCAAAATCAAAAGGAATATCTGAGCTTAAGATGGGTCAGTTACCCAGTACCAATAAATGCAGATAACACTTATTGAGCATGTTACCATGTGCTGAGTACCATGGTGTTTATTCATTAATCCAAATTTGTTTTCTCAATTCCATGAGTTAAGTATTAAACTAATTTTATAGACGAAACTTCTCAAGATGCAGCAGCTTGCCCCAAAAGCTTCATAGCTTTCATAGTTTCCTGCACAGCCAAGAGCAAAACCAAATCTGGATGATACCAAACTACTCTCTCCAACCATCAAACATCATGCCTTGGCTTTACTCAACATTCTTTGCCTTTGTAGTACATTCCTATCTGCCAAGTACTATCCACATACAGTTGCATGCACCAAGTATGTATTCTTAGTGAACACCTTTGACAGCTTGGTGGAGCACTCCACTCTCTGAAAGAGCCCCTCCTTAGCTGATGAGTTTTCTCTGGGCTATTCTTTGCAGCCTCCCTCCAGCTCTTCCTTCCGTCAGATCTCCATTTCCTACACTTTGCTCCGTATTGCCTTTTATCTTTCCCGTCTTCCCCTCTTCTCAGGAAGAACCACAATGATTGTGCTTGAGAACTTTAGAATCAGACTGGCTCTGAGTAACTGACAAAAAAACATGAGATGGTAACTACCTCATAGAGGGTGGTTGAGAGGACTCTAAATGAGATCATATATGTAATGGGCTTAGCACAGTATAAGATAACATGGTAAATGCTTAAATATAAATGTGGACCTTCTACGAATATATCAACTTGGTGGAAGAAGAGAGTAAAAACTATTCCTGGATTCTTATCACTGAGATAAAGGTTTTCATGGTGACTCCATTCAAGAGGACTCCATTGTATTTCCATAAAGCAAGTATTTATTTATTGCCTCATAATGAAGTACTTTCATAAACAGAATCCTATGCCATCCTTGCCATTAGGCAGCACTTTGTAAAAGCTGGTACAAGTGTCGCCCTTTTGATAGTCTTCCCTGAGCTTCCAGTGGAATATATAGGGGATTTGAGTCAACATTTGATCTCCTTCTAAAGTCCCTTCCTATATTGCAGAGGCTTACACATTTCCAAAACTCTCTTGCAGTTAGTCTGATGTAATTTAAAGTGAGCCAGCCAGACATACCTGCACATAATTTCAAACTTGAGTTAGGTGGGAGAAGAGTCATAATGATTAAAAATCCGTTTTTTTTCCAGTGCAGATCACGATGGAGCTGGTTGGATTTAGTGCTGGCATCTCGTAAGGCAAATCCACAATTCGACAGGCCTCTGCAGATTGGAGCAGAAGCAGCAGCTCCCTGGGCAGCCCAGTTCTAGGGTAGGACTTAGACATCTGTCTCTTTAGCTCTCACAATGATTATGTAAATCTTTAATTATCTATAAATCTTTTTCTTCCAAAATTAGCCAGAGTATATTCTACTCCCTGCACTTGATTTCTAAACAATAGCTAAGAGGAGCTCTTGCCCTTCTTTCTGTACCTCCAGTACTTGTTCCTGCTCATAATTCTTGTTACACTGGACATTTTATTACAGTAACTCTTAGAAACATTTATCTTTTCCTCAAGTTGAAAGCTTGATGGAAGGTGCTATGTCATTTTCACCTTTGATATTTCCCATAGTGCTTGGCACAAAGCATTTGCTGAATTGAACTGAGACACGTTCCCACAGTAACACTGTGGTAAGCTAAAGCCTAATTTTGAATTGTCACTAGGTTTTATTCCACATTTTGTACATTGCTGAACTATGCCTAAACCTGTTTTTTAAAAGTGACCATCTTTATTTGTGGTAGATTAGGTTCTTCAGAAATACGCATATGTATCCTCACTACTTCACTTCCTTAGAAGTAACATTTCCCTGCTCGACTGCCACTGGGTTTGTGCATATGGCTGGATTTGGCTAACTGTAGCATAGTCTCCAATATCTTTTAAGGTTGGGCTTAGTTATGAGATTCACTATGGCCAAGCTAATGTCGGCAGATATAACAGACTCACAAAATGCTCTTATGCAGGTGGACTTGTGCTCTATGCCTCTGTCACTCATAAGAACATGCCTCAGTAAGTTGAAGAAAGATTCACGGAGCCACAGCCACTGCCAGCCAAGTCCAGCCTAAATTAGCTACCTAATATCTCCTTTTTACCTGCAGATTCATGAGTGATAAATGCTTATTGTCTCATATCACTAAAGTTTTGTGATTGTTTCACAGTATTGTCAATAAGTCATGTTTCTAGAGAAATAATTCTTTCAAAGAAAACTTGGATGTACCAGAAAGAGAAGGCATACCCTGGTATGAAGTTTAATGCTTCCCTGTAGGACACTTCCTTCCTGCACAATCATCTTCCTCGAGGTTCATCTCCTTCGTTTCCATAGCAATACATATTACTCATACCCCAGTTACTTACTGGCTTGACCTTACATCTCTTTGTGCCTTATCAATAGATGTTCCTCAATTTTTGCTTCTCTTCATTAAGCTTTAGTCTCTTTTAAATATCATTTTCAGGGACTTGTATCACTCTGTGAAACTCCTAAATTCTGTCCAACCCTGAACTTGTCATAGCCACCAACTTCTAGCTACCAACAGACTGTGTCTAGCTGGCATTCCTCCTAACATCTTACATAAAACTCTCCAAACCACATCCAGCAATATTTCCTTCTGTTTCCTCTTTCTCTTACCATCTTCCAGGCCATCTATACACAAAATCTGTTATCTTCCTCTCACCATACCAGACTCCAAATTTAATAATTACTACGTATCTTAAGTGCTCTGACAAACATTCCAAAGGATTTAGGCTAGTGAAGCTTCTAATTTGAAGGAATACTATTTGAAATCATTCTTGTAAAGCAATGAGTGGTTTTGGTTATGTGACTTGGCCCTGAATTGATTCTCTAATCTTGGGACTTCTCCACATGTTTTTCTTCAGGTGGGGGCAGGGTGATGATGGGCAGCCTGTGGAGCCTCAAATATACTGATAAAGATGTCAAGCAGTCATTTGGTAGAAAGGAAAGGACATAGGGAAACTGGCCATTCCTGCTTCAACTAGAAAATTAAAGGCTGATGTCCTGTGCTGTTCTAAAAAATCAATGGCTAATAAATATTTACCTAGACTGGCAAAACAAGGATTAAAATTTACCATGCAGAACACAACCCACAAAACATTTTGCAACTAGTATTGTATATTTTGAATGGAAAAAAGCTATCGGGTTTCATATAGGCATTTAATGAAGGATCTCTGAAGAGACCCTGGACGTAAATCTTTATATTGTATGCTTTATTTACTTTAATAAAATTCCAGCTTTCCTCTAAATCAGGCTATATTTCTATCACATTATATATTGAGAGATGTTCTATCGTGGATAGCAATGAGAATTCTGAGTCTCCAGGGAAGAAGACAGCTAGAGCCTCTCAGAGCTCCTCAACAAGCTAAGCTAAAATTGACTCAATATTGGTGAATTCTAGACACAAACAACTAAGTTAACCAAATATATGTGGGACTTATTGACAAAACAAGTAGCCAAGTCTTCTTCCAGGCACCCAGTGTCGGTGGCGCACACACATTTTCGCAGTCAATTAACTACAGAACCTGGGGGATAGATATGTTTATTTTTACTGCATGGTATATTTTAGCTCCTATACTAGCCAAATTTTTAGTGCAAAGAATTATTGAGTAAGCTTCCTTCCCTGAATCTGAAGCTGATCTTTGTTCTGTGTCCAGGAAGTCTGAGTCTAAACCAAACTTTATCCAATTGAAACTATCAATCCTCATCAGTCTGTAGTAACTTTTTAAAAAAGGAATGAGATTTTTTTAGACATATCCATTTGTGTGTGAGGGAAGTAGACAAAGTAACATCATTAGACCAGTAAGTAAAAAATCTGGAACACTTTTTCTACCTTATCACTAGAGCATCCCCTCCACCTAGTAGCTCTACCAATTAGATTCAAACCTATGGTCAATATTTTGAATGGCAATCTTGAAACAGCACAACACAAATGCTGCATTTCACAGGATATATAATATGAAGTTTATATGCATGTGTATATGTATTATATGTATATAATATCTGGGGCCGTGGGAGTGAGAATCTAATAGAGTATCTGAAACCAAGGCACAAAAGAGCCGAGACAGTGAGTACAGGTCTTGCAATGTGACGTGGGTAGGTGAGAGGTCTGGATGCAGGAGACAGTCTACATCACCAAATATCTTGACTGCCCTGCTTAGGAACCCATGTTTTATAGAGAAGGCAGCAGGAAAGTCTTTACATAGTGGAATTTGAAGGAGTCAATGGCTGTTTATGCAAGGCCTCTAACAGTGAAGAGAAGAGGGGCTTGGGGTAGTGACGATGCTAGGAGTAAGTGAATTATGTTGAGAAGGTTCATGGCAGTAATCTAGGTGAGAAAAGAGAAGTGAGGACATATGCTTTAAAAGGCTTCCTTTTCTACCTGGTAGTTCAATATATAAGGGTCCTTCGAAGACTGAAGTTTTCATGCGATTTTTGAATTGTCAAGCATGAAAAAATACACAAAGCATATCTGAACTCATGTACTTCAACAAACAACTTCAAAGTCAGATTAGAAACTTAACATTTTTATAATAAACTTTTAACTTTTGTGGGCACCATAGTAGGTGTATATAATTCTGGGGGTACATAAGATGTTTTGATACAGGCATGCACTGAAATAAGCACATCATGAAAAATGAGGTATACATTCCCTCAAGCATTTATCTATTGAGTTGCAAATGTCCCAACCACACTTTTTAAGTTATTTAAAAATGTAGTTATTGAATAGTCACTCTATTGTGCAGTCATAATAGGTCTCCTTCATTCTTTTTATTTTGGATCCATTAACCATGCCCACCTCCCAGACCCCCACTATCCTTCCCACTCTCTGGTAACTATCTTTCTAGTCTCAATTGTTTTTGATTTTTAGATCCCACAGATAACTGAAAACATGTGATGTTAGTCTTTCTTTTCCTTGCTTTATTTCACTTAACATTACAATCTCCAGTTCATCCATGTTTCAAATGACTGGATCTCATTCTTTTATGGTTGACTAGTATTCCATTGTGTATATGTACCATACTTTATCTGTAGATGGACACTTAGGTTGCTCCCAAATCTTAGCTATTGTAAACAGTGTGCTACAACAAACATGGGAGTGCAGTTATCTCTTCCATATACTGATATCATTTTAGGTTGACAATTAAAAATCTAGCACCATAAATAGGTAAAGTCATGTGTCAAGTAGAACTCTGTATGTGTATTTATACATATACATACTCCTCAGCTTACAATGGGGTTACATACCCATGATCCCATCATAAATTGAAAGTATTGGCCAGGAACAGTGGCTCACGCCTGTAATCCCAGCACTTTGGGAGTCCGAGGCTGGTGGATCACAAGGTCAGGAGATTGAGACCATCCTGGCTAACACGGTGAAACCCCCTGTCGCTACTAAAAATAACACAAAAAATTAACCAAGTATAGTGGCCGGCGCCTGTAGTCCCAGCTACTTGGGAGGATGAGGCAGGAGAATGGCTGAACCCGGGAGGTGGAACTTGCAGTGAACCGAGATCATGCCACCTCACTCCAGCCTGGGCGACAGAGCAAGACTCCGTCTCGGCGGCGGGGGGTGGGGGTGGGGGGGAATATTGTAAGTCAAAACTATTACACCTAACCTACCAAATATCACCACTTAGCCAAATCTACCTTAAATATGCTCAGACTTAGATGATTTTGCCCAACTATAGTCTAAGAGGAAGCCTATTTTATAATAGTGTTGCGTATCTCAGAATTTATTGAATACCATACGTTACATCAAAATTGCAACAGTTTCTCACATTGTAAAGTTGAAAAATCCTTAGGTCTAAGCATTGTAAGTCTTAAAGACCATATCTTTATCTATCTCTCCATCTATAGAGATATAGATAACATAATCCTTAGTCAGCTTTTGACCAGAAAATTCTAAATGTGAAGATATCAGAAAATATCACCTTAAAATGATATAATTTGGTTATCCATATTTGAAAAATGATTTTATAAATTCTCTTGATAATAAAAAGGAAAAAATCTTCCCATTGACTTTTTTCTTAACAAAGAATAAAATACATAAAATATTTCTACTAAACAAACCTCAAATCTCTAAATGAGGATACAGGATTTAAAATACTCCGTAATTTGGTCAGAATAGCATAGAAAGTTTTAACATTCATAAAAATGCAAATGTACATTATATATACTTATGTTTATTAAATATATTAACGCTTTACTGAAGTGATTTTATACTTAAAGTTTTTCAAAACTTAGTTCTTAAGTAACTGAGGACATGAAGAAAAATTCTCTTAAGAGATTTTTAGATCCGAGTCATTTTCCCTACTCAAATTTGTAAGAAGATACACAGTAGAAACTAATTTCTAAGACATGATCTGATAGATTCTGGTGTGTAGACTCTAAGAGAAACCATGCAAAATTTGTTAGATTACACTTAAAACATAATTCTCTTGAGTTATGTAACTCATAAGAAAAGCGAAACTACAAGACTCCAGTGCATTATAAACTGAATCAAACTGAGCTTTTTTTCCTGTAAAAATGGAAGTAGAGCCAAGTGTAGTTACATTTTCTTTCCAACTCTTTCGTACTACTTGGTCCCTTGTTATTTTTCTAAGCCCCTTGCTGAGCATTTTATTAGAGGAAATCACTCGAGAAGCATGTCCCAAGCACCAAGAACAGTGGAACACAATAGATGCTCAATAAATATATTGTTTGAGTAGGCAAGTTCCCATGTGAATTCTCTGATCATCTTACACTTAAGAATTGTTAACTCACATGATAGACATGATTAGTACCAAACTAAACTGCCACAGTATTCTAGTCCACCTCGGTATACTTCAGTGTCGGCTCACCCCAGGTTGTACTGACAATCTCCATTCGGAATTAG
Source organism: Homo sapiens (assembly GCF_000001405.40). Classification (NCBI taxonomy): domain Eukaryota; kingdom Metazoa; phylum Chordata; class Mammalia; order Primates; family Hominidae; genus Homo; species Homo sapiens. The sequence continues at coordinate 30,764,818 of NC_000003.12, forward strand.
GCAAGTGATATTACAGTTGACTAAAGCAAGCTCTGCTGTGGCACTGCCAACATTTGAATTATCCCTACCTACCCCTAAAACAGTGAGGCACTACCATTTCTAGAACATCCTGCAAAGAGGGGGGACATTTTCATAAGAAACAGCATAATCCAAGGACAGATTGCAGGAAAAGTCTGACAATGCAGGTTTAGCCATCTGTAGTCACAACTGCAAATTGACTTTTTCCTTCCGAACTGATGATTTGACCAGCAGAACCAAAACTAAATAGCAACTTACAACACTAACTGCTAGATTTACGCAAGACAGAGGTAGTTCCCTCAAAGGCAACATTAGAAGAGCCATCAAAATGTTCATCTCCCCTAACATGTCTTCCTTAAGCTGTCCTTATCCCGAATTCCCCACATGGATCACCACTCATAAGAAGTGGTGGCTCTCGGCTCTTCCTGCACATCAAAAGCCAGATAAAAATATGATCCTAGGTTTTTACTGCAGACCAACTCACACTTTCAGGATGAGTAGTCATATTCTGTAAAACTACAGGTGGGATAATGGACAAAGAACAAACCATGATGTCTTCAGGAAGCCACAATAAGCATATAAGTTGCCCAAATGAAGTTCATGCCTTATTTTGCTGAATGAATCAATAAATTATTTTCTATGCATCTACTATGTGATAACATTGTGAAAACATACAAGGACAATCAACCCCATTATTAAACATTCAGTACCAGGGCTTGCTTCATGGGTGTGCAACCTGTGCAGCTGAACAAGGCCCTGCCCTCAGAAGGGCATGCTTGGTTTAATGCTCAGCTGTCAGCATCTTAAAACTCTGGGTAATTTTGAAACAAGGAGCCCCACATTTTTATTTTGCATGAGTTTTTGTACTAGCCAGGCTTGGAAGGGTTGAAACTCAAATATGACCCTAATGTGACACATTGTCCCCACCTTCATCTCCCCTGCAATCTACTGTATCATAGGGGAATTGTAATGCATCATCCCTATGCTTAAAATTCATCAGCCATTTTCTCCTATGCATTGCATAATTTGTCTGTTTCTCTCGCCTCTAGCTTGACATAATCTTTCCCAACTCCCCTCCCAAATATTGCTTTATTATCGTAACTGGCAAGACGGGAAGAAAATGTGTCATAAGAGTATATGAAAAGGGGTACTCATGCTCAGGTGCCAGGAAATAAGTCTTGGGAAAGCTGAGAGGCTGACCTTCTAATTTTAAATTGGAGTCAGACATAAAAATTGACTGTATTGGTTAAATGATATTGGTTAAAAGTTATAAATGGCTTACAAAAGACTGCATCATTCCCCATTCAGAGGAAGAAACAAGTATATATCTGAGGCCTCCAGGAGGAAATTGAACATGGGGCACCAAGAATGAAGAGGTGGTAGAATATAGGCACAAGGCATCAGGGATGAAAGCAGAGAGAAAATACTAGGAGGTAGGAATGCTAAATTCACTCTCATTAACCCTGAGCATCAGGGATGTCTTGAAGATGTGCAACCAGCACAGTCACACAAGCTCCTGAGCTGACAAGGGGCCCCATGCTTGGTAATGCTCTACTGTGGCCATCTTGAAATTTTTAGTAGTTTCTGGAAAAGGAACCCCACATTTACTTCACATCAGGCTCTGCAAATTATGTAGCCTGTCCCACTTAGCACTATGTGAAGTGGTTTACATGTACTATCCTATTTAGTCCCTGAAAATCCATAACATATCATTACTGTGATTTTTTTTCTCTTAATGAGGAAACAGGTATGGAGTGGTAATGTACTGTACCAAAAGGCACACCACAAAGATGAAGCCAGAACTTTCATCCAGGTTTTTCTGACTGCCAAGCCAGTGTGTTTTTGATGACAGTGATAGGCTGGCTTTCCAAGTAAAGACAGGAGAGAGCAGGTGGCTCAGTCAGCTAGACTGCAGGGGACATAAATAGGATTAGCAGAGGACAAGGTAAGAAGGTTGAGTAAATCAGATCACTGTAGTCCCTGAATGATCATAGACTTTCCTATGGGACAAGGGGGGAAACATGAGTGACATATTGAGAGTTGGACTTTAGGAAGTCTATTATTGTGATAGTGTTAAGGTATTTTGTTAAGCAAACAAAAAGGCATGGAGAAGATATCTGGGGCTCATATAGTCCTTCAAATATGAGGTAACAGGATGAATAATAATGAAAGCTAATGTTTATCAAGCATTTACTCTGTGCCAGGCACTATTCTAAGCACTTTGGTATAATGCTTAAATACTGTAATCCCCATCAAAGTTCTGTGAGGTGCAGGTAGTTTTTAAATATCCTCCTGTTATTGATGGAAAAAATGAAAAGGAAAGCAAGTTTCAGTAACTTGTTCATGGTCATGCAGCCAGTGAGTGGCAGAGGCATTATTTACTTCAGAATCAGTGATTTAATCTTCAATAAGAATATTTAAAAGATGCCCTTTTTAACTTAAAGAGTTCTAAAACATATAAAAATGAAAAATATTAAAGAATGCTATTTTACAAAAGATCCAGGAGGATAGAGTATTAGCAGATTTGAGAACCTATCGTAAAGGAAAGCCATTTAAATCCTTTGGTTCTTGGCACAAAAACAGAAACGCAGATCAATAGAACAGATTGGAAAACTGAAATAGTTTTTAAAATTGTAACATAAGACCCCATAATAAAGTGTTAGGAGGAATTAATTAGAAAAACTTGATAATACTTTGAGGAAATGATCAGGTTAGATTCATACTTTGCATGATACACTAAAATAACTTCTACATGGATTAAGGATTTAAATACAAAAAATTGAATGACAGTAAAGCCAGCAGGAGATGGAATAGAATATCAGGTTTATAAGAAAACAGTAACTTCAGCTTTGAAGCAGTGGAATAAATTATGAAGGAAAAGATTGACAGATTTGAATACATAAAAAATTTAAAACTTGCTGTTTTTTCATCGTACAGAAGACTAAATACAAAGGATATTATTACTGAAGGCCATATTTGCATTCCATGCTACAAAGACAGCTTTAAAACCCAAACCATGTTACCCTTATTCAAATTTATAAGGAAAAACATCAGATCTCAAAATATAAATACTTAAAATATGAAAAAAATGAATACACTGACAATCAGTAAAGAGAAATTGTTCAGCCTACCAACAATTAATAAATATGTGCAAAATAAACTTGAGATAGGATTTTTTACCTTCTAAATAACTCCCCATACCCCCCCCCCCCTTATCCTTATAACACCCAATGTTAGTTAGATTGAAGCTTGTGTACTCATTCCTTACTGCTGGCATTGCAAATGTATACAGACTTCTTAAAAATTAGTAATACAAAGCTAATCAGGCTCAAAGCTGCATGAGTTTTTTCAGGCAGCAATTACATTTTGAGCACTTTATCGTCTGGAAATAATAGCAAAAGCAGATGTGAGCAAAAGATGTTCATCTGTTATTGTTTACAATAGCAAAACCCTGGAAACCTAAATGCCCCAAATTGAGAATGGTTTTATAAATTATGAGAAGGGACTACTTGTTATAGAGGGCAAGCCATTTGAAGATTTTTATTTTCAGGAGTTTGGTCCAAAGGGATGAGGAAAGAGACAGTGAAGTAGCTTGAGGGGAAAACATTAAGGAAAAATTGTCATTTATTTCATTGAAGCCTTGGACATATTTATCAATTGAGGGGGAACAAGATATTAGAGGAAATAAGAATGAAATTTTGAGAAGGAGAAGAGGGGGAGAGAGAAGGGGTGGGGAGGGGGAGGAGAGGCGGAGAAGGAAGAGTGGCGAGACTGGAGGTGCAAAGACCTCTGAGGCACAAAGAAGCCTCAAAGGCAAATGTGGAAAAGTTTGCTTTGGAGAAGGGATGTGACTTCCTCTGAGATAAAGATGAAGAAAGAAACATTTGAAGTGAAGAGAAGGAACAATTTGATCTCTGAGAATTTGACTTAGGTGAGTCTTTCTTGGTCTGGCAGAACCGGATACCCTGACACCTGTGATGCTGTAACTCTATAACATTTTCACAGCATTTGTTCACTCCGCATTTAGTGTGTCATTTTCCAGCTGTGAACGAAAACATGAGCAAAAGTGCCACCAGGGGGCAGGCTGGGCACTGGCAAAAGCACTTCAAAGAGACCATGGAAAAAGTCTTTTCCTTTCAGCCCAGGGGTCTATTCTTTGTTTTTGCAACAACAAACTGCATCAAGTCCAGAGCATTTTCCTTAATGGTTGTGTTGTGGGTATGGATTTTGCTCCATGAACTCAAGTGTGCAAGAAATGTCACAGTACTGTACTTTATTTTCTCTAAATAAAATTAAATTCAACTGCAAGCCACCATCCTAGGCAAGGCTGAAAGTCACTCAGTCATTATTACAGCTCCCACAGCCCCAAAGCATTCTGTAGAGATGAGGATCTTATTCAGTGCTCGTATTTAGGTCATCGGTCCATCCAGCGACTAGTGAAATACTTATGACCTGAACCAACATGATGTCTTGGTACATGGTGACAGTGCTGTATCCTTATCTGTTAGGATAGGGGCAGAAGTTCCAATGTCTGGAACGTATGCACACACGCACACACACACACCCAGATACCTCCTTAGGTTACGCAAAGAGGGAAGCTGAGGATGATTCCTATCTGTAGAAATTGTCTCCTGTACCCTCTTCTGGCTTGAGGGAAATTCCTCCTGCTTCCCCCCTGTGCCTGCCTCTTTGTCTCCTCTATGGTCTAATCATGGGCCAGCTTAGGCTACAAAGAACATCTAGGAAGATAGACATCTTCAGAACACACAAACTTCAGGAGAGGCATTGAAGCCCAGAGGCCCCATCTAGTTCTTGGAATCCGGAAAGGAGAAAACACAAGATCAAAATGCACCCACACCCATATGTCTAAACTGTGTTGCCACATTTGCCACAAGGTCACCGTCCTTAAAACACCCACTACTTGACAGATCTGACAGTATGAGACCGTTATCTTCTAGTAGATGAGAGAGCTCAAGCATCCCTCAGTCGATAGTGGGCCAATCCCAGAACTGCTGCCATGGAGGAGCAAAGATGAAGGGACAAACTCTCATCTCAAGGAGCTTCCAGTGACACACAGGTAATCAAGGACTGACGAATTTAGGTAAGATATTACACATTTCTAAATCACTTACCAATATTGAAAACATTAAAAACAAAGGGTTCACGTAATCATCTGTGTATTATCTAGCTTCTCTTAAAAATAAGACCCGGCAACCCTGGCCTGCATTCCTGCATGGCAGTCATGATTAGGAGCTGAGTAGAGGTTGTTCCCTTTAGCTGGGACCAATATACTTCAGTGTATCACAGTCCCCATCACTCCCTACTATGTTATGCTCAGGCTCCTCTCATTTATGCTACTTGTCTAGCTTCTATACGTACTTGGGTTTGCAACTCGACTGAGTAAACCAAATAAAATCAGAGACACAGTGGTAAGTGGCCTATAAGCATTAATTAAGCTTCTGCCTTTCCTCGATGTTCACTCTGATATACTTGGGAATTCAGAATTATTTCACGTAGACCTTACACGAACAGACGCTAAAGAAACAGACTTAAATGATAAACTTGGCTCATGTGCAAATGTTACACAGAAAGCCAGTGGCACTCCGTACAGAGAATAGTATACTCATGCCTCATGTATGTGTGCAGAACAATAGATGTTCATGAAATGCAGATTTAGCTGTGTTCCTTGGCCTCATCTCCCATGACTGTCATCGAGGGTGCCCAGTGGATCAGTAGGTCACAAGTGAACAAGTGTTTACTGTTAGCTGTGGGTGGCCACTCCCACAAAAATTCCTGAGAACTGGTCTCATCCTAACCTCAGGCCCATGAGCTCAGAGAACTGGTCTCATCCTGACCTCAGGCCCGTGAGCTCAGCCTCAGCCTGCAGAAATGCCAGCTTCATTCTTTATTTTAATTTTCAAGAGATAGGCTAAACTCAGAACTTATGCCACAATAAATTAGAACAATCCAACAGAAACAAGAGAAGAGAGGCTGTTAAGCTCAAGGAAAGAAAAAAAAATTTATAATGAGGACATCTGTACTTATCTGGCTTTTCTGGAGAGTTCAAGTTACTATCCACAAAACACATCTATGAAAATGTTTAGACCACAAAACAATATATTAATCAGCAAATAAGCAAAGTAATAACAAATTTTATGCGTTGAAAGATGCTATTAAATACAAAGGAAAACTCATCATGAACTTCCCGTTAAACATGCGCATACAACAAGAATTTTATTGGAACTTTTTGTTGGTTGGAATTGTATAAATCCAGTGGAGTATATTTAGAAAGACAATAATTAACTAGAAAAGAGATTGAGCATAAAAGCGAGAAAAGCACTGAGTATTCCCTGCCCTTCAGCTGAAGGAACACTCCAGCTTCTTCAGCTGATTGCTGAAGCTGGCCATAATTATCAGAAGTACCTAAGTGGCTTCTTGACCCTTAGTTGCAGAATGGCATAAGAACAAAACTGATAACCATTAGAATGCATGACAAATTGTACATAATATCTCTACCTGACAGAATACTTAAAACAACATTTTATCTTAGGTTTTAATGGTTTGGGGAAAGAGCATACGGTATCTACAAAATTCAGGACATTCATTAGTTAAGCATTCTTGAAATCTACAATGCCAGCCACTATCCAAGTAAGGGGAGCCTCTTAAGTCACATTTAGAGCTATTTTCTTTAAAAGGCACTTTGATATTAGACTCTTTAAACATAAATTTTAAAGTACAGCTTGAAAGCGAGTGATAACTACTAGGAAACAGGATTTTTGAAGGATATACTATAAATTCTGTAGCATAAGGTTTAAAAAAGAACCTCATCTTTGAACATTTTTTAAAGTGCTGCACCTTTAAAGACACAGGTGCTTTTAGTTCACAGTCCAAAAATGAGTGACTGAATATACTAATGTCAAAGACAATGACAAAATCAGAGTTCTGAAAAATACACAGCTTTCAATTAATTTGTGAACATGTGTGCATGTGTGTATGCATATCTACAAGTCCCTAAGAGATCAGGAGACGTTATACACAGGATTGCTGTTATTTCTAGCCGCTCCTAAGTCCAGATATTAGACATGCAAAAAGACATTCAGGAAATAAATGGGGCAAGGAAAGAGATACTGAAGCCCTCCCTAAAATCCAAAGCAGCAGCCTGTGTAGATGTCTTCACTGTGAGGTTTCCACGGAAGCACATCACCCTACTCAGATTATGCAGTCTCATCTTCAAGTGCCGTTAATCAGAAACCTGCCAGGGAGAATACTAAACTCTTTCTAAAGATATCTGGAATATCATCAAGTTTTATCACCAAACAATAAAACAAACCCGTCAAGTAGATTTTAAGATTTATTTCTCCTCTACTATTAAGGAGAAAGGAGCCTGTTATAAATGACTAACATTAGTCACAAATCTGCAGGTCAGCAAATGGAAAAAATTGAAATAACCATACATGAATACGAAAAGACAGCTTGTTAATTACTTTTAAGAACGTAAATTGTGTTGGCATAGTGTACTTATTTATGAAATATTGACAAAATAAGAAATATTCTACATCAGAATACTGAGTAATGATGGGGCAAAACAAACTAGTGGAATTTTCAATTACATTCTCTGGGGTCTAACATTTCCCATCTTATCTTTGCATTCTATCCTCAACTTTCTCATCCTCAATATCTGACCACTATAAGGCAGCTTCAGAAGAAGCAAAGATACAAACTTATTTCAGGAAGTTACTTTAGAAAGCAAAGTGTATAGGGCTGGGTGCGGTGGCTCATGTCTGTAATCCAAGCACTTTGGGGGGCTGAGGTGGGTGAATCATGAGGTCAGGAGTTTGAGACCAGCCTGGCCAACATGGTGAAACCCCATCTCTACTAAAAATACAAAACATTATCAGGGCATAGTGGTGAGCAGCTGTAATCCCAGCAACTTGGGAGGCTGAGGCAGGAGAATCGGTTGAACCCAGGAGGTGGAGGTTGCAGTGAGCCAAGATTGTGCCACTGCACTCCAGCCCAGGTGACAGAGTGAGACTCTGTCTTAACAAAACAAAAGCGAAGTGTAACTCTACCACAATGCCCGAAGCTTTCAGGGAAACCTAGGAAGCCTATTGAAGATCACTAGGAACCACCACTAGCAATGCGTCTAAACTTAAAACCAATGCAGATACTGTGTGTTAGGAAGGAGGGGAGAGATAGGGAGGAATGACATATTGGACACAATACCTGGGAACACATCATGAGAAAATAGTTTGCAAACTAATTAATTATTGTATAATCATGATCCTTAGAGTGGTACAATAAGAAAAGATTAAAACATTTTAATATTTAAAACCTTAAAATTCATCCTTATAAAAACTTTGTTGTTAAATCTACATGCTATATTTCTAAGGTAATACATGTAGATAATTTTTAAATGGTAAAAACGTACCATATTGGGATTAATGCTTATTTTTTTCTGGCCCTTGGGGGAATACATGGTTAAAACCTGGATAACTTTTTGTCTAGATAAAGCACTCAAGGAAATCTGGCTTCATTGGATCAATTACTCCACTAAGGTATCTTTTTAATGTTATCTTATTTTCACAAACATACATTATAGAAAATTTTCAAATTGCAGAGAAATATAAAAGAAATCGCCTGCAACTTTATCTCTAAAAATATTTTGGCACCTCTTATGCACCCTTAAAACATAGTATTTTACATGTACTTAAGTATACTTAAGCATAAAATTTCGATATTAATATACTACAGTGGCTGTTTTAAACCCCTTTTTAATATGAATTATTTTGAAACACAATCTTGTCTGGACACTACAAATTTGTTTATAAGTTATGTACTAAAATTTAGCCAGCTCTTTATAGTTGAATAGTTTCTTCTGAAATATTTGCTATTTTAAAATAATGCCTATGAATGTCTTAGTAGCTTCTCCTCCATATTTCTATAACTTAATACATTTTTAGAAAAGGAATTGCTGAAAGATAAGATATTTGATATGTTTTATAATGTTGCTTTTCAGAAAAATGGTACAAAATTTACCCATGAATAGCTTACAGGAATCTCCTGACGCTCACCAACAGTAGACATCAACATTAAAAACTACAGTGATTTGTCAATTTGATTAGTGAAAGATATCCAGTACCCAATTTCCAGTGTTTCCTAACTCCTCTGGCCCAATTTACTCAGACATGGAGAGCTTTGGATGCCAAAGAGACAAGATTCGATTGGTAAGATATGGTAAGATTTTATCCTGTGAGACAGTGGTTCTCAAGGAAATGGTACAACATTCCTAGGGAATACCTAGGAAATTTGGGTAAATGTTTCAGATTTTCATGATTTTGAGAGGGTTGCTACTGGCATTTAGTAGGTGGAAACCAGAGGTGTCAGCTGCCCTGCACTGTGTAGAGCAATCTTGAGTGACATTGAACTGTGTCCCATGTTTTACACAACTTTCAAATGTCCTAGTAGAAATGTATGAGGTAAGAAGCTTGGTTATAATTATTCAAGCGCAGAACCTAACTGTTTAACATACCAATGCCAAATATTTTGTGGCCATTTTTAATAGTTTTCTACTACCATGTAAAGCAAGGGAAAAATGATTTCTTCAGAGTATTCGCAAAAGTTCATAATTTTTGAAAAGTATATCATTAATACCACACTGTTGCTGTTTTCATCACTAACATCACCTACTTATAATAGTCTGCATTCATAGACTACATTCACTGTGTTTCTAAGAGTATATGCAAGAATCTTATCACTTCCTTATGTATTCCAATACTGTCATGCTCAAGTATTTATATAATAAAACTTTTCTTATAAACTTTCTCTTTCATATTGTATATAAAGTCTTATGTTGCCTTTTACAAAACTGTATAGGGAGGTCATGTATTTCATTGGTTTCATTTTAGGAGAGTAAAGGGTATATTATTCTCCTAAATATTATATTTACTATAAATAGTGGTCATTGACTCTGACCGGGTTGAGAACTGTTGCTATATGGGACTAGGGAACAGGAAGCAAGTCAGAGACTTCCAGCAGAAGAGTGACATGAAGAAGCAGAGACGGAGGTAAAGAGGGGCTTGACGGTAAAGAAAATAAACTGGAAAAGGAGATGGCAGGAGGCAGAGAGACCAGAAAAGAGACAAATACAATCTAGGTAGGGAAGTAATGAAGACCTAAGATATCATAATGAGTGAGAGTCAGAGGAGGATTTTACGGAGGGCGTCTTGAAAAAGTGAAGTCGTTGGAACTCAGGCATCCAGTATCACAGTGTCATTGCATTGTTAGGCTACAGTGATTGTGTTCTCAAATAGTCTCACGTACGTGCACATACTTGCAAGCATACATATGCGCTCATACCCTTCAACTCTCCAGATTCATTACCAAATAATCCCTCTCCCCTTCTGCCGCCAAATGGAAGATTTATCGCACCAGCGATTCTGAAATGTGACAGCTCAACCTGACGTTAGTCTGAATCAGAGGGGCAAAGCCTTATTTGATTTGTGATTCTCTATCCAAGATAAACCCTGAAATAAATTTCAAGTGTGCTTTAAGTACACTACAGGTTATAAATCATATACTTGTATTCTCATTCTACAGTAAGCATAAAACCTCATAAACTATGTGATATATAATCTCCCTTCCCCCTTGCCAAATTCATGCACACTTCCTGACTTGCAGGGAGAGAATGATAGGAAATTAAGAAACTCAGAACCAGTGATAATTTGTCTGCAGCATGCATTTTTTCTATTCAGTAGCAACTATAACAAATGAAGTTGTTACTAGATCAGGCAAGGGGAAACCATGGTTGTAAATGGCAGAAAAGCATTTCCAAAATTAAGGGATGGAGAGTCCAAGATGGCTGACAGTAAAAAAAATAAACTGGATATTTACTGTATGATCATCCATTTTGGCAAATATTGGGGATAAGAGAATGTCCCAATTCCTGTTCAATTCCCAATTAAGATAAAAAGTGCACTACAGGCTGGGTGCGGTGGCTCACGCCTGTAATCCCAACAATTTGGGAGGCCGAGGCAGGTGGATCACCTGAGGTCAAAGCCTGGCCAACATGGTGAAACCCCATCTCGACAAAAATACAAAAATTCAGCTAAGCATGATGGTGGGTGCCTGTGATCACAGCTACTCGGGAGACTAGGGATGTGGGAATCGCTTGAACCCGAGAGGCGGAGGTTGCAGTGAGCAGAGATCGTGCCATTGCACCCCAGCCTGGGCGACAGCAAGACTCCGTCTTGGAAAAAAAAAATGCATTATATTCTGTATTTGAGATTAGCTTATATATCCATACTCAATTTCAATTTCTCTAAAAACAAACATGAGTCTGTCTAGTTATTCTAATCCCTGTCAGTCCAACAGTACTGAGTTAGACACAAATATCACATTCTTCATTGTTTTTCGTAAACAATTTCTAGCTTAGTGAGAAAAATGGTGACCCTATCTTTCTCAACTTGTAATTTCTTTCTCTACCCTACTAAAAAATGTCAGCCACATCCCATCATAGTGAAAAAATGTTCCTCTAAACTTCACCACTAAATTCTCACATTGTCCAGTTCCTGTTTCTCTTTATGGGTTACTTAACATCTGAAATGTATTCTTAAGCACTTTGCTATTTTGTGTGTGACAAATACAAGACAAATCCCCAAAGTCTATGCTACCTGCCTGAAATGGATAAGGGCACAGATATAACACCATCCATCTCTCCACATCTTTGCTCCCTGAGAGGGTTTGATAAGAGGTGTATTCTGTATTGGTCATCTATTATGTTACAGGTTAGGAGGTTTGAGCCATGAATAAACAGAAAATGACCTGAAGCTAAAAGGACACGCTGCCAAGTGAGGCAATCAGTGACCATGACTTAAAGGCTATGTTCTGCCCTCTTCCTTCTAGTTAGACTGGGGCAAAAATCCCAAGCTTTCTGCCGTGGAAGGCAAGGCTCCCATGACCCTCCCTCTGCCTGTTACTCTTCTCACCTCCCATCACTGCTTCTTTGCACCCCTGTGGTCTTTGAATCACATTCTCCCCTCTTGAGCCTCTGAGTTCTCATGCTGTGATTCTTCCTGGAATCTGCTTCTTTAAAATTGTCCCCTGACTGACATCTGCTTATTGTTAAAAACTCAGCTCTAGTATCACACATTGGGGTAGATACCCTTTCTCTCTACTTTCACTGCAAACAGTTAATCTCCATTCAGGTACTTCTTGGTTACCTTGTGATTGTCTCTTTACTCATTGTCTCTAGGAATATTGAGTTTCTCAAGGGCAGAGACACGTCCTTTTGATGTTTGTATTTCCAGTGCATAGTATAGTGGACACTCAGCAAATGTTTGTTGCTTACCTGAGTAGGGAGTCTTTTGTTTTTTGTCTTCTAAGGGGAAAATAGGCTATGGACAATGAAAATTGCTTTTAAAAAAAAAACGTTTTCCCCCTGAGGGTAAGGAGAGGGGTTTGCAAGTCAGAGCTTTTACTAACCAGGGTCATAAAGTCAGCTGTGCTGACTTGATCCCACTCAAGAGGTAGGGAATTGCCTGATTTTAATGGTGCTAGCCCATAAGAACTTGGACTCTACATGTCATGGCCACATAATCCCCAGTGAAACTCCCATGGGTTCACTTTCAGTATGCATTATGTTCATGCATCCAGAAAGTGGGATCAAGTAGTGTTACTCACGAGACTCCATAGTGCTTGGAAATCTGGATTAGAGGCAGGATTATAACTGGCAGGGCCATGCTAGGCGAGGAGTAGATGAGACACAAGCAGTCCCTGGAGCCTGGGGCCTCTCCTCACACGGTATCATCAGCCCCAACAGCTGTGTGTGAAGACACTTCCAAGCACATTTTGTTCGATGATCAGCTGAAACCCACTGCTTAGCATCTCTTTTCTTTTATGTAATCCCCTTGGGTGTAAGACATAGGGCCTTTGTTGAAGACAGTCTCACGCTTACAAAAAGTATCAGATTTAGACTTCTAACATTATTTCCAAGTAAGGTGGTACAACAGTCAGAGATGCAGTAGCAGAGTTGAAATAAATAGTCATTCATCACACAACTTTAACCTTGTGTCCCATGACCAGATGTCACTTCCTGAAGTACACTGTGAGCCAGAACTTCTACCTTACAGACAACCTAATTGTTTTGGGTGTGTGTCAACCATGTTAATTTGTTAAATGTAAACAATGTCTACAACTGTTTGGCCTGTCATTACTTTTTAACAAACTAGAAGACACTTCTCTAGATAATTCTGTGCTTGCTAGGCCCTCTTATTTATAGGATCAACAGATAATGTACACTGAATCTACTTCATCAAAAAGAAAAATACCATTTACTTATTACTTACCAAATTAAGTTTTGCCCAGAACTCGGGTCCTTCTTCCATCTCTCTGAGGCTCGGTGGAATGTACCAAAAGCAAATATTGGCATATTCAGGCTGAGAATTAGAAAAAATATAAAGTTGTTATCTTAAGATTTATCTTAGAATGCAATGAAATACTTTTAAAACTCTTAGCTAGTTTCTTCAAGAGTTATCATGTGTATAAAATTTTAACATCAGAATCTTATAGAGTAACAATCCCTTCTGCCTTCTTGATAACATCCTATTTAAAAATTTTCTACTCCATAGCGTGCACCTAGCAGGTTCTCTTTCATCTTAAATGTGCAAAGATCAGGAAAAAACAGTAAAGTTTGAAGCTGACTCAACCCAGCTCTGATCGTCAGTTAGTGCCTGCTTACATACATGCTCAGAGATGCCCTGGATCCTCTCTCTCCAACACTGATCCTTAAGTTATTTGCTATACCATCATAGGCTTCCAATAATTCTTCTTAAGGCAGCCAAAGTTGGCCCCTACACCTGGCAAATGCAAAAGCTTTGATTACCTGTGAGATGATAACAGCGTGACCTGCTTGGGCTTCACTAACCAGCACTACTATGACCCTAGCCAATACTGCTTTTGAAAAAAGAACATCACCTTGACTCCCGGCTCTCGAATATCAGTAAAAGTGCGAATTAGCTAGGGGACCTATTCAAAATGTAGATTCTCATAGGAACTCAGGTTCCTATGTTCAAAATGTCCAATGTCTAAGTCCATCCTAGAAAAGGCTAAAGAATTGGCATTTTATGAAGCATGTCAAGTGATTCTGAAGCGGGCAGTTTATGTTCTATCAGAAACTCTCATCTACACTAAGTAATCATAACCCAGTTATCTTCCCTGCCAGTCTGTTTTTCTATCAGACATGACTTGCTTAAACATGGGACTGTATTGTAACAGGCTTTAGCCCAGCCTTTGTCACGCAGACAAGGCTTTGTCCTCACTGGACAAAAACATAGGAAATGCGATGACTACTCAATGACTAGGAGATCTGGGACATTATGTTGGGGGTTCACAAATTAGACATATAGAATTGTATTCAGGAAAGATTGTGTCATATGCATCTTCCTCATTTGATGCTTCACACTGACAATATTTGAACTGATTTTCATTTTCTGCCATAAACAGTTTGTAATAACCAATGTTGCAACAGTTCTCAATAACTGTCAGAATTATGCTCCAGTATATAAAGTTTCAAAGCATTTCATCAAGAGGAAAGACCCATCATCTCATATCTTAATAAAAAGTAGTTTAAAATGAAACACTGTAATTCAACTCAATTTTCACAAACATCTATTGAGACTACAGTCATTCTTACAAATCTACACAATTTATACCTGGATCTCTGAAGTATTGAAAGTAATGGCAAAAACCACAATGACTTTTGCAGCAACCTAATATAATAGATTTATCTAGGATAGACTGTACTGAACTCCCAAATTCTTTGAGCATTTAATGTGAACACATTTTTCAAATGAAGTAACTATACCTGACTAGAAAGTAGAAGAAAAATATAGTAATTATCTGTCACTAGATTGTGTTATGTCAGTTATCAATTTATTGCCTCTCAGCCAGAAATCTACCCTTTTTGAGTGTCCTAAAATAATGTAGGTGGACTCTGCAGATATTTCTCCCATGACATGTGGTCCAATCTTAGACTTTGTCAGCAGAGGGTGCTGGAGAGACACTGGAGAAGGAAGGAATGCTTTCCTGGTGTGGTGTGCTCACTTTCATGGGTCTCCTACAGAATCTGTGGTTCATTTCAGCAGTACTGGTGACCAGAAACATAAGTACACCCCCACCCATCTACCCCAGTAGCTTCCCCCAGTACACCCCTTTCAGGTGGCATCACGTGGCATCACAGCAGACAGGCAGCAAGTGGAGAGCCCATAAATGGCTTTTCCTGGCATACTCCCCTCAGGTGGTTTCAAAGGAGAGAGATGCCAGCTAGGCACCTTGCCTTGGATGACTTCTCTGGCACTCCTTCTAGGTAGCTTGCAGTGATTTCCAAGTTGTGGCATGGCCCCTGTAGATGGCTTCCCTCAGCTCAGCACTCCAGACTAGATTTCTAGTGAGTACCACCAATGTAACATCTCAGTAAACTTTTCTGCTATCCCATGAGCCAAGGTCATACTCTCTCTGAAGAGGTCTAGACCTCAGTCCTGGGAAGGGATGGACTCTCCCTTGGGCGCTCTATCTCAGTGCCAGGTGTGGTGGCTGCTCTCTATATCAGCTACTCCTGTTCATTTTTAGGTTTTTCATTCTCTATGAGGCAATCCTCCATTACTCCAATCCCTTGCTAATAATTATTGATATTACACTTTCCCACTTTACCATGCAGTTCTTGTCTTCTGAGTGGACTCTAATATGTCACCAAATTTGTTATTCCCTTTCATTTGCATAGGAACATTACAAAACAGTTTACGATGTTTTATCTATTATGGGTTCTATATTTTACAAGTTAGGACTTAGATCTGATTCCTTTTGCCCAAACAGAAACTTACTAAAAAATGCAAAAGGTCTATCACTAAGCACTTTTAGAATGGAATGGCTTCAGTGCTACAACATTTGAAAG
Source organism: Homo sapiens (assembly GCF_000001405.40). Classification (NCBI taxonomy): domain Eukaryota; kingdom Metazoa; phylum Chordata; class Mammalia; order Primates; family Hominidae; genus Homo; species Homo sapiens. Next base: position 30,780,782 of record NC_000003.12, read on the forward strand.
CTTATAAAGCCCTTCTGACACTTCACTTCATTGGAAGAAATTTGATGTTTCATTTGGAATATCTTTGCTTTGGTCATTTCCAAAATTAAGAGTTGAAAAAGTCTTTGAATTTTTGCAAAAATATATTTGACTTTTTCCTGTCTCTGCCTCTGTAGCTTGTATTTTACATAATTCTTAAAGAGACTTCAAAGCACTAATGAGTATTTTCAGAGTAAATCATTTGTATACCCCTTAATTTTAATTGCCTACATATGTGAAAGTCTGACTTCTTGGGTGTCCTGAGAACACATTTAGTCTATGTTCTAAAATCCACAAAATTAGGAAGGTATTTACAGGAGTCCAAGTATCTAGTGAAGGGTACAAAAACTCTGGAGCAGCAAGTGCATTGTCATAATCTTTAAAAAATTCATGATAAAGGAGTAATGTGCCATTAAAGAATGAATACATTCTATACCGGTTTTCAAACAAAAAACATTCTAAAGTTCTTTATCAATTTCAGGAAGAATTATTTAGCAAATTTTGAGACCATTTGGGAAAGAAATTAGTGGTCACTAAGGTAGCAGCTCACGTTCTCTAAAACTGAGTTATGTCAAAAGAAATTCATCTCCTTTGCTTTACAATGTCATTAGATCAGAATAATAGGTAACAAAAGCTAAAGCTAGCACTATTCTGTTTTAATAAATGTAAATGCAGAATCCAGCACACAGATTCAAACAATCATGCAAATATAGAGTGAAGGAAAAGCTGGAATGGTGAATTTTAATTGACTTCAAGCTTATAGGTGTTAAGATTAGACTATTGAAAAATTTCAAAGGCAGCACTGGATAGCAAAAAAGCCTAAGTTTTGGAGTTGCAAGGATGTGGCTTTGAATTTCAACTTCATCAGATCTTTGGGATGAGTATCAAACTTTCTGTTTCTGCTTCCTAAACTATAAAATGTAGATGATGTCTGCCCCACAGGGTTGGTTTGATGATTAAAGAGAAAACGTGTTTTCAAAATTTAGTACCGTGTCTGGCACACAGCAAGCACTGGTCAGTTAGTGACTATTATTTGGGGCCATAATGGCAAAAAGAGATGTCTTTTAAAGTGGATGAGTAGCTCCATTAAAATGTGCACTAGTGAGGTACATCACTATGTTAATTTCTTGGTACTATATTTGAAGGGAAACATTAAGAAATAATGTCCAGCGAGGGGTAACCAAGCTGTTCAAATTAATAAGCAAAGCTTTCTATGTTATAGATATTGACTAGGCATCAGGACAAGAAAATGACACTTTCTGAACTTGGAATGAATAGAGGACAGGGTGTACTGAAGAGAGGTGAAGCTAGAAACGAAGATGGGAGTCATGTCATGAAGGACTTCTCGTATGATGTACTTGGAAGCTTGGGCTTGATTCTAGAGGAACATGGAGTCACTGGAGAGTTTCACTATAGGAAATAGATCTCATCTTTGAAAAGCTGCTCTAGCAGCAGTGTGGCAGTTAGGCTGGAGGGATCTAAGACTGGAAGTGGGACACAAGTTAGCAGACAGTACCTAGATAGTACCAACCTGAAGAGTGATGAGATCTTGAACTAAGGCAGTGGCTTTGGGAGTGGAGAAGACTAAGCATTCAAGATATACTTAGCGGGGAAGAAAAGGAGATAGTAAAAACATCAAGATTTTTGGTTAGTGGATCATAGTTCTAATGACCAAAAGAAGAAAGTAGAATTTTGGTAAGGAAAATACTACACTTAAGTTTTTAGAAATGTTGAATTTGAGGTGTCTGTGGCATCTAGGTGAAAATTTCAGGAAATATTCATATACAAAGGCCTGGAGTTTAGGAGCTAAGTTGAGGATGAAGACATACAAAGAGGCTATTGATAACAAAGTTCTGAATGTGAAGACATTTCAGGGAGACTGTGGCCAAAGACAAAGTGTTAGAAGAATATTTAAGGGAGTGCCCTGATGAAAAGTCCCTTACATGGAGACTGAAAAGAACAAGTCACATGGAAAAGAGAAATTGGGAAAGGAAATCAAAGAAACTAAGACAGGGGAGACTATCAAGAGATGGAGTGATGAATGGGTAACATACAATGCTACAGAATTTCAGCAAGATGAAGATTAAAATAATGTGCTTTGGATTTAGCAATTAGGAGGTAGTTATATAGTTTTATTAGATTACAAGATAACAATGTAAGAAAAATCACAATGTGCTTGATACATATTAGTAGGTTCACTATTAGAACATGAATAATTAGAGCTATCTGGAAGAGGAATGAACTAGTGAATTCTCTGCAAATAGGAAGTATTCAATCACAGGTTGACCACCTGTTAACAGATACATTAAGACAGGTTTGCTGCATTGTGCAGGAAGTTGACTATATGTCCTCGAAGATCTTCTATAACTCAGTTGATGAAACATTAATAACTCCTCCTAGTGTAGACCTTGAGAAAAGAAAAAGTTGAATAATTAGGACTCTCCCAAGAGATAAAAAATAAAATATGTGAATTGACAGTGTAAGAATGAATATACCTCTAGGAAAACATCTATTAGATCTTAGATCCAACACAGAAAAATAGAGATGATTTTCAGGGGCCTATGAATAATTCAGAATTCACTTAAAATAATACATTTCTTGAAGATGATTGAAAGTTATTTTTATTCTTTCCAGGAAAAAATACTCAAGTACTGGGTATTGTCTTGTTATGTTCACTTACAATTTCCAATGTTCCACTTTCTCCTTGCTGTTAGACAACAGTGACACATACTCTCTCAAATACATGTACATATACATATATAGACATACAAATGCATATAAGCAAAAAGACTATCAACTTTATATGTGACATTCAGGGTCTAATTCTGCTTTATTCTCAGTGTAATAAAAAGAAAAGCGGCAAATGCAGATCACATACAAAAATCCTTACACCAGGAATTCTGGAAAACCATTTAGAAAACCACCTGCACTGCTTGTGGGCCAGCTGGCTCCCACAGATGAAAAAATCCAGGGGCAGAAGGCTGACTAAAATCCCACCTTAGCTTTCATTGCAAGGACATGAGTGTTTGCAATTTCCTAATGACGATGGTAAGTGGTTTTTCTTTTCTAAGACTTTAGGAAGAATATATAAAGAACTTTTTAATCGGCCCATCTTTTTTCTCATCACTTCCAGCTCTGTCAAAAGACTGTACAGTTTCAAGGTGTATAGGACTTTTCATAAGCACTATAGCTCCCAACACCAGAGAAAATAACACAACTCAAATTGAGAAAATAGAGGAAACTCAAACCCGAGAAAATATAAAGTGATCAAACTCAATTCAAATAGGACTGCTGTTTCTCCCATACATGCTTAGCTATCCACCACTAAAAACTATAGACATTTTCTTACATGTTTATAATGCCATTATGCCTCACAAAATTGACAATTCCTTGACACCATCTAATAGCCAGTTCATATTCAAAACTCCCCAACTGTTACAAGAATTACTTTTTACAGTTGGCTTGTTCAAACTGGGATTTCAACAAGGTCCATATGCCTTATTTGGTTATGCCTCTTCGGTCTCTTTGAACCTAAAGAGATTATCACTACTCCCTCTGTTTTCCTCACATCACCGGCCTGTTGAAAGAAACCAGGTTGTTCTGCAGAACTTCTCGCACTCTAAATTTGTTGTCTTTATAGTACTACCAGAAAGTTGTTTAATTTTTAATCATTTTGGTATGCATGCAAGATCTTCCATATGTCTAGCTTTCTAGCACTTTGGAAGCTTAGAACTTTCTAGTCTGATGCTTCCTTTGTAGATACTAGGGGAATCCATGCTCTAGATTCTCTGGAAAGTATTTCCCAAACTTCCCTGAGGACTATTGTCATATTTCACTTTGGCTACTAAAAACAGTTTCCAAGTTTGTCTTGCTTATTTTTCTCTTGTCCTCTTCACTATTGCTTTTTCAACATTCCTCTCTTCTCATGACATCAAGAATAATCTTTTAACATGCAAGTCAGACTCCTGTCTTCTTAAAACATCTCCAGTGACTACATTCGGGATACAGGCTAAAGGCCTCACCTTGACTTACCTGACCACCACCTGCTCTGGTCTCTGCCCACCTCTGCAATTCCATCACCTGCTGCACACTCCCCTTCATTCAATACAACTTTTTTTGGCTGCTCAAAGACAGAACTCTCTTCAGCTTTAAGCCTTGCAGTTGTTTACCAATTCTGCCAGAATATCTGTCCCTCAAACATCCGCATGGCTTGCTGTTTATCTTTATTCAGGTCTCAGCTCAAAGATAACCTTAAAATCCCCTACCCAGATTACTCAAACCAAATAAGCCGTCCCCATTTCAGCATTCTACACTTTTCCCCCCAGTACAGTACTATATCTATAACCTGTCTAATTATTTGTATACTAGATTATCTCATGAACATGTTTTATTGTTTTAAGACTACCTGATTTCCCTGTTAATTAATTTGCTTAATTAGTGCCTTTCAGTTTCCACTTGAATGTAAACATGAAATTGGGGGACCTTTTCTGTTTTCTATCTCCTGTGCCTAGAACCATGCATGACATAGTAATTGTTCAATGCATCTTATTGAATAAATACCAAAAAAGCTAGATTTCTTTTTCTTTTTTTTTTTTTCCCCCCGAGACAGAGTTTCACTCTTGTTGCCCAGGCTGGAGTGCAATGGCGCGATAGCTCACCGCAACCACCGCCTCCCAGGTTTAAGCAATTCTCCTGCCTCAGCCTCCCGAGTAGCTGGGATTACAAGCATGAGCCACCACGCTCGACTAATTTTTGTATTTTTAGTAGAGACAGGGTTTCACCATGTTAGGCTGGTCTCGAACTCCTCACCTTGTGATGCCTGCCTTGGCCTCTCAAAGTGCTGGAATTACAGGCGTGAGCCACTGTGCCTAGCCAGCTACATTTCTTATGTATAGCACAGGTTCCAAGACTGGAATCTCTAGGTTATTTTTACATTAGGTTAAAAACTGCTATAATACATATACTATAACAAAATCTAAGAAGTTTGCAATTTATATTTCTTAAAAACCAGAATTACACATTAAATATTTATATTTTCTAAACATGTTTTAGAAAAAAATATTCTCTACATTTGTAACCACCTAATTTCTTACACATAGCAAACAATCCAACATCAGCAAAATGACTTATTTTCCCATTGCTCCAAAGCTAATATGCTCATTATTTTATAAAAAGAGAAAACTGTATGCAGTACTGTACATTCACTTAATTGATTTTTCACATGCAGGCACCACTACATCACAGATGAATATTTGCAGTACAATCATGCAATTTATATACCAAGATAGAGGTCATAATTTATTCAATATTATCCTTGGTAATTATTATTGAGCATTTTAATTTTCAATACTTAAAGGCAAGTATATTCTGTGAATCCAACAAAGGAAAAGTACTCACTAATAGAGTAAATTAACATAATAGACTATGAATTAAGCTAATGACTTGTTTTTAACTCTGCAACACAAAAACCAATGAAACATATAACAGATAAGAAAATTACCACCTTCATCACTGTTAACTGACAAAATCACAAGCACAATTATGCAATCACTTACTTCCATCAGTAACTTGAATCCTTCTCTTTTCTTGATTTCATCTACTAGGTACCTAAAATTAAAAGTCACAATAATATTTATAATCTGCAATGTAAAAGTGTCATGAACATGACTGATATGACAAAACTGATTCAGACAGGGCTTGGAGATAAGAAAGATACAGATAAAGGTCAAGGAACAGGCAGAGCTATGGATAGATAAATACTCCAGACCTACTGTAATTTCCTTGGCCTGAGTAAAAGGATGCATCTTTTTGATGATGATATCTATCTCACATGTTAGCATCAGGCTTTAACCCTGGTGTGAAAAGCCAGATAAAGCAGGCTGGATATATATCTCTGAACATGTGGGTCTTACATTCATACTGTAAATGGGGGATTTAACCATAGGTACTTACATTAAATAGCTGGCTTGGAGGAAAGAGTTTTTTGTTTTGTTTTGTTTTGTTTTTGGTGTCTAATCCTGCTTGTAAGTTCACTTAAAATCAAGAAAGATCAACATAATCTTTTCTAAGTCCAGCACAGAGAGGAGGACTGATAATCAGTATCATGTTAAAAGTAGGCTGATTATCCTCAGCAAACTAACACAGAAACAGAAAACCAAACACTGCATGTTCTTGCTTATAAGTGGGAGCTGAACAGTGAGAACACATGGACACAGGGAGGGGAGCAACACACACTAGGGCCTGTCAGGGGAGGATGAGGGGAGAGTATTAGGGAAAAGAGCTAATGCATGTGGGGCTTAATACCTGGGTGGTGGGTTAAGTGCAGCCAACCGTGGTACATGTTTACCTAGGTAACCTGCACATCCTGCGCATGTACCCCAAAACTTAAAAAATACAAGAAAAAAAATTACCTGAATATGAGGGGAAAAAAGTGGGCTGTAGCCATTGATATAATATCTATAAAGTCATTTTGAATGTTGGGGGAAAGAGAATTGTCACACCTAAGTAAAGGGCATAGATGAAATATGGAATATGAGTGAGAAAAGACTAAAACAACATTGAGAACATGGTGCCCTATATAATATTGACTCCTCTCTTCTAGGCTTGGCTTTTGTCTGTACCAAAAGAGAAGTCTGAAATGGCTGGCCTTGAAAACTAGTGATTCACGAGCCTTTGAAATATTCACAACACTTGACCCAGTACTTCAAATCTAGGACTCAAACATAAGGAAATAATAGAGACGCTGACAGAAATGTGTTTGTCAGAGCATTTATTGTGATTTTTATATATAATAGCAAAAAATCACACCGAACATCAGGAATGCCTTTGAAAACTAGATTCCAGTAATAGTTATGATCCTATGATCATGTCACTAAATCATAAATATTCAACTAATATTTAAAGACACAACCATGCTCCTCTTGGGCCTCAAGTCTCTTACCTGTAAAACTGGACTAATACAATCTTCTTCAATTTGAAATGGTTTTTTAAAATAATAAACATAAATGCAGACTATAAAAACTGGAAAGGGATTATTACGTCATTTTAGGAAGGCCATTCTATAATGTGAATATGGAATACACTAGTTTTTAAGATGTTCCTTTTTGCAAATTTATACAGCTTTTTATATTAAAATATTGATGTTTGTATATTTCAAAGATATTATCTATATGCAATTGTATTAAAAATTGTCAATATTAACTAGTAATATGGGAATCCTTGAGCGATAACGTGAGCATACACATGGGCACGTATGCTCACAAAGTACCAGATGTTCTACATATGCCATTCTCTGAACACTTTTTCAGAAGACATGTAGCTATAAAGTTTTTAAACCATCTATCACACTGGCTAGCTTTCATAAAAAGCAATTCCATTGCTCAACAGATATCAGAAAAGTTATTCAAAATCAGTAATAATCAAAGAAGTGCAAATTAAAACAATATAGGCATCCCTCGGGGGTATTGTAGGTTTGGTTCCAGAACACTACAATAAAGTGAATGCTGCAGGAAAGTTCCTCAGTGTATATAAAGGTTACATTTACAGTATACTGTAGTCTGAGTTTACAATGGCATTATGTCTAAAACACAATGCACATGCCGTGACTAAAAATACCTTATTGCTAAAAAGCGCTAAGGATTATCTGAGACTTCAGTGAGTTGTAATCTTTTTGCTGCTGGAGGGTCTTGCCTTGATGTTGGTTGCTGACTGATCAAAAGGCTGAAGGTCGGGGTGGCTGGGACAATTTCTTACAATAAGGCAACAATGAAGTTTGCCACATTGCCTGACTCTGCTTTCACAAAAGATTTCTCTGTAGTAGGCAATGCTGTTTGAAAGCATCTTACCCACAACAGAACTTCTTTCAAAATTAGTCAATCCTTTCAAACCTTGCTGCTGCTTTGCCAACTAAGTTTATGTAATATTCTATATCCTTTGTTATCCTTTCAACAATATTCACAACATGCTCACTGAGTAGATTTCTTCTCATGAAACCACTTTCTTTGCTCATCCATAGGAAGAGGCTCCTCATCCATTCAAGTTTTATCATGAGACTGCAGCAATTCAGTCACATCTTTGGGCTTCATTTCTAATTCTATTTCTCTTGCTGTTTTCACCACATCTTCAGTGACTTCCTTCCCTGAAGTCTTATACCCCTAAAAGTCAACCATGAGAGTTGGAATTAACTTATTCTAAATCCCCATTATTAGTATTTTGAGCTCCTATGAGTCATCAGTGTTTTCAGTGGTGTATAAAAGGGTAAACCCATAAAATTTTCAATTCACTTTGCCCAGATCTATCAGAGGAATCACTGATATCACGGCTATAGCCTTACAAAACACATTTCTTAAATAAGACTTGAAAGTCTAAATTACTCCTTGATCCATGAGCTGTAAAATGAATGTTGTGTTAGCAAGCATGGAAACAATATTAATCTCCTTGTACATCTCCATCAGAGCTCTTGAGTTACTAGGTGCGTTGTCAATGAGCAGTAATATTTTGAAAAGAATCTTTTTTTCTGAGCAGTAAGTCTCAAGTCTCAACAGTGGGCTTCAAATATTCAGTAAACCATGCCATAAAGAGATGTGCTGTCACAGGCTTTGTTCCACTTAGAGTACAGGCAGAGTAAGTTTAGCGTAAATCTGAAGAGTCTTAGAATTTTCAGAATGGTAAATGAGCATTGACTTCAACCTAAAGTCACCAGCTGCATTAGCTCCTAACAATAGATTCAGCCTGTCTTTGAAGCTTTGAAGACGGGCATTGACTTCCCTCTGGTCATGAAACTCATAGGTGGCAGCTTCTTCCAATATAAGACTGATTTGCCTACATTGAAAACCTGTTTAATGTAGCCACATTCTTCAGTGATCTTAGCTAGATCTTCAGCATAACTTGCTCAGTTTCTCCATGAGCATTTGCTGCTTCAACTTGCACTTTTATGTTATGAGACAGCTTCTGCACTCGAACCTCATGAACCAACCTCTGCTAGCTTCCAACTTTCCTTATTCATCTTCCACACCTCTCTCAGCCTTCATAGAACTGGAGAAAGTTAGGGTCTTGCTCTGAATTGGGCTTTGGCTTAAGGCAATGTCATGCCTGCTTTGATCTATCCAGAACTCTACAACCTTCATAGCAGCAATAAAGTTGTTTCGCTTTCTTATTATTCATGTATTCACTAAAGTAGAACCTCTAATTTCCCTCAAGAACTTTTCCTTTGCATTCATAACTTGGCTATTTGGCAAAAGAGGCCTAACTTTGTCTGTCTTGGCTTTTGGCATGCCATCCTCACTAAGCTTTAACCATTTCTAGATTATTTGAAGTGACAGACATGTGACTCTTCCTTTCATTTGAACACTCAGGCCATTGTAGAGTTATTAGTTGGCCTAATTTTGATATTGCTGTGTCTCAGGAAATTGGAAAGCCTGAAGAGGAGAGAGATGGGAATGGCCAGTTGGACAGCAGTCAGAACACACTCAATATTAAGTTTTCCAGCTTCTATGGGTGCATTCTATGGAGCCCCAGAACAATTTACAACAGTAACATCAAACAGAACTGATGACTCAAACATTTTTATTATGAGAATTACCAAAACATAACACAGACATATGAAGTGAGCACATGCTGTTGGGAAAATGGCACTTGATAGACTTGCTCCATGCAGGATTACCACAAGCCCTCAATTTGTAAAAACAACAAAACCCCCAAAACACAATATCTGGAAAATAAGGTTAAGCACATAAAATGAAGTATTTCCTGTATTAACCATGTTTCCCAATGATACCAGAAATAAATTTTAGAGTGACAACATCCAGTGGTGGTAAGAATATGATAGAAAGTTGCTATAAACCTTTTAAGTAATACTCATATCTTATCAAGCAAACCAGTTTTGAAATGCTGGTCTACAAAGAAAAAAGTTATCAATATCAAGGATAGATATAACAGCATATATGTGCACATATATTTATATGTACTATCTAAATGTCTGTACTGTGGGTATATAGGTATATTCCATACAAAATAACTAGAAACAAGATTAATATTCATAAGTAGGGAATTAAAATGCGGACTATAGCAACATAATGTAATATGCAGCTATTAAAATGAATGAATTATATCCACTTAAAGCACAGGATGATCATGATAAATTAGTAAAAGATAAAAGTGAGGTTCTGAGAAATGGGGATGATTTGATTCAATTTTTACACTTTTTTTTTTTAAATCTCTATCCACATGTATATACAAAGTATGGAAGGATACGTCATAAATTGTTTACCTGAGGGAGGGGGAAACAAGATGCAATGAGGGTGTGTGGTTTTCCATTCCCTTTTTATATCTCCTTTCAAAGTTTCATACATGTGGTTACTTATATAGTTTTTGAAAAAGAACTTAAAAATACAAAACAAATAGATGAATATACTTCCTACCTATAGGAGAAAAGCTTTGTGAACCATCCTTTTTCTCCCTTTTCAGGCACAAATGTACTGGCAATCTGTTAACTCAAAAGCTTGTTATGATTTCATCCTGAACTGAGCCTATGAAGAAAGCTTTCTCCAGAAATCTTGGGAATAACTTTAGAAGATTCTAATTGTGCAGCTAAATAACTTTGTGAGTCTAGGCAAATTCCTAAGCCTTCCTGAGCCTGCCTCCACTTCCTCATGCACGTAAAGATGTACAAAAAAATTGGTAAAATCCTTCCCTTACAAGTTATGGCTACACAAAACTTGCATGTATTAACCATAGTATCATTTTAAAATGCTTGTCAAACTGGCTAAATGTGCTCCTAGAGGAAAGGCATCCTAAAACAGAGCTGAATTATTTCTGTTAAAACTCTTTTTGCTAACCATGTAGATCTGGGCTTTGTGTTGGGGTAATGTTCCTATCGCAGTCACTTTCAGAGCCTGTAAAGCCCAGTGATATGGTTTGGCTGTGTCCTCACTCAAACGTCATCTTGAATTGTAGCTCCCATAATCCCCATGGGTCATGGGAGGGACCTGGTAGGAGGTAATTGAATCATGTGGGTGGGTTTTCTCATGCTGTTTTCATGACAGTGAATAAGTCTCTCAGGATCTGATGGTTTAATAAAGGGCAGTTCCCCTGCAGATGCTCTTACCTGCTGCCATGTAAGATGTGCCTTTGCTCCCCTTTCACCTTCTGCCATGATTGTGAGGCCTCCCCAGCCACATGGAACTGTGAGCCCACTGAACCTCTTTTTCTTTATAAATTGCCCAGTCTCAGGTATGTCTTTACTAGCAGCATGAGAACGGACTGATACACCCAGTGTAACACTCCAGCTGAGTTGAAAGTAGAGGTGATTTTGAGGCAAGAGGAGATGCAGCTATTACTATAACAAAGGTCTTACACCAGAGTTTTCAAACTGTGATCCGTGGTATACCACCTTAATAGGTTTTCCACATAAAAAGTCCCACTATCAAATAAGTTTGAACACTGCTAGGCATATCAATTAGATTGATTTTTGTCTATGCTTAGAAGTACACTTGGCCAGGCATGGTGGCTTATGCCTATAATCCTAGCACTGTGGGAGGCTGAGGTGGGCAGATTGTTTGAGTCCAGGAGTTCAAGACCAGCCTGGGCAACATGGTGAAACCCCATCTCTACAAAGAATACAAAAATTAGCCGGGTGTAGAAGTGTACATCCGTGGTCCCAGCTACTCAGGAGGCTGAGGTAGGAAGGAGGATCACTTGAGCCTGGGAGGTGGAGGTTGCAGTGAACCATAATTGTACCACTGCACTCTAGCCTAGGTGACAGAGCAAGATCTTCTCCAACAGAAAACTATACTTGCCTTAATTCATAAGGCCATTTGTCAAGCTGGTTGGATTGTTCAATAATATCAGGAACCAGTTATTTAATTTCAGCTAGCCATGCTCTGTGTTAGGGAGGTTTCCTCTCATGTTCACAAGACAGCTGCTACAGCTCCATATGTCCCATCCTTATACAGCAGTGTCCGAAGAGCAGAGGGGGCTATAGCAAAAGCACTTTAAGTTCTATTTAGGTAAGAATATTTTCCCCAGAAGTCTTCACAGTATCTTGTTGACTGAGCCACATACCCTCCCCTAAACTAATAATTGGGGAAGATGGCTGACTAAACCAATGTTCCCAGATTGAACATTGCTACGTGAACAAAATCAAGGTTCTACAGGCAAGAGAGAATGGTCCTTGGTGAGCAAATCAACAGTGTCTGCATATTGATTAAAGTTAAAAAATGCTTCTATATTACAGGCCCTCTCAAAGTTTTAAATATCCTAATGAGTACTTCGAATCTCTAGGAGAGGAATAATATAGTAGTTAGCATCTCCCAGACACATTTAACCATGGAACTATTTTTTGAGGGATGATCTATTAAGATCTCTTGGAAGTCTACTGGCCACAGCATACTTTCACAAATGCTGGTTTATAAGTGTTTCTACTAAAAAGTACCCTATCCTCTTCTTAAATAAATGCTTAAATGAAATGTGTTGTTGGAAGGAAAGCCAAAATGTTTTAAGTCACCTCTGCTTATGTTTCTAGGGATGACTTATTCCTCGTAACTTTTTTTTCAATATATGAAAACAGCCTAAAGACAAAATACATTTAATAAACTAATCTTATACATGGTGCAAGCCGGAAAAAAAGTACGTTCAGTTTGGGGACATAATGCAGAAACCATAAACTACTATCAAAAGGCATTCAAGTAAGTGGACTCGAAAAGCAGTAATAACTTCATGAAACTCTTTGTCCTTTCCACTAACCTTGGCATAAAAGAGAGAAAAAAATACATATTGAGTTTTCACCAATCCTACTGTGGGGTAAGAACATATTAGTATTCTGGCTTGATCTTGGCATATGCATTAATGATAAACTTGCTGCAAAACAATTTTTCTTCCTTACAAAGAATCTCAGTTCTGATTGGGTTATATAAATCTCCCCCTTTGTTTTTATTTTTCTTGTCCTTTTGCAAGACATTCTTTCCTCTCTGCAAATAGCCTCTCCAGTCCCTTTCTTACTTCAGCAGCCGCTTAGCGCCTCCCTGAACCATTTTGGACCAAGTTTCTCTCCTAGTCTCATCTTCTCATTTGAAATCTCTTCTGATGCATTGAGCCTCCCAGAACTCCTGAGATTTTTCCATCTGCTTTCCGTATGCTCTGCATAGATCAGCACATGTCACATGACTTGTGGAATTCATCACAGACACCCACGTGCTCTATTCTACTGTAATTGTAACTTTTAAAAAGATCACCAATATAAAGATAAAATGAAAACAAAGACTGTTCCCTAGTCTTCCAGACTCTGTACCTCCCATCACCTAGAGAAATACACTGGCACAAAAGCACCATTGTGTAACTGCTCACCTTTTCCATACTGATAACAATACACCCCTCGGTATCCATGCAAGTCTATGAAATGATTTCCATTTGAGAGATTGCAGAGATTGTGTGTCAAGGGAATAGATAGATAAATGATACTCTGGAGACCAAACAAAGTAGCAGAGTGGGAGTTCCTGAGCTGTTTGTTGTTGAAAAGACTTAGACATGACTCTTCTAGCCTGCTTGAAAAATCCCTTAGTGGATATCCATTTAACCTGAATGCCATAACAAAGGCCTAGAAGGTGCCCTCAGCAACAGGTAACCTTGTATAGTAAAACATTTTTTACTTTCCTAGGCAGATATCAGAAATGTACAGTCACTGGCTTTGTGCCATAGTGGTAGTTTTAAACCTGAGCCCCCTGGGTTTCAATTATGCCCAGTAATCACATGTTGCTTTAGGCTCTCAGTGTCACTGATTTTCGAACCAAAGAAAAACAAAAGCATTTTAGTAATTAATATTTTCTGGGAGAAATGTTCTCTCTTCAATTGGGTTGACAGGGTCAAATGGAAATTAGGAAAAGCCTTAGAGGTCTCCTAGGCACTAAATTTTTCCTTGCTAAATTTCTGACAACCCATAAAATTGGAATCATTGTCCTCCTGAAAGTGTCTGCTCTTACTTTCCCAGGGGAATATGAAGAGGGCTATCTGATCGGTGCAGTGATCATTGGTCTATCAAAATCTCATCCTTAAATCTTAGTCAATATAAAAACTTCAAAGTTAAGCTCCATTTAGATTCAGGAACATGGAAACATTATTTCTATGGAATCAGTGTAATTCTTCCTGTATCATTATCAAAGGAAAAGAGTTGCACAGCTTTTCCAGTATTTTAGAGACCTGACCCTAGGGCCTAGGGAAGTGGATATTTTAGCTATAAGAGCCTGCCAATAACGTGCTCCTCAAATACTAAAACAATCATCACGTGCAGCTTTACTTTGCTGGAGTTATCTACTGAAAGAAGTTACGCTTCTTGGAAACAAAACAATGTTTCTGTAACTTAGAATTATTCCAGGTGGAGCCTTCCAACCATGGGTGAAATGCTTTTGATTTGGTAAACTCTGAAGCAAGTTGCTGGGCATCAGTGGGCTTCATGGGAAATATCTTGACCCTGTCGGTGGTTTGAACAGATTATGCTACTTCACATTATGCACATGGTTAGAAGACTGAAAGAGTTACGATTATAGCTGGAAGAGTTAAGATTATGACTCACAGAACCAGTGGTGTTCTAGAGCTACTTTGTAGTGGTTGAGAGTCCACTGTTAAATATTCAGGAATTTCCTCAACTACAACCATTGGTAGCTTGCAATTTGCTATGACAGAAATATTTACACCATGAAAATTGGCAGACACTACAAACTGGGGCTTTCTTTAACTTCTGAAAGAAAATTTACTGCCATACCACTGCATATAGGCTTAAGCAAACAGAATAGACCCCAGAATTGAGAAAAATATTCTATCTTTCCTAAAAAGCAGAACTACAAATGAATCAGTAATTTGAAAAGAAAGAAATCATGAAAATAAAGCCCTTCTGTTGCTAATTTACTATAAATCTTAATTCTAGAGAAACTCTTTCCAAGTTTTATAATTTCACATTCATACCAAATTACATGCCTCAAAGTACTCTGCCCTTTTCCTTGGCATTGGAGGTAGACTTTTGCCCACCCCAGGAATAGACTGTTGGATATCAAGAGTGTGGAAAGTTAAGGCAAAAAAACTATTATGAGTAACAGCAGGAAAGAGGAGGGATTATTTTTCAAATACTTAAACATAGGTCACAGTCTGCAGCAATGCTCACTAAAATGTTAATTCAATTCAACTTGACAAACATTTACAAACAATAAGTGTTTGTTGAATTGAATTGAAATGTTAACATTTATCCTCCTGTGATATTTCTCTGCAGAAATTAGAAAGTATTCTTAGACTGTAAACTAAATTCCACCCTGAGATGAATGTTAACTTTATAATAAATACAATCATAAAATATCTATAACCTTATTTCAAGACACCTCCCATTGAATTATTTCAAAGCTTAGACAAAATAATGCAGAGATTCTACCCCATTTAAATAGTGCAAGAAAATCCACAAAAAGGGAACAGAGCTTCCTGGACTTCTAATTTAGTGAGCAGCTATAAATAATTTATGGTAGACCGTAGACTGTCTTGTTTTTTCACCACTGGGTTATCTCCCCACTTCTAATAGAAGCACTTCAACCCTATCTCTAACAAAGGTACCTTCATCTAGGATCAGTACACATTCTATAAGAAGAATTGACACACTCCCCAGTGCCGAGAGAGAGCAGGTGAATCATCGTTACTACTGAGAGCATCACATTGCCCTGGAAACCATGACTGATTCAGAGATGGATATTTACTTCACTCTCAAATAATTAAACTTTCCTCGGGATTGTTGAGAGAGGAGTACTTTATCTTTTTGATCTTAAACTTGAACCCGAAAGAATATAGATCTGACACTCTTTGCATCCATCTTCCTCCATAGGAATAAACCCAACCTGAAGGAAAGCAGAACTGAAAGATGCAGAGAGACTGAGGACTGCTGATACTGTTGAAGCACCTAGACCAAGCCTTCTGAAAGTCATCACTACACTAGTCTTAAAAGCCTTAAATTACCTTTGTTTATAATACCTTGAGTTAATGTTTCCATCGCTTACTACCGAGAGTCCTCATATAGTATTCACAGGTTTTTCAAACTACTTCATACCCATAATCACCAGAATTACTGACTTCTAAAAGTCTTCTGAAAATGCCAAAGCCATGTGTTTACCTGTCCTTATATCCAAGCCCTTTGCTATGTAACTTTGCAATTCTTCCTGCTAAAAGGCAGAGGGCACTTCCCACCTCCTCACATTGGGTTTAGCCATATGATTTTCTTTGACCAAAGGAGTATTATAACGCAATCAGCTACAGATATAATACAATCAGGAGTTTAAAGTGGGCTTACATAATTGGTTTGCCTTCTTGGCCTTCTGTCATGGCCATCTCAAGAATGCGCTGGCTAGTATGCTGATCAAGGAATATGAAAGACGTGGCGAGTAGACTCAAACACCCCAGCTGCTGTGATATGATATAAAGTATAAAGTCATGCTAGCCAACATTTAGACCTCTAGGGGGAAAACAATTGTTGTTTTAACACATTCAGACAGCTTGTTGCTCAGAATACCCACACTACTCCCAGTATAGAAAGAAGAAATTGCTATAAATCTCTAAGAAGGTCCTACATGATTTTCCAAGCAGTTAAGTAAATAATAACTAAAACTTAAATAGCATGTAGGACATCCCAGGCATTGATCTAAGTGTTCTACATGTATCAATTCCTTTAATCTTTACAGTAACTGTTTGAGATACGTGTTATTATCACTTTCCTGGGACAAAACTGAGGTGCAGAGAGACTAAGAAACTTGCCCCAGTCACACAGGATTTAGGTCTTGAATCCAGGTTGTCTGTACCTCTATGCTATTAGGCTAGATTTGTTTTTTGCGTTTTGTTTTGTTTTGTTTTTGTTTTTTTTTTGTTTTTTAAACTGTAAGAAATGATAGGGACTGTGTTTTTCCAGAGTCAGGCATCATCATGTTCAGCTAGTTGTTACCATGTGGGATTGAGAGCATTCTAAGCTTTGAGAAAAGCAAAAAATCCAGGTTTTTTATAAATTTATTTTTTTAAAAGCATTTCAAATATTGAAATGTTTGAATGTTTAACACCATGAAAGTTAACCTTGAACAGTATAAGCTCAACAAAACACATTTAAAACTAAATTTGGCTATGGCCTGTCCACCACTGATCTAAGTTTAGCAGTTCAGTCCTATTCAAGTAGCAATGTCTGGCACCTATATCTTGAGCTTTTCTAATGTTCTTGAAAGTGTGACAACAATTTTATTTCTAATGTTTACTACAAGGCAAGTAAACATGGTGCTTCCACACTGCCTTTCCCTTCGAGACTTAAGCTGCCGCCACAACTCACAGATCATTTGCTTTTCAGGTCCTTAATGTCACATCCAGACTTTTGTGTCACCTCACATCCAGAGACTTGGGCCTGCTGCTCCTTCCACTTGGGTCATTCTTCTCCCCTTCTGTTTTAGTCTGTTTTCACGCTGCTGATAAAGACATACCCGAGACTGGGAAGAAAAAGGTTTAATTGAACTTATAGTTCCACAGTTCCCTGAGGCTGGAGGAGGCCTCAGAATCATGGTGGGAGGCAAAAGGCACTTCTTACGTGGAAGTGGCAAGAGAAAAAGAAACGCAAAAGCAGAAACCCCTGATAAAACCATCAGAGCTTGTGAGACTTATGCACTACCATGACAGCAGTATGGGGGAAACCACCCCCATGATTCATATTATCTCCCACTGCGTCCCGCCCACAACATCTGGGAATTATGGGAGTAGAATTCAAGATGAGATTTGGGTGAGGACACAGAGCCAAACTATGTCATTCTGCCCCTTGCCCCTCCAAATCTCACGTGCTCACATTTCAAAACCAATCACACCTTCCCAACAGTCCCCTAAAGTCTTAACTCATTCTAGCATTAACCCAAAAGTCCACAGTCCAAGGTTTCATCTGAGACAAGGCAAGTCTCTTCTGCCTACGAACCTGTAAGGTCAAAAGCAGGCTAGTAACTTCCTAGATACAATGGGGATACAGATATTGGGTAAATACAGCCATTCCAAATGGGAGAAATTGGTCAAAACAAAGGGGTTACAGGACCCATGCAAGTCTGAATTCCAGCAGGGCAGTCAAATTCTAAAGTTCCAAAATGATCTCCTTTGACTCCATGTCTCATATCTGGGTCACGCTGATGCAAGAGGTGGGTTCCCATAGCCTTTGGCAGCTCCACCCCTGTGGCTTTGCAGGGTATAGCCCCCATCATGGCTGCTTTCACATGCTGGCACACAGTGTAAGCTGTCAGTGGACCTACCATTCTGGGGTCTGGAAGATGGTGGCCTTTGTCTCATAGCTCCACTAGGCAGTGCCCCAGTAGGGACTCTGTGTGGGGGCTCTGACCCCACATTTCCCTTCCACACTGCCCTAGCAGAGGGTCTCCATGAGGGCCCCCTCCCCTGCAGCAAACTTTTATCTGGGCATCCAGGGGTTTCCATACCTCTTCTGAAATTTAGGTGGAGGTTCCCAAACCTCAATTCTTGACTTGTGTGCCCACATGCTCAACACCACATGGAAGCTGCTAAGGTTTGGGGCTTGCACCCTCTGAAACCATGGGCTGAGCTGCACCTTGGCCCCTTTTAGCAATGGCTGGAGCAGCTGGGATGCAGGGCACCAAGTCTGTAGGCTGCACACAGCTTGGGGACCCTGTGTGTCCCCAGGCCCATGAAATCATTTATTCCTCCTAGGCTTCTGGGTCTGATGGGAGGGACTGCCATGAAGACCTATGACATGCCCTGGAGACATTTTCCCTATTGTCTTGAGGATTATCATTCAGCTCCTTGTTACTTAGGCAAATTTCTGCAGCTAGCTTGAATTTCTCCTCAAAAAATGGGTTTTTTCTACTGCATCGTCAGGCTGAAAATTTTCTGAACTTTGATGCTGTTTCCCTTTTAAAAGGGAATGCTTTTAATGGCATCCAAGTCACCTCTTGAATGCTTTGCTGCTTAAAAATTTCTTCCATCAGATACCATAAATCATCTCTCTCAAGTTCAAAGTTCCACAAATCTCTAGGACAGGGGCAAAATGCCGCCAGTCTGTTTGCTAAAACGTAACAAGAGTCAACTTTGCTCCAGTTCCCAACAAGTTCCTCATCTCCATCTGAGACTACCTCAGCCTGGACCTTATTGTTCGTATCACTATCAGCATTTTTGTCAAAGCCATTCAACAAGTCTCTAGGAAGTTCTGAATTTTCCTGTCTTCTTCTGAGCCCTTCAAACTATTTCAACCTCTGCCTGTTACCCAGTTCCAAAGTCGCTTCCACATTTTTGGGTATCTTTTCAGCAGCACCCCATTCTACTGGTACTAATTTACCATATTAGTCTGTTTTCATGCTGCTGATAAATACATACCCAAGACTGGGAAGAAAAAGGTTTAATTGGACTTACAGTTCCACATGGCTGGGGAGGCCTCAATTCATGGCGGAAGCCGAAAGGCACTTCTTGCATGGCAGCAGCAAGAGAAAACGAGGAAGAATGCAAAAGTAGAAACCCCTGATAAAACCATCAGATCTTGTGAGACTTATTCACTATCAGTGCAGTATGGGGAAAATAGCCCCCATAATTCAAATTATTTCCCACCAGGTCCCTCCCACAACACCTGGGAATTACGGGAATACAATTCAAGATGAGATCTGGGTGGGGACACAGAGTCAAACAATACCACCTTCTCTTCATTAGATCTCAGTTGAAAGTCACTTCCTCCAAGGAGCCTCTGCCAGTGTGCCTCAAGAACACACTAGAGAAGCCCTCCTGATTGATCTTGGACTCTATACCTCACCTTGCCAAAAATGAGGGTCATTTGTGCATCTCAGTAGGCTAGGATCTTGGAGGGAGGTGATAGGACTGCTCTGTTCATAATTCCTAACACTTAGTAGGTACTGAGAAAATGTGTATTGGATGAAATAATGCACAAATGAAAACATGTACTTGCAACACATTTCAAGTATTACTTTCCTTAGGTCTTCCTATTACAGACACAGATAGACACACACACACACACACACACACACACACACACACACACACACAGAAAGAGAGAGAGAGAGAGAGAGAGAGAGGCTAGTACCTAGATAAAGCAAGAGCACGATTAACTCTTTCTTCAAGGCCTAATGTACCCAGGGCCTTCCAGGTCATCCAGAACTTGAATGCATCTGGTCTTCTGCTACACTGGATAGACTTGTCTCCTGTGTCATAGCTCACATCATAGAATTTATCCTGCTGGAAGAGGTAAGATGCCTTGGCAGAGTAGCATTTTTTAAGAAGATCCTTCGAAAAAGAAAAGATTACAAGACTGTTAAACTTTAGAATATAACTTGATTTTGAAAGCAAACACATGTACACACACAATGTGTATATTCTACCTGTGCCAAGTGTACATCTCACTTTGACTGCCTTACATCAGACACAATCAGTGTACATTGACTTTCAGATACACATTACCCATGGTGTTACCAAACAAAACTTCAGAGTTGACAATGCTAAAATCCATCTTCACAATTTTACTGAGTATTGAGAAGCTGAGAAGACCATGTCATTATCATTATGACATCAAGGTGGCCCAGTTTTTCAGTGTGAATAAAACTGTCTATAACTCAAAGTGCTCTCCATTGGCCAGAAAAAAAAAACTGACATATTTACATATGTTATACAATTTCATAAGCAAAAAAACTAGGTTTTAAGACCTTCTCTCCTTCATATTCATTTGAAAAGGCTAGACCCAACATAACTCAGGGATAAAAACCCAGTGAAAGAGCTATGGAAGAGGTAAACAAGAGCCAACAAGTTTTCACTACCACAGAACATCAGCTATAATCCCACAGGGCCTTTTGTGTTTGTCTCATGCTGGTTTTATTTGCAACCAAATTCCATTTGCATTTACTGACTTGTTATCATTAAGAAATGGGTGATAATTTACTATTCATCACGATTATAGGGCCTTTGCCTCGACCTCAAATCATTAAAGTTGAAGCCATGTTGTCTTCAATGTCATCTAGTGTCTACAAAAGCCAAGATTTCCTAATCAATCATTTACAGCCCTGACAACTCCCCCAAAATATTTTAGATCCTTATGCTCCTCAGTGGAGCCAATGTACTCAATGTCCTTGAACCACTACATCCTGTCTCATCTATGTCTTGTCTTATACCATTTGCTTGAATCTAACTCTCTATTTTATTATGATACTTGACACTTTCAAAAGAATATATGCAGTCTACTTATAAGCTGCGAAGTTTACTGACACTAAACATAGCCTGCCTTCTTTCCCAGGTCTGCCCTGCTATCAGGTCCCATCTCAACTTTTTCTTCCCCTTCAGCTTCATCTGCCCATCTCCTTGGGCTCAAAGGAGTAACTGGTATTTGGCTGCATTTGTTGGCCTTGGTCCTGTGCTTTCCGCATGCAATGAGCAGTCACTACCTATATTCTCTCCTTGTGTGGTCAAGCAGGTTCTTGGGAGCAGGAATCATTTCCTATCCATTGTTACATCCATGCAGTTTAACACTGTGCTGGGCACAGAGCACTCTCATTAAGCTATCAAGACAATGATTCCACTCTCAATGCCCTGACATGTGGTATGAATAGAATAAACACAGTTGGATGAGCTTCTCATTTGGTGAATTTTCCAAACTTTAACAATGCAAAACTACTAGTGCTGTACAGGAAGCTACAAAAAAGCTTCTCAGTAGACATGGCGGTCCTAGAAAATGTTTCCTTCTGATCAGAGAATGTATTAAATGTGCTTCATTTGACTAATCAGCTTGTGCTAATTAGCTGAATGAAAAGGAAATCTCAAGATATCACATTTCAAATGAAAGCATAAGTTTGCTGACTTAATGTAAGCAACATTGTCTTGTGTAGATACTACTCTGGATCTAAATATATTCTATTACAAAAAAGTATGATTTTATACTACAGAGAAATTATATACCAAATATAACCAAGAATTACAATATGCCCCTCATCCAGTATCCACAATAAACTGAGTATAAAACTGATAAGGCTGGGCACTGTGGCTCACACCTGTAATCCCAACGCTTTGGAGGGCTGAGGCAAGAGGATCACCTGAGGCCAGCCGTTTGATACAAGCCTGGGCAACATAGTGAGACCCCATCTCTACAAACATAAAAATTAGTTGGGCATGGTGGCATGTGCCTGTGGTTGTGGCGTATGCCTGAAGTGGGAAGATCACTTGAGCCCATGAGGTCGAAGCTGCAGTGAGCTGTGAGCACACCACAGCTCACCAGCCTACGCAACACAGTGGGACCCTGTCTCTAGAATAATAAGAAAAATAAATATTAGTATGCCTTCAGCCTGGTTCTGATGGGTATTCTTGAGAGATACAGGGAAAGAGCAGATTGCTCTGACCTGAACACTAAAGTAGAAAAATCCCTTACTTTTAAGTCTTAGATTTTATCATCAATATCTCTCCTCTGATCACAGTTGCCACTGCTGCATCTCCCTGCCCTCAAAAGTCAGGAAATTTGGTTGTTTCCATAGCAACTACACTGACCATATATTATAACACTAAAAGGCCACTGCATGTACTTTAAGGACAAATCATGCACACATGTTCACGACACAGGCACACACACTTGCATTATGATTATAAATTTACTGTCACCAACCATGAAAGATTAAAAATCCCCAAAGCAAACGAACTTTGGACATTTCTTGAGCAAGTTTTAGGGGCCTATGGTAGTGATTGAAAGGGAGAGGACGCTCATCCATTATCAGAAGACAAATTGTATCATCATAAGCAAGTGGAGAACAAGAGAGCCAAGAAAGCAAATAGCAGAATAAACAATTGTCCTGCAATAGTGACAGTTAATTTTATGGCACTAAAAAATTCTGCCTTGGGAAGGTTTCCTAAAGAACAACTGGAGGCTTGGGATTTACTTTATCAAAAATAAACTTTCCTCCCAAAGATTTCACTTTGCATTTTAGTTTATGTCCTTGTATTAAAATGGATGAGATGTCCTTTAGTTTTAAGACATCAACTAAGAGAAGATGCTCAGATGTCCAGAGAAAACATTTTAGAATAAGTATAGTAAAACGTAACATTGTTGAAAATAGTTATTATTGTGCTATCAAAGAGAAGCACCATATTTATCTTGCTCATCTTCATACTCTTAATCCTAGCAGGACAATAAATATTAGTAACATGGCTTTCAGAGACAAGTATCCAATGAAAAGACAAATTGCTTTATATTGATATTAATTCAACTCTCCTCAGCGGATTAGTAGACATTGTATTAGGACTTGTACAGTGGCAAATGAGGTTTAAGCAAAAGGAGGGAGTATTTTTATAGGCTTTTGTATATTTAAAAATCTAGTCATATATAATCTTCAGGCACAGTTGAATCCGGTACTAAGTAATATCCATCATCAGGAATATGTCCTTTCATCTTGTTCTATTGTAGCCTATATTGGCCTCACTCCCTACATATGGAAAGCTGGTAGGAAGCCTGAAAACCAAAGCTTCCAGGTAGAATCTGTGAGCATGGAGAGGAGGCTCTGTTTGAAGACAGGAAATGACAAAGAGACAACTTCTGCTGGTGGTGCTACTAACAAAGATTCTGTTTTTGACTAACATTTAGTTACTTAGTCTGCGTCCTCTAGGTCTCCACCTTGACATTTATCTTTCTGTAAATGCATCACCCTATTGTAGCAAGAATCTTGCTAGTCAGTTTGGAAAGAATCCCCCACCCCGATATCTCCCTTTATCTGACCAAATTCTTCATCCTTCTTACTTATCTGACTATTCTAGCCTGCCTTCAGCAAGAATCTTGTTAGATGTCTAACCTGTATCCTTTTATTTCTAATGTTTTCTTAGTCATTTTCCACCCACTGACTCCCAACCTGCCCCTTGGCTATGAATCCCTACTTGTCCATGCTATATTCAGAAGTGAATCCGGTTATACTGAGGTCTATCTTCCTCATTGCAGTAGTTCCTGAACAAAGTCTGTTTTTACTACTTTACTGTCTGGTTCTGGTTTTCTTTAACATTACCCATGTAGAGAGAGACTCTTGGCCTCCTAACCTCACTATCTTATATGAACCTTTTTGTGACCAAACCTAGCAGGAAGCCAATTGGCAAAAGAGCCTGGAGAATATGGCTTTTAGGAGTCTGGACCTTTTGCAGCGCAAAGCAGAGGAAATAAAGAATGGATTGGATTATACAGTAAAGAGAAGCCAATGACAAGCACAGAAACCACAACTTTTACTTTCCCTCTTTGCAATCACAACACCTAACCTAGCGCACATAATAATGACCAGAGCTAACATTTATTGAGCTCTTACTATTTTCCAGACACTTCATATGTAATAACTCACTTAAATTTCACAACCCAGTGAGATAAATTCTATTTTTGTCAACTCCATTGTACATTTTGCAACACAGCAAGTTAATTACCTAAGTTCATGTAGCTACTACATGATAGGGCTAGGTTTCAAACCAAAAATGCTTAGATTCAGGGCCTGAACGCTAACCTATTATACTTTATTGCATCAACAGTGGGCACTTAAATACGTGTGAAAGAGGGTGCTCCATTTGGAGAGGCTGGTGAAAAGGAAAATGGCAGAAGAGAGAACACTGAGCTAGAGGTCAAAATAACTAAGATCCTGTTTCAAACTCTTATTTTTTCCTATAAACATGACCTCTGGTCTTAGCACCAGTAATATCCTGTTTTTAAAGCATTTTGAGATCTTTATGAATACTTGTGAATCTGGTAACATTATGGAAAATATTCACTCATTATGTGAAAGAATGAATCCGTAGGTTGTATATTCTCCTGACCAAGATTAGCCAAGCCATCTTTGATTTCTATAGGCCAGATCAGAATCTGCGGTCTCTTTTTGGTCAGTGATCCCATGGGTCTACTAAGTCAGGATTCTGTGCACCAGCAGTCCCCAGCCTTTTTTTTTTTTTTTTTTTTTTTTGGGCACCAGGGACCAGTGCTCATGGGAGACAGTTTTTCCACAGATGTGGGGTGTGGTGTGGGGGAGATGGTTTCAGGAAGAAACAGTTCTACCTCAAATCAGGCATTAGAGTCTCATAAGAATCACGTGACCTAGATCCCTCTTACGCACGGTTCACAATAGTTTGCACTCCTATGAGAATCTAATGCCAAGACTGATCTTGCGGGAGGAGGAGCTCAGGTGGTAATGCTTGCTCACCTACCACTCACCTCCTGCTGTGTGGCCCGGTTCCTAACAGGCCATGAACCGGTACAGGTCTGTGGCCTGGGTGGGAGGATCCTTGCTGTCCACAACAACAAACCTTTGTATTTCCTCCTTGCAATGATGTTTTTCAGCTCATCAAAGAAAAGCTACCAAAAGCTCTTCCCGTATGGCCCTTCCTATATTCTGTCCTATGTCACCATATTTACATGCAAAAAAAATGGTCTAAATGACTTAGAAAATAGGAATATTAATCATCTTTTAATAATTCATCTAAAAATTATGTATTGAGGACCTATTATATAACAAGCACTATCATGCCAGGAGCCTCGGTATACAAGCCCATGAAGGTGCTAAGTGTCTGGGTTAATATTTGTTGGCGTAATGTGCAAAATCAAATTTAGGTTGCAAATAAAAGACTTGGCTGTAATCTAAAATATAAAAGTGAACTTTTAAAATGATTATGCCATCTGATATTGGCTTTCTTTATTGATCAAATATTTGGGTACCTTAATATAGGCTGAAAGCTGTGCTAAGCACTGGAGATGTAATGGTAAATAAAAAAGTCACCATCCTTAAGGCATTTCAGATGGGAATAGGAGCAGAAAAAACAAGCCACTACTGTCCAGTGCTAGAATAGGAGGAAGAACAAGGCACAACAGAGCACAAACGAGGGTCATATTCACCACCTTAGAGGTGTGAGAGATGGCTTTTCAGAAGAAGCTGAGAGCTGAAAAGTGAGGGACAGCTGGACAGATGAGAGAACAGAACTAATTGAGTACAACTGGAGCTAATTAAGGAGGTGGGCCATAGCTGGAGAGTTCAGGCTAGAAATCTAGAGTAGCCAAGTCACCACGCATCTTAAATGCCACAATAAGAATGATTAGTGATGGAATCTTCCAAGGCTCCTACAGATATTACAACTTAAAACTTCATTACTAATCTGGCAGAATAAAGTGAGAATCAGCAGATGTGAATTCTGCTTTTGATTTAGTTACTTGGTGTCAGAGCTCAAAGCCTGTCACTTAACATCTTGGGCTTCATTTTTCTCATTGGCCTAATGAAAATGCTGTTACTTGTTCTACCCATCATACATAAGTATTATGAAAATCAAAGGAACTAATGTTAACTGGGAATACTCTTTAGTCTTAAGCCAAAAATCTTACCCACCACTCTTCCTCTTCTCGAACATTCCAGTATCCCCTGACCCCTCCCAGCTGTCACTGCCTGTTCTTCCTTTGGTTTACTTTATTTCCCCAGGCAAGCTACAGAACAGAACATCAGCTCTAGACTTCCCCACTGTTTATGAAATGAACATATTACAACCCTCACCCACCTTCCTTTTTAATGGAATGTATTTGCCAGTTATACAGTTATAGAAGTAGGCTGAGTTGACGAAAATATTACAAGAAATCTTAAAGCAATAGGAAGTTATCAATGCTCTACATCCTTCAAATGGAATGGATCCTGACTTAATTAAGCTCCCATACTTGATGTCCTTGGTAGATGCTGTGGGTCTTTACAAGTCTCAGTGTAGTTTAAATGGAACACTCTAAAGGTATCACATAAAATAAGAATGACCCAGGGTAGGGATGCTAGGTGGACTTGAGAGCTAAGGAGCCATCAAATGGCCAGGTGTAACTTGAGTTTTCTCCAGTTTCCTTAAGCAAAGAGGGAAAAATGGTTAACTCCTGTGTAGTTGGTGTGGGGGATGGAAGAGAGTAAGCAGAGGACAATAGTGAATGTGCGGCCGGGTGCAGTAGTGGCTCATGCCTGTAATCCCAGCACTTTGGGAGGCTGAGTCGGGCAGATCACTGGAGGTCAGGAGTTTGAGAGCAGCCTGGCCAACATGGCGAAACACCATCTCTACTAAAAATACAAAAATCAGGCAGGTATGGTGGCACATGACTGTAGTCCCAGCTACTCGGGAGGCTGAGGCAGAAGAATCGTTTGAACCCGGGAGGTGGAGATTGCAGTGAGCCGAGATTGTGCCACTGCACTCCAGCCTGGGCAACAGAGAGAGACCCCTTCGGGGGGGAAATAAAAGTGTTTTTCCCAAAAGGAAGCAAATCAGACTGACCCATGTAAAAGGTCAGTGTATTAGGTTGGGCCATGAATAGTCTGAGAAGGAAGAAAAAGGAGGAGGGGAGGGAAAGAGCGAGGGAATGGCAGGGCAGAGAGGTGGAAAAAGGAAGAGAGAAGCAAAGGATGAACCGGCCGGGCCCAGTGGCCTACGCCTGTAATCCCAGCACTTTGGGAGGCCGAGGTGGGCAGATCACTTGAGGTCAGGAGTTGGAGACCAGCCTGACCAACATGGTTGAAACCCCATCTCTACTAAAAATACAAAAATTAACTGGGCATGGTGGTTGCATGCCTGTAATCCTAGCTACTTGGGAGGCTGAGGCAGGAGAATCGCTTGAACCTGGGAGGCAGAGGTTGCAGTGAGCTGAGACAGCGTTACTGCACGCTGGCCTGGGCGACAGAGCAGGACTCTATCTCAAAAAAAAAAAAAATGAGGATATCATTCAAATGTGAGATTTCAAGTGCTAAAGTATAGGTCAATACAAAGCGTCTGTGTAAATGGGTGCATTTTGAGCTTGTGGAAACCAGCAGACTATTTGGATGTCATCTAACATACAGATTCTTACATTAGCCCACTACTTTTATGAATCTTTTGCCTTTTTTGTCTAAAATGCTGATGTATGAAGTTAGCAAGTGGGAAAAATAACCCTCTCTTCATTTCTCTAAATGCAAGTCCACCCACTACTTTTATCTTTCTCTTTTTTCTTCCCTCACTGTTATAAATATTCCCTCTTTCTGGCTTTCAAATGTATACAACATGTTACAAGTCCTATGATAAGAATGAGAGCAGGTCATCAAAATAATTCGAAAACTCACCATCTTTGCACTTATGTTCACCTCACTCTCCTGTGTCTGTTCTTCTGTGTAACCTCTGTTTTCCCAGTCTCATGCACAGTGACTAAACGGTGGTGGAGAGTGTGCTTCATATACTCAACTCTACTGTAAGAGCTATTCACTTATAATTGGGAATTTGCCTTCAACTTTAACCAGCCAGGACTCATTTCCTGAGTGTCTACTCACAATATTTCTGCATTTTGCTGTATTTATGTTCACCTATAATCCAAAGCAGGTATTCTTTCATTTCTGACATCTTCAAATAAACATCTTGCATTTTTTCCTATGGCATGTCTTTAATTCATTTCTTTACTTGGATTTATTTAGTTAGTTCATTTTCTTTCTGCTGTAGATTTTTCATTCTTTGTCAGAGTAGAAAATATTTAAAATCATCCGGTTTGCATACAGCTTGGAGAGAGAACTTATTTTTTATAAAGGGTCACAATTATTTTTTGAATTTACCATCAAATCTGAATTCCTATTTGCCTTTTCATCTGCAATTTGAGAGGCTAATTCAAGAGGCAGACACATTGTGCTCCATTGGATGTTTCAATGTAGGAGGTTCAAATCATGATATAAACGCTTGCTTCTATTACCAGTTCTGAATCATTTTTTGATATTGACTCAGCTATCTTTCCCATTCCAGTCAAGCATTTTCCAATCACTGGTATCACCTATAGATCAATCTCCACTCAAATCCTCAATTTGTTCTCCAATTCTCACTTCCTTCCCATGATCTCTTGTACTTTCTGGAAGATGTTTTGTACAGAAGTTTGCTGATACTTGTTTTAATAGTTTAGAGGTGGGATTGTAGAGAACTTTCATTTAAGTTCATATTTTTATATTACTTGGATTTATTACAAGTATATATTAACAAAAAGTGAAATTTTTAAACACACCTTTTCCTCCAAAAAATCATTGCATAACATTCATACTGCAAGAAGGGTCTCTATGCATATTCTGTGGGGATATATACATATTTTTTGTCTTATTTCAATTTAAGGAGCATGAGGCTATAAGGAGACAACAATCTTGCTCTAATATTTTCTCAAATATTCTGAAGTTTATAAGCTATGTAATGAAGTTTGCTGATACATGAGGTGCTTGTGATTGAATTTCTGTTCTGGTGAACAGTCTGCCCTGTTCTCTTCTGCCATATAGTGACATGTTTGAGCTTGTTGTCTTGCCATTTTGACATCTCCTTTCCTCGAGTTTATTTTGATCTCCAGTTTCTCAAAAACTGTGTGCTATCAGCCCTTTCACAAACTGGCTTGATGGTCTGCCTGGTTCAAGCCGTTTCCAGAAAGTTTCTGGGTGCTGTGTGCTAGGTTTCCCACGAAATGTGATTTCCTCTCGCTTCAGTTAATTGATATAATGCTTTTAACTTCACAGCTATCTGTGAAAATGTGTTCTTTGAGAAAACATCAGCATTTCAATTCATGAGACTATGAAAGAAAAGTTACATGATATATATAGACAGACAGATACATAGGTAGATATAGAGATATATATATAGAGAGAGAGATCTGTGTTTGTCTTCCACCTTTGGCCCTTTGGTTGATATGCTCTTAAAAATTCTTAAGTTGCTTTACAAAGCTGAGGTCAGTTGCTTCTTTCCTTAATACATTTGACGTTTTTGTGGTGGTTCAAAATCCTCACTTTCCCACTGTGTATATTGCTTTACGTAATAAGTTATCAAAGAGATCCTACAGCCCTGTGTCCAGCTCAAGGCAGAAGGGCAGGAAAGGGCATGTTTGTGCAGTGGGCAATACTCCCCAGGTCCCTCCCATGAGCCCCCAGTCCTCTCTTGGCCGCACCCTCCTCTGGCTCGCCTTTCTTCTCGCTTGTCATCCTAGCTACTCTCTCTCCCAGTCACCCACAGTAGTCTCACAGCAAAATGCGCAAAGGAAATAGCAGCCTTCCACGCAAAATGAGAGGGGGAGGGGGAAGGAAGTCCCTCCCCCTCCTGCTACAAGGGTGGGGCTGGAAACACACCAGCCTTCTTGATAGTGGTTTACGCATTACCAGCTATGAACTGCTAAGAGCTCACAGGCACTGGATCAGTTTATCATCTGTAAAAAACCACTGACTTCTGAAATATTCTGAACACTTAGTGTTGAGATCAAGACTCCCCTTCCCCTTCCAGAAACCCTCTTGGAAGATTCTAGAAAGCTTTAAGTTTCAGGGCTGCAGACCCGTTAGGGATTTTCAGAGAACTGCTAGCATACTTTAGTACAAGATCTGAGATATTTTCTCCCAGAGTGTAAATCTTCCTTAAATACCCCTAACTAAGGGTTAGAATGAGCTGCTTAGAAAATGAGGAGACTGAACTAAGATATTTTTAGAAATGCAACTTAATAATTTTAAACCATAACGCTGCCTACAAGAGAGGAAAGTTGGACTCAGTTTCTTAGAGAATGTGTAAGTGCCTCTATAAATAGTTAAGAAACATTTGATAGTGCAGAGATCACTTGGCAATACCTCTGCATGCCCTACAAGCATTTAAAAATAGTACAATCGGTCTTCTCTCTTAGGACAGATGGAGATTTTTCGATTTTCCCTAGGCAACAATCCACACACCTTCTCTATTAAAGATAATCTAAAACAGTGTTTTTCAAACTCTGACTAGAATTCACAGTAAGAAATTATTTTTAAATAGTGACACAGTATCCGCCCTACCACACATGAAACTGAAAGAAAAATTTCATGGAATAGTACACATTATTACCACATGGAGTGCATACTGATTTTTTCTATTTCAGTCTATTCTGTTCTGTTAATTTAAAGGAAAAAAATAAAAAGCTGGCATGACTTACAATTGACTGTGTAACTCAAGAACAATTGGTACAGTGATTGTTAACCCTGGATAACATTAGAATCATATGGTTTTTTTTCCCCCCAAAATAACATTGCAGGGTTCCTACTCAAGGCCAAAAAACCAGAATTTTCAGTGTGAAGTAAGGGCAGTGTTATTGTTTAAAATGTTTCCCAGTGATGCTAAGGTGCAGCCAGGATTGGAAACCACTGTTCTGATGGGTCTTGATCTCACATTGAAAAATCCTGATCTAGAAGTTTAAGTCAACATTACATTCATGTTGGGACTACAGAAGTCTGAAGTGTTGAGTTTTTCTGATAACATAAACCAGGGTGATTATCTGACTTACTTTTTTGCTACTAGTACCCATTATAAGAGTTTTATTTGTGTGAATACAAGTGAAGAATGGCTTTATTCCGTGCAACCCAAAGAGAATGTGGGTTACATGTGGTCCATGCTGAAGTCTTAATCAGTGGAAGGAAAAAAAGAAGCTCCAAACTATAAAACCTAAGTCTATGGGTTATGTACAAACAAAACCAAGAACCCTAACCTATTCAACCTTTTGCTTTGCTATGTATATTAGTCTGTTTTCATGCTGCTCATAGATATACCAGAGACTGGGCAATTTACAAAAGAAGTTTAATGGACTCACAGTTCCACGTGGCTGGGAAGCCCTCATAATCATGGTGGAAGGTGAAAGGCACATTGCTCATGGCAACAGACAAGAGAACTTGTGCAGGGAAACTCCCCTTTCTAAAACCATCAGATCTTGTAAGACCTACTCCCTATTATAAGAATAGCATGGGAAAGACCTGCCCCCATGATTCAACTACTTCCCACTGGGTCCTCCCACAACACAAAGGAATTGTGGGAGCTACAATTCAAAATGAGATTTGGGTGGGGATAGAGGCAAACTGTATCACTATGTTACTGTGATATGGAAGAAGAAAAACTTGTGTTCAGAAGCTAGTATCAACAGATAGGGGAACTTTGCTCACTTGGCTCTGATAGGAAGAACTGTGATCCTTCCTCTTCTCATATTATTGCTAACTCTGAGTTTCTGGGATCCATTTGAGGCCCTACTTTGTTGAGAAAGGGATTTTAGGTAGCCTACAATATGGTAGGATTGGGAGGAGGACAGGAGGAAGGAGAGAAGAGAGATAGAAGTGAGGGAGGTAGGGTAGATCGGGGAAGAAGAGAAGGAAGGGGAAATAAAAAGGGGAGAATGTGGAACAGAAGAAATGAGGTTCAAAGCCAAGAGAAAATGCAGTGAGGAAGCCTGGAGTGACTGCACACACACTCCATGAGAAGGCACATGAGAAGGGAAACAGAAGAGATTACAGAATTTGACAAATTTTTGGCATATCTGGGAACTGATGCATAGTATAGCAAAGGCATTCAGTAGTCATTTGCTCCTTCTGAACTTCAGGTATTTGCTATGTAACTGTCAACTACATCACCTTGCTTCATCATATAACATTTTCATTCATCTGCAAATTGAGGATAATAATATTGCACTGCAGCCCACCTCCTGGAGATATTTGGATTATTTGTGGCATGATTAAGTAAATGCCTGGAAAAAATATATTTATTAACACAGGACATATTTCTTCAGTCTAGATGGATTAATTGCATCTCTCCAAAATAGGCAGACATATAGAAATGTTCTCTTTCAAACTGGACAAAACAGACACAGAGTGAGTGTTCTGCTTTGGAATGAGGCTGGAAGAGCAAATCTTCACCAAGAGCACAATACTTAACAAAATCAATCTATGTCCCCAGCTTATTGTGATGCTGTCAACAAAGGCATGGTTCCTTCTCAAATAGAATTTTACATTTCAATTTTACCTGTAGCAGTAAGGCCTGTGGCCTACATTTCTTGGAGTTTGAGCATTCTTGAGAGGTCTGGCCTCTGAGGCCTGGAGTATAGGTAGGAGATTGATTTCACAGACAGGAAAATGCTATGCAGGAATGCAAGTTCTGAAACACGAGTTCCCTGGTCGTCTTTGTATAAATCCCATTGAAGATTTGTGGGATATTACTGACATTACTATAATCATGAGCAGTCCTATTTAAAACTATCCTTAAATAGCAGTTAAACATTTAAGAAGTACTTGGCAGAATCTTTGGATAGAACAAAAGATGTAGTGGACAATAGCATTTTTTCAAGGACTTATGATAAAATGCAGAAATGCGCTGAAATGACAAAAAACGTTTCCACTATACTAATGGCTATTTGTTCAGGCAGAAAGAGCCTGTGCATTAGCATGTGGGTTACTCCTCAACATAGACATAACAAGGAAAAAGGAAATTACATTTATCGTGTGCTTACTACTTGATTAACAATGCACTGCACACGTTTGAACATTATCTCATTTAATGTTATATTAGTTTTTCAAAACAGAAGGTGTCTTCATTATACAGATAAAAGCATCAAGGTTCAGAAAGGTTAAATGACTTGTCAAAGTCACACAAGGCAGTCCCAAGCAGAGGAATAATTTGAACACAAATCTTGCTGGGTTTCAAGGTCCATAGGTTCATTTACCCACTGAGAAATCATAGTTAATCCCAGAATTTCCCAGTTCAAACTATAGCCTTAAAGACTGGTAAAGCAAACCCACATCTCTGGATGTTCTAAAACAAGGATGAGCAAGTGAGTACACCTTATATATCCTATATAGGATAGATAGAATCTTATCTGTATAGGGCCAGGTAGTAAATACTTTCAGGTTTGCAAGCCATATGATCTCTATCACAACCACTGAACTCTATGGTTGTAGCATGAAAGCTGCCATAGAGGATATTTAAATGAGCATGCCTGTGTTCTACTAAAACTTTATAAGAACAGGTGACAGGCCAGGTTTAACCCAAGGGCCATAATTTTTAGACCCCATGCTTTAAGACATTCCAGTGAAGAGACATTCCATAAGATAGTCATTTCCAAATTTGTAGAGGCAGAAAAAGTTAAACATTTATATGAAGGCTGCAAAACCAGAGACATTATTCTTGATTAAAAAAAAGAATAAGAGTTCAAGATCAGCCTGGCCAAGATAGTGAAATCCTGCCTCTACTAAAAATATAAAAATTAGCTGGGCATGGTGGTGGGCACCTGTAATCCCAGCTACTTGGAAGACTGAGGCAGGAGAATCACTTGAACCTGGGAGGCGGAGATTTCAATGAGCCGAGATTGTGCCACTGCACTCCAGCCTGGGTGACAGAGCCAGACTCTGTCTCATTTAAAAAAAAAAAAAAATTTTTTTCATTAAGGCAAATTTTTAATCCCTTTTACACAGTAAATACTTAGCCACTAAAAGAGATACTTAAACTGGGAGATAAAATGGCCATGGTTTATTTGCCTTTCTGGATTTGAGAAACATTTTACACAATTCCCATAGAGAATGGCATTTGAAAATCAAGACCCATACTGGCTTATAATTTCTAATTTTCATTGTTCCCCCGATGCCCCAAGAAGAAAAAAAATTTACTCTGTGATAAAACTGGTTAAATTTGTGTTCATTTTCTGTTTTACTGCAAACAGCAAGTGGAAGTTACTAGTAAAGGAACAAAAAGGAAGGCAGGGAGGGAAAGTAGACAGTTCTCTCTGGTCGGTTAGGAGGAGGGCTATGTGATGACATTTACGATTCTCTGGCACAATTCTAGGTCTCCAGGTATGAGAATTATGGTTTCCAAACCAAACAAGAAAACCGTTGTCTGACAGATTGCAAGTGTCCCGAAGGGAACAAGAGAACCAGATGTATTTAGAACAACCATGACTGCAAATCCTGGGGGAGAGTGACTATATCTACAGAATTTCTGTACAACCTTGGCTGAAAGAGGGAAAGTGTAATGAGAAAAACCTATAGGCAAGAGTCTGGGGACCGAATTGAGTTAGGTGGAGATTTATAGGTCAGTTTAACCCGACTGGCTGTGGAAATGAGTTAGAATTAGCAAAATCATCAGCATTACTACTTCATTTTGTATAGGTTCCAAAGGGGATTAAACAATCAGGTTTTATCTTTCTAAATCAATGTTTTCTATTTCTGTACACTGTTACGGCTTTACAATTCAGTTTTAGGTGGGAAACAGGGTTGATCCATTACCTGCCATCTTGTTTTAGGCACACATAAGCTGTGTGGTTAAAAGCATGGATTGCGGACTAAGCATGACTGACTGAATCCCAGTTCCATCCTTTATGAGCTTCATGGCCGTGAGCATGTTATTTATGCTTTCTGTATTCAGGTTCCTCGTCTGTACAGTGGGAAGGGGGAATAGTCCCTACCTCATGGGATTTGATATGTGGATTTAATGGGTTACTATATTTATCCACTTGTTTTATCTGTTTATTGAACTTGCCAGGCCTGCACTGGACATGAGAACAGGTAAGGGAGCCTCTATTTCAGTATAGATGAGAGGCTAATGGCTCCACCATTAGAGGAATTTGCGATATGTACTGAACAAATGCTTGGCTAGAGAGGAGACCCCTAATGCATCCTGGAAAAGCAGAAAGGCCCCCTGGAAGAGTTGAGGCTTGAGCCTCAACTGTTTCATGAGAGAAACAGTAGGACTTAGGACTCAAGTGGGCAAAGAAGAGTTTCTGGTTTTCCACACAGAAGGAACAACTTGGCTGTAGGAAAATAAATGCATTCTTAATGTGATGTTAAAATCCCTCCATATGTGATCTGAAATTGCTTCCAAGCCTCATCTCCCAGCACATCGTTCCCTAGCCCCAGACACCTGGCACATGTCATTGTCCAGATCTGACTTTGCTCTCCCCAAGACCATATATTCTTAATTTGTTTTCTTTTTTTTTTTTTTTTTTTTTTTTTTTTTTTTTTTTGAGACAGTCTTGCTCTGTCACCAGGCTGGAGTGCATTGGCGCTATCTTGGCTCACTGCAACCTCCGCCTCCCAGTTTCAAGCAATTCTCCTGCTGCAGCCTCCCGAGTAGCTGGGACTACAGGCGCATGCCACCATCCCTGGCTACTTTTTGTGTTTTTGGTAGAGACAGGATTTCACCACGTTGGCCAGACTGGTCTTGAACTCCTGACCTCAGGTAATCCACCTGCCTCAGCCTCCCAAAGTGCTGGGATTATAGGCATGAGCTACCACACCTGGCCCACATACTAATTTCTGACAGTTCAGTGTTTGTCAGAAATCAGGGGATAACTGTATTGTATAGCATCTTAGGGTGAAGAGTACCTATTCCTGTCCCATATCCAATCACTTATATAGTCCCCAAGCCTATCACTGCTCAGCATACCCTCTAAAAAGTCAGCATGGGCTGACATACAGTGCCCATACCCCAGTGACCTAAAATGAACCGTAGACATTTTCTTTCTCCCCTGCCTTACAAAATCCATGAACCCATTACAATGATGAGAGACAATATGTCTTCTCTATAGTCTCGTGTAGCCTGGCATGCGTGTCTGTTTTTGGTTCTAAATAATTATGATAAATGTCCTGAATGTAAGTGACAACCTTTCTCAAAATTGTCTAAAGCTGTAGAGGCATTGAGAAAAATAAATCCCCATACAGGGAGTGTTAAACTCCATGAGTTCATACTAATTTTATTGTTATATTGTAAATCCAATATCAGATTCTAGAATATACTTAAGATTCCAGCTCTGTGAAATTAACCTTGCCACCAATCATGGGTAAGTCATTTCCTCAATCACAAGCTTTTTAAACAAAGAAGACATTTGAAGAACTCTACTTCCCTAGAGATTTTCCTTTTAGATTTCAATTGAACTTTTTAAGTGCAGGGGCCCTATATCTTTCAAAATTGGGAAATGAAATCTATTACAGTGGCTAATCCTCTAATGCTTGATGTTGCTACCTCACAGGCAGAAAACAATCTTTTCCTTATTACATATAAATTTCTGGTTCACACTAGCTCTGAAAACAGCTATGTATTTCATTGCATTTCACTACCTCTCTGGCAAGTTGAATATTGAAATGGCACAAAGATTCTGACAGTGCTATAAATGAATGCACCAGTATTTCTAGAACTGGATGTCGAGGGTATAATCTGCACTATGGTGCTGTCTAAGACTGATAATAAAACAGAAGAATACTATTTCAAGGTAAGATCAAAAGGACATATAATAGTCATATGTGCTACTTTGACAAGGGCATAATGAAATGTACTGGGAAGACAGACAGTAGCCTTACAAAAGAGAAGTGGTGAACTTCTTTCTGTGATAACTGCTATGGAACTGGAGATACGGAAGATACAATTCTTGTTTTTTTAGTTTCTGGACTACATTTAAAATTCGGCAATCTGCTAGTAAATTGCCACAGCAAGACATGGAAGATATTCATTGTAGACACAATTTAGCCTCCTTGCCCAGTTCACAATGACCCCTTACTTCCCCTCTCATCCATAGACATGGGCATAATGAACCCTTGCTCCATCCCGCTGCCCTACCAATTGGACCAGAGGCTAAGAAGACTAGAAATGTGGAATTAACACTGAGAGATTCTAATTTAGCTTTGCTGGTCTCTTGGGCAGAGATGTAAACATTATACTGTGGAGGTGCCATATTTTACCTGTCGTGAGAACTTAAAAGCAAATATAATTGTTAGAAGTTTTAAAATTATATCACTTTGGATGTACAAAAAGGGAACTTTATTTTTCTTTAAAACATTTCTGATTTGGAGCCACCATTACTTCTAATGCATAATATTTAGTCTGGTCACTTTCAGAAAAACTCAAATTGACTAGTCAGACCATTCAGAAATAAAACATGGTTGATTAAGATTTTTTTTTCCTGAGAATAATTTCTGCCTCCCCTTGTTCTCTATTTCATGTTATTGTGAATTTCTCAAATGCTGCTGAGAAGAGTTGCCAGTTAAAATACAAAATACCTCATTAAATTTGAATTTCAAGCACATTATAAATTTATAAAAGCCATTAATATAAGTATGTCCTATGTAACATTTGAGATATACTTACACTAAAATATTGTTTAATGAAAATCAAATTTAACTGAGCCTCCTGTGTTTTTATTTACTGAATCTGGCAACCCTACACTGAGGTGTGAAATTTCCTTGTCCAATTTGGTCACTGCAGTTGTGTGTTGAGCTCCACCCTTAGCTCATCCCAAGATGGTCTTCCCACCTTGCTGCTTATACCTGAATATCTGCTATGGCCTCTGAATGTCAGATCACTTGAGGCCTGCTTCTTGCTTCATGCCCCTATTTCCAGGCTTCATTGTGTCTTGTTCATGTTCAGTCAGTTTTGGATGATCCTCCATACCAGCCATTCTGAAGCCTGCAGGAACACAGGGGGCTATCCCAGGCACTCTTATGCCTAGATAAAAGGCCATCTCTAGTTTCTGCTTGAACATATTGACGTGGGAGATTGAGGGG
The DNA here is from genome assembly GCF_000001405.40 of Homo sapiens. Lineage (NCBI taxonomy): Eukaryota > Metazoa > Chordata > Mammalia > Primates > Hominidae > Homo > Homo sapiens. The sequence continues at coordinate 30,819,100 of NC_000003.12, forward strand.
GAGGCTTCCCACATTGAGTTTCACCTAGAATTCGAGCTGAGAGGAAAGAACCTATTATCATTTCATTTACAGGGAGGTTCTATTCTTTCTTGGTGCCCCGGGTTTACACTTATACTTAAGAATTGCTTTCTCTTCAGAGAGTCCTCTTCCCTCCCCAACTCTGAGGCCTGTTTATCTACTTGGGAAAGAGGGTGTGAACTAAAAATGGTTTTTTGTATAAGATGTCCTTCCAAGAATAACTATGAAGTGTAAAAGGTAAAAATTTGTCACTCTTTATCTCTGGTTTCATTCTGATCATTGAGTACAATAAAAAGAACCAGAATTTCATAACACATCTTAAGCACTTGGGAGGTTAAAATCACTTTCATAAATCAGCCTTTGCTCAGAGTAAACTCAGCCTTTGCTCAGAGTAAACTAACATGGTTATTACAGATTAATTGGAAAGTAATTTAGATGAGCACACTCCAAAATGGAACTTAAGGAGCTGAGCCAAAACTGCCCTCAAATGTAAAATAGCATTCTTACAGAACAAAAACATAAATCAGGAGAAAATGAATATTAATTACATAAATTTAATAAGGACATGAAAAATAAATGCAAAAAGTGATTCCTCATGGAAAGAAAAGTAATTGGAAAAAATTTTAATTAAAAATTAAGATTTCAGGCAGGAATACAAGATAAAAATGAGATAAAAATAAGGACATGGCATATATTATGCTAAGATCTTTGAAAATCTTAGCAAAATATATTTGAGAAAATATTGTAATGGACTCAACTAGAGCAGAAAATTAATAGTTCAATGAAAATGTAAAAACTGAACACAGAATTATCTACCCCAAAATTTCTGAGCAAGAGTTTTATAATTAAATTTCCTGAACATTTCTAAAAACTGATGCCTGTTATTGAAATTATTTTTTTAAAGAAGTTTTAAAACTGCACTCAAAATACTATCCAACCAAGATAAAAACACAAAGAATAGATCTATATTATGTACATGGAGGCAAAAATCATCCACTAATATATTTAAAATAGTTTACTGCAGTAAAATGAGGTTAATCAGTAATACAGAAAATCTGTTAACATAAATTTAGTTTAAGGAGTAAATTGATAGAATTACCTTATTTGATAATAGAAAGGTATGTGGTAAAACTCAATACTAGATAATTTCTCAAGATTTATAAAGAATGTATAACTTAGGGCAACTTCAATAAAATCACAAAGACAAGAATGTCTTCTGTTTACCGAACATATTTTTGAAAATTCTATCAGTCTATTATAATTGTAACCAATATGAAGCTAGATATTAGAATGAAAAAATGACAATTTATACTGATAAAATCATATTCTTGGAAATGCAAGAGAATAACTTAAAATCTCTCAGAACCAATTAGCAATCTGGTGAAGTAGTTAAATATAAGTAAATATTTCAAAAGTTTTTCTTACATCAGCCTTAGCAGTTAGAAGGTTTAAAAAATAAAATATAAAATGTATAAATAACCCTAGCAAAACATGCAGGATCCTCTATTAGAAAAGCCATTGATGGGGTTGTTTTTTTCTTGTAAATTGGAAACAACAGGTGCTAGAGAGGATGTGAAGAAATAGGAACACTTTTACACTGTTGGTGGGACTGTAAACTAGTTCAACCATTGTGGAAGTCAGTGTGGCGATTCCTCAGGGATCTAGAACTAGAAATACCATTTGACCCAGCCATCCCATTACTGGGTATATACCCAAAGGACTATAAATCATGCTGCTATAAAGACACATGCACATGTATGTTTATTGTGGCACTATTCACAATAGCAAAGACTTGGAACCAACCCAAATGTCCAACAATGATAGACTGGATTAAGAAAATGTGGCACATATACACCATGGAATACTATGCAGCCATAAAAAATGATGAGTTCATGTCCTTTGTAGGGACATGGATGAAAATTGGAAATCATCATTCTCAGTAAACTTATCGTAAAGACAAAAAACCAAACACCACATGTTCCCACTCATAGGTGGGAATTGAACAATGAGAACACATGGACACAGGAAGGGGAACATCACACTCTGGGGACTGCTGGGTGTGGGGAGGCGGGGAGAGAGGAGGGATAGCATTAGGAGATATACCTAATGCTAAATGACGAGTTAATGGGTGCAGCACACCAGCATGGCACATGTATACATATGTAACTAACCTGCACGTTGTGCACATGTACCCTAAAACTTAAAGTATAATAATAATAAAGAAAAAAAGAAAAGCCATTGAAACTGAAATACTTACAAGTAAACTGATATAATGTGTGTCTTTTTTTTCTCTTTTTTTATACACACGGCAGAGGAGGAAGCAGTAGATATGAAACTGGTCATGAACTGATCCCTACTAAAACCATGTGATGGGTTCGTGGAAGTTCATCTCTACTTTTGTACATATTTGAAATTTATCATAAGAAGTTAAAAAGAATCTTTGTGTGAAATAAGATCTGAATAAATATTACTAGGTTGGAAGGCTAAAATCACACAAAGATGTTAAGTCTTCTCAAATTAATTCACAGGTTTAATATAAACCTTAGAAAAAATCCCCAGTGGAAGTTTTTTAAACTTAAGTTTTTGAAAACTGGAAGAATAAATAGATGATAATAAGTCATTTTTTAAAAGAGTGAATATAGACTTACCCTACTAGATGAAATATATTCTGAAGCTATAATGATTACAGCAAGGTGGACTTGGCAAAACAATCAACAGCTGTTTGATTCAATGAATGGGATTATTTCAGAAATGGAATATCAAGTTATCTTCTTGCCTTATCCAGTCTTCTGACCCTTAATTAAAATTCCTCTACTTTTCTCCTCCAGTTTATACACTAATGCTATGTTTTATTACAAATTATTTTCACTTTAGACTATTCCACATTTCCTGTAGTTGATATGCAGGTTTTGTACAATATTAGGTTTCACTTGGTACACCTAATGGGATAATTTGCTCATATGGAAGTCTGGTATCACTTGGAAACTTTCTCTATAGATGAATAGTTAACATGTGTCACAAAAAGATGACAAAATTCCACAACAAGAATAGATGGCTGGATGATATTTCCAAATACCAATATCTCCTAATTGAAGAAGACAGGTTTAGCTTCCCATGTTTCTGGCAGTCACTGATCACCTCAGTAACCACTGTTGTAAGAGGTGTCTGGATGGGGACTGAGATGAGGGAGGAGGTGTTGCAAATTTTGTTATAGGAGGAAAGCTTCTAAAAACATATATGGACTTTCATGTAATGCAAACTGCTGAGCTGGGCTGAAGGTGCTGAATTAGCTGCTTTCGTGGTAATGATGGCCGTGATTAAAGAAATATTCTCAAGCTTCTTTAAACCCAAGGAGCCTCTGTTTTTTAGATCATAAGAAGGGGTAGAAGTGGATAAAGAAAGCAAGATGCTGGTTATATAAGCAAAATATATTAATCTATACTTATCAGCCTAGATATATATTAATATGCATCTCAAGAAAATTTTAAATGATTTAATATTGGCTGGTGTTTTACAACTAATTTTCGCATTCTTAATTATGCTTGACTCTGACAGTGTGATCATATAATACTTTTAAAATATGGAAAGAAAATACCAGTTAACTGATATGTCACCTCTGCTACAAGTTTCTTGACCAGCCTTTTCAGCAGTGTTCTCATTTTATTTACATTCTCCAACTCCTGCTTTTTAATCATTACATAACTAAATAATAGCATATGTTTGCTTAAAATGTTACTAACCTTTGACTTAGGGTAGGGAGCATGTCTTATTCACTGAATACGCAGTAGTCTCTACATATTTTCAGGTTGAATGAAAGGCTGAATAAACAAATGCTTATTTCCAGTGGCAGTATTGAACAGCTGCTAATTATTAAAAATTCAGAACGTGGCACATATCAATTCTAATAAAGGAATAGATGAATTAAAGACCTTCCCACTGAATACAGCCAAGAATCCTGGAACAAAATATAAAAACTGCATCTAATGAAAAGCCTAGCAGACCTCCACAAGACAGGGATATAAACTACTGGGAGGTACAATGAGGGAAAGGGAACTCAGGGAGGTAAGCTAGAGACGTTCCTACTCCAGGACACTTTCAGACTCAGGGAGGACAGCCAAGACAAGAACCAGAATGGTGAGAAGGGAGGGAACAAAGATTGAGGTCCTGTGTCCACCAAGTGTGGAGACCTGGAGTATTATCACTTCTCACTAGCAGATATCCTAAAGACTTCAGGAAACAAAATTCAAAAGTATTCATTGTTATTAAGGCCAAGAAAGAAATCCCTTTTCTTGTTTGGGACCCAAAGGTCTCCACCATGAAGTGGAGGTACAGGCTATACCCTGAAGATCCAGAAAAATGTCAAGCATTGGTCCTGAACTGCTAATTCCCTCAGATACACATAAAAATGAAAATAGAGATTCCATTTTTATAAGAAAGATCAATTCAGGTCTCAAATTATTCCTAAGGGTAAATTTTCAAATAAAATATTAAGTAAACCACCAAAGATTATAAGGTACCTCTCTAGACAATAGGAGAGCCAGGAATCATGGACACAAGAAATAGTAATAACACCAAAGGGAAACTAGATATTGAAGTTAACAGAAGAGATGGTAAATCTATGCTTACAGTGTTCAAGTATATAAAAGCTAATCTTAAAAACGCCAATAACCTAGAGATGACAGTATGTAGGTAAAAAGAATCCATTAGAAATTATAAAGCTAGAAAGACAAAATAACTTGAGATGGCTTTCGCAGCAGATTAGATACAGCTGAAGAGAAAGAATTTCAAGATAGGTCAGAAGAAACTGTACACAATGAAACATGGAAAAACAAAATTAAGGAACATACAAAATAGAGAGTAAGAAGAAAAGAAAGGAAGAAGTCTTAATATGTATTTAATTGACATGCCAGAAAAGGAGAGAGAAATGAAAGCAGGGATAATAATTACAAAACGTATCAATCTACAGATTCAAGAAACCCAGTAAAGCTCATGCAAGAAAAACTAAATAAAATTCATATTTGGAACATCCTTGTTAAATAGTAGAAATATTTTTAAAGCTTGAAAATTTTAAAAGAAGCCAGAGGAAAAAAAGTCATTTTATCATTAAAGGAATGACAGTTAAATAGCAGATATTTTAACACAACAACAAAAGGCAAAAAGAGAAAAAAAATTAATTAGAAAAAGAAAAATATCACCAAAGTATTGAAAGAAAATTACTGACAATCTTAACACCAGCAAAAATGAAAAACATTTTTAAAGAAGCAAAATATAACAATATGCTACCATTTGACCCACAAGAAAATTCCTAAATGTGGTCTTCAAGAGGAAGGAAAATTATTCCGGATGGAACCTTAGAGATAAGAAGTAAAGATATGTGCACAAAAATACTCATAGCAAATTTTTATAAAAGCCTTGAAATAAATGCCCGTCAACAATAGAATGAATAAGGAAATTGTGATATATTCACATAGAATAGTATAAAAGAATGAAAATAATCATCAGATTGTGCCACAAAATGGATAAATCTTAAAGACATAAGCTTGAGCAACAACAAAAATCCAAGCACAAGAAAATACATACTATATGATTCTATTTGTATAAAATTCAAAAACTAAAGTAAATTATATTATTTGGTATAACTACAGAGCAAAACTAATAAAAGCAAGCAAGAAAGTATCAGAAAGAAACACGTGAAGATCTCTGGGTTTCTGGTTATGTTCTTTATTTTAATCTGTGTGAGAATGACCTGTTCACATTATAATAAATCAAGCTGTTCATTTATTTTATGCATGTTTTTATATCTATCTATCTTATACTTCATAATTTTAATTTTAAAGTAAAGCAAACAACTTTCAAATTCCCAACTAGCCTACCAGAGAATGAACTACCAGGGAGGACATTGAGTTCCTTTTGCAATTAACAAAACCCTCTAAATTATGATTTTCAATCAGCATCATAATGACCTAAAGGTATGTTTGCTGTGCAAGGGTACATGCACATGAGTGTGTACTTGTGAATTATATGCAGTTTCACATCTTGGAAGCAGGAGATTCAAGACCAGGGTACCACTTTTATTTTCTGATATTTTTTCTGTGGGCATTGGGATCCCTACTTAAAAAATAAGCTTGCTATTTTAGAGTTTTTATTTTTCTGCCCAAATCATTATTTATTATATGCCACCAACAATTTCTGAACAAATTAGGGTTTAAATACAATTACTAAAAGTTTATATAAAATCTATTTTCAACTTCTGAGCTACTTACAAAATTAGAACACTTATTCACATGGACTTGGATTAACACTTTGAATCACTATGGAACAACACATTCAGCAAAAAATTGACTCCCTGTAATCTTTTGCCCATGAAGCAACAAAGCTAGAAAGCCTAATTAGAATTATCAGGTATGTTTTAAGATATCTTCCTTGGAAACCAATATGACAACTAAAATTCTGCAAAGAAAAACAAATAGAATGATTTATTCCAAGAACTCAAAAGGGCCTCAACTATCATATCAGAGTAGCGATAAAAGAGAAGGCCTTAACTTGCACAGGAACAGAAAACCAACGCTGCAGGTTCTCACTAATAAGTGGGAGATAAACAATGAGAACCCATGGACACAGGGAGCGGGGAATATCACACACCAGGGCCTGTCCTCAGGTGGGGAACAAGGGGAGGGAGAGCATTACAACAAATACCTAACACATGCAAGGTTTAAAACCTAGATGATGGGTTGATAGGTGCAGCAAAGCACCACAGCACATGTATACCTATATAACAAATCTGCATGCTTAGCACATGTATCCCAGAACTTAAAAATAGAAGGCCTTGTTGCCGTGAGTTAATAATAAAATAAAAGGCAAAAAAGGCAGATACTTGGAATCCATTAAAAAATAGTAAAACCAAATTCTAGCCTACCTGAAGCAGGCACAGCATGCTTATTATGGCATAAATTTTTCTTTTACGTTCATTCCAGGCTTGTTTTATTCCTTTAATCTTATGTCTCTTCCTTTCTTAGATTTTAATTTATGTAATCTTTGTGTTGTGGGACCCTAATCAGTTTTGTTTCAAGCTGAGATGGAAAACATTTAGTGTGTAAATAGAATCCTCTCTCTGGGATATTTTTCAACTGCTGGTCTTTATCAAATTAAAGATGACAAAAGGACACAAAGGCAGAATTTCATATTTTTCTTTCTGGTTATTTTTTAGCAAATCTGAAGTCCTCTGTGATGACTGGCAGAGAAGCAAAGGTTGGCGTTCCATACTGAAACAGGCTGGCTGCCAAGATGAGTGAATTCTTTACCTGGGAAGGGCATTAGAGAGATATCTACACCCTCAGGGTTCTGCACAAATAGGCAGAAAATATAAAATCCAATAATAGGCAAAACCCCAACTCATCTAAGCCAAACTGACAAAATAAATGTAGTTTAATCAGTAAGACCAGGTGGCAGCCACCCAAGAGTTTTGAAGGAACTCAAGGATGAAATTGGGAGACCGTTGGCCAAGATGCTGGATCCAACATTATAAACAGCCATTTCCAGCAAACTGGCAGATTGTGAATGTCATTCTGTTCATTAGAAGGGGTCAAGAGAGGACCCAGGGAGCCTTAGAAAAGCAAGTATCTCTTCTACTTGTCCAGTCTCCAATAAAAGACAGCATCATTAGATACTAAAACAAAAATAACTTCCTAGGGGAAAGACAATATGGTTTTCTGAAAAAGGAAACCATGAGTCACTGATTTATTATTGGTCTCTGAGGCATGTAGATAAAAGGCCAAATGCTGGCACAACCCAGAGTCAAGATTTTTAAAGTGCCAACGTGGGATGGGATGAGAGAAGGTAATGGCTACATCAAGCCATATGGATAAGACAAACAATTTCCATACCCCTTCAAAAAATTTCCTATGTATTTTCCAAAGCAAGAAGGGTCATGCTTTGAGACTTGAAAGATCAGGATGCATGATAAAGGACATACTACTTCACATTGTGGGTAAAAAATTTAAAACACATTGCCATTTGGTGGTATTGGAAATAGATACAGATTTAGTCACTTCAGGAAACATTTTTTAATTGAGAATTAACTGAGGCTTGGGTTTTATACTCAGTAGTAGAGCGATAGTGGTGAGTGAGACCCATTCTGTCCTCAAGTAGCTCCCAGTGTACTACACAGATGATTCTAAGACCTGTGCCCAGTTCAAGCCCTGCATTAGGACCAGTACACATTTATGACTAGGTGGTAACTGATGATTGAGATCAGATAGTACAATCACAATTACATAACAAATCTCTTGGGGCCACAGTCAGCAATAGAAGCAATATACTGAGCTGTATGGGGCATGGATCTAAAGCAAAATGCAAATTCCCTTGTTAAAATGAATGGCAATGGTAATACCAACAAATCCTAAAAATGTTATTGGTTTGTTTGGTGGAGAAATAGATAATGGATTCTGAACACATGAGGCTCTAACATTATTATCCCTTTACCTTATAGAGAAAGAAAGCAGAAATGACAGAGGTGTTTGTGATTACTGATGAAATCGTTTTTTAACGTGATGCACCTACAAAGCTTTGTGGAAAGAAAATTACCCGTTGCTTATTATAATTTTAAAAATACAAGAATTAAGAGTATTTATCAATCAGGAATTGAATGAATTCTCTCTGTTTGATTTCTCAACTTTGCCAAAAGGTCTGGGAAGAATTTTCTGAGCTCAAGCAAGAACAGCCCAGACACAGAGAATGATTTTGGCAGCACGAAGCACAAGAGATTGATCTCTCTCCTACAAGTCAAATGCTTCTCTTTTCTAATCAGTTTTAAACACCTACCTTCCCCTTTTTCTGCTACATTAGCTGGTAGGCTGTCATTCTAAAGAAATTTATAATGTACCTGTACAGAAAAAGTGTGAGTGTTCCCTGGCAGGAGAGAAAATTTCTTTGATCAGATTGTTCAGTATTTTCAAACCATCTAATGGCATTTCCATAGGAGCTCTATGAAGAAAAGCAAGAGCTAGAAAAGAAATCCCCACAAAAGCAGATTCAGTTTGTTCTAGTTTCTCTGATTTAAAAGAAAAATGTACTTTCTTTCCTTTTTCTCTTTACTTGCACACTTTTTAACTGGCATGTAATAATTGTCATTTGTAATATCAATCATTCAGAACAGAAACGAAAATGGGGCTAAGTAACCTGCTTCTCAGGTATATTTTCCAGCAAAAATTCTGTCTTTTCCTGGTGACCACACTGGGAAATGACATTAGTCTCCTTTTTTTTTCCTTTACGTTGTACTATGTGGCTCAGCACATCCTCAATAACTATGTGTTGAATGACTATCCCACTCTTTTTTCTGCTACTCCTTCTCCAAAAATAAAAGTGGGGGGGGTGCGGGGGAGGGTCTATATTCCAAGCCTCCTCTAGAATGAAGATGAAAGGAAAGGAAAAGCATTGCAAGCTTATCTCCAAGCCCTCACATTTAAAACCTAGGCAATTTACAATTGTGTGTCAATACACTGAGCCAAAGATCCCTGAGAAGGAGGTATAAAATGTCAATAGATAAAATTAGAAGGAAAATGTTTGCATCTATGTCATTAAGTGTACAAATGTCTTGCCTATCAAATTGACAAAACTATGCCTGTGATGTCAAAGGTTAGAACACAGACGTATGCATGTACACACATATGCACATATATACTCTACTCTGCTCATGAGAATGTAAATGCTTTTGAAGAAAGATTAGGAAACCTGAATTTAAAAAGCATTATGAAAGCTAACTATTGCTCTTCCACTTCTATAGGGATTTATGCTAAAGGAATACTAAAGAGGAATCATTTATACTTAAAAGGCCATCTGATTAGCATGTTTCATGTTCTCATACCTGTTGAGTTTTTTTTAAACTAAAAAATCTGTCTCATAAACACTAAAAATCAAAAATCTGATACTGACATTTTTCTCCATCTATGCAACTGATTCTTAGAATATATTGCCTTTTATTTTAGATCAAAGCATCAAAACTGTCTTTGATCCAAAACAGCCACGCAAATCCCGCATTTACCTCTGAAGTCAACCTATTTATAATCACAGGTTTTTTTTAAAATCCCTGATTTTCTTTTTATTCCTGTGATTCTTTTTATTCCTGTGATTCAAAGAGGATTAGTGATAGTACAACTTTGAGAGCATCAGCTGTGCTTTGTTCCTGAAGCAGTCCTATTTACTAACACAGGAAATTAAAAATGCAAAAACTACCAGTCAATCAGGAAATCAGCATTGTGGATGTCAGGGCTTTGTAGGTACAAATTGGGGAATTAGTTTTTTCCATGAACAGCAGTATATTTACTAAGTAATTTCTTTTAAACTAGAGTTATCCTTTTACATCAACAGAAGAACCAATTAGAATCACTATTCATCAATTATTGTCCTAACACAAGCCTTGTGTTAGGACCTAGGCAATAGAGCTTATCAACTAATCAACTATAATTTTAATCATTGTATCTTGGAGTTTTCAAAAGGAATAATTTGGGGTAAGGGAAAAATTCAAATTCTTAGTTACTGCTGACATGAAGGCAGATACTTCTGAGGATGATTAATGTATTTAATCAACCATTCAGTTTTTAAATAGATATTAGTGGGTTTTTTTTCCCCTTTTTAGTGAATACTTGCTAGGCACTGACAACACAGTGGTGAATATAATGACATTCTTTCTCCTCATGTAGCTTCCATTCTAGTGGGAGAGAATATTACATGAAAAATCATAATTACAAATAGTAATTATACACACTATTATGCAAATAGTAACTATATAAGCACTTTAAAGGAGAGGAACAGAGTCTGAGAAACAACACTGGGGAGGTGCCAGTTTATCTTGGTAAGTCTGGGGACTCTTCAAAGAAGAGGGTGACAATAAGCTGTGGCATGAAGGATGAAAATCATTCACATGCCTCACATTTTGTATGGCTCAGAACACAGTTATCCAAAATATGGCACCTTGGAGGTCACTCTCTGATCTCCTCTCACCTTTCTTCCCTGAAACATGGTCATAAATAATTATTTGACCTACCTCCCCTAAAAGGAGGCTGTTAAGAACCTCATTCTGGAGGGGTCCTACCCTATGCCTGGAAGTCGAGAAGACTGGACAAACAGGCCCTGCAAAGTCCCCCCCTGCCAGCTTATGACCATACTTCTGCATGATTGTCCAGAAAAATATAGTTTTCCCTGGGCCTTTGGATCTTCATCTCTGAAGGTTCTTGTTTCACAAAAAATTTTGGTTAAATAAGTTTGTTATGCTTTTCTTTTGTCAATGTCTTTCGTTATGGGGAAGTCAGCCATGAACCTTGCAAATTGGGGTAAGGAAAAGAGATGACTTTTTCTTTCTTACATGTTCTTCCCTGTCTGGTTAGCATCACTCTTTCTGGTCTTCCCACCATCTCCCTGGCCATTCTGACTCAGCCTTCATGGGGAATCCTTCCTCCTCTATCTAATCTCTCAATGCTAAAGTTTTTCAGGGCTAAGTTCTAGGCCTTATTTTCTTCTAATTCCAAAGATCCTCCCAAGGCATCTATAACCCATTCCTATGACCTCAGATATCATCTATGTGTTAACAATTCTGTAATAGACTTTACCAGTCCAGACTTCTTTTCTTAGATTTGGGTCCATATGCCAACTTCCTATGTGACTTCCTCACTTGAATATACCTCTTAAGAACCTCAAATTTACTATGAGCAGCACTAAAAGGTGTTTCACTCTCAACTCTTTCCTCCAGTGATCTTCATCTTCCTAAATGGAATCATTCGTTCAGTTGCTGTATCAGTAATCAGGATGATTACATGACACCTGCTTCTCTCTCATCTCCCATAATTGATAATTGATAATAATTGATAATTGAGCCCTGTCTAATTGATAGCTAAAATGTATAGTGAATTTCACATTTTCCCATCTCTCTTGCCATCAACTCTGGCATAGATACTGCAAGCCTTTTTCTTAGTCTTCCATCTATTCTTGTTCCCCTCCAATTCATTGTCCTAAATGAAAATTTTTTCCAATAACTCTTTTAGTTCTTCTGTTGTTCTAAAGATCAAGTCTAAAATCATCACAATGGTCTCTAAGACCCTTCATGATCTACCCACTGCTTAATCCTTTAGTCTCATATTATGTCAATCTTCACATTATTCTCTATGCCTCAGCCAAAATACGCTTTTTTCAGTTTCTAAAATAATTTTTTTTAAAAAGGGCGTTCCTTTCTTAAAGAATTTTCACATGATGTTCCTTCCACCTGAGACATCACCTGCTGTGTATTACTGAAGTACTATACTCTTCTCTGTATTAGACAAGGGTGCATTTGGCTGCAACTAACAGATTACCCAATGGAGATGGTTTCAGTAGTAAGAACATTTAATTTTAACCACTTGATATCGCAAAGTCTGAAAGGAGTCACGTTTTGGGGGTGCAACATTTCAAAATTACCCCAAACCAAGACTTTCCCTTTGTTTCTGTCATTCTGTGCATATTAATTTTTTAAATTTAGGGTAATTGCCTTATGGTAACAACCCGTATATCATGTCTGATGCAACTGCATTCAAGGTAGAAAAATGCGAGAAGAATGCTCTCGTATAAAATTATTCTCAAGGTCCTCACCACATTTCCCTACATCACATTAGACATAACTATGTCATAGAAACTGCAGGGGAGGCTAGTTAGGTGAATATTGGGAGATAGGCAAGAAGAGAAGGAGGCTGGAATGCCTGTTGATTTTTACAATCAACAGAGTCTGACATTTGTTAGTGCACTTATCAAAACAGCAGTTAAAAAATTAAATATCTGCATTTTGTTCATTGTCTTCCCTGTGAGATTATAAACTCTTTGACTCTGGGGAATATGTCTGTCTGATTCAATGCTATAAGAGCCTAGACTCGCACAGTGTCAAGCCTACACAGATCATTTATGCTGATTGATGGAATGAATTAATGATATGGAAGAGAGTAACAGAGGCAGAAACCAGGTACAAAAGAGATAGAAAACTGCCAACACAAAACTTAAACTGATTGCCACATCTCATATCTCATGGTTTAGCTTTCCTATTCCATTTAAATTGAAAACGGTCTTTTCATTAAAAAAAAAATTGGCAACTTTTTGAAAGTGCTCAGTTCTTTGCACAGTGAATAGAATTCCCCTAACCTCTTAATTCATGCCATGAAAATAGACATGGGTTTTATTGTCACTAAGATTCAGGAATGAATTCTTTAAAAAAAAAAAAAACCCTGTTAAGGAGTTATATGATCCAGAAAAATTTAAATTGCCTCAAGTACAGAAATGTAATTCAGTTGTTGTCTAAATTACTCAAATATCAGTTAATAAGAAAAGTATATGAAAGCTAGAAAGTTACTTAAGAGTAGTCATAAAATTTTTAGTCTAAGTTCTCCACTCCTTAGCATATCACACCAACAGATAAGTTTGTCAGATTGGCCGATTTAGGTAGAAAGCAAATGTAAAATACCTCACTCATAAAGGATGCTTGATACATTTTTGTTCTTATACCTAGACCAAAAGAAAACTTGGGTTTATTCCTATCTCTGTCCCATCCTAAATGTGTACCTATGGGCAAGTTGATTACGTTCTTTGGTTCACAATCAATATGGTAATCTTAAACTACCTTTTAGTTACAAATAGTCATACCACAATTTTGAAACTTAAATTTAAAAATTAAATGGTATTGAATACATTCAACTCTATCCAACCTAATAAAACATTAAGGAACTGATTCATATTTCTGGTAGTGTCTATTTCTATAGAAGCAAAACCTGTTCCTAGTTTCTGATGGACAGTCTGATCATGTCAAAACGCACAGGGCACTAACATAAATATCACAATTTCTTTAAAAAGTTGTAAATAGCTACACATGCAAGACTAGGTTTCAAGTTTTAAAAATAGTTTTCATTTCAAATAAAATTCCTTAAAAACAGAAAATGACTTTAACATTGGCAAAGGGAGTCCCCTAAGAAAAAAATGTAAACAGATGGCTGAGAAAGATCACCCACATGCTGAACACAGATCTTGAGGAGGCATTTCTAAGAATGAAGTAGCACTTCCCAGCCTGGGCCACTTCCCACAAGGATCCTTATTTAACCCATGGAAAACACAGAGTTTATACCTCCGGCCAAGAGGAGCCTCAACTTTTTTTCCACTTGCCTCACAGTGATCCAGACAGTTTCCAACTCTCCCTAGCATTCCAAAAGAAGCTAAGTACCAACCACTTGGGATGAGCAATCCCCTAATAAATTAGTGTTCGAAGATCAGCCCTGAACAAATGTCTTCCCATATAAACGGGCTGTTAAGCCCTAGCTAAGCGTATTAAGTATTCAATTTAATGTATGACACACATCTGTTCCACTTTCTCAGTGAGCAGAAGTTTCAAGATAACTTAAATCCCAGACTTAATCAAGGAGAAAAAAATCTTGGCAATGTTTAAAACTGAGTTTTAAAATATAATCCAAATGATGGTGAGAGAGAGACCATTTTGCTGTAACTAATGAGATTATATAATACCTAAATCAAATCCACAAAATTACCTGAGCAGAATCACTAAATATTTTATCTAGGCTTATTTGTCTTTCATGTAGAGACCATCAACACATTTCCCAAACACCTTCAATTTACGCCTCGCCCAAGTCACCAAGAGATGAGCAAAAATGAAGCCCTTGGCAAGCACAGTGGCTTAACCCCCTTGAAGCCCAAAGGACCACAAGAGGAAAACTTACAGATTTGTCTTTCACAAGGAGAGCACAGCACTGGATCCCAGCCATCAGCATCTTGTGTGGGTTCCAGGCCACAGAGTCAGCCCTATTGTTTAAACAAAGGGACAGAGTAGGGAGAGGACTCAATTAGTTTCTACAGGCAATGGAATACTATCATTATCAATATCTGCATTCAGTACTCATACATAGTTTACTGTTCTATAGAACTCCTTATCTGAGTGGTTTAAGGAATTTGGAGGGATTTTTTGTTGTTGTTTATTTAAGGAAAACAATTACTTTGTTTTTTCCTATTTTCAAAATATCACTTAGTCCAAAGAGATCCCTTTGCCTGACAAAAGTTGGCTGTACACCAGGAAACTACATTTACCTGTGGATGCCATGCAGAAGCTTGCGGTGCTTCCTCGACATCAAAGCTGAGCCACCCCAAGAAGCCTGTTGAGATATTTACAGTACCAGAACAATGTTATTTCAATGTTATTTGTTTACCAGTGGGTTGTCATAGAAAACCCTCAGTGAGGACCTCAATCTGCATTATTTGATATTTTATGTCATGTTAACTAATTTGTACCCCAGGAAATTCTGATCACTGGCTCTACTCAGGCAACCAGAACCTCATCACAATAGATGGGCCCTCACTGACCCTTAGAATTATAAATTCATGCATCATAAATTGGTATATTAACCAACTGAGCTATGTGTGGATGGAAGAGGTTCAAAGTCCATGCCCTCTTGAAGCTTAGACTCTAACATAGACAACATCTTCACAATGCTAACATTTTGCTATTCAGTGTATGATGAGACATGGGCTAAGGACTAGTATTTTATATAATGAATGAGGCATATTATTGACAAGGTAGATAGAAGGCCAACTAGGATGAGCTAGGCGGAAATATCTGTTAATGAAAAATTAGATCATTTTAGCTAAATGGCTTTCAGAAATATCTACAAATGAGAGAGAGGGCAAGCTTGGGACAAAAGGAAGTTATCCACTGGAGAAGTAAATTTTGTGAGCAAAGGAGAGGGGAGCTCAGATAAAATCCCATAGTCAACAGGTCTGGAGCAAAGGGAGAAAAATTGATGTAAGAAATACAAAAGTCAGTATGCTTCTTGAAAATGGTGCAGACATAAATTTTAATTTGTAGGACATTAAAGGATAACTGTATTGAGAGAATTTGAAGGGACTAGCTTGGGCTGTATTGAATGCTTTCCAAGTTGATTTAAACCTTACAGCATTCCATTAGGAATGGAGTTATGATCACTTCCACTTTTTATAAAGTTCAGAGGTGTTCAGGTAAATTGTCCAAGGTCTCGCCAATGACAAAAATCAGATCTGAGATTCAAAGCCCATTCTCCTGTCATGTTAACATCATTACTTAAGGAAGGTGACAATTTGGCCAAACTGGGGAGTATAGCATGTAGAATGAGGGTGACAGAGATGCTTTAGGCAATAGGTAAGTTCAGGGGTTGCTTAGGATGTAGCAACTTCTATTTTTGGCTATGGAATTTAAAGGCATAGGTAGACCTTAATATCATGTAAAAAGAAGTGGCATGGTTGGCTGCACCACAGATATGGAAGATAAAGAAAATGAAGTATCTCCACGATCCTCAGAGTATTACAAAATTTGGGCCCATTGGTAGCCAATAACAAGAAAGTACAGCACAAGCAACTTTGTGGCCTTAAATCCCACTTAAAAACAACTTTCATTGACAGCTGAGACTAGGGTGAAGTGAATGAGTCAGGGTGCATAATTCAAGGAAGAACTCATCTCAGAGCTGGACTCTTGCAAGGCCCTAAGAGTGAATGCTTCTTAAAATTTGAGCCCTGCCAACCCCACTGGCCTCATATTAGCACCAGCCTTGTCCCATGGACTAAAGGCTCCATCAACTCCATGGGGTCCCCAGAGGCCTGCGAGCTCTGATGTGTTTCAAGGGTGTTGGGTGTTCAAATCCCAAGGATTCCCAGGTAAAGAGTTAGTAACTTGGCATTATCAGTCAAATTCCCTTCCTGCTGCATTTCCTCCCTTACTTGGATTCACAATGGACCACGTGTGACTCAGGCTGAGCCACAAAGGCAAATGCCCTCAGCATCTAGGAAAATTTTATCCCCAGCCTACAACTGAGGATCTCCAGATCTGGATTTTGAGAACTTGGTCCTTGCAAATATTAAGATGTGTTACATATCACATTTTTCTTGACTTTCATTACATATTCTAAATCCTAAATTACCTACTTTTCTCACTTCTCTTATCCCCCAACCTCTCTGAGAACCTATCAGTGACAACTACAGGAAGGATTAATTAGTCCAGTCAGCCACACCTGTTTGCTCGCTCACACTTTCCACCTGCCTCATACCCTACACTTCTACTCCTTCATGCTCCCTGAGCTAGCCTCTGCCTCCACTGCTTCTCCAAAAAGGTAAATAATCTCCCAATTCTAGTGAACTGGATTTAAGTTTTGAAATCACAGGAACCCTTCCAAGGCATTAGTTCACCACTTCACAAAGTACTTTGGCAGGGTTAGGAACAGCTCATCCATAAATTTATTCCTTAAAAAAAAAAAAACACCCCTGATGTAAATGCCCTACTTTAATTTGCTGCACTCTAATTCCTAACTCCAGAAACTGTGAAATTATCAAACCTATCACCTAAATGATGGAGTTTGGCTTTCCATCTCAATAAAGACTGTCATTTATTAAGCTATTACTATATGTGAGGCACCACAGTATATCATTTTATATATATTTGTCTTTAATTAGTTAATAAATTAATAGTAGAACCAATCTTGAAAGGGAAGTGAAGGTAAGAATGGAATTGAGATTTGGCAGCCTCTAAAGGCCATGATTTTAAATACGTTTGTGCCTTCTATGGCACTTGGAATGAGGAATGGGTGAGAGAATAGGAAGCTTTGTTGGGAATGAGAGGCTTTCCAGCAGCTACAACCTCTGATTTTGAAGAAGAGCTAGACCAGCCCGACGTTTTGTTCTCAGACAGAAACTAGCATAACAATTGCCCTCATGAAGGAAGAGAACAGTACTGGAGTGAAAGAGTCTAATAAAACTAGTTTTTCTTATTCGGTTGTTTAAAAAACGCATTATATTACCAAATTGAAGACAGTATCAAATGTAAGCACCCCCATTTTTTGTGTACTACTAATAAAAATTGACATCAAAATATCAATTTCAGAGTTAAAATTTTTTTAAGTAAGTGCATCTTAGAATTAATAAAACATGGTATGTATGCAGAGCAGCATGGTTTTACTGAAAACCCAGAAGAACAAGTAAATGTCTTTTTATTTTTAAAAAGAGATAAACATCAGTTTAATATTTGAAAGAAGCTTTAAAATACTCTAGAAGATTTCAAACAGGTCAAAGCAATTATTGCAATTTGTTAATATTTTCTTTAATAAAGTACCTATGGCATATGAAGTTTCTTCAAGATAAGCTACATGTTCCTGTAGTAATATTTTATTGATTTGACACCCACAATACTAAAGGATGGGTAAACATGTCTTTAATAAGCCAGATAGGCTTGTGTCAAATTTAATCTAATACTATAGGCATTTGCCAGATGTATACTATGCACAAATAGGATAATTTGGTGTGGTTTACATTCCCTTATAAAGATGTTTTCTTCAAAGACTCAACCTTTAATTTTTAGAAAACCTGAAGAGCTTTTCATTCATAAATCACAATTTTCTCTAAGCCCCATAAATCTCTTAATGTCATTCCCAATTTAAAAGCTGCTGTGGTGACTGTTTTACATAAACTATTTACTTTTCTCCATTTTATACAAACTACATAAACTATATAATCCATATGTGATGTTTCTTTTATGAGAGTACAATATTTAGGTAGAACTGCTGATGTATTTGATTTTCCCCCTTATTTCCACAGTTACAAAAATGCTCACTTCATATTATCTTTTAGGATATAATGTATTGTTATGCTTCTAAGTCTATAAAAATCAATAAGATATAAGTTGAAATATGAACAGATACAAATGCTAAAATCCCGTTAACGAGTCACGGATAATCTACCTCAAGTATTGCCATTGGCATACTAATAGAAGCAATAACTCTAGTAAACTTTATACTACTGTTGCTTTTACAAATGTTAGTATTCAGTTAATGTAAACTTTGAATCATATCACAGACACTCTACTAGGTGATATGATTTGATTGAAATAAACACTTTGAAAGCATAAAATCATCTAAACTACAAAATTATGTGGGTATATCCCCCCAAATGCTGTTTCCTTTTGTTCAGCAAGTCAAAAAATATTTCTTCTGCCAAGGAGGATCTGAAACTATCACTTACCAGAGGAAAGCTCCCAAAACACCATGTGCAATTGTCTCTTTGGTTAGAATCAAACTAATTAACTGCTGGTTTCACACAAAAAAAATTAATTTTAAAAAAGAAAATTAAAAAGCTCCACAAGTGTTCATAGTTGGCTGAATTCAGCATTCTAACCCGGGATAAGTAGAATTTTTAAAGTTACCTTCGATTTAAGGAAATATGTATTTTGAATAACCGCAGGACTTACAAAAATTCTTTTAAAAAGCCAATCCTTTGCTAGAAAATAATGGAGTATATTATCCCAACCCCCCTCAAATAACTATCTGATAGATCCAGAGAAAATTTGCTTTAGTTATAGCATGCAATTATGCATTGTAGCTTTTTTGCATTTTCCAGCTGTTTGGAATCATAATTTTAGAGCTAGAAAGATACCTTACAGCCCACATCTACCATCCCCCCTCTTTACAAATGAAGAAATTGAAATCCAAAAGGCTAAGATCGCAATGAAGAAGAGGCAGATCAGAATTTCAAACCAAAGTCTCTCGGCTCCCTAACCTAAAATGGGTGCCTTACACCAGGCTGCTTCAATGACAGTAGATTTGAGGACCAAAGATGGCTCATGGGAGTAAAAGAAGCAAAATGGAATCCAGAAAGCTAAAACAAAATATACACAAAGTCGTGGAATCTTCTCATTTATACTTTACAAGAAAGTGGCATACTTATTTCCCCCAATTTGAGACACAAACAAAAGCGTTGGGGACTCCACATCTAGTTTCTGAGAATAAGAAAAATTTCTACCAAGGCTACAAAAAGACCAAAGGTTAAACAGGTATGTACACATAAATGAACTTACATCTACATGAAGCCAGAGGCTGTGCCTCTCGCAGATGTCTGCTATTTCATCCAGAGGGTCAAAAGCTCCCAACACAGTTGTACCAGAAGTGGCACAGACAAGAAACGGTGCTGCCCCCTGTAAGAAGGATCCACACACACAAAATTATCACTGTCATCACTAAATTTGTCCTGTAATAGCTGGAAAATATAAAGGGTTATGCATCCAGAGAGTTATTTGGGTTTTTTGGAGGTAGTCATTAATTCAATGGGTGTTTTTAAATTTTGTGAATATGTGGCCTCTTGGCATTATAAACAGATTAAGGAAACAGAAAATGCTATGGCAATAGCATTTTCTGTCCCAACTCAGTACATCTTCAGTATTATTCTCATGTTTTTTGTAATGTTTTGTTCTATCAATTGTCCAGATAGAAATTTAATAACTTCAGCTGCAACAGCAAACTGACATTTTGTATGACTCCTAATTTCTTCCTGAAAAAATACATTTAGCCTCCATTGTGCCATCATTGTCATCTTCTCAAAAAAAAAAAAAGGTTGGAAGACAGAGCTCCCGGAGTAAACCATGCAGGCCTGTTTGCTCATCTCCTTGTAAAGTAAGTGCAGTTATAAAACAAAGAATGTAGAATATTCTCAGGTACAAATTCAGCATCAGAGGAGATAAGGCAACCTCACTGGGATACATTCTCCAAAATAGGTGCTGCAACAGAGAAATCCATTGGCATGTGCTGGAAAAGAAAATCTGTGTCACTTCTATCATGGTTATTCCTCCTCATATAGCTGATGACTGCATCTTGTGGCATGAACGGGTACTGGTGGGAAATAGAGAAGAAAAGGGAGAATGTGGGTGCACACAAACAGATGAATGGTTATCTCGGTCAAGCTAGTCACATGCTTTGTCCCCATTAAAGGACTCTATGCCAATCAGATAGATGAAGAGTACATGAGATTGTTTCCAAATGGATTGCTCCAGGATGGTGGTAGAGATGTGTTGCTCGCTGTGTAGGTGAAGTTTGCAGACAAATGTGGGGGTGAGGGGAGCAAGTAGAATATTAAGATTCTAGAGCACCTGAGAAATAGACAAGAATATTTACTGCCTCTGAAAGTTTAGTGCCTCTAAAAGTTATTTTTTTCTCCATTTAGCATGGAGCCATTTTTTCCCCTCAGTTTTATAAAGTGCATGCTCATTGCAATACATTTTTATGTCCTTTAATGCCAGGGATTATTGTGTTTGAACCAACTCTTTCCAATTTAACCGACTTTTGACAGAAAGATGTTATTTCTCAATGGAAAGTGGGGCAGAGCAAGAATATGTGGTTCGCCTCTCTAAACTGAGATGCATACGGATCAAAGTGGTGGTATATAACAAATCCATTTGCCATCTTGGGAGACAGCTGTGGCAAATAGAATCAATCCCATCTACCCAAAACTTTTAGAGCCAAGTCAGTAGGTGACAGAGCCCTGGAGAAACCAGAGGCTTTGAAACTTCTTCCCTGTATTCAAACTACTGACAACTATGGCTTTATCATACCAGTGACCTAAAGGACATAAGACCAGCTTTACACCAATCATTAAAATCATTAAAAGCAATAGAAAAATAATTTACTAAAACCATTTAAGTTGTCTTTAATGGTTGCGCTTTTCCTCATAAACTATATGACATCCTGACAGTCATGAGAAAATACATTTGCAAGCTATTATAGCCTATTAATGAGTTTTCCTCACCTTTAAAAAAAGATCTCATTAAAAATACAGGACCAGAAATTAAACTTTTGCGATCTGGATTTAACCTAGACTTTCTTCCCCATATCTCCTGCTGTTAATGAGAATTCAGTAGAAACAGTATTGATGGCATGCTGCCAGTGAGCTGTATTGTCTAAGAAAATTTGTCATTTCTAACACAACTCTAACAAAATGTCTCTAAATATTCAATGTTCATCCTAGTTTGAGCTTGTCAGTAAGCCCTTTAGGACCTCTGATGCTTTGTGTTTTTCACCATCTATGTAATGACATCAAGACAAGGTCACTGCAACAGTTTTTCAATGGATTGTCATAGGCCAGGGAGTTGAATCCCAGCAGAAAAAATAGTTGATGGTACTATTCCTCATATCTGAAACAACATAAGTTAAAAGCTTGAAACAAAACAACTAGGCCTGAAGCTACTGAGAAAAAATGAACCAGTCATCATGTATTATTATCTCAGAATGGATGCAAGGTTTGTCCTTGGTGAATCCAGGCTCAAGTATTAGCTGACTTGAAAGAAAACTGAGGAGACGTACTAACTCTAACCCCATTGCCCTACTTTTAAATGTGCCTAAAGCAATTTTTACTTTTCAAAAACTTACTTTTTTGAGTTCTCAACTTTAGTATTATGTCCGTTTCATGTACTTTCACTGTCAAAACAAAAATTTGAGCGACAAAAATGATAATGACTGTGGTGGAATAAAACCCTCTATGCTAGAAACATGAATTCCTAATGACACTAAAAAAAAATGGGGATTATCTTTAGGGGATGCTAGGCAACAAACTCACTATTTTAAAAATTGATAAATAAGGGGAAAGAATAAGACGTTTATCCTGTCTTGCCTGTGCAGTGTTTCCTTAGGGAAACAAAATGAGGAGGAATATTTTTCTTTATAGTAGAATGCCTGACAATAAAGAAGGAAGGAGAGAAGGAATTAGGACATCACTTAATGAAATAATGGGTCTAGACAATGATCATCAATGGCAGCAAAAACCACTAAGTGAGAAGCTGATGGAGTGGAGGGTATTGTGATGGATGGACTGACGATACCAGACCCCACCAATCAATGTTATTACAAAAGAGACACAGGATGTCTCCTGATGGCAGGAGCCAATGAAGCCTCCCTGGTTTTAAAAAAAGAAAAATACAACTTAAATCTCATTGAGTCTCAAGATCTAACTGCCAAATTACAGAAAATATAAAGAACAAACCGGATGGTGCAGAGGAGGTGAGCACTTAGGGTCTCAAATTCTTGATGTAATCCACAAAAATCTATAATGTGGAAAGCTATATGGGACAAAAGACCTGATCTTTTCAACAAATCAATGGTAGTGGGGGGAAAGAGGAGGAGGAGGAAGCTATAGATCAGAAAACATTTACATTTGACGTATCAACCAAATGCAATTTGTGAACTTTATTTGAATCCTTGATTCAGACAAGTCAACTATTTTTTTTAAAAGGGCAATGGGGAAATTTTAATATACACTGAAGATTTGATATTAAAAATTATATTTTAAACAAAACTATGGTATGTTGTTTAAGCAAGTACGTATCCTTCATAAATATACTCAACTATTTATAGATCAAATGGTATTATGTCTGGGGTTTGCTTCAAACCTATCTAGTGGTGGTATGAGGGTATGTGGTACAGATGAAATAGGAGCATGAGCCTAATGACTGCTGATTACAGAATGGGTATATGAAGCCTCATGATATTAGTCTCTTGGTTTTTGTGTGTTTTGGTTTTTTAGGAAACATTTACAATTTTTTGTAATGAGAAGTTTAAAATTTAAGAAGTGGGGAATAGGGAATGGAGAAAGGGAGGAAGGAAGGAGAAATGAGGGAGGGAAGAAAGACAATCATGACACAATTAATATTCCCCACCAACAAGCATTAACAACATAATGCAAATTATTTTTGATAGGAATTTATGTAAAAAGAAATGAAACTAAAACTAGAAAACAATATCTGTGGTTCTCAGCAGAACGAACTTACAAGTTGTTACTCAGAATTATACCAGAGTCAAAGAAATCTGATCATGCAAACCACCAGATAACAATAAAGTTCACTTGTCATTGGAATGTTTAAAAAAAAAAAAAAAAAAAAAGTAGGACACACACCTGAAGTCAATACATCTGCAATAATGGCAGAAATTTTAAATACAGAAGTTCAAGCCAAATATTGTGATCTAGCATTCTCCAGGACTAGGTAGTTTTTATGAAAACTTGAAAAAAAAAAGTACAACAACAGAACTATAATATTCAAACTTAAAAACATTAAAAAACCCATCCTTGTTAAAGTATGAACTCCTATGAGGATAGATACACTTGTATCCCAGCTCAGGAGCCAGGCTTTTTATTTTTCAGTAGTCATGCCTGCCTTTGTTGCTACCTATTGGAAGGTTATTGGAGAACGGTCTGAAGCTCCATCAGCAGGCAGCGGTGGGATGGGAGAGAAGCAGCAAATCTAGCAGGCTTTTGGTCCAAAAAGCAAAATGGCTGAGACCAAAATAATGATACACCTTTTTTTTTTTTTTTGAGATGGAGTCTTACTCTGTCTCTCAGGCTGGAGTGCAGTGGTGCGATTTCAGCTCACTGCAACTTCTGCCTCCTGGATTCAAGCGATTCTCCTGCCTCAGTCTCCCGACTAGCTGGGATTACAGGCATGCACCACCACGCCCGGCGAATATTTTGATATTGTTGGTAGTGACGGGGTTTCACTGTATTAGCCAGGATGGGCTAGATCTCCTGACCTCATAATCTGCCCGCCTCAGCCTCCCAAAGTGCTGGGATTACAGGCGTGAGCCACCGCGCCCGGCCTAATGACACCCCTTTTTAAAATGCAGGTGTTAAGGCCAGCCTTGGCTGGAGCACAGCAGGTGCCCAGAGCCATGCCTTGCCTTCTCCAATATTTCAGTTCTAATATATTCTAGCAGCTAAGGAAGAAAGGATGTTCTGTCACTGAACTACTAGATACAGACCCAACAGGGGTTGATAGTAATAGATGGGTTTGGGATTGGAAGCAACCTGGGAGAATAGGTTGGTCAAGAAATCAAAAATCACCCTGAATACAGCCCAGAGAAAATTGGTTTGTCCTGCAGATTTCTCAGAGGGAGGAATTATAAGGAGAGGAGAGGCTAGGGCCCTGCTGGAGAGGCTGGATTGATCCTTAGAGCTGCTTCTAGCCAAGAATCCTGAATACGGGTGATTTCAGTGTTTTAATAGTCTCCAGCCACCTGGGAACAAGAATAT
Source organism: Homo sapiens (assembly GCF_000001405.40). Taxonomy (NCBI): domain Eukaryota; kingdom Metazoa; phylum Chordata; class Mammalia; order Primates; family Hominidae; genus Homo; species Homo sapiens. Next base: position 30,843,988 of record NC_000003.12, read on the forward strand.
CCGGGAAACTCCACAGAACATGGAGAGCCAAGCACTTGGAAATAGAACATCTGTAAATGAGTTTTCCTATTTTAATTCCAACATTCTCTCTCCTCTCTCCCACACATAGAAATGGTTTTGGCTGTTTGCATTCTCTCCTTGCTATTCCCTCTCTTTCATAAGCGCGCGGGCGTGCGCGCACACACACACGTTCTCTCTCCCTCTCGCTTTCTCCCCTCTCACCTCTTTTCTGGCTTGCCAGACTTGCTTCTCCAGTTCCTCAGGTATCATTTTACCTCTAAGGGACAAAGATTTGAGACTTTCAGTTATGTTTAGTAATTAACAGATAATGATACTGCTTTATAAACCATATAAACTTTTCCCTCCACCCACCAGGCTTCCAGATCCTGTTCCCATTACCTTCCATCTGTTTCCACAAAGCAAACATTCTCAGTGCCAATCCCAAGAAAAGAGGCTGCCTTCTTCATAGAGTAATGACACTGAATTCAAAGGGACAGTGGGGAAGGGGGAGACATGAAAACATAGCACAAAAAAAGCATTGCTTATTATCAAAGGTAGATGAAAGTATGGCTGAGCACAATCTTTGGGACATTATTGCATAAAAAAGTAATTTAATTGAGCTCCTTAGCATAGTGGTTGAGAACATTCACTTTGGGGTCAGAGAAACCAGGATTGAACGTCAAGTATTCCAGTTACAGCTATGGAATCTTGAACAAATAATATACACTCTCCAAGCCTCAATTTCCTACTCTTTAAAGGGATCATGCCAATAATGCCTACTCCATCTGCTCGTGCTAGACAAAAATGGGTTAATAATATATGTAGAGGGCTTAGCACAGAGCCTGGCACATGGAACAAACTAGGACACCGGAGGCTGTTGTTTTCCATCCCATTGAGAAAAGTAAAGTTTCTCCTGATGCTCCTCATAAGACTTAGTATTAATGGAAACTTAGAATCTAGTCCACTGCTGACTTGAAACCCTCTAAGGAGAGGGCAAGACTCTATCTCAAAGATTGCAATCACAGGCTAGAGAGGAATCTAATTATTTCCTAGAGCAAACAATGAGTTATAAGTGCTGATCAGACACTTGACCAATCTTGTTTAATACTGAACACAAGACTGAAACACCCAAGAATGTGGCTAAAATCCTAAGAACAAAAGTAATAATAGACAAACTACTTTACTCAGCTATGGCATGAGTGAGGCTAATAGATGAATATGGAATTAAGTCTGGTCTATTTCTTATTGATAAATAGTAGTGTGTGCTTTACATTATTGGGCCTTCTCTATACTACATGAAGCCCATAAAATAATTAGCATGCAAACATTGGATATGTCGCTCTTCATACATTAGTGAGGACAGGTGGTCAATTAATTCTTTTTCTTGCCAGAAAAATGAAGGTGCTAAAGGACATTATTGTACCAAAAAAAAATCTTAGTAATTTGTAGGTATGAATACATTAAAAGAGTAGTCATGCCTTCACACTTCACTTGATATATTCCCTCAAATGTGGTAATTTTTTTCCTTTTGTCAGGAGAGTTTTATTGGGAGCTCTTTTTTTAACTCTGTAAAAATAAATGCAGAAGTAACATCAGGAAAAATGAAACCGTTCTAAATAATTAATTTCCAAATATCAAATAGGACATGTCCAAAATGCCTGTAGGATGCTTTTATTTCAGGTTGTTAAAAGACCATATGCATATTGAAGAGTAATAATGTACAAGAAAGTGTAATTAATTCTCTACTTGCTCCACCAGCCTATGCTGGCTGGCGGTAACCTGCCTGCCATAGCTAAGGTGACATAGCTCGGGTGAATTATTTCTCACCAGAGAGTTGAGCTCTGGCAACCAAACAGCTATTGATTTCATAATGATAAATGCTAGCCTACCCCACTGACATCTAACTATAAGGAAAAGCACAATGCTCTCCCCCTGAGAAATAGCAAAATATCTCCAACCAATGAATCTGCTGAATAAAAATCTTGTAATCAGAATTAGAAAAGTGGAGCTATCTTTAAGTACCTGAGGGCAAAATACAACCCAATGTCAATCTGAGATAGATAGATCAAAAAAAAAAAAAACAAAAAACTGCAAAACTGAAGTTTAAACATCTGAAAGCTTCAGAGAAGGAAGAGCCCTGGAAGGGAGAACAAAAGAAGGTGATGCTTCAGACATGCTGAGTAGTTTCAAGGAAAGGAAAAACCTAGAAGGCTGGAATTCAGAAGTAACAACTGCATTTAGAAACAAACAGTGGCGTTTCTATCATTGGCAAAAGATAAGTCAGTTGTTCTAAGACTCAACCTCCCCACAGGTTTCATAAATCTACAGAAGACGAAAAAAACTCTCAGCGGGTGTTCATTTCTATAAAGATAAAATAGCAAGTGCCTACATGAAAGAGAGCATTGAGCTGGAGTTTTACTTTCTGGCTCCCACAAGGATTTTTTTCTATGACCTTGAGCTTCTCAATGAACTGCTGCTTTCTCCTCAATGTACACTGTGCCCTGGACACCTGGACTCCAGTGCTGACTAATTTGATTCTCAAGTTAGCTGGTAGAGAGAACGGGGTATATAAATGTACACTGTGCCCTGGACTCCAGTGCTGACTAATTTGATTCTCAAGTTAGCTGGTAGAATGGGGTACATAAATGTTACATTTTAGAGAATGAACAAAAAGAGTGTCCAAGGGATGTCTCTAACAACACACAGCTGGTTTAATTCCCCAAGAGGCCAGAACCAGAAGCCAGATAGACTGAACCCAGCCTCATGCTCTGCAGGATGTCCTACGAAGCACCTGCTTGCCCGTGGAGAAGACCTGCAATCACATCCCATCGCAACTCAACCTCAGCCCTCACCCAGCAATCAGGAGGAAGAGAAAGAGGCACCTAGAGTGCAAAATTTAGAGGCATGACCCTGAGACACACCCTACATAACTCACTTGCCTCTCCTGGCCTAAGCCCTGCTAGAGAGGAGCTAGCCCATTGATTACTGGCCTGGGAGGTAAGGGTTTCTTTTTACCCTACTTTTTAGTGGCAAATCATAATTACTGCTTTATGCTAATTCCAGAAGTGATCTGAAATATACAGGAACTTTACAAACACGGGATTTCTATACACCCAAGAAATTTATATCAAAGTGCAAACCAAGACATAGATTTATTACTTTTATTTCTCCAAAAGTCCCCTTCTCTTAGATGCCTATTTAGCACTAGAGAGGCAACCTTGGATATATTGACAGTGCAAAGGTCTTTGTCATGACCTTGCAGGTCTTTATCAATAGTAAAATTACAATAAAAGCCTAACACATGCAAAAACACCTTCAGTGGTGGGTACGTATATTCTGCACTGGATGGTGCAAGATAGAAATGGAGTAATTTGGGGTAGCACAAAAACTGGAAAAGACTACCTAATATAACAGTACTGGGCCATGGACCAAACCCTTAAAAGAAAATAAGGGAGGTATAGCAAAAAGACTAACGCAGAGTTTAAGACTGTTTACTAAACACAACCTTCTTTAATTCTTTAATGAAATAGATGGATTTGTTGTAATAAGTAGTAAAGGCAGTCAATAAAATATGAATTAAAATAGTGCAAATGCTATAACCTGACTCTTTGAGTAGGGAAAGGAATGAGCTGCAAAGTAGTGTCTTGACCAATGGAGTCAAAATATAAATTCAAGGCTACAGTGTGCTCGAAGTGATGTAATTTTTCTGTGGAATTCACACCTAGTTCTTGGTTTTTCTGGCTCCAGCTTCTGCTGACATGTTAGCCAAGGCATATATTTTGCCTCTCTTTGGAAAGTTTTTAAAAACCACTTAGTTATGGTTTCACAACTACATAAGGTTTCAATTTCTTTTCACTCCCAATTCATAAGCCCCACCTGTTACTGATCTTTCCCAGGCGTAATCTCTGTTCTAGGCTTCCACGTAATATCTTTTCCCTTTCCATGGTAATTATTCCAGAAAAGAACTCCAGCAAGCTTTAAACCAAATGAAGAATGAAAAAGGCAAAAGTAAAAAACCTGAGCTGATAACCTGGGCGCTATTTAATCAGCTTTCCCAAGCTTGGAAATAGCAGTTTGAATGCAGAAGAGACTCTGCATTTATTATCCACTGGGGTCCCTCACATTGAAACATCCAGGGCTGAAGCATGAAGAAGGAAACTCTATTCAATAACAATCCCAAATAATCAAGTACTTTTTCCCAGCTGTCCACATTACCAAACATTCTTCTCTTGGTACAGAAGGAATGACTTATGAACAAGAGCCTCGAATGGCTGAGTTAAGAATCTCAGGCTAGATGATTCCTCCCAGTTGCCTCCTGTCACTCAACTCCCACTTTGCACTTAGTGCTGAAAGATCCAGAGCAAAGGTCAGAGTGAGAGGAAAACATGAGAGTGGTCATATTTTCTCCTACTGAGGAGAAATTAGTGCACAATTTGTCCTTTTGCAATAAGAAACTAACTTTTGTATTTAGAAGAAAATGATAGATACAGGAAAGCCTAGCTGGAAATAACAGACTCTCAGTTTTTTATTTTGTCCACTTCATGTTAGTGGCAGGATACCTGATATTATCTCAGAAGGTAAGAAGCTAAACTCATTCTGCCAAGAACCTGGGTGATGAAGCAGTGGTAGAATAGACGGAGGCATCCACTAGAATCACACAAGAATAGGAAAGGGAAAAAATCTCTTCCAATAAAGGCTGCACTTAAGCCGTGCCATCTACTTCTGCCCACCTTGTTGCAGCTGGAACATTCTCCTAGTAACAATTATAGTTAATATTTTAAAAAATCTATTATATCCCAGATGACACTTTACATGCAATTACTCATTTAACATTTGCCAAAACTCACTAATCAGCAACTACTGCGTGGTTGCTGGATTGTTCTAATGGTTCCAGTTGTTCTCTGTTCCGTGTATTCAAATCCTTTGCCTGGTGACTTTACAGCAAGTCCCCCCATGAGGTTGTGGGGTCTTTCTTCCCACATCTTGGGTCTGGGCTCACAGATGGGATTTTGCCAAGAAAATGAGGCAGAAGTAACAATGGCCAGTTCTGAGGCTAAGACTCAAGAGGCCTGATGTGTTGCCATGCCCTTTTATACCTGCACCATTGCCATGAGGACACACCTAGACTGACCTGATGGAGAATGAGAGACATAAGGAGCAGAGAGGCATCACTGGAATCATCCCAGCTGAGCCACTCGTAGATGGGCCATCAGCCAGCCAACCCCTAGACATGGAAGGGGGCCCAGCCAAGAGCAGCAAATCTGCCCAGCTATCTTGAGACTTATAAGTGATAATATACAGTTATAGAATGATAACTCTATATTTGGGGTGATTTGTTGGTTATAAAAGCTAAGTGATAAACTTATTTTTACAAATTTAGGAAACTGAGGCACAAAGAAATTAACTCACTCAAGGTTACTCAGACAGTAAGTGACAGAGGCAGGGACTGAATCCAGGCAGCCTAACTCAAAGCCTATGCGCTTATCTACTGTCTGACCCACCTACTTTAGTGGAGAGTAAAATAAGAGATGGAGAACTGTGGCAATATCTGTGTGTGTGTGTGTGTGTGTGTTTTCATTGTTACTGTATATCTTTCTTTTCCCTGGAAAAGTAAGATACACATCCCTTATATTAGCCAATCAAAGCAATCATTTTAAAAGGAAATGTGAGTAGAAGACATAGCTGAGATCCACAGTGTTCATCTAAGTACTAACAAATAAGACATTCAAAAAAAGAGATTCACAGAGATAGCACTTTCAAATTAAATATTCTTTTCTTAAAATGTTGTTACAGACTATAAATTTTAAATAAAGGTAATTATACAAAATTGGACCAGGCGTTACAACATCAAACTCGTTAGAATTTACTTTGGAATGAAATACTATGTTATACTGCAGCATATTAGTCACATGGGTATAGGACAAAATCACATCAGGAATCTTCAAACAAAGCCCTCTTAAATATGCTTTCTCAGAAAATCTATATTCAATACCAAAAATAATTTTTACCTCTGCAGATGTGAAAAGGATTAATCTTGGCGAACCAGACAGCCCCTTTTCCTTAATATCAGGACAATATTTGTATCTAGCTAAATTCATTGCATACATATTGGACACTGAGCCACCTGCAAAAACAAAATTAAAATGGCATATTTATAGCATGAAGTTATAGCTCGCAAAATGCTGAATACAGTGGAAAGCATGAATGGCCATGACTGCTCTAGTCTAATGAAAAATCACCGTGAAAAGCACATGAACACCGACCTCCCTGCTCCCATTATTCTGAATATTTTATTACATACCCTAATCTCTAATTCTAGAACTTTTATTCTTAGAAGATAAATTTTGGTTTATTCCCATGACAGGCTTTTTTTCAAACCAAAAGTCTCAATCTGTGAGCTCTGGACTTAGGGCCTTTACCTAGGTCTCCATAGTTAATATTCTTTGTCACCTAATCAATAAAATTGAAATAATATTTGTTGGTCTCTGGCTACAAAAAAGGACTACAGGATAAACAAATGTAATTCAGAAATCTTCTCAAGTAAAATTTGATTTTAAAATTTAGAGGACTTACAGCCCTTCCAAACTTCCAGCATCAAATCGATTCATTTGTGTTAGATATAAATCCTAAACTGTAGGCACCTCATTCATTAAGTATGTATGTCATCTATTTAGCATTAATACAAAATATTATCACTCTGGAGAAAGGCATAAGCTAGATTCTCAGCAAGTAGAATTATTAATATCCAACTTTTTGTCGTGTATAAATCTGCAAGGAGTTGTTCCTCATGGATAAATTTTTACGTGGTTGTATTGGAAGGTTGATATCAATAACTAATTGTACTCACCTGGGTTAAATATTCCATCCCCTTCTTTCCAGCCAATAAATTCAATCATTTTCTTCAGAACCGCTTCTTCCACTAACAGAAACACTGGGGACACCTCATACGTATAACTAGATAGATATAAAAAACACTTCACTTCTATGACTAGAGTCAAAACATTCCTTTGGTGTCCCAAGAAATGCACAGAGTTCTATTAAACCAAGTGGCTGCTGAAGTGTAGGCAGTCTTTGGAAATTTATCCATTGAAAATAGAGAATTACTCCATCAGTGACAGCACTAGTCATGGTTAGATAAATGCCAATAGCTTGTGGCCTCAGGGATCTGCAAGTTGCTGCAGCAGTCTTTCGAGAAAAACCTCAATTCCGTGAGGAGCAATAAAGGCAATGCATTTGCGTGCTATGTATTAGCCATGAGCAGTGGCCATTTCACTCTGTGGATGCTTGGAACACTGACTTGGATGCTGTTGATGGTCAAAGAAAATCCATTGTCATGGTAACCAAGTTTTATCAGATTACTGCCATGAGTATGCTAACAGTCCCCTCTAGATATTCTAAGTGGAGACTACTCCACCTGAACCAGGGCTTCCTCTACTACACTCTCTGTGTCTGTATAAATGAGGAGTGTTTTGTGAGACATCTCTTATGTGATAATTTTACTGCAAAGCACTACCCAAATCCCTTGTCAATGAAGGATGTGTTGCTCCGGGCTGGAACGCTGTTGTCAGAGCATTGATGTTTTAGCCCCTTTAGAGATTGCCTTGGCTGCAGGGAGCTACCTCCTCCAGGGTCACACCCATTCTTGTGGTGGTCTACACCTGATAACTGCTGGAGATGTAAAGGCCTAGCCGTCTGGGCCTAACTCCAGACCCCTCTTGAAGGGCCACTGTAGTTCCAGAGATCTCCGAGCGTCAGCCAAGATTGTCATGGAGCCTGCGTGGCAATTTGACTCCTATACTTGCCCTTTCTTGCATCCTCCTCCTCCTTCCCCAGGTCGTCACTCATGTTGATCCCAAGGGTACTCCTTAATAAACGTCCCACTCACTAAACACCATCTAGAGCAGCATTCTTGGGAACCCACATTGTAACAGTCACCATGCCTTGTTTGATATTTATTTTCTCTCTCCAGACAACTTGAGGGTGACTACATATCTATGATCTCCTTTTCAATTGAGGGATTACATTAAATTGTATCTGAATAAATGTGTACTCTAAATATGTAAGTTAAGCAGACACATTTAGATTTATAGTCACAGAATTTAATGCAATTATTTTAACATCTGGAAAGGAAAACTTTGGATTGAGGCATAAAAGCTGGTCACCTACTATGTATCACCTACTATTTATCACCTACATATGTGTCAACTCTACAGATGTTATGCCATCTTAAAAATAAGATAGATTCAGCTGGGTGCAGTGGCTCATGCCTGTAATCTCAGCACTTTGGGAGTTCAAGGCGGGTGGATCATAGGTCAGGAGTTCAAGACCAGCCTGGCCAAGATGGTGAAACCCCATCTCTATTAAAAATACAAAAATTAGCCACGCATGGTGGTAGGGGCCTGTAATCCCAGCTACTCAGGAGACTGAGGCAGAGAATTACTTGAACCTGGGAGGCGGAGGTTGCAGTAAGCTGAGATCATGCCACTGCACTCCAGTCTGGGCAACAGAGCAAGATTTCATCTCCAAAACAAAATTTAAAAAGATAGATTCTGTTTCTTAACCACGTTATGAAGCCAGTGTACATACACAAAAAGTATGAAAAAAGCATATATTTATGTGAACCTACAAATATATATAAAATAGTTACTTTCATAATAAAAAAAAAAAGTATTTAGCCTGTCTTTGAAAACTGGCTCAATTATAAACCTAGGAATCAGCCTGGAGGGTGGAGGAAAAGATAAGATAGAACACACTCATGGGTTGGCATATTTTGAGTGGATGGTTTAGCTTAGCAGCAATTTAACACTCCTTTAATCTGAAATATTTAGAGATTTTTGAACTTAGATGAAGAGTTAGAAAACCTGGGATATACAAGAAAAGATTGAAAAAGGTGTGTAATTTTACTGTCTCTCCTGACTTACCCTCACTGTAACTGATTGTAACCTGGTATCTGCTGTCATCACTCCATCAAAACCTCCCTAAAGTTGCCAGTGACGTCCATGTAGCTAATCCAGTGGATGCTGTTTAGGCTCTTAGTTGAATATTCAACAACATGTGACACTAGGCATGCTCTCCTCGTGGCTGCCACAGCTAGCCTTTTGTTTTTTTCCTTCTATTCTCGCCATTGTAAGCTGACCCTGTTCCTCCTAACCATTAAATGTTAGATGTCCTCAAGGCCCAGTATTGAGCCGCCTTCTCTCCCCACTCTATACTCTGTCCCCTAGGCAGTGGTTCTTTATCTTGGCTTCCCATTGAAATCACTTGTTGAACTTTCTAAATATATCAATGCATGGGGCACAGCCACAGAATTTCAGATTTAATTGGCCTGGGTTGGCACCCAGGTATCAATACATTTTTATAAAATTCTCAAGTGATTTTCATGAATAGTCAGGGTGGTGAATCACTGACATAGGAAGTCTCATCCACGTCCACCATTTCAATTACCATAATTTCACTGATAATTCTTAAGTTTATACCTTTCATATAGACATCAGAATTCCAAGCCCATATATTTCTCAGCTTAGTTCCTATGCATTCTTGGATATTTTAAAGTCACTGCAAACTCAAATGCCCACAACTGAAAATGTAATGCTTGCTCTTGCCTCCTTCACCATATACTTGAAAACCAGTTCCCTCTCCCAGTGCTTATTTCTATGAATGATATGACCATGAACCTAGCTATGAAAGCCAGAAACCCAGGCATTGTCCCAGGAGTCTTCTCCCTTTTACTGTTATTTTCAAGCTGTGTATCCCATCCTTTCTGTTTTATTTTTTGAACTCATTCTTTCCCGCTCTATTCCTATCTCTTCTCTCCAAGTCCGAGCTACTTTCCTCTCTCACCCGACTAAAGTAATGCCCTCCTAACGGGTCCCCTCCAACCTATTTATATTTTTAGAGATTTTTTCAGTAAGAAAATGGCACCTAGTGACTTAGAAACCTTCAATGGCTTTTTGTTACATTTAGAAAGACTCATAAACATGGTCACCTGGGCCCTATATGTCTGGCTTCTATCTCTCTCTCTCTTTCTCTAGTCTTATTCTCCACTACAGTCCTGTAACTCTCTCAGCTGTACCCACACTGGCCTTTCAGTTCATAGAGAATGGCATGCTGTGTCCTGCCACAGGGCCTTTATACATGTCATTCTGTCTATTTAGAACTCATCCCTCACCTTATCACCTAATAACACTTATTCAGTGTCAACTGTCATCTTTGCAGAGCACACTCTCCTGAGCTTCCAACTAGGAAAAATTGTCCCATTCATATGAATACTTAGAACACTTTGTACTTTTCCTTCAGATGAGAGTTTGGATTTTACATTAATTTTTGTGGACCACTTCGATTAGCATTTTTATACCAGATATTATGCTCCATGAGGGCAGAGTCAAGGTTTATTTGTGTTCAATATGTCTCTCCATCACTTAGCACAGAAAATGACTTTTCATGCAAGAACAAATAAAAAATTGCCTAATCAATTTTCTCATCTGTTAAATCTCATTAAATGAGATAATAATGACTGCCTTTTCCATCTCACGGTACCACTATTTAAATCAAATAGCTATTTGAATACTGATAAGTATCATAAAACTATTCCATTATTTGCGATGGCACTATGCAAAAGAAACCATTAAATAGAGATTTTTGAAATAAAATTTCATCTACTTAAAGTCTCTAATCCACGTTTGGTGTGAAATTTCTATAGCATGGCACTTACACACTTGGATTCAATGCTTCGGTCATAAATCGGGCCACCAAGGAGTAATAATCAAGTCCAGCATACAATTGGTTGAAAAATCTTGGGTGGTCTGTAAATTTAAAATGGAGTATTCATCTATGCAGCAATAAAAAAAAAAACTACTGATACAGCATTAACATAAATGAATCTTTCAGAAAATGAAAGCAGACACACACAGAAGAGTTATATATAACGTAATTCCATTTATATGACATTCAAAACCAACAAAGCTATCTAAGGAGATGGCGGTTAGAATTCTAGGTACTTTGTGGAAAGAATTATGGATTGGGAAGGGACTTCAGAGAGCCTCTGGAGTGCTAGAATTGGTCTATATCTAGATCCAGGTGATGGCTCCATATGCACAGCTACGTACAAATTCATCATGCCGAGCAATTAAGATTTGTGCACTTTACTGAATATAAATTATACCTCATTCTAAAAAAATCCAAAACAGGATCATGCGCAAGGAAAAACATGTTGAAGACACATCGTAGAGCCCTTTCTACTGGTCAGTGTTTGTAAGTAAAATCTGAGTTGTCTTTTAAGAGCTTTGATTTACTTGCTCCTCTTTTTTACAACCCAGACCCAAACCAGAACCCTTAAATAATTATTTGAACACTATTTGTCCAAGGATCACAGGGTACTGCCTTTTTTTCTGAAAATATCAATATTAACTTCTCACTTCATATACATTTCACTCACAGCAGAGTTCACCCCAGGCTATGGCACTGAGCAGCCTTTTCATTTTTCAGATTGGACCCATGCGACTGGCAGTATATAGATGGAGTAAGATGTGACTCACTATGCGGCTTACATACACTTCTGATTCAATTTGCTTGAAATGCAATCGCCTTTAAGAGACAAACAATGGCTTGTTCCAATTTTAATTTTTTTCCCCCCTCCTATAAAAGGTCTCATAAAGGTTCTTGGCTTTACACCATGTGAATAATCACACCATACACCCGGCTAACTGGCTTGGCATTCTCAATCTCAGGAAGCTCAGCATGACAGAACAAAGAGGCAGGAGGTCTATTTCTACATTTGAGTATTTGGGAATCATTTAATTTGGTGACCTCTCATTACAACTTACAGCATCTGGTTTTAGTTTATTTTAGTTTTTTTTTTCTCTCTTTAGGGGTTCAATAAAAAAACAAGTCTCAAAAGAAAATGTCTTTTCAGCTTAAACATGGAAAACTTCCTCTGATCTGGCAAAAAAAAAAAAAACGGCATTGCTACAAGTAATTTTAATAAGTTTTTTTTAGTTCTGTGTTAATTTATGATTGATTTCCATGGTAACATGGAAAATATCCAGTAAACTGAAAAATCTACTGCATTAAATGTCATTCTGCACTTTTGACATGCACTGGTAATAATAAGATACATATCTCTGCTTTTGAAATGCTAACTGAGTTTTTGATACATACACCAGACTTTCCCAAAGGAATATAATCCAATTATTTTTAGCCAGAATTTTACTATGTTCTTTCCACTAAACTTAGTCCAGTGTCAGAATTTACAAAGTAATGCCTGTATGATCTTAAGCGCTAGATACCTTTACATTACACTGACAAATATTTTGGAAGATTATTCTCCCATTTTTGAAACTTGTTCGCTGGATGAACAGGATATTAACAGGTAAGCTAGAATGGTGCCTCAGTGTAAGATTGACATCACATTACTGCACGTACAAAGTTCACAGTAGTTATGACATCACTGTGAAATAATCTCATCAAAAACTTGGAATGTATTCATTTGTCTTATATCCATCTAAGGGCTTTTATTTATTTGTTTTTGGTACAGCCAGATTTGATCAAATAGTTTGGCAATTACCAACTGCCAAGAGTTAATCAGTGTCTTCCAAATAAATCATTTCTGTTTATATTAAAGATACCTTTTGAACACTTTTTTTGCATACTCTGGGCCATCAAGATTTAAAATCCCTTAACAAATTTATATAATCAAAATACTATTTGCCAGTTTGGTCTAACACAAGAAATGATAAGTAGCAGTGATAATATATGATCTTGATTACAACTAGTATGTGGGGGTTGGCAAGGAGAAGAGGATATTTACATACAAACACTAACACCTACAGTTTTCCTGTCAACTTATCTTTGGCCTTGGCAATGAATCTGGATTAGGGATTAAAGGGACCATTGCAAAAACATCAGAACTACTAATTTTTTGATCCAGATTTCTCGTTCCATAAGCATTGCTATACTCAGCTTTGAGAGGCTTTGCAAACATAAGAACTTGTCAGAGGTACAGATCAAGGAAGTAAATTAAAGTTCTTACTAGTTTTGACACTGTAGTGTATGACATCCCGACAGAGTTCCAATAGTTTATGGGGTGGCTCGCCTGAGTCTCTCATCTCCAAATCAAGAAGCTGTTTCAGTTGTTCAGGAGGCCTCCATTCACACACCTGGAGATTCAACCACAACACAAATTGAGTATCCACCATAGCCAGGTATTGAGAGGATGTTACAAACGTGGACTCTACCATTACAAAGCTTCTGGGCAGCGGGTGATTTAAACATGCAACTATAGTTCAGACGAAAAGAACTATTACAGTAATGTAGATGTTGATGGGACCAATGAGGGGCGCCATCTTAGATTTGCAAGGTAAAGGGAGATTTCCTAGTGATACTGATATCTAAGTTGTTACATAGAATAAGAGTAGAGCGAATCAAAGTTTAGGGAGGTTCTAGATGGAAGTGACAGAAGTAACAAAGATCAAAAGTAAAATTAAAAAAGATAAAAAATTCGGATCCTATGGCACATCTGTAAAATCAAGTACATTTGGTATGGCTTGAACATGGATTTTTGAGAAATGGAGAGGAAATAAACAGGAATGCTGAAGCAGTTTTTCTCTCTGTGTGTACCCGGCCCTATGCAGTCTGCTATCGACCTAGCAGCCAGAATGATCCTCCTAAACTTAAGCCATGGCCATTCCTCTATTCAAATACATCTGATGGCTCCCTGTTTCTTTCAAAGTAAAACCTGAGGTCCTTACAAAGATATAAAATGATCCTTTACGATCTGCTTCTCCTGGTTTCATTTTTCCTCTAGTCTCATCTGGGACTACTTTCCTTCTGGCTAACTCTGCTCTTGACACCCTAGCCTCCTTACTGTTCTTAACTACACGAGGGAGGTTCCCATACTGGGGTCTCTGCACTGTGTGTGCCCTCTGCCTAGAATGTTTTTCAAAATATCCTCATAACTGAATCCCTCACTTATTTCAAATCTTTGCTCAGAAGTCACTTTCTCAACAACAGCAATCCTGACTCCCTTACCTAAAATTAAAATCTACCCATTACCTCTATCAATCCCCTTTAACATTTCCTACTATTCCTTTTTACAAAGCACTTATCACCCTCTAATATACTGTTACTTATTGTATCCTACATAATCTCCATACAAGCAGATCTGTCTTTTTGCTCACTGATCCCAAGTGACTACCACAGAGTCTGCACATAATAGTGCTCAATAAAGATGTGTTGAATAACTGAATGGATAAACAGAGATAAGCAAGGCTCAGATCATAATGGGCTTTATGTGACATATTATAGAGTTTGGACTTGGCTCTAAGGAAGCCATTAAAATGTTTAGGACAGGGGAATGAAAGGATCATATTTGTGTTTGGGGCAATAGCTTTAGTTGTTATGTGGAGGTTCCCAATAAAATTTGAAATAAGAGGTTGCTGTAATAAGCCAGGCAAGAGAAGGTGATGATCTGGATGACAGTCAATGCTGTATTAAATATGTAGTTTTTAGAGATATTTAAAATGCAGAATCACTAGAACCTGGAAATCAGTTAGATTTTGAGGGTGAGATGAATGAGCCAAGGATCATCCCAAGGTTTCCAGCTTGGACACAAGATTGGATGGCAGCAATGGGGATAGCAGGAGAAGGATCTGGTTGGGGTGGTGTGGGGATGATGAGGTGAAAGCAGGTTTAGGACAAGGCACCTTCAGAATATCCAAAAGCTGTATAGCAGTTGATCTGAGGCTCTTGCAAAAGATTGAGGACAGAGTTCCAGGGAGACACTATGATAATGTAACAGTAGTTGATGTGGCTCAGAGAGAACCTACAGCAGGGCAGAAAGGAGCAGAATCTTTCTGGGCATCACCAACACTTATGAATGGGCATAGGAAGAGGAGCCTGACTGTCCTGTGGAGGGCACGCCAGAGAGGTAGGGAGAATCCTAAGAGTTTAGTGCTACCATAACCAAGAAGAAAGAATGCTTTAGGAAGGAGATGTTCACCACTGTCAAATACTGCTAAGAAGCCGAATTAGATAGACTTGAAGTGCTCATGGAATTTATCAACAAGGAGGTGTTCTTGGCAAGAGCAGCTTGACTTAGAGAGGTGGGGGCGGAGGCCAGATTGCTTTGAAGTGAGAATGTAGGAGGTGAAGAAACGGAGGGAGGGAATATAGATAATCTCTAAAAATTTTGGCTGTGGAGGGGAGGAGAGAGATAGGGAAGTAGCCAGGGAGTGAAAAGACTGGGAGGCTGGGGGGAAGCAGGAGGAAATACCAAGTTGTGCAAGTAGTATGAAATTAAACTATGATGCTATAACCATGACAGGCAGAGGTAAATTGGAAATGCCTGAGACAATCAAAAGGAATGACTACTGGCGCATTCAACAACATGGATGAATCTCAAATGCATTTTGTTGAGGGTAAACAGCAAGACTCAAAGCCTACTAAAATACTATTCCATCAACATGACATTCTAGAAAAGGCAAGTATCATAGGGAAAGAAAATCAGTGGTTTCAGGGGCTAGAGGAAAGGGGAGGATTGATTAGAGAGGGGCACAGAATAGTTATATAACTATTCTAATGAAGATATAGAACAGTTCCATCATATCGTAGTAATAGTTATGACTTCTGAAACTCATAGAACCACACCCCAAAGGGGTAAATTTTACTGAATATAAATTATAATTCAGTTTTAAAAACTGGCTGATGAAGAATTTTCTGCTAATGAAACTAGCAGTGATCACTGCACCAAGCTTGGGTATATATCTGCAGGCTACCTTTTAATGGTGCTCTGTTGGATCTCAAACAAGGTAGGCTAAGTTAGTGGTATCAAAACTTCACCTCCTTCCCCCAACTCTAGCATAGCTTTCAATCCAACTTCCCGTGGGTAGCCTGCACATCTATTACATTGTAATTGACTTGTGGTTCCTTAATTGACAACTTAGGATCTTAAGATCTTCCGTTTCTCATCTTATTAGTCCCCTGTGTGAGCTCTTTTTTTCTGGGCAAAAAATGGTCCCCTTGCTGTGTTAAGTACATCTTGTCCTTTTGCAATGCTCTTTCCATTATTGACCTTCCTGCTTTCTTCCTCCAGAAATGAGTACCCTAACGCCAAACTTTCTCTTCCCCTGCCACTGCCCCCCAAAATTCTCACTTGCCCTTTACTTACATTCCACATCTGAGCTCAAAGTACTCGCTCCTGAGTGAAATCCCAAAAATCTGTTCCAGTCTCAAAGCATTTATCACATCCTTACTGGGACCCCCCGCTGCCTTTTCTAATGAAAACATATCCTTCCAATTAGATTATAAATTCTGTTCAGAGCTGGGCCTTTATATTGTTTTTCTTTATATTCTCTAGGGCTGAATATAAAGCTTTAGTCATAGCTAATACTCAGTTAATATTTAATGACTGAATAAAGGCCAATAAAAAAAACTGCCAGAGGAGCAGTGTACTCCAATGTAAAGCAGATCCAAAGTATTTCACAAGTACAGAGAAGAACAGAAATTATATAATTATAAATATGCTATCTGGGCAAATACCAAACACCATCAGGATTTTGCCTTGAACATAACTTCCAAATTCATGCATCAATCTATTTTCCTACTAGTTTTCCGAAAGGCATGTGATCAAAAATTCAGAATAAATATCACCTCACTTTCAAAATCTTTTAAAAATGATACTTATTTCTAACTAATATAACTGGAATAAAAATCTCTTCCTTACATCCATTTGTTGATAATCCACCTCCAACATGAAAACCAATGTGATAAAGGTTGATTCGGTAATTTTAAGAGGCATATGGAATAGTTAAGAGTGCAGATTGTGAAGTGATACTGCCTGGATTTTAGTCCCGGCTCTGATACTTGTGTATAATCTTGGGCAACATATTTGACCTCTTTGTGCCTGACTTTCTTTCCCAGCTCTAAAATGGGGGTAATAGTATCTGCCTTTTAGTGCTTTTGAAAGGATTAAATGCATAAGGAGTAGTCCTTAGAACATAGTAAGTATTCTTAAGAGTAGATGTCATTAGCGGCGGTTCTAATATCAATTTGAATTGAATTTGAGCCTGAATTTGAAATCTACAACCAATAATTGGTACCAGAAAGGAGTCAGACTTAACCACCTAAGATTTCTAGGCTAAATTTAGACAAGCTCTTCATAAGGACCTTAAGATAAATTTAAAATGTTTTTACATCCTTTTCCATCTTTTGCTTGATTTTCATGAACAACATGAAGAGTGTGCACTAGAAAATGGGGAGCAAAGAGCATTAGAGAGTTGCGTAAGTGAGATTAGCAGGTTACTTATCTATGTTATTATCTAGGGTGCAGGAAGTTTCATCCCTGTGCTTCATGTCCTTATGTGATTAAGCTCTAGGGTCTCAGCCAATCTTCCCACGAATGATGACTGGCAGAGTAAGGAGGCAACCCTTCAAGGACAGCAGGAATTGCCTGAAGGACAGCCTACACTTTTATATCTGGACATCCTTTTGAGACAAAGGCATAGAAGAAATAAAAACTTGGCCTTCCCATTTGCTTTCTATTCAGCCATACTGATTTGGGGAACATCTATCTTTCCCATTTCTGCAATTTCTTACAGGTTTTAATTTTTACCTTCTCATTGACATCTGTAGCTTTCAAAACCACCTCTTCCATTATTAGCCTACAGGCCTCTTCAACAAATTTTTCTCCAGCTTTTGCATCTGTTGTAGGACCATTCAGCACAACCCCATCCACAAGAACAGCATTCTTCTTACTTGGAATCATCTCTTGTTGATCAATATCTCCTGGAAGCAAGCAAACAAATTGTGTTTGAGAGATAATCTAATTACACCACATAACAAAGCACGGGACAAAATGCATCACTATCCCAGCTTCAGATGGCACATCTTTTAATACATGAAGGCATCATTTGAGGTGTTGAGCTGACAATTTCTTATGACACACCATGGTATGATAGTTAAGGAAAATTTTACAAAGAAAGCTCACAATTTATGGATTAAGTAAATCTACCTTATTATATATGTCACTCTGTACTGGGCTGAGTTAGTCATGGAGTATATGACCTCCTAATTCAGTGCAATTTCAGGTCTGATGGGGAAAGGTACCATTCACATACAATTCCCATGCTAGATGGTGTTTGAAGTTGAAAAAAAATGTTTTCCATAATTAGAATGCTGATTCACAAAGCAACTGCCCCTAGGAGAGAGTAAATATTCATTGGCATTTCTACACATGCACAAATGATTAAGTGATTTCCCTAATCCTTTCCTCAGAGACAGCCGTCACTCTACCACAGGAGAGTTCGAGATGGAGGAACAGGAGTTAGGCATTTGGAGAAAAGGATGAGGAGAAAGCCCTTCAGATTTTATCTAGAATTAACACCACCTCTATGCTGTCAGTATCCCCTTAAAATATAAATAATACAATATCATACAATAGTGGTTTTAACTTTCAGAATCTGGTGCATTGAGTAGACAAATCCTATAATTAAGGTAGCAAGCTTTTAGCTTCATTTCCTTGTACAAAGTCCTTTAGCATTTCTGAGCCCTAGGATGAAGCTTTGGGCAGAGATAAAGAAAATAGCACCTGTCCTTACACAATTTATTTTCCTCAAGGAAGAGATAATGCATTTCCAGATTGAAATAACAAATTGAATTTTATGAAGATCCATCTTGTATTGGATGTATCTGAATTATCGAAGTATCTAAGAGGGATCACCTGGTCACCTTCAACAAAGTGAATATTGAAATCTTCAAAGGCAAAGAGCTAGCTGCTTCCTTCTTGAACTAGCACACATGAATATGTTTCTCCAAATGTATGTCCCCTCTTCCTTTAGGTGCGTGTAGCTGTTGGCCAATTTCTCTATGAACTAGATTACAAAGTTTACACAAAAGTTGTATTTTTCATTCTTGCAGCATCTTGTTTAGCATCAGGGAGTGTGGAGGAGACCAAGAAATGTAAATGTAACCTATTTTACTCATTCTTGCAGTCACCTTTCAAACACATGTACAAAGAGATCTTCGTAAACATAAGCCCATGTCTGTTTCACACACACACACACACACACACACACTCTCTCTCACACTCACACACTCACTCTCTCTCTCTCTCGTAATTTGTCAGGGATACCATATTTTCCCTTTTAACAAATCATTCCTTAAAAAGCAGCAGCGATATAAACTTGTCACTAATCTTAATTGTATGTTTTAATTCTATGTTTAAATGTTCCTCTATATTACAGATACTGCTTTGTCCCTGAGAGCCCCTAATTTTTCAGCCATTTTCTACATAGAGAGTGATAGAGGAAAGAAAGCAGCACAATGATTTGTTAAGCCTGTATTAAATGCCTTTAAACTTTTCAACCTTGCAGCTTAAGCACAGGCAAAAGGATGAGACGGAACATGTTCAAGACTGTACATGCCGATCATTGACTAAATGTTAAAAGTCAACATGAAAATCTATATCTGAGAAGAAAGGTTACTGCCTACCCAAAATAGCCCTCCACAAAAATAATTCTGGCAACTCAATCCAGATATTCAACCAATTTCCAGCACAAGCTTTGATTCAATCACATTCTCTTTTTCTAATCAGTATGTTTCTCCACCTTATAATGTATATGTTCATTTAATTGTTGAAATTGACAGAAACAATTTTTAAAGTACTTTTCAGCACTGTACCTCACACAGTATCTTCTATTTTAAATCCATCTTAAATATTCCAATGGTCTACAAAAAAAAACCCTTCTAAATATATGTATTTCAAACACTTCTACTCTTAGTGAGGGCTCTAACAATATTAACATTTATCATTTCTTAGACTCCACCTTCTCCTCAAAGTTAAACGTTCTGATAAAATTCTATGGCTCCACAAACACTTTAATTCTGTTATTGGCAAACACAAATGGTGTCTATGAAAGCACCAGATAAAAATGTTACAGGAAGATCCCCCAGTTGGGGAAAGATGGAATCTGCAGCAAAGGATCAATCTTTTGTCCTCTCACTGAAAAAGAAGCCATTTAGAGCTCCAATGAAGAATGTTAGTTCCAGCCCTCACTTTCACATGAAAGGAAACATTTAACATGGTTTAGGGCCAAATATTGAAACCCTAGAATTGAGCTTTTAGATGGAAATGCTCTGCACCTGAAGGTACTTTCCTCTCCTCCCAAATTTTTTAGGCCCTAAAAATAGAGTAAGAAAGAGAGCAATTATTCCAGGAACTCTGGTTATGTGAGTAGGCAGTGCTATTATTAAGCACGCAGAAAAAGTTAAGATTTTTTTTTTTTAACCTCATTAGTAGGATTTCAAGCTTTTATTACCCAGGGAATAACAGCAGCTCTATAGCCTGCTCATTATGTTTCTCTTTCTCTTTCTCTCACCCCGTTCCGTGTGTGTGTGTGTCACACACATACACACACACGATAAAATAAAAAATGTCAACACCCACTCGTAACCAGAATAGCAGTGAAATTTAAATTATCACTGTCTTCACACCAATGAATTAAAAAAAATCCCCATAATTCACACAATTATCTAGGAGAAAATACTGTAAAAATCTATACAGAAATGGGTCTAGATGATGTCTTTTCTTTGATAGACACATTTTATTTTTATAGCCAGATGTGATAATGTGCCTCTTTCTCCCCCAGCATTTGTCCAGGTCAGAAAAGGCCCTCTGGAGACTCTAGAATAGGTCAAGCTGTGGTCTCCTGAGGAAGGATATTCAGAATTTTCATTCTAACTGCTAGAGTTTATAGTGGCTCTTAATGAAGTCTTTCAATTTGAGGAATCTTCCATGAAGACTATACCTAGGATATGACTGCTTTTCATCACCCCCACTTTTACTACCTTAGTTCAAACCACCTTCAAATGCTAGGGTTACTGCAGTAGCCTCCCAACTAACCACCTTTCTTCGCCCTTTCCCCTCATTTTCTGTGGACTATTCTCAACACAGTACCTCCTACGTTCCCTTGAAAAGATAAATCTGATCACATGATGACTCCTGCTTAAAGCATTCAATGACTCCTCATCAAACTAAAAGCTAACATCCTTCTAATAACCTCAAAGGCCCATTTCCCTATTATCTCATGGACCTCAAACCTCATCTTGTTACTGTCCTCCAAGCTCACACAGCTCTATCATCTGTGGTCTTTTTCACCATGCTGATTCTTTCCTTAAACATCAGTTTCTCAGGGAGGCCTTCCTTGACTACCTCATATGAAGCTGCAATCACCTCTCTGCACTACTTTCTCTGCTTTGATTCCAGAGCAGTGACTACCATGGGATATATAATACCCACGTAAATTAATATATATATATATATATATATTTTTTAATATCTGTCTCTCCAATAAAGAAAGGTTAAGCTCTGTGAGAGCATGAGTTTGTGTCTGTCGGTTTCACTGTTATTTCCATAGCACCCAGAAAGTGCCTGGCAGTTTGCAGGAGTTTGATGAACATTTTTTGACTATTAAATGAAAGTTCTTCCTGGTTCCTTTAACCAACCAGTGATAATGTCTTCCTCCCTTGAGATGCCGTCGCAGGTTGTCTGTATGCCTTTCTGAACTGATAGCACAGCAAGGAGACTGGACCTGATTAAGCAGGGGAAACCTTTGGCTGGGGATGCAATAGACATAGAACACAGTTAATGGGCTAGAGAAGAGACAGTGGAGGCTGAAAGAACCCCGGGAACAGTCAGCAAGGCAAACCTGGGTTTCTGTTCTCTTCATTATTAAAGGAAACTGGCTGCAAGACCCTCCCTTTCCTTTCCTCTCGATTCTTGTTACCGCAGCCACTTTTTCTGTGCCCTTATTTTATGGTAGTCATTTGACTTCTAGAAGTCAGCGCACGGACCACAGGCTCACTCCAGAAACCACACTTCCAAATTTGAAAGCCAGTCAATTCCTAAAGACTCCAACTTCTGCATTTTTTACCAATTCCTCCCCTCCATAGCTTCCAAAATTCTGTATAGGATCAACTTTTGCTTTGTTCAGAGAGATACATTGTTCTCCCTTGATTAACAAACAATTCAGCTTCAAATATTGTTTCAGATTTTGAGAGATAGCCTCTTCCTCTGACATAGAATTAAGTGAATTAATACAGATAATGCCTTAAAACAGTGTCTGGTACATATTGGGAACTAATAAAAGTTAGCTAACAGTAGTAAATAACAACAATATTTATTCAATACATAAATGACACCAGGCACGGTGGTTCACACCTGCAATCTCAGCACTTTGGGAGGCTGAGGCAGGCAGATCACTTGTGGCCAGGAGTTTGAGACCAGCCTGGCAAACATGATGAAGCCCTGTCTCTACCAAAAAATACAAAAATTAGCCAGGCATAGTGGCACACACCTGTAGTCCCAGCTACTTGGGAGGCTAAGGCACAAGAATCAGTTGAACCTGGGAGGAGAAGGTTGCAGTGAGCCAAGATCATACCACTGCACTTCAGCCTGGGCAAAAGAGTGAGACCGTGTCTCAAAAATAATAGTAATAATAGTACATAAATGCATAAAGGAAACTTGCATGTGATGGTAAACTGTGACAATAGAAAGGGGAGGTCTTCTCAGATTGATCAAATGACCAGGGTAATAAACTCTAGACCAAGTGGCTGGTGAGTTATCACCTCTGGAAGGGCAGGAAGAGAGGACCACAGTGGTTGGGGGTTCCCCTGTGAGAAGAGCAGAGCTTCCTCCACCATGTTCAGAACGCAAGATGGTAGCTGAGTAGTTCAGCCCACACTGGGTAGGCAGCTTCCTAGACCTTCTGCCTTGTTGCTTTCCACCTTGCCCTGTGTTTACCTGTGTAGAGGTTTTATTTCTTATACCAGATTATAAACCTACAGAAAAAAGCCATGTCTCATTTTACTGACCATTCCAGAAACAGAGTTCAGCAACTGGCTTTCAATAGCTCTCTGAGGACTGACTGGCTGACTGTATATTTACTTTGGAAGTCATCTTATCTAACCTTTTCATACAATCCAATAATTCCCTCCACAACCTGTGGCCCAGACATGAGAAGAGCTGACTTCTAGTCCCACTTGATCACTCCCAAGTTCTCTGATCCTGAAATAATACAACCTCTCTGTGCCTGTTTTCTCATCTATAAAAATTGGAGCCCATCTGAGGAAAGTGATCTGCTAGCTTCCAAAAAATTCCTGGGAAAATTAATGAAGATTCAGAATCCGGATTCCTACCCAAAAGGATTCTATGTGGAGCCTAGGATCTAAAATTTCAGGAAGTATTCCCATTTATATTAATAATACTGAAATACACTAATATGCAGTGGGTATGGAAATGGCTATTCTGGGTGACCTCTAAAGTCCTTCCAAAACTTCAAATCTTCAGTTGTCTAGCCCCTCTCTCTACTCCTTTAATAATTATGTATTTATCTTAAATATGCATCAATCTCCGAGAAGTTAAGAACTGAAAAATTACAATACTACATATATATATATATATACACATATATGTATATATATACATATATATGAGAGAGAGTACTTACTATGTGCCAGGCCCTGTTCTAAAAGTTTTACAGATTTAACAAATGTAATTGTAACAAACTCGTTACTCAGTTTTTCAGATGAGAAAACTGAGGCACAGAGAGGGTTTAATTCAGTTGAATTGCCTTGCCCAAGGTCACAGAACTAGTGAGTAGTGAAACTGAGGTAAATTTTTACTGAGTACTAAATATTTGCTGAAGTTCTATGAAGGATCAATGAGATTCTGCTTTATGGGTATCTACCATTAGCAAGGCATCATTAGGGAGTTAATAATGACAGCAAGACGAATTACTGTACTTGGGTAATTGGGGGCCTCAAAGTGCTGAATAACAGCAATAGAAGATAATAAGTGTCAAGTAGTGCCACGTGGAAGACACCAATAAAATATGCTGAATGTAAACAATGTAGACATTTGAAATTAAGGGTTGTGGTTATAGGAGAAGCTGAGGTGTCAGGGAAGATTTCTGAAATTAGAAGACCTGCCTTCTCTTTGAACATATGCACTAATAAATAATATACTTTTAAAACCTCATCACTTCTGAAGTAACAACTTCATTGACAGCTGCCCAGACCTCCCACCTTGTCACTTTCACAATGGTCACAAAACTTTTCCTGAGAGTGACTCCAAATATGCATTTCTGTCATGTCTATAGGCTTTTATAGTAAATGAGTTAAGTACATGGAATTTTTCTTCCACAGGACTGTAATCCAAATATGTGAAGACTTTTTATCAATGCTTTTAATTGTCAGTTAAAACTGCTCTCAGTTTTTTCAGTGGTTTCCGATAGTCCGTGGTCTGTAGTCTGGACCAATTTGCTTTTATCTTATAAAATGAGGCATCTCACAAAATTCCAGGTGTGATCTCACCAACTCTCAACATGGTGAACTCATATTTCCCATGCTCTGGTCACCATGATTTCATTAATAAAGCTTTTATTGACACCATAGTGGATTCCAAAGCCTGAGCTTTAAGTCCTGGCCCAAATTCTAACTCTGCTTCTGTGACCTTACTCATGTTATTTAACCTCTGTGTGATCCGTATTTCTTTTCTGGCAAATGGGGAAAACAGCTATGAGTCATTGAAAGGGTCAAATGTGGTAATGTGTGCAAGGTACTAAACAAAGTGCCAGGGACAGTGTAAAGAACTCAATAAATGATAACTATTAATGAGTTTCAGTCTATATGAACTCTCTTTTGGCACTCACGTTACACTGTTGGCTCAGGTAGAAGTCATAATTAGCAGTCTTAGGGTTTTGTCAGAAAGTCTGCCAGTAAAAGCCAAGTTTCCCATCCAAGTCTCTTTAATTGTTCAGAGCAAGTTAGCAATAGAAAAATAATGTTTGCTTTCAAAGGACAGAAATGAGAAACAATGAATCAAAAGTGAATCCAGACATCTGGTTGGGGGAGGCCAAGGAGCTCTTCAGAAAGTTAGTGCAAAGACGCTGGGGACCAAGGGAGGCAGAAGGGTCAGGACTTAGAGAATCCCGTAGGCCGGTCCAAGAGAGTCTGAGAAGCAAAGTTTAAGAGCTGGGGTAGTATTAATTAATAAATTAATAAGAGCCTCACCCAGCCTGGTGCCTGTGGATACAGAAGTAAAAAACAGTCTCTGTTCTCAAGTTGTTAAAAGTCTAGAAAGCGAATATTTAAGAAACCAGGGCAAAGAAAAATTGAGATTTAAAAAAACTGAAGATATATTTTCTCTTCTGGAGGTTTCTAAGTCAGGCATTTCTTCCAGGCTCAAAAGAATGGATGCCTAATTTACCTGATGTACCTGGTACATCAGCCTCATAGATTGTTTGCCACACTTTTGAATTTCACACTGGTTTTAAAGCTATTTTAGTTGTCTTAAAAATGACATGCCAATGAGAGCGGGTAACTGTGAACAACCTACAAAGAAGATGACTATGGGAAATATTAAGAAATAACAATAACACAAAGCCGTGAGAACAGAAGCTCTGAAGCTTTGGGTAATGGCGACAAATGTGGCAACTTAGTCCCTGGATCTAGCCCTGTGATTTGATAGAATCATAAAGAAGGCTTAGGGATTGAACCATTTCCACATCCAATCCACAAACATGAATTCAAAGGAGTAAACAGAAAACTATGTTTACAACTTTGTCAGCAAGAGATATGGGTATCTATTTTATTTTATTTTTTTTTGAAAAGAGCAAGACGAGAATTTTAATCATTTCTTTAGTCTCATCTTGGGGTCAAATTCTCCTTAGCTGAAATCCACAGTGAGCAGATACTTCTCTTACTCATACTTTCATGAGATAGTCATAAAATATTGAATTGCTACTATGTTCAAGACATTAGGGCAGGCACTATAGAAAACTTCAAGACCAAAAAGACACACAGATGGTGACCCCAAAATCCAATAAGGGAAATTAGACATGTTTATTAATACTTGAAATCCTATCCAAAAGGCATAAAGTTTGATAGGTGAAGTCAGATAAAACATACTGAAATTTCAGAGAAGGGTATTGTTTCTCAATGTGAGAAGCAGGAAGTCCTTCTGGATGAGGTGGCATTTGAGACAGACCTCCATTCATCCAATCAGCAAATACTTATATTTAGTGCCTATTATGTATAGAACTCTGTGTAAGGCATTTGAGGTTGAGCAATGAACAAGAAAAATTTACATTTAGTTGGGGTGGATAATATATGCAGTTAAGACAAACAGATAAATTATTAAAATAATGCAGGCTATAATGTTCTAAAGGAAATACCTGAATGACTTCATAGAATAAGGACAAGGAGCTATTGTAGATATAATTTGGAAAAAATGTTTCTGAACAGAAGATATCTGAATTGAGTTGTAAAAGAGAAGGAGAGCCAGACACGAAAGATATGGAAAGAGAATGATCCAGGAAGAAGGAACAGAAAATGCAAGCAATCAATAAGCTGGCTTCTTTAAGAAATGGAAAGAGATAAGTGTGGCCCAAGTGTGAGGGCAAGGGAAAGGAAGGGTGAAATTAGATTTGGAAATAGGGACTGGGAGCAGATCAGGTAAGGTCGTATTTTACTCTAAAATCAACAAGAAGCCACTTAAGGGTTTTAAACAGAGGAGTAACATGAACTGGCTTACATTTATGGAAGATTCCTCTGGATGCCGTGTAGAGAATGAACTGTCAAAAGACAGATGTGGAAATAGGGAGACTGCTTAGGTCACAACTGTAGAAGTCCAGGCAGTAGACAATGGGAACTTTGGTCTGGATGGTGGCAGACGAGATGGAGCAAAGTGCTGCAACTTGGGAGATATTTAGGTGATAAAGCTTAAAGAACTTGCGGATAGATTGGATGTAGGGGTCAAGAAAGCAAAAGAATTTAAAGTAATTCTTAGGTTTGAGACCCGAGCAATGAGACAGATGGTGACTAGTGAACCCTCTATACTGATCTGGGGAATGCTGGGGAAAAGCAAGTTAGACAAATGTGTGGCTGGGACATAGGAAGATCGACATTTTGACAAATTCATAGGAATTGGTCATGATGACATAGAGACAAGATTCATGCCATGGACATTCATGACAGAAAAAGCAACATGGACTAAGGCAGAAAAGTGTGTGTGTGTGTGTGTGTGTGTGTGTGTGTGTGTGTCCAAGAAACTCAAGTACTTCTGTTTGTCCAAGGGGCAGGGTCTGTAAATGAGGGAAGGAGCTTTTGAGAAAGAGGCAAGGAGACCAACCTTGCAGGGACTTCAGTAGAAACTGAGGAGTTCAGCTGTTACTTACTGAGTGGGCAATAGGAGGCCACTGAAAGCTGTTGATGGGATAAGAAGACTGCCTTAGAAAGATGAAGCGGGACTGGTGTAAAGTTTAGGTGTGAAACCAAGAATTGAAGGAAGAGAGAAATGATGGCAATAATCCAGGCCAGGGAGAGGGAGGAAATGAACTAAATAGTAGACAGGATGGTAGGTTTACATTTTATTTTATACTCTCTCCTACAATACCATTACTGAATTTGAGCCAGGTATCCCATATCTTTGTAAAGAGTTCTACAACTGTCAATGGATAGACAGCTTTTCTCTCCTCCAGTAAGTCTATGTTCTAAAAATGATCATTAGATAAAAAGTGACAGAATAAGATGGGAGAAAATCACTCTGTGCATCAGCACCTTTCTTGAAAAGCACAGATGAACATGTAATATTTCTGGGAGGGAACATGTTCCCGTCACCCAGAGTTTTACATTATGAGACTACGTTGTGTTAGAATCTCAGATACCACTCAGATAATTCTGATTCTACTGAAACACCAAGGCATCCCCACAAACCAAAGAGCCAGGTCCATAAACACCATCCAGCTTCTGAGAGAACGTGCTCCTCAGAAGGGAGTCTCTGAAACAGCCAGAAAAATAGCTGGCAGTGTCCTACCAATAGCCAATAAATACATAGTACATCATAAACCCTGCTTATTTTAATTTCAGTAATGTTTTTCTTTCACTGGGCACAAGGCCAGGAATTAGATAACCTAATCTTTTCAAGAGAGTAGATTTTTCAGAGACACTTACTCCTATTGCTTGAGTAAATATTACTTGATAAGGGGCATGACGTGCTGCAATTGTATATCTTAGATTGTCATATTAATAAGGCAGCTCTCCAAACCACCTCCACCCACCAAACCATTTCTAAATCTTTTGAACTTCTATAATGGGTACAAATTCAGCTTGAAAACACTTATGCAATTGGGCTCCATGAAAAAAATTTGACTTAACATAGCCATTTAGTAAATTTTATCCCTGTCCTTCAGTCCCAGTTTGGAGCACTTTACTCGATCATATCCTTTAATGTGGCTTAGTGGTAGCTACTGCACCACAGAGCAGTATTTTCCTCAGGAGCTGTATCTTCCTTCTTCTCTCCATTAACCACTGTCACCCCCCATAGTCATAGTTTCTGTTGGCATTTTCCTCCTCTGACATCTTGGCTGTTTGTCCTTTCTTATTCTTCATCCTTTTCTTGTCTATATACATTTATAAAACACCAGGTTTCACTCATTGCTTTAATGGTAACTTCTGTGTTTTCTGAGATTCAGGGCTGAGTAAATAGAAGGCCTGTTTTTAGTTTGCTTGTTTACTTGAGGCCATTTTTGGTCTAACTAGCATCCCAACTAGAACCACCCTTCCCCTAGGACATGGTCTTGGTGATACTGTCAGTTAAATACCCTTTTGTGGGTATCTCCAAGTTCTAAGTTTTCCAGATCTCAAGTCACCTTGGTTCCTGTCTTATTTAAGACCTAATTATTTATCTTTCTCTAATTCTGTGAGCTTTCTAAGATACTCTCAATAAACTCCCCCTTTTGGTGAGCAAGAGTCATTCTGCACTCTGTGAAACTAGAGAGCCATATGAATACTCTGAGTAGCTTGGATTCTGTAGCCATTTCCAACTGATGAAAATTAAAACCAACTAGACACACCTTACTAAGTATACTCTCTTGACCTTCAGAGTCTCTCATCTATTTACACTGTTTTCCAAAACTTGGAGGTCAACCAGTTACTGTCAGACAATAAATATGCTGTTTTTTTTCTAACTTTCTTCCCATGTATAATTCTGGATGCTTGAGGTCAGTGTGTATAGTGCAGTCATAGCAAAAAGAGTCCAGGGCAGTGCTGCCAAAAAGAAATATAATGCAAGCCACTGACACAAGCCACCTGAGTAATTCTATCTTCTCTAGTAGCTTTTCTAGTTGTAGTGTGGCATAAATGAAACAAAAATATAATTGCACTTATAAAATAATAATGGTTAACATTTAATGGATACTTACAATGGACCAGGTATTGGGATATACACTTTATATATTTATATACATATATATGAGGTTATTTCATTTAATCCTCATAACTGCCTTATGATGAAGATATCTTTATTAACTCTATTTTATAGATAAGAAAACTGAAGTTAGAGAAAGAGAATTGCCCAAGTCATATAGCTAGTAAGTGGTGGAGCCAGAATTCAAAGCCAGGCAGCCTGATTCCAGATGCCATGTTAATAATTACCATATTCTCCTTTTTTCCAAAAAAGGCAAGGAAGAACATATTGCTTTCTGTGTCTTATCAACCACACTAAACTATTTGGATACATTTTTGTACTCCTAAAGCAATAAGCGATTATCTTAGAAGTATGTATTAAATTGCAATGTGTTACAATTAATATATAGTTTTAAAACCAATTTGCTCAAGTGTTGACTACAGGACTTTAAATGAATTCCATTTAACCAGCAATTTAAATGAAAATTTAAATAAATGCTATAAATGGGTGCCTCATTTGCATCATCTGTTGATTTACTCTGATATGGGGATTATCTTTGCCCAGGGTTCTGCCTCCTTAGGGCTTTGGTGAATCATTTTCTAGGTGAACAGGAGGCACTTACTCTCAGCTCTCTTGCTTCTCAATGCACATGTTGTAACATTCACATGTGGCCACCTTCAGATACAGAAAACTGTACTTACCAAATTCCTTTAGAGTTACTAAATGTGATTGGAAAGTACATATTGAGAAGCTCATTGGAATGGCAGTAAAACCTTTCCAAGGGGTACATTTAAATTAAAACAGATGGTCCAAACTGCCTTCTAGGGAGGGAGGACACTGTTACCTGCAAGAAAAATGCATTGCTGAGTAGGGTTTGCAAATCTGGGGCCAGAGCTTGAATTTCTTAGTGAAGTAGGTAGTGAAGAGGGTGAGGCTGAAACTCATCCCTTTATGCCACACAGATTCAGCTTCACCTCTATATAAAATTGGAGCAAATGTCCTAAAAATTGTAGCTTCCTGGGAGTCATCACAGTAACACAAACTACATTATAGATTGTACCGCTGGAGTGGCAAATGCAGGTGCCCTGAGGAATGCCCACACATCTCACTGCTACTGTAATGTTGAGAAATGAAGTACTCGCAGAACACTGCCTAACAGATCATAGTGACACTGGCCTGGGTTATTCCTCAGCTGAAACTCACTGAGAGATGGGTTTGGAACCATCTAGGATATGGGCCAAGGATGTTTTTGGCCATTTATGTGTAAGATTTTGGGATCTTAGAGCTTTACAAGCACTTACAGATCAGTTAGCAAATGTCCTCATGTTGAATTTGAGAGAACCAAGGTTTGATGACACAGAGATTGCTTGAAGCCTGTGTAACCCCTTCTAAAGATTCACCAGATCCACTAAGTGTTATCTACATTCCACCACTCGTAAGCATCTAGAACCTATTTCATATAATCGTAGCTAGCATTTATTTAGTGCTTACTCTATGCCATGTTTTTGTAGGTCCTTTGTAAACAGCAGCACATTTATACAAAACAACAACTCTTTGAAAATACAAACAACTAAACTCACTCTGGTTAAGTAAAGCAGAAAAAAACCTGCTTGAAGGGTATATCAGCTGTCTATAGTTGTACCAAAAAAGGAACCCAAAATTTAGTAGCTTAAAGCAGCACCAACGTACATAATTGCTTCGGGGTAATTCTGGTCTTGCCTGGGCTCACTCACACAACTGCATCCAACCTGTGCATTGGCTCAGAGCTCAGCTCAGCCAGGAAGATTGAGATGGCTGGGTCTTTCTATGTAGGCTTTTATTATCAAAGAGATAAGACTTGTCTTCCTCATAAAGTAATACCAGCTTTGAAGACAGTGAAGGCAAAAGCTACAGCACCTCTTGAGATCTCAGATGATTTGTCATAAATATCACTTCTGCTGTCTAGTGGTCAAAGCAAGTAGCAAAAGCAGCCAGACTCAAGGATATAGAGAAAAAAAAAAAAAAAGCTCACCTCTTGATGACAGAAGGCAGTTGTCACATCATTGCAAAGTGGTAAGCATACTAGGAAGAAAGGATTCTGAAACCAATTTTGCAATCTATCATAGTCCAGTCTCTGATCAAAATTCATATTCCTCTCATCCACAAAATATCCTCATTCCCATATGAGGACCTTCCAAAATCTTATCTCATTATAGAATTAGGCTTGAAGTCCAGAATATCGTGGTCTGTGTCTTGTCTATAGGCAGACAAGACTGTTCAGTTATGTTCTTGGTCCAGAGACCCCTAAACTAAAAACACAAGTTATCAGATGTCGCACACAACATACAATAGTCATGCAGGCCAGGATAATTTCTGCAGACACTCTCACGAAAGAATAGGAGGCAGAGGGTAATCACTGTCTTACAGCAGTTCTGAAATCCCGCTGGGCACATACTTCACATATTAAATAGGATCTGATTTGCCCTCTCGGGTGGTTTCCTAATCCAGTATTCTCTGTGGCCCTTGGCTCCACACTCTGGCAGAAGTGAAGCAGTGGCCCAGCCTCTCTGAAGTCAAATGCCGTGATGGGTAGATACAGACATACCAGCATATTGCAGTTTATCCTCACTCTCTTCTCATCTAGATGCTTGGTTATTGATCCTAGAGATATCATTCACACACAAGAAAAAGCTTCTCCAGCCCATTTCACTATCACAGTTTGGCAATTGGACACGCCTGGATTACCAGATTTTCCTACAAGCTCCAACTTGGCCATTCTTGCCAGTTCCTCAGGAAGCTGATCCGTGACTTTTCTCTGATTTCCAATTCTCCCTTATGAATGTTTTCTTCAGTTCCTGCTACAATTGTGTGTAAGGTCTAATTCCTATAATACATTCCATATTCTATAATGTTCTATACATATAATATGTTACTGTATTTAATCTTCACAACAGCCATGCAAGTTACATACTAACATCCCCGTTTTATAAATGAGGATATTAAATCTGAGAGAAGTTAAGTAACTTGCCCAAGGCTACACAGCTAGAAGGTATCAGAGATCAAATTCAAATAGGTCTATATGATTCTCAAACCTATGATTGTAACCCCTATTTTCCATTTATGGAAAGAGATGGGATAGGGACAGTAATGTGTACTGATAAATTGGTTTCTGAAGAAAAGGCTCTGATTGGTAGCATTCGCCTATTTCTATGGTGTAAAGACGCCGATCATGGCTAATTTCAGGGCCAATTTTAAAACTGGCTCACAACATTTCTGAATATTTAACACTTGTAATGAACAAGTATGAGGTGGTTTCAGCATGCCTCTGCATGGGGAGCCAAGAAAACAAAAGTTCATCAATTGAAAAAATAACAGAAACGGAGTAGAGTGTTTCTTCAGGTGTCTCTTCCATGCACAGGCTCTCTAATTTCCAAATGTTAGCATCTCATATTTTTGCCTGCAGCCTATTTTGGTCAGAACCTACTCTTGCCCACTTACATGCCAAGTGTGAAGATCTAAAAAATAAATATCCATAGCTCAGCATCCTTCAACCAATAAGTGATAGAAACTGATGTATTAATAGCCAACTTTCTTGTTCTTCACATGTGGTAACACTAATGTCTGTCTTCTTCATTAACACCCAGAGTTACCCAGCAGGATTAAGCTTTAGTTACCCACAGTGAGAAATACCTTACTTTATTATGCATCCTCTATTGGCTGTCTCCCTGAAATCACCTTACAAACTAACTAACCACACTCTAATTCTTGATTCAGAGTCTGATTCTGAAAAATCTAACAAATACCTATTATTTTTTGAATCCCAATGGACCAGAAAGACACTGTACTAGGCACTTATATTACACGTTTTTGGACAAATATTCATAGCACCCTAGAAGGCAAGTATACCCAGTTCTACAAATATGGAAATATGAGGATCAGAGAGGTTAGTTAACTCTATGGAGGTCACATAGCTGATATAGTAAATAGCAGCGCTGATATTCAAATTATGATCAATTGTAACATCTCTTCTCTTTCCATGAATCTATGCAGCCTCTCTCACCAGAAAGATTGAACTAACACACATGAAACAATAAAAGAACAATTAAATGCTAAGCTGACATATTGTATTGAACAATTTTGGGCAAAACTGTCATCAAACTTATGTTCCGCAATTACTTTCTAAAATTCTCTTTTTTGTGCCATCAACTTGAAAAATAAGGCCACTGACTAATATTAGGGAATCCAATTTTTCATAAGTTTTCTTTATCCTCTATCACTGCATCATACAAATTAGGTACTGAAATAAAACTGAGTGTCATGACAGAATATACCATGATGAAAATGCATATGAAGGAAATACATTGCTTGGGTATATTTTTCGGCCCACATAGCATCTGAAAAATCAGATACATCATAAAATACCAACTAAGTCTCTATTGATTTTGTAAGTCAACACAAAGTATTAAAAGATCAAACAA
This sequence comes from Homo sapiens, assembly GCF_000001405.40. NCBI lineage: Eukaryota > Metazoa > Chordata > Mammalia > Primates > Hominidae > Homo > Homo sapiens. The sequence continues at coordinate 30,877,681 of NC_000003.12, forward strand.
CACAGCATACAGAGTGCTGAAATGGGAATAGTCTTATCAGCTAACAACATCAGCAAAGGAAGGACTTTGATTTGACTTTTGTCTGTTAAAGGGGCAAAATCTGAAGTGTGGAAATTTAAGATGGTTAATGGTGTAGTATTACCATATAGATTTTAATATTTAACCATAATAGATTTTAATATTTAACAGTGGCTTGCTGTCATCAAGTAATTTAGATAGTTGCTCTACAATATTTAACATGAAGAAGGTCCTGAATGCTGAAATTATTAGCACTACACCAAAAAATCTCAGATGCTGGTAGAAACACACATAAATTCCAAGTATGATTTGATCAGTGTCTTACAGGTTTTGTTTCTTACTTTTAATTACCTGTCCTGGTGATATGCACAAAAGGGAACCCTCTGGAGTTTGGGGTGAGAGTTTTAGCCCTGACTCTGGCCCCCAAGTAGCTCTGTGGCTGCAAGTACTTTAACCTTTCTGGTTAAATGATACTCTCAGTTAAATAATGCTCTACAAAACACCTTGTCACTCTAACAATGATTCTATGGCTAAAGCCTAATTTTAAAATTAAGTTCTTATTTACGTAACTAACAAAGATCACATTCTACCATTTCTAAAAGTGGTCCTTATTAGTGCTCTTCAGAACCATAAATTTCTAAAATCGTCCAGGACCTTCATGGAAGTAGCTCAGGGAAGGAAGTGATGGAGAACATGAGCAAGTAGTCTTTTTGGCCCATGAGGCCTACTTTAGGTATAGAAATGCAATTTTAACTGAAGTATCTCTGTAAATTATTTTCCTTAAACAAACAGGCTGGAATGAATGCATGAATACTTTGGCTTAAATTATAATATGACTGATAGACATTTGATACCCATCTCTTTTCCCTCTTCATAAAATGCATAACTTATCTACTGAGACTTACTTATCACAGGACACTCCACTCAGAGGCCTGAGACCCAGCTTTGAACATATTTACCTTTGGCAACTGCACTTATCCAAAGACAGTGCCAGTGGCAGTGGCACTAGCTGAAGCAGTCAATTCCATTTGTTTTAAGCGTATTGTGGTGCTATCATTTTTATGACACTAGGGTATATAGAGAAAATATAGTATCCTTATTATGTTCTTTAATTAATCCTGTCTTCCACATGAGCCCACATTGCTGAAAAAAAGGTAACAACATTTATTTTATTTAGTCCAATCTGGTTAAAACATGATATATAGTAAGTTAAACAGTTCGTTTAGGCAATGTTCTGTTTAACTGTGTAAACATGTTTGATATCTCAGATTTCCACTTCTCTGAATACTTTTCTTGATGACTTCTAGGTATGTGGGGAGTAAAGAATGTCTCACTCAACCTCAGAGTGGAGGAAGAGTGGTGGAGTCCTTGGATCACTGCAGTGTGTACTGACTGGTACCTTTGTCCCTGGGCAATCTCACTTGTCTACATCTTTAGAGCATTCATACCTGGCTGTCATGTGGGATGCATACTCATGGCTTCTTATCTCTCATGTTAGTCAGAGACTGGGGTTCTCTCTGAATGAGGTGGTCTCACTTTAGCTTTTGGTGATGGTATAGACATTTCTGGGCTTATGCCCCATCCTTCCTTGGCTCCCCAGTAGAGAAAATGCATCCCATAGCTTTTGCCTTCATCCTCATCAGAGAAAGCCCACTGGGAGGACCAAGGGTACTCAATTAATCTACCTTCCTCTGAGGACAAAAAGGCTTTTCTGAATCATTTCCACCCCTTGAAGAGATCAATACAGGCTCTCCCTCTCTATCCTACTTTAGTGAGCCATCACTTTGGCTTTGATAAGTCTGCAAGGTGATCTCCTCCAAGAGAAGCTGATAAAGGCCTATGTTGTTGCTTACCATATTTCCATAAAACTATCATATAACCATCCACTGTCTCTCCACCCCTGCTTCCATCCCAAGTAATAAGAAATCAAGAATGTGAATTTCTGCACTCGTCTCTCTTGCTTAATCCTTCTTTCTCTTCTCATTGTCACTTCCTGCCAGAAATGGAGATTTTTCCGTGACTTTGCCTGCATTAAATATTACTTTTTCTTGATGCTAGCCTCATGGGTAGCCATTGAAGGTGCACAAAAATATCTTTTCTGCACCAGGAAAAAAACTCTGTAATTTTGTTCTCTAGGCAAAATTGGTTAAGTTAAAGGGAAAATAAAAGAATGTAGAAAGCCCAAGGCAATAGTCGGAATGATAAAATTATTGTTTTGCTTTGAAACTCCTATTTTGACTGCCTGAATCTAAACAGTAACTGCCTTTCTCTTTGCATTCTACTTACAAAGATCAGAATCTTTCACAGCCAGACACTGCTGGCATAAAGGAAGGAGGTATTCATAAAGGCAGCAGAAGAAAAGCACAGTAATTTTTTAAATACATTCCTGAAAACACAGTCCTCTGCCTCTGAGTTATACATCTATGGATTCAATAAATATTTTAAGATATTAAATATTTTTAAAAACCAACAATGACAGTGCAATAAAAAATACAATTTTTAAAATACAGTAAATATTTACATATCATTTACATTGCATTAAGTATTGTAAGTAATCTAGAGATGATTTACGTATACAGGAGGATGTGCACAGGTTATATGCTGATATGGTTTGGCTGTGTCCCCACCCAAATCTCATCTTGAACTGTAGTTCCCATAATCCCCATGTGTCATGGGAGGCAACTGGTGGGAATTAATTGAATCATGGGAGTGGGTTTTTCCCATGCTGTTCTCATGATAGTGAATAAGTCTCATGAGATCTGATGGTTTTTATAAAGGACAGTTCCCCTGCCCACACTCTTGCCTGCTGCCATGTAAGATGTGCCTTTGCTCCTTCTTTGCCTATGCCATGATTGTGAGGCCTCCCCAGCCATGTGGAATTGTGATTCCATTAAACCTCTTTCTTTTATAAGTAACCCAGTCTCAGGTATATCCTTATAGCAGTTTGAGAATGGACTAATACATATGCAAATACTATGCCATTTTATATAAAGGAATTGAGCATCTTGTGGAGGATTTTGGTATCCACAGGAGGTCCTGGAACCAATTCCCTGCAGATTCTGAGGGATGACTGTACTCTAAAATTTTATGGAGGTGAGGATTAAATGACTGTAAATTTGTTAAAAATGGAATTGTACTCAAATTGATGAATGTTGTGGAATATAAATTAGACCTCAAGAAAGCTCCTAAAAAATTATATGCAGTATAAAAAAGAGTGAAACATAATTGGCCACCCCCTTTTCAGCTGTACTATGGACTCTTACTGGTGTTGCTTATGAGAGCAGTGCAAATGGAGAAAGTAAGGAAAGAAAGCATAGGCATTGTCCTTTTCCCTAAGGGTTAGAGATCAATCACATTCCCAGTGCAGTTAAGTGAGTAGAAAGCTGTAATATTCCTTTCAACTGGGACTTACCTCACAATTCTGTTTATATGTGTATCTCTTGAGCAATAAAATATTATCAGCTTTTCCAAATCATGGGCATAAATTGTAATTATGCTTGTATACATTTACATAAAAATATTTTCATTTACATACACTTTGTATGCAAGCTTCCTATCTGACAAAATCATATAACTAGAACATATGCAAGAATACAGAAGAATGCCAAAAATTAGAACAATGTGAAAGTAACAGATACTTAAACTCTTATAGTAGATCTTAACATTTTCAGAGGCAACCTAAATTACACTATATGTAATTCCAACCTTTTTTGGGCTAAAAAACTAGAAGACAAAACAATGGCTAAGCTTGTTAAATGCAATACACAAAAGCATCAAGTGGTGATTAAGGATGCTACTGGAATTCAAGAGAAGGAAGAAAATATCACTGACCTTCATGGGAGACCCTGATGAGGGAGATGGCAACAGTATAAAAAAAGATATAAGAACTCAAGAACAGCAATCTGAGATTGTTCAATGAAGGGACAAACAACTGGACACATCTCTACTCTTTAGAAAATATTACGTTATGATCAGTGCTGTCTAGCAATGTCAAAATACAACAAAAAAATGATAAATTTGTTAAGGGACTGCTATGGTTTGAATGCTTGTCTCCTCCAAAAACTCATGTTGAAATTTAATTGCTATTATAGCAGCATTAAAAGGTGGTACCTTTAAATACTATAAAAAGTAATTAGGTCATGAGGGCTCCAGCCTCATGGGTGGGGGTTGAAGTTGTTACAAAGGCAAGAGTGTAGCCTCCTGTTGCTGTCTTGCCTGTCTACCTTCCATCATGGAATGATGGAGCAAGAAGGCTTGCCAGATGTTGACCCCTCAATCTTGGACTTCTTAGCTCCAGAGCAGTAAGCCAATAAAATTGTTTATTATAAATTACCCATTCTGTGGTATTCTGTTATAGCAGCACAAAATAGACTAAGACAGTTTGACAAGTTTCTAAATAGTTTTACACACTTTTCTATCCTTAAAATATTTATTTTTTTTAATTAGGTATTTTTTATTGTGGTAAAACATGAATAATAAAATTTACCATCTTAACCATTTTTAAGTGTACAGCTCAGTAGTGTTAAGTATATTCACATTGTTTATTTGGACATATATAACAATGTTTCACATTGTGAAACAGATCTTCAAAATATTTTCATCTTCTAAAACTGAAACTGTATACTCATTGAATAATTCCACCTTCCCCCTCGCAATCCACTGGAAATCACCATCCTGTTTTCTGTTTCTGTGAATTTTACTACTTTAAATACCTCACATAAATGGAGTTATAGTATTGGTCTTTTTGTGACTGACTTCACTCTGCATAATGTGATGAAGGTTTATCTACATAGCACTGACAGAATTTCCTCCCTTTTTAATAATATTCCATTGTATGTATACACTACATTTTGTTTATCCATTCATCCAATGATGGATACTTGGGTAGCTTCCACCTCTTTACTATCGTGAATAGTGCTTCTATGAACATTGGTGTGCAAATATCTCTTTACCCTGTTTTCAATTTTTAAGGTAGATACTCAGAAGTAGAATTGCTGGATATGGTAGTTCTATTTCTATTTTTTGATTTTTCATTTTAATGCTATTTTACATAGCAGTTACACCATTGTACAATGTCTCTAACAGTGTACAAGTGCTCCAGTTTGCCCACATACTCTCCAGCACTTGTTATTTTCAGGTGGTTGGTTTTTTTTTTATAGTAGCCATCTTAATGGATGTAAGGTGATAGTGTGGTTTCAGTTTGTATTTCTCTAATGTTAGTGATAGTGAGCATCTTTGCGTACATTTGTTGGTTATTGGTGTATCATCTTTGAAGAAATGTCTTTTCAAGTACTTTGCCCATTTTTAAGTTGAGTGATATAATTGTTTTGAGTTCTAGGAGTTCTTTATTCACAATATTATCCGACGTATTATTTGAGAATATTTTCTCTCATCCCATAGATTGCCTTTTCACTGTTGATTGTGTCTTTTGGTGCACAAAAGGTTTTACGTGTGATGTAGTCTCATTTGTCTATTTTTGCTTTTGTTGCCTGTGCTTTGGTGTCATATCCAATAAATCATTGCCAAATCCAATGTCATAAGGCTTTCTCTTTTTGTTTCCTGATAGAAATTTTATATTTTTGGGTCTTGCACTACTTCTTTAATCCACTTTGAGTTGATTTCTATATACAGTATAATAAAAAGATCCAATCTTATTCTTTTGCATGTGGATATTCAGTATTCCCAGCACCATTTATTGAAGAGACTGTTCTTTCTCCATAGAGTGGTCTTCTAGCCTTTATCATAGATCACTTGACTGTATATGTGAGGGGTTATTTCTGATTTCTCTATCCTATTCCATTTATCAATACGTCTGTCTTTATGCTAGTACCACAGTCTTGACTCCTGTAGCTTTGTAGTGTTTTCAAATCAGAATGTGTGAGTCCTCTAAATTTCTTTTTCTTTTAAAAATCATTTTGGCTTTTCAGATTCCTTGAAATGCCATGTGAATTTAAGGATAAATTTTTATATTTCTGCAAAAATAATGCCATTTGGGTTTTGATAAAGATTGTGTTAAATCTGTATATTGCTCTGGGTAGCATGGACGTCTTAATAATACAATTTTCTAATCCATGAACACAGTATGTCTCTTCATTTATTTGTGTCTTTAATTTCTTTTAGCAATATTTTGTAGTTTTTAGTGTATAAGTCTTTAATCTCCTTCATTGGGTTTGTTACTATTTTTTATGCTATTGTAAATATTTTAAGTTTTTAAATAAAAATTTTAATTACTTGGCTTTTTAAGAGATTAGCAGTGAGAGAGCTGTGGAAAGACAACTGGTATCCCACTTGTCTAAGTCCTTCAACTCTAAATATCCTATTTGCTCATCCAACTCCAAATGCTTCCACGTCTTAGTCTACAAAATTCTGCTATTCCACTGCCAATAAGGAACAGGAAGGGAATGAGAGGGATGCATTCCATATGATCTTGGTGGGTGTGAGGACAACACTTTCTACGGTCCGTCTCTAACTTGAAAAGCAACAGCCACAGTAGTCACAGATCAGACAACATTAAGTAGAATATTTGAACCGCATATGGTGACCTGAGATGAAGCCCAGCTGGGGAAGGAAGATGCCTTCCCTGAGACAATCCCATTTCATGAGAACTTTGTGATATACTTTTCAAAAATTAGCATCAGGCAAAAACTCATATTGGTGATCTCTGATTCCCTTCCTGTGCAAGTCTGCAGCACCTGTCGAAGGGACAGTCCTTAAAGAGGTGGTGGCAACAGAAGCAGAACCAAATTCAGTTCCCTAAATCCACGAGAGATGGAATCTGAGCACAGGTTCAGGAAGTTACCAACCTCAACCACTATAACTTCATCAGTAGCCAAAAAAACTTAATCTATTTACCTCCTACACTTATTTTTCTATCATATTTTCTATCTGTGCTGTTTCCATTCTGAGCAGAAAGAATCTTTGATACCGCCCTTTTTCAGTTACACTATATTACGAGTGATAAAAGTCAAAGGTGTCCCTTCCTCATTATACATTGCATTTGTTATTTGGTTTGGAGGATATATTTAAACTAATCTTTATTAAAAATCATACTCCCCAGAGATTTTCATGCATATGTATACATATAATTCAATGTGATAAATATTTATTGAGGGAGGAAGGTAGAAAATACTTATTATGCCAGGTACTTAATAACATATATTCTCTATCAACCCTCACAAAACCCTAGGAGGTAAGCAGTGTTGTTTCTTATCACCTTTATCGTATGGGGGCAGTGAACTGATGGCTCATTGCTATTAGAGTCAGAACCCAAGCCTCAGTCTATATCAGAATAATGTTCAAACTTTGTTTTTCCCCTTTGCTCTCCTGACAAGCACCTAGTATTTGTTCAATACCAACTTAACCAAATATAAATTGATCAAGATGATCATTTGTAAAAATAAGTATTTCCAGTCACTGATTTCCTGGGATTAGTAATTCTGGCGTGTTCCTTAGCAAATTTCTAACTCCTCATTATGCCTTAGAACATTATTAATCTTTTTCCAGAATTGCACTGTTCCTCCATTTTTTGCTTCTATATTTTTAATTAATTTCCAGCCAATTATTTTTTTCTTCTGTCTTATCTATGATTTAAAGATGTTAAAATAAGTATCCAGCAACAGAGGATTAATTAGAAAACATTTTAGATTCCAATGTAAGAATTTTTTAAACAATAGAATGACATTCATGCCTGTATAAGATGATGAAAACCAAACCAGATGGATAAAGCTAAAAAGCCTGGCCTAAAGTAAGTGAGAAAAGCATTTAAGCAAAACAAAAGCTTCATCCCCACCAAGTTTTGTTTTCTTTTTGACAGAAACAATACAAACTCATTACAGAAAATACAGACAAGCGAATGAATCTAAGAAAAATTCTATTATCAACCCAATCACCCACAACTACTTTTAATTCCTAGGTGTAAATATTTTCCATTCCAGTTTCATATGTATAAATGGATGATTATTTTTCAACAAAACAGACTTCTATATAAACTATCTTTCAAACTACTATAAATAAGACAGCATTTACATTTTTATTTTAAATTTTATTTTATACATTTTTTATAAAATTAAATTTTATATATTTACTTTTAATAGAGGTGAGATCTCACCATGCTGCCCAGGCTGGTTTCGAACTCCTGATCTCAAGTGATCCTCCTACTTTGTCCTCCCGAAGTACTGGAGCTATAGGCATGAGCCACCGTGCCCAGCCTATGTTTTTAAACTAATATTTATTTCTAAGCAATTTAATGAATATGAATATTTTACTATTGGCAGAGAAAAGAAATAATTGCCAGAAAATTAATAAAGAGATCAAAAACAGATTAGCAATAAATTTGAAAAATTCTAAATACACATCAACAAAAGGCTTAAAATATAAAAGTTTGCAAAACTGCCCCATAATGCATCACAATGAAAATTACTAATATTTGAACTAATTGGTAAATGACAACATCAATTTTTACCAATCATTATAATGGTTCATGAAGCTAATACAAGAACTGTACTTGATCGCCTAATAAGAAGCCCAATAGATAAAATGACTTCATGCTTTTTTCTGGAATTTGAGGATTAGATTGAGGAATGTACTGTAGTCAAGAGGACTAGATATATCCAAAAGAAGAAGCAATATGGAGCCATTTCTGCACACCAAAAGACAAGGTGTTGATTTCTCACCACTAATTTTTACAGTATCCATAGTTTCTGCAGAAGTAAGCAAGACCGTCCCCCATGAGTAACTGTGCAGTTTTGCATTATAAAGAACAAACTATGGACACAACAAGAGCAAACTTGGGCTGGTGAGAAGAGGACAGGGCAAGGCCAAGGGATGGGGAGTGGGGTGGAATAGCAATGTCTGACAAAGGGGCATCATTGAAGGAGGGGACTCTGACCTAACCAGTGCTGTTGGAGCCTGTTGAGGTAGAATGACTTCTCAGCATGGGGTTAGCTTTATGCTAATAATTCATGTTGTAACTGTTTGCTCACCACAACTGCGTTATACAGAGAAGACTAGACAATTCTGATTGCTTTGCAGCATCCAGCCTGAATGGAGCTTCTGGGTCCCAATCTATATTGTTGTGTGCAAGGTCACAGCCTAGAGCTCCTGGCAGGCAGCATAAGATAGACAGTGGACAAAACCACAGACAATGGAGTTGATAGGGTACATTGGAGCTTCGGTCACAAATGCAGTCTGCTACTTCTTTCTACTTAATAATGATAATCATAATAACAGCAGCACGTACAGAATGAGCCAGTGCTAAGTGTTTACAGGTATCATCTCATGTCATCTTCACCACTACTCTGGGAGGCAGGCTCTGTTACTAGTTACAGATAAGGAAGCTCGACCTCAGAACTTGGGCAGCATGCCCAAAGACATAGTTCAGTGCCCACAGTGCCTAGACTTCAGTAACTGGTAGAGCCTGGACTCCAACATGGTGTGTCACCTCACCTCATTATAGCTGTTACTTAATAGAGTACTTAGCATATGCAGTCAAGGACTGAGAAGGAGGACACACTAGGGTTGTACAAACTGGAGTTAAAAAGAAGGTGCTGTGGTTTGAATGTCCCCTCCAAAACTCATGTTGAGACTGAATTCCCAATGTGGCAGTACTAAGAGGTGGGGCCTTTAAGAGGTAATTGGATTGTGAAGCCTCTGGCTCTTTGAGAAAGCATTTATAGATTATTGAGTTAATGAATTAATGGGTTATCATAGGAAGGGAACCTGGTAGCTTTATAAGAAGAGGAAAAGAGACCTAAGTTTGTGCATTAGCACTCTCAGCCCCTTCGCCATGTAATGCCCTGCACCACCTTGGGATACTGAAAAGAATCCCCACAAGCAAGAAGGTTCTCACTAGATGCACCCACTTGACCTTGGACTTCCCAGCCTCCAGAACTGTAAGAAATAAGTTCCTATTTTTTTTATGAATTATTTTGTTATAAGCAAGAGAAAAGAGACTAAGAGGCAGTCTTCAGGAAAAATGTTGAACCGTGAGCACAAAAGTAGTGAAATCCAGATTGTCAATTTTACAAGCTGAATGGCCCTGGTTCTTCAACAGGTAAATTTTAAGAATAGAAAAGAAAGAGAGAATCTATACATTAAAAAGACATATCATAGTTTCTAAATGGTAAAACTAAATTGTTATAACTAGCAATGCATATATGAATGGTAAAACTATTTTAAAAATGCAAGAAAGTAATGACAGTCAATGCTTGGTGTTCACAGGGGATTGGTTTCAGGTCCCCTATGGATACCAAAACCCGAGGCTGCTCAAGTCCCTTACGTGAAAGGGTATAATATTTGCATATAACCTAAGCACATCCTCCTGTATATTGTAAATCATCTCAAGATTATTTATAACACCTAATACGATGTAAGTGTTATGTAAGTAGTTGTTATACTGTATTGTTTTTGCGTTATTTTTTGTTTTTTATTTCTATTTTTTTAAAATATTTTCCTTCTGCAGTTTGTTAAATATGCAGATGCAGAAACTGCAGCTAGGAAGGGCCAACTGTACTATCAAAATCAGGATGCTGGTTACTTATAGGGGAGAAAAGAGCTCTGGGAATGGGGCACATAGAAGAGCCTTCTTAGACAATGGCAAAATTATATTTCCTCATCTGGGTGGTGGTTACGAGTGTACAAAATAATATTTGGGTGTTCTATGTGTGCATACCTCATAATTCAAAAAAGTTTAATAAACAGAAAACAGAATCACCATCGTGGAGTTGCGGAGACCCTCAGGAATCCTCAGAAGCTCATAGTGAAAGCCAAGTGGGAAGGAGAGAGAAGAGGGGTGTTCCAAAATCCCTGAGTGTCAGCAGCAGATTTAGTAGGGACAGATTCTGAGACATTTTTTTCAGGATTTTTCCCATTCCATACCTATTATCCCCAAGTGGGACGCAATAGGGGTACTGCCTTCAAATCAAGAGATTAGGACTTCTCATTAGAACTTCTTATTCTTTCTTCAAGAGAAGGAGTATATTAGGGCTGCATAACAACAAGGAGACAGTCTCAAGGGCACTCAACAAGTTTATCAGAGTGCCTATGAGGGAAGATATTAAAAATGAAGTAGGGCTTTCCTTTAAGACTGAAAAAGAGTTCCCTACATGAAAAGTAATGTGGCTGGTGGATCCTGGAAAAAGGGACCCTGAATTCCACTTCTGTCAGAAAACCAAAGAGGCAACCAGATGTTAGAAAGAAAACAATGTCATATGTTCCCAGAAACAGTGCGGAACCAACAGTAAAATTTTTGCAATATATATAAATGTATAATATTAAAAGTTTACTCATTCATACCTCTATTCGCAAATGTTAATTTAAAAACAGAGAAAAGTTGTATTAGTACATTTTCATACTGCTATGAAGAAATACCGAAGACTCGGTAATCTATAAAAAAAAAAAAAAAAAAAAAAAAAAAAAAAGAGGATTAATGGACTCACAGTTCCACATGGCTGGGGAAGCCTTACAATCATGGCGGGAGGCAAAGGAAGACCAAAGGCATGTTTTACATGGTGGGAGGCAAGACAGCGTGTGCAGTGGAACTGCCCTTTATAAAACCACTGAGTCCCTCCCATGATGTGTGGATTATGGGAACTACAATTCAAGATGAGATTTGGGTGGGGACACAGCCAAACCATATCAGAAGCCATCTTACTTTACAAAGTTTCTCGTTCCTGGAGCTGCCTTTGCAGACAAAGAAATGATATTCAATGGTGGCCACCTTGCAAACACCTCAAGCACACGTGCAAAACAATTAGGGAACACTTACACAGGAGGTATTCGTGAACTGTCAGAAAATGTATACATAACAAAGCAAAAGCCAAAAGCAGAAATGAGACCAAAAGTTAACCATGACTTACAGCAAAGCAATGTATTTAACGTGGCAACATGCTGAAAAATTAATATTCTTAGTCACTGGATTCCAGTTAACTTTTTTTTTCCTACTTTGAGTTTCTTTTTAAATCACGCATCTCTTTTAACTCAATTATGCAATTTTGGAATGCTGAGAGGTTGGAAACTACTGAAATGTTCAAAAAGAGTTAGAGGAGGGCAAATTTAGAAAATTAGCTGAGAAGACAACCTTAAGTGCCCAGTGACAGGTGGTACAGTATAAGTGATCTTATAATATACATAGTTTATATTTCTTATACTGCATTCCCTCCTTGTAAAAGCAATGCAAATTCCTACATAAGAATCAGAAATATAATCAAAAGAATTTAAGGAATATTCACAATCCCATCTACCTAGAGACAACACCTATTCTTTGCTATCTAGCCACCTAGAACCTCTTGCAATGTGTAGTCATTGTCCAAACATGAAATGCATTCACATAGTATTCTATACTCTACCATAATTTATTTTAGCCATCCAGCTATTAGATATTTAGATGTTCCAAACAATGCCTCTTTGTTTGATATGTAAATGGTTACTAATTTTTACTATTACAAACAGCTTCAAGGAGGCAAAGGTGAATATAAACTTAAGATTTAAATGCAAAAATGAAAAGAACTTAAGATTTCGGGAATCATGCATTGTCATGATTCTTGTCACTCTAAATCATTCATGTATGAGTTTACTGAACAAACACATGTTAAATATATGTACCTATTATGTGCCAGGCACTTTGCTAGATGCTGGGGATGCAGTAAATAGACAGATGTGTTCCATACCCTCATAGACATCAGGGAAGAAATAGATATATAGAATTACAAGCATGTAAAAAAGAATGATGATATGGGCAATACAGCCTTTACCAAACACATTAGAAAAACCAGTGAACAGAGATAAAAATCTTGAAACATCTGTGGTGGTAACTCCATTATGCCAGTGACCAAAATCCTTTCTGAAAATCGCCTCCCTATGAATCACCTGGACTCTTAATTCATTCTCCTGTTTTAATATGTAAATTAACTACTCATTCTTTCCTAAAACTGAAAGCCCAAATTACAAAGACTCAGCAGCAGACCAAATGTATAGAGTGTGGGGTAATCATGCAGCTAGTGGATATTCTTCATCAATAGGTGAATATGAGATTGTGCTTGGTAGCATTGTGGAGTTGAGTGAACATCACCATGGGCTCTTCCTGTAAAATCACATGGTGCTTAACACATTTCAATAACCTCATTAACTTTCACATACAATTTTCTGAACATAATAAGTCTATAACCTACTACCTGCCATGCATTGTGCATATTATTCCTAATCTTCATGATAATCCTAAACAGTAGATATTTTTATCCCTACCTTACAAATTAACAAACTGAGGCTCACAGAGGTTAAATCTGGTATCCAGAGACCCAATCTGAACAGGCTGTCGGCTAGAGTATTTACTTTGCATTCTTCCTTCCTTCCTTCCTTCCTTCCTTCCTGTGGTTACCAACAAGAGAACAGCTGTGGTGAGTCTGCCTGCTCCCAGGGTACTGCCTTATAAAATGGATTCATCTGTCATGATCTGAGAGGAACAGAATCAGTAAACCTACCCCAAGAGAAGGGCTGTTATAGAGAGTTCATCCCTTGGGATGCTGCCCTTTTCCCTCAGAGCCAAGCTGCTTTGATCCTTAGCAACCAAACAGCAGAGCACATATACATGCCCCTGAGAGAGGGGCAGTGAGCTGCCTCCTCAGGACTGCCACATCCAGCCCTACCATGAGTGCGAACCTCCCAAAACTGACAGCTTTTCTCCCCATCCTTCCCACTCAAAGAGGAAACAATGCTACTGTCATTTCAAGGAACTTAAAGCCACACACATCTCAGGGTCTTCTCCAGCATTCTTCCTGTGGTCCCAGCAGAGGCAGGCAAAGGAGGCTGTTCCAGGTCACTGGCCCATATTCTGTAACATAGGCCAGGGCCAGGGATTAGGTGTTAGGAGTGTAGGGGTGCGGGACTCTGGAGTGAGAGCCCTGGGTTTAACGCCCAGAGCTGATCTTTACCCTCTCCAAGACTTGGTTTCCTTAAAATAAAAAAAAAAATAAAAAGCAGATCATAATAGTATCCCCATTGACTTGTTAACGAAGGTTACATAAGATGGTATTTGTAGTTCGGCACAGCAATAGTAGGGACCATGCACCCAGTGATGAATTTTGCCTGTTGGGGGTTTCATTTAAATGATAAGAAATAAACAAAAAATGAAAAAGTCACAGAGAAAAAGAGAAAATCTAGAGTGGGGTAAAAAAAAAATACAGAAATTTTGGTCCCAAATGTCATGATTTCAATTTTATTACAACATGCCAGTCTTATAATGGTATATAAAAGCCAGCATTTCAACAACAAATTTTTGACCCACCATGAAAACTAGAGTTTTACTTCTCTTTTAAACATGTTTTAACAAGAATCAAAGCTATTCAGGAAGAATGGAAAGTTGTGCTATTATTTCAAGTGATAGAGAAAAAACATTATTTGAGTCTGAAGAATCATTCATTTTTAATATAATGAAAATTTGAATCTGATATAACTAATTGCTTAAACCTCTCTTGCATGTACTACAGCAAGATCATAAAAGATATCAAAGCATAAAGAGCAGAATAAGAATTCTTTATCTGCAACAGGATTCCCTATGGTATTCTTCCGTAATGTATAGGTCTGTAACAGATATTCAACAAGAGAATTTAAGACAAGATATCATTTAACATACGAATTCAATGTTACCTTCAGGATCTCATCATACATACTTGGAGGATTACTTAGTCTGACAGATAGTTGTCTTGTACTCTTTTAAGATACCATAGCAAGCATTTGGCATAATTAGGTGTGTTGCTGCCTTATCACCTGCTCAAGGATAACCAGAGAGCAACCCAAGAATTGTGGTGTTTTCAGAAATTCAGATTTAAGGCAAACTTTGAACTTTACTATTTATAAATCATATATTCAGCTACCAAAGCCACCACAAGCTACAGACATGCTTTGTTACAAGGTACATGCTTAATCTAAGAAAAGTAGATACCTTGGTTTTTTTGTTACTGTTTTTAAAAGTTTCTATCATATTTCTGAAGACTATGCTATATGGCTTTAAAACAAGAATTAAGGTTAAAAACAAAACAGCAGGGTTAAGGTCAGATAAAACTATTTTAACCATCCTTCCTTCACATAAAGAAGTCTCCTGTATTATTAGGATTCCTAAATAATCTATACTTTTCAATCCATTCTCAAATAGCCAAATATTTATTTTATTTATTTATTTTTTGAGACAGAGTCTTGCTCTGTCACCTAGGCTGGAGTACAGTGGCGCGAATCTTGGCTCACTGCAGGCTCCGCCTCCCAGGTTCAAGCGATTCTCCTGCCTCAGCCTCTCGAGTACTGGATTACAGGCACCCACCAGCACGCCCGGCTAATTTTTTGTATTTTTAGTAGAGATGGGGTTTCACCATGTTGGCCAGGCTGGTCTCAAACTCCTGACCTCAAGCGATCTGCCCACCTCGGCCTCCCAAAGTGCTGGGATTATAGGCGTGAGCCATCATGCCCAGCCTAACCAAATATTTAAATAAGTATGTGCTGACCCTAGAAACATTAAGAGTCTGACAAAATGCCTTAGCAGTTTTCAGTGTCAGTTGTTTTTCTTCTTTTTAAGTTTTATTGTTTTTAATTGAGACATCATAATTGTACCTGTTTATGGGCTACAATATGATGCTTCAACACATACATACATTGTTTAATGACCAAATCAGGGTAATTACCATACACCTGTCATTTCTTGGTGGTGAGAACACTGAAATCCTCTCTTCTAGCTTTTTTGAAATATACATTATCATTAACTATATTCACCCTACTGTGCAATACAACACTGGAATTTATTCTTACTAACTGCAGCTTTATACCCATTGACCTACCTTTCTACAGCCCTCTCCGCTCCCCAGCCTCTGGTAACCACTATTCTAACTTTCTACTTCTAAGTGCCAGGTTTTATTATGCCATATATAAAAATAATAATGATAGTACAAGTTTTAAAGTTTTTTTAAAAGAGCGTCAGGACAGTTATGCTGGAAACTCTCCCTGGGACATTAAAAGGTGAAATATTTGTTTCAGCCAAATGGTTTCTGCCTCACCAACTACTGTGCAAAATTCCCAGCCCTGAAAATGACTGATCCGCAGGGGACCCCAGCTGAGTTACCTGACCTACCTGTTGAGCAGATGCCCCCAGAGAGCTTCAACTTTGAGACTTCATTAAGCTGTGTTCAGCACAATTCAAAAAAGTTATTGATACAAAGAGGAGTTATTCCTGGAGGATCACTCCTAAAACGCCAACAACTAGTTAGTGAGAATACCTGAATAACAATAATGATAACCTTTCAAAGAAGCAGCAACTATTATTTTACAGAAATAGAACTAAGTGGCACCTGAGTTATAAAGACAGTTTGGAGGAATTCTGCTGCATACGATCTTTAAACAACTAAGGTCCCCGTTCTCAATCTGCAGCTCTGAACCAAAGAACATTAAGGGCATCACCTACTCTGAGATGACGGTGGCCTCTTTTAACCCCTGTTTATAGAATAGCTGGCTGCAGGTGAAAGGACTGAGATGATGCTGTCCTTGTCCCCCAGAAAGAAGCAAAATCATCTTTTTTACAGGGCAGGTACTTCCAATCTAACTAGGGAAACATGCGGCAGTTCGCCAAGCAGTAAAATCTCAATACGCATTTATTTAACAAACGCCCGTTATGTCTTAGGCGCGGTTCTTCGCGCTTTATAAAAGTTAACTCATTTGATTCTAAATAATAACCTTTTAGGTACGGAAAACGGAGAAAAAATCCATGAAGATGGGGACTTTCTACCCACCCCAGCCGCTTTACAAAGAAATAACCAAACTTCTAGTCCCCAGGTCAAAAATAAGGAGATTAAAACCCAGACAGGGGAGGTTAAGGACAAAAACCGCAGCCGCGCTGAGTCGTTACCGTCCACAGGACACTGGCGGTCCGAGTCGCTGCTCATCTCCGCTCCCCCACTCCAGGCTGCCCCGGGCGCGGCTCCCGCAGTCTGGGCGGCGACGGTGGTTGCCGAGGCAGCGCCCCCCGGGGGACCCGCAGGTGCACCAGGCAGCCGCGGAGAGAACACCAGTGCAAACGGAGGGACGAGGACGCGCGCGCTCCGTGCTCCTTTCACTTTGCTATCCAAGGCTCCAGTGCCAGGCTTTTGCAGCCCGCGGCTCTCTGTTAATATTTGGAGCGCTGCTGGCTGCTTTGCCACAGGCTTGACCCAGGGCCAGGGTCTCTCCGCCTTTGCGGGGAAGGGGTGGGGAAGTGTGTAGGAGCGTGGGTAATTTGGGTAGGAAAAGGCAGGGAGCACCCTACCAGCCCTCCTAGGATACAGGCTGGGCAAGGCAGATAAGTGGCTCTTGGCCTGGTGACCTTTCCAGCGTCCAGTTCTTTGGAGTAACCACTTCGCAGAGCCTCATCCAGCCGGAGGAGCCCCAGGCTAAATATGATGCCTGCACCAGGTCATCAGCTGAAGGAACCTATTTTAGGGCAGCTGTGGTGAACAGGATCCACTACCCATTCATTCAGCTCTGCCCTGACATTTAAGAGTTCTATAAGTGAATCCCTTTTCCCAGTCCACTTTCAACTTTGTGTGTGTGTGTGTGTGTGTGCCTCTGCAAAATTTTAAGTTTGGAAAAGGGAAATGGTAGGGGGTGCTGGGCATGTTGTTACCTTATAGTAATGAGCAAAAGGAGGTGGTAAAAGGTGAAATGTTGTAAAAGGCTCAATATTTGTCTAGTCTTTAGAGTAAAATTTTCTCCCTGTGTTTGCTCCAGCAAGCCCTTGGAATTTTAGTTTCAGTCACGTTCCTATTGTAAATTTAAATTTAATTAGTGAATGCGGCATTTTTGTCATTCCTCCAACAGGCTTTATGTTTAAAGTTAAATTCCCTTAGGAGCTTTTAACTGAGGCTGTCGATGGGATAGAAACAATCAGTTAATGCCATTTCAAAGCACATTTATGACAACTACATTTACGGAGCTGCATTTGTAATCCAGATCTCAATGGACTAAAAAAAAGAAAATCGCTTTACATTTGCAAATGCCTAGTGTCACTTCTTAGCAGGTGAATTTTTTTCCTCTGGCAAGCATAATTATAGTTCACATCGGTGAAGACAGGGCAGACCTTTCTTCCAAATAAGAATAGATTATTTCTAATATACCAACAACCAGAGTTACTAAAGTCAAGACCCTGCAGATAAATTTCAGAAAGACTGTGTAAGTTTCTGAGAACCCCACATACTCTTTTGTATCCAGTCTCAGCAGAAATATCACTGAGATCTAGTGATGAAAACGTAAATAACACTAGGAGTTAATCTTCTGTAACTCTATTAAAATATACTGAAAGAAGTGCAGTCGTGTGTTGATTAATGATGGGGATACATTCTGAGAATGCATATCGAGGCGATCCATCATGCGAACATCCTAGAGTGTATTTACACAAACCTAGATGGTAAATTCCACAACACACTTAGGCTACATGGTATAGTCTATTGCTCCCAGACTGCAAACCTGTACAGCATGTCACTGCACTGATTAGTGTAGGCAATTGTAAGACAATGGTAAATAACTGTGTATCTAAACATAGAAAAGATACAGCAAAATTATGGTATAAAAGATAAAATAACATGTTACATCTGCATAGGGCACTTACCGTGATTGGAGCTTGTAGGATTGGAGGTTGCTCTGAGTAAGGCAGGCAGTATTAAGTGAGAATGAAAGCCCTAGGAAATTACTGTACACTACTGTAGACTTCATAAACACTGTACCTTTAGGCCATACTAAATGTATTAAAATATTTTCCTTTATTTAATAATAAATTAATCCTAGCTTATTGTAACAAATTTAAAAACTTATAAAACGTTTCTATAGGCCAGGCGCGATGGCTCACGCCTGTAATCCCAGCACTTTGGAAGGTCGAGGCAGGCGGATCACGAGGTCAGGAGATCCAGACCATCCTGGCTAATACGGTAAAACCCCATCTCTACTAAAAATACAAAACAAAATTAGCCAGACATGGTGGCGGGCGCCTGTAGTCCCAGCTATTCGGGAGGCTGAGGCAGAAGAATGGTGTGAACCCAGGAGGCGGAGGTTGCAGTGAGCCGAGATCGCACCACTGCACTCCAGCCTGGGCAACAGTGAGACTCCGTCTAAAACAAACGAAGTTTCTATAAGTTTTTTAATTTGGTAAACTTTTTGACTTCCTCATAACACAGCTTAAAACACATTGCACAGCTGTACAAAACTATTCTTTGTATCCTTATTCTACAAGCTTTTTTTCTTATTTTTATAAGCTTTTTGGTTAAAAACTAAGACACAAACATACATATTCACCTAGGCTTATACAGATCATCAATATCACTGGTCTTCCACCTCAACATCTTGTCGCGCTGGAAGGTCTTCAGGGGCAGTAACACACATAGAGCTGTCATCTCCTATGATAACGATGCCTTCTTCTGGAACACCGCCTGAAGGACCTAAGGCTGCTTTACTGTTAACTTTTAAAATACATATATGTATGAGGAGTGCACTATAAAACAACTTAGTATATAATTAGTATAGTATGGTAAGTACATAAACCCAGTAACATAGTTGTTTATTATTAGTATCAAGTATTATGTATTATACATAATTGTATGTGTTGTACTTTTATAGGACTGACAGCACAGTAGGTTTGTTTACACCAGCATCACCACAAACACAGGAGTAATACATTGCACTAACAACATCGCAATGGCTACAAAGTCACTGTGTGATAGAAACTTTTCAGCTACATTATATTCTTACGGAACCACCATCATATATGTGGTCCATAGTTGACTAAGACATTAGTATGCGCACATGACCGTATACACTCCAGCAAGTTTTTCACTTTTTTCTTAGCATTTTAATAAGAAAATCCCCTCCACTCCACTTTAGGATAGTGACCCGCGGCAGCTGCTGCTAAATTTCATATTTCTCTGTGTGACAAACCAGGGCCTGCAGGGGCCACAGTCATTTTACAGACCTGGACCAAGACCCCCAATCAGGGAATATGCCTTTCAAAATTTCTTAGATTGAAAACTAGAAACTGCCCTATAGCACGCCCCTTACTGACTTATTTCAACTATCACATTTATTCCTGTAACAAAGGCATTGCATTATATTCTTCAATTACTAGACTTTTTCCCTGTGCCAGACACCAAGGATTTAAAGAAAAATCCTGCATTCAGAATAGTTTAGTATAATTGACAGAGAGATGCTTAAAACCAGCTAACCTTTCTTAGATGTTTTATTTTCAGTGAAAGATAAGGGGCATTGAGGAGCCACCACTGAGGGGGATGGTTAACTCTAATAGGGGGATTAAAAAGTCTCCAACAGGAAGTGACAATTTTGAAATACTTAGAAAAATTCACTAATGATAGTTTTTGTCATGTACTATGAACTAGGTACTCCGCCAAATGCTTTTTATACATTCCCTTTTATAACCCTCACAAAAATAGGAATTACTGTCCCATTTTGCAAATGGACAAACTGAGGTTCAGATTAAGTAACTTGCCTAAGAACCCAGAGGTGAAGAGTTTTAGAATCATAATCGGAATGCAGCTGTCTCTTATTATAAAGCCTGTTTCCTATCTCTACAGTAGACTGCATTGATTAGCAAAGACACTTTCTAAAATCTTTGTAGTGTAAAACTTTTCACATAAACCTTTCATTTGTGAGTATAAAGATATGCCACTTGGTGTTACAGGAAACTGGACTGCACCTAGGCAGTCACATTTCCCTCACAGAGGAATCTCTACTTGTCATGACAAGATAGAATACACGAATGGCTCTCTAAAAAGAACTTGGAAGGCCAGGCACGGTGGCTCATGCCTGTAATCCCAGCACTTTGGGAGGCCAAGGCGGGTGGATCATGAGGTTGAGAGATCGAGACCATCCTGGCCAACATGGTGAAACCCCATCTCTACTAAAAATACAAAAATTAGCTGGGTGTGGTGGCTGGCACCTGTAGTCCCAGCTACTCGGGAGATTGAAGCAGGAGACTCGCTTGAACCTGGGAGGTGGAGGTTGCAATGAGCTGAGATCATGCCACTCCACCCCAGCCTGGTGGCAGAGTGAGACTCTGTCTTAAACAAACAAAAACTTGAAAATTAACATCCCAGGCAGGACTGCTGTGGAAACAGCATTCATTAATTTATAAATTTGTTCAACATTTGCTGGGCACCTACCTACTGCATTGCACATACTTTTTATGGAAGCTGACCTCATCTCAACAACAGATTTTCATAGGAATGCTCCAAGGAATTAGATACGTACATGAAAAGAAAGAAAAAAGAAGCGTTACTCCATGCAGAGTTGGCCAGTAGGCCAATTTATTTAAAGATGAGAAATGTGCCTTTTGTCGAATAGGAAGTGAAAGAGAACAAAGAAGATCCCAAGCTTCTATTCGGATGAGAAAATCTCTACCAGTCACATCTATCCAAGAGGCTCCCCCAAATTGTGTGGCTTTGAAAATCTGGAAGCATACTCAACAGAGAGGCAGCAAAATGCAGTGATTAAGAATCCAGTCTTTGGTGTCAAATAAACACTACATTCAGATGCTGACCAGCCCAATCAATGGTACTCAATACGGGGTCAGTCCAATACTATCCAATGAATGAGTAACTTGAGCAAGTGATAAAACTAACCTAAGACTTCACATCTGTGTAAAGTGGGATTAATCGTATAAACTTTAAGGAACTTTTGAGTGATATCTCTGTATAGGTAAAGTGCTTTCAGTTACTAATGGCAGAGATCTAAATTAGCAATGATTTAAGTACATTAGGTTGTTTTTTTCATCATTTAGCACAAAGTGTGGAGGTAGACATAGTCTAGGATTGTTATTACAGTTCTATATTTTAATCAAGCATGTTTTAATTTTCTTCTGTAGCATCTTTAATGCAGCCTTCCAGCCTCAGAACTTTCTCGTGGTCTTGTCTTGTAATGGCTGCCAGAACTCCGGAGGACTCCTGTTAGTCTTCCAAACAGGAAAGTAAAAGGAAAGGGGAAAGGGGAGAAAGTGGCATCTGGCAGTTGATTCAGACCCTTTAAATAACTTTCCCAGTGGTTTTGTTCAACAACATCTATTTAATATAGACACTTCCTCTCAAGAGAGGCTGGGAAGTGTGTGTGTGTGTGTGTGTGTGTGTGTGTGTGTGTGTGTGTGTGTGTGTGTGTGAATATGGGCACTTTGGGGGTTCTGCTATTGAGGAAAAGGAGAATGGAGATTGGGTAGACAGCCAGTAATATCTGCTATAGTTACAGATTTGATCCAGTGCCACAAAGTAAATACTCAAAAAAAAATTCAGTATGTTAGAAAATAAAAGATTCCTGACAAGTGATAATAGAACTAGTCTAAGTGTGTGTGTGTGTTGAGGCTGAGTGTGAGAAAGAGTTTTGATCAGATATTACTTCTTATGAAAGAGGTAGAACACTCGTTAATTTTATCAGTTTCAAGCTGAGCTCAAAACTGACCGGAAACATCATTTAGGTTACAATCTTTTGCATACTTTGGTGCTAAAAACATGAATAGGAACACAGTTTAGTTACTAGAGAAGAACTCTAGGCCAAGAGAAAGAAAGAGCTTAGCAATTCATAGAAACAAAAGTGGGAAGGTGGAAGAGAAAAAATGAGAAAGGGATCTAACATGTATTGCTTGCAAACAACCTAAATCACATCTGCCTATCTTAAGACTGGTTTTACAGCAATCATTTGGGAGGATAGCAAGGCCATACAGACTTCACTGAAGGGTTGTAAAGATGGAAAATCAGACTTGGCAGTTAAGCAAGAACCAAGCTCTGGAAGTTCAAAAACCAGGAAGCATAACAAGTAATTTTTTATAGGGATGAGTCTGATCAAGGATACCCACTTTGTCCCACTGCTGCAAGAAAGCCCCGTTGCTGCCATCAGATGCTATCTCAAGTACTCAGAGATAATCCAGTTTATTTTTTAATTTTATTTTTCTAATTTAAGTTCTGGGATACATATACAGAATGTGCAGGTTTGTTACCTAGGTAAACATGTGCCATGGTGGTTTGCTTGGAGGATAGGTCAGTGGGTGAATCCAGTTTCTTATCTTTGTATCACTTGAGCAAATCAATCAGGTGTATGTGCCTGATTACCCATGTCATGCCTGGATCCAAGGATAGAGATAGCCTGAATCTCCTCCCTTTGGCTTCCCTGGGCAGTAAAGTGGCCCCACCATTATCATCCTCCAAGAGGGACTCTCACACGTAGGAAGGAGGGTTAGATGCAGGACAGCCAAAGAAACAAAAAAAGAGGGACGAATATCAATCACAGTGTCTTAATGAGCCAAGCTGTGTTGAGAACCTGACATGTAATATTCACCATGATCCTGGGAAGCAATAATTGTAACTACTATTCTATAAATTAAAAATTAGGCTTTTATCTAAGGACCCATTGCTAGTAAGCAACAGATCTGGGACTCAAACGTAGGTTCGTGGATTTCAAGAGCTCTTCTGTTTTGCAATATCTGACCCTACTTCCATGTCTTATTTTATCTGGATTTGACATATTTTTAAAAATCTGCCTCACTGGGACTAAGTCAAAGGATTTGAGGGGATGACAATGCAATATTCAAGGCCATTTGACATGGAGCATTGTTCTTTTAGCTAGTAGACAATGTGGACACTTGATCATTATTTTTCCAATGATCAGGCACTCATTCAAATAATTCTTATTGAGCTTTGATGTGAAAGGCACTGAGCTAAACGTGGCACATGAATAAGTCATGGTTCCTTAGAGAACTGGCAGGGGAGATTGATATGTGGACAGTTAAATCACAATATGTTGTGTTAAGTGCAACGATAGAAGTATGCACAGAAAAATGTACAGAAGCAGTGCTGAGCAGGCAGCTACTTGGACCCCTTTAAGTAACTTTTCTGGAAGTTTTGTCAGGAACACTTGGGTTGTGCTCAGCAGCAAGTAAGTCCCCAAATCAACTAAGATTTATTTCCCACTCCTGCTAAATGTCCACTATGCATCTTCTGTACTTCATTGCCCCCCCAGGACCCAGGATGCT
Source organism: Homo sapiens (assembly GCF_000001405.40). Taxonomy (NCBI): domain Eukaryota; kingdom Metazoa; phylum Chordata; class Mammalia; order Primates; family Hominidae; genus Homo; species Homo sapiens. Next base: position 30,901,721 of record NC_000003.12, read on the forward strand.
GAAGTAACCTCTCTCTGGACAGGCTCACTTAAGAGAGTTAAGAGTAAGCAAAACCATGCCCTGGCTCCCACACTGTCTATCCAGGAAGAATACCCATATTTCTGCCTATAGTTCATGGGATAAAGCAAGTCACATGGCCAAAATTGACACCAATAGGACAGGAAATAATAATGTTGATCTTCTCCCAGGGAGGGGCAGCGAGTGTTTATAAACAAGAGTATAGTCCACCACATGAGCCATCTGGGAGACAGGAGCAACCAGAAAGGCTCTCCCAGAGAGAAGAAATGTGAAGTGGTCCGGTGGAAGGTGGGATCTGGGTTCATCCTGGGTTTGAATCCAGTTTCTACCACTTACTATTGTACAACCATTGGAAAGTTACCTAAATTAGCTAACTGCCATTTCCATTTCCTCAATAGTAAATGTAGAATAAAAAGGGTACCTACCTCATGGGGTTCTTGTAGAGAATAAATGAAACAAACATTTAGCACAGTGCCTATCATACATAGTACATTCTTAAATGTTGACAATCAGCATAAAAAGCTAATATTTTAGCTGAATTTTGAAAAATGAATACAAGTTTTCCACGTGGATGGTGTTAATAAGGTAGAATACTGGTTTTCCAGGCAGAAGGGCAAGTATAGGCCAAGTAGTGACCTCTGACCCAGCACCAATAGAGCCAGTACTTTCTGGAGGTGTTAAAGTGGGGAGAAAAGGGTGTTGAGAGATGAGGGTGGGGAAGGGAACAGGGCCCAGGTCCTGAAAGACTTGTAGGCCATATTTAGAAGCTTAGACTTTCTCCTTTAGGCAATGGGAACCCAGGGAAGAGTTTTAATCTGGGACAGATGGAGAGAGATAGTATCATTATGGAACATGCCCAGAGGTCAGGGGTGGGGACAAGGTGAAGCCCGGAGAGGGGACTATTCTGTGTAATAATCTAGGTGAGAGGTGGCAAGTGCTGCCAGCAAGGCAGGGATGGTAAAAACTGAGAGGAAGGGACCGACAGGAGGTAGCATACAAGGGGCCTGCCAGAGCTGTGAGTGCACCGGGACTTCTTGCCTTTTCGGCTGCTGAAGCCCCAAACCCAGAGTGGCATGAGGCAATGCATAAGGGGTTGTTGAATAAATGTATCAACAAGACTTGTGAGTGGATTCAGAAATGGTGGGAGAATACCTGCTGGGGGTATCTTTTCTCTCAGTATTTTCCAGACTTCTCAATTATTGGACTCACCCAGGGTACTTACTAAATATACAGATTCCCAGCAATCCCCCAACCTAGCTCCTCCATCTTTTGATGAACCTTGAAATCTCTATTTTTAAAAATAACTATTGATTAGTGGTAAGAAACTAATGATTCATTTGGTAAATCCTGCTAAACTGATTAAAATATTAGTGGTCAAAAAGGACAAGGGTGCTGGGTATGTCAATGAGGTGTCATGATTCAATCTGGGATTGTGCATTCATTCTTCAATGCTGTTTAGAGATGTTTATGGGCACTCCTATTCATATCCTAGAGCACTTACATTAGGGTTAGTTATGTTGTTTTAAGAAAATGTCTATATTATAAGTTACACGATTTCCATCTGTTTTTATTACCCTTGGGTAATACACAAATTCTTCTAAAATTCCCCCACATTGGGATCTCATCCTTGGGCTAATGAGAAAGGCAGTGGGAAAACCTCTTCTAGAATGTTACTTCTCAGAGTGTGTTCTGCAGACCAGTGCTGATCTGGGACATGCTCATAACTGGCCCATGAAAGGTGAGAGCAAAAATTGAGGTGAGTCATTTAGACACTACAATAGAAACAACCTCAGTACTGTGGACCTCTGGAACCTGATGATTGTGGTGGAAGCTGTCCTGTGCATTGAAGGATGTTTAACATCATCTCTGGTGTCTTCCCATTAGATGCTAGTAGCACTCTCCTCCCAGTTTTGACAATCAAAAATGTCTCTAGACATTGGCAAATGTCCCCACAAGATAAAATGTCCCAGGTGAGAACCATTGCTTTATAACAATTTAATAGAGTAATGTTATGCCTATGACTCCAATAATATGAAAATAAAATTGGATTGTTTGAGTCTTTTAATTTCATTTTCTAGTAATTCATTATTATATTTTGCTCTTAATTCATACAGAGTTTTTTAAATAGCCCTTCGCTATATATAGCTTAAAACACACTGAGGGAAAGTCACTGTAAAATATAGAAGTGATCCTTAGAAGAAGAGGTACAACCTTGGACTGTCTATCATCCCCCTACCACAGTCAACATTACAAGATGACTTTGAGGAAATTAACTAGACTTTGTTTTTTATGGTTTTATTTCTGTAACCCATCATGGAAAAGTCTCTAACATTCTCATATCACTACAAAGGAAGAAGCAGCCAGCACTAGGTTACCCATTCTCCAGTGAGAGTAAGTAGCTCTTTTTTTCTTTCCCAGGTCAGATGAAAATTTGCTGGAGGGGAAGGTGGGGAAAGAACCTAGAAGTAAACCCTCAAAACCTTTGTATGAGAGAAAGCCCTAGGTAAGAGGTCACACACTACCTAACCACGGTTAAATTTAGTCTACAGACAGGTTTTTTTTGCCTCACATATTGACTTTTTAAAAATTAATTACAAAACTACTTCTCATAAAAATCATGATTGCCAGCTTCTCTTGAAAGATCAGAGCCTTTTGGCAACACTGGGCCTAGCTTATCTCACAATGTCAATCATTGGAGCTGAAAAGCAACTGCCATCCTCAGCCCTCTTCTGCTGTCTCCTGACAGCTCCACTTCCTGATCCATGTAGCCATGTGAGTTGGCAATTCCTGGGCAAGGTCAACAGAGCATTTCATCTAGACATCTGAAGAAATAGAGGTGACAGAGGATTTGGACTTTGAGGATACAACATGGTAGAACCAGGGACTGTCCAAATCTGGGACAGGGCAGGTCAAAGGCTCAAGTGCTTGCAGTTGCTAGGTAATTTAGGTCCTGGGTCTTGGAGGTAGGTCTGCTTCAGATGGGACTAGCAATATGGGCACCTCTACAGGTAGGAAAAGATTGCCTGAGCCTGATCTTACTGACTGTATTAATTGAGCCATGAGACTTGTCTGTCTTGGTCTTGGCAGCAATGTCCCTCACTAGCTAGTGTGCAGGATCTTCTCCCATCACTAATTATTTGGTCTTGTAAGATTCAAGGGGTATCCCAAATTTGATTGCTAGAGAATGTTTAACCAGCCTGTCAAGTGAGCACTCAAACTAAACTTAATGGATCTTAGGAAAATAAGTAACAGTGACCTTGATTGCCCTCTGAGTGCCGAGGAGAAACCGTCATCTGTTAGGAAAACACTTAGTGGGTATTTACTCTGTGCGGGCTTTGAGGTTCCAAGAACAGGTGAGGCAAATCAGTGCTCCTCACCCTATGATGCTGTCACTGAGGGATGAATTCAGCTGTGTAAAAAGATAATCAGGACACACTGGGTGAATGCTATTTCAGAGGATGATCCAAACCCTGAAGCAGCCAAAGCATGAGTAACATAATCTCTGCTCGGACAACTTGGGGCTTCCTGGAGGAGATGCCATCTCAGCTGGGCTTTGAAGATTAGGTGGATTTATTAGATAAAGAAAAAAAAATAAAGCATTGTAGCCAAAGGAATCAGCCTGTGTAAATAAGGCTGGAGGCTGACTGAAATGAGCAGCAATTTAGTATGGCAAGAAGAGAGTGTGAGTAAACACAGTGGTAGGCACCCAAGAAAGGGCTGAGATCAGGTCAGGTCATGTCCTCACATCAAGGTTACTTGAGCTTATTGGTTGCGTGAAAATTCAACAATTATGTGATCTTATCAACTTTGTTTCTTTAGAGATGAAATCTGATGGCATATTAAAGATAGACTGGGCAAGAAAAACTGGAGGCAGACAGCCCAGCTCTGAAGCTGTTTGCAAACCTGAACTAAGGCAGTGACAGCAGTGAGACATTCTCTCGAAATTTCAAGACTTACATTAAACGAGGAGGTGGGAGAGACGAAGGTGCTTTCTGACTTGGGGAGACTAGATGGTTGTTGAAACTCTTAACAGAAATGAAAAAAATAAAGAGCATGTTTGAGGAGATATGGTAGAGAGTGAGTTGTTTAGGACAAGTTTGAAACAACTGTGGGATCTTCAAATAGACTTATCCGAAAGATGCTGAAAAACAGGATACTAGAGTTTCTAAGAGTAAGAAAGATACTAGAGATATCATAAATGATTGATGAAGCCACATGAGTGGCTGAAAGTGCCAGAAAGAGAAAAGGAAGATCCAGAACAGAATCTTAGGGAACCTTCAATTTAAGGGACAAACACGAGAAGAGGATACTACAATAAGGGAAAGAAAGGACAGTCAGAGAATTGGGAACATGAAGACTACAGTGATAGAAACCAGTGAAGGGAGGTTTCAAGAAGCAGTCAACCCTAGTGTCCGGCAGGGGACATGCAGAAAAATATCCATAGGATTTTGCAATTAGGAGGCCATTAGAGACCTTAGCTGGAGCCACCTCAAAGGAAGGGGAATGGCCAGAAGCTAGAATGTAGTGGATTGAGGCATGAACTGAGGGTTTGTGGAAGTGGAGATGGTAGTGCTACCGGAAAGGGGCCCTGATACACCAAGAGAGGGTTCTTGGACCTCGCACAAGAAATAATTCAGGGTGAGTCCATAGAGTAAAATGAAAACAAATTTATTCTGCCTCCTCCATAGGCAGAGCAGCCCTGAAGGCTGCTGGTTGGCTATTTTTATGGTTATTTCTTGATTGTATGCTAAACTAGGAATGGATTATTCATGAGTTTTCTGGGAAAGGGGTGAACAATTCCCAGAACTGAGGGTTCGTCCCCTTTTTAGACTACATAGGGTAACTTCCTGCTATTGCCATGACATCTGTAAGCTGTCATGACACTGGTGGGAGAGTCTTTTAGCATGCTACTCCATTATAATTAGTGTATAATGAGCACTGAGGACGACCAGAGGTCACTTTCATTGCCATCTTGGTTTTGGTGGTTTTTAGGATGGCTGGCTTCCTTACAACATCCTATTTTATCAGCAAGGTTTTGTGACATGTATCTTGGGCCTATCTCCTATCTCGTCCTGTAACAAATGCCTGATCTCCTGGGAATGCAGCCCAGTAGGTCTCAGCCTCATTTTACCCAGCCCCTATTCAAGATGGAGTCGCTCTGGTTCAAATGCCTCTGACAGTAAGGTGGACTACTAATTCGTAAATTTGATATTAAAGCGAACCCAACAGGCTAGAGGCCGGAAGCAGGCTACAATTGTGGTATTTCATCCCCATTTGTCAGCCTTAATTGCTGGGGATGTCTTGAGCTTATTTGTAACAAGAGGGAAAGGCCCAGTAAAAAGAGAAAGATGAAAATTCCTAGAGACAGAGGGTTCCAGGGCATGTTCCAAGTGAGGACTTTGGGGATGTCTGGGAATGAGGGGAGGATCACAAGCTCTGCTTTTATGAGTAATGGGAGGGAAATTGACTTGAGGGAATGTCTCATGAAAATCCTAGCATTTCTTAAGGTTTGGATGTGGGGAGCAGGAAAGCCCTCCCCCAGGAACTTGAGAACCCCCAGCTGACTCACGGGGCCCCTCCCAGGAGCCACCAAATCAGAATCACTGGGAGGAGGACCCCAGGACCTGCATTTTAAACCAGCACCCCAGAAAGCCACCATGTGAGAAATGATAGAGTAATTATGCCTCCTCTGAAGCCAAGTTGCCTGGGTTCAACTATCTTCTCTGCCAATAACCAAATATATGATATTGGGAAATTTACTAAATCTTTCTGTGCCCCAGTTTCCTCTTTTGAAAAATGGGCATGATGGGAACTACCTCAAAAGGGTATTGGTGAGGAGTAGATGAATGAGTGTATGGAAAGTACTCACAACAGTGTCTGGCACATAGTAAATACACAAGAAACGTGGACACATGGCTTTTATTTCACATTTTCTGTCATAATGATTCTCAGTTTACAGTATGAGCACGGATCACTTGGGGAAATGCATGAAAACTCCAAATTTTGCTGCTGAAATTCCAGAGAAGCTAATGAAATTGGTCTGAGATGGGCCTCTAAAATCTGTGTTTTAAACAAGTCCATTTTCCCCAACCTCTCCCCAGCCCCCATAATTTCAGTGTAAGTGGGCACAGGACCACACTTCCAGAATCATTGTTCTGCAGGATTGTGCCCATTGGGCTAGCTGTGCCCCTGCTCTCAGCTTTGCCTACTTGCAGGAAGGTCAAGATAGCCCTGACGTCTCTCAAGGCCCTCACTGGACGGTGAGAAGAGAAAGGACTGTCAATTAGAACTAATTATGAAGACTTTTTTTTTTTTTGAGATGGAGTCTTGCTTTGTCACCCAGGCTGGAGTGCAGTGGCGCAATCTCGGCTCACTGCAAACTCTGCCTCCCAGGTTCACGCCATTCTCCTGCCTCAGTCTCCCTAGTAGTTGGGACTACAGGCGCCCGCCACCACGCCCAGCTAATTGTTTGTATTTTTAGTAGAGATGGGGTTTCACCATGTTAGCCAGGATGGTCTGGATCTCCTGACCTCATGATCCGCCTGCCTCGGCCTCCCAAAGTGCTAGGATTACAGGCGTGAGCCACCACGCCCAGCCTAATTATGAAGATTTTTAAAACAACTTTTGGTTTTAAAAACCTTTGACTCTGAAAGTATTTTTACCCAAATTAGTCATTTGTCAGCCTTTATTGCTACTGGTGTTTTCTTTGGGGGGAAAGCAATTTGAAAAGAGATACATGTGTATATGTAGGAACTTTCAGAGACATGAGGCAATTTTTCTAGTGTATTTATAGCACAGCCATTACTATGTGCGCTGGTTTCAAACTTAACATTACAAAACACAAGAACAATAAAACTTAAAATGTAAACGAGCTCAGCAAACCAAACGTTTTCTTCCAATTGGGTAAATGGTTCTAAAATTTTAACTTGAGTATTCAGCGCAAAGGATCGTTATTGACATAAATAAAAATAATGGAAAGAGTGACTGGAGGTGCAATTAGATTCCTCCTGGCAACTGTATGTAAAGAATGGTAATTGTAAAGGAGAAGACAGGTGTCTGGCCTCCTGTGTGCAATGCAAATGAGCCTCACTGGCTTTTTTTTCCCCCACAACGTTTAGTTAAAGTACTGTGAGTACTGGCTTTAAGTTGGGTAAGGCTGTTGTTTGCAGGTGATGTGAAGGTGTCCTGGGTCCTCTTGCTGATGAAAAGCAGTGGCCAACAGGGTTAACTTCTGTTATCTAACCCAAAGCAGATTCATAGTAATTTATCGGGATTTTCTGTATTTTTGATTTAAAAAAAAATTAGAGCTTTGCTGCTTACAAGGCTTTTAGACCCATTGACTCGAGATTGCAAATGGGCTGTCTGAAGCCTACACAGGTTTTCTTTTTGGCCTGCACAATGTTTTAAAAATAACTAAAGAGTTGCCAGGGTTTTTCTCTTGATTGGGAGAATTCACATTAAATTCAGATTTCAACTCTTAAAAAACATCATGTCGTGACCTATATTCTTGCATGATTGAAATGAGCTGGAGCCGTGTAGCAGCTGCTCCCTTTATATAGGGCATGTATTTTCTCTGTTATCCTCTCTGTGCCTCAGTTTCTTCATCTGAAAAATAGGGATAGTAGTTATTCCTCTTTTGTAGTTATTGTGATAAGCAAGGAAGTTGATATAGGCAAAACACTTAATGCCCAGCATTTAATAAGTGCCACAGTCTCCACCCAGCCCAATTGATTTAAATTCCTGGCAGGCACATAGTTTACATGCATTTGCATTTGTGACCCTTGCTAAGTCTCACAAATTTTTAAAAGTAGATACCAAAAAGAGTAGATACCAACGTTTCTAAAAAGCCGAGGAGTTTGAGGGCCTTTAGCACCTTCCTGCTAAAAAGAGCTGGCCCCAAGGAATTTAAAATCTGAGGAGAACAAGAACTAATTTGCTGAGGGGCAAAAAAGTGAGGGGACAAGTCTGTAATGATTTATAGACTCAAAACACTGTCTTCGTTAAACTTTGTAGGTTAAGTTTGCAGCTTTGGGATTTTTCCTTTCTTTTATTCTCTATCTCTTCTCCTGTGGTTTTGAGTAGTAAGAATGCTTAGAAACCCCCAAATAATTCGGCATGTGTTTAAGAGGAAGTATTAATACATAAAAAGTTCAAGACAAGATTGTGCTCCTGAAAAATACTGAGTGGGAACCATCATGCGGCGGCAGTTGTGAGACCCCAGTGGAGTGGCACTCTATTTGTCACCAGGATTGCCGCATCTTACTACACTGGGTATTTTCCACCAGTCTTCCCAGATCCACTCTCCGTCCTTCCACCTGCTTGGGGTCCCCAGAGGCTAGCTTGTGTGGGCTCTCACTGGCTTCCCAGCCCTTGGGTGTTCAGCTAGATTCAGCCAATGAGAGGCTTGGTGGGAGATGAGAGAGAGGAGAAAAGGTGAGGTTGTGTGTTTATTGCAGTGCTGCCCTGCTGCTGGCCTGCGGCAGCCTGGCTGTGTCTCCCTACCAATGACCCAGGGCTCCTGCCAGGCAGCTCTCTTGAATCAGCTGTGTTCTCTCAGTTCCAGTCATTGCGCTCCACCCTCTTCTCCTTCAGGCAGGTCCAGGGATGGCAAAGGATGCCCACTGTTGCCAGACCAAGGAGACCACACCATCGTCAGTGACTTTCCTAAAGCCCACTGGCACCTTTGAGAACAATCCTTTTATTAAACTCTCAATGGTTTCAACCCAGGCATGGGTTTCCTGCCAGAACTCTGATTGATAAAGGATATTATATGGTAGATAAGTTTACCACTTATACCCTGCTTGTGTTTAAGAACAGGGCCTTCATAATCTTCTGTGCCATGTCCTTATTAGTAAATTCTTGGGTTTGATCTTATCATTATATGCTAAGCAATGCTTACTCAGTTGCATTAGTAGATTGAGTAATGTGTTAATCAAAATAATGTTATCGAAGGTGAAATTTTGAAGAGGAATAATGTTACTCCACATGAACTTTTTTCTGTCTTACCATGAAGGAATGAGAAAAATGCCTCCATGTATGTGCTTCCCATAATGCCTTGGGCTAAGAGCGTGTTCCGCTCCTACCCTATGCCCCCAACCATGGAGCTCACATATTCAGGTTTTCAAATATAAGCAAAAATTCTACATAACTGAAAGTGAAGGGAAGGTGTACATAGGAGGAGACAATGAATTCGTTAGTGAAGGAGTAGAGTTGTAGCCCACTATGGTGGCCCTGGGCCATGTGTTGCTATTGAGCAGTTAAATTGTGGCTGGTCCAAATTGAGATGTGCTGAAAGTACAGAATGCACCCTGGATTCCAGGGTATCTATGAAAAATATGCAAAATATATCATTGATAATCTAAATATTGATTACATTTTGAATTACATATACATTTATGCTCTTTTGAATACACTGGGTTATTCAAATGTTATTAACATCTTTTTGAAATAGTAAATTAGAACTGTTCTGTGTCTCTCTCCCTCACTTGCAACCCATGGCCTTTATTGAATAAGAGTGAAATGGAGGGTTAGAGCTTATGCTTGGCACATACCTTGTAGCCACCTTCTTTGAGCCATACCCCATGGCATGTCCCACATATGAACATGATTTGTAACCCTTTTCCCAGGTAGAAAAGGGATTCTGTGTACCATAAATGTCAGTGGAGGCCACTTGTCCTTTGAGATGTACGTAAAATTCTCTCCAACATTAGATCCCCACTAAGAAGGAAGTCATATGCCTCTCTTCCTCTGGTCACTTCTTTCTCTCTCTCTTCTCACCTTCTATAACTCTTCTCCCCGTTGGGTTTCACACTGACCCAGGGGTGGTCAATGTGTCCTAACTCTTGATTTTCCTACCAGTCTCTTACACAAAGTATTTAAAAGTTGTAGCTTTTACTGAAAGTAAAAGATGAAAGAAATTTCTTTCACACCAAGGCATGAGGGATTTCTGACTGGCCACCTTTGTTGATAAGTACCTCCTGGAATCACCTCTTTACTCCCAAATTCCTTCTACTTCTTAAACAGAGTACTGTAACCATCTGTTTGTCCTGCTACAATCTTCCATGCCCTATATCTTGGAGTCTCATCTTCTACACTTAAACGATTCTATGAAGCATCTGTCTTAAACACAGACATTTCTTTGTGAAATGCTCCGCTAGAACCTAAAACTAATGTGACCTCTTTATGTCTCAATATCCTCATGCTTAAAAGCTTAAAAAAGCACCACTGGGCTTATTGTGAATCTTAAGCAAGACAATACCCATGAAGAGCATGGAACATGGTCTCAGATATAGTAAGCCTTTAGTAAGTGCTAACTGACAGTGATGTTCTTAAAACAGAAGGAACTTCCACCCCATTACACGAGCAACTTTCATTTTAAGGTAATGCTTCACTTCAGGAAATCCTGGGGCAGGTGACTAGCTGCCCAAAGATACCTCTCTTTCCCCTGCTCTAGTATAATGGCTTGGATTGGAGACATTAGAAAAATGCACCCACCAAAGGTTTGAGGAGGTTTCCAGTGGCCATATGCTAGACTTCTTATGGCACAAACTTTCCATGGCAACCTCTGTAGTAGTTTCCTATGACTGCTGTAAAAATTGCCACAAACTTGGCAACTTAATACACATTTATTGTCTCACAGCTTCTGGAGGGCAGAAATTTAAAATGAGTTTCACTGGGCCAAAATCAAGTTATCAGCAGGGCTGTGCTCCCTCCAGAGGAGCTAGAGGAGAATCTATTTCCAACTTCTAAAACTGCATCCCTGAATTCCTTGGCTCATAGCCCCTCCCTCTATCTTCAAAGCTAGCAGCTTAGCACCTTGCTTCAGTCCTCAGATTGCCTTCATCTGTCTCTGCAGTCACATCTCCCACTGCTGCCTCCTTATAAGGTCATTGTGATTACATTGAGGGTACATCCAGATGATCTAGGATAATTTTCCCATTTTAATATTTTAGGATGATCACATCTGCAAAGTCCCTTTTGCCAAATAAGGAAACATTCACAAGTTTCAGAGATTCTGACGTGAACATCTGTGGGGGTTATTATTCAGACAATTTACCTGACAATTTACCTAAATAGGAGTGAAGAAATTGACCAGGATTTTTTTTTTCTTTAAGGATAGGAAGAAGTACTAATATATGCATATGAGCAGTTCTAACATTCTTCATACAGTCTCACAGAGCAAGAATATGCCCCTATTCCCAGCTCTAGAAATACCACTGCAAGTGGCAGCTTTTAAAATCCATTCATGTATTCATTCTTCCATCCATCTATTCATTTATTTATTCATTCATTTATCAGGCAACAAACAGTTGTCGAGACTGTACTAGGTCCCAGGCACTGTGATAAGAATTAAGTAAAATACATTCCCTGCTCTCGAGGGGATTACAATTCATGGTGATGATGGGCGATGGCAGGAAATGACCAGTTAAGTAAGCTAGAGAAATACTGTTTTGAATGCTGCTACAACGGAGGTATGACAAGCATTGGGAGGTGCTGTGTGTCCTTGAAGTAGGGCGATATAAAGTTAAATTTGCTAAGGAAATGCAAAAGACAGTAATATTAGATATCTTGGTGTTTTTGGTGAAATACGAATTTTTCTTGATGACTAGAGCACTGGTTATTCCATTTAGCTACACATTTGATTCCCCTGGGACTAGGGAGAATGATTAAATACAGATGACTCAGTTCTACCTCAGATATTCTGGTTTAATTGGTCTGGGGTGAGTTTTTAAAAATTGGGATTTTTATTTTATTTTATTTATTTATTTATTTTTTTTTTTTGAGAGGGAATCTCACTTGCCCAGGCTGGAGTGCAGTGGCATGATCTCGGCTCACTGCAAGCTCCGCCTCCCAGGTTCACGCCATTCTCCTCCGTCAGCCTCCCGAGTAGCTGGGACTACAGGCGCCCGCTACCACGCCCGGCTAATTTTTTGTATTTTTAGTAGAGACGGGGTTTCACCGTGTTAGCCAGAATGGTCTTGATCTCCTGACCTCGTGATCTGCCTGCCTCGACCTCCCAAAGTGCTGGGATTACAGGCGTGAGCCACCGCGCCCGGCCAAAAATTGGGATTATTTTTAAAAAAACTTGCAGGTGATTCTTTTTTGTTGTTGTTTTTTGAGATAGGGTCTCACTCTGTTGCTGAGGCTGGAGCACAGTGATGTGAACACGGCTCGCTGCAGCGTTGACCTCCCGGGCTCTCAAGCAATCCTCCTGCCTCAGCATCCTGAGTAGCTGGGACCACAGGCACATTCTACCTTGCCCCGCTAACTTTTTTTATTTTTTCATAAAGACAATCTCATTTTGTTGCCCAGGCTGGTATCAAACTACTGGCCTCAAATGATCCTCCCACCTCAGCTTCCCAAAGTGCTGAGATTACAGGTATGAACCACCATGCCCAGCCCCAGGTGATTTGAATGTGCAGCCAGGTTTGAGAATTGCTGGCCTAAAGCAGAATGAAGGGCAAATGCTGAGACAAGAGACTAAGCCAAGGGAGAGGTATAAGCATGGCTCATCACAGAGAGTTGTGTGCCTCCCTAAGGGATTCTCTTTGAGCATCCCTTAGGAAGGGATGATTTTTTTGTTTTTAGTGGTGACTTCCAACAACCTCCTTTCTTGCTCCAATGGTGGTTTGCTTTATGGCATTTGCCTCCAGGCTGCCTTGGCTTCTCAGGTGTTTTATACAAAAGCATTAAAGCAGGCTAGAATTGAACAAGTTTATGTTGGTGCTCTGAATTTAAGCAGCTGGAAAGTGATTATGCTGTGTACTACACATAGGCCTGCCACAGACTAACCACATGCCCTTAGGCAAGATATTTTCTGAGGCTGATTCCTCATCTGAAAAATGGGGATAAATATGTAGAAACTCATATTTATTGGTTACTGTGATGTATAAAATACTTGTGAGAGAGAAAATCCTTAGAGCAGTGCCTGGCACACTGGAAGTCCTGAGGAAAGCTTCATCTTGTTATGATCTGAACTTGCTACTTAAAGGGAACCTTGGGGGACCGCTGGAAACAAAATAAGATAATACAGAACAGTGACACTCTAATTCATGCAGCTCCTCTCCAAACACAGCCCCCAGTGAATCAGGCCTCCCATATCCATGTCTTCCTGTCATCACCTCCCAGTGACTCTGGGCTGGCCCTGTGATTCACTTTTGACTGTAGAATGCGGCAGAAAAATGTTAAACGAACTAAGGCAGAAATAGACAAATTTTGCATATTCTCATATGTGGGGGCTGAAAATTAAGCAAATTGAACTCATGCAGGTAGAATAGAATGATGGTTATCGGAGGCTGGGGAGAGTAGGAGGAATAGGAGGATAAAGTGGAGTTCATTAATGGGTACAAAAATAGTCAGAATGAATAAGATCTAGTATTTGGTAGCACAATAGGGTGACTATAATTAACAATAATCTATTGTATGTTTTCAAATAATGAAAAGGGTAGAATTAGAATGTTGCTAACACAAAGAAATGATAAATGCTTAGGTGATGGAGGCACCAATTACCCTGATTTGATCCATTAGACAATGTTTGTATCAAATCATCACATGTACCCCATAAATATATATACCTAGTATGTACCCATCATTCAAAATAATTTTTTTGAATGGGGCAAAATTAACACTACATAACTTCTGAGACTAGGTCAAAAGGAGTCCTGCAGCTTCCATGCGGATCCTTGAAATACTCAGTCTTGCTTCCTTTCCCCTGAAAGGGCCATACTGTGAAGAAGCCCAAACTAACTACCTGAAGGCAGCATGGAGAGAGAGAGAGATGCCTAGTCAGCCTCTAGTCTTTTCAGTCATCCTGGCTGAGGTGCCAGGCATGCGAGCAAGGAAGCCTTCTTGGACATCTTGTGCAGCGGAACTTTCAGATGACTCTAGCCTTAGCTTTCATTTGACCGTGACCACATAAGTGTCTCCAAGATCTGCCCAGCTAAGGCTAGTCAACACATGGACCCATCAAAGAAAAATACATTGTTTTAAACCACAGAGTTTTGAAGTGGCTCATTATCCATCAATAGATAACCACAGTATAACAAAAAGAGTTCTCTTCATCTAACATTTTGTAAACACATTATCTTACAGTCATGTGCATCTGCAAGGAGCACTTGAGACAGGTCTTAGATGTTGGCTGGCTTCCCTCAGAGTGAGCATTTCAAGAGATCCTGGTGGAAGCTGCAAGAATTTTGACCTTGTACCACATCTGCAGCCAAAAGTGAATCAGAGGGTCAGCCCAGATTCACTGGGAAGTGATGACACCAAGGCAAGGATATGGGAGGCCTGCTTCATTGCAGGGACTATCTTTGGAGACTAGCTTCCACAAGAGCAGATAAACTAGAGTGCCACTGACCCCACTGTGTAAGGCTGCCTTCTTAATTGGCTGTTGAACTGTTATATCTTGCAGTCAAATTATTTTTCCATCCTATTAATTGAATTCTATACACAGAAAGATATTGAGAACTGCTAAGTGAACTAAAGAACAAACTGAATTAGAAACTTTCCAAGGCTGTAGGACCCAACCCACAGACATTTGTTTGCCTGCACTGCAGCTAATTATGATCCTGGTGAGGCTCTGATTAATGTTCAGGAAAACTAGGTATTCAATGTGTAGTCCATTGATATTGTTTCTTCTATTGTTAATGTCTGTAGAGCAAATTTAAGGTCTTGAAGGAGAAGAAAAATCTGCCTCTGTTTTTATATTTTGCCTTATAATCAGGAGGTTGTGTATTTTGTAACTGCATCAATGAAGCTATACAGATACAATGAAATCCATGCATATCAGAACAGTATGATCTGGTTAAATGCCATTTGGCAGGGTTAGAATTATTCCCATCACACCTACCACATCCTGACAGGGTGAAAAACATTTTAAAATTAGTATAATGCTATGTTTCCTTTAGTCTGAGGCTTTTCTTTTCTAATTAATTGACTCATTTTTTAAAGGCAGTTTCAGGTTTATAGAAAAGCAGAAAGTATTTTGAACAGAGTGTCCATATATCACCTCTCCATACCCCTCCCCTCAATTTCCCCTATTATAAATGTCTTGAAGACTTGATGTGGTAGCATTAATACTGTAATCCTAGCATTTTGGGAGGCCGAGGCAGGAGGATCGCTTGAGACCAGAAGTTCAAGACCAGCCTAGGCAACATGGCAAGACGCTGTCTCTACAAAAAAGAAAAAAAATAGCAGAATGCAATGGCTCATTGCCTGTAGTCCCAGTTACTCGGAAGGGGCTCAAACCTGCAGTCCCAGCTACTCAGAAAGCTAAGATAAGAGAATCACTTGAACCCAGGGGTCTGAGGTTGCAGTGAACTATGATCATGCCACTGCACTCCAGCCTGGAGGACAGAACAAGACTCTGTCTTAAAAAAAAAAAAAAAAAAAAAAAAAAGACAGAAAATCTTGCATTTGGTGAGGTATGTTTATTACAACTGATAAGCCAAGACTGACACATTATTATTAACTAAAGTCCATAGTTTACGTTAGGATCTACTCTTTCTGTTACACATGCTATAGACTTTGGAAAACTTATGTATTCATCACAAATGTATGTTATGTATTTGTCCCTGGCCCCCAAATATCTTGTGTTCCACCTGACCCATATCTTTTTCACATTTTAATGTCTCAGAAATGGGGATATTCAAATACCATTGATGGCTACAATGAATGTAATGTGCTGTCTCCTTTCCCTTCCTCTCTCCCCGCTTTCCCTGCCTCTCTCTCCCCTTCCTTTCCCTTCCAACTTTCCTTCACCTGAGAGGTTCTTGTTAAACTGCCAGGGTATTTTATAATCCATGGCATCTTAGCACTGAGGAAACATGGTAGTAAAAGAGGCCTTGATATGAAGCCTAGTATGTACTCTCTTCTCCTTTGTTGCATATCACTGAGAATAACTAACAGGACCTGCTCCATTCTCCTTCTGACTGGAGTTGTGGGGGAGGTTGCCTAATGTAGCAGCCTTTTTCTGCCATGTGCACATGTCACTTTCTTCCCTGCCATCAGAATCTGGTTTTGTGTCCGGGTGATGTGCTGTGTTTCCTCTGCTTTCTCTTTGAGGTCCCCTCTTCTCCATCTTTCTCCACCCTGCTCTGCCCCTGGAGACTGCCCTGTTTGGATTACATCAATAGGTCCCAAGCCCTTTGGCTTTCAGTTGTTTCATCAGTGAGGAGTCTGGGCAGGAGAATGGAAGGACTGAGGCGGGTGTTTACTCTCCAAGTTCTCTTATAAAGGCCACCTTAACCTGGCTCTGTTCCTTGATAGAAGGTCACTGCTCCTCTGAAAGTGGGTGATTCTACGAGAATCTTTCTCTTTTTGAATCTCATAAGCTCTCTGTCACCTCATTACATTGGCCCAGGGATGGTAGCAGCCTGTGTTTTTATACCATCCCTTGTAGTTTCCCCAAACCCTGGCCACATCTTCATAATGAGCCCCCTTTGCAAATTCGCCCTCCTGGAATTGTCCTCATTTGAATGGACCATCTGGTTGTTGTCGGGTTCTCAACTGATACAGGCTGCAAATGGAGATTACTTTCATCTCAGAGAGAGGAGGCCTCAGTCCCAGGGGATGAACCATGATTGGTCTAAACAATTCTTGGTGGTCTAAATCTTTGTTACTAATGATTGATCTAGGCCCTAAATTCTAGGGGTTCCAATAAAAGTAAAAGGAAGTCAGCTGGGGGACTTCTGTTTTTGAAGATAAAGACAGAGCTTCATGATAGAAAAAGACATTTGTTCTCCCATGGATATTGGTGTAATTTCATGATGCCTGGAGATACAACTGCCACTTTGCGACCATGAGGTGACCAAAATAAAAAAAAAAAAATTCAAAAACCCTGTCATGTACAGAGAGCCAGGATGTCTCTCTCTCTAAAAATATATATTCTCAATGGTATTTCAGAGCCTTGCATGAAATCTGAAACCACCTATTTTGGATTACTCTTCTTTGGGTAATATGATCACATGCCCTTACTGTTTATGCCACTAAGAGTCAGCAAAACCCATTCCTACCTGATAGAGTGAGGGAGCGGGGTTGATAATAAAGGTAACACATAACATTCTCCAGCTCAGGATGTGGTGGAGAAGGGATAGGAAAACACTGAGTCTAAGATGAAAAGGGGTGCATATTGACTTGCCCTCATTGTTCTATCTTTAGAAGAGGCAGCATGAGGCTTTTACCATCCATTGGACCTGTGCCATACTCAATGCAATATCAGAATCCACTACATGAGAAGCTTCTCAGTGTTTAGAATCTGACTTTCATAGCCAGATAACACTGAGTCCTTACTCAATGTTTCTAAAGCTCCTACTCTGGGTTTTTCCACTAACTGCCTTTGCTGATATTAGACTCTTATCTTTAGCCTGTCCATTTGAGGAATAGTCTTTCTGTTTCTAGGGGAAAAATAACTAATTCCTGACCACCTGCTCAAACCAGGCAAATATAGTATTTCAAATCCTAACAATCCTGCAAGGTAGAAACTACAATTACTTCCATTTTACAGAGAAGGAAACTGAGGTTTTTAGATATAAAATCACCCAAATCTGTCTTAAACCTAAGCACTTGTTTCTAGTATGCTTAAAGTAAGCATAAATTCTGAGCACACCTGTCTTATTCATAATCTGGACACTGTAACCCCTTGCTGCATTTTCCCTATTCCTGACCTGTCCCTTGCTCTCCTCCTGCTGTTCATCAGCTTGCTCAATGCACAGCACTGATCATGCATATTCTTCCTTGGGCCCAATTTTGCTCTCATTTTCAGACCCCATCCTGAAGCTTTGGGGCTGTCAACACCCACAGGGTGACCTCAGAGTTTTTTTACAAAAGAAATAGACTTCACACACTTGAGTGAGCCTGACATTTTCTCTGGATAAAAACCAATGCCTAATTTACATTTTATATATTCAGAGTTTATTTTAAAATTTGGCTTCTATCTTACTCTATACAGACGGTTCTCAATTTATGCTAAATCGACATATGATTTTTTGACTTTACGATGGTGTGAAAGTGATACGATACTCTCACACATTGCTGGGCGGTGGCTCCCAGTCAACCACATGATCACCAAAGTAAACAACTGATACTCTACAGTTTACTGTGTTGCCAGATGATTCTGCCCAACTGTAGACTAACACAAGTGTTCTGAGCACTTTTAAGTTAGGCTGGACTAAGCTATCATGTTTAGTAGTTTAGATGTATTAAATGCATTTTCGACTCAATATTTTGAACTTATAGTGAGTTTATTGGGATGTAACCCCATTTTAAGTCAAACAGCATCTGTATAGAAGAATCAAACAAGATAATAAGACATACTACTCCTGAAGAGAGATTAAATAATCAGTGTCTACCCACATTGGGAGTAAAGGCAATGGTAAACAAAGGGTTTATGGGACAAATGATGTTCAGAACTATCAATGGGCTCATTAGACACACACACCAGGATCGTCAGAGCAATGACTGGCTTGAATAGAATTCCACCAGAGAGAAGCCATGAGAAACAAATCAGAAAGTTCCATGTAATCTAAGAGGCTTCCTTCGGATGTCAAAGGATCTGGTAACTTCATTTCTTTGTTTTTCTGGAATGCTAGACCATATGATTTTCTGGAGACAGAGAAAAAAAGATGTTGTTTTGATACTGATAGCAACAGGAGGCATAGAAATTCTAGGCAGACAGGGGCAGGTCACTGGTGAAGCTCCGCCCTCCAGCCAAAAAACCTGAAACTATAGCCCGAAGTGAGAACTCATATCCCTGTTTTCCCACTCGAATGCTGCCTTTTCCTAAACCACCCATGGCCCCGCCCCACCCCATCCTGTGCCTATAAAGACCCTAGACTCAGCTGGCAGAAAGGAGAAGCAGCTAGACATTGGAGACTACAGTTGAACATTGGAGAGAAGCAGCTTGACTTCAGAGGGACAGCTTGATGGCATAACTTCGGAGAAGAATCCAGCCAGAGACAGCCAGACTTTGGGGGAAAATTACCTACCTACCCCATCCCCTTATCAGTTCCCCTTCCCACTGAGAGCCACTTTCACTGACAACAAAATCCACGTTTACCATTTTTCAATTTGTTCGTGTGACCTCATTTTTCCTGGACACCAGACAAGAGCTTGGGAGCCACCAGTGTGGATACAAAAGGCTGTCACACTGGCCCTTTACCCTTGCTGGCAGAGGACAGCTGTGGGCCCACTGGGCTGTTAACACTTAAGCTATCTGCTGATGGCAGAGCTAAAAGAGTACTGTAACATGCCCTTTGTGGCTTCAGGAGTCACAGGCACCCTGCCTGGATCCTGCCATAGGCCTGCATATGAAGTTCACTCCTGCCAGCACCCAAAAGCACTGGCTCCAGCTGCTGCACCTGCTCACCTGCATGCTCCCTCCCATGAGAGGTGGAATGTAGCAGGTCTGAGTCAGTTGAATCTGATCCCACCAGTGCTGAAATGGCTGGCCAGTTCCAGCCGTTGTGAACTCCAGCTCCTGCCTTGTTCAGTCACACACTGTCTCCCTGGAGTTGACAGCAGTGGGCTGAGTAAATGAGGCACCCCTGTCATGAGTCCCACAAAGGGGTCAGGGAAATATCCTGCTTCAATATCATCTGATTCACTCACTATAATATTTTTCACAATGACGATTCTATTCTATTTTCAAAGTATGATTCTCACAGGTTTTGTTAAATGTGGTGAGCACATATCCTTAGAGGACCAATGCTTTCGTAGACTTTATGCATAGAAGTGGCACATAGCAATATATTTAGGTGTAATAGATAATATCCAATGAAAACATATGCATTATCATTTATTGAGCATTTCTGTGTGTCTCTCAATATTCTAAACATTTTGATGTGCTAATTCATGTAATCTTCAAACAATGCCATGAGGTAATATCAAATTTTTTTTGGACTTGTGAAGTCACTGAAACTTAGCAAAGGTATGAAACTTGTTCAAGGTCCACATGTGATAGTGATAGAGCCCAAGTTCCAACCTGTTTCACCTGATTGCAGAGCCCACACTGTTAAACATGCTAATATACTGTCTTTCATTGGCATCAAAAATTATGACTTGAAACAGCCTATTTGCAATTGAAGACATGTCAGGTTATCTACATAGATGTATTTGCCAGGTTTTAGGGTTCAGACTCAAGCCAAGAGTTGGATAACCCAGGGTCTTTGTGCTTTAGGGACCTCAAGGGGGGGATCTCATTTAATATATAAATATATATAAATATATAAAATAAATATAACAAAAAAAGCAAGGAGAGTGGTATTTTAATTATTCTTTAATTTGTTACAACTAAATGCTGTGCTTTCCAAAACTTCATCTGAAGATCAAAACATACTCCTTCGTTCCAGAAGTTCTAACCAATAAAAAAGATTCTCTTGGGAGTAGAACTTTAGGAAATGGTAACTGTGCTGCCCTATCATTTATAATATAAAAGTTTGGCAACATTGAACTAAGTTAAATGTACCTGTGATTTGAAGACAAAGCCTTTCAAAGTTTTAGAGATATAGAGACATGTATCAGCTATCTTTTGTTGTGTAACAAACCACCCACAATTTTGTGGCTTAAAAGAATAAAATTATTTAGCTCATGGTTCTGTGAGTTGGCAATTTAGGTTGGGCTCAGCAGATTAGTTCTGCCAGTCCCTGCTGGTCTCACTCATGTGTCTCTCAATCAGTACATTAGCTGGAGTTGTCTGGGACTGGCTGGGTTTATGATGACCTCAGCATGGATGGTTGGAATGAGTGCCGTCACTCTCCATATAGTTTTTCATCTTTCAGTAGACTAGACTGAGCTTGTTCTCATAGTGGTCACAAAGTTGCAGAAAGTCAGTCTCCAATGTGAAAGCATATTTCAAGCATGTGCTCAGGTCAAATTTGCTATTGTTCCATTGGCCAAAGCAAGTCACATGGCCAATCCTATGTGTGGGGCATGACCATCCTAAGATGTGGCTATAGGGAGGCATGAAAAAATTGGAAGTCAAAGCAATAATCTATTACAAGATATAAATCCAAAGGTACAGATTTCTAAAGATGGATATTTTTTAAATATCTTAAAATAAAATTTTGATTACGCAAAACCAAATAATTTTAAATAATTATAAAGTATCAAATTTTGTAAGAAAACCAATGTTTTTCTACAGGGAACCATCTGATAAGTTTGAATTTTAAAAGATAGATACAAATGATAGAATATCATTATCAAGAATAAACTAAATGGGAGACATCTGTGAGAATAAAAATTTTTAAAAATAGAGGTTTGAAAAATGTATCAAGACAAACAGTGTTGTTTATTATCAGACAATCTTTTTGTGGTATTTTTTCATTCTTCATGTATGTTCTGAGCAAGGAAGAAGTGATAGGCCAAAGCTTGGAGCAGTTAGTGTTATGTTAGCAGATGGTCAGGAAAAGCAGAACTATTCCCTTTCTGTCGTGCTTCCATTTTCGCCATTAAAAAGAAAGAACTTTAAGCTGGAAAGGTTGGAATAAATGTGATTGAATAAAAAATGAACCCATATTTGCTGAAGAGTTGGTTTAGTGCTCAGATAACTACATGGGATAGTGATAGCAATTGCAGATGTGACTGTAGAATTTTTATTTGAAAACATATGTGACATAAATATGTGGAACAAGAATTTCCAAAAGATCAATGGTGACCATTTATAAAGCTGATATTCAAAAGGTCATGTATTCTACAGTCATTTCAATTTCAGAAATTTTACACTACCAAGTTTATCAGTCCTTTCTTGATTTTAGGAGAGAGTCATTTGGTCATTAATTCTCATTAATTTAATCAATATTAAGCAGTGGATGTAACAATGAATGTCTGTCTAGGGAAATTCCCATTTACTTAGGGAGACAGAAATGCAAATAAGCCACTATATTGCCCATGAAAGAATGCTGAGACCGGGCGCGGTGGCTCATGCCTGTAATCCCAGCCGAGGCGAGTGGATCACAAGGTCAGGAGATCGAGACCATCCTGGCTAACACGGTGAAACCCCGTCTCTACTAAAAGTACAAAAAATTAGCCGGGCGTCGTGGCGGGCGCCTGTAGTCCCAACTACTCGGGAGGCTGAGGCAGGAGAATGGCGGGAACCCGGGAGGCGGAGCTTGCAGTGAGCAGAGATCGCCCCACTGCACTCCAGCCTGGGCAACAGAGTGAGACTCCGTCTCAAAAAAAAAAAAAAAAAAAAAAAAAAAAGAATGCTGAAAGGAAGACATAGCATCTTGAAGGATGAGAAGGATTTGGCGAGGTGGGAGGTTGGTGGGTCAGAATGTGAAGGAAATAGAACTAGAGTGTACACAGAGAAAGCAGCTTGTAAAGAGATTCGGGTTACAGAGATCACTCGGATGCATCAATGTGGCTAGATATTAGGGAGGGATGAGGGAACTGTAGGAGACAAACCAAAAGCATATTTAATTTAAAGGCAGCAGAAGCATTTAATAAAAAGCATTATTTGCTAGTTATACATTTATTCCAAAGGAAAAGGGAAACTATACAACACGTTAATTTCCAGTATAGGTCTATTTCTGAGTTTCTAATGTGTTATATTGATCAATGCGTTCATATCTAAACAGATGATTAAACAAATCCCCAGAAAAGAAAGGCTCACTGGAACCCATCATGGTTCTTAGGGCATGTTTATAATTCTTTCTGCTAAAATTTCAGGTATAAAATTTGTAAATATGAGACAAACGGCCACTTGATTTTGGTAATAAATTTGACAAGAACTCACACTATCTTAGTAGACAAGATTAAGGCTAGGTAATTATATAGTTGGGTAGATGTATTGTGACTGGACAATTTATTAGAATCAGCCTTTTTGGTATCCATACTTAATCTTTTACCTTGTTGTTTTAATCAATAACTTGGATGAAGACACATGATTATAAATGTTTAAGTCATGCAAGCAATAGATAGTACATTGGAAAATCAGGTTCAAAGAACTGTGTTATGCTCTAAATAACAAGCTAAAATCGGAGATGAAAGTCCAAGATTTTGGTTACAATTTTTGATATGTCAACTAAATGTAATATGAGGATTCTATTTGGATCCTGATTTGACTAAACCAATTCTGAAAATAAATATTTAAGACAATACTGGAAAATTAAATATAGACTTGGCGTTAGATAATACTAACAAAATATTACAAATTTTTAAAGTATGATAGTGGGCCTTTCGGTTACATTTAAAAATAGTTCTTTCCGGGAACAGTGACTCATGCCTATAATCCTAGCATTTTGGGAGGCCAACGCGTTGGATTGCTTTAGCCCAGGCATTTGAGATCAGGCTGGGCAACAAAGTGAGATCTATCTACAAAAAATTTTTTTAAAAATTAGCCAGGTGTAGTGGTTTGCACCTGTACTCCCAGCTACTGAGAAGTCTGAGGCGGGAGGATCCCGTGAGCTCAGGAGTTTAAGATTGCAGTGAGCTAGGATCCTACCACTGCACTTCAGCCTGGGTGACAGAGCAAGACCTTGTCTCAAAAAATGAAATGGTTTTTATCTTCTAGCAATACATGAATATTTACAGGTAAATTATATGACTATGGTATTTGCTTTAAAATAGTACAGGAACAAACAAAAAAACATGGGAGGTAGATGGATGAAATACGTACACACAAAAAAAGATAATGTTGAATCTGAGTGATGGGGATGGTAGGGGAAATTAAGTTCCTGTTCTGGGGGCTGAATACTACCTACCCTTACCTCTGCCTCATGAATGGGATTAGTGTCCTTACAAAAGAGGTTCGAGGGAGCCCTTTTGCCCTTCCCCTTTTGCCTTTCAGCAAGGAGACGCTCACTGTGGATGGTATCCATCCAGAAAAGTGACTAGGCTACTTGCTTTCCAACCTCCTCTTCTCTAGAGGTGCAACCAAACTTCTATTTAGCCTGCCCTGTACAGGCCAGTGGTCTCCAGTTTTGATGATGTGTGTGTGCACATGGAGGTGTTGAGGGAGAAGGAGGGTCAGACAGGGATTAGAGCAGAGAAACAGACCAGTTTCTCATGTAGACTATTGATTACTTCAGCCGTGCAGGACACCTCCTTGTACAGCATGATCTGCTGTCCTGTTGACAAAATTATAAAACAAGCTCCTCCCTCTCTGTATTCTCGTCATGGGGATATTTCATGTGGGCAGTTGCAAGCCTTCTGGGACTACGTCTTTAGAAGTACTTACGCTTAATCCAGGTAACCAGCTGTCAAGGAGCGTACCTATCTGGCTGAATAACTCTCCATTTTATCATCTGTGATGATGTTTCTCAGGAGTCTTTAGGTAAAAGGAGCTACATGCTCATATTAATGTTTTCAAATAATGAGGTACTAATTTTATAAATAAGTGGCTCTGCTTCAGAAAAGTCAGCTACAGCTTACACCCTATAAAATAATCAAAAAAGGACAAGAACAGTCACAGTATTAAAGGAAGAGGCATAAATGTAGAGGAAGCAAGTGTAAGTGTGCTAAGGTAAGACAGAAAATATGTCGATGGTAGGGAAACCTAAAGGCAAGGTAGAGAAGTTTTCTGAAAATTACGGCTGAGAAACAAGCTTGGTAATTAAACCAACACTTAGTCAACTTATCTAATTATTGTGACATATAGCCAGATTCAGAACTGTTTTTAAAAATCAAGTTGTACATTTTGTAAATTCCTCTACAAATCAATAGGTAGGATCACACAGCAGAAAGCCCATCTAATCCAATGAAGGGGAAACTGGGGAATGGAGAGGTGAAGTGATAAAGTCACACAGTTAATTAGAGTAAAGACACAAATTAGGATCCAGATCTTTAAACTATTGATTATGTTTTTTCCCCAAACAGATTAATACAGACAAATAGCCACCTACAGAACTTCAAAGTTCTAGAAAGCCAGTAAGGCTTATCTCTTAGCTAATGGTGTTTGGAGTTCCATTTCATAGTTTCAGCCTATGGAGGACACTGGTAGGAGACTGCAACGTGGTTGAAAGAAGAGATAAAGATAATTCCACTTTCTCTTTCTTTGCCTTGAGTTGTCTCTTCAACAGAAGCTGATTGGTTTCAACTCTGGTCAGACAGACTCCACGATGGTTACAGCTCCTACCAGGGGGCTGAGGCTTCTGCAAGGTGGTCAAGTCCAGTGGCACTGCCCCCTGCCTTTGTCTCACCTCCCCAGACAATGGAAGCATCTTTTTGCAGTTGCTATTCTGAGATGTCTTACCGTCTTCCTTTGTTTTTTCAGTTCTTCTAGCACTCTCATTATTAGGTGTTCATAGTAAATTCCTTTCATTAAACTGCTCAGAATAGATTCTATTTTCTGGCTGAACCCTGCTACTCAAACCCTTCGCAAGTCCCAAAGTGTAAAGAAATTGATCTACCTTATGATCAATTTCATCAGAGTTACACACAAAGGAAACAAAATTTCATTTCCAAAATCTAAAAACAGTTGTCTTGACTAAGGTCTCAAAGAGGATGCAAAGGGATGAGGACACATTGCCTAGCATGCAACAAATTTTTTCTATAGTTTGTGACATTCACTTGCTCCCTCAAAACCTGTGTTGATTATGCTACCATCTTAAAGTTGAATGAAAAAGGTTTCCAAATACAATGACAAAACAAACTAAAAATCTATTATTTTATTGAGATTCATTGATGTTAAAGATTACATTTATATTTTCAACTGCAAAATAATTATAATTTGCAGTGAATAACAACCCTCAATGAATCAATTTCAAATATTTGGTCTCAAAATAAGTAATGATACAATAAAATTATTTACTTTTTATTAATAAAAAAGAAAAAAATGCTGGGATAAAACATAAAGATGGTAGATTTCAATCCCAATATACCAGTAATTACATTAAGAGGCTAAATATTCTAAATAATGATTTGTGTTGTTGGACTGTATAAATAAAACTTACCATATGCTGCTTTTAAAAGACATAATCATCAGAATCGAATAAATCTTGTAAAACATGTAGGTGCTCTACACTAAAATCTAGAAAACTTTATTGAGATAATTACCTAAGACCTACATTAATATATAGACACACCATATTCAATAATGAAAAATAATCTATATGATAGAGATGTCAATGCCCTCTAATCTGGAGAATGCTGCATGTTCTAATGTTGGCAAATAACTAGTGAGCTCGCTGTCAGGTCACCTCTGACCTGGTGGCACAGAACTCTAGCTATGGACGAATCTAAAGTCTTGAAATGCATGGTTTAGAAGTCTTTATAAAGTACCCTTTCTGGGGAAAAAGTAGGCAACTGAGAACAGAAAAGTGTCTTAGAAGGAAAAAAAAAAAACCCAACTGGCAGAAATTGGGACTTATAGAACAAATGGGTACAACAGAATCTGAATGTACCTCAACCCTTCTACTCCCCCACAAATGCCACATATTAAAGAAAACGCACCTCACTGCCCTGACAGAAGAGGGCGCTCATTTTTTGTTTGTTTGTTTATTTGTTTTTGAGATAGAGTCTCGCTCTGTTGCCCAGACTGGAGTGCAGTGGCGCTATCTCAGCTCACTGCAACCTCCACTTCCTGGTTTCAAGGGATTCTTCTGCCTCAGCCTGTCATGTAGCTGGGACTACAGGCACATGCCACCATGCCCAGCTAATTTTTGTAGTTTTAGTAGAGACAGGATTTTGCCATGTTGGCCAGGCTGATCTCAAACTCCTAACCTCAAGTGATACACCCGCCTCAGCCTCCCAAAGTGCTGGGATTACAGACGTGAGCTACCGTGCCCAGCTGAGGGCACTCTTACACTAAGAAACCTGTGAGCCATCCAAACCCTTTGCTGTTTTTTTTAATTGATGATCCAGTTAAATCCAGACATTTAAAGACAAGATAGGCAACATCCATATAAAGCAATTATAACAAGAACAAAGAAAATGGGAATTGTTCTTACCTGATGACCATGATCTAAAAAAAGAAACAGCAGAATAAAACTGTAAAACAACACTGCAACGTGATATGTCATGAATAAGTATTTGCAAATATGAGAACACTTCCAATAAGAAATGTCGACTAGGATAAGCAGAAAATAGGAATGTGAAATCATCAAACTCAGAAAATAACTTGAATTTAGGCCGGTCATGGTGGCTCATGCCTGTAATAGTTCAGGAGTTTGAGACCAGCCTGGCAAACATGGTGAAACCCCATTCCTACTAAAAATACAACAACAACAAAAAAAATTAGCCGTGCGCAGTGGTGCACGCCTATAATCCCAGCTACTCGGAAGGCTGAGGCACGAGAATCGCTTGAGCCTGGGAGTCTGAGATTGCAGTGAGCCAAGATTGTGCCACTGCACTCCAGCCTGGGTGACAGAGTGAGACTCAGTCTCAAAATAAAATAAAATAATATATATATATCAGACTAAATATCAAACTCCCTAAGGGGAAATGAAATCGATTAAAAATAAGGAGCTCTGATGAGATGAACGAAAACAGTTATAAGAAAGTGAAACAAAGGATCCAAGAGCCAGTACAAATATTCTTGAAATAAATATAATTGGAATCCATGAAGAAGAAAAAACAATGGGATATAACTAATATTTTAAAACATCATCCAAGAAAACACTCCAGAGGAAAAAAATTCTAGAATACGTATTGAAAAGGCCCACTGTGTGCTGAGAATTGTCAATTTCAAGCTATAACCTAGAAAATCATTAAATCGTAAAGATAAAGAAGAAATACCATGGATCTCTCAGTAAAACAGCAAAGTCATTTGCAAAAGACAGAAAAAAATGGTGTGTATCAAACTTCTCAATAGCAACATGCACAATTTTAAAAATTGAAGCAACATTTTCTCAAAGCTCAAAGATAGTCAGCCAAGATTTTTTTTAATCAAAGTTCTAGAATCAAAGCTATTGAAGAATAAATTTAAACATTTATGAACTGAAAGAATATTCATATGTTCTTGAAAAATTGGCTAGAGTATGACCAAGAGATGATTGGGAAAATGCTGTCAAAATTTTGAGTATATATATACTCAATAGACCCCATATTTCCATGTTATCTTTCCATACTCATATATTGAAGACATATATCGGAGACAAAAAAGTGGTGGTAATGGGGGGAAAATAGTTTGTAAATGTTGTATGTTTTGATAGAGTTGAAACAATACAACTAAAAAGTGAAAGAAAGGACCATTCAGGACATAGGCATGGGCAAAGACTTCATGACTAAAACACCAAAAACAACTGCAACAAAAGCCAAAATTGACAAATGGGATCTAATCAAACTAAAGGGCTTCTGCACAGCAAAAGAAACTATCATCAGAGTGAACAGGTAACCTACAAAATGGGAGAAAATTTTTGCAAGCTACCCATCTGACAAAGGTCTAATATCTAGAATCTACAAGGAACTTTAACAAATTTACAAGAAAAAAAACAAACGACCCCATCAAAAAGTGGGTGAAGGATATGAACAGACACTTCTCGAAAAAAGACATTTATGCAGCCAACAAACATGAAAAAAAGTTCATCACTGGTCATTAGAAAAATGCAAATCAAAACCACAATGAGATACCAGTTAGAATGGTGATTATTAAAAAGTCAGGAAACAACAGATGCTGGCAAGGCTGCGGAGAAATAGGAATGCTTAGACACTGTTGGTGGGAGTGTAAATTAGTTCGACCATTGTGGAAGACAGTGTGGCGATTCCTCAAGGATTTAGAACCAGAAATACCATTTGACCCAGCAATCCCGTTACTGGGTATATACCCAAAGGATTGTCAATCTTTCTACTATAAAGACACAATGCACACATATGTTTATTGCAGCACTATTTACAATAGCAAAGATTTGGAACCAACCCAAATGCCCATCAATGATAGACTGGATGAAGAAAATGTGACACACATATAGCATGGAATACTATGCAGCCATAAAAAGGAATGAGTTCATGTCCTTTGCAAGGACATGGATGAGCCTGGAAGCCATCATTCTCAGCAAACTAACACAGAAACAGAAAACCAAACACCGCTTGTTCTCGCTCATAAGTGAGCATTGAACAAGGAGAACACATGGACACAGGGAGGGGAATGTCACACACCAGGGTCTGATGGAGGGTGGGTGGCAAGGGGAGGGAAAGCATTAGGACAAATGCCTAATGCATGTGGTGCTTAAAATCTAGATGACGGGTTGGTAGGTGCAGCAAACCACCATGGCACATGTATATCTATGTAACAAACCTGCACATTCTGCACATGTATCGCAGAAATTAAACTAAAATTTGAAAAAAGAAAAGAGACCAACTTTCTATTAGAGCAAAAGTGTAGGAGAGTATATTGGCAGCTGAAGCAGGTGAATGCCGGGACAAAGCAGAAATGAACATATGTGTAGGTGACCCACCCTATGGCAGAGTTTAGAAAATTATCCCTTATTCCTTTCAAAGAAGAGCCCCCATTCCAGTGTTTCAGTGACCCAGTGATTTTAGATGTTCTTAGATATTGAAAATGTGTCTTCCTTCTCCAGCCCACTAAACCCCTGAACATATCTTCAGGTACCAGAGAAGAAGTCTCCTCATGACTACTACGTTCAATGCAGGAATGGAGACCTAGTGCATTCAAAGAGCTGGGCCAATACTTGGGCTGACTATGTGATACACTTCTCAGATGCTCTTGAAGAATTTGTGCAACATATATTTTCAGATGGACCTGCCTGGTAGACAGAAAGAAGGAGAGTGAAAGAAAAAAGAAAGTAGAGTAAGTTTCTGATTGTCTTATAGGTAATAAATGGGACTCAAAGGATATCATTTAAAGATGACAAATCAAATAGTAGAAGCATAAGTAAGGAAAAGGGAAAATGGAAACATTATAAAAGACGTTAACATATATGCAAATACTGGAAAAAAATACAAACTTTTTCCTAAACACCAAAAAGAGAAAAATTTTAAAGCAAAGACAGGCTACCTAGGGTCAACATCCCACAAAAATATGTAACAAAATGCACACAGCATTAAGTGGGCAAAACGTAAGTAAGGGTAACCTAAAAAACAACATTAATGTAGGTAATATAGATGTTCATTAAGCTTTAGACTCTAATAATTGAAAACACACTTTCTCAAGTACATATAGTAAAACTGATGTTAGCTTACAAGTAAACCACAATAAATTCCATAAAACAGAAAAAATAACAGCATTATCTGATAACATTTCAATAAAGCTAGAAATAAATAACAATACAAAATTAAAGCAGAGATTTCAACCCGAAAATGAAAAATCTCTATAAACTCTTGCAATAATCAAAATTAAGAATTTCGGGATAAAATAATGATAATTACAAACATTAGTTGAGCAGTGCTAGGTGATGATGGTAAAAATGACAGTAATCATAACAAAAATAATGGTATTGAGTATTTTTTACTTCATATGTGAAACAGAAATATTTTCATATATTTAATTATATACATACCCACACATAAACATAATTATATATAAATGTATAGGTGTGATCACGTATCAGTGTGCTAGGACTGCCATAACAAAGTACCACAGACTGGGTGGTTTAAACAACAGAAATTTATTTCCTCACAGTTCTGGAGGCTGGGAGCCCAAGTTCAAGACGTCGGCAGGGTTGATTTCTTCTGAGTTCTCTCTCCTTGGCTTGCAGATGGCTGTCTTCTCCCAGTGATGTCTTCACATGGTCTTCCTTCTGTGTATATCTGTATATTAATTTTCTCTTTTTACAAAGACACTAGTCATATTGGATTAAGGCCCACACCAACGGCCTCATTTAACCGTATTACCTCTCTAAAGGCCCTATCTCTAAATACAATAACATTCTGAAGCCCTTGACGGGTTAAGACTTCAACATTTGGACTTTGGGGAGGACACCATTCAGCCCACAACAGATTATAAGCACTTTTATTGTGGCCTTTTCTTTCTTTCTCCTTTCTTCTTAATTCCCTTATCTGTTTTTCATGACCACATAGTTCTCTCCTCCCTCAGGGTAATCCGTGGCATGCATATTTCCATGTTACTTTTCCATACTCATAATAAACATACATGCACATAAATCTGTAGGCACACATACATATTTATATTTATATATAGAAGGGCTTTTTAAATGCACAAAAGTGACACACATTATTCACCCCTTTCTGCATTTTATTTTTCATATTCCACCATACCTCATAAAATGTCTCCATGAAGAATTCTAACTCATTCGTCTTGAGAACTGAACAATATTCACAGCATCCCATGGTGTATATGTGCCAATCCACTCATCTGTTTCTCTGATAGTTTTGTAGGCACTAGAAATCATGCTGCATGAACACCCATGTACACACACCTCTGTGCACTGCTGCTTTTATTACCATGGGATAGATTCCAGAAGTGAGATTTCTAGTTTGAAGGATACATATATTTCTTTATTTTTTTCTTTTCTTTTTTTTTTTTTTTTTTTTTTTTTTTTTTTTTTTTTTTGAGATGGAGTCTTGCTCTGTTACCCAGGCTGGAGTGCTGTGGCACAATCTCAGCTCACTGCAACCTCTGCCTCCTGGGTTCAAGCGATTCTCCTGCCTCAGACTCCTGAGTAGCTGGGATTACAAGCGCACACCACCATGCCCAGCTAATTGTTTGTGTTTTTAGTAGAGACGGGGTTTCACCATGATGGCCAAGCTTGTTTTGAACTCCTGACCTCAAGTGATCTGCCCACCTTGGCCTCCCAAAGTGCTAGGATTACAGGTGTGAGCCACTGCGCCTGACCAGGATACACATATTTCTAGTTTCACTAGGTGTTGCCAACTTGGCTTCCAAAGTGGCTGTAACACTCCACACTCCCATGAGGCTGGAATTTTATCCCTCTTTTAAAGCTCAAGAAGCTGAAAAGCAGAGAAGATAATGTGTTCATGCTTATTAGCAGTGGAGGTGAGGTACAAACTACACCTGCCTTGCTTGCAAACCAGTGCTTTTACCACCCCAGTACTCAGCCTCCCAAAGTGACAGGCATCTGTCCTGCAGCAGCCAGGTGTGTGCATGTCAGGGTGAAGAACTGCTTTTCCCCTGATCCTTTTGTCCACTAGGCTGGCTGTACCCTCTCTGTGGCCTGCTGAGCCACAGGTGCTGGGTTTGTACTGTTTACAACATAAAATTGCCCCCTCATGAAGTATAATGATGCACAATTTGTAAGAATAAGGATCCTCCAGGAGCAAAAGTGGGTACTAGAGCTTGATGCCACTAAATGTTATCTGAGAGGTCATAAGAGATAGCTAGTGCAGTGAGAAATTGGGGCCTCTTCTACCTGATTAAACACATTATCCAAATAATGCATATGAAAGTAGAAGGGGAATGAGAAGCAGGTGCTGTGGTCGGTTTTCTTATCGCTCTCCCTTTTAGTTATCGTTTTTTTTGTAAATAACAAACGTGCCATTCAACTAAGTCTTGCTTACTTAGCACATTTTTGAGAGAGGGAAAGAGATTGAAAGTAGCATTAATTTTAAGAATAAACAAGCTGATGCATCTTTCTGTAGCTGTTGTTGGAGTTCGTTTTGAGAATACAATTATGCCTCTAGACATGTACACTGGAAAAGGTTAGCTATAATAATTCAAACAGCATTGCCGTAAAAACATCCTTTCCAAATACGTTGGAGAAAAAGCAAACAAGTTTCTTTTGTGACCACAGGGGGAAGCATCAGCATGGCGTTTGAACAGTTTCACAGCTTACAGGAGAGGTGTTCCTCCTATTTGTGAGTTATGGCAGGAGCAACATGAATAATAACATTTTATTTTCTCCTTGGAAAAATAGAGGGCAGGTCGACATGGGAATGGCAAAACTGTAAAATTCAACAGGTCTAATTCACACTTGATCATGAGCACACGAGTAATGGGACGGGACTTTTGGGGTCTTTAGCAGAGAGGAAACTTGTAGGAAAAATAAGAAGCAAGAAAAACCAGAGTGATCCAGTTCTGTACGATGTGGCAATATTGTATAATTCTTCTAATCTTAAACCTTCTCTTAAACAATTCTTTAAATAACTGAGCTTTTCTTGTTTTCCTTTAATAGCTGTTAAAGTCACTTGAAATGAATGCTCTAGTTTAAACTAAAAAATACCCAGGAAGTGACCATTTAAAAACCAAAAACAAATCTAACCGTATATTTTTAGTCTATATAGCCTTCTTCAATTAGTTTCATATTTTGTCCATTTTATGCCACGACTTGTAGCTTTCTACATGGCTAATGATGCTAATAATAAATTTTGTATAGCATCTTCAACTTTTTCTAAAAGCAGGGTTTTATTTTTTATTTATATTTTTCAGAGACAAGATCTCACTTTGTCACCCAGGCTGGAGTGCAGTGGTCTGATCTTACTCACTGCACCTCTAACTCCTGGGTTCAAGGGATCCTCCTGCCTCAGCCTACAAAGTAGTGAGGACTACAACCATCTGCCACCACACCCAGCTAATCAGAGCGGTCTGTTCACAAATTTCCAGTGAGGCTGGAAACTGGGTATAATTATCTTCAGTTTACAAGTGTGCAGATCAATTAAGTCACCTACTCAAAGTCACATAACTGGGAATAGACTCAGAAAGAACCTAAACCTTCAGATGCCTAGCCCAGGCACTTTCCATTATGTTACACTTCATACAAACAGCGACATAGATTAATAATTAGTGTTTACTAACTTTTGCCTGAAATAACCAAGCTCTGGAATGACTAGACACCAGTTAGCAGTGGCTAAATGAAATGCTGTTTGAGAAGGATTATAAAGCTATATTATAAAGCCATCAGAGCCGTGATGGATGGGATGATAATATCCGTCATGTGTGAGGAGGGGGTTATGCTAACATACAAGCCACGTATTTCCGAATCCTGAAAATTCCAAGATCCTTATTCCGCATTTTGACCGTCATTTTCATTTGCTGTCAACCCAATGTCATGGTCACTTCCTGGACCATTTTTCAGACTAAACCATGTCTAAACTCTCCTTTTTTTCCTACCTCTGTCTACAATCTCTTCTTCTTCCATCTTCCTCAGTACTTGCTCTCACACCTTTGTTATTTAACTTAAGAAACACTCCCCAAAATTCCTCCACCACTTTCTTTTTATTATTATTACTATTTGTTGTTGTTGTTGTTGTTATTTCAATAGTTTTTGGGGAACAGGTGGTGTTTGGTTACATGAATAAGTTCTTTAGGGGTGATTTCTGAGATTTCCGTGCACCCATCACCCAAGCAGTGTACACTGCACTTAATGTGTAGTTTTTTATCCCTCGGCCCCTCCCACCCTTCCCCCCAAGTCCCCAGAGTCCATTATATCATTCTTATGCCTTTGTGTCTTCATAGCTTAGCTCCCACTTATAAATGTGAACATAAGATGTTTGGTTTTTCATTCCTAAGTTACTTAGAATAATGGTCTCCACTCCATCCAGGTTGCTGTGAATGCCATTATTTCCTTCCTTTTTATGGCTGAGTAGTATTCCATGGTAAATATATACCACTTTTTTTTTAAATCCACTTGTTGGTTGATGGGCATTTATGTTGGTTTCATGTTTTTGCAACCGTGAATTGTGTTGCTATAAACATGCATGTGCAAATGTCTTTTTCACATAATGACTTTTCCTCTGGGTAGATACTCAGTAGTGGGATTGCTGGATCAAATGGTAGACCTGCTTTTAGTTCTTTAAGGAATCTCCATACTGTTTTCCGCAGTGGTTGTACTAGTTTACCTTCCCGCAAGCAGTGTCAAAGTAGTCCCTTTTCACCACATCCACGCCAACATCATTTTTTTAAAAAATTATGGCCATTCTTGCAGGAGTAAGGTGGTATCACATTGTGGTTTTGATTTTCCTTTCCCTGATAATTGGTAATGTTGAGCACTTTTTTCATATGTTTTCTGGCCATTCGTATATCTTCTTTTGAGAATTGTCTATTAATGGCCTTACCCCACTTTTTGATGGGATTATTTGCTTTTTCTTGCTGATTTGAGTTCCTTGTAGATTCTGGATATTAATCGTTTGTCAGACACATAGTTTGTGAATATTTTCTCCCACTCTGTGGGTTGTCTGTTTACTCTGCTGATTACTTCTTTTGCTGTGCAGAAGCTTTTTAGTTTAATTAAGTCCCATCTATTTATCTTTGTTTTTGTTGCATTTGCTTTTTGGTTCTTGGTCATGAAGTCTTTGCCTAAGCCAATGTCTAGAAGAGTTTTTCTGATGTTATATTCTAGAATTTTTATGGTTTCAGGTGATAGATGGAAGTCTTTAATCCATACTGAGTTGATTTTTGTATAAGGTGAGAGATATGAGGATCCAGTTTCATTTTTTCTACATGTGGCTTGCCAATTACCACCACCATTTGTTGAATAGGGTGTCCTTCCCCCACTTTGTTTTTGTTTGCTTCATTGAAGATCAGTTGGCTGTAAGTGTTTGGCTTTATTTCTGGGTTTTCTATTCTGTTCCATTGGCCTGCATGCCTATTTTTACACCAGTATCATGCTGTTTTGGTAACTATATCCTTATACTGTAGTTTGAAGTCAATGTGATGCCTCCAGATTTGTTCTTTTTGCTTAGTCTTGCTTTGACTATGTGGGCTCTTTTTTTTGTTCCGTATGAATTTTAGAATTGGTTTTTCTAGTGCTGTGAAGAATGATAATGATATTTTGATCAGAATTTCATTGAATTTATAAATTGCTTTTGGCAGTATGGTCATTTTTACAATATTGGTTCTACCCATCCATGAGCGTGGGATGTGTTTCCATTTGTTTGTGTTGTCTATGACATCTTTCAGCAGTGTTTTGGATTTTTCCTCATAGAGATCTACAGGGAAAACTCTTTCAATTTCACCTCTTTGGTTAGGTATATTCCTAAGGTTTTTTCTGTTTTTGTTTTTTCAGCTGTTGTAAAAGGGGTTGAGCTCTTGATTTGATTCTTAGCTTGGCTGCTGTTGATGTTTAGCAATGCTACTGATTAGTATACATTGATTTTAGATCCTGAAACTTTACTGAATTCATTTATCAAATTTAGGAGCTTTTTGGATGAGTCTTTAGAGTTTTCTAGATGTACAATCATATTTTCAGTGAACAGCAACAGTTTGACTTCCTCTTTACCAATTTGTATACTCTTTATTTCTTTCTCTTGTCTGATGGCTCTGGCTAGAACATCCTGTACTGTGTTAAATAGAAGTGGTGAAAGTGGGCATCCTTGTCTTGTTCGAGTTCTCAGGAGGAATGCTTTCAACTTTTTCTGGCTCCATATGATGTTGGATATGGGTTTATAATAGATGGTTTTTATTCCCTTAAAATATGTCCTTTCTATTCCCATTTTGCTGAGGGTTTTAATCATAAAGGGATGATGTATTCCATCACATATTTTTTTCTGCATCTATTGAGGTGATCATAAGATTTTTTTTTAATGCTGTTTATGTGGTGTATCATATTTATTGACCTATGTATGTTAAGCCAATCTGCATCTCTGGTATGAAACCCACTTGATCATGATGTATTATCTTTTCGATATGCTGTTGGATTCAGTTAGCTAGTATTTTGTTGAAGATTTTTGCATCTGTGTTCATCAGAAATATTGGTCTGTAGTTTTCTTTTTTGTTATGTTCTCTTCTGGTTGTGGCATTAGGGTGATTCTGGCTTCATAGAATGATTTAGGGAGGATTACCTCTTTTTCTATCTTTTGGAATAGTTTCAGTAGTATTGGTATCAATTCTTTCTTGAATGTCTGATAGAATTCAACTGTGAATCCATCTGGTCCTGGAATTTTTTTGTTGACAATTTTTTTTTATTACTGTTTCAATCTCGCTGCATGTTTTTGGTCTGTTCAGAGTTTCTATTTCTTCCTTAGTCTAGGAAGATTCTCTATTTCCAGCAATTTATCCATCTTCTCTAGGTTTTCTAGTTTTTGTACATAAACGTGTTCGTAAAAGCCTGAATGATCATTTGTATTTCTGTGGTATTGTGATATCTCCCATTTTATTTCTAATTGAGCTTATTTGGGTCTTCTCTCATCTTTTATTGGTTATTCTTGCTAATTAATGGTCCATCAATTTTGTTTGTTTTCAAAGAACCAGCTTTTTGTTTTCTTTATCTTTTGTATTGTCTTTATTTCTTTCAATTTCATTTATTAATAGTTCTTCTCTGATCTTGGTTTCTTCTCTTCTGCTGGTTTGAGTTTGTTTTTTTTTCTTGTTTCTCTAGCTCCGTGAGGTGTGACCTTAGATTGTCTGTTTGTGCTCTTTCAGACTTTTTTGATGTAGGCATTTAATTCTACGAACCTTCCTCTTAACACATCTTTTGCTGTATCCCAGAGGTTTTGATTGGTTGTGTCACTATTATTGTTCAGTTCAAATAATTTTTTAATTTCCATCTTGATTTCATTGTTGACTCAAATATCATTAGGAGCAGATTATTTAATTCCATGTTTTTGTATAGTTTTGAGGATTCCTTTTGGAGTTAATTTCCAATTTTATTCCACTGTGGTCTGAGAGAGTACTTGATATAATTTCAGTTCTATTAAATTTATTGAGACTTGTTTTGTGGCCTATCATATGGTCTGCCTTGCAGAATATTCCATGTGCTGATGAAAAGAATGTATATTGTGCAGTTGGGTAGAATGTTCTGTAAATATCTAAGTCCATTTATTCTAGGGTATAGTTTAAGTCCATTGTTTCTTTGTTGACTTTCTATCTTGATGACCTATCTAGTGCTGTCAGTGGAGTATTGAAGTCCCCCACTATTATTGTGTTGCCATCTATCTCACTTCTTAGGTCTAGTAGTAATTGTTTTATACATTTGGGAACTCCAGTGTTAGGTGCATATATATTTAGGACCTGTTGGACTGATCCTTTTATCATTATATAATGTCCCTCTTTGTCTTTTTTAACTGTTGTTGCTTTAAAGTCTGTTTTGTCTGATATAAGAATACCTACTTCTGTTCACTTTTGTTTCCATTTGCATGGAATATCTTTTTCCACCTCTTTACCTTAAGTTTATGTGAGTCCTTATGAGTTAGGCAAGTCTCTTGAAGATAGCAGATACTCGGTTGGTGGACTTTTATCCATTCTGACATTCTATATCTTTTAAGTGGAGCATTTACATTCAACATTAGTATTGAGATGTGCAGTACTGTTTCATTCATCATGCTAATTGTTGTCTGAATACTTTGGGGTTTTTTTATGGTGTTATTGTTTTATAGGCCCTGTGAAAATTATACTTTAAGGAGGTTCTATCTTGGGGTATTTTGAGGTTTTGTTTCAATATTTAGAACTTCCTTTAGCATTTCTTGTAGTGGTGGCTTGGTAGCGGTGAATTCTCTCAGCATTTGTTTTTCTGAAAAAGACTTTATCTCTCCTTCATTTATGAAGCTTAGTTTCACTGGATAAAAAATTCTTGGCTGATAATTATTCTGTATAGGGGGCTAAAGATAGGACCCCAATCCCTTCTGTCTTGTAGGGTTTCTGCTGAGTAATCTGCTGTTAATCAGATGGGTTTTTCTTTGTAGATTACCTGATGCTTTTGCCTCACAGCTCTTAAGATTATTTCATTCATCTTGACTTAGGTAACTGATGACTATGTGCCTAGGTGATGATCTTTTTGCAATGAATTTTCTGGATTTTCTTTGAACATCTTATATTTGGATGTCTAGATCTCTAGCAAGATCAGGGATTTTTTTCTCAATTATTCCCTCAAATAAGTTTTCCAAGCTTTTAGATTTCTCTTCTTTCTCAGGAACACCAATTATTCTTATGTTTGGTCATTTAACGTAATCCCAGATTTCTTGTCCATTTTTTTATTCTTTTTTCTTTGCCAAATTGGGTTAATTCAAAAGCCTCATTTTCGAACTCTGAAGTTCTTTCTTCTACTCATTTGATTCTATTCTTGAAACTTTCCAGTGTGTCTTGCATTTCTCTAAGTGTGTCTTTCATTTTCAGAAGCGTGATTGTCTTTTCTTTGATATCTATTTCACTGGAGACTTTTTCATCTATATCCTGTATAGTTTTTTACATTTATTTAAGTTGATTTCACCTTTTTCTGGTGCCTCCTTGAGTAGCTTAAGAATCTTCTAAATTCTTTTTCTGGCAATTTGCAGATTTCTTCTTGGTTTGGATCCATTGTTAAAGAGCTAGTGTGACCTTTTGGGGGTATTACAGAACCTTGTTTTGTCATATTACCAGAATTACTTTTCTGGTTTCTTCTCATTTGGGTAGACTGTTTCAGTGGAAAGATCTAGAGTTCAACGGCTGCTGTTTAGATACTTTTGTGCTATGGGGTGATCCTTTGATTTGGCACTCTATCTCTTCCCCTAGTGATGGGACTTCCTGAGAGTCAGACTCTAGTGATTGCTATTGTCCTTCTGGGTCTAGCCACCCAGCAGGGCTACCAGGCTCTGGGCTGATGCTGGGGAATGTCTGCAAAGAGTCCTGTGATGTGATCTGTCTTCGGGTCTTCCAGCTGTGGATACCAGCACCTGCTCTGATGGAGGTGGTAGAATAGTGAAGTAGACTCTGAGGATCCTTGGTTGTAGTTTTGTTTAGTGTGCTGGTTTTCTCAAATGCTGTTTGTACCAGCAATGAAGTTAACATGTGAACAGACTTAGGACCTCTGGTTAGCCAGGATGTTGCAGGCAGTGGAATTAGCTGTTGTTTTCTCCTCCTTTGGAGCAGGGTTGTTCTGTTATGAGTTGCTGTAATGGCTTGAGTTGGTTGGTCTCCAGCCACAAAATGGTGCTTTCAATAGAGCACCAGCTGCAGTAGTGGATGTGGGATATAATCTTGCCCTGTGTTGGCCAGAGGAAGTACTTGGGTTATTAAGGTAGTGGGTGGGGCCATAGATGTCCCAAGAGTTGATGTCTTTTGTCTTCAGCTACCAGGGTGGTTAAAGAAAAACCATCATGTTGGGGGAGGGTTAGGCGCGTCTGAGCTCAGACTCCCCTTGGGCAGGGCTTGCTGCTGTCACTGTGGAGGTTGGGGAGATGGTTCTGAGGCCAGTGGGGTTATGTTCCCAGGAGGATTATTGCTGCCTCTGTTGCAGCATACAGATCACCAGGGAAGTGGGGGAAAGCTGGCAGTGACAGGCCTCAGCCAGCTGCCACACAGCCAGCAAGGCCAGTCTTATTCCCACTATGCCCCCACAACAGCATTTAGTTTATATCCAGGCAGGCAGTGAGCAGGGCTGAAATATTACCCTAGGCTACAAGCTTCCCCCTGATAAAGCAAGCAGGGCTCTCGGATCTTACCCCTCCCTGCCTCCTCTCACTTTTGGCTGCAGCTTCTGTGCTTGTATCTGTACTTCCCATTCACCCCCGGGATGATGTTTAGGAAAATTTGTGTTCAGTCAATATTATTACACAGCTCAGCTAG
This sequence comes from Homo sapiens, assembly GCF_000001405.40. Lineage (NCBI taxonomy): Eukaryota > Metazoa > Chordata > Mammalia > Primates > Hominidae > Homo > Homo sapiens. The sequence goes on from NC_000003.12 coordinate 30,942,021, forward strand.
GAGCTTCCTTCACACTGTGGTCCCTCCCCAGTTCCACTGGCTGCCTTCCCTTCCCCAAGGACCTCTGTAAAAAAAAAGGCCAGGAATACCTTCCCTGGGTTCACGCTGGGGACTGGGAGTGCCTACAGGGCTCTTCCCACAGCTTCCTCTACTTTTATATTTTGCTTAACTCCATAAATCCATTTCAATTCTAGGTAAGGTTAAATCTTTCTCCTATGATCTGGATTTTCAGGTTCCCCAGTGAGGATGTATGTTTGGAGGCAGACATTTTCCCCTTCTCACACTTTGAGAGCTCAGTTTTTCAGCTGTGTCGCAGCATCTACAGCAGCAAGCCACTTCTTTCAAAGCATCTGTGAATTATTTCGGTTTTCGTAGTATGTTCCTACAGTGGTTCTTGTAGCAAAAGTTCACAATGTGAGTCTCCACATGCTGTTCTGTCCATCCAAGTGGGAGCTGCATGTTAGTCCTGTCTCCTATCTGCCATTTTCCTCATTCTGCCTCTATCTCTCCACCACTTTCTTACCATTCCGCTTGACTCCATAATCCATTTCTTCTAAAATGTTAAACTTTTTGATCCTTTGTCTTTTTACTGTACTATACTTGAAAATTTTCTATAGCCAATGAATCCAACCAGTCTACTTTTACACCTGAGCTCTGCTGGAGTAAATGTTTCCAAATATAGACCTTAGTGCCACTAAAACCTTTTTTTTCTTTTTTCTTTTCTGAGACAGGGACTTGCCCTGTTGTTCAGGCTAGAGTGCAGTGGTGTAATCATGGCTTGTTGCTGCCTCAACCTCCTGGGCTCAAATGATCCTCTCATCTCAGCCTCCAAAGTAGCTAGGACTACAGGCATGTCCCACCAACTCCTGGCTTTTTTTTTTTTTTTTTTTTTTTTGACAGATGTGGTATCTCTGTGTTACCCAGGTTAGTCTAGAACTTCTGGGCTCAAGCAATTCTCTTGCCTCAGCCTCCCAAAATGCTGGGATTATAGATGTGAGCCACCATGCACCCTAAAAAATACTTTTTAAATTTTTATTTATTTTTTATTTTTTTATTTTTGAGTCTCACTCTGTCACCCAGGCTGGTGTACAATGGCATGATTTCAGCTCACTGCAACCTCCACCTCCTGGGTTCAAGCAATTCTTGTGCCTCGGACTCCCAACTAGCTGGGATTACAGGCATGTGCCACCACACCACATATTTTTAGCAGAGATAGGGTTTCACCACGTTGGCCAGTCTGGTCTCGAACCCTTGGCCTCAAGTAATCCACCTACCTCAGCCTCCCAAAGTGCCAGGATTACAGACGTGACCCACTGTGCCTGTCCCAAAATACTTTTAATATTCAGTGTCAGCTTGTCTGTGTTGCCTTTCAACCCGTTTACTCATGACTGATTAAGCAGACTGTCATGCTGCACGTCATTACATGAATTAAAGTTGTACTATGTAGCTGTACTATTGGTCAGCATCTTTTCTCATTCCTCACGTTGGTTACCCCAAATTTTTATAACTACCCTCAAGTTACCTTCAAAAATATCCAATTTCCTCACCCATTAAAAAAATCAATTCCACCATGTGTTATTGATTTGAAATCATGACATAAGGTAGACCTCAATCTCTTATTATTTACGTTTGTATATTGTAAATATACAAATATACAATATACATTTGTATATTGTAAATAACCTATTATTTACCACATTTGTATGAATTTCCCTATATTGGATTGAATTTAAAAGTCTTGCATGGTGGTGCATGCCTGTAGTCCCAGCTACCTGGGAGGCTGAGGTGGGAGAATCACTTAAGTCCAGAAGTTACAGGCTGCAGTAAGCTATTATCACACTACAGCACTCCAGCCTGGGCAACAGAGGAAGAACCTATCTCTTAAAAAAAGTCCTTATCAAGCCCCTCAGCTCCCAAGGTAGATCATTTTACACTATGGCTAGTTAGGAAGAAATGGAGAATAAAAATAAAATAGTGGAGAGAATAACCACCATTCTGCTCAGATCCCTTCACATCTCTTCTTAGCACTTATTTATTGATTATTTCGTATGTGCACATTTCCATCCCTACTCTGACATTGACGTGCTTTCGTCTCCAACAGTTTTGTTTCTGAGGACTCCTTTTCTACCCACTGGAGTCCACTCGGCCTGATTAGAGAGCTGGAAATGCTAAAAAAAAAAAAAAAAAAAAAAAAAAAAACTTTTTAAAAAAGCCTCCCGAAGTGGCTACAGGAGTATAAAAGCCCCAGATTCCTTGCCTCAGGAAGCAACAACTCTGAGGTGTGGCTTGTAACCCCCAGCTCCCTGAGGGATCAGGCTACAGCTCCCCTCTGTGGAACTTTGCCTTAGATTACCCACTTCTGCTTGGCTTCCTCCCCTCCCTGTCCTGCTTCTTTACTCCATTATTGGTCTTCACTGAGAACATTTTCTTAATAAATCACTTGCACACTTCTGGGGAATCAATTTTAAGACAATTAGGTAATAAATATTTGTGTGACTGAAGAGACTGATCTAAACCAAACAAGTTTTTGAAGGTGTGTTGTCGCATTAAAATAGCTTTTGAGGTTTTTTATATTACTTTTTTAAAAATTTGAATGTTGGGCCTTGAAAGTAATTTTTTGTTACAGTTCATGAAGTCTAAAAATTCAATTGCAATCATTTTCTGAAATGCAGTTTTTCTAACATCCATAAACCAGAGATAAAATTGTATAAATAATAAAATATTGTCCAAGCAACTTGTAGTTGTGCTCGGTACTAGTATTTTTAATTTTATCATTTCAAAAGAATTATTCAGGTTATAGAAATTGTATAAGCAGTTTCTGAGGTATTTGGAGATGTGGGAAGATATACATATTATCTTCTATAAAACCATCCTTTGCCAAGAAGAAAAAAAAAATGGTGCTGAATTCTCTCTTTCCCCTTCCATCCTACCATGTGACTGTGCCAGTCATGGATATACCTCTCAGCTCCAAATTCACCCCTTTGCATGCTCTGTGATAAGGGAGGGGGCGCCTCATAGATATTTTTCCTTTGACAGCCAACACAATAAACTTTTCAGTAGAGGACACTGGAGGGACACAGGAAAAGGAAGGGGATTTCTCCTCCTGGTTCTGGTGTGCTCCTCTTGTGGTCCTAGTTGAGTTCCTGCAGAGTGGCTGACGTTTTGTGACTATGGCCCCACAGCTAACAGCAAGAGTCACCTGTTCACGCTGGAGTTTAGTGCACTCCCAAGGGCAGCTAATGAGTTCCACAGGCACCTGGCTCATTTCCTGGGCATTTTCTGATGACTCAAAAGTATCCCACCACACACACAGGCAGCTTCCAGGAAATTTTCTAGAAAATCTACCTGTTGGCTTTCCAGGAAGTTAATGACTTCCACATTTTGCCCTCCTCAGCAGCTTCCTGGTGAATGTCTTTGGCATCCTAGCAGATGGTTCTCTGCCTACCAGCCTCAGCCTCATCCCACTGTGTTTGGACAGCGACAACACAGTGCATTCTCTACCATTGAGTGGACTTAAACCACACCCTGGCATCCAGTTGTGGAAAGAACATCCCCCCCTCAAGTTTGTTTCTTCCCTGGGTACCCATTCTCAGCCCTAGGGTGTCTTTATGAGTTCTTTTTTCCCTCCTCTTAGACAATTCCCTGTTACTCCATTCCTGTGTTAATAATTTTTTATACTGGTCTTTCCTTGTTCTGTCTCCTGATGGGGGCTCTAACTAATATAATGACTAAGCAATGCAGAATGATGAAATCTTAAAAAATTGCTAGTCCTCTCAATGTGTGAGTTCTTTAAAGAAAGTTTTTTTTTTAAAAGAAAGATATTTAGGCCATGCCTTTTAAGTCTTTTTTTTTTTTTTAAAGTTGTTCTTCCACTCTTTAAATGGCTTTCAATTTGAGACAAAACAGTTGCCAACTCTAAGAGTGACAGCTCTGACTTTTTGTATGGTTAATATGAAAAAACCAGAGCTGTCACTTTTGGAGTAACTGCCTAGTGCTTGGCACTTTACAAACAACACATTTAATTCCCAGAAAGCTCTGCAAGGCCCACACCATCATCCCTGTTGTAGAGGTAAGGAAACTGAGGCTCAAAGATATGAAATGATTTGCCTGATATTACATTACTGTTATGTGCTGGCAGGTAGATCAAAAAAGTCTCTTCACTGTCTTTCATTGTATCTCATGTAGACACAAAATGAAATCTTTCAGATCTTTAGTAATTTGATTAATCAGTTCCTTCCTTTATTCCCCAATATTAATTGGATACTTCCTATGTTTCATGATAGGTTAAAAAAGCCTCAAGGGGTTTTCATGTTAAAAGCACTTTTTTCTTAACTACTTGCCCTTGACCATGCATTGCACTTTGCCCCTTGTTAAAGGCTTTAAATTCCCAAGCAAGCCTGTGCAGAAAGTGACATTTTTCCCCAAAGTTGCTATGGGCCACTTCCTGCTTGCATGCTTTGCAGCATTTTGTATTGATTTGCCCAGTTTTTCTGTCCCCCTTTAGGTCTCCGTGCCTTGGGACTCAGTCTTGGCCTGTCCCCTTGGATGCTGCTCCATTTGGGGGCTGCTTGTTCCTCTTCTGACCTTTAGCTCTTCCCCTTCACCATCTTAGTTTCTTCAACCGTTCTCTAGATCTGCTTCTGGTGTTCCATGTTTCATGACCCATCACCACCACTGTTAAGACTGCCTCCCTAGCCACACAGGGGTGTGGGAATGGGCAGGAGCTTTTTCTAAGTGGGGAATGTCTGTTTCCCCAAGACACAGATTTGGGGGCAGCTCTGATCTACATTGAGGTGTAAGCAAGACAGTATCTTTATGGAAGAAGCTCTTCTGGCCTCCTGCTTTTGCCTCCAGCAAGCCATGATGTTATGTCTTCCCAGAATACTCTTCTCTTCTCCCTTGCCCATGTCTTCTCTTCCTCATAAGGCCTATCCTTCACCCCAGCTATCTGTCCAAATTCTATTCATCTTTCATGTTCAACTGTAACATTAACTTAAGGAGATGGACCTCCACTGAGCCCTTGCTGCAGTGCTGAACTGTATTGGCTGATTCTTTGTATCTTAGGAATTGGGAGCATCTGGAGTACATGGACTGTGTTGTGTTAGTCTGTATACAGCAAAGCTTAGCATTGTGTGGCATGGAAGTCCCTTAATAAAGATTTGGGGAGAGAAAATGGGAGGGAGAAAGAGGAAAGAAGGCAGAAAGAAGAAATAATTAGTGAAAGGGAGGCAATGTATTCTTTCTCTCTTTCGGCATTTTATAACATTTTACCAGCTGAAGTAAATTAAATTTATCATCTGACATTTAGGATATCTCCAAGAACACGGTTTTAGGTGGCTTTTGGCTGAGACTCTGTTCTAGCCAGTGACTTCACTCAGAGACAGAAGGAATAACTACCACCACAGTAGAAATAACATCAAACAACAATGAACACTTAGTGAGCCCCTGTTAGGTACCAGACCCCATACTAAGCATCTTCTATGCATTATCTCATTAATCACCACAATCGCCCAATGAGTGGATACTGTTCCTCTTTTCAGATAAAGAAACTAGCATAGAGATATGAAGAAACTTGCCAAGGTCACACTGCTTGTCAATAGCAATATTAGGGTATTAAATCAGGCTGTTACCCACCAAAGCCAAACTTATAACCATTACACTATGGTGCTTCTCTAAGGAAGTGATGTATGTTTTCATGCCCAGAAAGGCCCACAAGATAGCAGAGTGGATCCTAAAGAGACACCTAAAGCTTTGGTCAATAAAAGGCATTTAATGCAAATTAAAACTACAGTGAGACATCATCTTACACCAGTCAGAATGGCTATTATTAAAAAGTCAAAAAATAACAGATGTTGGCAAGGATGTGGAGACAAGTGAATGCTTATACACTGTTGGTGGGAATATAAATTAGTACAACCCCTCTGGAAAAGAGTGTGGAGATTTCTACAATTGAACTAAATATAGAGCTTCCATTCAATCCAGCAATCCCATAATGGTATTTTCCCAAAATAAATAATTATATTAAAAAGAGACTTGTAATTGTAGGTTTATTGCAGCACTATCCACAACAGCAAAGATTTGAAATAAAACTAAGTGATCATCAATGGTTGGATGGATAAAGAAAATGTGTAAATGTACAATGGAATACTATTCGGCCATAAAAAATGAAATCACATCTTTTGCAGCAATGTGGATGTAGCTGGAGGGCATTATCTTAAGTGAAACAACTCAGCCAAATACCACATATCCTCACTAATAAGTAGAAGCTAAATAATCACACATGGACGTGGAGTGTGGAATAATAGACACTGGAGACTCAGAAGGGTGGGAGAGGTGGAAGTGGGGTGAGGGCTGAGAAATTACTTAATAGGTATAATGTAAATTATATGAGTGATGGTTACACTGAAAAGCCTAGACTTCACCACTTTGCAATATACCCAGGCAACAAAACTGCACTTATACCCTTAAATTTATACAAATAAAAAGATGTTTAAAAACCCTCAAAACCCAAATGCATTAACATGTGATGACATTTCCTTATAGAAGCAAAATGAAAGTCACTCTCATAATGAAATCTGACTGCTTATTTGAGTTGGTGGGGGGAGGTGGAAAAGTGGTGAGCAAGAAAAGCAGAAGCAGCTGATGGAGTAGTTTGCACAATTTCCCACTAAATTGAAACAACAAATAATAAAATGGTTATTGCACTCAATTGGGAGGCATCAAATAGATTATTGTAAGGTAAATATTATAATAGTGAGGCTCTCAGGCAGAATCAATTCCCCAACAACCGGGAGAGGTTTTGTCTTAGGTCACAAATGCATGTCCTCCACAAAACAAGGCCCTCATATGCTAAGTGAGGGAGAAAGCATTAGGTGGAGAAGCACTTTCAAAGAGAGGGCAATTGAATTTTGAACAGCAATGAAACAAGCTTCACAAGAGTTGGTTTCAAAATTAAATGGTTTGTATGATGATCACTTTGACTTCCAGTGCATCAAAACATAAAATATTATTTTACATGCATTTCCACAGCCCATTTCTCTGTAATACCTCACTGCTTTGACAAGCATGTTACGTTAGAAGGAAATAACACACAAAGGGATGTGGGCTGCCTGGGGACCAATCATATGGGAGTCTTTGTGACTTGCTTAAGATTATTCAAAGATCAATGCAAAGAAACGTGTCTTGCCTCTCTCCCCTAAATCTTGTCTGGAATCTCTTGGAGAGAATTTGCAGCTTTGAGTCCTCAGCTTGGGAAACTCTTCACCTTGGTTCTGCACATATTAAATTTCAGAATGTTCTACTCTCAAATTATTTATTCTCAGTGATGGTCACTTGTTGGCTGACAGGTCATTTATTTAGATGTAAGTAGAAGGCAGTAGGACACCATAAAAAGCATCTACTTCCAACTCCCTGTCCTCAGATAAGACTACTACACATGAAGTATTTATGGTACATTGTTTGCAAAAATGACCACAATCCTTTATCCTTCCCTATATGTGTACTCTTTGTACTGTGGCTTGCAGCTTCTCCCATCAAGAGACAAAGTTTTTCATCTGCCTTTGAATCTTAGGTCTTGCTTCAACCAATAGAATGTGGTGGAATTGACACTATGCTGGTTCTGAGCATGGGTCACAAGAAGACATGCACCCTTCCATTCATTTCCTTTGTCCCTGCTTTTGCCATATATATATGTATATATATACACATATGTATACATATAGATATATACACATATGTATACATATAGATATATATACACACACACACACACACACACATATATATATATATATGGACTCTGAATTTCAAACCCAAGAAGGAGTGGTATAGTATAAACTAAATAGGAAGAGTGGTAGGGAGGGGAAGAGAAAATTAAAAGACAAGTGTTAGACTTTCCAGTCCATAGATGACCAAGTTATGCTGCAACAGAACATGGGTCTCACTCACTAATAAACATCTATTAGAAATTTTTGATGCCTCAAAACTCAAGTTTCTTGTTTAGCATGTGTAGGGAGGGGCCTAGTATTTTAATACAGAGCTTCTCAAACATTAGTGTGTCTATTAATTATGTAAGGATCTTACTACAAGGCAGATTCTGATTAAGAAATTCTGCAAGAGGCTGTAGATTCTGCAGTTCTATCAAACTTCCAAGAGATGCTAATGCTGCTGGTCCCTAGACACATTTTGAGTAGCAAGGATCTAGAGTACTAGCTGGATTCTTCAAATAAGATCTAAAGTCCTGATACAAATTCCACTCAAGGACCTGAGAAAACCTGAAAGTAAAGCCCTAAAGTATGATCAGAAGTCATTTAGAAACATAGGTGCATGAGATATATAAATATACATGGAAAATAAATATATATACATAATATAGTTTCTGTTTCAAAGAGGACAAAATACTCCCAAAGATCAGAACAAATTGTAAAAAAAAAAAAAAAAAAAAAAAAAAAAACTTTTTTTGAGATAATCCAGAAAATTTTGACTGCTAGCTGGATATTTGATGATATTTAAAAAGATCATGTTTTAATTGTAAAATGTCATTGTGATTATGTTTCTAAAAACAACTCTGTTTTGAGGAATACCTACTGAACTCTACACAATTAAATATTCTAATACTATTCAAAACAATCCAGTGGTGGTTGGGAAGAAGTGGGTGATAAAACAGGGTAGCCAGAGAGATAAGTTCTGAAGCTGGGAGCTGGGAGTGGGGGGTTATTTTGCTAGTTTTTCTGCTTTTCTATGTATTTGAAATTTTCCAAATTTAAAGTTGTAAATAAATAGTTATGCAAAAAAGGGAAAGAAGGATGGAGGAAAGGAGAGAGGTGGAGAGAGAGGAAGAGAGGGAGAATAAGAGAAAGAGAAATATTCAGAGAGAATAGTCTCATCCAAGTTCCCTGCAAAAAAAAAATAAATAGGTTCAGCAAAATAACTGATTCCAACCTCAATGCTAGGTAATATTCTAAGACATATTATTGAGATAGTGGAAGTTAAGTTTTAAAAACAGAAAAAGATGAGATCACTGGGTCCTTCTCAGGACAGATTGCTAAGGACTCTGGCTTTTTTATTATGGCTTTTTGACAGGCATGTTAGATCCTGTAGATTTAAGGCCTCTGAATTCAGAGCATTTGTCAAAGTCTTCTGTGATCTTTATAAAGAAGGCAAAAATTGTGGCTCAGATGATAGCATGGCAAGGTGGATTCATGACCAGTTGAATGTCCACCCCCAGGAGGAATAGATTAGGAGCCAGCATGAGGCTGGAGGCAGCTCTTTAGTGGAACACTGAAGGAGTCCTGTTCAACATGTTGTAGTTTTTTAAATCAATGACAGGTGAAGATAAACAAGATGTTTTGGCCAAATTGACAGGGGGGCATAAGGTCTAAAGGACTACCTTATAATATATTTGACAACGGAATTATAATCTAAAGACATATCAACATGCTACAGCTAAGAACCAGTGTTAGCAGGCTGAAATTAATAGCATTTTTGATCAGTCAGCCAGGAAAATTCAAAATGAGAAAAAGACTTCTCAGTGGACCACGTGCACCTAGGGGTACTTATTAGCTACAGACGGCCAGGACTCCTCCCCCTGAATTTTGCCATCATCCTGTACTGGTTTGGGAAGCACTGACTTCAAGATCTCTCATTGTAAATTACATAAGAATCAGGAATGTAAGCGGCTGCTAAAGCCAATTTGATCTGCTAATTTTATTGTAGGGTACGTTAAAACAATTACTTCTCCAGAAGAGAAGAGGGAATAAAAGCAATAATTGCATCTACAGTTTAGTAAGCATTTACTATGGTGAGGCATTGCACCAAGTATTTTGCATACATTATCTCATTTAATAGCCACATAATTCTTTCCATGTGGGTGTTAAAAACTTCATTTCCTACATGGGGAAACTTGAGTTCAGAGTGGTTCAATGACGGCTGAAGCCACACAGCTGCTGAGCATCAAAATGGAGATGCGAGTGGAGCTTCTGTGGTACAGCAGCAGCTTAGGAATGCAATGCTTGCTCTCACATTGTCTGGGCTGGCCCCCCAAAAATTCCAAGCACAGGGTTGAGCTCTGGTTACTGTGCTTTAAGAGAGCATCAGAAAATCTTAGCCTGTGTCCAGAAGACTGTCTCACTGATCAAGGCAGTGAGAGAACAAGCACATCATATGTGGTCCAATTAGAAGAAAGATAGAAGAGTCAACTTAGAATGTCACGGTAGGTGCTTAGTAAATGTTTGCTAAAAGACTAACTTTAGCTTGAAAAAGGAATTTTACGGAGTCTGCTGTTTTGGTTATCTATCATTACATAAAAAACTGTTCGAAAAACATGGCTTAAAACAGTAACCATCATTTATTTTTATCTCTCATGGTTCTAGGAGCTAACTGGGCTGAGCTGGGCAATTCTCACTCGGTCTCTCAAGTTTTTGCAGTCAGTTGGTGGTGAGGGCTGGTATGGGGGGAAAGAAATATCTTCTCATCCATCGCCAGGTTCATGGTGAGACCTCTGTAACAAAAGACATATTAACAAGAGAAAAGAGTACAGTAAGTCTAACATGACATGGGAGCCTTCATGAAGAAATGAAGACCCAAATAAACAGATAAACTTGTATCTTTTTATGCTACATTTGATAAAGAAGTAAATAGTTGTGGAGAAGTATGGTTGGACAAAGGGTAGATCATCTAGTGGTAATAAACTGGGGGGAATTTAGCAAGGCCTGTTTGTTCAGATTCTTCTCTGTGTCCCTGTGTCTTCAGCGATAAGGGTGTTTCTTTCCTTCATGTAATAGGATGGCACATCGGGAATAAGTGTCTTATGACTTGCTTCAGGGAAGAAGGACAAGGAGAAAGTGGGAATGACCTTCCTGCTTCTGCTATTTTCTTAAATGCCAAAATGCCATATTTGGGGAATAGCATGTCCAAAACCACATCACTGGAATAATCTCAAAAGCTGTTGAACTCAACTACTTGGAAGTTACATAATCACTCAGGGTTTGAAAGTATGTGTCACAAGCGATCGAGTCCAGCAGTAGCTGTATTGTCTTCTCCAATCTGTCCTAGCAAACCACACAGTGTGCCTTCTGTATTCTGTTTGTCAAGTCAGTCACCAAAGCCTGCCCAGTTTCAAGGGGGTGGTGAGGGGGATGTAGACTCCACCTCTTGACAGGGGAGGGAAAAGGTTTGGAGAAAAGGTTTTTGAGAAAGTTTATGGAACCAGAAATGTGATTGAAGCCATTTCTGGAAAATACAATTTGCCACATCTGCCTAGGAATATTTGGGGCAGAGGTGGGGGACTAGAAGTGTTGTATGTGGACAGAGAAGGTAGAACTAAGCCAGGTCATGAAAAGAAGTAAAATAGAGACAAATTTGGATTCAAGAAAGGAAGATGTTTTCAAGACGCTGGATTATTTTTAAGGGGGAATGAATTTTCTGCCATTGAAACATGGGCTGTCAACACGTTTCTAGGGTCTGATACAGTGAGGTATCTGATCCCTCCAGCTCAGTGTGTCCAGGACTAATCTGTTAGGGGTCAGTGGCTGGAGCAGGAAGTCTTCATGAGAACCAGAAAGGCTAGAGGACCGAGCAAAGCTGAAAGTTAAAATGTTTTTAATTTTTAAAACTTTTTAAAAATGGTGAAGCCCAGGCTGCAGGAGTGGGGTTAGAAGGTTTACTGAATGTGGCAGGAGCTGGAAGTGAACTTTTAAGTTGGGGATGTGAACAAGAGTTTGAAACCAGAGAGGATCAAATAAATAGAATTAAAGTAGATCTAGAACTAAAGCTTTGGAGGAGCAGAGCAGGGAAGGATGGCACAGGGGACCTGAGCAGTCAAAGCACAGCCTCTGGTTGCTAGAGCACACTCCCTGGGACTGCTGGGGCACTGGACGTGTTGGAGAGAGAAGGGGGCACTGCCCGAAGGTTAGCTTGGCCTAGTGCAGGACAGACACAGGAAGACAAGCTCCACATGGAGGACTTGGATTAGGATGGACAGTGAGGCGCCTTCTGAAGCTAGGAATATTAGATTCTCATAGGACTAGGGGACATGTAGTAAATGATTGTCAATCTCTAGGCATTCTCTGGGTGTTATATTAGTCTTGACAGTAGACGTTTTCTACCCTTTGATAACTAATCAGTAACAGCCTTGGCATGCCACCCTCAGGTGTAAATGAAGCCCTTACAGGGAATCACAGTTCCATGGCCTTACACATCAGCTATTGCATGATTTTGAGAAGGCTTATTTCATAGTTAAAATCCAGGTCTGATGAACAACCCAGCACCACGAAGCCAGATTGTGTCTTCTGCCCTGGTAAAGGCCATTATTCCCATTAGGATTGCTACATAGTTGAGAAATCACAATTGTATTATATTCATTCATGTGCCTATGTAGGTTTCAGGGAAAGTTGCATACATTTTGACAAGGAAACACAGGTTCAAGAAGATAAAAATGGTGGTGAGAAAACACAGATCTGTATCAATAAAGAAAAACTTATCCTGGGCCACGAAAAGGACAAAGAACACTAGCTGGCTTTAGTGGCAGGACAATGAGCCAAATGAGCAATTGGCCTCAAATGGGAGTGAATGAATGGGTGGAACAGATGGCACTATAGTGATCTTCCAGCAACCCAGACTGACACACTTTAGCTAATAAGCCAGCAGCCCCATATTGTACTCAAAGAGACATGCCATGCTAAATCCTCAGGCCTGGGGCATCCACCATCAGCAGCTATACTCTGGTCCCTTCCTATACTATATGGAGTGGCCATTAAACCAGACTTCTCATTTGTAGAATACATCAATCCAGGAGCACATATATTAATTTAAATCTATAGGTGCAGTTCAGTAGATATGGAGCATGATTCCTGGCTTCAGCTTAAAAACCTCTTGGGAGCAACAGAGCAACTAGACTGGAATGTATTATTCTTTACACCTTTGTTTACTTTACTGGAGAGAGTACGGTGTTATGCTGGAGAAAGCTGAAGTAAGAAGAAAGCTGAATTAAGTCCCAGCTTGAAACAGTGTACCAAAGGTTCACAGAGAAAATGTAGATTGAGAACAAAATGCAGACTGAGACCAAAATGCCCACCTCTATTTCAAATTGTAGAATTTTGTAAGTTGGAAGTAGCCTTAGAAATTACCTCACCCAATCCTTAATCTTACACATGAGAAAACTGATGCTGTAGAAGAAAATTATATACCTTCTATTTCTTTTTATCGTAGAGTATTTCTCTGATATACATATTGAAAAAGAATGGAAAGAATAGAATTTGGCTTGCAGAATTTTAATTTCCAAACCATGCCATTTAGAGTGATTGTTATATCACTTTGCCACCTTTGCAGCATGACCTGGGGGAAGGAAAGAAACTCTGTGGTTTGGGAATTCTGTGACCTGGTATCCACTCCATCCTAACTAGCTCTGGGACCTTCTCTCCGGTCCCTTTCTGCCTCTTTTTTCATCACACAACCTAGCAGAGTGCAGAGCACGTGGTTGATAATAAATATTTGATGTCCAGGCACAGTGGCTCACACCTGTAACCCCAGCACTTTGGGAGGCCAAGATGGGTGCATCACTTGAGGTCAGGAGTTCAAGACCAGCCTAACCAACATGGTGAAACCCTGTCTCTACTAAAAATACAAAAATTAGCCTGGCATAGCGGCACGTGTCTGTAATTCCAGCTATTTGGGAGGCTGAGGCCAGAGAATTGCTTGAACCTGGGAGGCAGAGGTTTCAGTGAGCCGAGATCGCACCACTGCACTCCAGCCTGGGTGAAGAAGAAAGACTCCATCAAAAAATAAAATAAATGTTTGATGAATGAATAAATGCACTTAAGCTCTAAAATATTATGCTTCTCAGCATAGTAATAAGAGAAATAGAAAACCCTTTTCAATAGGAAGTTTCTTCATCTATCAGAATATGAAAATATCCAAACTCCTGGATTTGTGTTAAGATAAATGAACAGTTTTTTTGCTAAAAATACTTTCAAAAGAGTAATTAACTTGGCATCATGATGCCCCAGAGATGTTCATTTATGTCATTAATTTTAGGAAGATGAGCACTTCATTTTTATTCACTGGAGGGTCAAGACCCTTGGGAAAAGCTTTATAAATTGATCTCCCTTTAATCTTCCTAGATCCTTACCTCTCAAAATGGGGGTCCATGGACCAGCAACATCAGCCTCAGCATCATCTGGGAACTTGATAGAATTGCAAAGGTTCAGTCCCCACCCAGATCCACTGAGTTTGAATCTACATTTTAACAAAGACATTAGGTAATTTGTGTGCACTCTAAAGTCTGCAAAATGCTGCCATAGATCAGTCCAGCAGCCTGAAATCTTTAGCAAGAAGCATCATGCTTCTTTACAGTTTATGGCTTCCTTCACTTCTACCAAAGAATCTGTCATGCACATAATCTATTTGAATACTCAAAGATAAACACCCCACGAAACAAACTTCACGAAGCCTTCTGAATATTTCCTTAATTATTAAGGAACTATATGAAATCTTGAACCATATGAAATCACTGCAACTCAATGTTTTCAATGGCAAATTTTTGTATATTTCAACATAATATAATATCCACCATTTAGAGAGTGCTTATAATGCAACAGGCTTAGTGTTACGTACTTTGCGAATGTTTATTCTAATCCCCAAAATACTCTATGAAGTGGATATTAAGTAATTTTATAGTTGAGAAAGTTAGGAATGAAGAAGGTTAAGTTCCCAAGGTTACCCAGCCAGTTATGAAAAGGCTGGGAAACACATCGAGCCCTAAACCCAAGGCCCACCATTTCTCGAAATGTGGACTTCAGACCATCACATTAGATCCACATGGGAAGTGTGTTAAAATGCACATTTCTAGGTGCCATCCCAGATAGTTGAATCTGCATCTCTGGTACATGGTCCTTGGAATTTACATTTTAGTAGCCCCTCTGTGAATTGGGCATGCTTTCTTTGAGAAAAAAATGAATCCACTATTTTCATGCACTGACTCTTTTCCAAGTAGGTGATGGGAAATCACTGATGTAAAAATTGACTTACCCAAGGGTAGAGTGACCATATGTCCTATTTTCCCAGGGCAGATCTGGTTTATGAACATTGTGCCGGTACAATTTCTAAGAGCTCCTCTTTGGATTCTCAAAAGTATTCTGGTTTGGTTGATAAATTGCATGAGTGATCTGTGTTAGGGAGGAAACTGAACTGGGTTTCTCCCAGGAGAGCAGCAGAAGCTCTATCTCCCATAGGAGAGCTATCTTGAAGTTCTCAGTGAGCTGAGGAAGTCTGAGTCTATCTCTGGAAATGTCCAGTGCCCTGAACCTCACTATCTTCCTCCTCCCACCCTGACCTCCCTGGACATGCAGCTCCAGGCAGTGGCAGCCAGGATTCCAGTATACTCGAGGCATTCCCCCAAGGCTGCCTATGCTGGCATTCCCTAGAAATTCTAGTTAGACCTTTTAGTTTGTTTGAACTCTACTCAGAGCACCAACTGTTTCCCATTTCTCATTCTCCATGCCTTTGATGGAGCTTTGCCTGAGACCCCCTCTCCATTCCTGCAGTGTTTGTGTCCCTCTCGGGCAGAGGCTTCCAGGGCTGGTAAGGTCTGACTCCTCTCTGGACCCTAGTATGTGATACGAGACCAGGCACTGAGTGAAATGCCAATATATGCTTGTAGTTGGCCTAAATAAGGAAATTAATGCAGTTATCCGATTATCGTACCAGGAGCAGGTTTTGACAAATCAGGGAAAAAAGAAAAACAAGAAAATTGGTGGGCAGAGAATGAAGATATATCCAGGCCTTGAGAGAGCTCAGAAAAGAAAAAAGTCTATATAGTGCTACAACATTAGGAAACAAAATTTAAACTTATCTTTAAAGAACACATTAGCCACATCTCCAAATTATATGCTCAATATATTTTCCTTTAGCCTCTAGGCACCTTTTCAGGTAAAGTGCCCCTAAATTTAAAACAATGGATCTAATTTTGAATATACTGTACAGCATCCCAAAAATCCGGAAACAAGAAAAGGCTGCATTCTTCATACTTCCTTCAGATTAACATTTTGACCCTCTGCCAATTTACAAGCATTTTTATCTGAAAACATATGCAAGTATTTTGTTTGAAAATATTTATTAAAAATAAATTTATTCTATGTATGATGATTAATTTTATATGTCAACTCAATTGGGTCATGGAGATATTTGGGGAAATATTATTCTGTGAGGGTTTCTTTGGATGAGATTAGCATTTGGGTGGGCAGACTGAGGAAAGCAGACTGCCCTCCTTAATGTAGATAGGTCTCCAATCAACTGAAGAGTTGAATAAGAAGAAACTTCACCTGCCTGACTGACTGATCTGGGACATTGGTCTTCTCCTGCTGTGGCACTGGAACTTAACACCATTGGCTTTTCTGTACTCACGCTTTTTTACTCAGGCTGGAATTTATATCACCATGTCTCCTACATTTTCAGCTTGCTGACTGCAGATTTTCAGACTTCTCAGTCTCTGTAATCACAAGAGCCAATTTCTTATAATCTTTCTCTCTCCCTCCCTCCCTTCATCTCCACACACAGAAACACACACACACACACACACATATCCTATTGTTTCTACTTCTCTGGGAACCCTGCCTATTGCTTTGTTTTCTATCTTTCATACTTTCATGTATCCTGTACTTGAAAACTTAGTTAAGAAAAAAAAAAAGGTGTTAAGAAAGAACGTTCTATTAAATAACACTATTTTTTCTTTGAATATGTTCCTGCCTCAAATGTTGTAGATTGAATCATCCAATGCTACTGTAATTTGTTTCTTGTTTTTCATTATTTATAGAGGCTGGAAAGCTAAAAATCTACATTTCCTAGACTCCCTTGCAGCTAGAGTATCCTGTTGTTGTGATCTAGCTTTTGCCAAGCAGGTGCATCAGCTCCAAGCTGAGTGAGAAAAAGTGAACGTGGTAGCTTGATGGCTGTCTGGAAATGTGGTGCAGAAATGCTTGGGTTTTTTCATGGCAGTGGTGGTGAAGCTTCTGGTGCCTGAGCAGTCCTAAGCTTCAGTATTGATAGCAGCCAAGGTGAATGATTTCTGAATAGCAGCCTTTCTGTGTGTAGCAGAGGCAGAATGGCTCTTGAGTCAGCAGTGGTGGCATCAGCTCCCATGTAAGCCAGTTTTGTAGTGTGCCTCTGGGAGTAGCTCAACCTACATTTGCATCTCCAGACCATAAAGTCTTTCTATTTAATCTAACTAGAGTAAGATTCTGTTTCTTGCAACTGAACTCTGACCAATTCAGCAGCCTGAGGAAAGATGTCTTAAAGCAAAGTCCAATGGACCAGGAGTCTGATTCTTGGCACATTGGTTGGTCACAATGCTTTGATTAGAGGCACACTCCTGCATATCTGCATACTCTCAGTTTAGAGTTACTGCAATTCAGCTTTTCCCAATGTATGTTCATCCAATCAATATATTACCTACTGTATTAGTCTGTTCTCATGCTGCTAATAAAGACATATCTGAGACTGAGTAATTTATAAAGAGAAGATGTTTAATTGACTCACATTTCTACAGGCCTGGGGAGGCCTCATGAAACTTACAATCATGGCAGAAGGGGAAGCAAATATGTCCTCCTTCACATGGCAGCATCAAGTAGAAGAATGAGTGACCAGCAAAGGGGAAGCCCCTTATAAAACCATCAGATCTTGTGAGAACTAGTTCACTATCATGAAAACAGGATAGGAGAAACCACCTCCATGATTCAATTATCTCCACCTGGTCCCTCCCATCACACGTGGGATTATGGGAACTACAATTCAAGATGAGATTTAGGTGGAGACATAGCCAAACCATATCACCTACCTACCTCCAAAATGTTTTATTGGTCAAATGAATAAGAGAGAATTGAAGGCAAAAATGTTTTGAATCAGAACCTTTAAGGTGATTTCATGCCTTAAAAGTCTTAAAATGTGCTTCAAAGAGATAAGTGTAACATATGCAGTTTTTGTTTAGTATTTTCAACCTCTAATTCCCCATTCTGCTACCATTCCCTTTCATTTTTGTAAGACTGATATTCCAAGAAATATACTGGGGAAAAGCTTGCTCAATCCATTCAAAGTGGCCAGTTCTGACTGTAGAGAAGCCATTGGCAAGTGAGGTTTTTGAGCTGCTTTCTACAGATGCTACCATTGGACCTCTGCATTAGTCTGTTTTCATGCTGCTGGTAAAGACATACCTGAGACTGCGTGATTTATTAAAAAAAAAAAAAAAAGAAGAAGTTTAATGGAATTACAGTTCCATGTGGCTGGGGAACCCTCACAATCATGGTAGAAGGCAAGGAGGAGCAAGTCGCATCTTAAATGGATGGCAGCAGGCAAAAAGAGAGACTGTGCAGAGAAACTCTCCTTTTTAAAACTATCAGATATCATGAGACTTATTAACCATGATGAGAACAGCACAAGAAAGACCTGCCCCCATGATTCAATTACCTCTCACTGGGTCCCTCCCACATCATGTGGGAATTCAAGATGAGATTTAGATGGAGACACAGTGAAACCACATCTCCCTGGCCTCTCCCAAATCTTATGTCCTCACATTTCAAAACCAATCATGTTCCCAACAGTCCCCCAAAAGTCTTAACTCATTTCAGCATTAACTCAAAAGTCCATAGTCTCATCTGAGACAAACCAAGTCCCTTCTGCCTATGAGCCTATAAAATTAAAAGTGAGTTAGTTCCTAGATACAATGGAGGTACAGACAGGCCCCATGCAAGTCCAAAATCCAGTGGGGCAGTCAAATCTTTAGAGCTCCAAATAGATCTCCTTTGACTGCATGTCTCACATCCAGGTCACACTGGATGCAAGAGGTGGGTTCCCGTGGTCTTGGGAAGCTCCACCCCTGTGACTTTGCAGGATACAGCCTCTTTCCTGGCTGCTTTCACAGGCTGGCATTGATTGTGGCTTTTCCAGGTGCATGGTGTAAGCCGTCAGTGGATCTACCATTCTGGGGTCTGGAGGATAATGGCCCTGTTCTCACAGCTCCACTAGGCAGTGCCCCAGTGGGACTCTGTGTGGGGGCTCCAACAATACATTTCTCTTCCACACTGTCCTAACCGAGGCTCTTCATGAGGGCCCTACCCCTGCACCAAACTTCTGGCTGGACATCCAGGTGTTTCTATACATCCTCTGAAATCTAGGCAGAGGTTCCAAAATCCCAATTATTGACTTCTGTGCATTTGCAGGCTCAATACCACGTGGAAGCTGCCAAGGCTTGGGGCTGGTTACCTCTGAATCCATGGCCCGAGCTCTATGTTGGCCCCTTTTAGCCACAGCTGGAGTGGCTGGGACACAGGGCACCATGTTCCTAGGCTGCACACAGCATGGGGATCCTGGGCCTGGCCCACAAAACCACTTTTCCTTCCTAGGCCTCTGGGCCTGTGATGAGAGGGGCTGCCTTGAAGACCTCTGAAATGTCCTGGAGACATTTTCCCCATTGTCTTGGGGATTAACATTTGGCTCCTCATTACTTATGCAAATTTCTGCAGCTGGCTTGAAAATGGGATTTTCTTTTCTATCACATTGTCAGGCTGCAAATTTTCCAAACTTTTATGCTATGTTTCCCTTTTCAAACAGAATGCTTGTAACAGCACCCAAGTCACACTTTGAATGCTTTGCTGCTTAGAAATTTCTTCTGCCAGATACCCTAAATCATCTCCCTTGAGTTCAAAGTTCCACAAATCTCTAGGGCAGGGGCAAAATGCTGCCAGTCTGTTTGCTAAAACATAGCATGAGTCATCTTTGCTCCAATTCCCAACAAGTTCCTCATCTCCATCTGAGACCACATCAGCCTGGATTTCATTGTCCATATCATTATCAGCAATTTGGTCAGAGCCATTCAACAAGTCTCTAGGAAGTTCCAAACTTTCCTACATTTTCCAGTCTTCTTCTGAGCCCTCCAAACTGTTCCAACCTCTGCCTGTTACCCAGTTCCAAAGTCACTTTCACATTTTTGGGGTATCTTTTCAGCAGCGCCCCAGTACTAGTACCAATTTTATAGTATTAGTCAGTTTTCATGCTGCTGATAAAGACATACCTGAGACTGGGCAATTTACAAAAGAAAGAGGTTTAATAGACTAACATTTCCACATGGCTGGGGAAGCCTCACAATCATGGCAGAAGGCAAGGAGGAACAAATTACATCTTACGTGGATGACAGCAGGCCAAAAGAGAGCCTGTGCAGAGAAACTCCCCTTTTTAAAAGCATCAGATCTCATAAGCCTTATTCACCATCATGTGAACAGCATGGGATAGACCTGCCCCCATGATTCAACCACCTACCACTGCATCCCTCCCACAACACATGGGAATTCAAGATGAGATCTGGGTGGGGACACAGCAAAACCACATCAACTTCCATGGCTTTTTTTCATTCAAATTGCAAAAATCTTTTTCATATCTCTTGGCTTTTTATGTTTCGTCATAAAACAAGATTTTGTCTTTCCCTATAGAATCTGCTTCCTTTGGGACTAAAGACCAGTATACAGCATAATGGCTGTGATTATGGCTGGATTTCTGACTCTGTGTATTAGTCCATCTCACATTGCTACAAAACAAAACCTGAGACTGAGTAATTTACAAAGAAAAGAGGTATAATTGGCTCACAGTTCCACAGGCTGTACAGGAAACATGATGCTGGCATCAGCTCAGCTTCTGCGAAGGCCCCTGGAAGCTCGCAATCATGATGGAAGGTGAAGGGGGAGCAGGCATGTCACATGGCTAGGGCAAAAGCAATAGAGCTAGGGGCGAGGTGCTACACACTTTTAAATGATATCTCACACAAACTTACTATCGTGAGGACAGTACCAAGGAGATGGTGGTAAACCATTCAAGAGATATCTGCCCCCATGATTCAATCACCTCCTGCCAGGCCCCAACTCCAACACTGGGGATTACATTTCAATATAATTTGTACAAAGATATACATGCAAACTATATCACTCTGATACTTGCCAGCTGTGTGAGCTTAGGCAAGTTGCTAACCTCTCTGTGCCTCACCTCTCCATCTGCAAAATGTAGATGATAATAGCTGTTGTATTAAAGAAGTTAATACACATAAAGTCTCAATATAGGTCCGTGTTGTACAAAAGTGTAGTCATTAGCCATATGTTGCTGTTTCCACTAAAAGTAGTTAAATTAAAATTCACTTCCTTAGTTATACTAGCCACATTTCAAGTGCTTGATAGCCAAGTGGGACTAGTGACATCCATTTTGGACAAAACACATATAGATATTTCCATTGCCACAGAGGCTTCTAGAGCCTAAGCACTTAGCAAGTTCTAAATAAAAGCTAGTTTTTATGCTCCAAGACCCAAATAAGTTCAATTGCCCTCATCAGATTCTTAATCTTCAGTCAGATCTCCCTCTAGGAAACAAATAAAAATTGTAAAATTTCAGTCACTCTTTGCCTTGTCTTCTCTTTTTCCCTTCTTTTTCCTTCTTTCCTTCCTCCTTCCCTTCCCTCCTTCCTTCTTTCTTTTGTTCCTTTCTTTATTCCTTTGTTCCTTTCTTCCTCTTTCCTTCTTTCCTTCCTTTCTTCCTTCCTTCCTTTTTTCCTTTGTTCTTTCATCTTTCCCTCTCTTTTCTTCTCTTCTTTCCCTTTTCTCTCCACCTCTGTGGAGGAAACCAGAGAGTTTCCTGGTTGGGATTTCCTAGTAAACTACCCTGACTCTCCAAGTTTACTATTACAGTATAACTATTACATTGGAGCCCAAAAGCCCATATTACTCACACCAACATCTGGAAAGTTCTCAATTTTGTCAGAAAGCTGAACGTGTCTTTCCACCAACTTCATCCTTTCTCTCTATCGAAGCATAAGATTTTGACAAGATAGATGTGCTTCTATTAAATTATTTGTAGTCTCACTGTAATGAGATCATCCTAGCATGATTGCCATGGGCCACTGTCTAGGCCTCAAAGAAACAGGCCAGAGGAAGATTTCTATTGATGATACTCGTGGAAAAAGATGTGACCACTAGTCCTTTCAAAAGGATCATAACAGATATTGATTCTTAGTTTGGGAGTTTGCCTCATTAAAATACCAAACAGAATTCTACGGGGAATGGGCTATATTGATTGGTTTGTTTTGTTTTATAGGTTTGTTTCCTATGTAACATGTAATTGTATTTTATAGTTGCTATAGTATGCAAGAATTAAAGACCTAATCTGGCTAAACAAGAATTGGCTTATAAATTATGAAACATTCTTTCCCATCAAACTTCTAGATAATTAAACAAAAATTTAGGAAATGTTATCTTTGCTGATTGTTTTGTATTGTGGTAAGAGATAGAAGAAGATAAACTTTTTTTTTCTTCTTGTCACTGTTTAATTTTCTTAGCAATTAAGCCACTAGTAATGAGTTTAGGGATTTCAGAGAAGACTGTTTTTTTCTGAGGTCTATTAAACTGTCTTTTTTTTAAACATGATTTTGCTTCTAAAATTTGAAAATGAGTTGCCATCCAATGGCATGATGGAGGCAGCACAGGTTCTGAAAGTATTCAGACTTAAATTCAAACTCTGTATTTTCCCTTCTGTTTCAACTAAGGCAAGTTACTGAATGGGATATTTTGAGATTTTAGAAAGTTGTTCTTCTGTACACAAGTAGATTTAAAATAATCACTTCTTCCTCCATCTTTTCAGTAGATAGATTGTACTTCAGGTGCTTTGATTCTGCACTTGGCCATCTGACATGCTTTGGCCAATGGGAGTTTAGCAGACATGCTGTAAGCAACATCTTGAAAAATGCTTGCATGTTTGGGCTTGCTCTCTTAGTCTTCTGCCACAGCTGTGAGAACATGTATTAGCCACCTGATTCCAAGAAAAGAAACAGAAACACCTAGAGCAGAGCCACTCACAGCCAACCACAACCTAGATTGGCTGACTCACAGCCAGCCCTTATATTTGTGAATTAAATAAGTGATTATTGCTGTATGGTGCTGGGATTTGTATCACAGTTAACTGATATAGCCTCTCAAGCTTCCTTTACGCATTACCTTCTCCCATTGTTCATGAGGATGGTTCTCTATATGTATTGCCCTTACAGATGAGAAAACACACAGCCAAGAAAAAAGATCAGTTGATGTGCTGAATGCATATGTATATATACAGTAGCAAAACCATTCTTTCTCTCTGCAAGAGTCAAGTTTGTTGAGACAGGAAAGAATTTATGGTTTCCAAGAAGTAGCACCCTGGAAGACTAAGAACATAGCTTTTATACTATAAAACGTATGCTAGGGAATAGTGCTACTAAAATAGAATAGACCACAAGAAAATAAGATGACAGACAGAAGGAGCAAAGATCTGTTGGGAGGTGGCTAGAATTCAGATACAAGAGACCTTAAGAGGGGCTAGCTGAGTCTAACAAAAGAAAGATGAGGAAAAAGCCTAAGTAGGATTTATTTGTGGGTTCTTTTTCTCTTTCCTTTGTTTAAGCCCAATACTACAACTTTCTTTTGGAACTCAAACATCTAATGTGGCACTATATACTATAGATTCACAGTGGCTGAGGGAGTTATCAAGGTAGATAAGCTTAGAGAAGCCTCATAAAACCTACCTACTTCAGTGATAGGTGGTAAAAATAGGCAATGGGTTTGCATTTCATCCTGGGGAATCCTTGTACGTGAGCACAAGGAAGTGGTGATGAGCTAGAAGAGAAGAAGAGACCAGAAAAACTGGAAAAGGAGCACATGGAGACAAGGATCTCAGTACAGATGCTAGGGCTTAAAAATGGGAATACGTCTTAAGCAGAGAAAATGGGATCTTTTCTGGATTGAAGAGTGTTAGCCATTAAGTTCTCAAGTCCCTGTCTTATTTGACATTATCCAAGAAAGAAGCAGAACACAGGAAAATTTTCACATCTGAGGATAACACTAAGGTTTTCTGAGTAATAAATAACAAGTATAAGGAAGCTATAGAAAGATCCCATGAAATCGAGGGCTAAAAAGTGGCAGGTGATACTCAATATTGATGAGAGTCTGATAAAATGTTTCAGGAAAATGATCCTTTACATGAAACAACTTCAAAAGTGTCTCTATAGCCCGTTGATTTATAAATGATTAAAAAGTCAGCCCATGAAGACAAAAAATGGGGAAGACAATATTAGAGAAAGGTGGAAAATGATAAATGAGTGTTAAGTAACTTGGCAAAAAAATAAAGCGTGCCGGTAATGTGAAAGCATATTCAGATTGTGGAGCCCAAAAACCCCCGAAAGCAGAGCTGCCAGATGAAGGGTAGGGCAGACAGCAGAAGAACTGGTAAAAAGCTTATATCAGGAGATCCTCTCTCCTGAACCCTCAGCTACCAAATGGCCTCCTCCTACCAGAGACAGAGACAGAATATTTTTCTCTAAATAAATTCAATGAGGGTAGGTCCAGTTCCTGTATGGCGAGGCACCATATTGAAAACAGAGAGCTAAGGAAATAGCTACATAATTAACAGGCATATCCCCATCCTTCTCTACCCGTTTACAGCATGCTAGCCTACAAGTCTGTAAGTACTAGGCAGGTGATTGGAAATATTTCCTGTAGAAATAGATTAACCCTGGAGAAAGACCCACAGATTTCCCTATTGCAAATGTCATGCCTGATTCAGCTTCATTGAAACACAATGGTTTGACCAACCCATATATGCATAGATTATAATCAGCTTTTTAGTACTTTATAAAATATGATTACATCTCCAAGGATCACCTGATGTTTGTGAAAAGTTTTTAACATCAAAGACTGAGACTGGGTTGGCTGCATGTAATCATTGACCAGAAATAACAATGCCTTAAATATAAGAGGAATGACTAGAGCTCCAGATACCATGTCCAATTCCAAGCAGTAAGGAAGGAAAAAGGGCAGAAGGGTAAAAGGGCTAGCCTTTATTTGTGTCAACTCCCTTTAAGCAGGTTCCCCAGAAGCCCTACAAAACACTTCGTTGGCCAGAACATGCTCATATGAATATATCTAGCTACAAGGGAGGTTGGAAAATATAGACTTTCAACAGGATAAATATCTCTCCTGAATAATATTGTTTTATAGATGAAGGAAAGAATGAACTTTTGGTAAACAACCTGCATACACACACACACGCGCACGCGCGCGCACACACACACACACACACAGGCTGAATAAAGTAACTTGAAAAAAATAAGATTGATGTACTAGAAGCAGAAAACTCCAAAATATGATATTTTCAGAAAGAAGATATTTACCCATGAATAAAGAACAGATTTCTATTTAAAAGAAAAGAACAATAAAAAACCACAGAGCTCCTTGAAATAAAAAAGAAAATACAGTAGTCACAAAAGAGGGGGATTGTGGACTAAAATATACAGTTGAAGAAATCTCACAGAAAAGTGAAAGCAAGAAGATTAAGGAGAAAAGAATAGAAAACTAGAAAATCCAGAAATCCAAATATTTTAATAATAAGTGCTTAAGAAAAAGATGTCAGGAAAATTAGAGGAGTAAAAGAAATAATTAAAAGCTTTTTCTGAAGTATATGTGTTTCCATTTGAAAGTGCACATTGAATGTTCAATAAAATAAGGGAGAAAAATTCACACAAGATATATTATCATGAAATATCAGAACACCAGAGAGACAAAATAAAATTTCCAGAATGAAAAGAAGTATTCCCAAAGCAATACTGAAAGATATAATTCAAAATTATCTTACAAAATGTGAAGAAAAACAATATTCAGCCTAGAATTCCCTACTCAGCCATACTAGCAATCGAATAGGATGGAATAATCATTTTCAGACATAAAGTGACCAAAATATTTACCTACCATGCACTCTTTCCCAGAAAACTACTGAAAGACGTTGACCATTAAAGTGATGGAATAAACCAAGAAAGAAGAAGATGGGAGGGCTGGGAAACACAAGATCCAACACTGGAAGAGTAAAAAATTCTCAGGATAAGGACAGAGGGAAGTCTCTGGATGTCAGGTGTGCAGCAGATCTAGAGCAACCAGTCAAGATTGTCAGAGGAGGATAGAGTGTTCCAGAATAGATGGAATTAAGCCAAGATGTTAGAATTGATGAATAAAATTATCCTGAGAGAGCCTTTAAGTTTCTAGCAAAGAAAGTTTAGATCCATAGAATACTTTGCAATTAATAAAATTATAGCAGCTATTTTCTTTAATGAAAAACCTAAAAATTTGTATGAGAAAGGCTATATAATGCAGGATAATTCATGGCTACACTATGAACAACATTTGCAAAGCTATAACAATATGTAAAAGGTTAATTTAACCAGAAATTGTGATGTAACCATATTAGGAAGATGGGAGAGGGGAGTTTAGGGAATATATAATAACTTTAACAATAAGCATGCTTAGAAATGGAGGTAAATATGAGGAAAAAGAGCTACAAAAATTCAGAACAGTTTCCCCTAGGGAGTGGGACTCCTGAAAGGAGATAGGTGCTGTACATTCCCATTGGTGTTTTTCCTGATAAACATTGTAGTAGTGCCATTTGACTTTTAGAACTATGACACCTATTATTATGATAAAAGAAAAAAATTAGGCATGTATGCAGAAGCAAATAAAACAAAATAGTTTTATTTGCCCCTTTATCGAAGACAGCTTCTAGCCAGCATTTCAAAAGATTGGGGGGAAAAGGCCAGGCGTGGTGGCTCATGCCTGTAATCTCAACACTTTGGGAGGCTGAAGTAGGGGGATCATGTGGTCAGGAGTTCGAGACCAGCCTGACCAATATGGGGAAACCTCATCTCTACTAAAAATACAAAAATTAGCCAGGCGCAGTGGCACCTGCCTGTAATCCCAACTACTCGGGAGGCTGAGGCAGGGGAATCGCTTGAACCCGGGAGGTGGAGGTTGCAGTGAGCCGAGATTGCACCACTGCACTCCAGCCTAGGCGACAGAGCAAGACTCCATCTCAAAAAAAAAAAAAAAAAAAAAAAAGATTTGGAAGAAAAAAAGAAGGAAAATAATAAGAAAGTGTCAACCTACTGTTTAAATACAGCCTCTACATTCTTGTACTCAGACTCCACATGCATTTCAGAAAAGCTTTATTGAAGCAGAAAAATACCCAAGAAGAGGTTCATGTTAATCCAGGATTGAAACGGCTGCGTGATAAGGGAACCACTTTTGCCAACAAGCTGCTCTTCCCATTACCCTAAAGCAGAGCTAGTTATGAGATAAGACTTTCTGTCTGGGGTCAGGCACGGTGGCTCACACCTGTAATCCCAACATTTGGGGAGGCTAAGGTGGGCAGATTACCTGAGGTCAGGTGTTCAAGATGAGCCCAGCCAACTTGGCAAAACTCCATCTCTACTAAAAACACAAAAATTAGCCAGGTGTGGGTGGTGCATGCTTGTAGTCCCAGCTACTCAGGCAGAGGTGGGAGGATTGCTTGAACCCAGGAGGCTGAGGTTGCAGTGAGCTGAGGTCGAACCACTGCACTCCAGCCTGGGCAACAGATGGAGACTCTGTCTCAAAGACTTTCTGTCTGAGAAAATCAAGACTGAAAAGAACATTGTCAAAATTTAATGTTATGAAATCTTCATAGAACAGTTGACCATAAGGAATAAACGTTGTGTAGAAGGAGTAGAGAAAGGAACAGGCAATGAGGGCATCCCTTAAACCCTTCCCTCATCTTTTCAAATAGAAAAAGTATTTTGTAACAGAGACAAATGTGATAAGGCAGTAAGGAGTACAGTTAATAAGCTCCATGAATTACAAAGCTAGTTCAGTGTAAACATCTGAAATATGTCAAGAAGCACGCCATTGGTGAACCACTGATACAAACGATATGGATCAATCTCAAAAAATGTGATGTTGAGTGAAAGAAGCCAGTACATGATGTATTCATTCATTTTGCCACTCTTCTTTAAACTATACATATATGATTAATATACTTTTATAGTATGATATATCTCCCAACGTAAACAATTCTGGAGGTTCACTCCTGCAATATTTCTAGAATATAGTGTTTTTACCTAAAAATACTGGTATCTATGGAGTAGGTCATTAATGTTTGCTGAAAACCTAGTATACTTTTGCTACTTTATACATATCACTATACATAATACTGAAAGTAACACTGAATTATTTGTCATTGATATAAATTAAAGATTAGAACATTAAGGCTCAGAGAGATGAAATAACCTTGCCCAAAACCTAGACATGCACGCAGATCTATTTGACTCCAGGGCTGCTTCTCTTTTGATACTGCCAGATTGTGAGTCATTCTGTTCTTTTATTTTAAGGGCATTTCTAAGAGGAAACCAAGGATTATTTGGAGTTGTGTACAAAACAATTTCAGGGAAGGGCAGTTAAAACTCTTCTCTCCCAGGAGATGGTTGGTATCCTTTTTGCCACACAACTTTTGTCCCTGCAGAGGGCACCTGAGGGCCTACTTCAACACAGCTCTTCTGCCATCTTTCACTCTTCTGAATAATTACGTGTGCTGATGTTCTGAGAAAGTGCCATCCTAGAAATTAACTTCATCAATAATACGAAAACATTTTTCTTTCCTGGTGGGAAATTAAATGAGAAAACAACTGATCAATGACTAGGAAAAGCCAAAAATTAACAAAACTTGAAAGCGATGGCTGAAACTGCTGGATGTGTTAGATGAATTATGTAGAATATTCCTAATGAGATGCACTAGGATCTGACTCTTGCCAAAGAAAGTAAACAGAACCTTGGTGATTTATTTAAAAATTGTTTAAATTCACTTGATCAATGGCTGAGGCTCCAGAGGTGACACGACCTCCCCAACATTGCTCTTCTTTCTGGAGAAAAAATAAATTAATGAAAGAGAGATAACTAAAGTTCCATTTCTGATCACAAAAAATTGCCTCACTTTGATTCTTTAGGAAATCTCTTTAGGTTGGATAAATGGCAGAATATAGAATCTTCCCTCTTCCCAGCCAGTTTCATTTTTAAAAGCATCAAAATGAAGCCTCCAGAAGGGAGATAAGTGCTGCTGCAGACAGCTGCAAACAATTAATTCTTAAAAACAAAACTGAAAACAGACTAATTAATTTACAAAGTGTGCAGGGTGTGTCAAGAGTGCAGTAAAAATCCATCCCACTTAGTGTCCACCCGTATTTCGGTAAAACAGAGCATTTGCAAAGTGCTATATATTAAATTATAAGGCAAAACTATGGTGCATAATTCTCAGATGCCCGCATATATCTCTCTAATAAGAACAGTTTACCTAAAACCATTTATAATGTAATAAATTTCTTAATATTGAATTGGTAAACATCTGCATAGCCCATGCTACCAGGACTGTATCTGTGAAATTCTTAGTAAGCTGGTTGGCTCAAACCAGGGTGGTAGCAAAAGACGTTCTGAGGAGGTAAAAGTGTGGATCCATTTTCAAGATAGAACCAACAGGATTTTCTCACAGATTGAGGTAGGTCATGAGAAAGAGATGACTCAAGGATTTTTGACTTGAGCAAATAGATTATGAAGCTTCTGTAAAGCGAGATGAAAATTATGGGTGCAGCAAATTCATGGGGACAGGGAAGCTCAGTTTCGACATGTTGATTTTGAAATATCCACCAAAGCTCTAAGTAGAGAGCTAGAGTAGACGGTCGAATGTATCAAGAAAGAGCTGGGGAGAAAGACAATAATTATTGTGTGCACACTTGGTTGCAGGGACTTTATATTCATTACCTCATTTAATTCCACAGAAGTTTATGTGTTAGCTATTCTACCTGTTTTGTTTTATATTGTTTAATAAAAAAAAGTATTGAGTATCAAAGAATTTGAATAACTTGGTAAAGGCCCTACAGCTGATAGATGGAGAAGCTGGAATTCAAATTCAGGTCATCTGATGCCAAACCAAAGTCTATGCTTTTGTTTTTGCTAACCATGCACCCCAGGAAAATGCCCTTTGCATTTCTTTACACTTTGGAGAAGTGAATATTTCACCTACTTTTATTAATTAGAATGTAGGTTGCATGTTCTAGAGACTCCAAACAATAGTGGTTTAAATAAAACCATTGAAGCGATTGCTCTTTTACATAAGACTGGAGACAGGCAATGATGGACTGTTGTGGCAGCTCTGCTGCAGGGCTCATTTTGGGACCCGGGCTCCCGCTATTTTCTTGCATCACCATATCCATGATAGTTTTCTTCTCTGAACAGATCAGAATAGTTGACTGTCAGGGTTACAATCCAGGCAATAGGATAGAGGAAGGGAGAAAGAAGAGCCCAATCTGAAAGTTGCACACATCATTTCCACTCATATCCTATTGGCCAAAACCTTTGGCCTAGCTTCAAAGCAATCTGGGAAATATTATCTTTACTTTGAACATCCAAATGTCCAACTAAAAATCAGGATTTCTAATACTTTGAAAGAAAAGAGGAAAATAGATGTCAGAGAACAGCAAGCGTTGTTTACTACTTTAGTACAAGGTGGGCCAAATCTCTTAATGTCTTCAGATGAATGCTTATGAGATAAGTTCATTTGATACAGATTTTAACTTGGAAAAAATGATTAAGATTTCAATTAATGTGTGAACCTGAAAAAATGCCAATTATTTCATATAAGATAAAAGGAAACACAGTTTTCAAAGGATGGAGACAAAGTGAGTTTGTTAACTGTGTTTATACTATTGCTATATGGAGCCACCACTTCAGCTAGTAACAAAAACACTTGTCATTCTTGGCCAGGGTGAGTCTTGAATGACAAGAGTTTTGAATTATCAGATGTTTCCAGTAGTGCGTCTGTCACATAAACTGTGACCACCCAATAATTCTAATTTTCCTTTCCATGATCCAATATTCAGACAGTTTTGTTTTTTTTTTTCTTAGAGCAAAGCAGATCTTGTCAAAATAGCTACTATTCAAAACAGGCTGCCAGTTTTAGGAAGATAGGGTCAAAGAAAACAAGATCTCCTCTCCTCTCTGCTTCTATTATTAAGTAGAATAACAATGAGAGTAATGACAATGAGGAATGAGAGAAAATATTTAAATGTAAGTCCCAAATTTGCATTTCTAGCTCAGACTTCTAGCCTAAACTGAACTCCAAATTCATATATAAAATTATCTCCACTTTGAAGTCTAGTAGATACAATTTCAAAATGTCTAAAACTGAATTCTTACTATATTGACACCATGCACACACTACCCATCTCAGTTGATGGCAGCTGCATCTTTCCAGTTACACTATCCCTCCATAGTTCAACAGTTTAGGTTGATTCTTCTCATTTTCTCGTATCTACATCCAATTTTCTAGAAAAGCCTTTTGGTTCCACCTACATACACATAATCTGATGACTCCCTCACTGCATTCACTACTGCTATCATGGAACCAACCGTCATCTCCTCTCTTGCCTGGATTATTGCAGTATCCTCCTGTGCTATCTCTACTCCCTGTAGTCTACCCTCAGCAAAGCAGCCAGGATGAAGCTTTTAAAATATGACTCAGATTATGTTCTTCCTCTGCTTAAAAGTCTCCAGTGGTTTTGCATATGCCCTGTAGCAGTGTCCAGAGTCTTCCTAGTGGTCTTCAAGGCCTGTGGGATCCGCTCTGCTACCACTATCCCCCCACTCACTCAGCTGAATCCACACGGGCCTCCCAGCAGTTCCTGGAACAGGCAAGCATTTCTGCTTCGGGGCACTTGCTCTTGCAGCCCTGCCTGAAATGCCCTTTCCTCCCATCGTCCCCTTAGCTCACTTTCTCACCTCCTTACGCCTTTGCCCATATCTCACCTGAGAAGTGAGGGCTCCCTCCGTCCCCTGTTTAATACCTCAACTACTCCCGTAATCCAGTATCTAGATTCCATTTCTCATATTCTTTTTTTTCATAGTGCTCATTATCTGTATTAATTTGCCATGTGTATTCTTTCTCCATGTGCATTTAGAATACCAGCCCCAAGTGGACAGGGATCTCTGCCTTGTTCATTACCACACGCCAAAGCCTAGAACAGGTTACTGATGGCACTCACTCAGCTCCCAACACACATTTGTTGGCTAAATATCTTTTTCAATTTATAAAGAAAAGAGATTTAATTGGCTCACGTTTCTGCAGGAAGCATGGCTGGGAGGCCTCAGAAAACTTACAATCATGGCAGAAGGCAAACAGGAAGGAGGCACGTCTGACATTAGTTTATTAAGTCAAACAGATAAATTTCACCCTATGGACCCTCTCAGTTTTGAGAACAGCAGTGCTACACTGCCAAGAATTCATGCTAAAACAAACCATAAACCTGACCTACGTCCCTAGTCTGCTGACTTTGCCCAAAATCTAAGCTCTTGCATTAGACTTTAAGTCCAAATGATATCATCATGGATTTTAGAAGAAAACATATATTGCCTTTGATTTTTATTTTTAAGGTGATAGTAATAAAGACCAGGCAGTATGAACACTGAATGCAGTGAACTTTGCTTGCACTTGCTGGAATACCCTAAACCAGCCTATTGGTTTTCCTATGTAGTTTCTGTAATTGTAGAGCAGTTGGAACAGGGCTCCGGCAAGTTACCAGCTTACCTATGCCTCAGTAAATCACTGAGCCTTAGTTTCCTGATTTGTAAAACAGGGGACACTCACAGCCTTGTAGGAGGGCTAAATGAGTATATAAACAAAAATTGCCAGGCACATAGTAAAAGTGCTATTTATTACCAGCTTGGATTTTACATCTATATCACTAAGCTAGCATTACAATAGAAATTAAAATCTGAATATCTGGGTTAAGAAAAGAAAACAGATGATGAAAATGAGGGTAGGAAAATCAAACAGGTTTGAATAAGCCAAGTTAACTTTTATCTTAATGTTTAAATACAAGATACTTCAAATGTAGGAAAGTAATACTTACACTAGCAGTATTACAGCCAGGTATTTTATTTTGAGGAGGTTTCCTTAAGTTCCTAAGTCCCTTAAGTTCTCCTCATTCTCATTCTCCTTTCTCTGGTGAATTTAGTGTGCAACCTACCAGCATATGTTTTATCCTTTTACTATATAGAAGCATTATACCTTTAGTACACGTACTACATGCCTATATAAACAATATAGTGATGTTTTGTTATTACATTTGTATGTTTCTGCTGCTACTCCATATGAAAAGGTATTATAATGTAAATATTAATCTTTTTTCTTAACATCAAATGTTGGTGATATATTCATCCTGGTTGACATAGCTTTAGTTCTGTATGGCAGGAGTCAGCATACTTTTTCTGCAGAGGGCTGAACAGTAAAGGACCAGTACTGTAGGCTTTGCAGGCCACACGGTCTCTATTGCATCTACTTGACTCTCTGGTTATGGTGTAGAACAGCAGCCACAGGTAACGTATAAATGCGTGAATGGGGCTGTATTCCAGTAAAACTTGTAAAAACTGGGGTGGGCCTGATTTGGCCCACAGGACGTGTAGCAACCAAACCCTGCTATATAGTATTTCATTGAAGAAATAAGGCACAATTAATTCTCTATTTTCATGATGTGATTATTAATTTTAGTTGTCAACTTGAGTGGGTTAAGGGATATGCAGATAGCAAGTAAAGCATTATTTATGGGTAAATCTGTGAGAATGTTTTTGGAAGAGGCTGGCATTTCAATTAGTGGACTGAGTAAAGCAGATCTTCTCTCAATGAGGGTGGGCTCCATCTGATCTGCTGAGGACCTGGATAGGGTAAGTAGGTGAATTTGCACTCTCTCTCTTCTGAAGCTGGGATGCCCTTCTTCTCCTGCCCTTGGACATCAGTACTCCAGGTTCCCTGGCTTTTGGACTCCAGTACTTGCACCAGCAGCCCCCCACTGGGTTTCCAGGCCATTAGCTTCAAACTGAGAATTACACCACCAGCTCCCTGGTTCTGGGGCCTTCAGTCTTGGACTGGGGCAAGCTGTGGGCTTCCCTGGTTCTCCTGCTTACACTGGGCCTATCATAGGACTTCTCAGCCTCCATAATCCTGTAAGCCAATTCCCCTAATAAATTCCCTCTCATATACCTGTGTCTATATCCTATTGGTTCTCTCTCTCTGGAAAACCCTGACTAATACACATGGTAATGGACACTTAAGTTGTCAACCATTTTTTTTTCTAAATCAGCCAATGTTTCAGTGAAGAATCGTATACATGTTCCCTGCATGCTTGTATAAAAAATCTTCTAGATCAGTGCTTCTCAACCTTTAATGTGCCTGTGACCCACCTAGGGATCTTGTTAAAATATAAAATCAGTAGGATGGGATGAAGGCCTGATACCCTTTTGGTCTAACAAGCTCCCAGGTGATGCAGATGCTGCCAGTCCATGGACCACATTTTGAAAAGCATGGCTAGACTAGAAAACTAGAGTAAAATTGCTCAAAATTATTAGATGTTGCCAAATTGCTCTTCAAGGTAGACAAACCTGTTTCCATACCCAGCAGGAGCATATGCCAGTTTTATTTCTATATATTCTCACCAAAAGTCTGAATTTTCATACTTTTTATGTCAGCAATTTAAAGAGTATGAAATTATACTTTAAATTTGTTTTTATCTGATACCTTCAGGTTGAAGATCTCTTCTATGTTTCTTTATGTATCTGGTCTTGTTCTTCTGTGTATATCTTGTTCACTTATTTGTGTTTTTTCTTGTTGCTTTGTATGAATACTTTTAAAATTCTATACATTGATCTTTTGCCTATTATATCCTTTGCAAGTATTTTATCCCAGTCTGTGTTTCTCTTTCCATGTTGTTTTTAGTATACAGAATATCTTAATTTTAATATGCTATAATTCAACCATATCCCCCCTTGATGTTTGCATTTTAGAACTTTGCTTAAGAATTTTTCCTAACTTCCAAAGCCATAAAGATATTCTATTTTCTTCTATCTATTGGACAGTTTTTCTTTTTCTATTTAGTTTTAAACTCATCAGAGATTGATTTATAAATGTGAGGCAAGGAACAAAGTTTTTTCCTAATAGAAAACCAGTTCTCCCAACATCATTTATTAAATAGCCCATCCCTTTTCCTTCTGCTGATTGTGATGTTTTGGTAAGTGTCTCTATCACTGGTGATATTTCTGTATATGTATTGGTCTGTTTGGGGACTCTATTCTGATCTGTTACCCATCTGCACATCACTACCACACTGTCTTATTTGCTACAGCTTTGTAAGTGTTGATGTCTGATAGGGTACCTTGTTTTTCTTTAAAACTATCTTAATTATTTTAGATGTTCACTTTTTAAGCTATTTTATTAACTATAAGTATATACATATAAGTGCACATAAGTACATATAAATGTAGCTCAATAAATTTTTTAAAACTAAATATACCTATAAAACCAGAATGCAGATCAAGAAAAAGAAGTTGGCTACCATCCCCAAAGCCTCTGTCATGCTCACCTCCTGTCGCTAACGCCTCTCCCCAAAGGGAACCAATATTATGAATCCAATATCATTGCATAAATTAGTTTTTAGTATTTTATGTAAATGGAAATATAAAGTATGTATACTTTTGTATATTCAACTCTAATAGATACTCTCAAATTGTTTCCAAAGTGGTTGTATCGAATTACTGTCAATATGAGAGCTCTAGTTGCTTCATATCTTCACCACATTTTGATATTTTCAGACAAATGGGATATGTCTGAATCCCATTTTAGCCAGTTTGGTTGGCATGTAACTTTATCCCATTATAGCTTTAATTTGCATTTTCTTAATAACTAATGAAATTGAGTGCCTTATACATTTATTGGCCATCCTAGGTATCCTGGGTTCTGAAGTATCTAAGTTTTTAGTTCATTTTTCACTGTTCTCCCAAGCATAGTCTTTCAATTCCTGTTTTACACTTTCACCTGTTGTGGGGTTTTGTTTTGTTTGTTTTTTGTTTGTTTTTTTGGGGTTTTTTTTTCTTTGTTTGCTGTGTCACCCAGGCTAGAGTGCAGTGGCATGATCTTGGCTCACTGCAACCACATCCCAGGCTCAAGCAATCCTCCCACCTCAGCCTCCCAAGTAGCCAGGATCACAGGCGTGTACCACCATGGCCAGCTAATTTTTTGTATTTTTAGTAGAGGTGGGGTTTCCCCATGTTGTCCAGGCTGGTCTTGAACTCCTGAGTTCACAGGTTCTGCCTGCCTCAGCATCCCAAAGTGCTGGGATTGCAGGCATGAGCCACTGCACCTGGCCACACTTTTGCCTTTTTCTTTTCCCCTATGTAAACAAAAGTCCATCCTACCCTGCTATATAGAACACATGACTCTTTCTTCAAGAATTCCTTTTCCTTCAAGGCCCATCATGACTTTCTTGATCTCTCATGCTTCTGCTAATTCCCCAGTCAAATACTGTATCTACCCCGTTTGATAATTTGTAGGTTTTTTTTAACTTATTGTTGATAACACATTCTTCCTTGAACTAGAACTATCTTTGTACTTGTCACTTGCCCACTATTTCAGAGTTTTCAAACAGTGGGTAGCAACCTATTAATGGGTCATGAAATCAGTTAGTGTTTCACAACTGATATGGCTTGGATCTGTGTCCCCACCCAAATCTCATGTTGAATTATAATTCCCAGTGTTAGAGGTGGGGCCTGGTAGGAGGTGATTGGACCATGCGGATGGTTTCTGATGGTTTAGTACCATCCCCTTAGTGCTATCTCGTGATAGAGTTCTCACGAGATCTGGTTTTTTGAAAAGTGGGCAGCACCTGCCCCTTTGCTCGCTCTCTTCAACCTACTCCAGCCATGTAGGATGTGATGGCTTCCCCTTCACCTTCTACCATGATTAGGAGTTTCCTGAGGCCTCCCCACCCATGCATCCCACACAGCCTGTGGAACAATGAGCCAATTAAACCTCTTTTCTTTATAAATTACCCAGTCTCAGGTATGTCTTTATAGCAGTGTGAGAACAGACTAATATAACAACTATAATTTTTAAAATATGAAAGAGAATAGACTAGAAATGGAATATAAATAAAATATGAATACAAATAGACTAGATAGAAAATATCAAGTTAACTGCATATAATGGTAAATCTTTAATAATATTCTTATTTCAAATATATATATACCTGCATGGTGGATTATGTTATAAAATGTATTTTTTAACACTGAACTTCTGTCAAAAAAAGTTTAAAAAACAATGTCTTATTTGACTTTAATCTTCATGAGGGCAAAGAAAGTCTTCCATCATATTTTATTATTTATAGGGCTGTCATATTGCCTTGTACATAGGCCAAGACATATGATTTGAATTGAATTGATCCTCAGAACTTAGAAATTTTGCTTTCATTTACAAATCATTTTATATTGCCGCTTTGCTGTAATCGCTCATTTAAATAAAGCATCCACTCCAAAAATTAAGGCACTAGAAGAAATTTCAGATCCCTGCCTTTTACAGGAAGCCCTTGAGTCCTGTACACCAGTGCTATCGTATGTTAGTGAACCAATCCTGGTCTACAAACATTTTTGCTAGTGATTCACAAAGCGATAGTCGAGAGTAAATATTTTGAAACTTCTATAGCAATTTGACACAGTAGTTGTATGTTTGTTAAATCTAATAATTAAAAAATAGAGATTGTTTTTGTCATTGCACTTTTTTAAGTAATTTTTATTGTATTTATAAAAATATAAGTTCAAAATGGTTTAAAAATCAAAAAGTGGTCCTACAAAAAGACAATTTGAGAAGGACTGTTCCAAAATATAAATGAAAGATGTGCATTTTTAAATTATCGAAAATACAAGCCAGGTGTGGTGGCATATGCCTGTAATCCTAGCACTTTGGGAGGCTGAGGCAGGAGGATCACTTGAGCCTAAGAGTTCAAGACCAGCCTGAACAATATAGTGAGATCTTGCCTCTGCAAAAAATAAAAAATTTAGCCAAGTGTGGTAGCATGTGCCTGTAATTCCTGCTACTTGTGAGGCTGAGGTGGGAGGATCACTTGAGCCCTGGAGGTAGAAGTTGCAGTGAGCTATGATTATGCCACCACACTCTAGCCGGGGTGACAGAATGAGACCCTGTCTGAAATAAATAAGTACAGATTTCTTCTGTAAGTTTCCTGAATTTTATTACTAAAACAGAAAGTATCCTATGTAGCCTGGCCTTTGTTGAAGTCACAATGTATATTTGCTATCATTTTATGGGTTGCATTCGTGTATTTTATCTGGAATACCTGCATCTTCTGACTAATGGCCTCCACATCTTTTTGACCATGCCTCTTGCATTAGTAAAATACTTTGAGAATATGCTCCCATATATGTATATTTATTAGCAATAATTTCATATTTACTATAGTCAATTATTAGGTACATTGTAAAACACATATCAAAAATAATAAAGGTTGGGACAAAAAAAAAACAAATCTTCATGGAAGTTCAAGTTAAACATTTTTCTCCTAAAGGTGCATATACTCTGACTTTGGAGATTCTTACCCTAGATCTGGAGCAGCAAACTTTTTCTGGGAAGATCCAAAGAGTTAATATTTTTAGCTTTCAGTCTCTGTTGCAAGTATACAACTCTGACTTTATAGTATGAAACCAGGCATAAGCAATAGGTTTAAAAATGAGCATGGCTGTATTTCAGAAAACTTTATAAAAACAAGTAGTGAGCCAGACTTGGACCAAGAGCCATTGTTTGCTGATTTCTGCTCTAGATTTTAGGGAAAATTGCAAATCCCATATTCACTCTCCTAGGGAATGTGAATTGCAGCATAAGAAGCCAGAGAAATATAAAAATCCCAATTTCCTATTTTGTTGTTGTTGTTGTTTGTTTGAGATGGAGTCCCATGCTGTCACCCAGGCTGGAGTGCAGTGGCCCAATTTCGGCTCACTGCAACTTCTGCCTCCCAGGTTCAAGGGATTCTCTTGCCTCAGTCACTGAGTATCTGGGATTACAGAGGCATACCACCACTCCCAGCTAATTTTTGTATTTCCAGTAGACACATGGTTTCACCATGTTGCCCAAGCTGATCTTGAACTCCTAACTTCAAGTGATCCACCCCCTCGGCCTCCCAAAGTGCTGGGATTACAGGTGTGAGCCACTGCACCCAGCCCCCACCCTTTTTTTTTTTTTCAATGGAGTACAAACAAACTTACTTTATGGATGAGGAAACTAAGGCCCAAAGAGATGACCTTCCCAATCATCCCAGCAAAGAAATATTGCTGTATATAATTGCAATTCATGCTTACTAACTAAATCTTATACTTGGTCATAAAACCATCACATTTAGTAACAACCAATTAAATTATTTTATTAATAAAGAAAACCCTGCCTCAGCAAATTATGATTTCCTATAGTTTTTTTTTCCTCAGGTTTTTCATTATTTCACTCAGAAAATATTGCATTTAGGGTTAAGAAAGATTAGCAGAATCACTTCTAACTAATTCAGTGAATAAAAAACTTAAAAAGATGGATTTTAAAAAACCCAGTCATTTGTTTTCAGGAAAGCCTCAAAAATTGACAAGAATTCAAATTACAAATGGAAAATATTCTCAAGAGTTTCATTTTAGTAACTGTACCTGGTGTTAATGATCCACATAGGTGTTGCTTAAAAATGAATGATCAATTTTTGCAAACAACATGCTTGCCAACAGAATGCGGAGGGCTTTCACACACACTGCTCTTAAGTCATGGTTAATTCATAGCCAAGGACACAACTAATGTGAGCAGTAAATAACATCTTGCCATGCAGGTCAGCAGATCAAGAAGGATGTTGTTACCCTGAAAGGGCTCAAGGACATCAGCTAGTGCCTCTTTATTTGTTCTGCTTCTGCATCTAGGACACAGCCTAGCACGGTATGGAGAGTTGACATTCGTGGAATGAATGAATGAACAGATGAAAATATGGGACTGCTGAAGAGGACTGAATTCTCTACAGAGATGTCTTAAAGTTGTTCTCATTGCTTTTACTTTTTAAATTTCTTCTATTTCATTGAGACTATTGAAGACAAAGCTGAGGAAGAATCTTGGGGAATGAATCTTTTGAATAGTGATCTGGTTCAACAGAAAAGGAACTGAAAGAGATAAAAAATTATTAGGCCAACATTCTATATCTTCTGGTAAAGAGTTTACAAATAAATAAAATTTACAAATGTTTTTTCACATTTTATAGTATCCTTTTAAAAACCCAAATTCGTTGTAAGAATCTGTCCAGACAAGAGAAGATTTCCAAATTTACTCTATCTTTAAAATGAAAACTATGCGACTTTGCTTTGCAACCCTATATAGCAAATTCCATGGGGATGGGAAAATAGAATTTATGAGGGATCCATCTCCAAACAGCTTATAGACATTCCTACTAAGGTGCCACCTTCCCATCCTTTGTCACCCAAGAAAATTCCTCAATGAGAACTGATTTTGAGTGGTTGGGAAGAGGAAAGGATTCCTCTTTCCTACCCCCAATCCCTCTACTTACTGGTAGTTTGTTAAAATTCCTTTTAACAAAGGACCAAAATTTTTGTTCCATAAAAATACTTAAAATGCAAATAACTCTGCAAGTGGGGGAAAAAAAAAAAAAAGAAAAACAAAGCTGTTGACTTAGATTCACACTAAGGGGTAAATAGCTTATCAGATCTTTTCCAGAGAGTAGGTTCTGATGGCTACAGGCTCCATGGAGAGAAAAAGGCACTGGGGAAAAGTAGAACAAGTGTTGCCTAATTTACATTTTTGCTTGAGGCTGGCCCTGTTTCTGAATTTAGTGCCTCTACCTG
Organism: Homo sapiens; assembly: GCF_000001405.40. Lineage (NCBI taxonomy): Eukaryota > Metazoa > Chordata > Mammalia > Primates > Hominidae > Homo > Homo sapiens. The sequence goes on from NC_000003.12 coordinate 30,982,622, forward strand.
ATCAATCCCCAGAGACTTGTTCCTATCATGTCTCCAGCTGCCATTCGCCTTCCTCCATCACCTGTGCCTCCCCTCCTCCTCTACCTGCCTGTTTTTATGCCACCAGCAGTCATTCAATTAAATGCAATTTCAGTTTTTCCCTGTCTGTCTCAACAAAGCCACTCCATATGGGATCAAATGCTAGATAAGAATCTTTTGAGATAACCGTGACCCAGCTGATTAGTAAAGGACTTCGGTCTTCCCTAAGATGGTGTATCACTGGTCAGCTCCTGAGATAGCAGCAGGAGGTTTATTGGAGAGTATGCTCAGAATCAGCACCCCTGAGAGACAGAGGGAAGTCATTGAGGGCAGGGAGAGAAGCTGAGCTACAGTATAGTTGCAGCAAAGGTCTCAGCCAATCCAACCTGGAGATCTAGAGCTGAGAGGGCCCTTCAGAGTTGTTCTGAATTGAGGCAGGAGAGCTGCACCTTTATAACCCTGCACTGACCAGCCACTGAATGTAGTTTGTGCCTGAAAAATGGGTATGATCTTGGGGCAAGACACTCTCTTCAGCCAAGCACAAATCCCAAAGAGGACAATCAGCTAAGGGGCATCAGCCATTAGCACTTCCAGCAGCTGGGAAAATAAGTGCCTCTTTCCTAGAGGGGGATCTTAGGTATCATGATATCCACTAAAATAAAGTTACTGTTCTTTTTAAGTGCAGGCTTTAAATTGGGGCTTAAAAGCAAAAATCACTCATTATTTTGTTAGAAACTTTACCAAGATCTCTTCTTCCTTGCAGAAAAACATGTCACCCATAGTAATGCACCCATGGCTTCCAAGTTGCCAATTCAACACACATGGATTAATCTGCATTTGCAACTGTCACATTCATGATAATTCATGCAGACTTCTGTCTGCTTCATTGTAAGTGTAGTCAGACACATGAATTAAAATATTTGGGATGGACACAGTGGCTCACGCCTGTAATCCTAGCACTTTGGGAGGCCGAGGCGGGCAGATCACGAGGTCAAGAGATCGAGACCATCCCAACCAACGTGGTGAAACCCTGTCTCTACTAAAAATACAAAAATTAGCCGGGCATGGTGGCACGCACCTGTAGTCTCAGCTACTTGGGAGCCTGAAGCAGGAGAATTCCTTGAATCTGGGAGGCGGAGGTTGCAGTGAGCCGAGATCACACCACTGCACTGCAGCCTGCCATAGAGCGAGACTCCGTCTCAAAAAATAATAATAAAATGAAATAAAATACATCTGAAATTTATATTATTATAAATTATTTTTCTATTCTCTTTAACATTGCAGTTAAGAATATGTGTATAGTAATATTTATACAAATTTTATTTCAGGAAAGTAAGGGAAACACGGCAAAATATTTTGTATGAAAAGAGATCATTAGATCTGAAAATGTAATTTAGGATGGAAGCTTGCCTTAGAGTAATTCTAAACCCTAGCTGCCACTTAAAAACACTTACGAAGCTATAAAATATCCTGATGCCCAGGTCATATGCAAGACCAAGTGAATCAGAACTTCTGGAGGCAAAACCGAGACATTATTATTTTTGAAACTCTTCAAGGAATTGCAATGAATAGATAAGATTGAAAAATCCATGTCCTGGGGCAGTGATTCTCAAAATTAAACGTGCATCACAAGCACCTTGTGATTGATCAGGCGCAGATAGCTGGGACCCACCTCCACAGCTTCTGATTCAATAGCTCTGGGATAGGGCTGAGAATTTTTCTTTCTAATCAGTTCCTGAGTGACGCTGATGCTGCTGGTCCAGGACCACCCTTTGAGAGGCAGGGTTCTAGAGGCTTTGCCTGCCTGAGCAGAGTCCCCTCGCCACATTTAGCAGCTTTTCCTTGTCCCTGGTATCACCCATAAAACATTTTGGAAAATCTTCCCCTTTGTCAGTTTTTGGAAAGACCCTTTCCCCTCTATGCAGCTATTTCCAAATGCCACATTTTTCTACCCTCTAAGGAGGAACCACCAGCCGTCAGGAAAGATAACCTCTAACTTCTTCCATAATTTTTTCATCTCCTTTTGTTTTGGATTTATTTGTCATTATAGACATGGTTTTACAAATTACAGAACTAAAAACACTCCTTCAAAACAACAACTTAATTGCTTTTGTTGTACAGTTCAATCCTAACATTTATGCTGTTGAGAACCAAATGCACTCACCGATGTCTTTTCACACTTGCTTTTTATCCTGAGATGGGCCAGATACAGCTGCTCTTCTCTATTATATAGCATTTTGCTGCCAGGTTCTAGAAGTACATTTGTTTTAACTCAAATCAAGCAAAGGCCATAAATAACACAAAGATGGGCAGGAGTAATTTGGCCACAACCCTCTCTTAGTTCCTCCTAAAATCAGAGTATTTCCCAGGAGGATTTAAGATAGGATTTGTTTATCCCCTACTTCCTGCAGTTGCTTCAGTGAGACAGAGAGGTTTCTGAAACTCCTATGAAGTCTCATACCTCAACCTCAAGCACTAAAGCTGATAAGGAAGTTGGGCGATTCAGATAAAAATTAACTTTCCCTTTTAAGAGAGGCTGAGGGAAAAACGGACAAAAAGTCCTCATTTTCTTTAGCAAAAGAAAAATAGTCACACAATTTTTCAGCTTGGCCAAGATTAATAACTCGTAATCTGAAGATATTGGCTTCTGTTGAAGTGAATATCAAGATTTATTGACCTGTGAAGTAAATATTAACAGAGGTGAAACTGAGGTTAATAACAAACCTCAGGGGATAATACATCTTCATATTTGCTAGTATAAAAAGTCAGCCCATATATTGCTCATGCATACATTCAAAAACCTCTTTAACCAAAAAGCTCTGGAAATCTCTTTGCTGTGACAGATTGCTTAAATATATGGCCGAATTTCTATTTGTATTAACATTCTCTGGCTGTACTAAGGCAGCCAGAAAAGCAAAACATTAATAGCTTCTTCTGAGGATCATCAGCAGCCAATCAAAAGGCAGTTGTTTATTTGCATATGAGACCTGATTGGAAGAGACTGATCCTAATCAGTATCTGATTCCCCTCAATCTCACTGATGTAGGCAGTATATTGATGTGATTACACTAGTATTCAGCCACCTAATAAGCCCATCTTTTCTCCACATACAAAATAAAATACTCTAAACTACGATTTTATACACATTGAAATAAATATGCTCATTGTCACCAGTGACAAATTTTATAAACGAATGTTAAGAAATTTTATTTTTTAAAGAATAAGAAGGCCAGGCGCAGTGGCTCACGCCTGTAATCCCAGCACTTTGGGAGGCCGAGATGGGCCGATCACAAGATCAGGAGATAGAGACCATCCTGGCCAATATGGTGAAACCCCGTCTGTACTAAAAATACAAAAAATTAGCTGGGTGTGGTGGCATGTGCCTGTAATCCCAGCTACTCGGGAGGCTGAAGCAGGAGAATCGCTTGAACCCGGGAGGCGGAGATTGCAATGAGCCCAGATCGGGCCAGTGCACTCCAGCCTGGCAACAGAGCGAGACTCTGTCTCAAAAAAAAAAAAAAAAAAGAATAAGAAATATGTTTCTTATTTCATACCTGAACAAAGGTATGAAAGGTATGAGATTTCTGGGCATTGGTGCCAGAGGAGCTGTTGGAATTCTAGTTCTAAGACTTTCTTTCTCTGTGACATCAGGCAAGTCACTTCACTGCTCTGTTCCTGAGTTTCCTCCATTGGAAAATGAAGATAACAATAGCACTTACCTCATAGGCTTGTTGCGTAGATTAAAGGAGTTAGGACATTCAAAGTGCCTTAGAGTGTGCTCAGAGCATACTAATGAATATATATTTGTTTGTTTGTTTTTTAAGTTATAGAGAAAAGGGTCTTTGAAGATCCTGTGGCCCCACAGTCTCAAATATTTGTGGGCATCTGTCCCTTAGTGTTCTCGTGGTTAGCCTTAACCATTGACTGTAAAGTGTTGATATTACTGATGTTTATTTAAATTTAAATTTAGTTGCCAACATTTAAAATTCAGGGGAATTCCATGTAAAATAATAAGAATGCACAGCTTTTCTCACAAAAATTTCAGAAGACACAACCACAGTTGGACTCGTATTCTCAGCGGCCAAGGAACAGGTGGCACTAAGGGGCAGCTGCCTGCTGCAGAGGGTGAGTGACTTTATTTTCACAGGTGTGAGCATGCTCTTTGCCAGTCTCTACCATTCTCCATTACTCCCTATACTGAGGCTGAGGGTCAACAGCCAAGTATTATCCCATTAACGCTGTTACTCTTCTTGTAGTAGAACAAAAAGTGAAGAGAAATTTATCCTCATACCCATGTCTCTTTCAAAAAGAGAAACAGAAACAAAGACAGAGAGGCCCATGCTTCAAGAAAGATGTGAGCCAGACATGCTTGTTTAGACCATAAAGAGGATTTCTGAGTTTAATATACCAACAAAGTGCATCTGTAGAGAGAAGAATACAACTTAAGCCTCCATTAGGAAAACAAACCATGAGAAGAACCATGACTGGTATGTGGAAAAGATGCCTGATGAAAAGCTTAATGATCTGTAAAAGAGACTGGAATTTTAACACAGTTGATTTTGTGAATGTGAAACAAGTGAGTGGTGGTGCTGTGATATGCAGTGATGTACATTTTATACATTTACGTCACCTGCTCCCTGCATGTAGGTATTTGTATTTCTGATCCCTAATCTAAACTAAAGTATTATTATATAGATGAAGAAACTAAAGCCAGAGAAGTTAAGGGAGTTGACTAATTGTAGCATACTAATTAGAGGCAGAGGTGACATTTAACCTGGGTCCCTTGGCTTCATTCCATGTCCTTTCTATTACTCAAATACAAATACAAATAGCTTCCACTGTGACTTCATGATGATACTCACTTTGATGATACTCAAAGTGAATACACACCCTCAGGTGAATTGAATCTCACCCTTCACATCTTATGAGACCATAGAAGGATTTAAATTCTCTCAGCCTTAACTCTCCAGTTAGAAAACACTAATCCTAGTGCTAGAATTATAATTGTTCAAAATGTTTTCAAGCTGGAATAAAATATTTGATCTACTGGTTCCTGTGTCAACAGACCACTATAATCAAAGTATGAACACTTACCCAAGTCCTTTATTGGCAGAATAAAAATATTAAGAGTGGAAATATAAAACAAACGCTTAAACAGTAAATATGACATCTCATCTGTTGCCAGAGATTTCTTCACTTTCTTGTCTCAATACAGTAGAAAAAATTTTCATTTCTTTTGAAGAAAATGCAGCATTGTTCGATATCTTACTTAATCTTAGCCAACTCTCGGATTCACTCTGATTTTATTGTATTATCTCATTCTCCCAATTCTGTGAGCCCACTGGTCAGACACCTTTAGAAAGACGGCATGAGACATGACTAGAAATATAAAATAAAAGCTGGGAAACACCTTAAAAACCACCATGAAACTATGGCTTCTCATACAGACTGACATGCAATTTATTAAAAAGAAAGGCAACAATATTAATATCTATGATCACTTGCCCAAATGCTTTTGTTTTCTATGCCTTTGCTGCTCCTCCTTCAGCCAATGGCTTTCTCAAAATGTAAACTGAAAATTCTTGTTCTATTGCTTATTTTATTTTTGGTTAGGTGATTTTGTTTTGTTTTGGTTCTAAGATACTAAATGATCTTATTTCTTCAGTGTGTTTCCACCTTCTCTCCCCTCTTTCTCCCATTGAAGGTGATAGGGGCTCTAACAATTGCTTCAGGGGAGGGATCTAAAGCCTCAAGGGTGGATACTGCTTAAAAGGTAGAAATCGGCTTTCAGACTTTGGTTTACAAAAGCCTAAACTAATCAAGAACTTTGCTGGTCAAATATCAAGAGAAAGAGTGTAGACTGATGGCAGAGAGGCAGCTGTCAGCTCCAACCCTGCATTCGTTCTCAGCCCCTCAGCCCTAAGTATTCGACAGTTGACCACCTTTCGTGGAGGTTAGAATCCAGCGAAGGGGAAGAGAACTCCAAATAAATTGGGAGAAAAGAGGGAATGGATGAATCAAATTAGAATTGAAGATGTGGAGTTTTTTAATTAGTTTTTCTGGCATATCTGTGTTTGTTACCATTTAAGGACAAAATTCAAGCATCGGGGTTATTTTGACATGAAGACAGGGTAAATAGCCCCCTATTAGCATTCAGTAAGGAACTCAACCCCCTTTTAAGAACTCTGTATAAAACTCCCTTAAAACGTGTCCTCCCCTACACTGACATGGGTATAGGAACCAGAAATAACACTTTTATCTTTGCCTCCTCCATTTCCTTTACCCCTCAATCCACTTATCACTACATTCGCTTTTCCCTTCATCTCTGTGGTTGCAAAGTCCTGCAGACTTTGCCACATCTCAGTGCTGTGGCTTATTGCCTCCTCTTTCTCCCTCCCAGCACTGCTTTAATTAAGGCCCTCATTGCCTCCTGACTCACCTATACTCCTAGACTTCTGACTTGTCTCCTGGTTTTCACTCTTGTTCTGCTCCAGTCTATTTTCCACGTAGCCTCCAGAGAAAACCACAATTCACATATGACCATATCATTCTGGCTTAAAGTCCTACATTACAGCTTCCCAGATATGGTTTTAGATCAGGGAGAGCTCAGAGGGATAGGAGCTATCTGCAGCCTCAGGTTTTTCTTCTCTTGTCTCCCGCTCATGGTACCCTGCTATCACTAGGCTATTTCTTTCTTCAGTGCTTTGCTTTCATGACCCTTCTGCCCCAAATACCCACCTTAACCTGTTCTTTCTCCTCTTTCCCACAGGGCTCACTCTTGCTTATCCTGAAAGCCTCAGAAATCCTTGCTTCCTCTAAATATTTGACCAGCTGCTCCAACAGATGGATTAGCTGCCCCTCTCTAATGCTTCCTTTCACACCCTTCATACCCACTGAATTGCTTTTTCAGCAACTATTTATGTGTCTGTCTCTTGCAGTAGAATATATGAGTTCTGCCAGGGGAGGGACCATACCTGACTCATTTCTTTATTACTAGAACCTAGAATAGTTTCAGCCTAATGGTGGGTCTTGAAAGAATTTTGGTTGAATGCATGATAGATGAAATATACACACACAAACATACACATACAGCCTCTCTCTCTCTCTCTCTCCCCCTCCCCCTCCCTCCCTCCCTCCCCTGTCTCTCTTGGAGGGATTAAGGGATTATACTGGAAGATGAAAGATGCAACTTCTAGATTGGCTAATGCCCCTGTTGAATTGATATACATGCCTGCCCTGAAAAGAGCAAGGATTAGACATTAAATAACTTGGATAAAGGATAAGTTTCAAAAGCAAAAAGAAATTGGAGCAAAACATAAAGTTATTCACAGAAGCAAGAAACAAACAAAAGTCACGAAATGTGTAGGTAGTGACAGAAAGTGAGAAAGAAATAGACAATATTGACCATTTTGATAACTTAGCCAGGTAAATTCTAGATGCCTTAAGTATGTTAACCTATTTTAATACCACAAAAGTTCTCTTACATATATATTATTATCCCCTACAAATGAGAAAACCAAAGCCAAGAGGGAACAAATAATATACACTAGTGTAAATAGCTAATAAGAGATTTGATTTGAACCTAGGTCTGAGTGATACCAATATTGATGCTCTTTCTGCCACATTATATTGCTTCTAAAGATATACATGAGAAATTTTGCTTTTATCTCCATTTGTTCTTGGAGTAGAGGGAAAGGAATAGAAGGGCACGGTCGATATCTCCTGGCATGATAATAATGATAATAATAGTAAACACTTATATAGCAATTAAGATGTACTTGGTACTGTTGTAAGTAGTTTAAATACACTTCTTACACTATACTATCACAATTCTATGACTGAAATATTGTCGTGAAACTCCTCCTTTTACAGATGAGCAAACTGAGGCACAGAGAGTTCATGAACTTCTCCAAAGCCACACAGATAGTAAGTGGCCAATACGGGATTCAAAACCATGAGTGTAGCAGCCAAGTGGATGCCCTTAGCTATTCTGCCTCCAAACATCCCCACATGGGACACAGAAAGAAGATAACCAGAAGAACCCAGAAGAAAAGAAATCCATATTGCACAGAGACTTTTTCTAGTCACTCTATGGGTTTTCACTATAACTTTATGCAGATAAAGTAGAGGTGTATATTAACACCCCATTACACAGATAACCTTCACAAGACCTTCAACTTGAGGATCAATTAGATCCTGGAAAAAGGCTGCAAGTCTTTATATCATTATATTTATATCATTATATCATTTATATCATTATAAATTAGACTTCTATTTTCTATAGCAAAACATGATAAATTAGGTTTATTTCTGGAAAAGCATTCAAATAAAAAATACCAAAATAAACACAAAAATACATGAAAGAAACACAAATGTAAGCTTTCATAAACATTTCTTACATTACACATTTTACATAAGTTTGGTTTCTACATATACTAGACTTGTTGAAGGTTATTAAAATAGGAATCAATGAAGTTTGGATTGAAGGTAAATTATTTTTCCTCGCAGACTTCCCTGTAGCAAGCATAGGCATATGTCACTGCTTTAGGCATCTCAGACTTGAATTCAAAATTAGAGTGATTAGTCTCAAAACTTTTTATTCTAATTTGTTGTGAATGAATGGAAACTTTTAGCATAGTAAAAGCTGGGAGAAATCATTTCCACAGTGTCATCTTTTTCAATGACCTCTTGCTCTTCTATTTCAATAAGTCCTTTGACAATGACCTCTACCTGATTTGTCAATATTGCTAATTATTGCAGTCATTATCAACTACCCTCATGGTTTTGGTATTTTGGGTTCTGATATACGCTACTAAAATTCAGGCATCTTTGTTTATGTGACCCTATTATTTTACAATATAAATCTGAAATCTGAAAATTATTTGCATATTGATTATATATTTTAAAATTCTGTTTCACTCAAATTTTGTATTAAACTAAGTGTTCTTGTTTAGAAAGCATTCTTTCTAAAAGTCCAGATTCCTGAAGATGAAGAAAATGACAATTGATATAGTAAATTCTCATTCATAAGAATAAGTCCTATCTACTTCAAAGGACTTCTGCACAAGTGGCATATAAATCTGACAGTTTTGAAATTGGAAAAGGTAACTGCTTAAAGTATCTAGCGGTAGAAAATAAAACCAAAGAAGATACAAATGAAGCTGAAGTAGCAAAAATTCAGTGTGCTCTCTCTCTCTCTCTGCATATATATCTATATATATTTACATAGATATAGATCTCTATCTCTCTATATATATGGTATTAGTCCATTCATAGATAGATAGATAGATAGATAGATAGATAGATAGATAGTATTAGTCCATTCTCACGCTGCTAATAAAGACATACCAGAGACTGGGTAATTTATAAAGGAAAGAGGTTTAATTGACTCACAGTTCCACATGGCTGGGGAGGCCTCAGGAAACTTACAGTCATAGTGGAAGGCACCTCTTCACAGGGTGGTAGGAGAAAGAATGAGTGCCCAGCAAAGAGGGAAGCCCCTTATAAAACCCTCAGATCTCATGATAACTAACTCACTATCTCAAGAACAGGATGGGGGAAAATGCTCTCATGATTCAATTATCTCCACCTGGTCCCTCCCATGACATGTGGGGTTTATGGGAACTAAAATTCAAGATGAGATTTGGGTGGGGACACAGAGCCAAATCATATAATTTCACCCCTGGGTCCTCCCAAATCTCATGTCCCCACAATTCAAAACGCAATCATGTCCTTCCAACAGTCTCCCAAAGTCTTAACTCATTCCAGCATTAACTCAAAAGTCCAAGTCCAAAGTCTTATCTAAGACAAGGCAAGTCCCTTTCACCTCTGAACCTGTAAAATCAAAAGCAAGTTAGCTACTTCCCAGATACAATGTGGGTACAGGCATTGGATAAGTACACCTGTTCCAAATGGGAGAATTTGGCCAACACAAAAAGGCTACAGAACCCATGTAAGTCTGAAGTGCAATAGGGCAGTAATTAAATCTCTTAAAGCTCCACAATCTCCTTTGAGTCCATGTCTCACATTCAGGTCATGCTGATGCAAGAAGTGTGCTCCCATGACCTTGGGCAGCTCTGCCCTTGTGGCTTTGTGGGGTACAGCCCCCTTCTCAGCTGCTTTCATGGCTGGTGTTGAGTGTCTGTGGCTGTTCCAGGTGATGGTGCAGGCTATCAGTGGATCTATCATTCTGGGGTCTGGAGGATGGTCCTCCTCTCACAGCTCTACTAGGCAGTACCCCAGTGGGTATGCTGTGTTGGGGCTCCAACCCCACATTTCCTTCCTGCACTACCCTAGCAAAGGTTCTACATGAGGGCTTCACCCCTGCAGCACATCCAGGTGTTTCCATACATCCTCTGAAATCTAGGCAGAGGTTCTCAAACTTCAATTATTGTCTCATGTGTACCTGTAGGACCAGCACCACATGGAAACTGCAAAGACTTGGGGCTTGCACCTCTGAAGCCATGGCCCGAGCTGTAACTGGGCCCCTTTTAGCCATGGCTAGAGCACCTGGGACACAGGGTACTACGTCCCTGGCTGCACACAGCAGGGGCACCCTGGATCTGTCCCAGGAAACCATTTTTTCCTCTTAGGCCTCTGGGGTTACTGTGAAAGGTCTCTGACATGCCCTGGAGACATTTTCCCCATTGCCTTGGTGATTAACATTTGGCTCCTTGTTACTTATGCAAATTTCTGCAGCCAGCTTGAATTTCTCCCTAGAAAATGGGTTTTTCTTTTCTACCACATCATCAGGCTGCAAAGTTTCTAAACATTTATGCTCTACCACTTCTTGAATGCTTTGCTGCTTAGAAATTCCTTCTAGTAGATACCCTAAATCATCTCTCTCAAGTTCAAAGTTCCACAGATCTCTAGGGCGAGCGCAAAATGCTGCTAGTCTCTTTGCTAAAACATAACAAGTCACCTTTGCTCCAGTTCCCAAGTTCCTCATCTCCATCTGAAACCACCTCAGCCTGGACTTCGTTGTCTATATCACTAACAGCATTTTGGTCAAAGCCATTCCACAAGTCTTTAGGAAGTTCCCAACTTTCCCACATCTTTTTTTTTTCTCCTGAGTTCTCCAAGTCTCTAGGAAGTTCCAAACCTTCCCACATTTTCCTCTCTTCTTCTGAGCCCTCCAAGCTGTTCCAACCTTTGCCTTTTATCCAGTTCAAAATTCGCTTCCACATTTTCAGGTATCTTTATGGTAGTGCCCCACTACCTGGTACCAATTTGCTGTATTAGTTTGTTCTCACACTGCTAATAAATATATACCTGAAACTGTGTAATTTATAAAGGAGAGAGGTTTAATTAACTCACAGTTCCACATGGCTGGGGAGGCCTCAGGAAACTTATAATCATGGTGGAAGGCACCTCTTCACAGGGCAGTAGGAGAGAGAATGAGTGCCCAGCAAAGGAGGAAGCCCCTTAAGAACCATCAGATCTTGTGAGAACTTTCACAAGAACAGGATGGAGGAAACTGTCCCATGATTCAATTATCTTCACCTGGTCCCTCCCATGACACATGGGTATTATGGGAACTAAAATTCAAGATGAGATTTCAGTGGAGACAAAACCAAACCACGTCATATATATGTATATACTCACACACATATAAACATATAGAAAGAGTATATATATATATATACACACACACACGAAGATATACATATATACGTGTGTGTGCGCATATATACGTATATATATATACACATACATATATATGTATATATATAATTTTAGCTCCTGAAAGTTGTTCAAAAGTCCCCTGAAGCAGGAGAAACAATTATATGATTATTTGAAAATAAAGCATCTTCTTTCTCATATTCCCTGATGAGAACACATGAGAGCCGTTTCAGCAGCCAGAAAAATGTATACAAAAATATACTACCCAATTATGTATTAATGCACACATTGCCTTCATTTTGCCTTATTTTCAGATAGAAACTTAAACAATTGAACATGCATAAAACAACTCCATTAATAATGGGCAACAGACATGAACAGACACTTCTCAAAAGAAGATATGCAAGTGGCCAACAAACATATGAAAAAATGCTCAACAGCACTAATCATCAGATAAATGCATATCAAATACATAAGGAAATGGCATCTCATGCCAGTCATAATGACTATTATTAAAAAGTCAAAAAATAACAGATGCTGGTAAGGGTGTAGAGAAAAGAGAGTTCTTATACACTGTTGGTGGGAATGTAAATTAGTTCAGTGGCTGTGGGAAGCAGTTTGTAGATGTCTCAAATAACTTAAAGCAGAACTACCACTGAAGCCAGCAATCCCAATACTGAATATATATGCAACTAAAAACAAATTGTTCTACCAAAAGACACACACACTCATATGTTCATCACAGCACAGCACTAGTCACAATAGCAAAGACATCTAATCAACCTAGGTGCCCATCAATGGTAGATTGCATGAAGAAAATGTACATATACACCATTAAATACTATGTAGCCATAAAAAAGAATGAGATCATGTCCTTTGCAGCAACGTGGGTGGAGCTGGAGCCCATTATCCAAAGCAAACTAACAGAAAAAGAAAACCAAAGACCAAATATAAGCATGTTCTCACTTACAAGTGGGAGCTAAACGGTGGGTACTCATGAACATAAATATGGCAACAACAGAGACTGGGGACTACTAGATGGGAGGAGGAAAAATGGGAGAAAAGAGTTGAAAAACTACCTATTGGGTATTGTACTCAGTACCTGGGTAATAGGATTATTCATATCCCAAACCTCATCATCAAGCAATATACCCGGGTAACAAGCCTGCACATGTAACCCTTGAATCTAAAATAAAAGCTGAAAAAAAAAATTCAGAAATTAGAAGTAGTACTAAGACTTTGGAAACATTTACCATGATTCTTCTATTTAGATTATGCCACAATGTATATGCAGTTTAAAAGAAAAATCAATGTATATCATATCGTAAAAAGATTTAACATTTTCATCTTTTAAAAAAGAGAAAATTATATTTTTAAATGTTTTATAATTCTCATTTCTTATGTAATGTGTTTTAGCACGATACTTTATTAATGTTATCTGTTAATACATATTTAGCATTTATATTTTCAATGCATTTATAATTTTATGTTTATATGTTTTGTGATAGAAAATGTTGATATTTAGTTGCTGATTTTTAAAATTATTTTACGAACCTTGAGCATGCTTTTAAAATTAGCAAGAATGCCAGAACTATGCAAATTAATTAACAAAATGCTGTAACTTTCACTCAACAACAGTAAAAAACTTGACAAATATAAGTTTTTGTTATTTTTAAGATAAAAAATTAAAATGAGGTTATGCTTACAAATAAAGCTAGTGTAGGTGGCCTGTATGTCATCTAGAATTAAATTATGCTTATCTCTTCAAAATAATTTCTCAAATTTTAATATATGCAAGAATCACCTGAGGATCTTACTGAAATTTAAGTTCTGATTCAGTAGGTCTGGACTGGGGTCTGGGATTTTGCAAATTTTAACAAACTCCCAGGTGGCATTAATGCTACTGGTCCAGGGACCACTTTTTGAGTGGGAAGGCTCTTCTAGAGTACTTTACATCATTCTCCAATGAATGTTAGAGATCACTACCAGGTAGGGCTGTCTTAATGCCTATGACTTAAATGAATGGAAGAGGGCATGCTGGGAACAGTGAGGTAAGATAAGATAGGTGAGGTGATCTTGGTCTTACAAGTAGGCAGGAGATTGGAATTTATATGGAAAAAATCTGAGTTAAAGAGTCTTATGAAGGGAGATCTGGGAAACATTCTGTTCATGGTGTACATACAAATTGAAGTAGGAGAAACTGGTGGAGAACATTTTCAGAAAATTCCTTCTTTCAATGAATGTCACTGAAAAGAGCATGAAGGTTGAGTGCAGCTTTGTCCCGGGATTCCTGGCTGTTCTTCCACTCCCAGGAAGCAGTGAGCTCCTGGCACAGAAATCCCTATGAGAGCCCTGGGCAGTGGAATCAGCAAAACAATGGAACAGGACACCAGCATTCACTGTTTGCTTTGTGTCTTATCCTTCAGGATGCTCCCCCTGACTGTGCCAAGCTAGCTTGGTCCGCATGCCTGTGTGCTCTCCATGCCTCTCTCTTCATGGCACTGGTCTCATTGAATCAGGACCATCTGTTTGCTCACCAGTATCTCCCCTTTAAACCTGGAATACCCTGAGGGCATGAGCTACTCATACTGTGTCTGTTGTATATATGGTACCTAGCACAGTGTCCAGTTTTTGCCTGATACTGATCACTAAATATTTGTTCAGTAAGTGAATGAGACCTTAAAGATCATTTAACCCCACTGAATCCCTTTTTTCCATTGTTAAATTAAGAAACACTCTGAAATAGAGTGAACCTGCAGCTGTGCTCCAATAGCTGCCCACTATGGTTTTCCATTTTGCTTTTACCTCTATTGACACAGTAGATTTTAACCCATTTATGCCTGAGGTTGCAATTTTTTGAATTTTTGCAATCAGACCTTTGCTATGATCTTGAACAGTAGGATATAAATAACTCCCACATGATTAGTGTTCCAATAATGGAACATTAGGCATAAAGGGACTAATGCCAACCCTCTACCCCAAGATTCTATTTAACCTACTGTGACTCACATTGGACTTTCTGATTCAGTGTTCCTGATTCTGATTTCTGATTCTTGTTCTTGAATTAGGGAGCAGACTTCACCCACGCAATGACAGCAGAGACTCTTCTATTTTTTTCTGTCTTCATTAAGCTCTTCGGGTAGTGAGAAAAAGATGTATTCAGATTACCTCAGGGAATCAGGCACTTTGTAAGAAAGCAAGGGAGGCAAGAAAGTCAGGAACCTTCCTCGGCAGGGAAAAAGCACTCAGGTCCTTGAGCCTTCCCAGCTGGGACTGCCTACAGGCAATATGGCAATGCTCGTGACCACTGAGGATGCAGCAAAAACTCCAGTGTCCCAGCTTGCTCACCATACTCTCCTAGGCAGGAGCCCATGGCTCCCTGCTGCTTTTGCTGCATGCTGTGTTAGAAGTAAGGGCAGGAGATTCATGTGGCATGAGGGTCAGACTCTGCATGCGGAACCACCAGGCAGTCAGGGACACTGTCATTACATTGTCAACGTTGTAGTGAGATATGAGGCAAAGAGCCCACTCTGTGGCCCTTCAAACTGTCAGTGGTTTATCCTCCAGTTCTCTCACCTTCCTCATGCTATCCCCTTGTCCCAACCAACAGGAGTCAGAAAGATACTCTCTTTCTTGGGTATTTCAGGTGTCATCACGTGGGCAAACTCACCCTGCACCTGTACATGTTCCTGTTTCATGAGAAAGAGCAGTATCAGAGAATGTTGCAGACATAGTCTCTGAGGTCCCTAAATGCTCACAAAGTTATTTAAATAAATGGCAAAATATGATGCTTTCATTTTGATAAAATTGTGTAAGTGCATTATGGATGATTTACTTACTAAGGATGGCCACAGCATTTAGGTGTCTGTGTTGCATTTTGGTTTATGATCACAACAGTGCCAAGATGTACACTTTTGATTTTTGTGAGCTAATGACAAAAGTAGAAACCATCAGTATGTAAATGTTAATAATTCTCTTTCAAAGTAAACAGATCCTCATGATCTGTACAAATTAGGGTTTTACAAAAGTTCTATTACAGAAGAGTGGTGGGAAGTTGGTCCTTCCCATGGCATCATATAACATAGGCTACATGAGACATGTGAGACTTCCTGTGCAATTTCACAGTTACATATTTACTTTGAGATCAGCAATTTAGTTCCAGCAAAATAACACCATGCATCACATTGAATTTATGTTGTCAGTTTGATTTTTTATGGTCTCATTCTTTCAAAGATTTACTTTCTAATTTGTTTTGGTTTCATACCATTTTAAGAAATACAAGCAGAGAACATTAATCAATACTTTTGGGTTTATATATATTTAAGCAAAGTTAAAAGAAAAACAATTTAAGCCAAGGTTGGAAACTAAGAAAACTTTCCCTTCTTAAGAAACTGTTCACATATTGGTCAAGCTTCAGAAACACTGGTTATCCCTTTTAAAGACATTAATCCCTTGGTTTCAAACACATTCTCCATGAAGAAGCAAAAGAGGCCCATAGTTGACATCAAATGAGGGCATTCTTTGTAGGGGACTCTATTGGAGTATCTCCCAGATCCCCTTTATTAGGCCAGCACACCTGTCTCCCAGCTTTGGTAAATGATGGCTGCTAATGGCTCATGGATGTCTCCTTCTCTGAAGAACTGGCCTCAGAAAAAAGACAGGCCACACGAGAGATAACACCTTTGCCACCCAACTGAGGACACCTCACAGCCACTGACTGGCTGACTTGAGGGTACAAAATCCTAGACCGCTTGCCTCAAGGTGGGCTCAACTCTTGGGTACAATTCATACCCCAAAGCATCCCATGGGATCAGCAAAAGCTAAACTCCAGGTGATACCACATCTGCCTAGATTCTTTTCTTCTTTATTTTGATTTCCTTATTGTTTCTCTCCAGAGAGCACACCCCAACATGCAGCTAAATGCCTGTCTTAGTCTGTGTTTCTAGGGAACCACACCTACTTCACCCTCCTAATTTATAGAAAGCCTACTCAGCACAAAGATAGGGCCTGACTTTTGGGCCCAAATGAAGTATCTGTGGAAATGAGTTTTTCTTCTATTTCCATTACCATGAATAAAAGACATGTACGTATCTCATTCTCTAGAACATGTTGGAAAATATTTCTAAATGTGATTTAATTACCAAAGACCTCTGGCAGATTGAATATGAAGATTTCTGACTTACAGGTTGTGTGAAAATCTAAAAACTTAAATGGTTACTTTTAAATATTTTTAAATCTCTAAAACCAAATGACTCTTTTTCTGGATCCAGTTGGGGAAAATTTTCACTGGACCTGAGAGATCAACATCTCCCTAGGTATTCATTGCTGTAGCAAAGTGAAAAACTTTTGGACCCTGGAACAAATATATCTGCAATCAGTTCTCTATCTTTGTCCATAGTGATCACCTCTTTCCATTTGGTAGAAGCAACTATGTCTCCAACCATAGAAAATGAAGTCTTGATTGCCAGTCCCCATTATATAAAGTATCATTTAATCATGCTTATAGAAATAGACATTTTAACATTTCTTGCGGTTGCTCTATTGCCTTCCCCACTCACCCCATCCTAGAAGAAAAGGAAGAAACACCTGCAAGTTAAACTGAGTTAATAATAATAGCCATAGGCACCAGCTTTTGAGCCCTATGTGTCAATTACTGTACAAAGAGCTACATAATCATTATCTAATTCTTGCAACTGCCTTGTAAGGCTAGGTACTGTCTCCATTCCAAGTTAGGGTTAATTTTTCTCATGTTACAAGAAGTGTGGAGGTAAGCAGATTGTGCCTGTATATCAGCTCTATGAAATCATCAGCATCTCAATGTCGTTCCATCTTTCTGTTCACCATCCTAGATATTTGTCTTTCATCCTAATGGTCATGAAGTAGCTGATGTATCTCCAGGCACCATATCTGTAGTCCAAGCAGAAGAAAGGAAAAGGAAGCCATGCCTATTCTCTAGTGTTGATTTATTTAGAAAGGCAAGTCTTTTTCAGGGATTTCTGCCTCTATCTCATGGACTGGAACTGTGAGAGTGAGACTTGACCACCCTAAATGTGAGGGAGGTGGTTGAATATTTCACTTTATAGCTATTATAATAGCAATTCTAAATAAAATATTATTCGAATAAATCATGTCTTGGTTTGCATGGGATAGTCCTGGTTAACACTGTTAGTACCTGCATAATCATTAATAAGGTACCCTTTTAGCCTCCAGTGTCCCTGTTTAGATGATAAATTATATGGTTAACCTTTCTGTAATAGAGATGGCAGCTGAAGTGTTGAGCAAACCAACCTCTAGTATCTGTCGTACTCCAGTGACCAAAATAATTGAAAATCAATGTAACTCTTAATTTACAGTCTTTCATGAAAACACCAAAGGAGAGTATATTTCTAACACTCCAGAAACCTCTTTCAAATTTTCTTTCTCATTTCTCTTGCTGTTGATATTTCATACATGCATGGATGATGCCCTAAAGTGCCTCTCCTTTTCCAGTGTAAGATTCAAAAAATCCTTTTTCTAACTCAATCTATGTCACCTCCCTTCTCTCCTCTCCCATCTCCTCTCTGGCCCAGGCCTTTGTCATGGCAGTCCACTTAGCCCCTCTGCGCACCTCACTTTTCTCCTTGCCCTACTCCATAGAACGGTAGAATCTGTCGCTTCTCTGTACTCCCTCAACCCCCATTAAGAAGTCATCTGCCACAGTTGCTGTTTACAACCATCTTGTACCAGGGTAAGAGTAAATCTGAAACAATGCAGGGAAGAGCCCAGAGGAACAGCCTCGAGCCCTGATTGTCCTACCCACGGAGCTCCAGAAATGTTAGGTAGCAAATCTTGTTCAAGCCCATTTGAATCAGGCTTCTCTTACTTGTAAGCAAAAATATCCTAACAAATTCACTGATGTCTGTACAACTAAGGAAGTCCCAGGATAGAATCTTCTGTTATTTGACAGTAGTGAAAGGAGGAAAATGGATTTTAAAATTTGTAAGTCAATATTTTTGAGTCCTGCTAGTTATACCTTAATATATTTTTTGTTCTTGTTAAAATTGTTTAACAGGAAATCACAATTTAACTGTTTTTTGTTTTGCTTTGTTTTGTTTTTTGAACAATAGAGGGCAGGGATCCTATAAGAAATTTAGTAAAGGAAGTAAACGTGTTTGCTTCCTCTAAAATGGATAGACATCAGCCATTGTATGCTAAACCATTTCAAAATCAAAGCCAGTGCCTCACTGAGCTGGTGCTGGTGAGGGAGAATAGTCAAATCTCCTTAGTCGTGAGGAAAAATATGAAACATATTGTGTGTGTACATGACCAAGAGATGCCATGGGACCATAGGAACCCATGGGAAAGATCAGAGCAGAATGGTTGAGATGTTAATTTGGCTCCAGAAATAAGAAAGTTTGGTAAGAGGCTCCTTTGAAGGCCAAATCCTCTTGCTGTCATTGCATAGCTACTAGAGTTCATAAAGGATTGCTGACCATCCCTGTGATAAAGCAAAATAACAGAGGGAAGAAATTTGGTGCTCAGAAGTGGCTGGCAGAGACCAGCAGAAGCAGGAACAACAGGGCCCTAATGGGAAGCTCTCATGATGCACAGGTCTTTCTATTGTGAACAATACTTTAGAAGCCAGCAGAGCAGAGAAACACAGGGTGAATCTTACAAAGGGTGTCAGGAAACAGTTACCATAAACTAAGAAAACACAACCAAAGGCAGGTTGGGGAGTATCTTAGTCAGCTTGGGCTGCTATAAAAATATGTTGCATTGGGTTACTTGATTTATTTCTCATAGTTTTGGAGGATGAGAAGTGCAAGATCAAGGTACTGGATGATTTGATTCCTAGTAAAGTCTCTTTCTCTGTTTTGAAGTCTTCTTGCTGCATGTTCACATGGCAGAGAAAGACAGATATCCTGTTTTTATAAGGGCAATAATCCCATCACAAGAGCCCACACTCACAACCTAACCTAAACCTAATTCCGTCCCAAAGGGCCCACCTCCAAATACCATTAAATTGGAGATTAGGGTTTCAACATCTAAATTTGGGGATGATACAGACACTCAGTCCACAGCAAGAAGGAATAAATCACAGTGGGTTTTTAGAAAGTCCATGTCAATCTGTAATCCATGTACTGTGTTTCTTTAAATTTTGTCCTTTATTGTAATGACCTTTGATGCTAAAAACAAATGTAGTAATGTGTGTTTAGAATCTTATGTTAATTTTTTTCCAAAACAAGCAATATTGGTAGAACCCACTTATTTATTCTGCCTATATGTCATTTATACATTCCAATGGATAAGTTTACTATCAAAACTATATACCGTAAACCAATGCCTGGGTGTACACCATAAACTATACACCATAAACCAATGCCTTGCTATTTCCCTGGTAATCTTCAGCTGGTGCAGGACCTGCCCAGTAAATCAAACCCTATTAAAGAATAGTGAAATTAAGTAGAGGAAAACCATAAAATAAGTTGTGGGAAGTGAGGGCTGGAGGGAGTGGGGAGAAAGAAGCTCGATAGATGAAAGGGGACAGAATCACACCAGAAAGTGGAAGGACTTATTGTAATAACCGAAGGATGCTGAGATAGATGGAATGTGTATAACCTGCTTTGAACTCTCTGCTCAGGAAAACAGACACCATGTAAACACAATATCCTAGTTACTATGTTTCTCACAAGACATACAAAAAGGGAACTTAGTCATTTCAATAGTTGAACAATGCTATATTATCAAAATGAAACTAGATTTAAACTATTAAATAACTGCATTCACCCAAAGTATTTGTACACACAGCAAAGCTATTTAAACCAACGGATATAATTTTGAGAGGAATTGTTATATTAATTCACATTTATTTTAAGTGGCAGTGGAATACTGAATGCAGATAAGACAGTTAACTGTTTGAATTCTAGGGTATAGACCACAGGTACAGAATAAAATATTTTTTAATTTATTGAACACCAGCAATGTGGTCAGTATTGGACACATTTTGATACCATTCATGACTGCCTTGTTATCTAAACAAGCAGAAACAATCTTACCCAGAAGAGAAAGACAGGTGCCAATCAGCAGAAGACAGGAAAGTATTGTTTTATTTTCGTGGTGTTACACAAAGCCGACCAGATAGAGAGAGATGGAGTGAGGGGAGAGGAGGAGATGTAAGGAATTGGCTCACACAACTGTAGAGGCTGGCAAGTCCAAAATTTGAGGGGTATGTTAGGTCAGCAGGCTAGAGACCCAGGGAAGAATTGATGTTGCAGTTTGAGTCCAAAGGCCATCTGCTAGCAGAATTTCCTCTTTCTCAGGAATATCAGTCTTTTCCTTAATGTCTTCAACTGATTGGATGAGAATTACCTACCGGATGAAGGGTAATCAACTTTACTCATGGTCTACTGACGTATATGTTAATTTCATCTAAAAAAAATACCTTCATGCAACATCCAGATATGTTTGGCCAAAGTGCCATGGCCTAGTCCAGTTGACACAAAAAATTAGCCATCACAGTTGCCTTACCAATATTTGATATACTGTGACATTTTTCATTCAATTCTGTTCTACTCCGAAAAATTTTTTAAATGATGATCACAAACTAGTGGATTGATTTCATGACTTGCTCCAAGAATGCAGCTTTAAAATCTGAAAAATATTGGTCTAGAAACCTGTCTAAAAGAGGCTCATTAACTTTCTTGTGCAACACTGGAGGCAGGAGCAGCAAAAATGTCCTCTTGCACTCAGGAGGTACAGGGGAGTGGAGGATCTAAAAGCCCAAAATGGAGTGGCAGAATGTGTCCATTGAGCCTGAGAGTGGCAAGTATATAGTTCCAAAAGTTAATGATTTGAAGAAGTCTTATATTCGGGAAGAAAGAAAGACAGAAGTGAAACCATAGACTAGTAACTGCAGACTAGACAGAAACAAGGAAACCTCCATGGACATAGCATACAGATAATGGCATCAAGGACAGCATCACCAGATGTTTCCTTGACAGCATAACATAATGTAACTACTCCCAATTCAGACAATTCCACGGATAGAAGAATAGCATTGCAAAAATGACTGGAATTCATTCCTACCAAACAGTGGACTAGGAATTTGACATAGCAGTGTTTAGTCATCTATTGTTACATGAATAACCATCCCAAACTACTGGTTTAAAACAACATCAATTATTTTACTCTTACCCCGTACATTTCTGGAGCTTGACTGAACTCAGCAAGATTGTTTTCACTCAGCTCTCTTGTGCAGTTGCAGGCAGACAGTGGCTGGGGCTAAGTTGTCTGATGGCTGGCTTACTCATATGACTGGTGCCTGGCCTGGAAAATACCAACAGCTGGGGCTCCTTCAGCAGATCTCTATCTCCATGTAATAGAGAAGCTTCATGATAGCTAGAGTGAGAGATCCAGGCAGAAGCTGTTCTGCTCTTAGGACTTTGGCTGAGAAGTCACACAGCATTACTTCTGCCATAATCTAATAGCTGAGGCAGTCACAAAAGCCTGACTAGTCTCACGAGCAGGAGACAGAGACTTGACTTCTTGATGAAGAAAGTGCAAGTTCTGGTACATCACATAGAACCAGAAACATTCTTGCAGCCATTTTTGGCAAAAAAAAAAAAAAAAAAAAAAAAAAAAAAAAAAAAAATCTGTTCAAAAAAGTTCACTTAGAGGAAAGTTAAATGAATTTCTTGCCTATTCAAGTCAATGCACGGAAATTTATACCTAACAAACGGTAACGATTTGAGACTCATTCACCATACAAGGATCGGGAACCACAGATGCAGCCCAATGTCCTCATTTTACAACTGAGGACACTAAGACATAAACAAGGTCAGTGACTTGTACAGCGTCTCACAGAGAGTCAGTGTCAGAGCAAGCCTAGATCCCAGGTCTTTGAGACCCACCTTAATTCCCTTCCTAGCCTCTTTCTCTCTAGTCTTTCCACTGACCTTCACGTGCTCATTTACGAACAGAGCTGAGTGGGCGAGGACACATAGAGTTCTTGCTCTTAAGTACCTGATGGCAGTAGAAGTATTTGCCAACAAGGGCCACACTGAATTCAGGCATGGAATAAAAGGAAACACCACAAGGTTTCCCAGATGTGAAGAGGGCGAGGACTTCCCAAGCAATGACGTTCTAAACATGGCAGGCAGACTCACCCATCAGAACAGACACTAGCCATAAACAACCAGTAAGATAGTACCCATGTGTCCCAAGTGGATATCACCTTTGCCCCCTCTCTGACCAAGGTAAAAAGATGTTTTCCTCGTTTGTTTTATTTTTAATTTTTTTTTATTTGTTATATATATTTTAAGACAGTGTTTCACTCTGTCACCCAGGCTAGAGTACAGAGGCATGATCATGGTTCACTGCAGCCTTCACCTCCCAGGCTCAAGCAATCCTCCCATTTCAGCCTGCCAAGTAGCTTGAACTACGGGAACGCACCACCACGCCTGGCTAACTTTTGTATTATTTTGTAGACATTGGGTGTTGCAATGTTGCCCAGATGGGTCTCGAACTTCTTGGGTCAAGTGATCTGCCTGCCTTAGCCTCCCAGAGTACTGAGATTACAGACATGGGCTACCATGCCTGGCCTAATTTCTTCTGTTTAAATCCAAGACTATTCATAGCTTTGTGGTACAAATTTCAGGTTGCAAATTCATTTGTTCTAGGGGAAAATGAAATAGGATTTTCTAAGTGCTAGCAAAAATAATGTTGAAGTTTCTCCTTAAATACTTTTTAGAAGTTAAATCACTGCTGCTGAAGAAAAATGATGAGTCAATAGAAACTAAAGCATGATCATATGGATTAAATTTTTCTCAACAAGACTGTTTTTTTAAAGGAAGGGCAAAGAATTGAGAAGAATTGGTTTCCAGTAGATTTTTTGTTAACAATCATCAGTTTTCTATACATAAGACTTATCCAGCCTGGTGTTATGGAGATAGGGAATGGGGTACCAAATGCAGGAGTATAATTTCGCTGCAAGATTAACTGAAGAACAGAAAAACTATAGTTAAAATATAGCACTTGGTATTCTATTAGGTAAAAGAAAGAAAAAAAAGTATACGAGAAGAAATTTACATTGGCATCTTTGGTTCCAGTGGGGAAATTATATTTGACTGCCTCTCCCTCTGGATGGCATTTAAATGAACAATACAGACTTCACAGAAACCTAGCACATTAGAGCTGGGAAAGGTCTTAGAGAAGATTTTGTCCAAATGCTGCATTTTACAGGTGATGATGTTAAGGCTGTGAGAGAAAAAGTAGCTCACTCAGTTACACAGCTGGTGGAGCAAGAGCTGGAACCCAGGACTCCCAGCCTCAATGCTTGTACATGGTTCACATTATCACCCACTGAAATCTCAGAAATATTTTAGCAACAGCACGATCTGTAGTTAGAAACTTGAGATTCCTAGAGAAAGAAGGAGCTTTCAGAGGCATCTGCTCTTTGCCTCCCAGCATCCACCCCACTCCTCTGGCAAGTCTCTGTTTTTGTTTAAAGATCTACAGTTCAGCCACTTCTATCCACAAGGTTAGAAGACATCATACTGAGTGCTGCAAAACATGACCAATGTCAAGCCAATCACCACAGTGCAACCCATTCCACTGTGATTGGTTCATAGATGGACACTTTACCCATTGAGAACCAATGAAAAACAATCAGATTCTTGTTTCTGTTTTTAACCTGAGAAAGAGTTTCATTATCTTCTTCTTTCAACTTGAAGAGGAAGAAATATCAGACTTGAAGCCACTGAAGTGATTTTTATCCTACTTGGATATTGAGAACAAAGCCAGTACAGCAGAAGACAGAACCAAGAGATGTGAGAAACCACACACAGGAGATATTGTTTGGACATTGAATCTAGTCGTGTCTGAAACCAGCTCTAACCATGTACTTTTTAGTTACATGAGCCAGTGAAATCCACTTAATCACTCAAGGCAGTTTATGTTAGGTTTTCCATCACATGCAATTATAGGGGTTCTAAATAACACAAAACCCTAGAGATAATTAGACCTATTCCCTGCCAAAAATGAAAAACAAAACCAAACAAACAAGCAAACAAAAAACGCTGAAGCCAGAGAATTGAAACAACTTGTGCAATACTGCAGAATTTAAGTGGCAAAGCCAGGCTAACACCCAACCTTCTAAACCCCAGATCAACTGCCCTTGTGCTCTGAATTATTCAATAGGAGTGAGGCCTGAGTCAAGGGATGGATCCCTCAAGGAATCAACATGGGTAGAGTATTCCCTCCAAGTAAAATGAGGACGGTGCAAATCTAAGCCTAGGGACAGGTCTGGATAACAAATAACAAAACTGAATCTAGAAGTGAAAATTGAGATGGAATCCGGAGGAGAGAAAAGCTGCAATCTGATTGGAAACAAGACAGGAACACATAACATGGGGTCAGGATTTGGAGGAGCAAAGAAAGGAGTTCAGGTACGTAGAGACTTCTGAGGCTCCCATGGTCAGTCATGTTTTTGGGAAACCATTCAGCATTTTTAAGGTTAGCAATAACATTCTGTAACTCCCATTGTATATGGCTTGCTTATTTTCCTTATTGAATTGACCCAAAGGTCAAAATGAAAGCAGATGTGACTACGTTGGGTATTCAGAGACCGGTGATCAAGTCGCAGCTCTGTTGCAGAACAGTTGTGTGGCCTTGGGTAATACCAACAATGGACTCAAGCAAGGCATTTGAATTTGTGTAACCTAACTGAAATTTGCTGATGTGAAGCCTCAAAAGGGGGTTTCAAGTGGTTTCTCTGAAGATAGATGATGATGATGATAGATAGATAGATTAAATAGATAAGCAAGTAGGCATATAGATGGGCAGAAAGTAGATATACACACTATATATATATATCCACAAATATGTAAACACTTATAAATTGTATATTTCCCTTAAACTTTAAACTCCTAACAATTTAAATTTTTTAATGGCTCTCCCAGTGCCCAGTAGTTAAAGGTCACCCTTATTGGTTTGTCACACAAGATTTTTCATGAGCTGATCCCATCCTTTCAAACCAGTTTCATGGCTCATTTTCTTTCCCCGTTCCTAATGTTCTAACCACATTTAACCACCACTGGTCTGCTTCTAGAGCTTTGCTCATGTTATTTATTCTGATTGTCTAGCCTTCCCTGTTCCCTCAACCTGGCAAACCCCAACTCATTTTTCAAGACCCAGCTCAAGCATCTTGCTCTCTGTTATCTTCCTAAACTCCCCAAGCAGAGTTGGCCACTCTCTCTTTTGTCCTACTACAATACCTTCTGCAGATCTTTTTTGTCTACTTATTTCTGTGATAAAATTGTTTTCTTACATATCTACTTCTAGTATTAACTTGTAAATTCCTTGACATAATCCATGATAGTCCCATGTGATATTACTGGTTCATTATTACACAGTACCCCATTGCTATTAGATTTTTAGCATGATGGAGCGACTGCACTTAGGATTTGAGGCAACACCTCATGGTGCTAGGGTCACCTAGGAAAATACCTAGAGTACCAAAAAACCATGTAAATGTGTAAGTGGGAGGAGTGTCAGACAACAGAGAATGAGAAAGACCATCTTGAACTGAGAGTGTGTGGCCGGCCCGTATAAAGGGAGCAGCCCCTACTCAGCTGTAAGTGCATCTCTGTCAGCCACACCTCCCTTCTTGTATAACTGGTAAAGCAAATGTTTTGGAGTTAATGGAATTCCATTCTCAGGTCTACCCCTCACTCACTGTGGGAATGTGAGCAAGTTATTGAATATCTCTGAGATTCAGTGTCCTCATCTACAAAAGAGAATTAGCTACTCATCAAAACTCTATCTTCCTTATCCTAAGCAGATAGCCAATTCTATTTCCATCTCCCTGTGTAGTGAGGTGAGATCACCTTCCTTTGTTCTGATCATCAGCATGTAAAGGGAAGAAAGGCACACCCCTTCCTGGCCTGGCCCATAAAAACCTCCTGTCTTAGTTTCAGTTACCTCATAAGTAGATCATAAGATAAGGATGAGAGTACAAGTAGTTTATTTGGAAGATGACCTCAGGAAATGCCAATGGAGGAGTGAAAAAAAGAATTGGGGAAGGAAGCCAGTAAAGGATGTATAATTAAGAAAGTTATCATTCTAGGCAACTGGAGCTTAATCCTACAGGAAACTGGTAAACAGCATAGATTTCCCTCATTCCACCTCCACCTAAGAGTCTAATGACCCTTGATGTGGGATATTTATATACCAACCATCATTGGTCATTATTTGGTGGCTATGAATTAGTTTCTGGGCACTTCTGGCTTGCTCTGCATATGAGCAGAGAAGGTTCACATGGCCAGAGAAACTTCTCAGGAAAGAGATGCAGGTGATGTTCCTGGTGTTGGAAGTGAAACCGGCATGCACTGAATGGAAGGGGCCAAGGATATATGTGTGTGGCCCTGCCTGCTATCCTGCCATATGCAATATCTCATTCTCCTCCTTGCTCCATGGATGAATGAAGAGGATTCCAAAGCCTTAGAGAAAGGCAGAACCATGAGACTAAAGGAGCCTGAATCCTAAAGTGACCAATGGAAGGCTGTTCACTGGCCAGGAAAACCCAATTTGTCTTTACATTGGCAAGAAATAAAACAAATTTTTCTAAGCCACAAAAATATGGAGATTATTTGTTACAGCAATTAGCTTATTCTGACTAGTACAGGGAGAAAGTAGATATTTATACAGCCAGCCATATCCACTGCTTAAATCCTGGGATCAGTGGGTAACACATAATGCCACTGAATCACTATCTGGTTCATAAAAACAAGTGAAATGCCAGGTAAAAGCCCTTGAGGCTACAAAGGAATGACAGGCAGGCAGACATACAAAAGAGCCTCTGGTTTATGCAAGAAAAGCCCTATCTCAGAAACACAGAGGGCTCTTGATCTTTGCCCTTTGGCTGCATTGTTTCTGCTTTCTCTCTATGGAGAGAACAGATTGGATTAGATCTTCAGTGTATTGGCTCTGGGGTGTTACAGACCCATCTAAGATTACACATTAAAGCTCTCCAGGTGGCAGAAATCAGCCCTGAATTTGCAACTGAACTCTAAGCACAGTGACAAGGAAAGATACATTTTTTTAATCTATGGCTCTTGCTCAAAAGAGAAGTTAGCTTTATAGTTACTGCCCCAGTGTGGCCAATGATGACAAGACTATTGGGAGCTCCAAGGAGGATAGAATCAAGTGGGACCAATTATGGTTAGGGGCTTACTTCATGCCATATCAAGCCACCAGCCTTCACAGCAGAGAGTATTAGCATTTGTTGACTGTATATCACTTGCCAAACACAGTTCTATAATCCCATTTATTCTCCTGACAGCCTCAACAAGCATCATCACCCATATTTTTCAGGTGGGAAAAGTTAAGTTTGGAGAGGAAAAGTCCTCTGTGCAAGGTCAAGAGCCAGGGAGTGACTCAATCCTCAGACACCAGAAACAATGCATATTTCACCACATCCTGATTTCTCCTTTTCTGGCTTCCTTTCCATGTAATGCACAAACGTAAGAAACAGAATATTGGGAATTTTTGAGGTCGGCAAACTTAAAATCACATAATTTCTAAATATGCATCTAAACAGTTATCAAATTAATTTTTTATTTAAGCAGTTATCAAATTAATTTATGTAAACAGCTATCTAAATATGTTCCTTCAATAATTCATGTGATATGTGCAGAGTAGGCATCTAAAAATATTTTAAGGAACAAACGAATGTACTACATGTTCTTTGATATTTTTTTCATATGTTGACAAAGTTTCTATTTTTTTTTCCAACTTACAACCGGTAAAAATTTCACTCTCATAATGTCTTTGCTGCTTTGCTTTTTCATCTCCAGTGTATCATTCCACTTCACTCTCCCTCCCCTCTTCCCAGCTACGACAACGAAACACCATATCTCGAAAATCTTCCCCAGTAGCTGCAGTCCTCGGGAACCTATCTCCTCCTACGTCATCTTGCAGTATCCCCTTTTTCCATGGCAGCCTTCTTCCTGAGGGAGACCACTCTGCTGATCTTCCCTGACAAAAAAAACCCAACATTTTGTAAAACTTTACAATTCACAAAGCAATTTCTTCCAAGATAAAGTCATTTGATTTTCACAATAACCCAGAGAGGAAGGCAAAACAAGTATCATTAACTCCTGTTTCAAATGAGAAAATCGAGACTCAGAGGGGCTATGTGATTTGCTCAGGATCATGCAGCTGCAAGATGAATAAAGACTCAAAGCATGGTTTTCTCTCTCCATGCCCCAAGCTCTTTACACTGAATGATTTTGCATGTTCTCTCCTGTTGACTTCTGAGGCAGCTTGCCAAGTGACCCCAGCTCATGCACTCCCTGGTTCCAGGTCTGCCACCCTCAGCTACCAACATCCACAGCAGTGAGTAACAGTTGGGCTCTCAATGGGAAGCCATCTCAACCTGCCTCTACTAAGCAACAAGATTGTCATAGAGACAGGTGAACAAATAAGCAGAAGCCGATCATCAGAGAAAAGCCTGTTGCAATAGAGGCTGCATATGCAGGGACTGAGGATCTTCCCCAGATACTCACAATTCCCTCAAAAGATCAGAAAAAACTCTGGCCCTTAAACACTTTGGAATCAGACATAGGAATGTTTGAGTCCAGCTCTGCTGCCTCTATAACCATGGATAAGTTTTAACACCCCTGAACTCCAAAATAGTGAAGAGAATATTAACAGAATATTTGTGAGCATCAGCTGAGATGGGCAAATAAAGTGCTTAGGATAAGACCTCAATAATGGAAGCTATCATCAATATTTGTAATTTATATGATATATGGTTGTAATAATAATACAACATGATAAATATAAGAAAATTGTGTACCCCAAACAAAACATGGATAGAACAAGGAAACAAAAAAGCTACCAAAGGAAGCTCTGCAAATAACTACTGCTTTTGGTATCACTACACAAATATCCAGTATTAATCCTATTTCATCTGTGTGTAGTTTTTCATAAATAATGAGATGGGTGTTTAACCCAGGATCATTCTTTGTACATGAAAGGAGCTGACTAAAATGCACATGTAGCATAAAGCACAGGTTGATATCCTTCAATCTAACTGTGATGGCAAACTGCATTTGGGAATATTTTGGATTTGTTCTCAACAAAGTCACTCCAGCAAATTCTTGGTATATGGAAGTTGCTAAAGCACCATTCAGAAGTAAGAATACAGAGTATCACTCATGTGGCTTCAAAGGGTACAGAGCTATGTGATCCTAGGGAGAGATAAATTTGGTGCTCCAAACTATCAAAGTACCCAGACCTGAATTGTTCTGGGGAAGCCTAAGTTTTATTGAAATCTTGACCCTTTGAAGGGCCCTAACATTTCTCATCTGGAAGCCAAAATTCCCAAAGTTGAGGTGTTTTAACATTAAGAAGTAGAGTACTTAGAAACACTACGTGAGAAAAACAAATTTTGTGCCCGCATTGAGTTTACTGTACATATTTTAGAGAAACTTGACTTTGATAGCGTGTTGGTTAATTTTATGTGTCAACTTGCCTGGACTAAGGGATGCCCAGATAGCTGATGCAACATTATTTCTGAGTGTGTCTATGAGAGTGTTTTCAGAAGAGATTATTAGCATTTGAATCAGTAGACAGAGTAGAGAAGATCCTCCCTCACTAACACTAATATGAGCACACATCATCTAATCTGTTTAGGGCCCAACAAGAACAAAAAGGCAGAGGTAGGGTGACTTTTCTCTCTCTCTCTCTCTGTGAGGTGGGACACTCATCTTTTCCTGCCTTCTGACATCAGAACTTCTGGTTCTTAGGCCTTGGGACTTCAGGACACCATTGGTTCTTATGGCTCTCAGGCCTTCAGACAGACTAAATTATACCACTGGCTTTCCTGGTTCTCCAGCTTGCTGAGGGTGGGATTTCTCACCACCATAATCATGTAGCCAACCCTTATAATCACTTCTCTTCTCTTCTCTTCTCTTTTCTCTCTCTCTATCTCTCTCCCTCCCTCCCTCCCTGCCTGCCTCTGTTTAGGTATGTGCATGTATGTGTGCAGTGTGTGTGTGTGTGTATACATATTCTGTTCTGGAGAACACTGACTAATACAGATAGCTAAGAAAATAACTCTATTGGAAAATTAGAAAATGTGCTACTTTGAGGAACTAAATTATCCTTGCAAAACTGTTCATTATCTTAATTAAAATAATAGACATAATTTCTATTTTTAGAAATAAGGATTCTCTAGACTTGGACAAAAAATGGAAAATTCATTTATTCATTCCATATGCACTACATATATATATATATATATATATATATATATATATATATATATATATATATAGACAGAGAGAGAGAGAGAGAGAGCCTTCTCTCTTCCAGACATTGTGCTAAGTTTTAGGAACAAATAAGAAATAATTTCTAATTCATACCCTCAACAAGCTTATGATCTGAATATGGAAATGGGCATGCATCAGAGTATGGTAAATGCTAGCCAAAACTGAGAGAGTTTTGTCTTCCAAAGATGGCTCTAATAATATTTCCAATCCCACATTCTCTTCTTGAACCTGCAATTCCCTATCAAGAGGTAGAATCTAACTCCTCTGCCCTTAAATCTGGACAGGCCAGTGACTCAATGATAGGTAAGAGAATGCAGCAGAAGTGACACTGTGACTTCCAAGGCTGAATTTTACAGGCAAGTAGCTTCTGCCTTGTCTTCTGGAGTACTCAGTCTTGAAGTCTTCAGCTGCCACATAAGCAGTTGGACTGTGCTGAGGTTGCTATGCCACAAGGAAACCCAAACTAGGCCATGCAGAGAAACCACATGGAGAAGCTCTGAGACTGCACTAAAGAGGGAGATACTTGGCCAGCTGACAGATGCTCCAATATGCCCTCTTCCCCTGCTGCTCCAGCTGCAGCCACCATTTAACTGCAGTCCATGAGGGCTCCATGCTAGCAACTCAGCTAGGGCCTTCCTGAATTCCTGACCCACAGAAGTCCCAAGATTCAAGAAGGTTGCTGTTGCACTAAGTTTTGTGGTGATTTGCTATGGAGCAATTGTAACTGGAATGAGGCCCTTAGAGGTAGAACCCTATTTGCTGTGTCCACTAGTTTTTAATCTGGTGAACAGAGTGTCCACCGCATAGTGTGTATTCCACAAACATTTGTTTAATTTTGTTGGATAAAGGTAAGAGTTCGGGACATTGGTAGCATAAAGGAAGAATGACTAATGAGACCAATGAATAGGAAATGCTTCACAGATGTGGTGACGAATCAGCTGCATCTCGATGGATGAATCAATATTTCTCAATGAAACAAAGAATGGGAATGGAATGTCAGGTAGAAGGGACAGCAAATGCAAGTCACACACGTCATGGAACAGCTTGGGAAGCATAAGCAACTTACTTGGGCTAAAACAGGGCATGTAAATGATGGGGAATGCTCCTGGAGAAGTAGGTGCCGCTGGAGCAGGAGAGGCCTTGTGGGCTATGCTGATCACAGAGCTGTTACACCCGCCCCCACTCCCAGAAAGAAGGCCTCATCAGGCCAGCCAGGCCTCCCCTCCACATCTTCTACTGTTTCGATGCCTCTATTGGGCATGCAGGCCTCTTCTCTTGATCTGTGTCACTGAAGGGTTGAGAACTCTGAAGTGACTCAGTTCTAGACATACTTTGCAGAACATAATCTACTCCTCATCTAGATAAGTGCAGGGTTTTTCTACAAATGGGACACAGATCCCTTCAAATCTTGAAACTCCAAGACTCTCTGGGGTTTCCAGGAAAACCTCCAATCTCCCAGAGACACAGACAGGGGAAGAAGATTCAGGGATACATTGGCATGTATACTCTTTGCTTTCTCCAAGATGCTCCATATTTTTTTTCTTTAAGTCCAACTATTCCTTATTTAGTCTGGCAAAGGACAGCCTGGATCTCCAGCTGGTCTTTCAAATATGCTGTTTGTGTACCTGGGCCCTAGACTTTTGAATCTGAAAACCACAAAATAACATCCTTGTTATCTGTGTTCTGCAATGACATCTTTGAGACAGTGCCTCTATCTGGATAGCAAACATCCCATTCTCCCTCTCATGCTGCTTGTCTAGCATGGAGGTGGTCTGCTCATCCAGTCCCTCAGGATCGAAGGCAGACACTAACTCCATCTCAACACATGCTTCCACAGTCACCCACAAGGGTGAAGAGAAGGTATTGAACTGTCCCCTAGCTTTTAAGACTTCTGCCCAGACACACACACACACACACACACACACACACACACACACACACCACAACTGAGGCTAAAGAGAAAAGCCTGCTGCAGAGGCTATATCCAGGAGGATAATCTGCCTTGGCCACTGTTGTCATCTGCTCTGGCTGCCATAACAAAATGCCACAACATAAATTTCTGTTAAAGAAACAGAAATTTATTTTCTCACAGTTCTGGAGGCCAGAAGTCCAAGGTCAAGATGCCTGCATGGTCAGCTTCCAGTGAGGGCTGTCTTCTTGCAGATGGCTGCCTTCTCACTGTGTGCTCACATGACCTCTTCTTGTAAACAAGGAGAAAAATAGTGCTTTCTGAAATCTCTTCTTAAAAAGGCACGAATCCTATCAAATCAGGGCCCTATCCTTATGACCTAAATTAACCTTATTATGTCCTTACAACAGATACAGCCACACCGGAGCTTAGGGCTTCAATATGTGAATGTTTGGAGCACATATGCATTCAGTCCATAACAGCTACCATTTTTGAGAAGGGTAAATATGAAGCCCATATTATGTCTATCCCTGTAAGAAGGGATTCTTCTATAATTAAATGCAAACTATGAAAATGCCTCAGGCATAAAAACACTTTATATTTTTTAGATATTATAGAATAGTTCCCTTTTCTGTGCTGATTTAGAAAATAAAATTTACCACCTGGTAAATTATTTTTTAGAAAAAAGCTTTCATCTTGGTAATTAATCAACAAAATCTGAACTAAGAAAAAAGTTTGCTTCTCCTTTGTTCTCCACCATAAGCTAGAGTTTTCTTTTCATTCAATTCAAGATATAAGATATCCCTTGATGTCACAGTGTTTTGTTATGAGTTTGTTTTCCTATCTGAAATGCAAACCCCAACTTTTGAATAGTCATGGTTTAGATTACAGTGTAACAAAAACAGACCATAGTCAGAGATTGTGATAGTTTGTAAACTGATGTAATAAAACTGAAAATGAATTTTCCGCAAGATTCTTTGTTCTTATCTTTGGCCCATTGTTCTCTCAAACAATAGTTTTTGACATGGCTATTACATTTTGATATCTCTCTCCCTAACAGAAGTTTACGACAAACCTAAATCAAACAAAAGTGCTTCTGTTTCTAAACCTACACATGCTGTGGGGTATAGTTTGTATTTTAACAAATTCTTGTCAATATATTCAACCAAGAAAAGAGAAACAGTGACAAGGAAGGAAGGAAAAGAAGAAGGGATGAAAGAAGGAAGGAAGGGAGAAGGAAATAAGAGGGGCAGGAAGGGGACCATGGCTCTAATGGTCCAAACACTGACATTATATTTCCCTGGTCTCAAGCATCTCAACTTGAACATAGGCTGTCATAGCTGGTGTTTAGCAGTGTCTGGACACTTGTACAAACTAACAGGGCTAACTCAAGAGAGGCAATTTAAGTGAAGTGTTTTGCATAAAACCTTCTACCTGATCTGAAGGTGGCAACAGCAGGTTCAATCACAAGCAGCTGGGTGAAGAGATGTGGAGATAAAGACAACAACAGTTCTTTTCCAACCTGGCCTTAGGGACTCATTGGACAAAAAGCTTTTTTCCTGTCCCTGAATTCCTGCTCATCCATAATATAATATCTTCTACTCTCCCAGAGGTATTTTTCTCTTATTTCCTTCCCACAGAGGAGAGGTGACTATTCTGGTGGTGAGACAAGGGAAAGTGTCATTGCAGCTGCATGTGCCTCTCTCTGTGTCTGTTCACCTGTCCTTTCTTCATTCAGTGAGCCCTGTGGGAAGGACCCCCCCTTGCAGAGAAAAGCCTAAATATGCCCAAGGGTTCTGTCTTTGACTGGATGTATACATTCAATTCAGAGGAGACAGTACAGAAGCCCATCTGGTCCCTTGTCTGTATCTCACACTCTGAAATCTAGCTTTTTATCAATAACACTGATACTCTTGACTTTTGTGTGAAAATACTAATAGCCAATCCTTAGATAATGTTTATTATGTGCCGGACTTGATTCCAAATGGTTTACATGTATTAATTCATTTAATCATCTAAAATCCTATGAGGTACATAGTAAGACAGGATAATAGGCTCACAGAGATGTCCACATCCTAATTCTCAGAACCAGTGAATGTATTACATAGCGTGGCAAGAGGGGAATTAAGAAATTAAGATTGCTAATCAGCTGACCTTAAGATAAGGAGATTATATCAGAATATTCATGTGTGCCCAGTGTACTCACAGAGGTCATTAAAAATGGAAAAGAAAGGCAGAAGAGTTAGTTGCAGAGTAAAGAAACATGAGAAACACTTGTGACTGATCATTGCTGGCTTTGAAGATGGAGGAAGGGACCTATGAGCCCAGGAATACAGGGGACTTCTGGAAGCCGGAAAAGGCAAGAAAACAGATTCTCCCCTAGAACATCTAGAAAGGAAACATAGCTCTGCAAACACCTTGATTTTATCCCAGTAAGGCTCACTTCAGACTTTTGATCTCCAGAATTGTAAGATAATCAATTTGTGGTATTTTTAGCCACTGAGTCTGAGGGAATTTGTTACTGCAGCAATAGGAAACTTATATTGTTATTATCTCCACTTAGTGGTTGAGAAAATTGAGGCAGGAAATGTTACATAACTTGTCCAAGGTCATACCCAGGCCAACTGCTGCCAGAGCCGAACCTCTGGATCACTGTGCGAACTACTTCTTTTGTGCTTTCCTAAATTGGATTAGAAATAGGTAGAATAGGAGGAATGCAATTAATGACTGCTTTTACAAATCTCAACAGGGGAGAGAAGATAATGACC
The DNA here is from genome assembly GCF_000001405.40 of Homo sapiens. Lineage (NCBI taxonomy): Eukaryota > Metazoa > Chordata > Mammalia > Primates > Hominidae > Homo > Homo sapiens. Next base: position 31,018,252 of record NC_000003.12, read on the forward strand.
AACATTGTTGAGTATTTCCAATGCTGCACATTTGGCATGCATTCTCTCATTTGATCCTCAGAGAAACCCCTGGTAATAGACATGTTTAATACATGTAACAGATGAGAAAACTGAGGTTTGCAGAGGTGAAGCAACTTGTTCAATTGGTGGGATTAGTAAGTGGTGATGGTAGGAGCTGCACACAGCAGTCTCACAGGCAAGTCATACCTGTTCATATATTGCTAAACTTAAACAGCTCACTTTCATAAGCCATCCATGACACACAGACATATATAGTACTGCTTCAGGGCCCTAATGACAAAATTATCACACGGACTGGGGAAAGGCTCATTTTCAGCTCTTCTATGTGGACATAGCCCTGACCTAAGCTCATGTACTTAGGGCAACACCAGTTCCCGTTGGGCAAGATGCTATGGATGTCTGGAAGACATGAGTGAAGCTGCTCTGACGTGGTTTGTGATTACACATTCAGTCCCTGGAGGTTTTCATAAATATCTGGGGCAGGGAGCTGAGCCTTTGGGGAAAAAGCAGGTGCAACAATGAACAAAATATGAGATATTAATTGTTCTGTGACCCTGTCTGTATCCATAAGCCGGTAAGTTTGGGAAAAGGCAGACAAACTTTAATCAGTGAATAAATGAGCTGTTGCCATGCTATTCACAACCACAAAATCTTAGCAACATATGATAAGTACCTATTTCTCATTCATACACCTGGAGTTTGGCCAATCCAGGCTGGACCAGGCAGAATTTGGCCTCAGGGTATGAGTCAGGTCCCAGTCTGCTCCATATATCTCATTATTCTAGGACCAGCAGGATACCCAGGGGGTATCTTTTTCATGGTGATGGCAGAAATGCAACAGGGACAAAGGGAACATATGATGCCTCTTAAAGACTAGGCTTGGAATTTGCACATGGCAACTCAAATCAAGTCATCCTAGCCAAGCCCAATACCACTGGGACAGTGAAGTATATATATCCTTCTCATGGAAGTGGCAGAAGTGGGAAATATTTGCTGACCAATAATGGAATCTGTCACAATCATTGCAAATCAAAGCCCATGAGGAGAAACAGATACCTTTAAACTGATGTCTGCAAGTGTCCTCACTTACAGACACATAGGCTCTGACTTCTCTTCCATACAAACTGGTCATCTATGCTCTTGGAGATATGCAATATGGCATTCCTCATCTTCAACTTCCAACATGTGCAGCTGTCTGCTGGGCCTCTTGAACATCTGTACTCCTATAATGTACTGTCCTTAAATGAGATCTAAGTTTACAGTTGGTATGGAGTCCACTCACAACAATGAAAAGCTCTCACATGGAAATTGTGCTTGTACAACATTCAATGGGCTCCCATCATGCCGATGTCCTCCTGCTACATGGACTGTCAGGTGCAGCCTTTTTGAGAGTCTCGTTATGTGCGTAATGTCTGGCTCAGTGCAACTATATCACTTTGGAAAGAACTTTTGAAGTACGCTGAACTCAAAAGGCAAGAAGGGACATTTGCCTTCAATTGCCTTCTCTCTCAACCAGTGACTAGATGAAATAACAGAAAAATAGATGAGGCCCTTAACTGTATAGTTCTCTTAATAAGTTAAGAGCACAGCTTACAAATGTTGACAAAGGTAGGGAGATAATCATTTCTTTGAGAGAAGAAAAAAAAGCAGATGACCATCTCGCAAAGCATGAATGTATTGTCTATATTTAGAAAAAATATCAGAAAAAATGATAAATTTTCTAGCTTTTTACAAGACATTAAAAGGAATCCAGGCTTTCCTTTCCTGACTCCCAGGAACATCATCTGAGGAAAGAACTGGAATCCCGTAAGCTAGTAGAAAACATGGCTTTTGCGGTTTTATATTGCTCCCATTTTTTTTTTCTTTATGTACTTTGTATTTCCTTCAAAATTACAAAGAAATAAAAGTAATGGTAGGTTTTGCCCTGGGATTTTGTTGGACTGAAGAAAGATGTTTCTAATTCTCTGCTAAGTATTTCTACTACTGACTATGCTCTGCATTCATTGAGTTTCTGCTCAGGAGGGTATAACAGAAAAGAGAACATGTTTTGGAGTCAGATCCTTGGACAAGTCATTAGCCTCAGTTTCCTTTTCTATAGAATCACGATGTTGATGCCTAATTTAATTCAAGGCCTTATTTTGAATATCACCAGGTAAACTCCAAAAAGGTAACATCAACTTGGAAAAATTTTAATCTTGAATTATCATGAAATTTTGATCTCTTCTTTATGCCTACTCTACATTAATTAGAGAGAGCACGTATCTCCCCCATTTCCTCCTTGTATCCATGGCAGCATTGTGGCTAATCCATAAATCCTCTGTATTACCATCTTTAGCCAATTCCCAAGCAACCATCTTTCAGGTAGGCTGACCTCGACAATGCAGGGTATACCTTACATTTTGACCCCATCATATCTGCACGTGGTTTCCATAATCACAGATAAAGGGGTAGAGAGCTGAGGGATGAGGAGGAGGAGGTCACACACTATTAAATTTTTCATTAAAGACATGACACACATCACTTCTACTTGTGGTTCATTCATTAGAACTAATCATATGACCCAGATTTTCTGCAATGGGACTGGGAATGTGAACATTTATCTAGCAGTAACTACGTCTGTCATAGAGGGTTTTAAGAGAACCACATCCAAATCTTTGATCACCCTGATGTCATGTGGCTGTAGGTAGGGTGAAATGAATGTTTCTCTGGGTAGGTTGAATATACAGGCACATTCGAACTCCTTCCCATCTCTATAATGTGATTATTTTATGAGCTCAATGACAATGAGACTAATATTTAGAGTTCAAGAAAAAAAATCTTAATTATTATTATTTTTATTTTTATTTTTCGAGACAGAGTCTTGCTCTGTCACCCAGGCTGGTGGGGCAGTGGTGTGATCTCGGCTCACTGCAACCCTTGTCTCCCAAGTTCCAGCTATTCTCCCTGCCTCAGCCTCCTGAGTAGCTGGAATTACAGGCACTCACAACCACACCCGGCTAATATTTGTATTTTTTTAAGTAGAGATGGGGTTTCCCCATGGTGGCCACGCTGGTCTTGAACTCCTGAACTCAGGTGATCCACCCACCTTGGCCTCCCAAAATGTTGGGATTACAGGCGTGAGCCACTGCGCCCAGCCAAAAATCTTAATTATTAAGAATACAAACAAAACGTAAAGTACAGTACACAGGGCTGAGGTTAAGGGAAGAATTCTGGAAATCTGATGCCTGTAAAACAAGTCAATAGGATGTAAAGAAGAAAAGAAATTTCAAATAATGTAGAATATATGGACAGAGCTTGTTTTGAACAAATATTTCAAGCAGGCCTCTCTGAGCACCATTGTAGGCCAGCACAACCCTTTTGGAAAGCAATTTAGCAAAGTATCAAGAGCATTCCAAATGTCCCTGTACTTTGAACTTGGAATTTCACCCTTGAGAGCTTATCTTTAAAGAAATAGAAAACAACTCTTTTAAAGACAGGGTCTCTCTCTGTCACCTAGGCTGGAGTGCAGTGGTGTGATCATGGCCCACTGCAAACTTAAACTCCTGGGCTCAAGCAATAGCTGGGACTACAGATGGTCTCTAAGACTTCATGTTAAAGAAACATTTCCTAAAACACTCTAAGTAAAAGTTCATCACAACTTTATAATATAAAACAAATGGAAACTAGAAAGTTTATGCATTAATCTTTAGGTAAATCATGCTATATACACCTAGTGGACTCTTTATTTATGAAGAAATAATCATATAAATACCAATTTAGCATCATTTTACCAAACAACAGTCCTATACTCTGAAAAAATGTTAATTCATACAAACCAAAAGACAACTGTGGAGCCCTTTAAGATTAAAGGAGACCAAGGAGACGTGCCAACTAAATTCAATGTGCTACACTTGATAGAATCTTGTTGGGGAAAACATTGTTATAGAAGACATTGAAGCAAATGGCAAAATTTAAATAAAAATTTGTATGATATCCATATTAAATGCCCTAAATCTGATCACCCTTGTTATTATACAGGGAATGCCTTGTTCTTAGGAGATACCCGCCAACATGTTTAGGCATAAAGGATCATAAAGTCTTCTACTCAATCTGAAATGATTCAGAAAAAGAAAAAATATTAATAATATTGTATATATAGTAAAGATAAAGATAATGCAACTGTTGCAAAATATTAACAATTGATGAATATAGAGAAATGGATGTTTAGTGTACTATTTTTGCAATTTGTAGTTTTAAAATTTTTCAAATTAAAAGTTTTTAAAAATATGCTCATCTGGAAAATGTTTATGACATAAGATTAAATAAAAATTCAGGGTATATAATCATGTATCCAGTGTGACCTTAGTTAAGTTAGAAATGCCTCTCTATGTAGAAAGCAAGACTAGAAGGAAAATACTGAAATATTAACAAATAACTAAGTTCGGTGGATGGATTGAACTGGGAATGCTTTTACACTTCCAGTTTTTATATATTTTCTTCACCTTTTTAATAACAATCTATCACTTTCATAATGAAAAAATTAGAAAAAAAGAACTACCAAGTACATAGTAACAAACAGAGTCATTTTTCCCCATGTTTCCAACTTTGAGCCTGAAGCCAAAATCCAGAGCATTGACAGAGGGAAATGAGTTCAAGCTGTCAGCTATTAAAGTGTGAAAGTCTATGTTTCAGGGGTTGCCAAGTGACCTTTAATGAACACCTGTCTGAGACAGAAAAATCACAGTATTCCAAGCTTAGGACTCAATGTATAATTTAGCTTTAGTATCACAGTGGGGCTACTGGATATAGCTCCAGCTTTAAGATTTATGGCCAAGCTGAGGAATATTTTTGAATTTGGCTTATTCTTCACAGACTTAAGCTTCAAGTTCATATGGTGCCAAGTAGCGAACCTCGACTTCTAATCATAGACCAAATGGGTTAGGCCTAACTGATTCATAAGCCTGCAAACATCTTTCAACTTTGGTAAGGTCAGCATCCTCTCAGTTCCTGGATCTTGGCCCCAGAAACTCTTTCCTACCCCTTCCTAACTAGTTTTTTCTGAGTTTACTATCTGTTTCTATTTTCTGGCTCCTGTTCTCAAAACCCACGTCCTCCCCAGGAATCCTTCTAGAAAAGTAGTCTTGCCTCACTTTTGTCTATCTGAAACAACTCAGCACGCCTAACACTTCTCTTCCTTCACATGGACAACCATCCTTTAAAAGCCTCCCTTCCTCCTGTTCCACTGACTCAGGGAATTGTCTCCAAGCTCCACTCACCCTTGCCTCGCACCCAAATCCATTACTCTATCTTGCTAGAACCACATGTATCTTTGGAATCTCAGCCCATTCCTTCCACCCATATAGGCTGATGTTTCTGACCATTCTCAAGGCAGCCCTGGCTGGGTCAACAGCTTCCATTCAGACCCTAAGACCTCTGCCTTTGTAGAAAATTGGTTTCAGTTTGCCTGAACTAGAAAAGTAGCTATCAACATTGCCAAATCCTACCAGGGGACCACAGGCCTTCCCATCTCCTGCACAGAGTCCTCTCATGGGGGTTGCATTGATTCTTAGCTCTCCTCTGACAGAACACACCGTGCTGGCACTGCTTCTAAGTTCTAATTCTACTGAGCTGACAGGAATATCAACTACAGTCATCCTAGAGGTTCCCCAGTCCCCAGCGTTATGCAGAGTTATGCAATGCCGTTCTCTGCTTGCATTAGCAGTCAGGTGGGTTCCTCAGTAGGCTTAAAGCCAATTCATGTTCCCCACTCAGAATCATCCTCACCCCACCTATGCCCTTATATAAATGACTGCCTGTGTCAATTCTTAAAGTGAAGTAAAATGCCCATGTCCATGGCTATGTGGTTTCCACTCTTCTTCACACAGAGGCAATCAAAAGTCATCAACCTCCACTCACACTCCCTCAGTTTATGTTTTTACCTATAGATCACTAGGAAAATAGAAGCACTTAGACAGAAAGTTTCCCATCTTTATATATCCACACCTATTCCACTCTCTCATTTTCCTTCTGATTCAAGCACGAACTGTCTTTTATTCTGCTCCTTCATTGTTGTATCACCTACATCATCAGTTTACATCCAGGGGACTTTCTCCATCAGCAAACATACTTAAGGCAAACCCTTAATTTATCTCATATCCTCCTCCAGCTACTGTCCCATTTTGTCATTTTTCATCATAATTTGTCTCCATTTTTGACACTCCATTTTTCTTCTTTAATATACCCCAATTTAAGGAAGGCCAATGCTTTTCTTAGGGCCAGCAGTAACCTCCTTATTTCCAGATACAATAGTCACTCTTTTTTTTTTTTTTTTTTTGAGATAGAGTCTCGCTCTGTCACCCAAGCTAGAGTGCAGTGGCGCGATCTTGGCTCACTGCCAGCTCCACTTCCTGGGTTCACGCCATTCTCCTGCCTCAGCCTCCCAAGTAGCTGGGACTACAGGTGCCCGCCACCACGCCCGGCTAATTTTTTGTATTTTTAGTAGAGACGGGGTTTCACCGTGTTAGCCAGGATGGTCTTGATCTCCTGACCTTGTGATCCGCCTGCCTTCGCCTCCCAAAGTGCTGGGATTACAGGTGTGAGCCATCACGCCCAGCCAATAGTCACTCTTTTAGTCTCATCTCATTTACCCTTTTAGCTCAATACAGTTGACCATTCTTTCCTTGTTGGACTACTTCCTTCTCTTGGTTTTCCATAGTAATTCTAGACTCTGCTGGTTTTTCTCCAATTCCACAAGCCCCTCCCCAATCTTCTTTGCTAACTCCTCTTTTGATTTCCAAATGTTGGATGGCACTGCTGGGGATCAGCTCTAGGTTATGTGCAAGTCTCCCTCTATGCTCTCTGGGATCTTACTAAGACCAATGGCTGTGCCAAAGACTCTCCCAAATTGATACTTTCATACCAACCACTCCTCTGGTGCCAAACCCATATAGACAGCTGCTTCCTTGACATGTTGGATGTCTACAAGGCATCAGAAACTTTACATGGTCAAACAAAATTCTTGATTCCTTCTCTCTCTCTTTCATAGAGAGAGATTTGCACATGGCCTGGAACTGATCTCCAGCAGTGCAGTCCAAAATCTAGAAGTCAAGTAAAGGAGGGGGAGTTAGCAAGGAAGACTGAGGACAGGCTTGTGGGATTAGAAAGAAACCAGGAGAGTCTGTCTCTCTCCATCTCTCTCTCTCTCACTCACACATACACACACACACACACACACACACACACACACACACACAAATTCCCTTCCAACCCAGGTTCTATTTCAGTTAATGCCACTAGTCCTAGTCCTAATCCCTTGTCCTGAAATCTGAAATCCTCTTTGCTTCCTTTAACTTCTTATTCCCTCACCTCCAAACCTGCAAACCAACAACAAATCCATTAGATTTTCCTTTGAACTACTTCTCAAATTCATTGACTTCTCATGCCCCTGCTACCACCCTGACCTCAGCCACACTGGCCTCTTGGCTCTACTGCTGCAATAGGCCTTAGTCAACCCCACTCTCCACTTCCCCTCCAATGCAATCCATTCTCCACACGCAGCCAGAATAACTTTCTTAGAATATAAATAGTATCATGTCACTCAGTTCTTCAGACCTTCCAATGGCTTCTTAAAATGATATCCAAATACCTTGCCACAGCCTACCAGAGCCTAGAGGAGACCTGCCGGTTTCTCCAATTCTGTCTTTCACCCCCTCCCCATTGTTCATCATGCTTTACCCACACTGTCTCTATCCCTATTCCTTAAACACACCAAGTCCTCTCCTGCCTTTGTACTTGATGTGTCTTCTGTCTGGATACTCTGCTCCCATATCTTCAAGACTGGCTTCTTATCATTTAGTTTCAGTTTAAGATTCATAGATTTTTTTTTTTTTATCATTTAGTTTCTTATTTAGTTTCAGTTTAAGATTCATAGATTATTTTTTCTTAATCTGAATTCATACTCCTCACTCTGAGTTGCTCCCCAAACAAGTTATTTTTTTATTTTTTATTTTTTTGAGATGGAGTTTCACTCTTTTTGCCCAGTCTGGGGTGCAATGGCACAATCTCGGCTCACCGCAACCCCCACCTCCTGGGTTCAAGCGATTCTCCTGCCTCAGCCTCCCAAGTAGCTGAGATTACAGGCGTGGCACTACCACGCCCCGCTAATTTTGTATTTTTAGTAGAGACGGGGTTTTGCCATGTCGGTCAAGCTGGTCTCAAACTCCCGACCTCAGGTGATCCGCCCATCTTGGCCTCCCAAAGTGCTGGGATTACAGGCATGAGCCACCAGGCCTGCCCCAAACAACTTACTTTACTTTCCTCAAAGCCCTTATCACCATAGGAACTTATCTTAGTCTTTCTCATGTTAATTGGTGCATTGCTGGTTTGCCCATCAGAAGGAAGGCTCTCTGAGGGCAGGAACCTCACTGATCTGGCCCCCGTTAATGTCTCAACACCTAGAGCAGAGCATGGCATAGGACAGGGCCTCAGAGCATCAATTAGTAAAAGAATAAATCTCTAATGACTGTAAACTCAAATTAGAGAGGGATATAAGAAGGTCTGGGGGAGAAAAAATGTTAGAAGAAAAATAAGTTTGGATTGGGCATGGTGGCTCACGCCTGTAATCCCAGCACTTTGGGGGGCCGAGACAGGCAGATCATGAGGTCAGGAGATGGAGACCATCCTGGCTAACATGGTGAAACCCTGTCTCCACTAAAAATACAAAAAAAAATTAGTCGGGCCTGGTGGCGGGCACCTGTAGTCCCAGCTACTCGGGAGGCTGAGGCAGGAGAATGGCGTGAACCTGGGAGGTGGAGCTTGCAGTGAGCCGAGATCGCGCCACTGCACTCCAGCCTGGGCGACAGAGCGAGGCTCCGTCTCAGAAAAAAAAAAAAGAAAAGAAAAAAGAAAAATAAGTTTTACAGAATAACAGTCATATTCCAGTCCTTCTCAGCTTGCCAAATTTGTGAGACTTTGGCTTTAGGGTATATGAAAGAACACACATGGTAATGCTTTCCTGAAGAGAAGTTTTGTCACTTTGGCCAGCATTTGCTCCTTAAATAGCTACTCATAGATCCTTACTGAGACAAGGGCTACTGGCAAGCCTCCTCCTGCACTGGTGATTTGCCTACAGGTGCCTGGTAGACACAGGCAGGGCTTGGGACATTGGAGTGGAAACTTGCCACTTTCACATCTGAGAAAGGAGTCACTTGTTTCTAATTATTCTTTGTCAGTGACACCTTCCATTTGTATAAAGTTTTTGGTGCCACCAAGTGAAGTGTAGATTTACATAAAATCATCTTTAAAAAAAAAAATACAGAGATGTGGATACAGGGTACGGTTTAAGAGGAAGTGTTGACCCAAGTCTGTGGTTAATGGCTTATAGATCTCAGTACTTGAATCAAAAAAGATCTCTCCATTGGAGGGTTTACAACACTGAAATCATGGGTGGAATAGGAAATACCCATCTGGTTTGGAGGCAGGGAATCATATAATCCTCCTCAATAGCAATCACTTGTGGAATATCTGAAAGATGATGAGATTCTTAAGCACATTTATAATAGATTTTAAAAACTGGCTATAACCATTATATTTCACATACCTTGAATGACAAATATTAACTATGTGACATCTGGAAAGTAACTCAAACCTCAAACTTTTTATATCTCTGTTTGTCTATAGAATGAGGCAAGTAATATTGCTTAGCGAAAATATTTCTACCCCTAGTTAGAATGTGGAAAGTCTTAAGAGACCACTACTACCCTAATAGGCCAAGAAAAATTATCAGACCAAAATGCATAGAAAAAAAGTTTTTAAAAATGCTATAAAACAATATCAAATGGTCTAACATACATGTAATTGGAGTCTCAGAAGGTATAAGAAGAACAAATGGAGCCAAATAAACATTTAAAGAGCTAAAGGCTGAGAATCTTCCAAAAGTAATATGAGACATCAAGCCACATACAAAAAGCTCAATGTACCCGCCAAAAGAATGTAAAAACAAAATTCCACCTAAGCCCTTCACAGTCAACTGCTGGAAACCAAAGATAGAGAAAATCTTGTAAGCAGCCAGAGACAAAAGACAGATTACATACAGAGGAAAAGGGGAAGAGAAGACTAACTATAGGCTTTTCATCAGAAAAACTGAAGGCCAGAAGATAATGAATTGGCAACTTCAAAGTGGCAAAAGGAAAATGACTATCTTAGAACTGTGTACCCAGTTTGGCTCCCAGACTTCACCATTAGCTAATAAGGGGTGGTACTTTTATTGTGTACTCAATGCCAGGATTGCAAGATCCTGAATGAGCTTTTGCTATGCATAACCAAAGCTCAGTCAGATATTCACCTGGATCAAGGGCCCACCCCCTCCTTCAGCAGCATTAAGCTCAGTAGAACTCCCAAAAGGAACATCTTCCATGCACCACCATGGCTCTTAGCCTTGGGTGTCATTAGAATCACTTTGCACCTCAAGCCCCACACTTTGACGTCCTGATTTAAGTGTTCTGGGTTGGAGTCTTGGCTTTTTTTTTTTTTTAATTTACCAAGATGATTCTAGTGAGCAGCTAGGATTGTGCCCTGTTGTTTAAATAGAATTATTTCTCCTTTTAAGGCAGATATGATTTTAAATTCCAACAATGTTTTTTAGGTTAAAGCTTACATAAGAGTTTCCCAATTGTTTTAAAAAGGGACAGCCAGAACTTTCTTTGGCAAGGTTACCATATAACTGACTTGCTCTCAAACTTGGATACACTTTGATATCTGCTGGATAGTTTTACAATATACTGACACATGAATCTCCAGAGATTCTGGTTTCCTCGGTATGGGTTACAGCCTGGGCATCTGAATTTTTATAAACTCTGCTTTTCTAAACTCTTGAGTTTATTTATTTTAGAAACAAGGTCTCACCCTGATGTCCAGGTTGGAGAGCAGTGGCACACTCATAGCTTGCTTAGAACCTCAAACTCCTGGGCCCAAGCAATCCTCCTGCCTCAGTCTCTCAGGTAACTGGAACCACAAGTGCATGCCACCACAGCTGGCTAATTTTTTTAAATGATGTTTTTATTTTGTAGAGATGGTATTTCACTGTGTTGCCCAGGCTGGTCTCAAACTCTTGCCCTCAAGGGATCCTCTGGCCTCAGCCTCCCAAAGCTCAGAAATTATAGGCATGAGCCACCATGCCCAGCCTTCTTTTAATATTTTTTAGGAAGTTTAAGTTCCTGGTGAGAGGTTATTCAGGCCAACAAGAGATTATCCTGGAAAACAAGAACAGATAAAATCAGATGAACTCTCTGGCCTCTGGACTGCTGACAACACCTCCACGTTTTTTCAGCCACTACATTCTTTCCTCCAAAGGGCATCCTTGGTCAGCCTGCAGCCCACTGCATGCCAGTATCTAGCTGGCTGCCTGCTTCATGCCAAGAGCCACTCCTTACAGAGACTTCACATGAATTTCCCTCCTCTTTAATGTCCAGCCATGTAATAGAAACCCCCTTACATCAAACTTGAAGGTACTGTCAGGAAACAAATGACTGCTGCTGTTTGGGTGTGTTGGAGGCAGCCAGACCCAGGCCCATCAGGGAACTGCGGATTCCTGAGCATTACTACAAGGCTGTCAGGCTCCTCAGCACTGTCACCCAGTCGCAATGGTCAGAAAAACGGCCTCCTGATCACTGAGCTGTGCTATTCCCTCTCTCCTGTCCTCTGATGATTGGTGGGGAGAGTGTATCTCAGAGCCATAAATCTGTGTGTCTTCAGCATGAATGTTTCCTCCTTTGATTACACCACCTCCTTACCAGGATCATACCATTTAGTCATGAGGAGGATTTAGTTGCTGTATAATTCAAATGCCATTCCCACTGATTTCAATAAATCCAGTTTCTGGTCTCTGATATTGTTGCTCCTGGGGCTGATGGTACATCCACAATTTTCTTCACCTATATTTTTTCTTCAGTGCCTATTTTTTTCTCCTTTATTAAGCTTCCGAGTATCTCAAAGAGTGCTCCAAAAACCATATATTTGCATCACCTAGGGGGTCTGCAAAAATCTCAGATTTCTAGGTCTACCACAAACCCACTGATTCATGCCTAAAATGAAGCAGATATTGATATTCGTAACAAATAGCCCAGGTCATTGTAAAGATTGAAAATCACTGATCTGAGGCAGTGTCATGTGTCTGAGAGACCAAGCACCCTGGATCCTAATTCCCACTCTGCAGTTTCCTGGTTGAATAACTTTGTGCAAGCTCTCTGGGTCTCAGTCGCCTCCTCTGTAAAATGGAGCCGGTATCTTATATTCCTTATAGAATTGTTGTGATGATTAAATGGGGTAATACACATGACATGTTTAGAAGAGTGCCAAGCACATAGTATGAGGTCATCATTATCCATCCATTCAGTAAGTGAAGGTTAACCACATGAAACATCAAAAAATAAAGGCAGAAGATTTTTTTAAAATGCTAAAAGTGTAGCACAGAAATATAAACATTAAAGTGCTGCAGAAGTTAAGACACTGCTAATGCTTCAGAGAGAAGGTGAGCTGTAGACTCAGGTTGGGATAGAAATAAGCTTCACCATTCACTCACTGGGAAAAATTTAGTTCACTCATTCAGAGATCGTGGTCAATAATAATACCTTGCTGGTTTATTAAAGTATTTTTTCTTCTAAAGTTAATATTTTACTAAATTAAGAAATAATCTCATATATACATAGCTGTAAGTGGGAAAAAGTGAATGCAATCACTACTTGCATTTTTGTTTCAAGAAAAATACGTTTACAGAAAAATTGAGCAGAGTACAGGGTTCCCATAAATGTCCTCTCCCCTTCCCCTGCACACAGTTTCCCCTATTATTAATATCTTGTATTTAGTGTGTTACAATGCATAAACCAATATTAAAACATTGTTATTAACTAAAGCCCATAGTTTACATGAGGGTTCACTCTGTGTTGTTCATTATATGGGTTTTGGCAAATGCATGATGTCACGTATACACTGTTACAGTATCATACAAAATAGTTTCACTGTCCTAAAAATCCTCTGTGGTTTATCTATTCAACCCTCTTCCCTCCCCTGGAACCCCTGGCAACCACTGATCTTTTACTGTCTCTATAGGTCTACTTGTTACAGAATATCATACCGTTGGAATCATGCACTATTTAAACTTTTAGGACTGGCTTCTTTTCTATAGTAATATGCATGTAAGGTTTCTCCATGTCTTTTCATAGCTTGATAACTCAGTTCTTTTTATCACTGAGTAATATTTCATTGTGTGGATATACCATAGTTTGTTTATCCATTCACCTATTGAGGGACATCTCAGTTGCTTCCAGTTCTTAGCATTTATGGTAAAGCTGCTATAAACATTTGTGTGAAGGTTTTTGTGTGGACATAACTTTTCATCTCATTTGGGTGAATACTAATAAGTGTGATTGCTGAATCACATGGTAAGACTACATTTGTCTTTGCAGGAAACTTCCCAACTGTCTTCCACTGTGGCTGCACCATCCTGTATTCCCAACAGGAATGAACATTAAATTCCTATTCTACATCCTTGCCAACATTTGAGGTTATCAATATTTTATATTTTCACCATTTAATAGGTGTGTGGTGGTATCTTTGTTGTTTTAATTTGCAATTTCCTAATGACAACAGATGTTGAGCATCTTTTCATATCCTTATTTGCTATCTGCATATGATATTTGGTAAAGAGTCTATTTAAATGTTTTTGCCCACTTTTTAATTGGGTAGCTTATTTTCTTATTGTGGAGTTTTAAGAGTTCTTTATCTGTTATACATTTTGACACAAGTCTTTTATCAGGTATATATTTTGCAAATATTTCCTCCTAGTCTGTTGCTTGTCTTTTCATTCTTTTAACTGTGTTTTTCAGAAAGCAGAAATTTTTAATTTTAATGAAGTGCAACTTATTTTTTTCATGGATCATGCTTTGGGTGTTGTGTCTAAAAACTTAACCATCAACCCAAGGTCACCTAGATGATTTACCATGTTATCTTCTATAAGTGATATAATTTTACATTTTACATTTAGATCTATTCAAAGTTAATTTTTGTGAAAAGGATAAGATCTATCTAGATTCTCTCTCTCTCTCTCTCTCTTTTTTTTTTTTTTTTGCATGTAGAGATTTAGTTTTTCAACACCATTCATTGGAAAGGCAATTCCTTCTTCATTAAATTGCCTTTGCTACTTTCTCAAACAGCAGTTGACTATATTAGTGTGTGTATCTATTTCTGGGCTCTCCACTCTGTTCCATTGAACTATGAGTCTGCCCTTTCACCAATACTACACTGTCTTGATCACTGTAGCTTTACAGTAAGCCTTGAAGTCATGTGGTGTCAGTCCGTCAAGTTTGTTCTTCTTCAGTACTATATTAGTTGTTCGGAATTTTCTCCTTTTCCATATTTTAGAATCAGTTTGTTCATGTCCACAAAATAACCTTCTGGGATTTTGATTAGGATTGCACTGAATCTATATATAAAATTGGGAATAACTGACATTTTAAAAATATTGAGTCTTCTAATGAACATGGACTATCTCTCCATTTATTTTGATATTTTAAAGATTTCTTGCATCAATACATGCTTTTATCAAAAGGTCTTCTTTTGCTTTTTCTTTACTGAACATCTATTTCTCCTTCTCCCTTCTAGCCTTGTCTATCTCCCTCAAGGCCATGTTGATAATCTAGTGTATGTATTTTTTTTCTTTTTCTCTGTACCCAAATACTTCTATATTGATATATATGTATATATATGTTTGTAAGTATATGTCTGTGTGTGTGTATCTGTGTCTCTGTTTCTGGCTCTCTGTACACACACACAAACACATACACTCATGGCTGATGTTTTAAAATCATTGTCAGTTTATGAAAACAAAATTGTGTTACATATATTTTTCTGCATCTTGCCTGTTTTATTCCACAATCTCATATAAATCCCTCAAAGAGATTTAGCTTAGCCTTTGCCTTCTAAAAAAGTGAATATGTAATATCCAGTGGTGTTGTGGGTCGCTATTATTTATTTGTTAATTCCCTATTTAGTCATCCACTTTATGTTCCACTTTTTTCTCCCCACAAATATCACTGTAGTGTACCTTCTTATAAATATGCTTTTACATGTTGGTGGTGTATTTCTAGGAGTAGATTCCCAGGAATACAATTTCAGGGTCCGAGGGGTATGTAATTTTTATTTTATAGGCATTACAAGACTGCATGTTCAGAAAATATGCTAATACTCATTTTCGTATCATGAAAACTTGGGTGGAAAAATTTATCCATGTTCCCACTATGAAGTACTGTTATCACTCTTTTAGTAATTTTCTCACTTTAATGGGTATGAAGGAATATCTCTGTGTTACTTTTGTTTTTTAATTTACCTGGCTACTGGTTGAATTTGAGCATATTATTTTATATTTATCAGCCATTTTTATATCTTTTATTTATGCATATATTTATGACTTTATTCTAACTGTTCTTTGTTGTCAATTTTATAAGAGCTCTTTGTATATTATAGATGCTACCCATTGAATGCCATCTTCATTACAGTTATTTTTTTTCCAGATTTTTAAAATTGACTTTGTTTATGGACCACCTCATTCTTGGTTTAGTTTCTACCATAAAGCATCAAGCATTGGCTAAAATGTATAGGGACTACTTTAAAAGAATCATAGGCAAAAGAATGGCTGGACAACTCACCCTCAGAAGGCTGCAGGATGGTGAGAAACTTACAGGGAAACCAATATCATTCCACCTGAGAAGAGAATATTGGGCAGGTGGTTAAGAGGGAGACAGAAAGCTACGTTAAATCTCTGAATATCTGTCACATGGAAGAAGAATTATATTAAGTATAAATGGTCACAAGTGATAGAAATACATCAAAGAAGCATTGTAGTCAGGCAGAAGTAGGACTGACCTAAGGAAGAAATGTCCTAGTGGTGATAGCTGCCCTAGAATTAAATGGTTTCTTATGATTTATAGGGTTCCATTAAGTTTCTGAAGATGACCAACATGAGGACAGAGGACACCTATTATGGACAGATTTCAATCATTCAAGAAAACTAATACGGACAGATGAGGTGTTTCAAAGAAAATAGAGTTTAATACAAATAATTCACTGATCACAAAATTGTTAAAAGGGGTGGATAAGTTAAAGGCAGGAAGTAGGCACTAGATTTCAGCTTCACTGCTACAGTCATAGTCTCACAAGCCAAAGAAATGTGCTGTCACCCAGAGGACAATAACACATTGGACTCCACTGCTTCTTGGCAGCCCTGAGTCAGGTGAATATCAGGAAAGCTTAGAAGCCAAACAAATTGCTTATACGCAAAGCCCCATAAAATCATCTGCTGCCACTGCTATGGGAAGAAGAAAATGGCTTCCACCTCTACTCCACCCTCATGTAAAGTACATCTAATAATTAGGACATAAATTATATCCATAGGGATGAAAACAAGAGATTCTGGGAACTACAGTTCACAGACATCTAGCCCCTGAAGTATGGGAGAGAGTTAGAAGGACAGGGAATGCTGATTGTCAGACAATGTCTGATGCAGGGTTTAAGTATCAGTTTGGGGGGACTGATGAAGGGGTGTACTTGGCCTTAAGCTACATGGCCCTGCTTAAAATATAAAGAAGTGTGATTCCATAGCACTCTGCTCATCCCTTCTTTCTCAAATTGGTTTTAAAAGGTTTTTTGGTAATAACCATCATGACACCCCTGAGTCTTCTCTACTTTATCCTTGGAGAGCATGAGCAGCATTGCCTCTCTAAATACAATGGCAACCCACCCACTCTGTTGCTTTTATAGATTCTGTGCAAACTGTACTTAAATAGATGTCATTTCACAGAAGCTGATCATTTTTGTGACTGCTAAAAACACAAGCAAATTATTCAATTCAATCTACATGTACTAAGGAGCACTTTCTATGAACTGTTATTTTTAAAACCCAAGGGGTTCACAGGACCACTGCTGTTGTAGGAACAACCATGTACTGCAATAATTCTCCTACCCACCCCAGAATGACCACAGTGGCCTCTGGGCAGCAGGGAAATGAGGAACATAGATTTGCTTACTTGGGTTAATTACATCATGATAGGTGTGTAGGTTTCCTACTTCCACCCAATTTATGCACCAAGTTTCAGGACCAATTCTATTATACAAGGTCACATAATGAAAGTTAAGAAATTAATTTTACTGAGGAATGAGAAAATTCACAAGGTCAAGGTCAGCAATATAGAAATGCATGTTGTACTTTAGTCTTTCATTTTCCCACTGAAAGGCAGGCCAGAGCCAGTGAGGCAGGTGTGGAGATGTGTCCCTCAGACCTCACCTCAAGGGAGACCTGCCATAAAGAGTACAACTAGTGATGGGTTTCTCTTTGGAGGCCTCTGAGTTCTACCACAGTAAGGTCGTGCTCTTCCTGAACAGCTCCCAACCAATGAATGAGCATCATATTGGTACTAGGTCCTGGCCATTTTTGCCCAATGTAGAAATCCTATATGAGCTGGCTCTCTCCATTGGACTGGCAAAAACTATCCCAGAACTACGTCAGAGCCCAAGGTTCTTCCTCCCAAATCTGCCTTCCTTTTCTCTTGACATAGGTCTTAGATCCACACTGTGGTCTGAAGTCTTTTCCTGCTTCCCCTGATTACTCTCCCCTTATCTTTCACAGACATTACCACCAGTAAATTTCTTGCACTTGTAACTGGATTTTGCTTATGCTTTCTAGATGAGATCATCTAGATCTCATCCAGATGAATACAGCCATGGCATCTGCTAGACATAATGTGGATTTTATTCCAGAGGAAGTAGCCTTTCCCCCTTATTTAGCTTTCCCTTTTTACCTTGTTATAGTAAGGGTAAAGGAAATAAAGAAATATCATCTGCCAAGAAGTCTGGGTTTGGGATGCCAGCTGTTTATAAGAGTTGTCTGAGAAAACCAGCTGCTCTGATTCTGGGGAAAAATTGGCTATTGAGATGATAACAGATTCTGCTTCTATAGGAAGTTGATCATGAATGTAACCTCTTCCACTGGGAGAATGGGGATCCTGATTCCAGGTGGCCCATTGTCCAGATAAGCCAGGGTAGCCCCCAGGGTTATCTGGAAACAGTTCTTCTCATTATACAATGCACAAACAGCAGTGTTCATTTTTTTCATACACCATAGTGACTATTCAGAGGAGAAGCTCATTAGGTAACCTGGATTCTATAACTCTCAATCTCTAATCCAGACCAGGCATATACATGCATTCTCTACTCTTTAAATTTTCTATTTAAAATATTGTCCCATTTTTCAAAAGAAGACAAACAAATGGCCAACAGGTATATGAAATAATGCTCAACATCACTAATCATCAGATAACTGCTAATCAAAACCACAAAGAGATATTATCTTACCCCAGTAAGAATGGCTATTACTAAAAAGACAAAAAACAACATGTTGGTGAGGATGCAGAGAAAAGGAAACTCTTACACATTTGTTTTGGGAATGTAAATTAGTACAGCCTCTATGGAAAACAGTATGGAGATTTCTTAAAGAACTAAGAACAAAACTGCCATTTGATCCCACTAGTGGGTATATACTGAAAGTAAAATAAATCAGTACATCAAAAAGATGCCTGCACTTATACATTTATTGCAGCAGTATTCACAATAGCAATGATAAAGAATCAACCTGTGTTCATCAATGGATGACTGGATAAACAAAACAAAAACATGGCATATGTATATATATATATACAATGAAATTCTATTCAGACATAAAAAATAATGAAACTATGTCTTTTGCAGCAATAGGGATGGAACTGGAGGTCAATTATCATAGGGATGGAACTGGAGGTCATTATCTTAAGTGAAACAACCCAGACACAGAAAGGAAAATATCATATGTTCTCACTCATAAGTTAGTGCTAAAAATGTGTTTGCATGGATGTAGTGAGTGCAATGATGGACAATGGAGACTCAGAAGAGTGAGAGCTCAGAGAGGGGAGGATGATGAGAAATTGGTTAATGGGTACAACGTATGCTTTTGGGTGATGGATACCCTAAAAGCCCTGACTTGACTTCTACACAGTCTGTGCATGTAACAAAATTGAACATTTACCCCATAAAGTACAAATAAGAAGTAAAAATGATTTTAAAAAATAGTCCCAGTTGAAGAGATATACACTGTTACTCGGGCAACACTTTCTGTGCTTCAACTCAGAAACCCAGTTTTGCTGACAAATCAGCAAGAAAAGGTTAGGTTTTACAGGGATTTATTTTCCCCCATTTCCCTTCCAACATGCCACTTCAACACCTTTCTACCCTTAACACCATACAACCATCCTTCTTCCTTCCTTCTCACTTCATTAGGTACAACCCCTAATTCCAGGAAGAAAGAATTAGCCCAATTCCTTGTTTTGGACAGTTGATTTATGCCAAAGGAGCAAAGTGGCATTCACATATACCCATAGCTCTTTGTCTTAGGAAGGAGAGTGAATAAATTGAAACAGAAAAAAGATAAATTGTACTAACCAAAGTTACAGCAGCTATTGTAGCAGGAGAATCTATTACTTGGGTATCTGACTTGGACAACATTACCTGCAAGTCCACCTCTGCCCTTACCCCAAAGTCTAAGCACAATGCTGAAAACATAAGACAGACAGAAACATGGCAGCCTTTCTGATGGAAGTCAAAGGGATAGGATATAAGGTCCGATCTGGCGCATAAGGCATAGAATGTGGCCAGAGATTTATTTGGTCCAACACTTCTGCTTGTAGATGAGGAAACTGAGGTGCAATAACTTAAGATAGTATAACTAGTTGTGCTCTATCAGAAATAGTACCTGGGTCTCCAGACCTTTAAGCCAATGCTCTTTCCTGAATGCCTTATTCCTTCACGGCCATTTAACATTTTTTTGACTCACTTTCTCCAAGCCCTTTTGTGTAGCCCTGACCACAGAAAATTCTAAATGAGGTGGCCCTTATTTTCCCTTTACTCCCAACAAATGTATGACACAGAAAGTAGGTACAATATGAATTATCAAAGAGTACTATGATCGGTCTGTGGCCTATTCCTTTTATTTTTACCATATAACTTACCGTCTTCTGTCTCACAGTCCCACTATTATCCACATGTGTTGCTTTCTTCAGAGATGGTAGAGGCAAGATTTATAAAGTTGATGAGGAGCATTGAAATCTTCAGTTTCAATAAGCAATAATTGGTAGTGACATGCAAGTACTTCTTTTGTGCATTGACTCAATTTCTCTACAGCTCTTATATGTGGTAATTTGCATTATCAGCACAAACATTTGACCCCTTCCAGAATCCACACCCTTTTTGTGGGTGGCAGCTTTGCTTTGTCAGCTTAAACTGGAACTACATTTCCAAAAATGTCCTTCTCTATCTGGTTCTGGATGAAGTTTGCCACAAGAAAAATTTCATGGAGTTTTGGAATAGGGAAGTAAAATAGCCATTTCCCACACTCTGAAGGTGGGTGTGGGGCATGCACTGCTGCAGCTCACCCACATTCCCACTGACTTGCTGTCTCCTCTTGTTGACATGGCCAGCCCCACAGGTCTTCCAGTTCCTGTTGGAAATCCTCCTTCACCTTCTGTAGCTCCTGAGCCAGGTCTATGTGCAGCTCACCACACACACCAAGGGCACCAACTTCTCCTGCAAGTCACTCATGTCTTCAGATTTGAGGACAGTTAGAGACTAATATGGATCCCAGTCGTTTGTTCTAACTACATTATGTCTAACTTTCTTCTCCAACTGCTGGCCCTGATTACCTCGGGTCCAACATCAGATATAGAGGCAACAGCCTTACATGGGCTTCTTAACTAGCTCCCACAATTGCATAAATTTTAATCCCTGTAATAAATCCCTTATGCTATATCACTCACTATTGTTCTGGTTTTCTAATCACACTCTAAATGATACACTGTTGACTTCACAGTTACCCCTGCCACCTCTGGTAAGGTAAACCTCCTCAACTCTTGACTCTGTGTTTGACCAGATAACTTGCTTTGCTATGACACAAGCAGGGACTTGCCCAGCGGAGCCTTCTCCTCTTGCAGCTCTGTCATCTCCATAAGAGCATTCTGTGGTCACTCCTAGTCCCAGGAGGGAGAGGAAATTCATGTGGTGCAAAGCCATCCCAGCCACCACAGTCAGCAAAACTGCCTCAGCCAACCCTAGAGCCACAATGCAAAGTAGAACTGTCAAATCCAGCCCAGCCTAGATCAACCAAACATCAGCTATCCTGCAGATGCAGAAGTAATAATAATCACTTTTGTTTTTTCAAGCCATTGAGTTTCAAGGTGCTTTGTTTTGTAGCAATTACTAACCAACATGCTGCTACAATAGTTTTATGCCAGAAAACATACTCTATTCAACTGTATCTTTTGCCAAAGAAATAATTTTTGTGTTTTAGGTGACTTTAGCAATACTTCAGTTAAAAAATCACCCTCCTTTCATTTTACTTTATAATGTCGTTGTAAAGCACACAAACACTAGAGATAGTTTGGGTTTGAATTTTGGCTCAAATACATATGAATTGTGTAATAACATTTAATCTCTGTAAATCTTGGTCTTCTCTTCTGTACAGTGGGGGTGAGATATCACCTAACTGGTTGTATTTAACATAAAATGAAGTAAGGTTCTTAACATAGCAATTGTACATAGTATGTGCTCAATAATTATTAGTTATCTGTGTGCATGTGTATGTCTGTGTGCGTATTCTGCTAAGAATACTCCCCCAAGTGTTCATGTTCACTTAATATTTTGATTGTCATTTATTCACCTATCTATCTATTGAGTGTTGGATACCCACATAGCAATATAATGTAGCAAGCTTCTATCATAGGCCCAGGAGATACAGAAATGAACAAGGCCCAGACTGTGTCCTTAAAGATTCCTATCACCTTTGCTATATTTCAGCTACTCCTCAACTAAATCAATTCTGAAAGCGCAGTATTTCTACCCAGTGATGGGAACAAGGCTACAGTAGCCAACAAAAAATTCATTTTATGATTCTATATACCATTTCAGAAGGTGAACAAAAAGATAAATATGTTGAGTAATTTTGGTGAGGGCTGTATGTCCTACTATGCTAAATTACCAACATCATCTTTATTTTATTGCAAGCCTTTCAACTATTATGTGAAACAATTAGAGTATTTACATTCTCCTTTATGATTTCTACTTTACTCTAATTTTTCTTTTGAAGGTATGATCTAAAAAGCAACCAAATTTTCCAGTTTTATTTTTCTTTCTGAAAGGAACCTCATTAATTAATTTTTTGTAAAATGCAATTAATTATTTTTGTTACTGACCTCATTTAGACTAATAATAGCAAACATTTAGAACATGCTTACTATATGCCAGACATTGTCTTGAGCATATGATACGAATTTATTCACTTCACATGACAAGAACTTCATAAGTAAAATTTTTATAGATATTCCCATTTCATAGATGAAACAGAGGCAGGGAGATTAAGTAACCTTCCCGAGGTCACACACGTAGTCCACAGCACAGGCAGGATTCAACCAGACTCCAAAATCTAGCTCTTTAGCCCCAAACTCTGCCACCTCTTCCATCTGCTCCCTAAAGCAAGGAGGCTCTGTGTACTGCACATGTTGATGTTTAGTACAAATCTTCCCAAACAAAACATTCCTCAAAATAATTTCTTTATTCTTCTGAACGCTTAGCCTTGAGTGATGCTCACTCTCATCTTTAAACATAATTTCCATTTAATAAATGTCCTCTTGTTATTGACAGAAATTTCATTAACTTCATCGTCCCTTGGGCCTGGCAGAAATGATTATCACATTCAGGAAATTGAAGAGAAATGGGTTATTACTTTGGAGGCAAATAGAGCAAAGAAAAAAATAAGGAAACAGGAAAGGCAGAGAGAGATAAGTGCAAAAAGAGGCAGGAGAGGGAAATGAGGAATTGAAGAGTTGTGGTCCATGCAGGTTTCTCAGTTTCTTCTCTTCCTCCCTATTGGCAGGCAATTACTGGAAGGCTCAGGAATGATTGCTAAGCAGACGATATGGAGATCCCTCAGGGAACTGCAGATTTCTCCCATGGCCAGCCCATCAAGGAGCAATGAGAGAATAGCAGCAGCAGCAGCAATAGCAGCAGCTGGGAATGGAGGTGAGATGAAGGAATGTGCCCTGAATATTTTGACCTGAGGCTCCTGGAAACTTCCTTCTGCTCTGCTTATTCCTGGGGAGCCAAATAGAAAGGGCAAATGAAATGCATCCTTCAAACAAGCCTGGGAAGAAAGCTGAGTGGCAGAAGTTCAAAGGCCTGAGTCATCATTTTCAGGCCTGTGGACAGGTGGATTCCTCTGAAGCAGAGCATTCCTCCTTAATCACTTGGTGACTTTCTGTTAAACTATTTGCTGACACAGGTCTCTCTAGCTGGAAAAGACTGTTTCCTGCATTCAGACCACAGGAGCCAGCCTCATTTCTGCCCTGTCATTTGAAACAATTCCTATTATTTCTGTCCTGACTTTGCCTAACTGCCCCTCCCTTGGCACTCGTAATACTTTAATGCTACAGGTGGCTAATGCAGTCACTTGGCTCAGCAGCAACAACTCAATATTTGAAGAAGTAAATTATAACAGCTCCCTAACTGGCCTCCTCATATTCCCTCACCTCCCTTCACATCTGTTATTAGCCCAGCAGCCAGAGTTGTCTTTTTAAAAACATAAATAAAATTATGTCACTCCCTATCCTTGCAAAAAACCGTTTTAAGAGACAGTTCAAAATAAGTTATGCATCCTTGTCCAAGCACAGGCCCTTGCCTACCTTCCAACTCTCATTATGGACTATCTCAGTCTCTATCTTGTTGTCACATTGGTCTGTTTCTCTAAGGCACCATGCTGTCCCCCACCCAAGGGCCTTTGCTCATGCTATATCATTAGCTTAGTACTTGCTCCCTTTACTGGTTAGCTTTTACTTGGCCTTTAGGTCTCTGAGCTAGATAGTCTCCATTTCACCTAGATCCACCCTCTACCTTCACCTCCCTATTCTCTATCTCAGAGGGATAATCTCTATGATCTACATCAATGGTCGTCTTTGCCCTCTAGCTCTGTAAGGATATTGAATGGAGAAAACAGAGTGAAACCAGAGCATTTATTTTCCTGGATCACTCTTCGTGAAAATCAACTCTGCAACTGTCAAGGATGCTTTATTGGTCAACAATTGCTGTGAAACAATCACAAAGTCTCCATGGCATATAGCAATAAGTATCCATTTCTTAGATGTCTTCGGGTCATTTGGAAGGTGGGGGGTGGTGCTGATCTAGGCTGTCTTACATGGGCATCAAGAGAGTAACCCAATAACACAAGTACTTCCGGTAGTTTAATTGTCTGTCTCTCTTACTAAACTGTTAACTCCATGTTTGTTTTGCTCATCTTTACTTTCCTATTGAGACAGCCAGGAGGGAGGGGATCCCCAGAGAAACTCCAGCCAGCCTGCACACTGGGAGAGAGCCTTAGGAAGTTCATGCCGTTTGCAGCAGGGAGGAGCGTGGCCCCTCCTCTTCCTGTGTGGAAACTGGGATTCAAATGACCAGGCGGGCAGTGTTCTAGCAGGGACTCTAGCCTTGTGAGAGTCCCTGTTTCCTCCTTTTCTTCCTTTTCACCCAATAAAACCCTGCTTTACCCACCCTTCAAACCATCTATGAGCCTAAATTTTTATGGCCATGGGACGGACAAGGACCCCATCTTTAGCCAAACTAAAGTCCTGCAACATTTGTGGCACCCAATATGGGGCCTGAGAAGTGGTGAGTGAAATGGGGACTCAAAACCTCTCACTGTTGCTCCTAAGCATTTTCATCCTTGGACTTCTGAGGGTGGAGGAAACATGTCCCTACCCCCTCATCACTCTTGTGCCTTTTCATGGACTTTTCCTTCATTTTTCAGGATGGATCAGAGAGCAACATCTACCCTCCACCCTCCCCTCCCTGACGGGGCTGGGACACATAGCCCAAGGTGCCACCAGCTACTGGCTGACATTTTCTACCACACATCCACAGAGTCTCCTCCTCCCCACACCAGGGGGAGGCCAGCTCTGACTCACAGCCATTAAACTTGTGTCTATGGTGGAGAAACCACTTGCGTAAGAGTAAGAGGTTCTTCCCCAGGCATTTTTAAACTGTTTCTTTTCTTTCCCCTTCTCTACCCTATCAGCAAGTTAACTTTTAAAGTTTTTTTTTTTCTTTTAGAAACATTTTTTACTAGGGCAGGCTCCAGAATTATCACTTTTTGTGTTTTCTGCAAAGTTTTGGTTGTGAAATGGAGTCTCCACCTTGTTTTACATCCTGAGGGCATGGCTTTGTTTAGTAATCCTGCCTTAGGGAATAAGTTTCTTTCTGGTTTGGCATCTGCATGTTCTTCTAGCCCTGTCTCTTCTAGCCCCACCCAGTGACTGGGTTTTCTTCTGCCTGTGTGTGTACTATGTGTGATGTCTGTAAAAAGAGCTCTAGTTAATTTGGCCTAAAGAAAGATAAGCGCTTGGATCAAACATTTTTTAAGGGAAGTTAAAAGCTGTGGTACCTTTCAGTTCACATGAGTTTCATCTTTGAGAAATGAAAGCAGACTTAAATATTATTGGTAAAATGCAGGTGTCATTAAGATGTAAATAGGTGGGCTAAATAATGAAGGTCAGATGCAAGATTTGCTAAGTGTTTTAAAATTATAAACTGCTTTTTGAGTTTTAAGAACTATTTGACTTGCTGGCTTCACAACTGGTAAGGCCTGAGGAGGACATAAGGAACTAACCACACCCTTAATTATGCTGGGAGTCAAACTTTGCCTGCACCTAGATATAATTATAGCAACTTACCAGGTTTCCCCTTAAAAGTTAAGAATTGCTAGGAGTTACCATTATAACATGTAATTGAGACTACCTGAAATAGATTTACATGGAAGATGTGGAAGAACAGTAAAATGTTTTTTCTTTTTTGTAAAAGTTTATAAGAAGGTATGGAAATGTTAACTTTGGCCTAGGGTTAAAGGATTGTTTTAAATTAGGAAAAAGCTGAAGGTTCAAAGAAGTGGTAGAAGAATTCTAGAAATTAATCTTGCAAAAGAGGTTCTCTGTGTGAACATATTGACTAAATTCCTAAAAGGATATTATATGGTTTTTCTGTAAATTTAACATTGAAATAAAAGAATAATAAGGTTTTCCTAAGGGGCTAATCTGTTCTTTGGCAAAATTTCTAAAGGGTTATAAAAGCTTTTTGCTTCTTTAAAATTTCTGAGTCATTTTGGCAAAATAAATAACTTATGGTAACCTGGAATTCTATTTCATAACATCAAGTGTTTTAAACCCCGAACATATATAGCAGCCTCCCAAAATCAAACTTCAGTTTCAAAATTGTCTTCCCTGGCACCTGGCTTTTTGAATATTTCAGAGGGCCCCTGAAGTGTCCAGAAAGAGAAGCAAACATGATTATTTGACGTGTTTAGGTACATGGGATTGCCAAAGTGATGTTCAATCTTCTTTAGGTTATACTTTGGTAAATAATGCTAATATATGTTCCAAAATTGTATGGGATTTCTAAAACTCTAATGTCTAGCATATGCTATCAATCATAATGAAGGTTGTTAAGTTATTGTAAACCACAGAGATAACAAACCTGTCAATTGTGTTTCTAAGTGTAACTACCCTGGACATTTTGTTATTCACAGACCATTGTTGTCTTGTTTTAATCCTTTTTTTTTTTTCAAAGATAGTTTATAATAAGCTATAGAACTTTAACAGGTACTCTGAAATACAAGTTTCTCATAACTTTGGAGATTGTAACATTGGAATAAAGAAAAATGTACAGGACTCATGAAGAGCTAAAATGTTCACAAATATCAAGCAAAACCAGTTAACTAAATGGACTGAACTCAGAAAGCTGAAGCAAACTTTTGACTTTTTCATGGAATATTGCTGAATCTTGTTTTGTTTTTCAGAGTCAAGGGAACTTATTTTGAACTATTTACAGCCTTTAATAATTAAAGAAGGTATACTCCTATGATCAAAATTTAGAGCATGTTTGTTTCTCTCTGCCTGTCGTTCCAGAATTTAGAACCTACCTGTGAGCATTCTTACGGCAATATAGTTGTTTGCATCAGTGCAATAAGAACCCATTTTTCTTTTGCAACAGGATGCAATTGGAGAAACTGGTAATTTTACCAAGGCTTTGACTGGAAGGGTATACTTCCCTTTAAGGAGTCAATCTCAACTTGCAGAGTCAATAAAGTCCAATGGGGAAACTGGCCTCATGTCCTTGTCTATGCAGTCCCCGTACAAGATTCCTGACCTGTGGTCAATTAAAAAAATGTCACTTTCTAGCAGGTCCAGGAGCTCCAAGTTTATCTTAGGAGCTTAAGAGGAGAGGAGCACCCAACT
This sequence comes from Homo sapiens, assembly GCF_000001405.40. NCBI lineage: Eukaryota > Metazoa > Chordata > Mammalia > Primates > Hominidae > Homo > Homo sapiens. The sequence continues at coordinate 31,045,653 of NC_000003.12, forward strand.
CACAGATATTTGAGGATAAACTCATGGTTGGTCTAGGCTTTAAAAGGTCTTACATGAGATTCCTTGGGGAACAGAGCTCCATTAAAGCCAATCCAAAAGGCCTTTGTAGAAATAATTATTCTTGCTGCACTTTATGCAAATAATCAGGCCAAGTATAAGACTAAAGTGTATTTTGCAAACCACTCAGTCCTATGATGATTTGTTTTATTTAACAAACATGAGTACTGTAGAGAGAGGAATCATGTTTCAAAACTTACACATTTATCATTAAATTCTAAACTCATTAGTTGTTTTTAAGTTTTTACCTACATTTTAGACTAATCCTGCTCATTCCTGTGAACCTACTAGCAATCTCTGGTTGCAGCTCAGAAAGGACAAGAGAAATGGGTAATGTAGAAATATGGATCAATTTTCTAGTTCTGAGCAATTATCCTCCAAATCCTGCCAGGTGATGGAATAAGTAGGGTGCCATCACCCAGAGGTTTCCTTTTTGGGAAAGTAAGATGAAGGGAACTAACCAAAGCCGAGCACTGTGCACCCAAATCCTAGCAAGCATAACGATATCTATCAGCTATCTGGGTGTGTCACAAGACATCCTTTTCTCTCCCTTGTTGGAGGAGGACTCAGTTCCACAGTTTCACCTTAGCATTCGGCTTATGATAAGGAGTCCATGCAACTCCCTGAGACACATTTTTGTCCCAAACTCAATTCCAAGCTTCTGGTCAAAGCCCTAAGAAGAAAAACAGGGATCCAGAGGCAAATGACAACAGAGGTTAAAAGACACGGCATAGGTGAGTGTGGCTGATTCCTGCTGATTAAGACAACCCCAAGCTTCCTGTTTCACAGATAAAGGCCACATTAATATCCACGACATAAATGAGGTCCAGGGAACTCCAAGGCTACTGACAGTAGGCAGGGAGGAGGCACAGGTGAGAGCTGATAATTCCTGTTCTCTAGGCCCTCCCTGCTTCATGGGTGCAAGCTGCTTTGTCATTCATGATGGCACCTGCCAAGGTCGCCAGGACTCGGGGATGCAAGGAAGGAAGACGGAAAGAGGACGCTCTTCCCTCTGACCCTCATGTACCCTGGGTATCTGCCAGGAAGAGAAGGGAACCAGGGATGCCTGCTCCACTCTTTCCAGATGGGTAGCCATTCATCTTCAGCCTGTATCCCTTCTAACTGGGACTTCTGAACTCTTGGGACTCCTTTAAAAAAACACCCTCTTTTTTTCTTTCTTCTCCTTGGTTCTCTCTTCACTGAGAGGTAATTATTGTGTCTCCATACTATGAGACACTTCCCTCAGATATATCCTGCAAACTGGAAAGAGTTAATTTCCCAAACCTTAAACTGATTGGCTTAGGATTGGGCTCAAGGGAAGGAAACCCAGAAGCCCAACATGCCAGCAAAAGGATAAAGTTTTTTACCAGTTGGGCTTTTGGTCTCCCTCTCCCTGTGCAAACTGGTAAAAGGTCTTGGAATTTTTGAGCTGTCCTTACCCCTACCCTTGTTTCATTTTGATACATGTTTTCTAATAACCCGGTTTGTCTGTTCTTGCCTTCAGTTCATCAAACACCAAACGGTCATGCAACTGGAGCCTCTGGCAATGGCCCCTTCTGCTGGGGACCCATAGATAGGCCTCTGAGGAACCTCGGACTGCCATTTCCCCAAAACAGTGCCTCTTGTCAGGAGGAAGCAGTTAAGATCAGTCTTCATCCTTATCCTTAATCTAACGGCAGTTAGCTGTACTTCTTTGGAGGGCAGGGAATGAGACGGCCAGGAGGGAGGGTTTCCCCCAGAGAAAGTCCAGCCAGCCTGCACACTGGGATGGAGCCTGGGAAAGTCTGCACTGTTTGCAATGGAGAGGAGCCTGTTCCCCTCCTCTTCCTGTGTGGAAACTGAGTTTCGAATGGCCGGGCAGAAAGCATTCTAGCAGGGACTCTGGCCTTGTGAGAGTATCTGTTTCCTCCTTTTCTTCCTTTTCACCCAATAAAACTCTGTTTTACCAACCCTTCAAACCACCTGCGAGCCTAAATTTTCATGGCCATGGGATGGACAAGGACCCTATCTTTATCTGAGCTAAGGAAAAGTCCTGCAACAACACTATCAGCTAGGAAAGTCTCTGATACATTGTAAATTCTTGGTAAATATTTATACAATGAATGGATGAAACTGGAAGATTGCATTAGATACAGCTCAGTGCCTCAGTGCAAACAGGGGCAGTAGAGCCATCAGAAGGGCTGGTCTGTTCTTACACATGGAAGAAAAATTTTGAAAGGACATTGATTTCCTCTGAAGGCAGAGGTAACCGTGAAGTGTCACTATATAAAAGCAACATTTTTTTGCTAAACGTGGCCAAGAGATTGTGTACAAAATAGCCTTAACACCATCAAAGTCCAGCTCACAAAGGGATGACCAAGGCTTCAAAGACACCTAGGATGTCTTGTATAGCGGTGGGTTGGTCAATGGAGTCCCATTGATTAACTGGGAAGTAAAATTTGGAATGAAATGAACTGGAGACCTCCTATTTGTTCAACCTCTTTGAGCTTTGCTGTTTTTCCCTATAAAATGGGATATTATATGCCTTAATTATTGCTGTGAAAATGAGAAAAGCCTATATATGAATGAGTTTTGCAAAAATTTACATAATGTGTCATGCACATTATTGATTGTTTCGGTGGTGGTAGTCGTAGTGTTAGTCATTGTTATTCACAGCTGTAACTGAGAGCAGACAAATTGAAATAAAATATTTCAATAGGGCTCTCTTTATAGAACATAAAATGGTGTGTGCATGGAGTGGAAGGAGGAAATAATAAGATAATTTGGTTGGGTACAAACTCATGATCTCTAATTCTTCCACTTTATGTACCCTCTGCTGCTTGATAGAAGGGTGGTATCTGGGTATGAGAAGAAAAAGAACTAGAAGAAGAGGAATAATTCCCAGCCATTTTAGGTTTTTGAACTAGAAGAGGCAGTGTTGCAAATAAGTTAGGGTCAGACTTCTGTGTTCCATAGATCCAGCTTTGAATCTCAACTCTACAACTTGCTAGCTGTGTAATCCAGACAGTGTGCTTAACCTGTTTGAGCCGCATTTATCTGTAAAACAGTGCTCAATATTATTCCTCTTGTTGGTTTGTTGTTAATTTAGGTACTGTATATGTTTCCTGGCACACAGTAAATTCTCACACATACACAGTGGTTGTCATTATGCTTAAAAGAAGAGTTCAGAGAAACAGAAGACTTCAAAATAAGTGCAATAGAGTCAGCCAATTGTTGTGCCTCTTCCTGTCCTCCATACCCATTGAATGAACTCTGGCTTTCATATAAAATTCACCAAATGGGCATTGGTCTTCATGCACAACCAGAAATCTAATAATTGCCAGCAAGAATGACTGCTGAGAGACTTGTAGTCAAACCAAACACCTCCAGCTAGGTTCCTGAGGCTTTAATGTCTCTGTGTTGGATTGTCTGCTTTCCCACAGCATCACTTGGGACTCTTCGGTCTAAAGGTCCAAGTACCAGACCAAATAAGCTTCCACACAAATCACTGTTTCACCTGGATCAGAATAGGACCTCTTTCATTGTTAAGCATAGTCCTCTCCATCCAGTCTCCACTAGCCATCAAGTTAATCTAGCCTTTGTTGTGTTAAAAAAAAAATATGGGTGAATATCTGCCATAAGCCTTCACAGTGACAAGAATGTACAAGTTGAATTTGGGTGGCAAGAGAAAAGAAGTCTCTGAACAATTCAGATGACAGTGCATCATCCATCTGGTACAATTTCTCCAGCAGTTTCTGCAGTCTAGCAGATCTGTATTAGTTTCCTATCGTTGCTACAACAAATTACCAAAAACTCAGTGGCTTAAAAGAATACAAATTTATTCTCTGACAATTTTGGAGGTCAGAATTTCAAAATGAGTCTTACCTGACTATCATCAAGGTATCAGAAGGATAGGTTTTTTTCTAGAGGCTTCATGGAATAATTCATTCCTTGCCTCTTCTAGCCTCAGGTGGCTGCTGGCAATCTTTTGGCTTGTGGTTGCATCACTCCAATCTCTTTTTTCATTGCCATGTTATCTTTTCCTATTATGTGGCAAAAACTCCCTCTGCCTCTTTCTTCTTGTTTCTTCTTTAGATACAGGGTCTGACTATGTTGTCCAGGCTAATATTGATCTCCTGAGTTCAAGTGATCCTCCCACCTCAGCCTCCCAAGTAGCTGGGACTATAGGCACATGCCATCATGCCTGGCCCTCTGCCTTTTCTTTTTTTGTTACAAGGACATTTAGATTACATTTAGACTCCACCTCGATAGTCTAGAATAATCTCCCAGCTCAGAATCCTTAAACTTGATTACATCAGCAAAGTCCCTTCTTTGCCATATGGGGTAACAATCACAGGTTCTGGAGATTAGGAAGTGTACATCTTGGGGAAGGAAGGAAGAAGCAATCTTTAGTCTACCACAGGCTCATCTCACAGAAAAGCTGGCATAATAAATCCACTCCTTTAATGTACGAGAATCATTAGCAACTATAGTGTTCCTTCTCTCAAACTTCACTATGCTTCACGTACTCTTAAGTTACTGAGAAGAATACCATAGCTAGACCTGAGAGAGAATCACAGAACCCTTTATAAAAAGCCTCAAACTGTTAGTAACCATAGCTAGTGTTTAGAGATTTTGCTTAAAAGTAATCACCAACAGAGTTTACTTCTCTCTCTGGGAGAGTCACTGTCATATATATGTGTATGCACATGATCATGTACCTGGGCAACACATACATAGTGGTTTCAAGTAGGTGTTCTGCCCTTCTTTACATTCTGGGAAACACAGCTGTCCTTGCATCCCAACACCCACCTGAAAAGATGAAACTCAACCACATCAAGTCATTTCTTTCTCTCTAGAGAGATGCCACATCACTTCCCTCTGCCACCTACCACTGCCTATCTGCTTTGATGTGAATGACCAGGGACAGTCAGCCCAAGTCTGTCACTCTGTGATATCCATTTAACCATAGCATAATGAGAGGAAGGAGCAAGCACACAATTCCCCATTTGAAACTTTTCAAACAATTTGAAACGGCTCCCTGGGATCAGGTAAACCAAATAGGTTATTAGTGCAAAGAAACATTAAAGAACAAAAGGAGAGGGGAAATGGTGCAATATATACTGGGACATGTGGATGCCTTTGTGAGTGTATCTAGAAAGTAACAGAGATGACATATTCATAAGGGAACCATAACTTGCAACTAATAAGTTAAGACTGTTCAGGCAACAGCATCTCATTGTATGCATATTTAACATATATGATTACAAATTTAGAGAGAGAGTGTAAGATGCACAATAAGTTGTAATAATGTGAGAATTTCACCGTGTCAAGCAAATGTGACTTAGAATGGGTTCCCACTAAGCATACTCTGGGACAAGGAATGGATGCATGTATTAGATTGGTACAAAAGTAATCACGGTTTTTGCCGTTAAAAGCAACAGTTTGTTTGAGAGGTGATCCCAGGAAACGTTGGTGAGGGAGTGAGAAAGGTAAGAAAAGAAAACGAATGTAGGATGCATTAAGGTGCAGAATATTGCAAATGGGGTTCATTCCTTTAGAGGTTCTCTAGAAGACTGTATTAAAAACATTTCAGAGTGGCCCATACAAGGAATGAGGAAGTTGGAGTATTTATCCTCCAACACCTGTCCATAATTGCTAGAGAGCTGCTCCTCAGGCCATGAACTCCTGGGTACTTCCAGCCTGCCCGAGCACAGGCTGAGCTTGACCCTGCCATCAGAGAAAGCAGGCAGGTTGTGAGTCACAGGTGTTAGGAGAAAAAAATGATTCTTGTGTACAAGGATTGTGATTGCTAAGAGAATCCAAACAATTCAGACAGTGGCTGTGTCAAAGTCAGTGAGAGATGGGAAATATGAATTGATTTATTTCACCAGTATTACCCCCATGTGTCTCTTCACATGAACATCACAGCACCCTGCATATTATTCTAATGTTTAAGATAGAAATTTCCATAAATGCAAAAACACCTACTTTTTCTGCTGCTCACCTGAGAAAATAACCAACTGTCCCAACACTTGGCATTTGCTGAGCCCTTTCATCTCTAAACTTTTAAAAAAGGCTTGGTAGCTTCAGCCCCCCTTTATCATGAAATCTGGTGAAAGAAAGAAGAGAGCTAGATCAGAAGTAGCAGTGAATATAATAGAAAAGATATGGCATCAGTTCAGGTGCCCATCAACAGTGGATTGGATAAAGAAAATGTGGTATATATATACTGTGGAATACTATGCAGTCATAAAAAAGAATGAAATTGTGTCCCTTAAAGCAACATGGATGCAGCTGGAGGCCATTATCCTAAGCAAATTAACACAGAAAGAGAAAACCAAATACTGCATGTTTTCACTTATAAGTGGATGCTAAACATTGGGTGTATATGGACACAAAGATGGGAATAATAAACACTGAGGATTCCAAAAGGGTGAAGGCAGAGAAGGGGCTAGGGTTGAAAAACTACCTATTGGGTGCTATGTTCACTATTGGGCAATGGGACCATTAGAAGCCCAAACCTCAGCATCACACAATATACCCATGTAATAAACCTGCACATGTACCCCCTGAATCTAAAATTTCAAAATAAATTAAAAATAAAAAATGAAATAATGGTGAATCAACAAAAATGCTTTTGTTGCTGTTTTAAACAGATTGATAAAGGAGATCTGAGGCTTTAATTTTGTCACTCTGTAGTTTAAGTTTTTGTAGTTCAATTTTGTCACTCTATAGTTTAAGTTTTTGTCTTTTTATCATTATTCTTAACTTTTACAGTTATGGGAAGTCCAGAAGCCAGATTATACATCCAGGGCTAACATAGTCCTGGCACATTGTGGGCACTCAATGCATTTCAATTCTTGCTTTCAAAATTAGTATTTGCAGGGTAAACTAACAGTATTAATGTGTTTGATATGGTTTGGCTGTGTCCCCACCCAAATCTCACCTTGAATGGTAAGAATCCCATGTGTCAAGTGTAGGGCCAGGTGGAGATAATTGAATGATGCGGGTGGTTTCCCCCATACTGTTCTGGTGGTAGTGAATAAGTCTTAGGAGATCTGATGGTTTTATAAATGGGAGTTCCCCTGCACAAGCTCTCTTGCCTGCCACCATGTAAGATGTGCATTTACTTCTTTGCCTTCCGCCATGATTGTGGGGCCTCCACAGCCATGTGGAACTGTGAGTCCATTAAACCTCTTTCCTTTATAAATTACCCAGGCTTGAGTATGTCTTTATTAGCAGTGTGAGAACAGACTAATACAGGGTTCCTTGTGTCCTAAAAGTAAAAATTTGATTCAAAATCCTGTTATATACCTCCAAAATGCTCCCAAGAGTGATTAGAATCAATCTTGTAACTTCCCTTGCCCTAGGAAACACTTCCTATATCTGGAGCTGGATCCTGGAGTACAAGACCTTCTTAAGCCAAGAGCAGTCAAAAGAAGGGCCACCTTTCATCTGCCATGACTAGTGCATTCTAAAGGCACTCGATGATGCAAAACCATCTGTACAAAGCAGATCTATTGAACAGTCTGAATTTGTCTGGACACAAGTGAAACTATGATTTTTTCCCAATCATTCTCTTTGACCATTTTATGTTGATTCCTGTTGCATATTTTGGAAGGATTCTGTACTTTTCCATTGTTTATCTAAAAAGTCCAGTCTGCTTTAAAATTTCAATCATATAGCAAAATAATTTCAATCATTTAGCAAAAAAAAAAAAAAAAAAAAGAAGTGGAGCAGACATATTTGTGAGGGAAAGGCAGCTGTAACAAAACCGAAACTATCTTGTGTCCCAGCCCCCTTACCAGTCTCCTGGGTTTGGTTTGCTTTGGTTTGGCTCAGTTGTTTTACATGACACTAAGAGTAACCATGTAGAGGAGGGAGGAAATAAGAAAGGACTGGGATCAGTTTGATTGAGAAAAGGGAAAGTTATTTCTACCTGAAATCTGTAATAATGTCATGTTGCTGAAAATTGAACTATCTTATAATAAATATCCTCTCCTGTCCAAGCCTTCTCCTAAAAATCCAAAACCTGCATTTCATTGCCCACAGTATGTCTCTACTTGGATGTTTTGTAGAAACTAAGACAGGTTGAAAACTAAACCCCTCAACTTTCCTTCAGCTGTGACCCTCATTGAGTTTAATCCATTTTTTTCACTAGCCCTGGCATTGCAGTCCTGATTATAGAAGTTACAACAATTTGATCTTTATTTTACTTCTCTTTCATGTTCAAAACCCGTTTCATACTGCTAGTTTCCATGGCCACTTGCTATTAGGATCTTCTTACCTGGCTGACGTTCTGTTTGGATGGGTTGTAGGAAAACAACTCAGTTGTGCCTATGGGAAACTTCTTGTCACACCAAGGAGTGGAGGTGCGGGACATTCTGTGACTGCCCTCTCTCTCCACACTAAAATCGCTCTCTAGTTCTCTTCTCCACCTACTCGAAAGGACACAGGACAGTGAAATTAGTAAATGTGCTACAGACAGACATGGAACTTCACATCGCCCTAATAGAGTATTTTGTAGGGGAGAGAATACACAGCAAGCCAGTGACTCAGAACTGTGTCAGTTCTCTCCTGCTCTCCCTGTCCCAGTTTTCTGCTTACATAGAATTGATGGGGAAATACGGGGTGCAGAGAATTGTTAAGGACAATGGACCTATTTAGGTTGCCATTACAAAATTATTTTCAAAATTTATATGCAGTAAAATTTGTTTTTTTGGGAACGTACAGTTCTATGCGTTTTAAAATATATATGGAGTTGTATATCTGCCGTGACAATAAAGGTACAGAACAGCTTCATGATGTCTAAAAATTCCTCGCGCTTCCCATTTATACTCAAATCCTCCCTACCCTTAAACCCTGGAAACTACTAATTTGTTCCTGATCCTGCAGTTTTATTTACCCTAGAATGTCATGTAAATGGGATTGTATGTAGCCTCTTGAGTCAGGCTTCTAACACTTAGTATAATACATTTAAGATTCATCCACATTATTGCTTGTTTGAATAGTTTGTTTCTTTTCACTGCTGAATAGCACTTCATTGTATGATTATAACACAGTTTATTTATCCATACACTAGCTGAAGGACATTTTGGTTATTTCCAGTTTTGAGCAATTATGAAATAAACTGCTATAATCATTCGTATATAAGTTTTTGGGGGCACTAGCTAAATCATATAGAAAGTATAAGTTTAACTTTACAAGAACCTGCCAGACTACTTTGTAAAGTAACGATACCACTTTCCAGTCTCACAAATAATGTATAAGAATTCCAGATGTTCAGCATCTTTGACAGCACTTGATACTTGATATTGTCCATAGCTTTCTTTCAAAAATTTTGGTAAGTGTGTAGTGGTATCTCATTGTGATTTCACTTTTCATTTCTTTAATGATATTAAAGATATTTTATGTGCTTCTTAGCCAAATATATATATATCAACTTTGGTAACATGTCTGAATTTCATGACAATATTAAAACTGTTTTTTTCTATTGTATAATTATTTATTTTTAAATAAGTGAGGAGGTGTAGAATGTATTAAAACAAATGTGATGACTACTCAATCATTATGTATTCTGAATATGTCTCAACTTTGAAACTGTATTCTAATAATATGTATAAAATACAAATATAACTCTTAAGAATTGAATAATATATTTTTTGCATAAAGGTGATAATTTTGAATTAATGTTCAGTGCATGAGTCACCACTTGACCATTTTAAAATTTCTTTTTATTATTATTATACTTTAAGTTCTGGGGTACATGTGCAGAATGTGCAGGTTTATTACATAGGTATACACATGCCATGGTGGTTTGCTGCACCCATCCACCCATCATCTACATTAGGTATTTCTCCTAATGCTATCCCTCCCCTAGCCCCCCACCCTCTGACAGGCCCTGGTGTGTGATGTTCCCCTCCCTGTGTTCATGTGTTCTCATTGTTCAACTCCCACTTATGAGTGAGAACATGCAGTGCCACCGACCCTATCCCTGTTGGACTGAACAAAGGAGGACGAACACAGGAATAAAGATAAAGACAAAAGAGTATATTTGGAAGAAGGGGTCAGGGGGCTCCTTGTTTCTAGTGAACAAGGGCCCTGAGCTTTTTCAGCCCTCTGTATTTATTAGGTAAAAGAGATAACGAGAAGGTGGGGGTGATTGTCAGTCAGCAGTTTGATTCACAGCAGGCTTGCAAGACTGCATTCTGCGAATAGGCTCTAGATGTCCCAGTAGATAACCCTAAGGAGCATGGCACCAGGGAGTGATTGCCTTCAGCAAACCTTCTGGCAGCTGGAGCAGATGTTAGTTTGCCCACATCCTGCATTCATGATAAACAGTTTGCTGTTTGATCATATAGTCTCAGTGGAATGCTGAGTTGGTCACAATCCCTTTGCTGGCTCTCTACAATGCAGTGTTTGGTTTTTCTGTTCTTGTGTTAGTTTGCTGAGAATGATGGTTTCCAGCTTCATCTATGTCCCTGCAAAGGACATGAACTCATCCTTTTTTATGGCTGCCATAGTATTCCATGGTATATATGTGCCACATTTTCTTTATCCAGTCTATCATTGATGGGCATCTGAGTTGGTTCCAAGTCTTTGCTATTGTGAACAGTGTCACAATAAATATACGTGTGCATGTGTCTTTATAGTAGAATGATTTATAATCCTTTGGGTATATACCCCGTAATGGGATTGCTGGGTCAAATGGTATTTCTAGTTCTAGATCCTCGAGGAATCACCACACTGTCTTCCACAATGGTTGAACTAATTTATACTCCCACCAATAGTGTAAAAGTGTTCCTATTTATTCATATCCTCTCCAGCATCTGTTTTTTCCTGACTTTTTAATGATCACCATTCTAACTGGTATGAGATGGTATCTCATTGTGGTTTTGATTTGCATTTCTCTAATGACCAGTGGTGATGAGCTTTTTTTCATATGCTTGTTGGCCACATAAATGTCTTCTTTTGAAAAGTGTCCATTCATATCCCTTGCCCACTTTTTGATGGGGTTATTTTTTTCTTATAAATTTGTTTAAGTTCTTTGTAGATTCTGGATATTAGACTTTTGTCAGATGAGTAGATTGCAAAAATTTTCTCCCATTCTGTAGGTTGCCTGTGGAAGTCCTTTTTGTTGATGTTGATGTTGTTCCTTTCTGTTTGTTAGTTTCCCTCCTCACAGTCAGGCCCCTCTGCCACCAGTCTGTTGGAGTTTGCTGGAGGTCCACTCCAGATCCTGTTTTCCTGGGTATCACCAGCGGAGGCTGCAGAACAGCAAAGATTGCTGCCTGCTCCTTCTACAAGAAAATGGGGAAAAAATCACTTCTTGTCCTTTTGGCTACAATCAAGTGTAGAAAATGGGCAGAAATCATGAACAGACATTTCATTAAAAATATATGCAAGTTGTAAATAAACACAAAAATATATTCACATCTTTCTATTTCTTTAGTCTTTCTGAAGTAGGAGGTGGGACTTCACTCCAGAGGTGGAGCTCAAATACTGGACCAAATTGAAGACAAGCTAAAAAAGGGACAGGGTGGAAACAGCTTTCCATAAGACATGCCCACCAGAGTACCACATCAGTTTACCATTGCCATGGTAACAACCAGTTAGCTCCCTTTTCCATGGCAATAACCTGATGACCCAAAAGTCACCACCCTTTTCCTAGCAATTTCCTCATAAACTGCTCCTTAGTATATGTAATTAAAAGTAGATATAAATATGACTGAAAAACTGCCCCTTAATGTATATGTAATTAAAAGTAGATATAAATATGACTGCAAAACTGCCCTGAGATGCTACTCTCAGCACACTGTCTATGGCGTAGCCCTTCTCTACAAGAGCAGTCATGGAGCTGTAACACCACCAGAGCTTTAACACTGCTGCTTCAGTAAAGCTGTTTTCTTCTACCCTACCACTGGCTCACCCTTGAATTCTTTCCTGAGCAAAACCAAGAACCCACACAGGCTAAGCCCCTCTTTGAGGCTTGCCTGCCCTGCATCATTTCTCTGATTTCTTTCATTAGTGTTTTATAGCTTTCAGCATTGAGATTCTGTACAAATTTAATTAGAGTTAATCATAAATAGTATTGTTTTAAATTTTAATTTCCAATTCTTTGTGAGAATATCAAAATATATTTAATATTGTGTATATCATTGTATCCTATGAACTTGTTAAACTCACATATTAGCTTTAGACTTTTTTTGAAGACTTCTTTGATTTTTCTACATAGATTATCATGACATCTGTGAAAAAAGATAGCTTTATTTCATTCTTTTCAACTTGTATGCATTTTATATTTTTTTACTTGCTGCACTGCCTAGAACTTCCAATATGATGTTGAATAAGAATTATGAGAGCAGACATCCTTGCTTTGCTCCTGATCGTGAAGCGAAAGCATTCAGAATTTTGCTACTAAGTATGTTTCCTGTTAAGTTTTTCATAGATGCCTTTTATCAGATTAAGGAAGTTCCCATCTTTCGTAGTCTGCTAAGAATTTTATATTATATGGGTGTTAAATTTTTACAGGTGCTTTTTCTGAATGTATTGATGTGAATCTGTGGTTTTTCTTCAATAATTTGTTAATTATGTTGATTGATTCTTAAAATGTTAAACCAGCCTTACATTTTTTGGGATAATCCCTACTTTATCATAATTGATTTTTTTATATAATGCTTGAATCTCTTTGCTAAAATGTTGTTGAATATTTTTATGTCTATATCCTGAGGAATATTGGTCTGTAGTTTTATTGTAATGCAGTTGCCTGGTTTTGGTATCAGGGTGATGCTGTCTCCATAAAATGTATTTCCCTCCTCTTCTAGTTTCTGGAGGAAATTTTGCAGAAATGGTGTCATTTCTTATTTTAAAATCTAGTAGAATTTTTCAGTAAAACCATCTGTGCATGGATTTTTGTCAAAAGATTTTTTATTAATTTTTATTAATTTAATGTAATAAATACAGGACTATTACGGTTATCTACGTTTGCTTGAGTAAATTTTGGTAGTTTGTATCTTTTGAAATATTTTTCTATTTCACCTAAGTTGTCAAGTGTCTGGTCATGGAGTTATTTATTTGTCCTTATTTTGTTAGTATCTGTAGGGTTTGTAGTGATATATCCTCTTTTATTCTTGATATAGATAACGTATATCTTCTTTGTTCCATGGTTATCTATGGCTAGAAGTTTATTGATTTTGTTGATGTTTTCAAAGAACTACGTTTTTGTTTTATTATTATTTTCCATTGCTTTCCTTTATTCAATTTCATTGATGTCTGCTAATTTTTTATTTTCTCTTTTTTGCTGGCTTTATGTTTAATTTATTCTCCTTTTTCTAGTTTTTTAAATGGCCATGTAAGATTATTGATTCGAGGCTTCTTTCCTAATACAAGCATTTAATGCTATTAATTTCCCTGTAAATACAGCTTTAGCAGCATACCACAGTTTTTCTTAGGTTGTATTTTTATTTTCATCATGTTCTACATATTTTATAACTCCCCTTGAAAACTTTACGTTTGACTCATTATCTATTTAGAAATGTGTGGTTTAATTTCCAAATAATCAGGGAATTTCCAGATATCTTTTTTACCAATTTCTAATTTAGATATGGTGTGGTCAGAGAACTTAGTCTGCATTATTTTCATTCTTTTAAGTTTGTTATTTTTTTGTTCCCAAAATGTAATATACTTTCAACATTCCATGTTCACATAAACAGAATGTAGACTCTGTTGTTGTTGTGTGAAGTGTTCTATAAATGCCTATCAAGTCATGTTAGTTGATAATATTGTTCCAGTCTTCTATATCTTTACTGATTGTCTGTCCATTCATTTTATTAGTAACTGAAAGAGTAGTAAATCTTTCAGTATAATCTCTCAGTGTATTTGTGTGAATTTGTCTACTTTTCACTTTAGTTTCATCAGTTTTTGTCTCATATATTTTGAAACTCTCTTTTTAAGTAAACACATATTTAGGATTGTTTCTTTTTGGTGAATTTACCCTCTTATCATTATGGGATGTCCTTTTTATCCCTAGCAATTTTCCTGTTGTGAGATCTATGATGTTTCATATTCACATAGCCACTCTAGTTTTAGTGTGATTAATGTTTGCCTAGTAAATTTTGTTCATTATTTACTTTTAACCTACTTTTATTATTATATTTAAAATAGAACATTTGTGGACAGCTAAGCTGGGTCTTGTGTGTTTTGTTTGCTTGCTTGCTTATTTATAGAATCCAACAATCACTGTCTATTAGTGTGTTTAGACCATTTAATGTAATCACTGATATAATTTGATTTAGAGCTAACATTTTATTTATCTTTGTTTACCTCATTTTTTTTCTGTTTTTCTTTTCTTGCCTTCCTTTAGATCATTTTAATATCTTTTTATTTTATTTTATTTTATTTTTTGAGATGGAGTCTCACTCTGTCGCCCAGGCTGGAGTGCAGTGGCGTGATCTCTGCTCACTGCAAGGCTCCACCTCCTGGGTTCACGCCATTCTCCTGCCTCAACCTCCCAAGTAGCTGGGACTACAGGCGCCTGCCACCACGCCCGGCTAATTTTTTATATTTTTAGTAGAGACGGGGTTTCACCATGTTAGCAGGGTGGTCTTCACCTTGTGATCTGCCCGCCTCAGCCTCCCAAAGTGCTGGGATTACAGGTGTGAGCCACCACACCCAGCCCATTTTAATATCTTTTAATATTTAATTTTGGTTGACCTATTGACTCTTTGACTACATCTCTTTGAATTATTTTTTATGGTTGTTTTGATGATTTAAATATACATGCATTTTTTTCATAGTAAATTTAGAGTTAATGTTTTACAGCTTTTATAAAATAGAGAATCCTGACAAATCTATAGGCCATTTTGCACTCTGTCTTGCATATTTCACTTGTCATATGTATTGCATCTGTATACATAGAAAATCAACCAGATAATGTTATAATATTTGCTACTAATAGTCATGTGTATTATTTAAAACTTAGGGGAGAAATAAAAAGTTATATTTCCCTAGATATTTACTGCTTTTTTTGCTCTTCTTTCATTTCTGAAATTCCAAGTTTTCCTCTGTATTATTTCCTTTCAGTTTAAAGAGTTTCATCTAGCTTTTCTTTTAGAGTGGGTCTAATGGTAACACATTTGTTTGCTTTTCTCTTCATTTGAAAATGTCTTTACTTTGCCTTTATCCTTCAAGGACATCTCCACTGAGTATGTAAATATTGGTAACAGTTCTTTTCTTTCATCATTTTAAATATGCTGTTCCATTGTTTTCTGTCCTCCGTGGTTTCTGATGAGAAATCCATAGTAATTCAAGTAGTGGTGGGTGGTTTTCTTTGAATTTTACCTGTTTGGGATTAACTGACCTTCTTGATACTGTAATTTTATGTCTTGAACCAAATTCAGGATAATATTTCTTCAACCCAGATAATATTTCTTCAACTACTTTTCTGCAAAAATCTCATTCTCTTATTTTCTGGAACCCCAATAGCATGAATAGCAGACCATTCCATGTTGCTCAACAGGGTCCTGAGGCCTTATTAATTTTTTAAAAGATTAATCTCTCTGTTGTCCAAATTTGATTATTTCTATTAATATATCTTTAAGTTCACTGACTTATCTATCTTCACTCTAATATTAATTTCACTCAGTAAATTTTGGTTTCGAATATTATAATTTTTTTCTCAAATTTATATCTTGTTCTTTTTGTAGTTTCTTATTTTGTGCTGAAAACTTTTTATCTTTCCATTCATTTCAAGAGTGTTCTCTTTTATCCCATTGAGTTTGGTTATAATAACTGTTTTAAAGTCTTTTATAATTCTAACATCTGAGTAATTTTATGTTTGACATCTGCTTATACTTTTAAGAAAAAATTTGGTTGTTCTTCCTGGCTCATTTTGTTGAATAATTTTTGACTGCATTCTACTCAGGACATTTTGAATATTATGTTGTGAGCCTATGGGCTCTATTAGTATCCTCAAGAGATTGCAGGGGTTCTGTTGTTGTTACAGCAAGCAATCAGCTTGGTTAGGGTCAGACTGCAGGTTCTTCCTCATCTTTTGTGGATGGTGGTTTCAATGTCAGTTTAGATTTCAAGGCCTTCAGTGTATTGTGTGTGTCTGACTCATTATATTTTTGTTCAGGTCCCAAAGCCTTGCTATGATTCTTCAGGTTTCTTCCAACTGTGCACTTCTTGAGGAGGAATCTGAAACTGGCTTTGCAAAATTATAACAGAGAAAATTATGACAGTGAAAGAAATCAGACCTAACCGACTCCATTTTGCTTTTGACATTTAAGCTGTCCTCGTTCATTCCTGGGCATAGGCTGAACTAACTTTGGGAAGGAATTCAGGTCATGGTTTGACTCTGAAACAAACTTGATAATAGCCCTTTTCCAAAAAGATGTCCTTCTTGCTGGGGATCAGTATGCCTTTGCAGGACTAACAAATTAGCTACAAGTTTAGGGGTCATGCAGCTTCTGGCTCCAAGAGTCTAAACCTCCCCAGATTGCTCCTGGGGGAAAACATCACGATTGTAAAACCTAAGATCAGTGCTTGAGATATTTTGCAGACCCTGCCCTCAATTGATTAGCTGATACCACCCAGACGGGTAATCTGGCTCAACCTGTTCTGCCATCACACCCAGGAACAGAAAGCAGCAAAAAAACTCACCTCAACCCCCTTATGTTTCCATCTCCAACCCTGACCAATCAGCACTCCCCACTTCCGAAGCTCCTACTTGCCAAATTATCTTTAAAAACTCTGATCGCCCGAATGCTTGGGGAGACCGATTTGAGTAATAATAAAAATCTGGTTTCTCACACAGCCGGCTCTACATGAATTACTCTTCCTCCATTGCAATTCCCTGTCTTGATAAATTGGCTCTGTCTAGGCAGCAGGCAAGTTGAACCCATTGGGTGGTTACAAATCTATGACTTATGTTAATTTATATACACAATTAAAATATTGTCTTCTCTAGCAGTCGCCTTGCAGGAATTGCCCATAATTTTTGTATCCAAAGGGTCATTTTTGAACCTGGGAAGCAAGTTTAATTTTCTTGCATCCCATACCTTATAATTGCATACCAAAATATAAATATTTCTAGTAACTTCCTGGCTACTGGACCTACATTTCTCCCTATATCTACATTACTGACCCTACCAGCAAAGAATGTGATAAAAAAAGAAAGGATGTAAGGATACACTACAATTTATTAGGGGAAAAAAAATGAGGCTGTGTTACCTTGATCAGTGCCTGAGAATTTTTTCCCTAGGCCGTAACCACTGTGTACAAATGCACTTGTGACCCAGAGATTGTCTCCACCTGCTGAGACCTTCAGGAAAATTCTGCTGAAAGCAACTGAATAAGATTTGGGAATAAATTTAAATTATCATTGGAAAATCTGTCCATGACCCAGCTAATACCAGGAACATAAATATCCTGTGCATTGATTTAAAGCTCCTGGTTATTTAATACTGTAAGGCAAATGCTGATCTTTTAATTTTGTAAATAATACGGGTAAAATGAATTCACCCACTACAACAAAATGACCAGATATTTGAAATTTTATAGAATAAAAATCATTTGTTATTGGATATCATTGCAGATTTTTCTAGAATGCTGAGTTTTTCTATCATCAAATTTCACCTTCTGTTGTACCATGGCCCCTTTGAGCAGCATTGAGATTTGTGATACAGGATATTACCCTTAACATTGATGAGTTTTGCCTTGATGGCAAAACGCTTGCTAAGGAAGTTGAAAAGTCTTTGTAACATTAAGTCCAAGAGTAATGAAAGGCCAGTGAATTTGATCCAGAGTTCCTACACATGAGAAAACTTTCTAGAAATGTATATTTATATCAGTGACCTAGAATAGATATGTATTGACTGTAGAGGGAAAGGAAAAAGAACTCAAAGTCATAGTATAATTTTTTTAAAATCAAAAAACAGTAGTTAAAGAAAGCATTACATAAAAATGTTTGTGTCCCCCTACATTCTTTGGAGCATTTTATATTAGAAAAAAATAGAAACAACCTAAAAGTGTATTTATAGAAGAAAAATTAAGTTAATTATGGTATATCCACTCAAAAGATTAATATGCAGCCAGCAAAAATAATGTTAAAAGGAATTTTTGTTGGTATAGCAAAATCTATACTTTCTAAAATGAAAGTATACATATTTATATATAGATAACATATATACATATATGTATGTATAAAAGTATTTTCATATAGACATGCATGTATATATTTTCCCACATACACATATATAATATATACACGTGTGTGCATGTGTTTGTGTATTGCAAGCCTCCTTTTCAAAACTACCTCTAAGGAATAATTGGCAACTTACAGATATTTTAAGGGGTTTATGAAACAGCTACAGTGTTGAATTTGTCCATTATTTTGTTGTTACATCATTAAACACAAAAGTTAAGTTCAGGAGACCAAAGAGTATGAAATGAGTCACTTTAACTCTTGGTGAATAACTGAGCTTGACTATAATGAGATAAATAGCAACCAAGAATCAATGAAATAGCCTAGAGCAAGCAATGTCTGTGACTTCACAAACCCAGTGGCACTGAGAGTTCATGAAACAGATGGTATGGCTGTGTAACTCCACTTTATACCAAGGAGAGTAATTTGACCATTTGCCCAATCACCTCTAAGTACTTTGCTTGAACTCATTTCAGGAATTCATAGAAAAATGCTGGTTCTGATGAAAGATCACCTTCTCTGTTTTCACTATAAAATAGCTGTAAGAGGAAAAGTAGAGAGAAAATTATAATAAAAAAGGTACTAAAATTAGGTTGATAAATGTCCATCAAAAGGTGAATGGATAAATAAATTCTGATACATTCATAGAATGGATTACAACTTCACAATTCAAAGAATAAACTATTGAAACATACAACAGAATAGGCAAATATCAAAAAACATGCTTAGCAAAAGAAGGTAGACACAAAAAAATACTTACATTATGACCCACTTATATGAAGTTCTACTATAAGGAAAACTAGTCTGTGATGACAGAAAAAAGATCACTGTTTACCTGAGTCAGGGGGTTGAGGGATAGAGGGAAGGCTGATTGCAAAAGGGCTGTATTAGCCTTTTCTCACACTGCTATGAAGAACTACTGTGTAATTTATAAGGGAAAGAGGTTTAATTGTCTCACAGTTCCGTGTTATTTAGGAGGCCTCACAAAACTTACAATCGTGGCAGAAGGCAAAGGAGAAGCAGGCATCTTCCTCACAGGATGGAGTGAGTGCAAGCAGGGGAAATGCCAGATGCTCATAAAACCATCAGATCTTGTGAGACTCACTCACTGTCACAAGAAGAGCATGAGGAAAGCTGCCCCCATGGTCCAATTACCTCCACCTGGTCCCACCCTTGACACATGGGGATTATGGGGATTATGAGGATTACAACCCAAAATGAGATTTTGGGTGGGAACACAGCCAAACCATATTAGGGGCACAAGAGAACTTTCAGGTATGATAGAAATGTTTTATGTCTTGATTGTAGTGGTTACAGGAGTGTGTTTCTTTGTCAAAATTCATTGAACTATACATTTAAAATAGATGCATTTTATTCTATGTAAATTAATGCCTCAATAAAATTTATTAAAAGTATAAAAGCAGGTTGATAGCAAAGCAAAAACAATTATCACATGTTAAATAGATATAATTATGAAGTTCCATTAAAGGAGCATTCATTTACAAAAAGCATTTCCCTGCTGAGTGAAGGTCAGCTGAGTGAAGTTAAACGAATTTTTTAAAGTATCTGGACATGCTGGTTTGTGCCTGTAGGCCCATCTACTTGGGAGGCTGAGGCAGAAGGATTATTTAAGCCCAAGAGTTTGAGGTTGCTGTGAGCTGTGATGAGGCCAACACACTCCACCTGGACAACAGAGGGAGACCTTGTCTCTAAAAAATAAAAATAATAAATTTTAAAAATCTCACCTGGATAGCTTTTTAAAATTCTGATTGTATTGTACTGAGGTGCAGCCTGGGCATGGAGATTTTTCAAAGGTCCCTAAGTGATCCCAATGTATAGCCAAGGTAGAGGACCACTAAGATTGTAACTCCCCTTCACCTGCCCAGGGATCTTCTAGCAGAGAATATGGCTGAGATTCTTACCCACCCAGTATCCCAAGTGTGTCCTAAGGTCCCTAATGTCAAACCTTGTGGAGGTTGGTTGAGACCTTGGACTGAACTGCCCCATTCCAGCAGAAGGTTCAGAGAGGAAAAACAGAATTGCTGTCACATGTTCACTGGGCACATAATGTTCACTAAATTAATTACCTAGACTCAGCTGGTCCCAGAGAACAAAAATGAGTCACTTTAACTTGATGGTTTGAGTGCTATTCATGTATTAATCCTTCCAGAGAAGGATTAGTTATGATTGGGTACCGGGAAATCATGTTTTATCTCCTCAGATTGAGGGAAGATGAGTGAAATGTGTTAGGACAAAGAAATTTGGTGTAAAGATGCAAAACTCAGGGTCTTTCACTGGCCTCTGAAAATGGGAAGGAGCTAACAAATAGGTGCAAGGCACTTTATAAACATGATCTTATTCAGCCTTCACTCTCCTTAATGAAAATCCTATACCAGCAGTATGATTTTGCCCATTTGGTGATATGATAACTAAGAGAGGTCATCCTCTTTTTCAAGTTCTCATGGTGCATGGCAAAGCTGTGACTTGAGAATTCACTTTCTCTAAAACCTACGTGTACTCTTTCTACTATGCCATACTAAATCTTACTATCTTGAAAATTGATCATAATAATAGTAGCAGAAATAGTAATAATAACATTTGTTGAGAGTTTTCTATGTGCTAGGAACACAGCTAAGATACCTATATTGTATTATTGTCTAGACTTATGCCTATACCTAGATATAGACATATAAAATGTCATTTAATCTTCACACCAGCTTTTAGAGGTAGATACTATTATTATCCTCATTAAATATGATGCAGTTAAGGTGCAAAGAGGTTAAATAATTTTCTCAAGGTTGCAAAGCTACAAAAGATAAAAGTTATTTAACAATAATCCTCTCCTGAAAACACCGTACCTAATAATGCCAGCCAAGGAAAAAAATGAGAGAATTTTCCTAACCTTGCTTTCAACCTCGATTCTCAATACAACTTAATATAACTGTGATTTTATAATACTGCCTCTTGCCTTCAAACTTTGCAAACTTGTGATAGTCCATTTTGACTGTAGCCATAATGGTACATGGGAAAGAACTGGTTATTGCAAACTCTGATTTGCAAGATCAATGGGAACATTATTATCCATCATTTAAAAAAATCATGGATTAGCAAACTGGAAAAATACTTCTGACACACCTCTGCAGCAAGAAAAGCAATGCATTATGTCTGATACAGTGAAAGGGGGATGAAGAAAGCAGTGCTTAGAGCAAGAATTGCCAGCTGGAATTGACTATGGAAAAATGGGGCTGGCTGTCTTTATCAGATCCGCTTCCAAGCAGCAACCTGTGAGTCAGGGTTTCTCATTTCACTGACATATGCAAGTTTTTACCACACTAAGCCCTGCAGGGCAAATGCAAATGTGGAAATGTGAATGAGGTCCAACCTTGTCTCATACGTCATCAGCACAACTGTCGGCTAAGTTTTCACCAAGGAACTTTTATTCCTAACGCAATCGGAACTGGAAGAGAATAGCAGAATCTATCACACTAACACCATTTTTATGTGAATATATTTGTATGTGCATGCGCTCATATCCATGTTAAAGGTAAGCAGGAAGAATTCCAGTATCAAAGAGAGATGATTTAAATAATAACTAGTGTAGCTCACGAACTTAAACTTTCCATTGGTTATAACATACCATTTGTAACTTCATTTAAAAATCCCCACATTCATCCAGTTGTTATTCACTCACTTTCAAATTATTATTATTATTATCATTTTTGTAGAAACAAAATCTCACTATGTTGTCCAGGTTGGTCTCGAATTTCTGGGCTCAAGCAATCCTCCTGCCTTGGTCCCAAAGTGCAAGGATTACAGGAATAAGCCATGGTGCCTGGCCTCAAATTCACTTGTTTAGATCCCATTTCAGTCTGAGGGGTTCAGGGGGCTCCCTTCACTGTTTGGGTGCAGGCTCGGCTGCAAATCTTCTGTAGAGAGAATTCTCGGGGTGGCTCTTACACATCATGGGTACCTCTCCACCTCACCCTCTCACCCTCTCACCAGGTAGACTGGGCAGGCAACGGCATGCACATCGCATCTGCCACCATGGGGAGCAGATATGGCAGCATCAGCCGTCACATCATCAAGGGAATTCTGCCCTTCTTGGATTCCATTTTGCTCGATAGACATGGTTTATTGAGCACTTTTTTCATCAGAGTATAGACATAAAGAAGGTCCATTTTATCCCCTTTTCACTTTTATCTCTATCAAGCCCACATTTGCTATCTCTTAACGTCATCTTGGGGAAATTCCAAATTATTTCATCGATATTCATTATCAAGATAAGTCTGGACCAGTTTTTAATTTCAATCTTGTGTTCACTTCAAAGCTCTCTGCACTACATACCCACTAGACCTGTGGCTGAAGGCACAGAGTGGGCAGAGAAATGTGACTGCTTTGCATACACCCCTCCCTCCCTCTGTGACTCCACATCTTCTGAGCTTCTCCAGAGCAGAAACATCATTTACTTGGCCACCTAAGCAAGACTGGCTCTTCTTATCGACTTTGCCTCCTCCTCTGGCCTTCACCTTTAGCCTTGGATACCTCAAGATCCTGTGTCAGTCTTCCAGGTGCTTACAAGAACATGGGTGGGTACTTCACAGAGGCTTGACATTTCTCTCTACACCATCGTTTCCTGAAGTAGGCATCCAGCTCCATTTCCACCCTTCCACAGCCCCCCAGCACCACAGCCTTTTCCAGTGTGCTCCCCATGATCTCTGCTGCTAGGATACCCTCATCTAGAAGGCATCCCTCTGGGGCAATACATCAGAGGACTAGCATAAGCTCAGCTTCCTTGTTCCGCATCCCCTTGACCAACAGGCTCATCTTTGCCAAGCCAAATGATGGGAGTACAGTAAGCTTCTCTGCCTTCCTTCCCTCTGTTTCCTCGCTCTTTTCCTCACTCTCTTTCTCGCTGCTCGATGCACAGGGGCCAATCAGCAGGATCAGTGCCCAAGCAGAAATCTGACATAAAAATTAAAATCTCTACTTCTTGCAGAGCAGATACCTCCAGTCTTACAAATGCTCTCAAGGACTTTACGTCTTCCTTCCTATCAACCGGAAAATGCAACCCTCATTTCCTCCTATGCATGGAAGGGAGGAAAAAAACTCTCTCCACAGTGGGCTTCCCACAAGACTGCTGACAATGGCCATCTCATACCCCAATATTTTCATTATGTAGACAGGAGGGACAGTGAGCTAACAGTTAGAAGCAGAGATACCTCTGCTGCAGTTGATAAGCTCTGGGTTGGAAGTGTTGGGTCTGGGATTGCCAAAGTACAGGACTCTAAGTTAAATTTAAATTTCAGATTTTAAAAACATCAATTTTTAGTATAAGTATGCCCTAAATATTGCGTGAGAAGTTCTTATTGAATGACTACTTTTTTATTCTTTTTTTTTTCTTTCCGCTCTTCTTTTAGGTTCAGGAGGTACATGTGCAGGTTTGTTACATGAGTATAATGTGGGGTGCTGGGGTTTGGTGTACAAATGATGTCATTGCCCAGGTAGTGAGCATAGTAACCAATAGGAAGTTTTTTTTCCTCCCACCCTCTTTTCTCAAGTAAGCCCCAGTGTCTATTTTTTCCCTCTTTGTGTCCATGTGTACTCAATGTTTAGCCCCCATTTATAAGTAAGAACATGTATTTGGTTTTCTGTTCCTGTGTTAATTTTATTAGAACAAGGGGTTCCAGCTGCATCCTTGTTACTGCAAAGAACATCATCTCATTCTTTTTTATGGCTTCATAGTATTCCATGGTATATATGTACCAAATTTTATTCGGTCCACTACTGATGAACATCTAGGTTAATTTCATGTTTTTGCTATCGAGAAAAGTGCTGCAATTAACATACGTGTACATATGTCTTTTTGGTAGAATGATTTATATTCCTTTGGGTATATATCCAGTAATGGGATTGCTAGGTTGAATAGTAGTTCTAAGTTCTTTGAGAAATCTTAAATTGCTTTACAGTAGCTGAACTAATTTACATTCTCACCAGCAGTGTTTGAGGATTTCCTTTTCTCCACAATCTTGCCAGCATGTTATTTTTTGGTTCTTTTAATGTTAGCCATTCTGTCTCATAAAAGATAGTATCTCCTTGTAGTTTTGATTTGTATTTCTCTGATGATTAGTGATGTGGAGGTAGGTTTCTTATTACTGATTCAATTTCAGAAGTTATTATTGGTCTATTCAGGTATTCAATTTCTTCCTGGTTCAGTCTTGGGAGGTTACATGTTTCTAAGAGTTTATCCATTTCTTCTAGATTTTCTAGTTTGTGTGCATAGAGGTGTTCATCATGGTCTCTGAGGGTTTTTCTATTTCTGTGGGGTTGGTGGTAATGCCTTCTTTTTCAATTTTAATTGTGTTTATTTGAATCTTCTATCTTTTTTGCTAGTCTAGCTAGTGGTCTATCACTTTTATTTATTATTTCAAATAACCAACTTTTGGTTTCATTAGTCTTTTGTATGAATTTGCATGTCTCAATTCTATTCAGTTCAGCTCTGATATTGGTTATTTCTTTTCTTCTGCTAGCTTTGGAGTTGGTTTGCTTTTATTTTTCTACTTCCTCTAGGTATAATATTGTTGATTTGAGATCTTTCTAACATTTCGATTTAAGTGTTTAGCACAATAAACTTTCCTCTTAACACTGCTTTAGCTGTGTCCCAGAGATTCTGGTATTTTGTATCTTTGTTTTCATTAGTTTCAAAGAATTTCTTGATCTCTGTCTTAATTTCTTTCTTTACTCCAAAGTCATTCAAAAACAGGTTGTTTAATTTCCATGTAATTGTATGATTTTGAGAGATCTTCTGGGTATTAATTTGCTCTTTTTTTATGGTGTGGTTGGTGTGAATTTAGTTTTTCTGAATTTGTTAAGAATTGCTTTATGACCAAATGTGTGGTTGATCTTAGAGTGTATATTCTATTGTTGTTGGGTGGAGTGTTCTGCAGATGTCAATTAGGTTCATTTGGTCAAGTGTTGAGTTTAGGTCCCAAATATCTTTGCTGGTTTTCGGCCTCAATTATCTGTCTAACACTGTCAGTGAGGTGTTGAAGTCTCCCACCATTATGATACAGTTATGTAAGTCTCTTTGTATATCTCTAAGAACTTGTTTTATGAATCTGGGTTCTCCAGTGTTGAGTTCATATATATTTAGAACAGTTAAGTCTTCTCGTTGAATTGAATCCTTTATCATTATGTAATGCCTTTCTTTGTCTCCTTTGATCATTGTTGGTTTAAAGTCTGTTTTATCTGAAATAAAAATAGCAACCCCTGTTCTTTTCTGTTTTCTATTGCTTGATAGATCTTTCTCCATCCCTTTACTTTGAGCCTATGGGTGTCATTTCATGTGAGATGGATCTTCTGAAGACAACATTGGGCCTTGCTTCTTAACTTGCCACTCTGTGCCTTTTAAGTGGGGCATTTGGCCTATTTACATTCAAGGTTAATATTTGATATCTGAGGATTTGATCCTGTCATTGTGTTGTTAACTGGTTGTTATGTAGACTTGGTTGTATAGTTGCTTTAGCACGTCAGTGGGCTATGTACTTAAATGTGTTTTTGTGGTGGCAGATAATGATCTTTCCTTCATGTTTAGCACTCCCTTAAGGGCCTCTTGTAAGGCAGGTCTGGTGGTAATGAATTCCTTTAATGTTTGCTTGCCTGCAAAGGATTTTATTTCTCCTTCACTTATAAAGCTTTATTTGGCTGGATTTGAAATTCTTGGTTGGAATTTCTTTTCTTTAAGAATGCTGAATGTAGGCCCCCAATCTCCTCTGGTGTATTAAGTTTCTGCTGAACATCTTGCTGTTAACCTGATGGGGTTCCCTTTGTATGTGGCCTACCCTTCTCACTAGCTGCCTTTAATATTTTTTCTTTCACGTTGACCTTGGAGAATCTGATGACTACGTGTCTTGGGGATGTCTGTCTTGTATAATATCTCGCTGAGATTCTCTGGTTCTCTGAAGTTCCTGAATTTGCTTGTCAACTTCTCTAGCAAAATTGGGGACGTTTTCACGGAGAATATCCACATATATGCTTTCCAAGTTGCTTGCTGTCTCTCATTCTCTTTCTGGGATGTCAGTGAGTCATAGGTTTGGTCTCTACATAATCCCATATTTCTAGGAGGTTTTATTTAATTTTTAAAATTATTTTCTCTTTATTTTATTATTTTTTTGACTGAGTTGATTTAAATAACTGGTCTTTGGGTTCTGAGATTAAACCTCAGCTTGGTCTATTCTGTTGTTAATACTTTCAATTGTATTATAAAATTCTTGTTTTTAGTTTTTCAGCTCTGGAAGATCAGTTTTCTTCTTTCTTAAAATAGCTATATTGTCTGTCAGCTCTTGTATTTTATTGGATTTCCTTAAATTCCTTGGATCTTGATGATCTTCATTGCCAACTAGATTCTGAATTCTCTGTCATTTCAGCATTCTACGCCATGTCATTTCATTTTGTACTTCCCTCTCTGGAGGACACTGATATGGTTTGGCTGTGTCCCCACCCAAATCTTAAATTGAATTGTATCTCCCAGAATTTCCATTTGTTGTGGGAGGGACACAGGGGTAGGTAATTGAGTCATGGGGCCCAGTCTTTCCTGTGCTATTATCAGGATAGTGAATAAGTCTCACTAGATCTTATGGGTTTATCAGGGGTTTTCACTTTTTCTTCTTCCTCATTTTCTCTTGCCACCACCATGAAAGAAGTACCTTTCACCTCCCGCCATGATTCTGAGGGCTCCCCAGCATGTGAAACTGTAAGTCCAATTAAACCTCTTTTTCTTCCCAGACTCAGGAGTGTCTTTATTAGCAGTGTGAAAATGGACTAATACAGGCACATAAGCAAGGCACCATCTTGGAAGCAGAGAGCAAGTCTTACCAGATATTGAATCTACCAGCACCTTGTTCTTGATAAACCATAAAAAATAAATTTCTATTATTTATAAGTTATTCAGTCTAAGATATTTTGTTATCACTTATCAGCCTTTTGGCTAAGATCAAGTGAGGCACCTTTTATAGCAACAGGAAGGAACTAAGGGAGGTCCCATATGTCACTCCTTAGTCATTCTTTTCAGAATGTAGAACATTCTTGTTTTTAGCCTTGGTCCATAGGCAACATTCTGGAACAAAGAAAAAGGGCCCATCAGCCACCTCTTATATGTGGTTTTATTTCCAATTTTCCCTTTTCATGGTGCCAGAGCCACTCTATACTCTCTAATATGTGCTCACTTGCCTGGAGAGCCAGACAGATCCTCTGAGCACCTTTCCACTGAGATCCAGGGGAGGTAACAGGCTATCTTCTTCCAGAGCTGTGCACCTGCTTTGCTTGCTGGTTATACCTAGACTATTAGGCCCTAAGGCACTTCCAGCAGATTATCTACTGGCTTTGCTACTTTAGTCCACAGCTTCAGGAATCTTCAGCAGTTCGGACATATTCATATCCACACCCACAATTATGAACATTTATGCCTATGATAGGTCTGATTTGTCCCACTCCAACTGACAGTGCAGAAACCAGATTACCTGACAGCTGTCTGACAATAGGCTCCAAAGGAGGCCCCAAGTAGGAATCCAGCCACCACCACCACACAGTAGCCAGGGTGGGATGGGATATCTGAGAGTAGCAAATGTTGTAGCTGAAGTGCAGCTTGGACCACAGTCTTTGACCTGAATGACTCAAATCTAGATGTGCTTGGATCAAACACCTACCCACTGCACATTTTTCTTCTGTTAACCACTTGTAGTGGACTCTGTCAGTGTTTCACCTACATCCCCTGGAGTCCCTTTTACTGTTCTTTGTGTCCCTTTCCCAGCTTCCATTTGATTTGGCTGGGAACAGGCTACACCCATGACTATCTGTGGATGACTAATCTTGGGCCGCTGGAGCTGTTTTGCCCAAACAGAAAAAGAACAGAAATACCTGTTCCCACCTCTTTCTTGCTGTGGGGCCTTTGAACAGTGACCACTGGGTGAGGGAGAACAAAAGCCCTGTCTCTTCCTTCCTGTAGAAACCACTTCAGGGTGTCCTTGACACTGTTGAGCTCCCCTGAGTGTCCCGCTGAAGCTGCCCTCTGTGGGATTTCCCTATACTACTGTCTGGCTTAGCTTCTTCCCCATCCCTGGTCTTCCCCACCTCCCTTACTAGTTTCTCCTCATACTTCCTTGATAAATCCTTTGCATACGTACCCTTATCTCATGGTATGCTTCTGCAGAATCCAACATTTGACATTCCATTTTGACTAGGAGTCAATAATACAGAGGAGGCAAAAAATACTGGAGAAAGCTATTGCCCCTTGAGTTCTTACACATCTCTACCATGACTCTCCATTCATGTGTCCCAGCTCCCTCCTGCTGGCATTAAATTAAACCACTCAGAATGAAAACCTTGAAAAATTAAATAAAAAGCTTTCAGTTTTTGGAATGTTTATATGGATAGATGTTTTTGGAAAGAAAAGGACATTTTAATATACTTGCAGATAATTAGCTCCAACAGGAAACTCAAGAGTTTCAAAGTCATGATTTTGGCAAAAAGAATTGAAACACATGGAATGGAAATCTAAATTATAATATTCTAGAGTAGTTAGATAATTGTGTAAGTGTGTTAGGAGGAGGAGAGTCACTTTCTAATTAGTAGAAAACTTCTAAGAATTCTATGGCACACTGACTAAGCATTTTTAAAGAAAAAGTCCAACTGAAATCAAGAGCATAGGCAGTTAAGATTTTTTTTAACTCTAAGGGGATTATAATCAGGCAACTCAGAGAGTTATATTCTAGAGAAAAGAAGGCAGCCCCTTTACAGTGCCTCTGACAAGGAAGCCAATCAGCTCACTGCCTTCTGTATAAGCCAGGTATCTTCGTTTGCATTCTCCAGAGGCAGAGCCTGAAGCAGGGGTTCTTGTGCATGTGACTTAATGAGAGTGTGCTCTCAGATAAAACTCGTAGGGGAGTAAGGGAAGCAGGGTAAGGCATACTAAAAAAAAAAAAAAAAGGCAAGGTAAAAATGTTTTGCATGGAACCTAGTCTCACCCATCCTAGGGTAAGCTCTGGAGTTGTCCTGCCCAGAAGCAAGGGAGTTTGGGCTCTTGTACCCTTGGTAACAGTCAGTCATTGGCCACAGGCTGCCTGGTGGAGGTAGGTAGGATGGGACGTGTAACCACCTAATGTCACTGGGTATGGCAGTGTTAGCCAAAGAGAGAGCCTCTCTGGAGAAGGGAGTAGCTGCTGGCAACCAACACCCACAGTAGCTGGGGGTGAGCACACCAGCCTAGTAAAGAGATGGTGGGGGGAGTGTTCCATAAGCATCTGTTACACTAGGTTACCTCAAAACCTTGATGTCCCGGAGGAAATCCCACTGCAAGATGGCTTGCTCTGCTGGCTTACACATGCCTCCATGTTCAGTAGTTTTTCAGTAATTTTCTAAAGAAGAAAACCTAATCCTCAAACCACTCCTTCTATATTTACCCAATGCTGGTGCCTGACTAAAAGAAAATTATTTGTTTCTCATTTGCAACTTAATGTTTTGGCCTTTATTAAAAGATGTGCATCTCATCCTCTCCAAACTTTCCATCCTTCCTGCAGAAAACTCACCCAGGCTACTGCATACTCTAGGGTTTTGGTCTCAGTGGATGGAATCTTGTTTTGAAGAAGCCAAATATGATGGATTACTGAAATCTGTTGTTCCCCCAGCTCAGCTGAGGGACTAAGTCCCTGAGAACAGAGATAAGCAGTCTTTTCAGGGTTTTGCCATTTTGATACTGAGGAGATTTAGGAGAGGCCTTTCCAGCATTTGGGGATATCTGTTAAGTATCAGAAATCACAGAACTTGGTCCTGTGGGAGACTTTGGTCACAGAAGGTCAAACTGAGAAGTTCCAGCACCCTGGTCATCTCTGATGAAATCTGAGGAAATCCACGGATTTGTCCACACGCACCCTGCCTCCCTTGAAGCCCTGCAATGGGCAGTAGGAGGGCCTGTGGGAAACACTGCCATTGCAGGTAAGAGGCTGCAACAGAGGGCCCCACCAGCTCGCCTCAGAATTACTCCTTGGATTATAAGAAAGCCTCGGGCACGCCCACAAAGTTCAAAAAAAGTGCCACCTGGGACTTCCTAGTCAGTTCAGAGCTCTTTTCAAACTAAATGACCACTCTGAACTGCTGCATTTTGAATCCACCAGCTGCAGAATCAACCAGCACTGACTTCAGAAGAGACTGAAAGGGGACGGGGTGCATCCCCTTTGCCACCGTTCCCCTGCAAGACAATTGTTCCTATTTAGCTCAGGCCTGTCAGTTAGAATTCACACCTCTATCCTCCCCACTGAGCCCCTGGACTGGGGTGAGAGCTCTGTGTTCAGAGAATCATTTTCATGGGCAGGAGCGTGAAAAGCAGGATGGTGGGTGGTGACTTTTGTTTGAAATGAATTGTGTCTGGGAGTCTTTTGAAGAGCAAAAAATAGACCTATTTATTGACCTAAAGCCATCCATGAAATGGGATATGATCTCTGGCACAAAGAATAGAATAGAAACTCCCCAATATTGTAGCTATCTAGAGATGAAAAAATTGTCTGGAGCTAAGACTTTATTTCTTCATCCGCATTCCTGATGCTGGGCTTCCTGCAGAATGCTGAACAGTATTATCTGTTTCTGGGCCTCAAATAAAGATAGAGAAAGAAAACGAGAGAGGGTGGGGTGGGGAGATCTAGCTAGCTACATTGATCTACAGATATACTTTAATAGTCCTCTTTACTTACAGACACTCTGAGACATGGTCAGACAGTTCACCTCACCTTGTTAATAGTAATTGGCATAAATGCTTCTTGAACTTTTGGCTAAGAGCAAGTGTAATGCCTGCTCTTACCAGTTTAATAATAATTGGCATCATTTTCTGAGCACTTATATAGGTGCCACATACTGTGACAACATTTATGCATATTATCTCATTAAATTCTTAAAACACTACATTTTAAAAAACCGATTAACTATAGCCACATTAAAAAAAAAAAAAAAGGAAAAGAAAACTGAGGCTCAAAACATTACTAAGCTTGCTTAAGGCCACATACCCAGGAAACTATATTAAAATTTGAACCCTGCTCGGCCTGAGCCCAATGCCTGAGTTCTTAACCACAGTGTCATTTAATTAAAGAAAAGTACACTCTAGAGAGTAACCATTCAACAGGCACTCGGGGTGGCCTTGGAAAGGAAAAGAAACACAATGAGACACTGAATGCACTTTAATATTTGAGAGAATTGGTTTCTCTTAAATGTGTCAGCCTATCATCCATGTTGTTCACAGCTTGAATCATAGGGTGGTTGTAGGTTGAGGGGAGCAGTCACCATTGACTCATCTCTGTCCTTCATCCTTTGTAGCTAGTCACCTACTAAATCCAGTGGATTCACCTTTGAAATGACTCATAACCACTCTTTCTTACTATATTTTTTCCTCCACTTTGAGCTCAGCCTTCATCTCTTCCTATTCAGATAACATCAACATTCTCCCCACTGGCTGGTCTGACTCAGCTCTCTCCTCATCCTGTCGGACTGCCCACTGCCAAACATGGTATCCTAAAATAGTGCGTCCAACATTTCACTATCCTGCTCAAACATCTGTGATTGCTCTCTAGTCTTTGTTGGCCTAAGTTCTGTTTTCTGCTTTATAGTCTGTCTTTCTCTCCCAGAACAAATGTCCATCCCCAGTCTGTACCCTTTTTCATCATCTGCCTTCCTTTTGCACCTGGCCACCCTTATCTGTATTATCCTCCCTCCCTCACATTGTTACCTAAATCATATCCAAATGTCAAGGTCAAGTCTCACTACACCCATGAAGGTTGTACTTTAAACCAAACCACTCAGTCCTTAACTTTTCTATAGATAAGAGGGGTATTCCAGTTTGGATTACTGACAAGAGGAAAGGCCCAGACAAGTATCTGAATGTAGAGATGTTATTTGGAAGTTACAGGAAGATATGATAGGGTGGTGGGGAAGAGGGACAAGATGGGAAAGGCAGCCAATAAAAGGTGCATTTTCAAGCCAGTTACCGCTGTGGACAACTGGAACTTAGTCCTGTGGGGAACAGGGGAGCCAGTATAGGATACACACTTCAATTATCTCATTCAAGGGGTGATGGGGTTGGAGTATGGATACACTGACTAATCATCAGTCATTGCTAGAGGGCTGCTCCCAGGGGGCATTCACTCCTCAGCACTTCTGTCCTACTAGCAAAACAAGCTCCAGTGGCAAAAGAAAGCCCCAGTCAAAAGAAATACTGGTGTTGGAAGTTGGCAATCAGATGGAGCAGACTGAGATGGTAGGAGCAATGGGATATATGAGTGGGACCTGGCAGCATCTGCTACAATAACCAGATAGTTTATTACCCAAACCCAGGCACTTTTGAGAGTGAAAAGAAATACTATTAATAATTATTGTGACAAAAAAATCAAGATGGTCCTAGGCAAATTAGTATGTATGGTATTGCATTTATAACAGTGAGTTTTATATCCGATTCTCCCCATCTCCACTCAGATGATATGATCCTTTAGGGTATGTTCAGTGTGGTCCAGCTACATGTGCCTTATTGAAGCCAGTACAGTGCTTAAGACAGCAGATGTTCAGAAAATACTGGATGGCTGGACATTGGATGAAGTAGCCACCAAAAATTCAAATTATGTTACTATTCAAAAAGCACAGCCTTTAAAGTCAGACAGTCCTGAGTTGAAACCCAAACCCCACTGACTTATTGTTAAACTGAGATGTAGATATGGCACATCTCTGAACTGTGTTTCCTTATCTTTAAAGTGGAGATGAAAATAATATATTCCTGTAGAGTTATCAAAGATCAGAGATGAGCTATAAGATAGTAGCTCTTAATATCCAGTAAATCAAACTATAGTAAATTAAAATATAGTCATTATTATTGCAAAAGCTATTTTTTAAAAAATGATACTATTGATGTCATCTTGCTCATTATTACCTCAGTCACATGCTGTAACTGGTACTTTGTCTCATCCCAGCATTTTGTTTTCTTCTCTGTGACTGTAGATGTTTTCACATAGCAGCAGGATTGAGCTTTCATAAATTGCACTTCCATTTGTGGAGACAAGGACCCTGGAATTGACTGGGCCATTCTCTAAGTCAGAGATGAAGAAGAATTTGGAAAAGGGAAAATATTTCCTGCAAAGAATTTGAGAGAATAAGACATGGCATGAGCGATTACCTGGACTGCCCAAAATCAGAATCTCCAGATTAAGCGTCACTGTTTCTCACCGTCTAAGAGGCTATGAATTAAGAGAAAAGCCACAGTAGAAAGATACCTGACTTTTCAAAAGGAGAATTCTGACACCTCGAAAGTAAACAAGTATTACTTAAGCTGCTGAGATGTCTTCCTAGCTTATCTCCATCACCATTACTTTTGATGTCCACTCAAAATTTTCTTTGTATTCACAGGATCACAGGAAAATAGAACAGATCTTACAGGTCCAATTACTAGTTCATATTGCAATGAAGCCTAAAAACACCATATTAACCCTGTATTGAGAGATAAGCAAGGGACAAATATGAGATGAAAATGGAGATGCATATCCTCTCACCCTCCCTTCTTACAACCTGCGTAGCCTGCTATCATACCCACTATGTCAGGGACCTTTATGATTTCTTTTAATGCATTTATTTTATCAATATAATACATACATGTCATAAAAAGTTAAGAGATAATGGTACTAAAAATTTATAATAAAATACAGCAATAATCTCTACCACTCCTTCCTATCCAGAAGCCTCATTCCCCAACCAGCAATTTCAGTGATTTTAGTCCTTTAGATATTTATTCTGAAATTTACTTCCGCATTTCTAAATAATATATGTGGAAGAAATGGCTAGTTCCACCATATCCATCGTTTCATTCTTCCATGGAAATATATACCACAATTTCAAGCTGAGCTCATGACTTCCAGAAATGCATTTTCAAGCTCCTCTTTTAATTGCATACAGTTATGCAATTCAATCCTGGACAAAGGAATGTAAATAAAGGCATTCCATATAACTTTCAAGAACCTTTCTTAAATGACACCGGAAAAACATCCTTTGACTGCTTCCTTCTTCATTCTTTCTTCATTCTTGGTGGCTGAAATACAGACATGATAGCTGGAGCCTGAGCAGCTACATTCAGCCATGCGGTTAACTTGGGAAAGGAAGCCCCTCACTCTGGAACAACAGTATAGAGGGAGATTGGGTCACTGAGGATTTGATGAACAAAGCTATCACTCCAATCCTGGACTGCCTAGTTCTATGTTGACTGAGACAGAAATAAACTTTTTCCTTAAGTCACTGTTACTTTGTGGTTTTGTTTTTCATAGCTAACCAAAGCATATATTTTATTGCTTTTTCTTGATTTATCAGTTTTAGAAATTTTCTACTAGTGGCCTAAAATAGTAGATAAATATTTAGCTTTCTAATAACAGCCACCCACCTCCCACTTACATATCCTTCATCTCAGTATACTTCCATTACATTAATGCTATGTAATTTATATTCACTGCTAAACCAAGTAGTTTGGCAGTGCATATAAGTAGTAAACTATGAATGGCTTCTTTCTTATGCAACTTCTCATTTTACCCAGAGTTAAAAATAGCCTTTTTTCTTCATTTACTTAGTTTTCTCTATCGTTACGGCTAATTCTTTCTACACTGTCCAATAGCCTCTCATTCACTTTTCTGCACAGGGCAATGTATCGGATCATCTGTTGGTTCTACTTTTTATTTTCTGAATTCTCCCTGCTGGAGACTTTGTCCTCCTGCTGTCTGGACCTGCTGCACAGCTCTCATCCCAGGTGTTTCCTTCACCCTCATCTGGGGGCTTTCGTCTGCCTCAGTCATGTATAGGATTCTTGGTTTCCTTAACATCAAGCATTCTACTTTCTTGGTGTCTCATTTATTGTGGAAAACTGCTTCCAGTAGTTTCATAACAAAGGGTGGGTACGTAAAAGGTAAATTACATTGAATGTCTCCTTGGTGGAGTATAGACACAGGGATGGCCCCAGAGTTTCTGCAGGCTTCGCCACATCAGAAGACCTGGACGAAGCAATGAAAGTAGAATATCGCCTCCCTTCTCACCTTCAGGTACAACTGTATTGCTGCAGAAGACTATAATCAAGACAGAGAAACTCATTCTCCACAATGGGCCTTTTCAGAAGGAGAGACAAGGCATTCCTAATGCAACTGGATGAGAGACGCCCAAGAACTCCAGATGTTTCTCTTACAAATGTTTTTCTTACAAATTGAAAATGTTACTTTTCAAAACTCTGACTTTAACTCTGTTAACTTACTCTCCAGGGGCAAAACATGTTATGTGGCGTTGTTTTCTCTTGTTGCCTGGAGTGATAGAATCTGAAAGCCACTACCCAGAGCTTATGAGCTGTATAATTAACCACATAATATTTTCACCTTAAAAATCCTCCAGCAATGTTCAATGAAATCAGTAGATTAAACAGCCCAACAAGAATAGGGCATTCCTCTTAGCCTAGAAAACATGCTGGCAGTTTTGCCTCTTAGAAGCCAGGAGCACTGATCTTCCCCTCCTTATGCTTCTCAACAACCCTTCACTTCAGACTGCCAGGCAGACTACAGTACTAGGGAAAATCCAGCCCAGGTTTTGTGCCATTTCTTGTGCAAGATTGGATGGGAAGCTTGTAAAATCTATTTTGCTCCAGGTGGAAAACCAGCCATGATGAATTAATCCAATATACTTTCTTGTTTTTTAATTTAAAAATTGTATCTTGTGGTGTATTACCTGAAGGCTCTGCAGCAGATGAACACACAAGACTCAAGAAAGCAGAGGGAGAAGCTACTTCCCACTACTTGGCTCTCTCTGACCCAGAAAATCAGGCTAGCGATATTATGGTAGTGTAGTCTAAGCAACATCAGCAAATCGACTGAGAAATCACTCCCTAATAGATTATAATCATAATAAATATGCTATAAGCAGCGTTCCATCCCAAAAAATTGCACAGGAGATATGGGAAAGTTTTTATGCCATTTTGGAAGCTCTGGTGTAATTTCCCTGCTTTTGAAGGAAGAAACAGCAAATGGTTCTTCTCTTTGGCTATTATCTTCTCATTCTATTTCTCCTGCATATCCTTTAAAGCAGGGGGGTGCCTACGTGCTAAGCTAATGTTCTCCTGAATGCACACATTCCCTCAGAAATTGAAGCAATGTATTTTGAAAATATAGCATCATGAATGTGAAATAAATGTGGAAAAGATGGGCTTCACCCAAGTTATCTTCCCTGTAATGGGTTTTTAAGGTCTTCAATATGTCACTATATGATAACTCTCCAAGACTAGGCTACTGAAAATGGCATTTCCAAACTTATTTGACCACTGAATCCTTTATTTGGGAAAGGGGAGTGAATATTTCTGTATTTCATAGACCACTTGTCTGGGGAGTGTAGTTTATAAAAACCAAAGGGAATGAAGGCAAAACTAGACTTCAATGCCTCCTGTTCCCATGGTATATTTTGGAATCAGTAATACGAGTTTTGGGGAAACCAAGAGATAAGCTTTAAAAACTGCCTTTGTCATATTCTGGCTGTTCTACTTCAGTCATGTTATTTAACCTCTATGAGATCTATTTCTCCATCTGTAAAATTGGGACAATAATACTTTTTAAGAGATATTTAGAAACGATTGCATGAGATATTATATATAAAGCTCTCCACTGAATGCCTCACCCTAAGTGGGTGCCAAAAAGACTAATAGTCTTTGTATTTTATTTTAATCTTCTCTATTCCCACGTCCACCTCAGTGCATCAAGGACCCCAGTGTTACTCACCTGTTTGTTGATGTCTGAAATGCCTTTTCACAATGAGTGAAATAGATGTGGCAGTGCACAGAAAAACCAGGAAGAGGGAGTTACACTAAGGAGGTGACTCTCTAATATTAGGGGCGACCAAATTATTTGGCAAGAACTTTTTTGTTAAATACGTTTTTTAAAATACCCATACTCAAAAGTTCTCATTCAGGAGATTGAGGATGGGGCTCTAACTTCTATATTTTTAGCAGAATCTCCACAGAATTATGATGCACCCAAAAGTTTTGTAACCCTAAGGTTTAAAATATATACCTATATCCATCTAGATCTAGAGTTAGATAATATGACAGACACTTCTGTGAGAGTGATTAGCAGGAGAAGGGAGAAGGTGAGGGTCTTGGTGATTAAGAAATGGAACCAGGGAAGGAAGACAGAACAGAATCAGAACAGAAGCTCTAAGAATGATCTCTGTCAATTTTCTATTTCTCCCAAAAATGTGCCCGGGATGGTGGTCAGGAAGTAGAAAAAAATATTAGTGCGGCCAGAGATACGTGCAGCTTGATGGCTTTTGAGACATGTGAGCAGGCCCCATTAGGCAGCTATGCACTGGGTCATGGTAAGTGCTGCCATTTGTCCCAAAGTCACTTCCAGCTCTGAAGTGACCTTTACCTGTACCTATTACAGTAGCCTGGTGTTATAGTCAACAATCCTTTGACAAGAATTTTTACGGACCTGGGAAAATCTAGATACTGAATGACCAAAACTCTAAAGCTCTTCATCTTGTCTCAAAGAATGATCAGGTTGAGCAGTTCCCTCTCCTGGTATCCTAGTAAGCTTCATATTTCAGCATCCTTTCTTGAATGGAACGACCAGATATGCTCTCCTATTTTGCTAGTCCAAAATTGGGATGTAATCATCAATGAAAGTGGTTTGGGAAATAAGGAGAAAATCGCAGAAAGAGAAGCAAAGCAGCCAAAAAGTAAATAAGTTCATCCCCGAATTTCAGGGTTCCTGTGAGAGTTTAATAACTGACATATAGTGTCCAGCAGAGCATGGCCCATAGTCTGGTGTTCAATGGGAAAGGAACAATAGACACTGTGTTTAGCTATCAGAGCTATCAGTCATCATAAAGATGACTGCGGCCATCTTTAGCATACAGAGATGCTCTGTCTCCCAACTAGGCCCAGGGCTCAGCATGCAGCAAAAATTCAATACACTTCAGCTGGCTAAGTGCATTGATGGTGCTGACTCCAGTATCAACCATCAAAATTAGCAAATTTTTGTGACAGATATACTGTGTGACCACACCACATTGGCCTCTGTATTGGAGTGGTGATTCAAAAGAGATAATAAAGCATCACAGTGTTAGGTACTTACAATCTTGTCTGGCAAGACTTATACACACTTGCACATGCACACATTCATGCATGCATACACATACACTCACACGCTGCACTCTGAATACTCCAAACAATTTACAATCAAATAGAAGATGGTGACATGAAAATGTGATTTTGGAATTTGGATTAAAGAAAAATTTGGTATGGGCTGGAGTAGCCTCATTAGGAGAAAGCAGTGGAAAGAACACTCGTTGCGGAGTCAGGCAGTCACAGACCCAAACCTGAGGCTCCTGTGATTTTTACTGTAATTTCCTTTTCTGTCAAATGAGAATAATAGCACCTGACTCGTGGATGACTTAAGGAGTTAGAACATTGAGCAAGGTAATATCTTACAACATATCTTTAACAAACTTTTCATGTTGGATAGTATAATGGGTTGAATAATGACCCCAAAGATGTTCATGTCCTAATCCCTGGCACCTGTAATTATGTTAGCCTGCTTGGTTAAAAAAAAGAAAACACTTTGCAGAGGCAATTATGTTCAGGATCTTGAGGTGATGAGAGTACCCTGGATCATTGGAGTGGGCCCAGTATAATCACAGGGGTCCTTATAAGAGGAAGTCAAGAGGATCTGAGTCAGAGAAGGAGATGTGAAGACAGAAATAAGGGTGAAGGGATGCAGGGCCACACACACAGGAATGCAGAGGGCTTCTGGAAGCTGGCAAAAGCCCAGAAATGGATTCTGCCCTAGACCCTCCAGAAAGAGTACAGGCCTGATGACACCTTGATTTTAGCTTCATGGAAGCCATTTTGGACTTCTTTGCTCCAGAGCTGTAAGATAAATGTATATTACTTTAAGTCACTGTGATTGTGGTAATTTCTTGCAGCAGCAAGGATAGGCTAAAGCAGATTGTTTTTGCTAACTGCTACTCACCAGCCATTGAGGCTAATTCCCATTGCTTCAGGAAGACAACAGAGTTCAGGCAAGAACAGGGCATTAGGCATTCAGCTTTTTACATTCAAAATAGGCTCCTAAAGCACATTCAGAGACAATAGTGGTGAAAGCTGTAACTTCCATTTTATAAGAGCTGAGATTTTTTGAGAGAGAGAAAAAAGTTGTTGCTGGTTCCAAAGATCTGAAGCTTGTAAACTCAAAAGATCAGAGGAAAGAGGGTCTGTCCTGAGAGAAGTTCTGCCACTACACAGGGAGGAGAAAGAAGCCTGGGACATAACCTAGAGGAACGTGGAAGGAGGACAAGAACAAAGGCAAGATGTGGTCCTCCTGTCCCACAGGGAAAGCGGACAGGTAGATGTGTGTGAGCCGGTAAAATAAATCAGGAGGGTTGAATTTGAGACACGCTGAAAGTGAAAGGGGCTTCCCAATTCAATTCAATAGTTATTGGAGGAAGCCCCCTCAGAATGTGCCCCACGTAGTCAAGAAGGGCTGTAGAGCAGAAACAGAGGCTTGTGGCATTTAGGCAGTAAGAGCACCTGAGATAGTACTCGTAGTTTCCACAGAGATCCATAACTCTTCATGTTCCAGTGGAGAAACCCAGAAAAAGGCAGAGAAGTTCCATGCATAGCCAGGGCCTTTGTGTCAAGTGCATAGACCTCCTGACTGTAGTTCATTACATGGTCCATGGATAGTGGCAGAGGCAGCAAGCAGGCAGCAGAAACTGAGCAGAAGAGGGCAGCCAGTGGAAGGCACCCTTCCCTTGCAGCTACCATGCTGGATATGTTTCCCTTTGCATTCAGACACCATCCTGGAGAGGAAAAGAGGGAGAGCAGAAACCCTAAGAAGGAAGATCAGGCTTGATAGTGAGTTTCAACTTTTAATTATCTGAATTTAAAGCCTGGATTGAGTATTGACCCAAAAAGAAATGACATTTTGATCAGAAGAACCTGAATTATTTTGATAAAAAATTTCCCCCACCGTAAAGAGTAACATTAATTTGATGAGAGTAATAAATTGAATTAAACTGCTATACTTGCAAACTGTGACTGAATTTTAAATCTGGTATGTGGGTTTAAAGCACCGGGCACACAGTAGGTACTCAATGATATTACTTAGCCCTTAATAACTGAATTAATTACTTAAATTTCCTTCTGTGGATGAAGGAAAGGAATTGTCTAGAAAAAAAAATGACCAAGAAGAAAATATTTTTGGAAGGGACAAGAACCCAGTCTTAAAGGAATTAGCAGTTATCTATTGCTTTTACCTGCCCAGTTTAGGGACTTCATCCTGGTAATAGCAACCTGATCTTTCCCTGGGGTCCAACCCTGTCCTGTTCTTTCCATATTATTTAACAGGCTGATCTCATCCCCAGCTCTGGGACTGGGTACATTAGCAAGGCCTGGTCCATCTGCATACTGTATCTCTGTGTTCACTGTAGTCAATTCAAGGAAAGAGACAGAATCCAAGTTTTATTCCACTAGGAATTCCAAGGGCTTTTCTTGACACCATTTAGAATGAGGTTCTCCTTCTGTTGGGTTTAGTACACTGAAAAAAACATAAGAAAGCCTGGACTTCTGTTTCTATCTTGCCAAAATAAAGGAGATCCTGCTTGAAATTAAATTCAATGCAGAAAAAAGAATTGGGAGATTTACAGAGAATATACCAGGAAGATTTATTTGTGCACCTGGACTCATTCATGATTAACTCCTTGTTTTACTTAAGCAAATTATGTTTCTTTCACTATCAAATATAGTACCTTGAATAAAACATACAGGTATGCACTTGCTGTGTCCTCAAGACAACAAGGAACTCAGCCTAGCTAGAGAGCAGTCTCCAAGGTGAATGATGGTGTCAGAAAAGTCTGCAGAGGCAGGGCAGCAAATATCATGAGGGTTCTTGACTGCCAAGCTTTCTGACTTGATTCTGTTCCAAGAAGCAGTAAACAGCCAGAGCAGGTTAAGGAAAGAAGTGACATAATGAAAAGATTACTTGGGGGAAATAAGCCTGGCAGCTATATCAGGACTGATTAAAGCAAAGGCTCTTAACATGGTGTTCATGTACTTAGGTTGGAAAGACTTGACAGCTTTATTTACACTAATCTCAATCAAAATGTGGCATTTTGTTCTATTTTGAATGTAGCAACCAACTTCAGTAGTATCAGCAGTACTTGTATGTTTGCCAACATAAAAGGTACAGATAATTTTATATCCTGTTACCATTGTTGCAGGTATATCAAAATACCAATTATACCTATTACTGCCTTAAAATTATAATGCTTACTGAACCTATCACTGCATATTGTTGTATAAGGCATTAATAGAGAAGCACATGTATTACTGTAGCATAAATTGGTGGGAGTAAGGTTTCTATTTCAGTAACTGTAGTTTTATATAATTGGTTTACTTTGTAAGCCTATGTATTTTACTTTGTACATTTAAAAACGTTATTTAGAAGAGGCCTTGAGTTGTGCCAAAGGGACCCATGGCACAGACACACAGATACACAGGCACAAAAATTAATGATTAAAAACTCCTACATTAGAGAAGGCATAAGGTCTGGAAGCCAGAAGCTATGGCAGAGGCTGTGACACATTCAGTGATGAAGCCTGGTGGGTTTCAAGTCAGGAGGAAGCATGAGAAGGAACACATATTCCCAAAAGGCTTTGAACACAATTTCAGCTGGATCTAAAAGAGAAAATGAACCTGTGCAATTCAGGCAATAGAGAGAGCTCTAAGAAAGCAAGAACTCCATGTTTTGAAACCCAAATGAATGGAGCAAAATGAGCACTAAACAAATGAAGAAATGATGAAAATGGAAAGAATGGGATGCTGACCTGGTTTGGGATCAGCTTTGTGATTTACTTTAACATAATGATAGAACTTTCCAAAGGAGATGTAC
Organism: Homo sapiens; assembly: GCF_000001405.40. Taxonomy (NCBI): domain Eukaryota; kingdom Metazoa; phylum Chordata; class Mammalia; order Primates; family Hominidae; genus Homo; species Homo sapiens. The sequence goes on from NC_000003.12 coordinate 31,087,875, forward strand.
CATAGGAAAACCAAAATGTCTCCTAGGAGCTCAGCTCAGAAGTCAGGGTGGGCTGAGTCTATTTGGAAAGCTTCTGTACAGAAGTGACAGTATGAAGATAAATGCTTTCTCCTAAGGAGAGGTGTGGAGGAGAGGAAGGACCTGTGGCAAAATCAGGACAGGTATCAGAAGAAACATGGAAGCTGGAGAGCAAAACCCAGAGATGCCTGTCTTAGTAGGTGCAATAAAGTAAAGTAGATTCTTTAAAATAGAAAAGAAATATGTAGAACAAGGCCAAACTTAGAAAGCTAGAAAGGGGAGGATTCAAGAGAGCAATTTTGCTCAAGAGATAGGAAGGGAGAATTTAAGAGAGGTGACTGGCTCTTACTAAATTGTGAATAGTACCCCTGATTTATGTATCTTGTGTCTCCTGGCAACTTTTAGCACAGCGCCTGGCAGTTTTTGAAATGTTTTCATTGTAATCAAAGCATCAGAGACTACAGGCTCTTGATACTTTTTATAACCTAGGAAGACTGCCCTTCCTCAACAGTGACCGCATTTGCACATGGCATGTGCATTGTGCAGCAACATAGCAGATGGCACCTTCCCTTCACCTTTATTAAGCACCTTCTCTGTGAGAAGTCCCAGGAGGGTATCCGGATGAGAAAGTTAGAGTCTCTGCTCTCAAAAAGTTTGCAAATTGTCAAGTATAAAATTGATAGAGGCTGGTATACAAACATCTAACTTTTTTTCTTTCTATTTGTCAATTTAACCAAGTTCTCAAGCCATCATGTCTATTCAGGAGAAAATTCTAACTCTTTTCAACTCAAAGTACCTCAGAATCTTCTGGATTTAAACTTGGTCAATTCAGGACTAAAATTTATTATATTGAAGATCTCCATTTAGGACCAGCTATGTAATTTTGGGGGCCTGATATGGTTTGGCTCTGTGTCCGCACCCAAATCTCACCTCTAATTTTAATCCCATAATCCCCACATGTCAGGGTAGGAGCAAGTGGAGGTAACTGAATCATGGGGGCAGTTTCCCCCATGCTGTTCTTGTGATAGTGAGTCTCATGAGATCTGATGGTTTTTTTTTTTTTTTTTTTTTTTTTTTTTGAGATGGAATCTCGTTCTGACCCAGGCTGGAGTGCAGTGGCGTGATCTCGGCTCACTGTAAGCTCCGCCTCCCAGGTTCACGCCATTCTCCTGCCTCAGCCTCCCAAGTAGCTGGACCACAGGCGCCTGCCACCACGCCCGGCTAATTTTTTGTATTTTTAGTAGAGAAGGGGTTTCACCTTGTTAGCCAGGATGGTCTCGATCTCCTGACCTTGTGATCCGCCTGCCTCGGCTTCCCAAAGTGTTGGGATTACAGGCGTGAGCCACCGCGCCCGGCCAGATCTGATGGTTTTATAAGCATCTGGCGTTTCCCCTGCTTGCAGTCACTCGGTCCTGCTACCCTACAAAGAAGGTGCCTGCTTCTCCTTTGTCTTCTGACATGATTATAAGTTTCCTGAGGCCTCCCCAGCAATGTGGAACTGTGAGTCAGTTAAACCTCTTTTCTTTATAAATTACCCAGTCTCAGGTATTTCTTCATAGCAGTGTGAGAATGGACTAATCCAGGGCCCCGTTGCAAAACAACAATGCGGGGCCACTAGTTCAAAATTATTAATCATTTTAAGACAACAGCATCAAAGCATTATATGAAGTGTGAGGCCTTTCTGAACATGAGACTCTGTTACAGATCACAGGCCATGAAGCTAGTCCTGTCTCTGTCCTCTCTCTTCTTTCTCTCCTCTCCGTAAGATGAGACTGTTTAAATGTTTCTACTTTCCCTGTATCTAGGTTTATGAGGCCAGTTTGATACTTGTAGATCATTATCCAGAGAGTAGGCCTCTTTTTCTGCAGAATATTCGTTTTAGCACCTACATTATATATTTCCATTCATTCCAACATTGTCCATTGCTTACCATGCTGGGGACTATTCAGAGTCTTTTCTCAGTTATTTGACTCACATGATACATGGAGAGTCATGTACATACTTTCTCTGACTTATTACAAATTCACAAATCTCATTCTTTCACCCTGTCAGGTGAATCGTCTCTTGGCTGCATATAAGATTCTTCAGCTTCTCTTGGAAGCTTAAAGAAACATTATTCCACTGTCTTCTAATTTTCAGTGTTGCTGAAACAAAGTTCAAATGGCAATCATTCTTTTTTTTTTTTCTACGTAAGTAACTTTTTTTGCTATCTTGAAGTTTATAGGATTTTCACTTTACCCTTTAAGTTCAGCAATTTTCCCAGGGTATACTGAGTTATATGGCTTTTCTCTTTAATACTACCTGGTACTCAGAACACTTCTAAGAACTCTGCAGACTAAGGGTTTTCTTTAGCTTCAATTGTCTCATCAGCTCAGATAAATTTCTTTTTATTATTTATTTATAAGTAAACTCTCCTCCATCTGTTCTTTGCTCCTCTGGAACCGCTATGGTTCATATATTAGGTCTCATGGATCTGTACATCAATTTACTTAAGTTCTTTCTTTCTCCATGATTTAGTTCTCTTTGCAATTTTGCTCTGAGTTATAAAATAGTCCTTTCTCTTGATCTTCTAGTTCAGGTTTCAAAGGTCACGACCCTCTTTAATTCATCTAAAAAACTTTTAGATTAAAAGGTTATAGTTTGTATTCCAGATAACTTTGTTTTCTTTATGATCTGGTCAAATCTCCTTTGGTGTTCTTATCATCTTTGCTGAATACTTGAATGTGTTTTCTATCACCTTCATTTCTCTGAGGAGCTGTCTGGACCAGTGCTCAGTTCCTTTCCCTCTTAGTCTCTCAGTTGACCTGAGTTTCCAGAGATTCTCATATTCTCCTGGGATGAAGGAGCAGCATCTGGGCCTTCTCCTTTCTTGCTCTGGATTCTACACCACTTTACCACTTTACCACTTTACCCCTGGGCCAGAGCCCACCAGGGATAACACAAGAGAGGGCAGTAGAAGAGTCAGCTACGAAGGGGTACAGTGTCTGTAGAGAATTTAAAAATAGCAAAAAAACCAACTAGAAGCCAGTCTGCCTTTTATTTTCACCATGCACAGCAATTTAAACAATATCCGTACCTCTTCCCCTAAAATCTGTCGTTGGTCTAAGTTTAGCTAGTTTTAGCTATGGCTAGTGTTGAGTTTTAATTATACATACGAAACCTTAAAATTAGTGAATTTTGATTACTTACCTTTTAATAAACATTGTATACTGCATGGAAATTAATTCAGAAAACTCTCAGTTATAAAGTTGGCCCCCAACACACCAAGACTCAGTTACGAGTGCCTACGAAGATTAAGTTCATCGTAGTACAGAATTGTTCCAGCTCACTTCAGATTCAATCCACATCTCCAGTCCCTGTGGTACTACATATTCCTACATTTAAACAGTAGGTTCTAAATAAAAAATGATAGCACAGTAACCTTAAAGGTAAAGAAAACGCACTTGGGCCACCTGGAGTTCCATTACTATGTGAGCATTTGGAGTTTTTATTTGTGTTCGAAATGTTTTAAAATGAAAAAGAGTACAAACTATAAGCCATAATAGTTTTGCTTAGGAAGTGAAAAGTCTAGTTCATACTTGAAATATGTTACTGAATTTTAATAACATTTTGCATATTAAAATGTATTGTTTTTCATTAATTGTTTAAAGACAAATTAAGTGATTATTAGCAAATATCAAATATCACTGAAAATAATGTTGTCATAAAAAGGAGGGGGGTACTTTTAAGTGCCCTGTCTTGGGTCTCAAATAAATAGGTACTCCCAGGGTTTAACTCTGGGGTACCTTGGCTGACAGTGATGGTACCTGGTCCTTACCATGGATCATTGCTGGCCCAGCTGTCAAGTTGGCATTCCAGTGGAAGTATTGGGGCAGAGTCTCTGGGCTCCCTGGATGCATCTGGAAACACTAGCACTCTCAGGGTCTTGGAAGTAGGGGAGGACTCACTCTGCTTTTTCCAGATCCATCATAGCTTCTTAGGATCTGGCACCAGCAAGAAGTCCCGGAACCACTCATCGGGTGAGAACACACCCTGCTTCTCAGACCCCTGCTGGCCACATTTTCTCCAGGAAACTGTACTGTGATCCTCCCCACCAGGGCTCTCTGCTAGTGACTATGTTCTTATTAGCCCCAGAAATGAAGAAAGCCTTAAGTCAGCTCCCTCCATGGTCTCCAGCAAAGCCCAAAACCTGCTGAAATCTTTCAGAGCATCCTATCTGCACAAAAATTGGATTTGAGTTGGGCACAGGTCAGCTGGTTTTATGAGAGCGGACCGCCAACTTCCCAGTGTCTCCAGCACTGGTTCACACAGGCATAGCTTCAAATGTGTAATATATAACTATATTTTTTAGTAACCAAACTTAACTCAGCTCTTTTGCCATTCTTTCTGCTTGGAATTGAGAAACTTTACTTTTTCAATCAATGCAAATCAAAAACTGATTTAAACAAGCCGATTCAGGATTTAAATTTGTTCAGTTGAAGATACTCTCTATCTTCCTCCTTTCCCTCTTAATCTCTCAGTTGACCTGAGTTTCCAGAGATTCTCATATTCTCCTGGGATGAAGGAGCAGCATCTGGGCCTTCTCTGAAACGTGGGGTCCTGTCTGTTCTGCCTGATCACACTGTGAAGGTTTTAAAGAATGACTTCAAATTCTCTGCACACCTCCTAACAAGATGTGGAGTCTATGCCACCTCTCTTGAACCTGAGCAGTCGTTTGTGATTGCATCAATGAGGGGAATGCAGCACAAGGGTAGCCTTGTGAGTTTCAAGGCTAGTGTAGAAAAGGCCACGGGGCTTCTGTGAGTTATTCTAGGAACACTCAGTCTGGAAGCTTTCAGCCATCATGCAAGATGTGTGCCACTGGTGGCTGCCCTGTAGAAAAACTACATGAAGAAAGAAAGAGAATCCTGAGCAATCCCTGCTGTACCTACTCTCCACTGTTTGAGTCTCCCCAGCTCAGGGGTCAGACATCTAAATATAGAAGCCTTCAATGTAACCCCAGGCCCAGCTATCATCTGACTGCAACCACATGACAGACCCTGAACAACTTAGCTGAGTGAGCCCAGTCATACCTTCCCCCAGATTTGTGAACAAAATTAATGATTACTATGGGCTGAAACTTCAGTGCAAAAGCAGTCCTCAATAATTGACTGGGAGACTTCCATCCCTTCTTTCAAGTGGATAATGCTCTAAAACTTGTCTATGCTCTGCATCCAGTCCTTAGCCTGGGATGAGAAATCCACAGCTTCCCTTATAAAGCCCTGTCAGTGTCACAATGACACCCTGGAGGTCTGCAAGCTCTCCACACTTAGCCAACTTTCTCTTCCCACTCCAGCATGGGAGACACAGAGTGCTACTTCCCAACCCTTCTCCAGACAGGAAATGCCTTTGCCTAATCATTTCAGTTCCTTCTTGTTGGCACAGTTCTAGATAAGAAGAAAAATACAAACAAACATCTGGGGATCTCCATCATTATCACCTCCTAAAGAAGATACGCCAAGTTTTTGTTTTTTTTTTTTTTTTTTTTTTGAGATGGAGTCTCACTCTGTCGCCTGGGCTGGAATGTAATGGCATGATCTCAGCTCACTGGAACGTCCGCCTCCTGTGTCCAAGCAATTCTACCTCAGACTCCCGAGTAGCTGGGATTGCAGGCATCTGCCACCATGCCCGGCTGATTTTTGTATTTTTAGTAGAGATAGGGTTTCACCCTTTTGGCCAGGCTGGTCTTGAACTCCTGACCTCAGGTAATCCACCTGCGTCAGCCTCCCGAATTGCTGGGATTATAGGCATGAGCCACCGCACCCTGCCCAAGCATTTTTTTTTTTTTTCAAAACATTGTCTAAGCTCCAGGAACTTCTCTTCCTAATTTCTTCTTCCTGTTGGATGGTTGTACTTTTTCTCTTGTGTGGGATTCAAAGGCTCTTATGTCATTTCATACTTCCCCATCTCTATTGTGCATGGTAAATACTGTATTCTCAAATTCCTCAAGGCATTATAGTTTGTTTGCAGCTCAGCCATTTGGAATTTCATCATAAATTATTACTCAAAAAAGCCTGGATCTTGAAAATAAAAAATATACTATCCTTCTAAGTATTAAGAACTGAAACTATCTATGCCTGCCCAACTTACTCTGCACATGAACATGAATATTCCAGGACACTGTTGCCCAGGAAGATGGAGTTCCAAAGGCCTTTTATTGTATATTTCAGGGACTCCTAGAAGTACTCAAAAAGTAACCATAGATAACTCAAACAGGTTCACCAATAATCCGAGGCCTGCTTTGAACTACTTGCCTTGAAATTATTACGTTGTTATGTCAACTAACTCCACACTATTTTATCACGAACCTTGCGCAAGTCTATTGGAATTGTAAATATTGAAACTTCATCCTCCCCTCCTGAGATGGCATTAAGACTGTTAAGGGAGTGATCTCCTTTACTGAAGCAAACAATAAACTTGGACTTACTTTATTAATAGATTACTTGGTGATATTTAATAGCCAACATTTGACACTGTTACTTTTGTGTTATTTACAGAAGCTTATTTAAGAAATCTAAAATTAAAAAATTAGTTTTCTAGGCTATGTCCACTATTTCCTGAGGGCAGGTTGTATAGAAGGGAAAGTAATGGGTATAAGAAATAAGGTGTAGGGAAGGAGGAGGAGGAAAGGAAGAAGAGGAGGAAGGGGAGAATACTGATTTATTTAATCCTCAAAACAAACCTATGAGGTAATTATTATCATTATTACTCTCATTTTACAGACAGGGAAACTAAAGCATAGAGCCGAGGTAGCTTTCCCAAGAGTACACTGCTTGTAAATGACAGAACTGATAGTGAATTCATGCAACCTTGCTTCTGTTTTTAAACGGTTTTAAACACTGTGATAGTAACCTATTGTTTATGAAACAACTAAAAAATGGTACAATAAATGCCACAGCATTGGTATGAACAATAGAGTTGAACAGTAGTCAACTCTATCCAGGAGTGGCATGGGATGGGACAGACAAGGCTCTCTTGGGATTGATGTAAGTGTTGATGTTCGAGTTGAGTCTTGAAAGATGAGCAGGTTTTCCCCCAGGTAAGCTGAATGTGCAAAGGCCTAAAAGTACCAAGCAGTGTGGAGTATTCAGAAAAATGGTGAGCAGATTCCATACGGTTAGACCTTGGGGAGGTTTGTGAGGAGAAGCAGGCACTGTAAGAGACAAAACCAGCAAGGCTTCAAGGGCTAGATCATCAAAGGGTCTTGCGGGTTGAGCTAAGGGTTTCCAGAATATGAATTCCTGAATATTGCTATGAGCAGCATGTTTCACCATCCTTCCTGTCTCCCAATAGAGGCTTTAAAATAGTCAAAGAAACGGAATCAGAAATTTCTGCTCTCCCAGCAAAAATCCAACCACCACCCCCGACTCTTATCACCACCCAAAAGAAAAAAAGAGCTGCTACAGTGCAAAAACATTCACAGAAAGAAGGTGGAATTTCATCTGCAGTGAGACTCCTCCACTGAAACAAACATGTCAGTTGCCCAACCTGAAAGAGCACATTAAGGCAATATCATTGCTGTGTGTAGGAAAGTTTTCCACTTAAGCACTCTCCTTAAGAATTCCTGCCCCAGGCGCTTGAGCTAACACAGAAACATATGATGGGTGGAACCAGCAGAAGGAGAGGTTTGAAAAGCTTGCATCCTGTCCGGTACCTTTTTCTTTCTCTCAGAGCCATCCTATGTTACCATGTATGTGTGCAAAAGGCCAAAGAAAGGAAAGCCGGACTGGAGCAGAAAGAGAAGATAAGTTTCTCATCGATTCTATGACCTAGGACAAAAAAAGAGTCATGAGGGAAGATGGCAAAAGGTAGCATTTTCAGCATTAATGAATACTTCCCAAGAGCTAGAATAAAACCAGGGCAGAAGTCCTCGAGACTTCAGACACTTTCATTCTCAGGGTGAGAGCCTACCCAGCTTAAATGAGAGAGGAGGAAAAACAAGCTTCTATTTCTGAATTCCAATACCACTGCAGCAATCTTCCCTTAAAAAATGGCAAGGGCCTTAGCTTGAAATATTAATTCAGAAATTAGCATTCATTTGCATCCATTTCTTATGTCCCCAACATTGTGAATAAAATTAACTTAATTAATGAAATCAATTGCAGAAGTATCAAAGCCGTTATTTGGAGCATAACAAAAGAGAAACTCACAACACACAAGTATATGGAACTATTCATTGTCTGGCACACAGCAGGAGCTTAATAGCGGCATATGGACAGAGTGAATGACTAACCGACTGACTGAATGAATGAATAGTCTCCCTTAATAGCTGTTTGATAGATTCCCTACCCTTTCTGTACCTAAATTTCCTGGGTATAAGAAGCAGGGAGTATGGAGGAGTTGATGTAGTTAACCTGCTATTAAGTGGATGGCACAGTCCAGTTGTATCTCATCAGCCTGCAAGCCAGATCAAGGCCTTGCCACCAACTAAATACCTGCATAATCAAATCATCACCTCTCACCCATACCCATGGCCTTTTCCCAGCTACCCCAAAATCAGGGTTCCCCTTCTTCCTTGCCAAGTAATTAGGCACAATGTTCTGCATGTTAGAGAGAAAGTGATTCCAAGGCTTGGTTCCCAAAGTAGTTCCCAGGATCCTCAGTGAGCAGGACCCTTGGAAGGGAGGATTCTTGGGACCTTTTGATAAAAGGCACTTGCACCCAAGATGGCATGATTAGAAGCTACTTCAGCAGCTCACCCTCACAAGCTATCCTCATCTGAATTGAGAAATGAATTTTTCAGTCCCTGCTACAACTTTTGGCAAAGGAAGCAAATGAAGTTGTTTCATTCAAATCAGTCAGCCAGGATTTGCTGAGCTTTAAGCTCCTGTCTGCGAGGAACTTACCATCTGTTTGGGGAGACAAGATTTATGCCCAAGGAACCACTTGAAGGAGCAGTACAAATAGTATCTAATCAAGAACTAACAGACCACAAGGGAGGATTTCATCCTCTCCCTTCTTTTTGCCAGTGACAGGGACAAAAAATGCTTCCAGACCACAATAAACATCCCATGAAACTGAAAGTGAACTGATACCTCACAAAATGGTGATTTCTGGACTGAAAATAGACATTCTTTCACCTCCAAAGCACGCCTATGGAGCAAAAACGAGGAGGAAATTTCTGTTATTCTCAGATGATAGCCAAGGAAGTAAATTGCCTTCCACAAGCTCATTTTCAATAAATGGCTGCTGCTTGAAGGTTTAGATCAGTGGTCCTCAAACTTATGCGCATCAGAATTGCCTGGGAGACTTGTTAGAATGCAGACTGCTGGACCCCACCCTCCCAGAGTTTCTAATTCAGTAGGTCCAGATGGAACTGAGAACTTGTATTTATAATAAATTCCCAGGTGATTCTGATGCTGATGATCAGTGGACCACACACTGAAATCTCCTGGTTTACATGATTGTGCTGGACATCGTGTGTAAATATTTGTTCTGTGCACATTATAAGTGATGCACAATTCTACATAAAGCTATATAGCCAGGCAGAGAGATGATGTGAGAGGAGAGGGGCCAGAATAGAAAGGGAGGGAAAAAGGAAAAGTAGGAAGGAAGGATGGAAAAACGGAGGAAGGAAATGATCACTATGGAAGAGGGTGCAATGATTATAGACTCGAACTCAGGGTTTGGAAAATCAACTCTGTATACGATGATAACATAAAAGAGAAGGAAGCAAGCAGGAATAAAAAAAAAATGGACTCTTTCTGCTACAGTATGAGAGAGACAGCAGTGGATGGGGTGGTTTCAGGGATCTGGAACTGCAAACCGTCTCTAAAGTCCCCATTGAACTCCAGATGGTTGTTATTCAAAGAATGGGGTCCAGTATTTGCCAGAGTTGCCAATTTCTCAAAAGAACTAAAATTTTTGGATTTTCATAAGATCTACTACCCATGAGGTAATGATAAAGAAACTCACAATAGAAAAGACAATCATTTATTCACTACCTAGCATAACCCTGGAAGAGACCAAGATTAAGCAATTCTCCAGAATTTGCCAGGAAAATAACCACTGACATCTTTTAAAGGATACTAAAATAATCTCCTCTGGCCAGAAGGCAAGCAGATCTTCTCAAATTTGGTGTGATGGGAACTTAAAAGCTTGCCAGGGACATGGAAGCACACTGAACCCTGGCTTCTAAAGAGATGAAGGCCCATTTGCACTGGTTAACAAATGTCGTTCATCCCAGACCAAAAAACCATGGACACTGCCACCTAATGAGAGTTGGGTTGCCGAGCAGAGCTCTCCTGACGGGGTCACAGTTGAAAAAAGTGGCCTCGGTGAGGATTTCCCATTGGATCTATACCCAGCTTTCCTTCACATAGTCCAAGGAGGAAGCTGAGCTCACCGGGCTGAGAGTTACCAAGAAAGCAAGACAAGTTGCTTCTTGAGGTGTAAGACTGTGTCTCACTCACCTTAGTATCTCCAGGGCCTGGCACATGATCCAGCACAACATGGAAACTCAACGTTGCTCACCTGAATAAATGTCTTCAAAATGAGACCTGTTTAGAGAATTGGCCCGTTTTCTTAAAAGCCTTTATTTTCCATTCTCCTCTTCTTTTGTCTCCACCAATTCCTTTGCTTATCCTGCTCCCCAGGACACTGACCCCAGGGTCCTTTTGGTCCTTCTGTATCTGTGTCCATAAAACACATAGCCATTTTAGATGTCAAGAGTCATTTTTAGAGCCATTATAGCAGGGAAGCCATCCTGTCTTTCATCCCTTTTCTCCAGGGGGTTACAGAATGAGGGAGTAGATAGAAGAAAGAAAAGCTAACTTGAAATTTTTAATGTTTTTTAAAAACAGCTTTTAATTAGTAGCTTAGACTCCATAATCCCCAATTCAAGGCTCCTCATAAAAAGTTAAGGTGTATATGTGGCTCAGTTTGGAGGCTGAAATAGGGTCTAGGGTGATCAACTATGTCAATTTGCCTGGGACTGAAAGGATTCCAGAAACGCTGGGCTTTCAGTGCTAAAGCCCAGAAAGTCCTGGGCAAACTGGGATGAATTGGTCACCCTCACCTCCTACTTCTCCTACAAATCTAAATATTTGGAACAACACAAGAAAGAGGAAATGGGGCACTAGGGAGAATGAACACCTTGACCCGACCCACACTGTTAGAGGCACAGGATAAAAGGAAAGAAAGAAGGAAATCCTGAAATTCCTGCTGATTTTTAAGGTCCAGTAGTCCATTCACAAATCAGATAAAGCCCAATCAGATTAGTAAATTGTTCTTCCTTGGAAGTGGGAAGCTATGAAAGGAGTTAGAGGAAAGGAAGAAGAGTGCTAGGAGAGCCCGCCTACCCCAAAAGCATTAATTCTAAGATGCATTCCTTCCTTTTATTCTCGTAAGAGCACATCCTGCCTTTTAGAGATTTGCAGAAGGACCATCTCCACAGATTCTATTTTTCCTTAGTGCTCTGAAAAAAATAAATGGAAAATTTAGTTTTGCAAATTGTTTTGTGAACCTGATTGCATTGACATAGTGAACTTCAGTATTCTACCAAAACAGACATGTCTTCTGCCTAGGTTATTTCACCATGAAATGACTTCATTCGGCAATAGTGTGTTAGATAGTGAAATACCATGGAAAGACACTGCAATTGCCAATGATTGTTGGGAAAGAAGGAAGCAAAAAAAAGAAGAGGCTGTTCAAAATGGAACATAAACGCTATTTAAAACAATTTTCTGAAAAACAGTGATTGCAAAGGCTGGAGCCAGGACATCTGAGAGCAAGCCGTCAGAGTCCTCTTTCAAGACGCAGCTCCCTGTTGCTGTCAGCAGACCAAGGATTTTTTAGCATCTTGGAAGAAATGTTAAATCAATAAACTACTTAAAAGTTGCTGACAAATCAGATGCTGTTCTATACAAAGCCAAACCCCATTGCCAGGGAGAAGCTGAAGACTTGAACAATTTTTAGAAGGAAAGGGCCATTTGCCACCAACACCCCATCCTGTATTCTACCATCTGAGACATCTCAGCTCACATTAGGAGCACAGTCATAGGTCCTGGTTGATTCAACCAAGCCTTCAAGGTTTAAGACCCCCTAGAAAACACAAATAGATCAGGTTGGCTTCACCAACCTGGTGCTTCACATTAATTTTGAAAATGACTTCTGACTGCAATGTAATCCGTTTTACCTGGGTAATACTTTACAGTTTTCAGATCATTTCACACCGTCATGTCATTAGCTTACCACAAAAACCCTCTGAGTTTGGCCTAGCCGGTGTTCTTCTACTTATTCCATAGCTGAGAAAAAAGAAGCTAAGAGAGCCCTTAGTGACTTGTTCTAGGTTGCATGGCTAGAAAATGACTGAGCCATGTCAAAAACCTAAGGTTTCTATTTTACTCCTCTGAAAACTTAGTAATTCATTACATCCATTCAGAATTATCTGATATCTCCTGTATCACCTAAAAATAATTTATATATTCAGCCCCAAAAGAACAAAGTTCTTGGTGTCTCCAATAACTATGCTTATTTATATTTCTGAATGTATTAGATTCCTATGTTAATAATTGCATAGGTTTTTTATTTTATTTCCCAAATTCAATTATTTAACAAATATTTATTGGACTTTTCAGTGCACTGACATTGGTGACACAAAAATAAGTAAAACAGTTCCTCCCTTCACAGATCTCACAGTCCAGAGCGTGGGTTGGAAAATTTTTTCTGTAAGTATTTTAGTCTTGGTAGTCATATTATCTCTATCATAACTACTCAACTCTACCACTGTAGGAAGAAAACAGCCATAGACATTATGTAAACAAATAGGTGTGGCTGTGTTCCAATAAAACTTTATTTACAAAAATAGGTCATGGGCAGGATTTGGCCCATAGCCTATAGTTGCTCTAGTCCTGATTCTAGAGGGATTCTCAAAGCAGAAAAATCCAACACTGAGGCAATATGTTTTGTTGTTGTTGTTGTTACTGTTGTTTAGTTTTAAGTATATTTTATAATATATTTTCTGATCATAAAAGTAAATCCATAGCAGAAAATTAGAACATACAAAAACACATTAAGAACAAAAATCATCAGTCATCCTACTGGCAGGAGATAACTACTTTCACATTTTCTATATTTTTCTAGTGTTTTTTCTATGGCTTCATCCTTTTTAATGAAAAGGGGCTTCTTCCTGTGTAGTTTATGTCCTTTTAACTTGAAGTATCCTGAGAAGTCACAACTAAAAAGAACACCGTACTATGAATGATTTCTTTCTTTCTTTCTTTCTTTTTTTTGACACAGAGTCTCACTCTGTTCCATACGCACTCTGAAATTTAAGCAGAGGTTCCCAAACCTCAATTCTTGACTTCTGTGTACCCACAGGCTCAACACCATGTGTAAGCTGCCAAGGCTTGGAGCTTACACCCTCTGAAGCAGCAGCCTGAGCTGTACATTGGCCCTTTTTAGCCATGGCTAGAGCTGAAGCAGCTGGGATGCAGGGCACCATGTCCTGAGGCTGCATACAGCAGCAGGGACCCTAGGCCTAGCCCATGAAACCAGTTTTCCCTCCCAGGCCTCCAGGTGTGTGATGGGAGGGCCTGCCATGAAGGTCTCTGACATGCCCTGGAGACATTTTCCCCATTGTCCTGGTGATTAACATTTGGCACCTTGTTACTTGTGCAGGCTTGAATTTCTCCCCAGGAAATGGGGTTTTCTTTTCTATCACGTTGTCAGGTTGCAAATTTTTCAAACTTTTATGTTCTGCTTCCTCTTGAATGCTTTGCTGCTTAGAAATTTCTTCTGCCAAATACTCTAAATCATCTCTCCCAAGTTCAAAATTCCACAGATCTCTAGGGCTGGGACAAAATGCAGCCAGTCTCATTGCATAGCAAGAGTGACCTTTACTCCAGTTCCCAAAAAGTTCCTCATCTCCATCTGAGACCACCTCAGCCTAGACTTCATATCACAGTCCATATCACTGTCAGCATTTTGATCAAAGCTATTCAACCAGTCTCTAGGAAGTTCCAAACTTTCCCACATCTTCCTGTCTTCTGAGCCCTCCAAGGCTCTGGGAAGTTCTAAACTTTCCCATATTTTTCTATCTTCTTCTGAGCCCTCCAAACTGTTCCAACATCTGCTTGTTACCCAGTTCCAAAGTTGCTTCCACATTTTGGGGTATCTTAATAGCAGTAGCCCACTCTACTGCTACCAATTTACTGTATTAGTCCATTTTCATACTGCTGTGAAGAAATACTTGCAACTGGGTAGTTTACAAAGAAAGAGAGGTTTAATGGACTCACAGTTCCACATGGCTAGGGAAATCTCACAATCATGGTGGGAGGTGAAGGAGGAGCAAAGACATGTCTTACATGGCAGCAGGCAAGAGAGTGTGTGTAGGGAAACTGCCCATTACATGACCATCAGATCTCATGAGACTTATTCACTATCACAAGAACAGAATGGGAAAAACCCACCCCCGTGATTCAATTACGTCCCACCTCCCACCAGGTCCGTCCCACAACACATGGGGGTTATGGAAGCTACCATTCAAGATGAGATTTGCGTGGGGACACAGCCAAACCACATCAGAAACCAACTCTGATTCTCTGAGATTTGACTGGGGAGGTTGATGGGGGAATACTCTGTAAGAGAGTGAGGAAAGCAGAATTGGACTAGGGAAAATATAAGCTACATTGCAGCTGGAACTGAGACCTCAACCAGTCAAATGAGAAGCTCTGAAACGGGGGTGGACCTTAGGAGAGATCCTAATCTGTGGCAAAGGCATCAGGCCTCTGTACCGCCACATCAACCAGTCGAGCCCCTGAGGAGTGAGTAATACAAGCCATCAACAACCAACACTCCCAGTAATGCAGTAAATGAGTGCCACAGTCCTGAATGGGGACTTGAATGGGGGCCCTCTCTGGCAAACCACTGCATCCACTAAAGGTGCTACGTTTCAAGAAGTCTGTAAAGGATAAATGTGAGCTATCCACAGAGTAAAGAAGGCAGAAGAGATTTACAAAGATGAAATAGTTAAAGCAAATGCTTTTTGAAGTGAAGCAGCCTGAGGTATTCAGAAAATTTCTAACAGATCCAATTGTTCATGGGAAAGGAAGCAGTTAAATCTAAAATATGTTAAGATTGGCTATTGACCTTTTATACATTTCTTGTTTCTCCCTACTTAAATTAGCATAATTTTCTGCCCAAAGAGAATATTTTAATAATGTTTGGAGATGGGCAGTGTGGAAGTGAGCAGCGAAAGAACAGGTGGATGAGTGGTGAGTGAATGGGTAGAGGATTGAACGGATAGTGAGTAAATGGGGAATGGGTTGATGTGTGGTGAATGAATGAGTAGATAAAGCTGTTGAATGCAACACCATTCATTTACTCAATCATTCCTCCTCAGGCTCCCTGGAAGCAAAAAGTATACCTTGCAGGGAAGGAATGGCTAGTATGCTAACATCTTTAGGCAGGGATCCCTGAGTAATAAGTATATGGGAGTAGGTAAAGCTCACAGGAGGAATGTTAATTTGCTTCACTCATTTACCACACCTGCCTGGCCCCTAGAGGCGATTGAATGGGCAACCCTTCAAGAAGGCAGTGGTTATGCCTTCAAGCATTCACCTAGAAGCAGATCCTAAAACAAAGATTTGATGAAAATACTTTATTAGGGAAGGAATCTCAGATAGCCCCGTTAGGCAATAAGACAGAGAAAGGAAAGCAATGAATAAAGGTGGTTTTATCAGGCCCCTGTCACTCTGTATCTAATTTTAATCCTGATGGGTAAGTCTGGGAAACTATATAAACCATGCGTCTCAGAGTTATTCCCTGTGTAGAATGAGGGAATGGGGGTATTTATACACCAGCTCTTAGCAGTCATTGTTTAGGGGCTGCAGGGTGTGATGGCAAGTGTGGTCTCCCACTGCCTTGGAGAATACCTTCAGGAAGCAAGATACAGATGCTGGCGGTTGGAAGCCTCAGGAGCAGGCTGAAGATTCAGAGGATAAGGCAGGGAACTGGGCATCTTTTGCAGTTCCTTCACCGCTGTATTAAGCACCTGGCAGATCTTAAGTCCCCCAAATAAATGTAGATAAATGAATGAATAAATGTAAATCCGTGAGTCATTTCATGGGAATGTGGCACTAATGGCCTGATTTCAGGCAGGGAACTAGGCAAGTAGAAGACATCCCTGAGGCAGGATTTCACACATGTATATATAAATAAGTCAGGCACAGCAACCTAAGTGCACTCCTCCTCAGAAACTGCTCCTACAGGAAAATTATTTGATGTTTTCCAAGTACTTTAAAAGAGTCAATTTACTACATAATTAAAACAGCATAATTATTTGTACTTAATACACTGGAGTCAGTGACAATAACAATTATAATAATGTGCTTAGCTGGCACAAGAATTCAACTTCAGGAATATTGTACACATACTAGTTTGTTGCTTCCATTTCTGTTTCTTTATTTTGGCTATCTAAAAATGTCTCCATCACAATTTTGCTGAAGACCATATTCAGGAGAGAAGGTCTGGAGAGGAGATGTAATTACTGTTTTTTTGCATATAACTTATGTCTCCACCTGTGTCATCTCTTTGTACCTGACATGCATGTTCCCATGTGATTAATGTTACCCCAACGGCTGTCAAGTCACATTTTCCTCTTTTCAATAAAAACTCCTAGCATTCCCATAAGGTTTTACAATTTCCTGGGCACTGTCCCTTTAGAGATGCTTGTGTGGGTCTTATGACAACCCTGGAAGAGACTCATATGTAGGTGTTACTACAATAAAATCCTGTAATGGGAAATAAGTGGGCCCCAAAAAAGTAATTGCATAAAACATGGGATTGCATTATTGTGAAGTTAATGAATACATACATCTTTTATTTGTTTTTGCAGTTACCTTATGGAAAAAAAAAGTTTTTATTTATTAGATGTGTAGGAATTTAGCTTTATTATAAATAAAATATTCGTTGAACTTAAATTCCTCCACTGAGTGAAGATCAGTCCTAAAACCCAGTTGCATTACACCTAGGATGGCCAGAAAAATCCCAGCAATATCCCATTTACTTGCAAAAATGTCCCAGTAAGGATAATAAATTTAATAGCCACTCTAGCTATAGCTGACTTAACATTATCATGATTAACTTTTCAATAATATTTAACTGTATTTTTCCATTTTTCAAGAAACTGATGAGAAAACTGAGACTCAGGAAGTTAAATTGTGTTCCCAAGAAGACGCCATAATTATTTGCTCAAAACTAAAGCTAAAAGCCAAAACTAGTTTTCTATCCAGCCTGGTGGTTTAGCTACCTCCTGGCATACTGCCTTTTCATTCAGACTGACAATAATTATTCATCACTCAGCAAATATTGACCTTCACATAATAAAATCATTGTTATCATTTGACCCTACTAACTTCTAGTCCTTGTTCTTACAGATATTCTATTTTAATGTATTTGTAGTATTAGCATAGATAGTTTTAATCTACATTCTCATTCAACATTATACTACACTATCAATTAGAATTAGGAGTGATTCATACAAGGTAGAATTTTTTTCTTTTAAATGAGAGAAGTCTGGAGGTATGCAATTTAGAATGTTACGGTGGTTCACAGTCATCAAAGACTGAGGCTCTTCTTTTTCTCCTTCACCATCCTAGAGCTTAGCTTCCAGCCCAAAGATGCCTTATGACTCAAAGATGGCCACTGAAGTTGCGGTTTTCACATGTGTGAAGTTGGAAGCAAGAAGGAAGGAGGAAAGGGCAAAAGGAGTATATGTCTCAGCTGAGTCAGTTCCTTTTAATCAGATTTCTCAGAAATCTGATTCAGCATTTCATCCCACTGGCCAAAACTTAGTCACACTGACACACTTAGCAATTAAGAAATCTTAAAAATGTATTATTTTAGTTGAGGTTATTTGTTGCCTCAATAAAATTAGGATTGTGTTTTCATAGAATAAAGGAAAAATCAGTCAATCATTTTCACAAGAATGCTTCACAAGAAACCATGCCAAAACTCAGTGAATTACAACAGCAAGCATTTCTTTCTCATTTGTGTGTTTTAGATCAATCAGGGATCACAGATTGAGGATGGTGTCAGCTAGGCTGACTTTTTTTTTTTTTTGATAAGGGGTACAAGTGCAATTTTGTTACA
Organism: Homo sapiens; assembly: GCF_000001405.40. Classification (NCBI taxonomy): domain Eukaryota; kingdom Metazoa; phylum Chordata; class Mammalia; order Primates; family Hominidae; genus Homo; species Homo sapiens. Next base: position 31,106,025 of record NC_000003.12, read on the forward strand.
TGGATACATTGTGTAGTGGTGAAGTTTGTTTTCAGTGTATCTATCACCTGAATAATATACGTTGTACCCATTAAGTAATTTCTCATCATCCACCCCTCTCCGACCCCTTCACCCTTCTGAGTCTCCAGTGTCTACCACTCTACACTCTATGTCCATGGGTACACATTATTTAGCTCCCACTTACAAGTGAGAACATGCAGTCTTTGTCTTTCTGTTTCTGAGTTGTTTCACTTAAGATAATGGCCTCCAGTTCTACTCATGGCTGCAAAATACACGATTTCATTCTTTTTTATGTAGACTTGACTGCAGGCTAGGACTTCAATTCACTCTACTTCACCTGACTCATTCTTCTGGCACAAGAGGGCTCCCTGGGGCAAGTTCTTCCAGGATAATAGCAGATGTGCAGCGCAATAGAGCAAGCCCAGTCATGCTAGAATATTTCAAGCCTTGACACAATCTATGTCCAGTAAGATCTTATGTCCAAAGCAAACTATATGGACAATCCCAAGTTAGAAAGGCAAGGAAATGCATCTTGACCATGAGGAGACCACAGCAAAGGAGGTGAGGTATGCTTGCTGTGTACACCTCCTATAGGAGAGTGTTGGGATCAATAATTCTATCTGCCACAGTAAGCAGGCCATAATTTTCTATTATAACATTCTCTTTCTTCCCTCGCCTCTAACTACCTCCTGCCTATCTTGTTCTTCCCTGTATACAGTTCCAAGATGGATAGTTACTAAGCTGTAAAAACTCATAGGCCCACCCAAGACTGTCCCCATAACAAGCTTGATAATATTCTTGGAGAATCTGATATATGATCCCAAGAGTTAGGAGTGTGGAGGGAAGGGGAGAATAGTGCCTGATTCTGCCTGGAGAGGTCAAAAAGTAGGAACCTGCTGTGGGCTCTCACATTCACAAAGTGAAAAGAGAGGCTAGGGTGGAAGTGGGTCTGTACACTGCAGTCTAGTGAGGAAGCCTGCATATGTTCCATGGTACTATTAGATGCCTTGGAATAAAGCCAGCCTCCAGCTTTCTTGAAACCCCAGTGAGGGTTTCACTAAGAAAGAGAAACTGCAGAAGTATACCAAAAGCGAAAACAAGATAAGGGAAACTCACAAAAGATCAACAGAGTATGCATCACCTATGTCAGTGACTAGGGTGGTACAGTGAAGAGAATTACTATATTGCCTAACTCAAGGGATGCCAATCATATCACTGTCCTATGGAGTTAGCAATACACAATCTACGTGGCCTTAATCATAAGTCCTCACAGTGCATAGTGTATACATTTCTCTGAAATTCATCCTCTATTAATACAACAAAGACATACTTCCATATCAATAGGTTTGAACCTGTTTCTTAGGAGGTTATATAGTGCCCTATGGTATAGATTTACCAAAATATATATAATTCCTCCCTTAATAAAGAGCATTTATGTTGTTTCCTAACTTTATTGCTACAAACAATACTTCAAAAGATTCTTGTACATATATCTATTATTATGTCATACACAAAAATAAATTCTGATGAATAAAAACTTACAAATAAATGTAAAAGAAAAATAGAAAATATTAGAAAAATATAAGATCATGCTTTTATACTTTGGGATTTGGGTATCCTTAGTAAATGTAACACAAAATAATCCCCCGTATAGAACTTCTATATGGATAAACCTAATGCAGAGTTTAAAGACAAATATACTTGAAGCTAATCTTTGCAATGCATATTATAGACTAATGGCCAAAAGTACATTTTATTTAAATCGCTTCTACGAATTGATTTTTAAATGAATAAATCAATTTAAAAAATGAGCAAAGATGATTTGATAATTCACACAAGAAGAAATACAAATGGAAAACAAGACACTTGGTCCATTAGTGAATATGAAAATGCAAGTAAAAACAACAATAAAATATAACTTTTAACAAATTTTCAAAACTTAAAAGTATTGGTAATATATATTGTTGGTGGGAATTTTAATTTTAAAAATAGGAACTCTTCTCCTTACTGAAGGTAGGGGACATTAGTACAATTTTTTGCAGGTCAACTTAGCGCTATTTACCAAGATATTATGTAACAACTCAATATTTCATTCCTGGAAATTTATCCTAAAGAAATAGGTCTACTTGCACACAGAAATACACACACATGTACAGACACACACACATGCACCGGCACAGACACGCACACAGACACACACATTTCATATGCAGGATGTTTTGTTAAGCAAAAAAAAAAAAAAAAAAAAAAAAAAAAAAAAAAAAAAAAGAAAAGAAAATGAAAATGACCTAAATGGACATTAAGAAGACAATATTATAGAATATTTTGCAATCATTAAAATAAATGGTGTAGATCTATATGATCTAACTCAGACAAATGTCCACAATATATTTTAGAAGAAAAAAAGGTGTTAAAAATATATGTAGCTTCATTCTGTTTATCTAAAAATACTTCTTTTCATTTTCATTTTTATTTCAATAGTTTTGGGGTACAGGTGGTTTGTGGCTACATGGATAAGTTCTTATGTGGTGATTCCTGAGATTTTAGTCTACCTATCACTCAGACAGTACACACTGTACCGAATAGGTAGTCTTTTATCCCTCACTTCCTCCCAACCTTCCCCTCTGAGTCCCCAAAGCCCAATATATAATTTCTTATGCCTTTCTGCCTCATACCTTAGCTCACACTTATAAGTGAGAACATATGATGTTTGGTTTTCCATTCCTGAATTACTTCACTTAGAATAATGCCCTCCAGCTCCATTCCTTTTTATGGCTGAGTAGTATTCCATGGTGTGGATATATACCACATTTTCTTTATCCACTCATTGGTAGATAGAAGCTTAAGTTGGTTCCATACCTTTGCACTGTGAATTGTGCTTCTATAAACATGTGAGTGTATGAGTCTTTTCATATAATGACTTTTTTCCTTTGGGTAGATGATACCCAGTAGTGAAATTGCTAGATCAAATGGTAAGTTCTTTGAGGAATCTTTATACTGTTTTCCACAGTAGTTGTACTAATTTACATTCCCACCAGCAGTGTAAAAGTGTTCCCTTTTCACCACATCCATGCCAACATCTGTTGTTTTTTGACTTTTTAGTTATGTCCATTCTTGCAGGAGTAGTAAGGTAGTATCTCATTATGGTTTTAATAGTGATGTTGAGCATTTTTTTCACGTTTGTTGGCTGTTTGTATAGCTTCTTTTGAGAATTGTCTATTCATGTCCTTTGCCCACTTTTTGATGGGATTATTTGTTTTTTTTATTGCTGATTTGTTTGACTTTCTTGGAGATTCTGGATTTTAGTCATTTGTTGGATACATAGTTTGTAAATATTTTTTCTCACTCTATGGGTCATCTGTACACTCTGCCAGTTGTTTCTTTTGCTGTGCAAAAGCTTTTGTAGTTTAATTAGGTCCCATTTATTTCTGTTTGTGTTGCATTTGCTTTTGGGGTCTTCATGAAGAATTTTTTGTCTAAGCCAACGTCTACAAGAATTTTTCTGATGTAATCTTCTAGAATTTTAATGGTTTCAGGTCTTAGACTTAAGTCTGATCCCATCTTGAATTGATTTTTATATAAGGTAAGAGATAATGATTCAGTTTGATTCTTCTACGTGTGGCTTACCAGTTTTCCGAGCACCACTTATTGAATAGGGTGTCCTTTCCCCAATTTATGTTTTTGTATGCTTTGTCAAAGATCATTTGGCTATAAATATTCAGCTTTATTTCTAGGTTCTCTATTCTGTCCCATTGGTCTACATGCCTATTTTTATACCAGTACCGTGCTGTTTTGGTATCTATACCCTTGTAGTATAATTTGAAGTCGGGTAATGTGATGCCTCCAGATTTGTTCTTTTTGCTTAGTATTGCTTTGGCTACATGGGCTCTTTTTTGATTCCATACGAATTTTAGGATTGTTTTTTCTAGTTCTGTGAAGAATGATGATGGTATTTTAATGAGAATTGAATTAAATCTGTAGATTGCTTTGGGAAGTGTGGGATTTTTTTTAAAGCATTTGTATAACTGTAGAGAAATTCTAGAAGTCTTTACTCCAAAGTTACTTTTATAGGACAGGGGGGTGTTAGATTGGAAGCTAGAAAATTCTTCTTTCAATTTATCCATTCTTATTCTTTTGAGTTTGTTACAGGAAGCATATATACTTTTATTTTAAAAATAAAGATTTAAAGAAGAGAAATTGCTTTTGTGTCTGACCCCTGCATGCCTGTGCAGGATAAGGTTTCCTTCAGGGTAAGCAGGGGTATGCTGGTGAATCAGCTAGACTGGGGTAGGGGGAAGAAGGGAGCCCTGATTTGTAGTGTTTGTTGATTTCCATGATGCAAATATTCCCACCATGTTCAATTTCAAGTGGCTCACAATATACCTGAATATTTAATATAATAAATGTTCAATACATCAATTTTTAAAATCAGCTGTTGAAGAGAACTAGACTGCCAATGCCCTGAATAAGCAAGTCAAGTGAGAGATTCTGCTCTGGTGGAATGGAAACTCTGCTGGCTGGGACAAGTTTCAACCTAGATGGTTCATAGCACATCTGTCTCTCACCCCAGCTCACTGCTAAGCATTCATGATTCAAAGCGTCTAAGGCTGGTGTAGTCTTACTACAGTTTTTCAAGGTCATTCACTTCACCAACTTTCTAAGAGATGCTTCACCCTTTAGAAGTAGGTCAGGTGGTAGAAGCAATGTCTGCCAGGAAGGATTCTTCATTCATTTCAAGCTCAGGCGGCCTCCAGGCAACTGAATTCTGCAGATGGTGCACACAGAGAGAGAATCTGGGTGAACCTTTTCCTTTACAAAAATATTTCTGCAGATGGTAAGGCTTGAGAGCTATAGTGCGTCTCCCTTTCCCGGTGATGCTCTATACTGAAGCAGTTAACAAGGCACCTGGCAACTCACCCAGCCAAGAACTTGAAGGAATACCTGTCACCAATTTGTTTACAGTCTAATGGCACAGGAATCAAAGCAATATTGTACGGTGAATGCTGTGATGGCCAGGCCTATTTCTAGCATTTGTGGGGGCTATAAAACCTGACTTCATTCTCTTCCCATCCCAGGCTCTACCCACACTTCAAGGGTCCTCATGTGGACACGCCACCAATATGTCCAAATTTGATCCACCATCACCGTCACCCTAACCAGCCACCCCCTGGCCAACATTCAGGACCAGGAATGCGCCCCAGCTAAGCTATCCACCCTCTGTAAAAGGAATATTGGAAGAAACTTCTGCAGGCACTTTGAAGAGACCTAAGGCCATTTGGGTTGGGAATTACAAGGTCCTGGTTACTCAGAGAAAGACATAGAAGCAGGGCCAGAACTCTTCACCCCATGGGAGGAGTGCAGCCCACAAGAGGCCTAAGAGAAGTTCCCAAAAGCATGGGACATAGGGAAGGGGGCCCAATCACCTGGGAAGTATTGGGAATGGGAATAGGATATGGGGCTAAAAGAACAACTAACTCACTGTTGGCCAGTGAGGAAGACTTCCTGAAGGAAACGAGCCTAAACTGAACCTGAGCATATGCATAAAATTTAGCCAATCAGAAAACAGGGTAAGGGATTCCAGATAGAGAAGCCACATGTAAAAGGGCCTTAATCTCTAAGAATTATTCACAAGAGCTGATGTTCAATCATTCACGAGAGTATGTGCTTTTTTGTTTCCCCAAATCAGAGAAATGCTACTACCCTTAGCCCCAAAACCTAAGAAATGGGATTGGCAATAGTTGGGTTCATCTACAGAAGAGCGATTATGAGTTCTCCTAAAAAGGTAGATGGAGCCCAAATTCTGAAGCAAATGACATTGATTCTCCATTTGCCATGCTGACCAGTGGTTTAACAGAAGCCTCCCAACCTTGCTCTTAACCCATCCCAAACTTTCTTCTCCTCCTTCCGCTCCCTCCAAAGTTCACTACGCTCTCAGATATACTAAAGACAGATAAGGCTGGAAATGGAATTAGCACCACAGTGTTAATTGGGGTAATGAGTTAGCAGATAATCTATTTGCATTTTTATGGGATCCTTTAAGGTCTTAATTTAACTTGAAAGTGTGATTAAGGAGGGAATTTTCAGGTCATAAGCAGGCCCCTTGGGAAGATCTGGAAAGTCTTTCAGGGTCCCTAAGGAAAAGCCCTATGCCTCCTGGTTGCATTTTAATAACTCTGGATTGGAGATTAGCAAACATTTTCTGTAAACAACCAGAGAGCAAATATTTTAGGTTTTGTGGGTCATGTGGTCTCTGTCACAAGTACTCGACTCTGCTGTTGTAGTTCAAAAGCGGCCATAGAAGAAACATAATTGGATGAGTGAATGAATGAGTGAATGTGGCCACGTTCCAATAATACTTTGTTTACAGAAACAAGCAGCAGTTCATAGTTTACTAATGCCTGCTCTAAGATTTAACTTGCTCTCCTTTCCTCTTGTCACTTCTAGGAAACACAGCCCTGCTTTTCAGGTGAAATTTTGCAACTATTCCTTAAAATTCTGCCAGTGGGAATCATCATTGATATAGCTGGCCTCAGTGAGTCAAGCACTTGTAGTCAGATTGGACCTATCATAATATCTTGGTATCTTATATTTCTGTATGCTTTTTTATTTTTGAAAGGTAATCACATGTATTACTTCACACTTAGGTCCTCATTCTCTCCTGTCACTGGGGGAAAATAGCATAGTTGAGTGGCTAAAAAAGATTATGGACTTCTGGAGTCAGACTAGCAAGGCCTATGTTGGTCAAGATAGGCTAGATATGCTGTGGTAAAAAAAAGTTAATAAATAAACTCACTTTACCAGGCGCAGTGGCTCTCACCTGTAATCCCAGCACTTTGGGAGGCCAAGGCAGGTGGATCATGAGTCAGGGTTTCGAGGCCAGCCTGGCCAACATGGTGAAATCCCGTCTCTACTAAAAATACAAAAATTAGCCAGGCATGGTGGTGGGTGCCTGCAATCCCAACTACTTGGGAGGCTGAGACAGAGAATTGTTTAAACCCGGGAGGCAGAGGTTGCAGTGAGCCAAGATCGTGTCACTGCACTCCATCCAGGGCAACGGAGCGAGACTCTGTCTCAAAAAATAAATAAATAAATAAGTAATAATAATAACTGACTTAGTTCCAACATAACAAACTTTTACTTCTTCCTTATGTTATACATCCAACACAGTCATCAGGGTAGGTGCCTCTGCTTCACACAATTATTTGGGGACCCAAGCTAATGGAGGCTCCACCATGTGGACTATCCCCCCAGGCGCTGCAGTAAGAGAAGAGAAAAAGTAGAAACTTTGCCTATGCTCTTCTAATTTCAGCCCAGTAGTGACATACATTATTTCTCTGTATAGCCCATTGCCCATAAGTAGTCATATGGCCACAACTAACTGCAAGGGACTCTGGGAGATAACTGAAAGCATATGGAATGTTTAATAAGCACCCCAGTTTCTGTCACACATGACCTTACCAGTGAGTTGCTTTGTGACCTTGGACAAAGTATTGAAATATTCTGTTCTTCAATTTTCCCTATGGTAAGGCAAGAATAACAATAGCCTCTGACTCAAGTATCTGGTAATAAGATTTGATAACATGCATTTAAATCACAGTGTCAGGCACTTAGCAAGCATTCAGTAAAATTTAGCCATTAATTTTATTATTACCAACTAAATGATTGTGAGGAAAATGCTTTATCCCTCTGGGTCTATGTTCCTTCATTTGCAAATCAGGTATGCTAATAATGCTGTTTAAGATAGCTATTAGATAAAATGGCACAATACACTTAAAAAATCCTAGCACCATGCCTGACATACAATACACATTTAATAAAGGTTATTTTCCCTTAATGTATTGCAATCGTGAATTGATAATTCTTTTGAGTTCCGTTTGAAAAGGACTATTTGTGAGCCTAACGGACTGCAGTGATATTTAAGATGTTGAGCAACAGAAACCCAAAAATACAATATTTCAAAACAGAAGTGATTTTCAAGATTCTCAATTGTCCAGAGGCAGCTTATCACTCAGAGATGTAGTATTGTGTAGTGTGCTCTATTGCTCTTTCCACAACCTAGTTATGCTTGGAACTACATTTCCCAGAATCTTTTTTCTTATGTGGTCTGGGATAGAGTTGCCAAAAGTGAAGTTGGATGAGTTTGGGACGTGGAAGTGAAGTGGCAGTCATAATGATCTGAAGTTCCATGTTGGTAGGGGACGTTGAGGTACAGACACTGAGATGCAAGTGGGCTTCGATTTATCCTTGATCTTCCCTGCTATAGGGAAGCAGCTTCCCTTTCCTACTGCAAGTCATGATGAGCTGTGGTGAGCTCCAGCCTGTTATCACTGTGAACTCACAAGGCGCTGGTCACAGAAAGCAGACAGCCTCCGTGAACTTCATCAGCTTCCTCTGTGGTTCCAGGTCAACAGAGAGATGGGTTTAGTAGCTTCCAGGTTTCCCTGAAAGCTTGGACTCAGTCACCCACTCCAGGGCTGGATAGTGACCTGTTAAGGGCTGCACATGGCCCCCAAAATTCATGTGTTAAAGTCTTTTTTTTTTTCTGAGACGGAGTCTCGCTCTGTCGCCCAGGCTGGAGTGCAGTGGCGCGCTCTCGGCTCACTGCAAGCTCCGCCTCCCGGATTCACGCCATTCTCCTGCCTCAGCCTCCCCAGCAGCTGGGACTACAGGCGCACAGCACCACGCCCGGCTAATTTTTTGTATTTTTAGTAGAGACAGGGTTTCACCGTGTTAGCCAGCATGGCCTTGATCTCCTGACCTCGTGATCCACACGCCTCGGCCTCCCACAATGCTAAGATTTCATGTGTTAAAGTCTTAAACCCCAGTACCTCAGAATGTGACTGTATTTGGAGATAGTGTTTTTCTTTGTCTTCTTTTATTTATTTATTTTCCTTGGTAGAGACAGGGTCTTGCTTGCTAGTGCCCAGGCTGGTCTTGAACTCCTATCTCCTAGCAATCCTCCCACTTCAGCCTCACAAAGTACTGGGATTACAGGGATGAACCATCATGCCTGGCTCAAGGAGATAGTGTTTTTAAAGATAATTAAGGTAAGTTGATGTCATGGCTTGAGCCCTATGACTCAACTGTAAGGACATGTGACTGGTCTCCTTATAAGAAGAGGAGATTAAAACACAGACACGCACAGAAGGAGAGATACATGCAAACATCAGAGGAAAACAGCTATCTACAAGCCAAGGAGAAAGGCCTTAGAAGAAGATATCAGCCCTGCTGACACCTTGATCTTTAGACTTCTATCCACTAGAATTGTGAGAAAACTAATTTCTGTTGTTGAAATCACTAGTCTGTGGTACTTGGTTATGGCAGCCCTCGCAGACTAATACATGTCCTTTCTCCAGTCCTTTGACTTTTATTTGTGACCTTTACTTTTCCAGCTGTTCCCACAACTGGGTAAGTTCTAAGTCTTATAATAAACCCCTTATGACCTTAAACAAGAAAAAACACCAAACAATCCAATTAAAAAGTGGGCAAAGGACATGAACAGACACTTCTGAAAAGAAGATATACATGCAGCCAACAAGCATACGACAAAAAGCTCAACATCACTGATCATTAGAGAAATGCAAATCTAAACCACAATGAGATACCATCTCACACCAGTCAGCATGGCTATTATTAAAAAGTCAAAAAATAACAGATGCCAGTGAGGTTGTAAAGAAAAAGGAATGCTTGTACACTGTTAGTGGGAGTATAAATTAGTTCAACCATTGTGGAAGACAGTGTGGTGATTCTTTAAAGACAGAAATACTGTTGACTCAGCCATCCCATTACTGTGTTTATACCCAAAAGAATATAAATCGTTCTATTATGAAGACACATGCATTTGTATGTTCATTACAGCACTATTCACAATAGCAAAGACATGGGATCAACCCAAATGCCCATCAATGATAGACTGGATAAAGAAAATGTGGTACATATACACCATGGAATACTATGCAGCCATAAAAAAATGAGATCTTGTCCTTTGTCCACGGATGGAGCTAGAGGCCATTATCCATAGCAAACTAAAGTAGGAACAGAAAAATAAATACCACATGTTCTCACTTATAAATGGGAGCTAAATTATGAGATCACAAGGACACATAGAGGGGAACAACACACACCGGGGCCTATCAAAAGTTGGAGGGTGGGAGCAGGGAAAGGATCAGGAAAAATAACTAATGGATCTAAACTTAAGAGCTGGGTGGAATAATCAGTACAGCAAACTCCCATGACACACATTTACCTATGTAACAAACCTGCACATCCTGCACATGTACTCCTGAACTTAAAAGTTAAAATGAAAAACATAAATAAATAAACCTCTTATAATACTCATGGTGGTTCTGCTTCCCAGATTGAACCCAGACTGACACACACAGCAATTAAAAACATAGACTCTGGGGCCAGCTTGTTGAGGCAGAAGTCCACTCTCCGATGTTACTTTCTGTGTGATTTTTTTTGGGCTGTTACTTAACTTCTGTATGTCTCAATTGCCTTATATAAAAAATGGGATAATAATCTTACCTAACTAGAAGAGTACTATAAGTAAAACATTCAGTACATTGCCTAGCACATAGATAACACTCAGTTTGTGTTCATTATGATCATATTATGATGATGATTATTATTTGCTTCCTATTTAAGAATTAAAACACTAACTGATGAGGTTCTCTTCCCCTGACCTGGTTTATTACATACATGTCTATGTTCTCTTTTAGAATGTAAATATCTTGAGGACTGTTATCATAATTGATTTATCTTTGCTTTGTTCCACATGAAACTTCCCTTCTCATCTAGCAGGAAGACATGACTGGCTCAGATGGAATGTTGAAGTGAGAATTTGGATTCCATTTGGGCCAAGGAAGGTTTAAGGTCTGTGGGAGCCAGCCTTCAAGATGGTTCCCATGACTCTCACCTCCTGGTCTTCATATTCTTATGAAGACCCCCTCCCACACTAAGTAGAAACAACTTGTATAACCAGTGGGACATTTTGAAAATGATGGGTGTGGGCGGGGGGCGGTGGCTCACGCCTGTAATCCTAGCACTTTGGGAGGCAGAGGCAGGTGGATTGCCTGAGCTCAGGAGTTCAAGACCAGCCTGGGCAACACGGTGAAACCCCATCTCTACTAAAATACAAACAAAAATTAGCCAAGTGTAGCAGCGTGTGCCTGTAGTCCCAGATACTCAGGAGGCTGAGGCAGGAGAATTGCTTGAACCCGGGAGGCAGAGGTTGCAGTGAGCTGAGATCACGCCACTGCACTCCAGCCTGGGCAACAGAGCGAGACTCCATCTCTTAAAAAAAATAGAAAAGAAAAGAAAATTATGGGTGTGATTTTTAAGGCTAGGTTATCAAAGAAACGGAGGCTTCTGCTTTGCTCTCTTACATCACTCATTATAGAGGAAGCCAGTTACCATGTCATTAGGACATTCAGGCAGCCTCATGAAGTGGTCGACATGGTGAGGAACTGGGGCCTCTTTCCAACAACAGCCATCACTTGCCAGGCATGTCAGTGAGCCGTCTTGAGAGTGGGTCTGATAGCCTCAGTCCAGCTTTCAAAAGACTACCATCCCAGTGGGCGTCATGACTGTAACATCTCATGAGAAACCCGAAGAAAGACTGTCCAGACAAGTCTCTTCCAAATTTCTGACCTACAGAAATTACACGAGATTATAAATATTTACCATAACTTGTGACACGGAAATAGATAGGTAATATGCCATCCAAAAGATTCCTCGAAGTTTACCTTGTTTCATCAACAACAATGATAATAATCACTTGTATTATCTATTAAGTACTAACTACCTGTCAGATGGTGTGCTGAGCACTTTGAAAGTGTTATTTAATCCTCATAACCATCTTATTTGATGAATAGTTTAATTAGGTTTGTACTATTATCAATCTCATTTTCAAATAAATAAACTGGGGCTTACAAAAAGCAACGAACTTGCTCAAAGTTGACAAGCTAGATGGTGATACAGCTAAGACTCACCCCACATCCTCAGACACCACACCCAGTTTTGGGTGTCACTGACAGCCTATTATGCCTCTTTGGCACAGCTCTCCAAGATCTTATATATGATATTAGTTTCCTGAAAACTCAGAGCGCAAAGCCCTTGTGCTGCAAATACTTTCCTGCTTGCCCTTTCTGACATTGATGGGGCATGCACTTGAGCTTCCTACAGCTTCCTGGGTGCAGTCTTCCTGGAAGATGCCAGGGCACCTAACTAGCCACAAACGTACATTGTTAACATGCTCCCAGGTCACTGCAATTGAAGTTCTCACAATTCCTTCCTCATCATTACACTCTAATTTCCCTCCTGACTTCCTTATTGCTCTACTGGGGGAGGAGAATGGAGGGATTGCTTTAATAGCAATTTTACACTTCATTCTAAAAACCTGTCCTGTGCTTCAGTGAAGAATATATGGAAGAAAATCATCAGTTCAGAAGATTATAGATCTGATAAGAACAAGTTGCTTTTGGTTTTTATAGCTATTTATTTTCCATTTGAGTCCTTCTATATATAAGCACTGAGTCTGTTTTGGACTTCTTGCTGGTGTCATTGTTGCTTGACTATGGGGGGGATAATTTCATTTCACTTATAGGATAAGCCAGCTCTTTCCTGTTAGTAAAATTCCTTGACCATAAGCATCTAATTAATCAAGACATGTTCTCACAGCATGTTGCTCTAAGTCCTAGTGTATGCAGTGTAGAAGAGACCTTTTAAGACTTTTATCCTCTTAATATCTAGGTGTATTAGTCCATTTTCATGCTGCTGATAAAGACATACCCAAGACTGGCCAATTTACAGAAGAAGAGGTTTATTGGACTTACAGTTCCACATGGTTGGGGAGGCCTCACAAATCATAGTGGAAGGCAAAAGGCACATCTCACATGGTGGCAGACAAGAGAAGGAAGCTTGTGCAGGGAAACTCCCCCTTATAGAACCATCAGACCTTGTGAGACTCATTCACTATCATGAGAACAACACAGGAAAGACCTGTCCCCATGATTCAATTACCTCCCACTGGGTCCCTCTGACAACATGTGGGAATTCAAGATGAGATTTGGCTAGGGACACAGCCAAATTGTATCACTAAGGGACCAACAAATCTTTATTGTTTTCTTTGTAATTATAAATGTAATACAAAGTTGGTTGGCATACAACTATTTCATAAACACAATACACAAAATAAAAGTTCCCCAAATCTTGTACCCTAGAGATAATCATTGTTTACAATTTAGAGCATAAATATTCAACTCTGTTTCCCCACATGGGCTAAAATAATTAATTTCCATTTTCTTCTTCAAAAAACAAAATCAATGTCGTATTATATATACTGCTTCTCCCTTATGGTTTTCTTTCTGTTAGCACTATTTCTCAGAACTATTACATCTTGGAAAGCCATTTCTACCATCAGTGTATATAGATGCTAATGCTTTTGAATAGTTTCTGATATACTATAACATGTTCACTTATTCCCATACTGAAGGATTTTGGGGTTGTGTTCTTTTTTCAGTGACAATCTATGCTGAAATGACCAGTCTTGTACATATGTCTTGCACAGTATTTCTGGAGGATGAATTTCTATAAGGGGAGATTTTCAGACAAGATTTGCTAGCTGTACCACTTTACACTCCCACCAACAATACCTGAAGTGGCCTGTTCCTCCATACCCTCACAAACATTGGATGTTATCTTTTCTTCTTTCATCTTTGTGCTATGCCTAACTCATATTATAATTAACACTGGTGAGAATAGCAATAGATTCCTTTTCCCCTTTACAGGTGATTGAAAAGGAAATTCCCTAAGTGATAAATAGGAAATTTGTCTGCCCAGGAGTAATTAGCATTTATATAGCTCCTCATTCTCAGAACTAATTCAGTGTTAACTAACTCACATTTATACACAAACAGAAATTTGACATTGGGGAGAATTTTTCAGGCCCTTCTGGGGAGTTTATGCTCTGCTGTTCTTGACTTAGTCTGGTGACCTTGAACTGGTGATTTCCCTTAAGATACATCAGTTTTTTGGTGTTTAAGAATCACTTGAGAGGACTCAGAAAAAAAAGCAGATTTCCACTCCTTCTATTTTCTATTTTGTTTCAAGAGGTCCTAGGTGGGTCATTTTTCATGTCTTTTGGACTTCAGACACGGAAAGTTTAATCCTACCCCTAAATTTGGCACACCGACATTGTTACTCCATGCAAAGCCACTTTCTTGTTTTATTCGGTGATTCCCCTTCATTCCCACTGCCAATTTCAACTCTCCTCCCTCCTATACACAACCATTTGAATGTATTGGATATATATTCTAGAATTTTAAGGTATCTTTGGAAAATAGTTGTTGTGGCTTTATATGAATTTATATATATATACACATATATAAAATAACATATGTAATATATGTGTACCATAAGAAAAGAATATATATATCACATAGTCATCCCTCCATATCCATAGATTTTGCATTCATGGATTCAATCAACTGCAGATTAAAAATATTCAGGAAAAAATCCACAAGTTCCAAAGAGCAAAACTTGAATTTGCTGCATGTTGAGTACTACATTGAGTTCACATACACGAAGTGATGTGTAGGTATTGTATTAGGTAATCTAGACATAAAAGTACACAAGAGGATGTGCATGGTCATATGCAAATACTACACCATTTAACATAAGGTATTTGCATACCTTCAAAGTTTGGTAACCTCAGGAGGTCCTGAATCCAATCCCCTAAGGATACTGAGGGACAACTGTATATATAAATTAAATTCTGGTATAAATTTTTCTGTTTCTTACTTTTTTCTCTTAACACTCTATTTTTAAGAGCTACCCAGATTGCTGAGAGTGCATCCCACAGAATTTGTGGCTTCTAACTGCTGCTTAGTATATCTTAGTATATTTCCATCACCCTTTATGTATGCATTCCCCTGGTGATAGAAAAGTACAGTAGGTTGTGTTCAACTCTACCTCCTGCTACTACAAACAAGGCTGCAATGAACAACTGTATACATGTCTTGAATGAGAATTTCTCTGGGGTTTATGCCCCAGGGGGTTGATTGTTAGGATCAGGTAGTTACTTTTTTAGCTTCTTATAATGACAGTTTTTAAAAATACACCAAAGTAGGAAAAATTGTATAATGAACACCATAATCCATCTGCCAAATTTAAAAATTATCAATATTTTGCTCTACTTCAGTTCTCCTTCCCTTCTTTTGTTGTAGCTTTTAAGAAAAATTTCTGACGGCATGCCATGTTACTACAAATATTTGCATCTCTAATACATAAAGACATTTAAAAATATAACCTCAACACCAGTATCACACCTGACAAAGCCAACAATATTTCCTTGATATCATCTAATACCCAGTCCAGATTCAAATTTCTCTGACTATCTCAAAGGCAGCTTTTGTAGCTCATGTGTTCAAATCAGGCCCCAAATAAGGTGATATATTGTATTTGATTGTTATGTTTCTTAAATCTCTTTTCCTATAAAGTATACCCTTCTCCTCCCCCTTCACACCACTGACTTTTTCAAGAAATAAGCGAAGCTGGTGGGATGCTTCACATTCTAGATTTGTCTGGTTGTATCATCTATTAATTCGTCCCTCTGTCCCCTGTACTTCCTGTAAACTACAAGTTAGATCTAAAAACTTGACTAGATTCACATTCAATGTTTTTCATAGTTGGTTCTATGCACTTCACATTGCATCTTATCAGGAGTCACATAAAGTCTGATGGTTCCACTTTTATGGGTGAAAATTTGATCAGCAAGTTCAGATCATAAAATCCTGATCTCTCTTTTGTGAAATACTTAATCTGCAAGTCTTCTAATGATTTTGGCACTATTTTTATTAAGAGTTGCAAGTGGTCATTTAAAAATTTTATCATTTCTTCTCTATTTTACTAGCAGGAGTTTTTTTCCATAAAACCAACTTTCCCATATTAACTAGGTTGATTATCCTGAAATACAGTTCATATGGGCAGGCAAAATAAATTTTTTCTTTTCCTTTAATTATCAATTAGTAACAGAAGGTGTCATGATCCAGCTACCTTCAAGAACGACCAGAGGGTTTTTGGTCCAGTTTGTTTCATTTGTTTGTATTTTGATGCTCAAATTTTCTCATCTTTGGCTAATAAGATCCTTCAGTTTGGCTCCAACGTCCTTTGGACATGACTCTCCTAGCTTTTGATACCTTCCTTGATTTCTGGCTCATCAAGATAATCCACACTCATCTTGTCCATTTCCCACCCCAAATACGAAATCAGCCATTTCTTCAAGTTCTATTTCATTTCTGTGAATAGTGGTATTTAGAAACCATCATCTGGGCTCCAGTGCTCAGTGTTACAAGATTGGTGTTGCTTCAAGGCCTTTTTAGAAGATGTAGTTAGGAAAAATGTTGTAAATGAGAAAAATAAAAGTTAACATTACAGTATTTTAATCTCTTTGATTTTATACCTTTCTCGTTTCTTTCACACTAACAATCCTGGTAGCCAACAACATTAACATAATGACTTATTTCATTTCCCATCCTATATACACAGAATAGTTTCAAAACAACTATGCCAATATGGTTAATAACAGCAGTCCTGCAGAATTCTTTGCAGCTCTTTTTGTCCATAGAATAGATCCCATTAAGGATGTACAGACTAGAAAGTCTAATCTAATGTCATGTGAAACATTTATGTTCATCTGTGATTATATCAGGGGTTGACAATTTTTTTTCTGTAAAAACCCAGATGCCAAATATTGTAGGCTTTGCAGGTCATCAGTCTCTGTGGCAACTACTGAGCTCTGCAATTGTTGCAGAGAAGCAGCCATAGATAATAAGGAAACCAAGGGGTATGACTGGGTTCCAGTAAAACTTTGTTTACAAAAATGGGCATCAGATCTGTTTGGTCCTACAGACTGTAATTTGCCAACTCTCATATTATGTCACCAATTTGATACACAATTAGGTATATTTGTTTTATTCGTTTTTGACATTTGGAGAACAAACTTTTGATTTTCCTTTATTCATGTATTTACTCATTTATCTTTACTTTTTTGTCATGTAAGGGTGAAGTTATATAAGTTTCATGGGAAATTTTGATTTAGGTGACCTACAGACTAATTTTGAGAAATACTGCCCTAAAATGAAGGCAGAGCCCCAGACCTGGAGAACAATTATAAACCTGGAGTCAATTGTCAGCTAAATACTGTCATTTGAAAGATATTAGAGAGGTGCTCATACCTCGAACCTAGTCTTAATATTCTTACTAGTTGTCACTTTCTTCTATTATATCACCTATTACATTTGGTAAAATGCAAATAGTTCTTGAGTAACTATTTAGACATTATTAGCCATGATTTGTTTATCAATTTGCTGTAGAGATTTAGAGATGAGGCAAAACAGAGATGGAGGAGATTGGTGGAGGAAAGCAAGGGAGATGGATCCACAGGGGAACAACATGGAAGGCTGAGTACCTAAAGGAGGTAAGCAACTAAATGCATTGGGTATTTTAGGAAAGTAAGGAGGAACATGAACAAGGAGTACCTGACTACTAAATGAAACTAGGTCCACTGAAATCAGGAACTACCATGCTTTTCTTCACTGCTACTAAATAACAACATCTGGATATTATTTATCTGATTCATTTTACCAGTTTGATATTTTAAAGGGCAAAGTGTGAAGTACCTGGCAAGTGTGATGCTAGACTTCAATACAAGCACCTTGTCACCTTTTGTTTAATGCCCAGCTTGCTGCAAGCGTTTGAGTTTTCAGCCCCTGCTTAGCACGTTGGTAGGATTAGACAGTAGGGAGACTTGGACCCCCCAGGCCAAGGTATTATATGGGAGAAGGAGAAGAAGAAAAGGCCAAAATATCAGGGAGACATCACAAGATACACTCTGCCACTTTCCAAATTTGCCTTGCTTCAATTTTGCTGGGATGCACTTTGTACTGTGAACAATTAAAGTATATTATAATATTCAACTTGAGCATCTAGTCTCAAGCTTGATACCTAAAAGTAAAAATGATATAAACAAGTACTTATTAGAATTTCCATAGTAACAGCAGAGATCGGGGGGAAAACACAATAACAGGAAACTTGAGAAAATATCACCTGTTACAACTTTTAATAAGTTGCCTTTTAAAAAATTTTTGAAACTCAAAGTAGCATAATTAAAGTGTTTTGATCTTACAATAATACACACCTGGGTCTCTAATACTTACTGTGTGACCCTGAACAAGTCACATAAACGTTTTGAGCCCCAGATTCCCCATTTATAAAATCGAGATGATAATATTTCTTTTTCAGGCTTATTAGGGATTTCTTAGTCCTCTTTTAAACATTTATTGAATGCTGAAAGAGATCAGAATATGCCACTCCAAAATATGCCACTGTGGTGTATGAATTGTTTTGAGCTGAAGGCAACTGAAAATCAACAGATGCAGAAAGAAACATTTTCAGGGCTTTCCTTATCTGACTAAAAGCAGAAACTTCTGAGAAATGAGGATTGCCATTAATCTTGTCGGGCTGGGGTTGGGGGTGGTTTGGCCACAAACCAGATGGAAAAGTTAGCACCAACATGAATCTTCACTAAGAAATCTTACTAAATTATCCTGTCTTCCATTCATTTCCCCTGTTATTAACTTTCCCACAATGTGCTGCCCCTAGAGCTCAACCTCTGCTTTTCTTTGTCTAGTCACTTCACAATTTATCACTCTTTGTTAAAATGGTATATAAGCACTGAGTCAGCTTCTTTGGGTTTTCATTTCCTTTATGTAGAGGCCTCATGTATGTAAAATTAAAGTTTGTATGCTCTGTCTCCTGTTAATCTATCATTTAACAGTTCAATTCACAGTCCTCAGACGCTTAACCTAAGAAGAAAGAAGAAAAGCTCTCTCCTCCCCCACAATGTCAACACTATTAATGAATGTCAGATATTGCTAGAGACTCAGGGTACAGGATGAATTGGGTTATGTTTTTTTCCTTTCAGGAAAAGATCTATTGAATATAGGATACCTGGATGGAGTCTTAAAAGGTGATTCAGTATTCAGTGACACAGAAATGTGGGGGTGGAATACAGGGCTATTCCATGTGGAGGACCGCGCTTAAGTGATTACATTGAGGTAAAAAAAATAGCATCAAATGAGCTTCAAGTGCTTGGTATATGATAGGTGCTCAGTAGACATTCTTTTTCCTCTTTTGTGCCTTCTTCTCTAGAAATAAACCCAGTTCATGCCATAAGTACTATTTTAAAAAATCAAGAAGGTCCTATAAGTGCTCAGCTACTCCAGGTGTGGTCTATGGACAAGAAGCCTTGGCATTACCTGGGAGCAAATTAGCAATGCAGCATCTCAAGCCCCCATTGCAGACCTGCTACATTAGAATCTGCAGTTTAACAAGATTACCAGGTGATCTATATGCACATTAAGGTTTGAGAAGCATTGCTAGGGGATAAGGTATAGGAATAATTTCTCTGGTAGGTGGAAGGATGGTTCCAGAAAGCAGAGAGGTTTGTGGAGAGCTCCTAAAATGTGACGGTTGCAGTAGCAGTGAGGTAAGGAAGGGTAGGGCATTTGCACATGATATGGGATGGTTGATTAAGAGCTGCTACTTGCTGCGGATTTACCTCCAGGTGTCCTTTATCCTCAGTAATGTCTCTTTTCACTAAGTAGCCTATTTTCTCCTTGTTGGTCTTGTTCTTAACCTGACTTCCATTTCAGACAAATGTCTTATGGCAATTTAGGAAGCACATTCTTGATGCAAATGATAAAAGGCTCAAATTAGAAGTCCAGGCCTTCTTTAAACAAGATTAACCAGCTCCTGCCAGAAGTTGAAAACTGTTAAATTAAGTTTCTTAGTAGGGCCTGCTGAGCTTCTTTTCAACCCCTTCTTAGCACCACAGCAGCGTGGAACTCCCAGAGATAAAACCCAGTTTTCATGCAAGGAAATTGCTAAAACCTACAGTTTGAGGATGCAGGAGCAAGTGCCTCGCCTTTGAACAAGGTAGAAGGAGAGAGAAATAAACTACCACTTCCCGTAGTGCTAAGGGACTGTGGGGAACTTGTACATATACAATCCTTGCCTTGGCAAGTATCTGCTAACTCTGGGCTAGACTTTTTTTTTTTTTTTTTAACACATTTCACTCTTCCTGCACTCCTCATTTATGCAATTTAAATAATCACGTAAAAATTAGGTAGGTAATGTTAGGGAGGAAAAGTTTTTTCTCTACCCACTTCAGTTCAGCACTTGGAGGAGTGCAAATTAAACTGACAAAAGATTAACAGGAAAAAATAGACTAGGTTTATTCACATACATTTATTCAGGAGCTTACAGAAAATATGGCTCAAAGAAGCAGTTATAATTTGGGGCTTATATACCATCTTAATAGGAGAATGGGAGGGAGAGAAAAGGCACTTATGGAAAAATGAATGACTCGGCACAGATAAATTGGCCCTTAGGAGAACAGATGGGAAGTATGACAGTTTTATGGTAATGTTAGTTCATGTGATTTATCTGGTGATAGGAATCAATCCCACCCCCTCACCCCCCACAAATAATAGGAATCAATTCTTCCCCTACCCCATGTAGGAAAGCCTCTTTTGAAGGAGAATCTATGGCAGTTGAATTCTTTTGAAAGGCTCTGCTTTTTCAGGCAGATAAGGGCAAGGTGGGGGTGGGGGTGTCAGGCAAAGCCTCCTTCTGCATATGTTGATTCTCAAATGTCTTGAGCTCAAAATAATTTTATCCCATAGTGGTATATTCCAGATCCCTTCACTCATTAAGAAAATAAGGGGACATATAAAGAACATACATGCTGTCTCTAACACACACACACAATCTCCCACTATTGCCCCAAACTGGAAATGACTATTAACATTTTGATTTACTTGTTTTTCAATCCCCTTTCTGTTCATTTTTTTGGCACATGGTTGAGATTATAATACATAACCAGTTTTGGTTCTTACTTTTTCAACTTAACATTTTCGACTTAACATTTAAGAAGTGTATATGAGAAAAACTTTTTAAAATTTAAAATTATGAAATCTTTCAAACATAAACTGAAGTTCAGAAAATAATATAACAACCACCTGGGAACCCATTGCCAGGATTTAAGAGATGTTAACATTTTACTATATTTGCTTTGAATTACTCTGAAAAGAATATGTCACAAACGCAGTTAGGGCCTCTACTCACTTCCTCAAGCCTTGTTACAATCACTTCTATTCAAGGGTCACCACTGTCCTGAGACCGGTACATTTTATTTTCAGGTCTATTTTTAACTTTTGTCAATAATACATACTAATATTTGGTAAGATTTTAAATTTTACATAAATGGTATCATGTTGTATATATCCTTTTGCAACTTTCTTTTTATCATTCAATATTAGGTCACCTTGGAAAAAAATAGTCTTTTTTCCATTTAATTATACAAATGGAAAGTAGGTATCTTGTTCTGTTGGAAAATGTTTTAGCTTTACCAGGGCCGAGAGCTTAGAGCTAGCGGCAGTGGAGTTAGGAGGTACATCACATGATGTGTTTATTTGAATCCATTAATTGATAAAGAACTCAAGGAACATTCTGGAAGAAATAGCTGCAAGGTCAAGACCCCATTTCTCTTAAGTTTTGAGTTGTATATGTAGGGGAGTAAAGGTAATCTTTTCTTCCTCACTCATCACAAGCTTTATGGGTTAGACCCCCATAAGAAAAGACAGATTAACAAAAGAAAAGCATAACAAATTTGTTTTAAAGGTTTTGTATTACATGGGAACCTTCACAAATGAAGACCCAAAGACTCAGGGAAAACTGTGTTTTTATGAACTGTGGTACAGAAGCGTGAGGAGGAGGACAAAAGGGTGTGATTCAATGGTAACATACTGGGGAAAACTCAGCAAGACCTGCTTGTTCAAAGTTTTCTTGGCCTCTAGGTATCAGGCAGGATCCCTTTGGGATGAGGGTCTTATGACTTATTTTCAGGGGAGGTAGGTCAGAGAATTCTTTTATGGCCTGCTTCAGGGAAACGTCATGCTTATTTGGTTTTCTTTTTTCTTTTTCTTTTCTTTTCTTTTTTTTTTTTTTTTTTTTTGAGACAGAGTCTTGCTCTGTTGCCCAGGCTGGAGTGCAATGGTTCACTGCAACATCCACCTCCCAGGTTCAAGCGATTCTCCTGCCTCAGCCTCCTGAGCAGCTGGTATTACAGGTGCCCGCCATCATGTCTGGCTAATTTTTGTATTTTTTAGCAGAGACGGAGTTTCACCATGTTAGTCAGGCTCTGCTGAAGTCTTGAACCACTCAAAGTCATTCACAAGGCTTGGAATAAACTTTTTCCAAACTCCTTTTAATGTTGACATTTTGACCTTCTCTCATAGATCACAAATGTACTTACCGGCATCTAGAATGGTAAATCCTTTCCGTTAGATTTTCAATTTACTTTGTCCAGATCTATCAGAGTAATCACTCTTTATGGAAGCTATAGTTTTACAAAATATAATTCTTACATAATAAAACTTAAGTCAAAATTATTTCTTGATCTATAGGCTGCAGAATAGATGTTGTGTTAGCAGGCATGAAAACAACACTAATCCCCTTGTACATCTCTATCAGAGCCCTTGGGTGACCAGGTGCAATGTCAATGAGCAGTAATATTTTGAAAGGATTATTTTTTTTTCTTAGCAATGGGTCTCAATGGTGGGTTTCAAATATTCAGTAAACCATGCTGTAAACAGATGTGCTCTCATCCAGGCTTTGTTGTTCCATTTATAGAGCACAGGCAGAGTAGATTTAGCATAATTTCTAAGGGCTCTAGGATTTTCAGAATGGCAAATGAACATTGGCTGCAACTTAAAGTCATCAGTTGCATTAGCCCCTAACAAGAGAATCAGCCCATCCTTTGAAGCTCTGAAGCCAGGAATTGACTTCTCTCTAGGTATGAAAGAACCGATAGCATCTGCTTCCCATAGAAGGCTGCAGTGAAAATCTGTTGCTTAGTGCAGCCATCTTCATCAATGAACTTAGATAGGTCTTCTCAGTAACTTGCTACAGCTTCTACATCAGCACATGCTGCTTCATCTTGCCCTTTTATGTTATGGAAATGGCTTCTTTCCTTAAACGTAATGAACTAACCTCTGCTAGCTTCCAACTTTTCTCCTGCAGCTTTCTCACCTCTTTGCCTTCATAAATGGCGTTAAAGTCTTGTTTTCGATTAGGCCTTGGTTTAAGGGAATGTGCTGGTTTGATCTATCCAGACCACTAAAACTTTCTCCATACAAGCAATAAGGCTATTTTACTTTCTTATTCATGTGTTTACTGGAGAAGCACTTTTAATTTCCCTCAAGAGCTTTTCCTTTGCATTCTCAACTTAGCTAACTGTGTGGTGCAAGAGGCCTAGATTCTGGCCAGTCTTGGCTTTCAACATCGCTTCTTTAAGCTTAATCATTTCTAGCTTTCGATTGAAAGTGAAAGATATGCAACTCTTCCTTTTACCTGAAGATTTAGAGGCTCTTGTAGGGTTATTAATTGTCCTAATTTCAGTATTTTTGTGTCTCATGAAATAAGGAGGCCTGAGGAGAGGGAGAGAAACAGGAGAATGGCCAGTAAGTGGAGCATTCAGAACACATATGATATTTATCAATTAAGTTCACTGTCTTATATGGGCATGGTTCACAGCACCCCACAACAATTACATAGTAACATCAAAGACCACTGGTCACAGATCATCATAACAAATATAATGATGATTCTTGAAATATTTTGGTAACATAAAAATTACCAAAATGCGACACAGAAACATGAAGTGAGCACATGCTGTTGGAAAAACTGACTTTCTTGATGCAGAATTGCCACAAACCTTCAATTTGTAAAAAGTGCAATATCTGAGAAGCTCAATAAAGCAAAGTGTAATATAATGAGGTATACCTGCATATCATAATTTCAAGAAAAGTTTCGTTTTTTTGTTTGTTTGTTTGTTTTTGAGATGGAGTCTCGTTCTGTCACCCAGGCTGGAGTGCAGTGGTGCAATCTCAGCTCACTACAACTTCTGCCACCCTGGTTCAAGTGATTCTCCTGCCTCAGCCTCCTGAGTGGCTGGGATTACAGGCACACACCACCATGCCTGGCTAATTTTTTGTATTTTTAGTAGAGATGGGGTTTTGCCATGTTAGCTGGATTGGTCTCAAACTCCTGACCTCAGGTGATCCACTTGCCTTGGCCTCCCAAAGTGCTTGGATTACAGGCATGAGCCACTGCACCCAGCCCAAGAAAAGTTTTTTAAAGAGTAATTTTATATTGTATTTCAAGCTGGTGAAGTGAAACCTACATATGAATGATTGTTAAAGTCTTAAATGTATTTATCAGAGCCCAGTGCTTCTAGCTGAAGATTCAGGACACATCTTCATTTTTCTACTTGATGCAGCTCATTCTCATAACCTAACCATTTTCTAAATTTTCTCTCAACAGAAATAATGTTACTTCACTTCTCCACACACTCTCTCCTCTAGCCTTCTCTGCATTTTTATTAGAAAATGCTAGAAATCTGTTAAAAGAGATGATCAAGCATGGATGGGAATGAAGGCATTCTCAATCTCCAGGACAACGACTTTAGGGCAAATTGATAGATTTGAGAGCAGATGGTACCCACCACACATGCCTTTCCCAAGGGAAATGAGGCCCAGCCTTTGGCATTGTCGCATCTATATTTAGCAGCCTGAATTTGCCTCATTGAGGTCTCGATGTGCACTTTACAAAGTGTCTTGGTACTGCTCACAATAGAGAAGTATCAAACCAAGAATATTCCTTTCAGCCACAGGGCCCTGCTTTCCACTGGACATGGCATATTCCCATGGCATGCCTTCATTTTTGCTCTGTGTGTGCATTTTTACCCTTTTCTTCCCTCTAATACTCTCCCTTATGTAGTTTTTTAAGGCAGGCTCTTTGGATCACTTAATTCTGTTCCAAAACTTGCCTCTGTCCTGCCGACAACTCCAAACTTTTCCCATTAAATTCCTGTTGGTTAAACACTTTTCTTGTCAAGTCCTCACTAAAAGATTTCAAATCCAGCTGAAAGAATTCCTTTGACTGCATAGAGAACTACTTCCTTCCCTGATACAACATGGGTCCAACGGCAATAGCCAGTGCCTATTTTAGGTGGGCTGCAGACCTTGAAACTTTCCAAATGTAAAATGTACCTAGATACAAGGATTTCTATGTATTACTAGAAAAAGTATGCCCTAGTAATACCCTTTGTTCTTTGCAGCATGACACCTAAATTACTTTATTCCAGCATAGTGCCTGACACATAAAATATGTTCAATATATGATGCAGAAGGAAAGAGAAAGAAAAACAGTAAGAAAGGGTGGAAGGGCAACATGAGACTAAGTATCTCTTTGTAGTCCAGAAGTCTCTTTTGCTTTTTTCAAAATTAACTTCTTTGGCAAAATATTCTGTAAAATAATTATTCTAAAATCAAAAAGAAAACCCACATATTACAGCCTCTTCTTGGATATTTGCACATGACACTATTAAAAGTGCTGGGAAGTCCTGCATCAGAGAAACATGTTTGATTCTGTTTCTTCCAGAGTATTCCATGGAATTCTCCTCTATGAATCCTTTTATTATAATCTATTCACATCCTACAGGACCAGTGTCTGTCAGAGGACACTTTGGCAAATGTAGCTTTAACTCAACTAGATATGATTTAGAGACTGCCAATGTAAACTGTTCCCTGCAAAGAGCTTCTGAAACCATAATTATCAACTACATAAATGCCTCTGAGCCTGCACCAGGATCATCCTGATTAAAATACTTGCTCATATGAAGTTAAGAGCATATGAACTATTATACTATAAATTTTGTGCATCCTAAATATACCCTGAGCCTTTGTTGGGAGGATGCTGTTGAGGATGCTGGCAGCTAAAGTCATGCCAGGCAGTATGGTTACAGTCAATGGGTGTGTAATGTTCCATTCTGGGGGTCATTAAAAATGAACCACATGATTGAGAGACACATTTATTTTTGTATCGTATGATCCTGGCATTCAGTTCCATTCTGCGTCATGAATTTAACACAGCCAAACAAAGCATTGATTACTCCCTTCAAATTCAGTTGGAGCCTGCCATGTTTAATGAGAGGGAAGCAAGAGATTATTGAGACCACAGTTTGCCAATGTCAGTTAGCCAATGATAAAGGCAATCTGAGCCTATATTACACAAAAAAGAATGGAAAGTTGGCCTGCTTGTGGTGTCCCTCATGCCACTGGGAGGGAGGCAAGTATATGACTTCTCAGATTTTTTTTTTTGTCACCAGATGAATAGTCTACCTGTTACCTCAGTGTGAGGATGGACTGACATCTAGTGGATAACCAGGTGATTGATATTTTTGTTATAAATTGCACTGTAGAAATGAGTAAGCTGCATAACAACGGTACTTGAGAAGGTAGAGTTTAAATAAAATTTGAATTATAAATATAGACTTTTTCCTCATGGTTGAGACCAGTTAATTAAATTTGTATTTAAAGTTAATATTATATTTTGAAGATGTTTCCCATTAACAATACTGTCCCATTGTCTTATGAAATAGTGGTCCATAATTAGACACCTACCAAAATTAACAACTATATATGTAAAGACAAATAACATAATGCCAGAAACACCCAAAAGATGGCATGGAAGGATTTTTATTTTATACATTTTTGGAAAAGAAAAATGTCTATTTCTCAAACACACATGCGTCAGTAGATTGTAGCCACCTGCCAGTAAGGAATTTAAGAATTTTAAGAAATTTGGCTAATAATTTACAAAGCTGAGTACAGTTGTCTCATGTGCTACTCTGATGGGGGAGAGAAGGGCAAAAGATAAGGTTTATGTGTCCAGTTTCCCTTGTATCATTGGTCAAGAGCATCTGTGATATTGATCTTACTTTTCTGGTTTATTGAATGATACCTTGTAGGAAGTAATTAGTGTTAAGATGTGAGGAGAAAAAGAGACAACATCTGTCTCTTCAATTCTTGAAGTGTGAACCAACTGAGAAATAAATTAAAGAAGTAAATTAGACAAAGATTTAAAAATACAAGTTTTATGCTTGGTAAAGCAGATTGAAGAATGCTGTTCAAACTCTGCCCAACATAGATCTTTCTAATACTGCCTTTTCCTCCTGGATTAAATGTATTCTGAAATAATTACAGTGCTTCTGTCCAGTTCTTATCTAGTGTCTATGTTCTCCAGAATTGTATGAATTTCTAACAACCTCTATATTTATCCTTCTCTAATATACAGTGGTAAAACATTATCAAAAACTTGGAAATAAGGTAAAGGGAAAGTAGGGTGTTTTCTCAATGCCATACTAGAATTTTGCTGAATAGGCCTACACAAAGGATTGTTTAATTTTCTAGGAGAATGTATCTGTTTTTGACTTACTACACATATGTTAATTTGTAGAATTTTGTACTGAAAGATTGAATATACAAATAGAAAGTTGCCAGACCATATATAAAAATAGACCTCTGATCCATAGCCTGCAAAAATCATCCCCGGAAACCAACCCATAATCTATAGGAAGCCAGCCTACTTCTGACTTATAGCCAGCCTGATTTACAGGAAATCAGACCACCATCTCTAGTAACCATCCAGGAAGCCAAAAAATAGCCCCTGTAACAATTGGCCCAAAATGGGTAGGACTAGATTAATAACTGACAGTTTCTTTAATTTCTGTTTCTGTTTTCAACTTAGTACTAGCCAGAGAAAGCCAAATATGCATCCCAACCAATCACATGGGATGCACCATTTCTAGTTAGCCTGCCTTCAGCTCCCCCATGACAGCAGCCTTCAATCAGAGTACCCCCAAAGCCTTCCCTTTTTACCACTATAAATAAGATTTTTCCTCTGCCTGCCTTTGAGTCTCTTCCAAAATACAAGTAATAGTGGCTGACTCCCTTGCTCAGCAAACTGTGAACAGTAGCCTTTGTTTCTTCTCATTTTGCTTGTTGTCATTTACTTCCATCTTCCACTAGAAAAGAGAACCTTAAAAGTTAATGTTTATTGCCCCATAGAACATTAACCAGTTTTCTATATAGCCTAGCAATCTTATTTTAACATTTTTTTTTGCTAGTGTCTAGAAATAACTGTTCCTCATATATTCTTGGAACCAGTTTTACTATCTCACTTGTTCTCTCATTAATAGGTTGACTAAATTGCTGACAAGTAGACGTTCTACATTTGCATGGCAATTATGCTTTTAACTCTTTGAAAATTACACATCGACAACAGAAAAGAAACAGAATGCCTGTGAGCATCTAAGAAGAAATTCATGTCTATATTTTACCTGTATTAAAAGCTGTGTTAACAGAGGAAACTGGATACTTATTAGGTCTACAAGGTGTCTTCAATTTATTTTAATGTTGTAAAATTGCTGTGCCATAGTTATTTGTTGAAGAGATTTACCAAACTTTCTCAGATCATGGTCTATTCGGAATTACATAGCTCCGAGTGACCCAACTTGAAACTTATATTCGTCAGTTTTTGCTATTTAACAACCCCCAAATCTTACCTTCAGCATTTATTTTTCTTACTCAAATGTATGCAAGTCAGTTTGGTGGTTCTGCTTTAGGTGTGGGTTGGGTTCAAATCTGCTCTACCTCTGGTCCAGAGACTACTAGGGACAAATTCTTCTCGTGGTGATGACAAGCAAGAGAACAAGCTCAGCCACACAAGCAAACCTCAGCTATGTCATGCTTGCTAGTATTCCACTGGCCAAAGTAAGTTACCTATCTAAGCCCCAGGTCAGGGGACAAGGGAGGTATACCCCTCCTACAGCAAGAAGCACTGCAAAGTCACATGTTAAAGTATGGACGTATACACCTCTAACAGGGAGGGAGTAATATAATCTAATCCACCGCAAAAACAAAACTGTAAAGGAAGAAAGAACACTGTTGATCAGTTTTCAGAGCACTGGCATATAGTCACAGACCAGATGTGGGAGAAGGCAAGTGGGGATAGGACTCATTTCCCAGAGTGAAAGACCCTCAGTTGGTGTAATCACAGATCTTGAAAATCTGCAGAGCTATTTGGCAGAGTGAAAATCATAATTTCAGAAGAAATTCACCACTAAGCATTAATCAAGCTTTAAGCCTTGTGGCAGCCTCTGTAATGCAAATCTCAGGATGTGTCAGAATAATTATGCACTTTTGCCCTATTGTGCTCCAGTTCCCAAAAGCATTGATTAAGGTAGAAGTAAACAATGCCCTACTAGCAGAAACCGAGTCCATGGAATTAGAGGACAAGTATATTCCGAATATACTAAGTAACATTTATGAAAATCTTATGCAACCCAATTCTGAGCAATGTATGATTCCCTTTTCTCTTTCATAAAACTAAATGAAAGCTAAAGTCTAATTCATTGATATGTTTATATATACTCCATAGTTGTCAAGAATTATTGTCTGTTAAAATGCCAGTAGCTTATTGATTGTAATAGATAGCTTATTAGGCTTAAATGTTATTTTTTATATAAACTTGACCAAACTTTGAAAATGCTCTATTAAACAAAATTAAGAGAGGTCATTGTTTTGGACCGAGCTTCTGCACTAAGGCCCCAGCAGACCAGACCAGACTGAAATGGGGTCACTAATGCTAAATGCCACATCATCAGACTGAAACTTTAAGAAAGCAAGCAAATGTCCAAACAGACCAATGTTTCCTGAAAACAAGAGATTCACAGCAATCAAGTCTACCTGAGTCAGCATAAGTTCCCTGTGCTTTAACCCTTCCAAGAAAAGTAACCTGTAGTAAACCAGTGTTAACCAACCTGCTTTTTAAAAAATTGTTCTGTTTCCTTGTTCCCACCTTACAAAAACCAACTGTTCTCTCATGCCCCGCAGAATACTATTCTATTTTATTAAATAACGTGTTGCCTGATTCTAGAATCACAAACAAAAGCCAATTAGATCTTTAAACTAATTTGGGGGGAGTGGTTGTAATTTTGTCTTTTGACAGCTCTTATAAAACTGATTAAATCCATTTTTTTACTTCCAATAAACGATAATCAATACCCTTTTCCATGTAGCCCACCCAAATATCTGTGTCTAATTACATGGCCAACTGTTGCAAAACTTTAGATACCTAAAAGGAAAATACTTCATTCTGCCGCCCAAGTTGTATTTTCACTAACCATTATATTCTTGAGATTCTCCCATTGATAACATGTGGTTTTAGTTAACTCATTTTCAGTGCTATATTGCTTTCCATTGTTCATATATTCCATTTTTAAAATTCAATTTTGTATTAATAATGATTTTGAATTATTACCACACTTTGTCACCCCAAAACATTCTTGTTTCTTATTCTGTCATCTATCTGTCATCTATTAGTGTCTCAATGCTAATACTTACTTCCTAACAGACATGCATCATGGTTGGAGTTTAGCCTTAACTTGTTGTAAAAATGGAGAAAGAGGGACTTGCTGGTGTGATCTGTTGCCCATCCACAACAACATCCTATTAATGATAAAGGCCAAAATGATTGTAGTGAGAGAAACATTCAAGATGTTCTAGTCTGGGCCAGGCTTTGTGGCTCTTGACTAACTTGCTCATGCATCTCTGGTCATTTGGTGGAAGGCTGATTTGTCTAGAATGGTCTTATATTTCTACAGATAGGCTGGCTGTTGGCTGGGTCACTGAGCAGCTGGCCACGTGTCTCTCATCTTCCAACAGTCTCCAAAGGTAGGGTACCAAGAGAGAACAGAAGCTCTCAAGGCCTTTTGAGTATACATATGGGCTCTGAACTGGCACAACATCACTTCCTCCATTCTATTGGCTAGAGTAAAACACACAGATAGCTCATATTCAAGGGCAGTATTCCAGCTATCAATTTCTATGCAAACCACCTCAAAACATAGTAGTTCAAAACAACAATCCTTTGTTTTGCTCACAAATCTGCTCTTTGCAGAGCTTGGTACAGAAGTTCATCTCTGCTCTAGTAGATATCAGCTGGGAAGCTGAACTAGGGCTGAAAGATCTACCTCCAAGATGGCTCCATCATCTGGCTGGCAAATTTCTCTCCTGTGATACTCTCCAGGGGGATAATGGCCGGGTCCTAAGAGCAAGCATCACAAGAGACAGGAAATAACAGTTAAGTTTCTTAGGGCTTGGCCCAGACACTGGTACAGCGCCACTTATACTACATTCCTTTTGTCAAGCAGTAAGTACCCAGATTCAAGTAGAGGAAACATAAACCCATCTCTCAATAAAGGAGTGTCAAAGAATCTGGGGACTGTACTTTAAAATTGCCACAGGCAGTCTCTAGACCTCACTGTTGATGGAAGAGATGATAATGTCACCTTGAAAAGGGCATGAATGCTGGAAGGCGGTTAAAGAACAAAACCCTTTTCGCAATCTATCACAGTGTGAATAGGGAGAGGGAAGGAGTTTCTGATTCAATATTTTTTCTGCTCCTTTTAACTAAACTATTATTTATCTTTTCAGCTTTATGTTAGCTATAACTTTACCAAAAGGTAAATTTAGAAATACTATTCTTATTATTTAAATGGTTTAGAGGACTTTAAATAGGAAGCTTTTATAAATGTTTCCTTTTTATTTCAAAATAAATATTAGCACTTTAGCTCCCCTTGAAAGACGTGAAATCATGTTTTATTGATGGGATAACTATTATAAAACAATAGTGCATGTAATCATCTTATTCCACTTGACGGGATGAACATAGCCATTTTTCACACAGAAAAGACAGTAAAGTACTCATTTACTGCTGTGTAATCAATTTAAAATTTCTCATTCATATGAGCTGCAGACTCATTGATTAGACATGGAAACTACATAAGCTGTGGCAACCCTGAATTTTCCTTTGGCTGTCTTCTCTGTGCCTTATGGAACACAATTGAAATGACCTAGAGGCCAGTAAAATGGAATTACTCATCAGCTTTCCCCAGACCCATTCATACCTGCTCAAACATTGCTCCATGGGACACAATCTTTTCTTTGGGGAGAAAATCTAAGTCACACGCATCTTTTAAATTCCCAAATCCTTGTTTTCCTCTCCTAGGCAGGAATCTGATTTCAGAAGAGGGATTTGACCTTATGGAAGTCCAAAAAATAAAATATTGATAGATAGCGACCACATAGTGTGGTTTGGTAAGCTGCATAGTAAGGTTTATACCCTCTAAGAAAATAGCACTCCTAGGGAGCGTTGAAGTGGTAATTGCTATGATTCATTGAGCATTTGGTTTGGGCGAGTCTCTGCATTATGAGCTTTTCAAATGCTTTCAGTTAGGACTGCATTTGGCAAGAAGAAACAAAATCTTACATGTAATAACTCTTAAAAAGTGAGCATAGAGTATGCTTCTATACTTATAGAAGCATAAGTATGAGGCAGCATCATGATACAATCAGGAACCTATGCTTCTTTCTGTTGGGATGTTCTTATTTTGTGGTTTTCATCTTCATGTTTGACACCATGGTGTTGCAAGTTGGCTGCTTTGTCTCTAGATGGAAGCTACTATGACAATCTTCCTATGGGAAGCCTGAGATTCCAGACAACACAAAGGAATCACAGAAAAGAAATGGAAAAACAAAAAATAGAGACTGGAGACTTTGTTCACCTTGTTTTAGCCAATCCGAAAGATACTCTTAAATTATACATATCCCTGACCTCTTAAGTTACATGAGTCACTACATTCCCACCGTCCCCACTTTTTTTTTTTTCTTTTAGGTAGGGTCTCACTCTGTTGCTCAGGCTGGTGTGCAGTGGTATAATCATAGCTCATTGCAGCTTTGAACTCCTGTGCTCAAGTTATCCTCCCACCTCAGCCTCCTGAGTAGCTGAGTAGCTAGGACTATAGGCATGTGCCACCACACTTGGCTTTTTTTTTTTTTTTTTAATTTTTGTAAAGTCATGGTCTGCCTATGTTGCCCAGGCTGGTCTTGAACTCCTGGCCTCAATCCTCCCACCTTGGCCTCCCAAAGTTCTGGAATTACAGGCATGACTCCTGAAACAAGGGAGGCACGAAGTGTGCCCAGCCTCCCTTTCTATTAAATAGATTGGAACTGAGTTTCTTGTCTTATGGAATTGAAAGAGCCTTAACAGACAAAAACCCCATTTTGCAGATGAGAAAATGTGAGAGTCTCCAGATCTATCTAAAAAGAAAAAAAATTAGTTGCTCTTTCCATTCACGTAGCACAAATTCATACAGTGAAAATTTGGAATATGAGGAACTACGGGGATGAATTTGTGAAAAACTGCAAAAGTGATATTTCAGGAAGAATATACAGCCTTGAATAGGTATAACAGCAATAGAGACTGAAATTTATTGAGCTAAAAATTTAGAAAGAGAACACCAGGATAAATCAAAATAAAGGAAGAGGAGGATAAAGAAAAGAGCAGATAAGTTAATAAAACAAAAACTAAAGATAAAAATAAAGAGGATTACAAAATTATAATGGAAGTTTAAAAATATTTATATGTAAATTTAAATTAAAATTAAATCTATCAAAACTTGTACATTGAGGCAAAATTGATATCTGGAAAGAAATTTATAGCTCTAAATGCTTGTATTGGGGGAAAAAAGCTGGAGGTTAATTTTTTAGACATCCAATTTAAGAATTTAGAGGAAAACAAAATGAACCCAAAAAGTAAAAAAAAAAAAAAAAAAAAAAAAACGAAGAAGAAGAACATAAAATAAGAGCAGATCAGAGAACAGGATCAAAAAGCCAAAGCTGGTTCTTTGAAAAGTCTATTGAGACAGACAAAAGCCTAGTAATCATTAGCCAGGGGTAGAGGGATGGGAAGAAGAAGGGAGAGAAAAATAAATAATATTAGGAATGAAAAGAAGGGCATATGAACAGATTCCACACAGATGTAAAAAGGAATAAAATAACATTATAAACAATTTGTATTACAATGAATTTGACAACAGATAAAATGGACACTTACTAGAAAAATATAACAGTACTGATTCAAGAAGAAATATAACCTAAATTGTATGAGAAAATAGAACCAATAATTAAAAATCTGTACACAGGGAAGTCATTTTTCAGTCAGGTTCTATCAAATTTTCAAATAAATGGTTCCAAAATACACAAACTCTTCTAGAGACTTACAGATGAAATATTAGTCCCCATCCATTCTAAGAAAGCAAAATAACTTTGTCACCGAAACTAGGAAAGAACATGAAAATGACAAGCCAATTTTATTCATAGAATGTGATCCAAGATAGGAAAAAAATCTTAAAATCACAAAACTCAATAAACATAAGCAAAAGCATTGACAAATTATATATTAAAATTAATATCCATTCATCATAAAACACTAAAAGTACATAAAGACAAGCACAAAGCAGGAGAAAATATTGCAACATACATATGACAAAGAAATAATATTTAGAATACAAAAAGAATTATTCAAAGTGATTAAAAAAACAAAAAATTTAAATGGACAAAAGACAGATACTTCATACAGAAAAGAATTACAAATAGCAAATAAACACAAGAAAAAAATGTTCATTACCAATGAAGGAAATACAAATTAAGATCATAAGATATCATTTTAGAGTGGATTGGCAAAAATTAGGAAATCTGATAAGTGTCCTAAAGGAGATGAATCATGAAAACTCATGCACTTTTTGACAGAGGGTAAATAGAGAGACTGTGGCAAGCAATTTGGCCCTCTCTTGTAAATTTGAGAATTCACATATCTGAAGACACAGTTATTCCTTGGTTGGTCATACCCTAGGGAAACTCTTGCACATGTATAACAGGATACAGTAACTAGCATGTTCATAACAGTATTGTAGCAAATAAGGGAATAGCTAAAACTGTTTGCAAATAAGAGATTGGATAAATTGCAGAATATTCACACTATTTCTAATGTGACAGCATTAAAAATTAAATGAACTACAGATATAAATAACTATAGGAATAAATCTTAGAAACATACTGTTAAGAGAAAAAAGCAAGAACTAGAAGACTTAATACAATATAATACCTTTATAGGCATATGAAAGCAAGCAATGACATACACAATGTCAGCCCACAAACAAGCTCATATCCATATGTGATAATAGTATCTAAAAAATAAGCAAAGGGTCTTATAAACAAAATTCAAAATAGTGATTATCTCTGGGGCATGCGGCATGTGGCAGAGTGAGAAAGCATGGAAATATACACAGGCAGATTCAATAGTGTTGATAGTATTTCTAATTCTTCACTTGGGTTGTGAGTACAGCACATGTGTTTATTATTATGCAATGTAGCTTACATATATATTACATACTTTTTCAAAATGAGAGATATAAATTATCTGTACCTGCCTATTGAACAATGTGAAAGGAAAATCTTGGAGCCCCAAAATTACTATGCTAAAGGGAAAAGTCAAGATGGGAACTGCTCAGGGCAAACCTGCCTCCTTCTCTGTTAAAATCATCCCTCTGCTGAGACAGATGCATGTATGATTGCCTCCTTTGTAAAGGCTTACAAGAAACTCAAAAGAATGCAACCACTTGTCTCTCACCTACCTGTGACCTGGAAGCTCCCTCCCTCCTTCAAGTTGTCCCTGCCTTTCTAGACCAAACCAATGTACTTCTTACACATATTGATTGATGTCATAAAAAGTATAAAACCAAGCTGTGCCCCGACCACCTTGGGCACATGTTGTCAGGACTTCCTAAGGCCATGTCACGGGCGCGTGTCCTCAACTTTGGCAAAATAAACTTTCTAAATTAACTGAAACCATCTCAGAAATTTGGGCTTCACAAGAAAGTTTCTGCAATAATGCAACATGTCACTCTTCTAAAATCCACGCCAGCAAAATATCTGCTTCATTTGCTGAACCTCCTCCAATAAACACATCAGAGTGAGGTTGGAAAAGATGCTTAGCAAACGAATCCAAAGCATCCACCACACCTGCTATCATCACTGTTGTGCAACATGATACTGGAGGTGCTGTTAAGACTGGAAGAGAAAACAAGTAGTCATCATTTGGAAATTATATGATCAATAACATAGGAAACTCAAGTGAATGAACAAACTATTAGAACAGCTAAGTTGAAAGAATTTTACAGCAAGCACTCACATACCCACCACCCAGAACCTACCACTAATATTTTACTAGGCTTTATTTATCATATGTCTACCCCTCTGTCTCTCTATATTCATCAATCTTAATTTGCATTTCAAAGTAAATTTCAAACTCAGTGTGTATCCCCCTTTCATATGTTAATGTAAACCAAAAATCAAATTCTAAGTCCCTTAGCTAACTGAACAGACACACCCACTTGTCCAAGGAGTGAAAAACCTGAAAAACTAGTTCAGACCATAATGGGAAGGGAGGTGGGACATGCCTTATTACACTCTCTCCCTTTGGAGTTTAGGCACAATTGACCAGCATTAACATTAAAATAGAGATCAGATAGTAGGACTGACAAAACAGACTCTGTAGCAATAAGATACCCAACTCCAACCTGACCCTGGTATAACATTACTTGAAAGATAGTAGGCCCTAAAGGAAATCAAAGTATTTTACCCCAAAATATATTTCTTTGGCATATTTTGAAATGGCCCTGCAAAGCCATCTCTTGTGGAGGAAATTCACAATTTGTAAAGAATCCCGTTCCTTTTCCAGGCTTTTTCTTGACCCAGAAGAGATTGAACTAAGAGTCTGACAGCTTTTTGGGTCCCATAGGAGATATTTACCATCTATTCCCTCCGAAGCCTGCTACCTGGAGGCTTCATCTACATAACAAGAACCCTGGCTTCCACAATCCCCCTTATTTTAACTGAAGCATTTCTTTCTGCTGCCTTCACTCTTTAAGCAAAGCTTAATTTTTCAACCAATTGCCAATCAGAAAATCTTGGAGTCTACCTATGACCTGCAAGCGCCCCTGCTTCCAGATGTCCCACCTTTCTAAGCCAAACCAATGAATACCTTACATGTATTGATTTATGTTTTGACCTGTAACTTCTGTCTCTCTAAAATGTATAAAACCAAGCTGTAACCCAACTACTTAGGGCACTGTTTGTCAGGACCTCTTGAGGCTGTGTCCTGGGCCACGATCACTCATATTTGGCTTAGAATCAAACTCTTCATATATTTTACAGAGTTTGACTTTTTAAAATCAACATTAGTATGCATATTATTAAATTGAATTGAGTAGTTTTTTGCACGTTTTTCATTTGGGGTAAAATGCACATGAATACATGTAATGCATGCAATTAAATGCATAAATCCTAACTGCACGTGCATCAAATTTGACAAATGCATACACATTTGTAAACCAAACTTTTATCAAGATGTAGAACATGACCCTTCCTCACCAACTCTTGCCCCCCATCACAGTCAACCACTGTTCTGATATTTTCACCATAGAAAAATTTGCCTATTCTAGAACTTTATGTACACAGAACCAGACAATATATACTTTATTGTATAAGATTTCTTTTACTCAAAATAACATTCTTAGAATTATTCATATTGTTGCCTGTATCAGTAGCTCATTCCATTTTATTGTTGAATAGTGATTTGTCGTATGGATATACCATAGTTTGATTATTCTCATATTGATGGGGATACCTGGGCTGTTTCCAGTTTAGAGTTATTGTGATTAAAATTGAACATTCTTACATGTCTTTTTGTGAAGATATTTAATTTCTCCTGGGTAAATACCTAACAGTAAAACTGTTCTGTCAGAGGATTAAGTATTTAGTTAAGGGTTTCATTTGATAAGAAACTGTCAGATCTTTTCCAAAATGGTTGTACTATTTTATACCCCCAGCATTTTGTGGTTGCTCCGCATCACCAACACTTTTTACGGTCAGTTATTTTAATTTTAGCATTTGTTTGTTTGTTTGTTTGAGACAGGGCCTTGCTCTGTCCCCCAGGCTGGAGTGCAAGCATAATCACAGCTCACTGTGGCCTTGACTTCCCAGACTCAAGTCATTCTCCCACCTCAGCCTCCCAAGTAGC
This sequence comes from Homo sapiens, assembly GCF_000001405.40. Taxonomy (NCBI): domain Eukaryota; kingdom Metazoa; phylum Chordata; class Mammalia; order Primates; family Hominidae; genus Homo; species Homo sapiens. Next base: position 31,143,975 of record NC_000003.12, read on the forward strand.
TGCACTACAGGCACAGGCAACCATGCCCAGCTAATTTTCTGAAGTTTTTTGGAGAGATGGTCTTTTGCTTTGCTGCCCAGGCTTGTCTCAAACCCCTAGTCTCAAGCAGTACTCCTGCCTTCACCTCCCAAAGTGCTTGGATTACAAATGTGAGCCACTGTGGCTTGCCTAATTTTAGCCATTCTGATGAATGTGGTTTTAATGGGCATTTATTTGATGAATAATTATGTTCAGTACTTTTCCATGTGCTTATTGGCAATTCAGTATCCTTTTTGTGACATGGCTGTCACATGTTTGTGACATCGCTGTTTGCCTTTTATCATTAAATTACAGGCATTCTTCATATAGCCTAGATACCACTTCTTTGTCAGGTATTTATCTTGTTACTTGCTATTGGTCTGTCAGGTTTTGGGTTTCTTCCTGGTTCAATCTTGGTAGGATGTATGTGTCTAGGAATTTGCCCATTTCTTCTAGATTTTCCAGTTTATTGGCATACAATTGCTCACAGTAACTACTAATGACCCTTTGAATTTCTGCAGTATCAGTTGTAATGTCTCCTTTTTCGTTTCTGATTTTATTTAATTGGATCTTCTTTCGTTTTTTTCTTAGTCTGGCTAAAGGTTTGCCAATGTGTTTAAATTTTCAAAAAAACATCTTTTTGTTTTATTGATTTTTTTTTGTAGTGTTGACTTCATTTCAAATTCATTTATTTCTGCTCTGATATTTATTATTTCTTTTCTTCTAATTTTTTATTTGGTTGGCTCTTACTTTTTTAGTTCTTTAAAATGCACAGTTATATTGTTTATTTGAAGTTTTTCCTCTTTTTGATATAGACACTTATAACTATAACATTCCCTCTTAGTTCTGTTTTCCCTGTATTCTATAGGTTTAGGTATGTTGTGTTTCTATTTTCATTTGTTTCAAAATTTTTTTCAAATTCTTTCTTAATTTCTTCATTGACTCACTGGTCATTCAAGAACATATTGTTTAGTTTCCATGTATTTGTATAGTTTCCAAAATTCCTCTTGTTATTGATTACTAATTTTATTCCATTGTGGTCAGAGAAGATGCTTGATATTATTTCAACATTTTTGAATGTGTTAAGACTTGTATTGTGATCTGACATATGGTCTATCCTTGAGAATGATCCATGTGCTGAGGAAAAGAATGTGTATTCTGTAGCCATTAGATGAAATGTTCTGTAAATATTTATTAGATCCATTTGGTCTATAATGCAGACGAAGCCCATTGTTTTTTTGTTTATTTTCTGTCTGGAAGAGCTGTCCAATGCTGAAAGTGGAGTAATGAAGTCTCCAGCTATTATTGTATAAGGGTCTACCTCTCTCTCTTTATCTCTAATAATATTTTTATATATATTTCTGGGTGCTCCAGTGTTGGGTGCTTATGTATTCACAATTGTTATATTTTCTTGCTGAACTGACCCCTTCCTCATTATACAATGACCTTATTTGTCTCTTCTTATAGTTTTGGTCTTGAAATCTATTTTGTCTGATGTAAGTACAGCAAATTCGGCTTTTGGTTTCCATTGTCATGGAATATCTTTTTCTATTCCTTTATTTTCAGTCTATGTGTGTTTTTATAGGTGAGGTGTGTTTCTAACAGATCAATGGGTCTTATTTTTTCATCCATTCAGCCACTCTATGCCTTTTCATAGAAGAGTTTAGCCCATTTATATTCAATGTTATTATTGATAAGTAAGGACTTACTCCTGCCATTTTGTTATTTGTTTTCGGTTGTTTTGTGGCCTTCTCTTTCTTCTTCCTTTCTCTCCTGTCTTCTGTTAGTGAAGGTGATTTTCTCTGGTGATATGATTTTGTTTCTTGCTTTTCATTTTTTGTGTCTCCATTGTTTTTTGGTTTGAAGTTACCATGAGGCTTGCAAATACTATCTTATAACCCATTATTTTAACCTGATAACAACTTAATGCCCTTTGCACAAACAAACATACAAGCAAAAAGAAAATGAGTAAAACTCTATGTCTTAATTTCATCACCCTGCTTCTTAACTTTTTGTTGTTTCTATTTATATTTTATTGTGCTATGTTTTGAAAGGTTGTTGTAGTTAGGTTTTTTTGTGTTTTATTTCATGACTACATGACAGCAGTGTAGTTATCATGTTTGATTTGTTTATTATTTAGTCTTTCTACTTAAGAGTAGTTTACATACCACAGTTATAGTGTTATCATATTCTGTACTTTTCTGTGTATTTACCATCACTAGTGAGTTTTGTACCTTCAGATAATTTCTATTGCTCATTAATAACCTTTTCTGTCTGATTGAAGTACTCTCTTTAGCATTTCTTGTAGGACAGGTCTGATGTTGATGAAATCACTATGCTTTTTTAGGTCTGGGAAACTACTTCTCTTACAGGTTTGAAGGATATTTTCACTGGATATACTATTCTAGGGTAAAAGTTCCTTTTTTCCTTCAGCACTTTAAATATGCCATTCTCTCTTGGCCTGTGTCTTAGTCTGTTTTCACACTGCTGATAAAGACATATCTGAGACTGCTCAATTTACAAAAGAAAGATGTTTAATAAATTCACAGTTATATGTGGCTGGGGAGGCCTCACAATCATGGCAGAAGGTGAAAGGCACACCTCACATGGCTGCAGATAAGAGAAGAGAACGAGCATCAAGCAAAAGGGGTTTCCCCTTATAAAACCATCAGATCTCTTGAGACTTATTCACTACCATGAGAACAGTGTGGAAGAAACTGCCCCCATGATTCAATTATCTCCCACTGGGTCTCTCCCACAACATGTGGGAATTATGGGAGCTACAATTCAAGATGAGATTTGGGTGGGTATACAGCCAAACCATATCATTCCACTTCTGGCCCTGCCTGAATTTTATATCCTCACATTTCAGAACCAATCATGCCTTCCCAACAGCCCCCCAAAGTCTTAACTCATTTTAGCATTAACTCAAAAGTCCACAGTCCAAAGTCTCATCTGAGACAAGGCAAGTCCCTACTGTCTATGAGCCTGTAAAATCAAAAGCAAGTTAGTTACTTCCTAGGTATAATGGGGATACAGGCATTGGATAAATACACCCATTCAAAATGGGAGAAATTGGCCAAAATGAAGGGGCTAAAGGTCCCATGCAAGTCCAAAATAGAGCAAGACAGTCAAATCTTAAAGCTCCAAAATGATCTCCTTTGACTCCATGTCTCATATCCAGGTCATGCTGATGCAAGAGGTGGGTTCAATGGTCTTGGGCAGCTCTACCCCTGTGGCTGTGCAGGGTATGGCCTCCTTCCTGGCTGCTTTCATGGGCTGGCATTGAGTGTCTGAAGCTCTTCCAGTCACACAATGCAAGCTGTTGGTGGATCTACCATTCTGGGATCTGGAGGATGGTGGCCTTCTTCTCATAGACCCACTAGGCAGTGCCCAGTGGAAACTCTGTGTGGGAGTTTCAACTCCACATTTCCCTTCCACACTGCCCTAGCAGAGGTTCTCCATGAGATGACTGCCCTTGAAGCAAACTTCTGCCTGGACTTCCAGGTGTTTCCATACAACCTCTGAAATCTAGGCAGAGGTTCCCAAACCTCAATTCTTAACTTCTTTGTACCTTCAGGCTCAACATCTTGTGGAAGCTGCCAAGGCTTTGGGTTTGCACTCTCTGAAGCAACAGACCAAGCTGTACCTTGGCCCCTTTTAGCCATGGGTAGAGTGGCTGGGAGGCAGGAAACCAAGTCCCTAGGCTGCACACAGCATTGGGGCCCTGGGCCCAGCCAATGAAACCATTCTTTCCTCCCAGTCCTCCAGGCCTGTGACGGGAGGGGCTGCCACAAAGGTCTCTGACATGCCCTGGAAACATTTTCCCCATTGTCTTGACAATTAACATTTGACTCCTCATTACTTATGCGAATCCCTGCAGCTGGCTTGAATTTCTCCTCAGAAAATGGGTTTTTCTTTTTTTTTTTAATTATACTTTAAGTTTTAGGGTACATGTGCACAAGGTGCAGGTTAGTTACACACGTATACATGTGCCATGTTGGTGTGCTGCACTCAGTAACTCATCATTTAACATTAGATATATCTCCAAATGCTATCCCTCCCCCCTCCCCCCACCCCACAACAGGCCCCAGTGTGTGATGTTCCCCTTCCTGTGTCCATGTGTTCTCATTGTTCAATTCCCATCTATGAGTGAGAACATGCGGTGTTTGGTTTTTTGTCCTTGTGATAGTTCACTGAGAATGATGGTTTACAGCTTCATCCATGTCCCCACAAAGGACATGAACTCATCACTTTTTACGGCTGCATAGTATTCCATGGTGTATATGTGCCACATTTTCTTAATCCAGTCTATCATTGTTGGATATTTGGGTTGGTTCCAAGTCTTTGCTATTGTGAATAGTGCCGCAATAAACATACGTGTGCATGTGTCTTTATAGCAGCATGATTTATAATCTTTTGGGTATATACCCAGTAATGGGATGGCTGGATCAAATGGTATTTCTAGTTCTAGATCCCTGAGGAATCGCCACACCGACTTCCACAAGGGTTGAACTAGTTTACAGTCCCACCAACAGTGTCAAAGTGTTCCTATTTCTCCACATCCTCTCCAGCACCTGTTGTTTCCTGACTTTTTAATGATCACCATTCTAACTGGTGTGAGATGGTATCTCATTGTGGTTTTAATTTGCATTTCTCTGATGGCCAGTGATGATGAGCATTTTTTCATGTGTCTTTTGGCTGCATAAATGTCTTCTTTTGAGAAGTGTCTGTTCATATCCTTTGCCCACTTGTTGATGGGGTTATTTGTTTTTTTCTTGTAAATTTGTTGGAGTTCATTGTAGATTCTGGATATTAGCCCTTTGTCAGATGAGTAGATTGCAAAAATTTTCTCCCATTCTGTAGGTTGCCTGTTCACTCTGATGTTAGTTTCTTTTGCTGTGCAGAAGCTCTTTAGTTTAATTAGATCCAATTTGTCAATTTTGGCTTTTGTTGCCATTGCTTTTGGTGTTTTAGACATGAAGTCCTTGCCCATGCCTATGTCCTGAATGGTATTGCCTAGGTTTTCTTCTAGGGTTTTTATGGTTTTAGGTCTAACGTTTAAGTCTTTAATCCATCTTGAATTAATTTTTGTATAAGGTGTAAGGAAGGGATCCAGTTTCAGCTTTCTACATGGGTTTTTCTTTTCTCTCACATTGTCAGATGGAAAATTTTCTGAACTTTGATTCTCTGTTTCCCTTTTAAAATGGAATGCTTTTAACAGCACCCAAGTCACCTCTTGAATCCTTTGCTGCTTAGAAATTTCTTCTGCCAGATACCCTAAATCATCTCTGTCAGGTTCAAAGTTTCACAAATCTCTAGGGTAGGGGAAAAATGAAACCAGTTTCTTTGCTAAAACATAGCAAGAGTCACCTTTACTCCAGTTCCCCACTAGTTCCTCATCTCCATCTGAGACCACTTCAGCTGGATTTCATTGTCCATATCATTACCAGCATTTTGGTTGAAGCCATTCAACAAGTCTCTAGAAAGTTCCAAACTTTCTCACATTTTCCTGTCCTCTTCTGAGCCCTCTGCACTGTTCTAAACTCTGCCTGTTACCCAGTTCCAAAATTGCTTCCATATTTTTTGGGTATCTTTACAGCAGCGCCCCACTCTACCAATACCAATTTACTGTATTAGTCCATTTTCATGCTGCTGATAAAGACATACCTAAGACTGGGCAATTTACGGAAGAAAGAGGTTTAATGTACTCACAGTTCCACATGGCTGGGGAGGCCTCACAATCATGGTGGAAGGTGAAAGGCACATCTCACATGGCAGCAGACAAGAGAAGAGAATGAGAATCAAGCAAAAAGGGATTTCCCCTTATAAAACCATCAGATCTTGTGAGACTTATTCACTACCATGAGAACAGTATGGGGGAAACTGCCCCATGATTCAATTATCTCCCACCTGGTCCCTCCCACAATGAGTGGGAATTATGGGAGCTACAATTCAAGATGAGATTTGGGTGGGGACACAGTCAAACCACATTTGCCTGTAAAGTTTCCACTGAAAAGTCTGCTGCCAGATGTGTTAGAGCTCCATTGTATGTCTTTTGTTTTTTTCTTTTGCTGTTTTTAGGATCCTTTCTTTATCCCTGACTCTTTTGAGTTTGATTATTAAATGCCTTGAGTAGTCTTCTTTGAGTCAAATCTGCTTGGTCTTCTACAATCTTCTTGTACTTGGATATTGATAGCTTTCTCTAGGTTTGGGAAGTTCTTGGTTATCATCCTTTTGAATAAACTTTCTACCCCTATCTCTTTATCTACCTCCTCTTTAAGGCCAGTAACTCTTAGATTTTCCTTTTTGAGGCTATTTTCTAGATGCTGTAGACATGCTTCATTGTTTTTTATTCATTTTTATTTTGTCTCCTCTGATCATGTATTTTCAAATAGCTTGTCTTCAAGATCATTAATTGTTTCTTCTGGTTGATCAATTATGTTCTTAAAGGACTCTGATGCATTCTTCAGTATATAAACTGCATTTTTCAGCTCCAGAATTTCTGCTTGATTCTTTTTATTTAAGTCTGTTAAATTTATCTGATAAAATTCTGAATTCCTTCCCTGTGTTATCTTGAATTTTTTGAGTGTCCTCAACACATATATTTTAAATTTTCTGTCTGAAAGATCACATATCTCTGTTTCTCCAGGATTGGTCTCTGGTGCCTTATTTAATTCATTTGGTGAGGTCATGTTTTCCTGGATGGTGTTGATGCTAAAAGATATTCATTTGAGTTAGATATTTAGTGTAGCCTTCACTGTCTGGGTTTATTTGTACCAATCCTTCTTGGGAAAGCTTCCCAGATATTTGAAAAGACTAGGGTATTGTAATCTAAACTCTATCTCCTTTAGGGGGTAATCCAAGCATTTAGGGGGTAATGCTGTGGCTCTTGTAGACTCATAGGGTATCACTTCGGTGGTCTTGGACAAGATCCAGAAGAGTTTTCTGGACTAGCAGACAGACACTCTTACTCTGTTTCTTACTTTCTCCCAAACAAACAGAATATATCTCTCTGTGCCTGTTCTGAGCTACTTAAAGCTGGGGGTAGAGTGTAGCCACCACCACTATGACTGCACTGGGACAGACCTGAAACCAGCACAGCACTGGGTCTCACCCAAGGCCTGCTGTAACTATTCCCTGGCTACTGCCTATGGTTATTCAAGGCCCTGGAACTCCATAATCAGCTGGTGACAAAGCGAGTCAGGCCTGTGTTCTTCCTTTCAGGGTGATGAAGTCCCCCCGACCTTGGCTGGGTCCAAAGGTGCCATCTGGGATTTAGGAACCATAGAGGTCAAAAACCTTAGATGTCTACCTGGTGCTCTATTGTACAGCAGCTGAGCTGGCACTCAAACCACAAGATGCAGTCCTCCCACTCTTCCCTCCCCTTTCCAAAGACAGAGGAGCATCACCCCAAAGCCATGCCATCCCAGGCCATGAGGAGTACTACTAGACTACTTCAGATGTTCTTTTAAGGCCCAAGTACTCTTAAATCAACTTGTAGTGAATACTGCCTGGCCTGGGACTCACCCTTCAGAGCAGTGCACTCCCCTCTGGCCCAGGGAAGGTCCAGAAATGCCAGCCAAAGGTCAAGTCCTGGAATTGTGGACCCCAAGAGCCTTGGTGCTCTACTTCCCTGTGACTGTGCTGGTACCTGAAGCTGGTAAATCTCAGAGGCTCACCCAAGGCCCTCAACATAGGACCTGAGCATAACTACCAGTTGTTCAGGGTCCTAGGGCTCTTCAGTTGGAAGGTGATGAATGCTGCTAGAACTGAGTCCCTCTCATCAAGGCAGCAGGCTCTCTTTTGGCCAAGATGTGTCTAGAAATGCCAGCTGGGAACTAGGACCTGGAACAGGGGCTTTATGACTCTGACCAGTGCCCTATCCTGCTGTGCCTGAGCTGATATCCAAGATGCAAGACAGAATCCTCCTTACTCTACCCTCTCCTCTCCCCAAGTGGAAGGAAGAAGTCTCTTCTGGAGCCACAAGCTGTGCAGCCTGGGGTTAGAGGAGGGGTGATGCCCCAGCTGGTTTCTCAGTATGTCATTTACTCCCCCACCCGGCCCCGACCCCCACAATGCCAGTCCACTGTCTCTGGGCCCAATTCAGCACTAGAACTTGCCTAAAAGTTGCAGTCTTTATGGCCTAGACTGCCTTTCAAGTTTACTTGGACACACAGAGCACTGGAGCCCTCATTGTTGAGGTTTGCAGGCACTCCAGTTTGGACTTCTGGGATTGGTGATTCCAGGCTGTCTAAGGCTGGGTGAAATGTTCCCTCCATGGGTGGGCATCAGCTGAGTTTGGTCTGGTTTTCCTTTCTTCTCTAACACAAGAAGGCACTGAGTTCAATGCCTCACAGTTGCTGTGTTCTCTCTCCCCCAGTGCCCAGAGAAGCTCTCTGAACCACGTTGCCACTGTTGGGAGTGGGAGAGGGGTGGTGTTAGTGATTCAGGACTGGTTTTTTCTATCTCTTTGGTCCCACTTTCAGCCATATGAAGTCAAAACCAGATACTGTGGATGCTCACCTGATGTTGGTTCTTATAAAGATTTTTTCTTGGCCGGGCGTGGTGGCTCACGCCGGTCATCCCAGCACTTTGGGGGGCCAAGATGGGCTGATCATGAGGTCAAGAGATCGAGACCACCCTGGCCAATATGGTGAAAGCCCGTCTTTCCTAAAAATACCAAAATTAGCTGGACGTGGTGGCACGTGCCTGTAATCCCAGCTAATCAGGAGGCTGAGGCAAGAGAATTGCTGAATCCAGGAGGCAAAGGTTGCAGTGAGCCGAGATCGCGCCACTGCACTCCAGCCTCCTGGTGACAGAGCTAGACTCTGTCTCAAAAAAAAAAAAAAAAAAAAAAAAAAGATTTTTCTTGTGTGTGTAAATAGGTGTCAAATTGGTGTCCTTGCAGTGGTGGGGGGCAATTGGTGGAGCCGTCTATTCTGCCGTCTTGCTTCAGCTTTCCAATTTCCATTTTTAAATTGAATTTTATGGCCCATTTTGAATTAACTTTTGTGCCTGGTAGTATTTTTTGAAGGAGATTGACAAACTGAATTTTAAATTTTTGTGAAAGAAAACTTCACAAAAAGCTGAGAAAATTTTTACAAATAAATGCAAACATGGATGACTTACCCCACCAGCAAGCAAGATATATCACAGAAACATATTACTATTAATTAGGATATATTACTAGTTCAAGAAGAGAAAACTAGGTCAACGAAATATGAAAGTACAGAAGCAGAACTGAAGAGGTATATGTGGATTTTCATATATGTGTGTGTATGTGGGTATAGACTTTGCATCACAAATTAAAAAGAAAATAATTGGACTATTTAGTAAGTGTAGTTAACAAAATTGGTTCACTAGCTGAAGAAAAATAAAGTTAAAATCCATATACAACATACATAAAACTCTCAGTATATTAGAATCTTAAATGGAAATGGTAAAACCATCAAGGCAAAGGTCGAAAATATATTAAAATGTCTTAGAAATGTTAAAGTGGGCAAGGATTTCTTACATAAGCTCTAAGAAGCATAATTGTAAGTGGGGTGTAAGTTGATTAATTTGTCCATATCAAAATTAAAGAATTTTATTTACGAAAGCACATAAAATTATCATGCAGGTGACAGACTGAGAGAAGACATTTGAGTCATCCAAAATGCACAAGGAATTAGTACGTAGAACTATTAGGAAATTTATGAAAATCAGCAAAAAAAAATGGACTAAGGATAAGATTAGAAACTTCAAAAACTGGGAAACAAGTACAAACAGATAATCTTAATAATCATAGAAATGTTAAAAAAAAAAGATACAACTTCATACAAATAATACTGATAATTATAGAAAACCGGATAACATCAAATGCTTAGAAGTTATCAGAAGAAAAGGAATCCCCACAGACAGCTGATGGAAGTATACACTAGTTCAGACACTGTGATGAAAAATTTTGGCATCATTCACTCCTGGGAATGAGCCTCAGAGAATCTCTCGTATGGGTCCATAAGGAGATGCAAGCGAAGATGTTTACTGCAACATTGTTCTTGAAAGGAAGATTCATCTCCAGAAGAATGGATAAGTAGAACTCGACAAGTGCATGTGATTGAATGCTATGAAAACTATGTAATAGGAGCAATAAACCAGATTTACCAAGTACACATAAATAGTTCTTTAAAACATAACATTGAGTGGAAGTAAAAATGGAAAGAGAATCTGATTTATATCTCAGTTACATTTAACAGATTTAAACACACACACACACACACACACACACACACACACTACTCCATATATTTTCCAAGGTACAGCAATATCTAAATAAACATATTCAAGAAACCTAGGAAGTTCACTTATTATAATAAATACACCAGAGTGAGCATCTAAGAGGTAAAAATGGCACTGCAAGTGGGGATGAAAGGGAAAATAACAACAAAATAAACAAAATAGGAGCCACACACGGAATAAAGTGGATAGCATGCCACCAAAAGATGTATAGAATCAACCCTTTTCTAGGCAGCTGAGTCACAGACACAGTCACTCCAAGGGTATGTTTTCAAATTACCTGTAAATCTTCTCTCACCTTACAGCTTTCATTTTATCCACTTATCCATAAAGCTATCAGAGGAGAATAGAAAGTTTTGCTGAGATCACAGAAGAATGTGGAGTAACTTTGAGCTTTCAAAATAATAACCAGGTCTCTAACAAGTTATTATTATTGATATGACTGACTTGTATTAGTGACCAAGTCAGCTAGACAGAAAGGGCTTATACCAGTAATTGTCAAATTCTTCTCCAAATTTCCACAAATGAGACATTTCTTAATTATCTTCAAGAAGTGTTTTAGATTTTTCTATATCAAGCTTTAGGTAATTCTTCACATCTCCCTTTTGAAAATCACATCGTATTTTCCCAGGTTTGCCCTTGTTGTGCCTCTCACATTCTCCAAAAAGTCTCAAAAATGAGGACAATCATCATCATCTTAAAATAATAAGCATAGCATAAACCTGCAAGTTTCTTTAAGACTTTAGAATATAATCCATCTAGGCTTGGACGGCTAAAAGCATTTAAAGTAACTTTGTGATTTTTTTTTTACAGACTCATTAATATTTCATGTATTTTAATACTAAAGTATTGATTATTCACTACAGGTCATAGTAGCCTTTGTAAAAGGATTCAGTGTTGTAGAACAATACATTAAAAATAAAAGCACAACGTGAAGATGGCCTTAGCAGTGAAACATGTAACTACTGATTCAGTATTTAGTTGATTATATTTAAAACAGATTTAATGGTGATGTAGTGAGTAAGAATCAAAGATGCAAATTCTCGTTTCAAATTGTCCACTAATGACCTTCATCTCTAAAATGGCATGCTATTTGTCAAGATCAAATGAGATAATGGATGTGAAATATTCCTGTAAGCTGCAAAGTAAAAAATAAATGGATATTTTAATTTTTATTTCTAAACTTGTGTCCAAAGAAATGGAAGGGTGTATTAGCTAAAATGCTTTTGCTTACATTTAAGAAGCAACCCAATTCCAACTAGCCTAAGCAATAAAAGGAATTTATTAGCTCAATTTCTGAGAAAGCCTGGAGGGAGACTAGATGCATGGGCTTAAACAGTGCAGGCAAGGCCCATTTTTTTCTCCCTTTATTTTTCAGCTCCAGCTTCTCAATAGTTCTCCACCTTCATAGTCACAAAATGGTTGCCAATAGCATCTAGGCCTACATGTTTCCTAATACAAATCTGGAAGAAATTTGGTCTGCAACCCTGAGAGTTTAAATAAAATCCCTGAAACTAAGTGTCTTTGGCTCTCATTAGCCTGAGTCGGGATATGTGCCCATCTATTAACCATCACTGTGGCCAGGAGCATGGGACATACTGATGGGCTTAAGGTAATCAGGAATTGTGGCCAAAGTGGCTGCTTTGCAGAGCTCCATGGGGCAGTATTCCCAAATCTAAACAATAGATGCCGGAGAGCCAATCGACACAAGTAATTTATTGTGGGTCCCTAGGAGAAAAGTTAACATTTACACTAGAAGTTTTTTGAGCTGGGAATAAGGCAGTCAGCCTCAATAACTGCAGGCCAAATCAGCAAGAAAAATTCTAGATTTTACTTGTTAATAATTTTTCTCACACACAAATGCCCCTACTATGGACGGAAGTGTGTGCTCGTCAAAATACTTATGTTGAAGCCCTGACCCCTCAGTGTGAATGCATTTGGATATAAGGCCTACAAGGAAGTAATTAAGTAATTAAATGACGTTGTAAGGGTGTAGCCCTGACCCAATAGGATTAGTGTCCTAGTAAGAAGAGACACCAGAGAGCTATTCCCATCTCACTTTACTGGCACTGTGGAAAGGCCATGTAAGAACACAGTGAGAAGGCAGCTATCTGTAAGCCAGGAAGCCAGTCCTCGCCAGAAATCAGATTTGCTGGTACCTTGGTCTTCAACTTCCAGCCTCCAAACCTGTGAGTAGTAAGTGTAAGCCCCCCAGTCCATGGTATTTTGTCACGGCAGACTGTACAAAGATAGCCCCTCTCCCCATGTCCTTCTGTGTACATGAACGCACCTGGGTTTCTGCATTCAGCGGCTTTAAGAGTCATGTATACTCATGGTTTCCACTTCCCACACCTCTTTCCTGTATCAGCTTACTATGAGGATGCTTTCCTTCAATATTCTAGTAAAATTTTCTGCAAACACTGTGTACTTTTCAGTTCTAATCTCACATGATCATTTAGAATCATGTGACTTCACTGAATGCCCCATTCTCCTCTACATTTTCTGGAGTCCATGACCCAAATCATAATTTTCATTTCGTCCTCTGGCTCACTTCAGTTTTCTTTATGGATTTCTTCACTTTTCTTGATAAATGCTGATGCATGCTTTGCCCCTCTTCATGATCTTATTCTTCTGTTATTCCAAGTTCTCAAGAACTTCATACTACTCATGTGCTGATGATTCCCTCGTGTAAATCCACCCTACCTTTTTCATACCTTCAACTTCCTATCAGCCATCTCCAAGTCAGTGACCGTCGAGCCCTCGAGCTCAAGCATTCAAAACAAAGTTTATCGAAATTATTATATCCACTTCCGAATAAAAACAAAACCCTCTTACTGTCTGGATAAATGGTGCCACTAAACCATGCAGCTACCCAAGACGAAAATCTCAGGATTATTCTCAACTCCTTCTCCTTCACTTTCCACATCAACTAATGACGTAGGACTAGTGCTCTCTCTCTGCAAGTGGCCTCTCTGCTTTCACTTTGTTCGTTCTCTGCACACTCAATGCAAAAGAAAAGAAAATATGAAAAATCTTATCGCTCCTCTACTTAAAACCTTGCCATGGTTTCCCAGTGCACAGCAAGTAAACTAAACTTTGCCTCAGGGGATGGGATGCTATGTAATGTAACAGGCAGCACCCTCGACAACTTCACCTAAATCAGTGAGTGGATAAAGTATTATAGCAAGTTTGGTCACAATACAGTTCCTCCCTGAACTTAACACTGCACCCCTGTGGCAGATCAGATCATTATCTCATTTATTGCACGCCATAGCTTTAGGAAGTAAGTTCTTATATTATTCCCATGTTGTAGCTAATGAAACTGAGGAACAGAGAAATTAAGCAGCTTGCTGAAGATCACACAAGTATCAGAGCAGGTAAATAAATAAACTATAGTGGCCTAACTCAAGAGTCCAGTTTTTAAACCATTCATGAGAGGAGTTATCATATATCTCAATCTGGGCCCTGTTAACCTGTCTAGGGATAGTTCAAAAATTACATTAAAATTATTGTATGTATATATATTTTGCTAGGAAGGGGATCCATAGGTTTCCTAAGATTCTCAAAAGAATCCCTGGCACAAAGTGCATAAAAAGAAGAAGAAACAATCCTGCTATGTGACTGTCATTCCTAGGGACTATAAAGCAACTTCCAGAAATCTTTCTTGAGAGGCATTGAAGGTTATAGAAATTTGGAACATTTTTTGTTATCATAATATGCTCATTTAAAACTCATCACCTCTATGACATCTTCTCTGTATTATTTAAACTTCCTTCCAACAAGGTGAGAGCACGGTGCTGGCAGGGCAAGTGGTGACCCATCCAGAGAACTGTGAGTGTCAACAGTCCCTCCAGTCCAGGGGTTCAGGTGAACAGCTGAGCATACAAGTTTAGGAAAACAAGCTCACCTTCAACAAAGCATGTAAATAAAAATAATTCAAGCCTGATCCATAAGGATTTCCCTCAGGTAACGAAGTCCTTCAGGCTGAAGCTCAGTCATTTCCAGGGAGGGCTGAGTCACATTTAGATTCTTCCAGGTACAAGTTTCCTCAGTTGAGGTGGTTGGATTCGCCAGGCCTGGATATTTGCAAAATGCCCTGCTTGCCTTGATTAATGACTTTCTCCATAAAGCCAGTCTTGGTGATGACATGACAAAGCTCCTCTGTCCCTGTGTGTTAATAGTACAGAGAGACCATTAACTGCTGGCAAGTATCCCAAAATTGCTCTGAAGATGTAGAGGAATTCTAATGAAATGTAAAGCATTCATCAGAAAGGAGCATAATAGATTTTTCAAAGCTCATGCTCAGTACTTCCACTTAACAAATGCAATACCATCCCTCTTTAGGAAATACACGCATTTCCCATGGAAGAAAGAAAAATATTTCAAATGGTCCTCTTCATTTTTCTGTATTTTCTAAATTTTAGGTTATAAACATGTACTAATAGTATTGTTATAAAGGAAAAGAATTCATGGAAAATTTTAAAAATTTTTCTAAAGTCATGCATTCTTGTGGTTCCCAAAAGTGTTTTATTGTCACATAAATAGGGGAAATGCACTCAAATGCAGAGATACTGAATTAGTAACCCTAGTGCTGGGGGTCTAGATTCTCGGCAAGTGGCATCCAGAAGTTCAGTTTATGTCAAGTATTCTTGCTTATAATTGACACAGTTGGTTACCCACCCAATACATTTCATGTCTTTCTTTTAATAGCCCCCAGATATTATTTGAATAGCTACCTCTCTCCATGCATCCCATATTATTTCAGAATAAGCTCAAACTTCCCCCTCACTCCAATAGTGGTCCCTGGTTGGTTTTACTCAAGCATGAGTTCAAGGGTGGGCCTGTGACCTGTGCAAGCCAATCAAGGTTGATTGTAGGACTCTTGCTCAGAAAGCTGGGCCATAAACCCGCTGTACCCTGCCAGCATTGAACAGAAACCGTATTATCCCAATGCCTATGACAGCCATCTTAAAGCCATGAGGGCAACCAGACTTAGGAGGAAAATGACACCGTGAGAGCCATAGAAGGGAGATGGAAAGAAACTAAATCCATAGTGCTACCCTCAAACTGCTGGATCAACCAATCATGGACGCGTTATTGCCTCTGCATGCTCAGGTTCCTAAAGTAATAAATCTCTTTCACTGAAAAGGTCAATTGAAATTAAATTTTCTGTTCCTTGCAACAGGATATCCTAGCTCATATGCAACTCCTTACAGTTATTGGTTTCAGTTGCAACACAGTGTATCAGCTGATTTAATTCAGTCCAGCATTTTTTTTTTTTTTTTGGCATACCAAGATTGGACTTTAGCCATCCTCATGGCAATCAAGTAATGTTTACCTATTAAAAAAAATAACTGATGCCGTATACTTCAGGACTTTCTTCCCATCAATGATTATGACCATAACCAACATTCCTCTATAACAAGACTCTGGTTTCAGTGTTTCATACCTCCATAGATGTCTCAGAATCAGCCCCATCCTGCCTTGAGGTCTCTAGTTCTGTCTCGTTACTTCTGACCTGGACCTTGACTCCTTGCACAACTGTTTTAAACTGACCCTCTATTGGGATAGTCTATGTTATTTTTCAGTTCACTTTTACCCCAGATGTTGACTTTCAGATATGCTTAGCTTTCTTATCCATCTGCCATGATCTAGCCCAACCTGTCACAATGCCAGGATGCACAAACCCTGGAGTGCATCCAGAGAATTGGGCAGTCTGAACTGGAGATGCTGGAGATACAATAAATAAGCATCAATCTCTATAAGTAAAATGAGAACATTGGACTTAAGATTACTCTGAAATGTCTTCAATTTATAAGATGTAAGAGGCTAGAGACATAGCCCTTACTCTTGAGGTATTAACAAGCCCACTACTCAGTAGGATGCTGATAATTAGAGGACTCAGTAATCAACATTTTCAAATAGCACTTTTCTGTGTAACAACTGAATAGTGTTGAATCTACTCCACAATTGTTAGAAATAGGACACATATTACTTAGCATTTTCAGCTTTATTTTTCAGAATGTAGGACATATTTTAATAATACAAAAAATGTTCTAATATAGAAAATGCCATAATATCACTATCTTGGTTAATCCCCACAGTAGCCTCACCACCAACAGGGAACATTCTTTGCATATCATAAAAGACTACTGGAGATTTATCCATTTTCTACCTCTGTGGCCACATACCTTACTTACTATACCTGTCTCAAATCCTACACTCCAACCTAACCAGATCACCAACAGTCCCTGGAAGTCACAATTTTGTCTTTATCTTTTCTTTTTCTCTAACCAGAATACTTATACCCAACTTCTTCATCCAGTGGGTATACTCATCATTCAAGACCCAGCTAAATTCTTTCCTCCTCACATACGCCTTCTCTGATCTTCTGAAAGTTGTGGCCGCACCTTCTATGTAGAAGACAGACAGTGAAAGAAAGATTTCAGAAAAGAGCTGCAAGCCATTTGAAGCCTGGAAATTGCACCAGTGATGCTTCTTAGTGAATGCTTTAGGCTTTAACCAGCCAGATCTACAACTTCTCCTTTGCAACGGAGCCAGGAAGCAGAATGGAAGAATGGACAAAAAGGTAGATGCTCCTCCCTGCAGTGTATTACCAAATTAGAATTCAGGCAGAAGTTCCCTCTCCAACATACAGTACCTAAAAAAATTTTGTATTGTACATGTGCATATAATGGATCGCAGAAGTCTGTGTTGTTCAAGTATAGTTGAACAAGTCTGTGGGCCCCTAACTCAAACATTAGGTTTATGACAGTAAGAACAATAACCTCTCCATAGCACAGGGCCTGCTATAACATAAGCACTCAATTAATATTTTTTCTTAATAAAAGTGAATGAAGGACCAAATAAAAAATAGTCTTTACATCGAATAAAAGAATACCAAGTGCTAGTGAGAATGTGGAACAAAGGGAACTCTGATCATTAGTGAGTGTCAATTGGCACAATCACATTGGAAAACTATTTGGTAGCTCTTCCTATAACTAAATGTAAAACCATGTCCCAGTAATTCTACTCCTGAGTATATACCCTAAATAAATGAGTACATATGTCCACCAGAAGACTTTGACAAGAATGTTCATAGAAGCTTCATTCAAAATAGACAAAAATTAGAAACAACCCAATTGTTCATCAACAATAAAGTGGATAAACAATGGTATATTATGGGTAGCAGAATACTACTCAGCAAGAAAAAGGATAAATGATTGCTAAATAGAACAACATAGATAAATTTTAGAAGTACAATAAAGAGCAAAAAAGACCAGACCTAAAGGAAGACATAAGGTATGATGATTCCATTTGTGAATTATGACCGTGAATATCAATACGAAGTTAAAAAACAGACTGAGAATAGGCAAGGCTGTGGTGTTGTAAATGTTCTGTATCTTGATCTAGGTGCCATTACGTGGGTGTGTGCATGTATATATGTGTGTTGCGTGTATGTGTATGTGTACATATATACACACATATACACACATGCAACACACATATACACACACATACAAATATACACATATAAAAGTTCATAAAGTTGTACATTTAAAGTTTTGTATACTTAATACATATGTTATACATATATGCAAATTTTTAACAACTTGAAGGGATTTCAGATTCATTTCATTTTCTGGTTGAACTTGAGAGAACACAGTGAGAAACTGCATCAGAGTCAAAAGTTCAGAATTAGAAGCAACACTTTCCTTATTTTACAAATGAGAACACAGAGCCCAAAGACATTAACTTAACCAGTGACCACTTTTCTTGTTAGTCACAGAGCTAAGCCAATATGTTTTCATTACCCCATGCCTTCCAGTACACACACACACACACACACACACACACTCACAAAACAAACTGTGGGCATGAATGTGGAATGGAGAGATGGCAGGGAAGCCTGTAGAAACAAAAGGGGTTTTCTCTAAATCTCATCCTCCTCATTGCCCCTTCCCCATTTCTCCTTCCTTTTCCTTTCCTTAATTCCAGGCATTGTTGACTTCTCTCATCTTCCCTGGTGCTTATTCTGCCTTTCTCTACAATTACCCATCCCAACCAAACACAACTCTATCTTAGTGGATCTCAGGGCGGTCCTCAGATGATAGAAATGGAAAAGTAGATAAGCACAAGTCATGTTTCTTTAAGATATATTTAATACAGTTGTACACTTATTTACATCACATCTCATTTCCAAAAGGTCAGCTTGGAAAAATCCATATATTACAAGATGGTAAATACTGAGGAAATTGCTGTAGGAAATATCAGAATTGGAGGAATAAGATGACTTGAGTAAAATGCTTAGGGTAGGGAGATTTTTTTCATGCTTCTACAACTCTAATATCAAAGTCAGGAACTGCTGCTGTACCTACCTCCCCAGTGGAATTTCCTTTGCAGAGGATCCTGAAAAGGAAGATTCTGATCCAGAGACCTCCTTTCTTTCTTTCTTTCTTTCTTTTTTTTTTTTTTGAGATGGAGTCTCGCTCTTGTTGCCCAGGCTGGAGTGCAATGGCGCAATCTCAGCTCACTACAACCTCTGCCTCCTGGGTTCAAGCAATTCTCTGCCTCAGCCTCCCAAGTAGCTGGGATTACAGGCTCCCCCCACCACACCCGGCTAATTGTTATATTTTTAGTAGAGATGGGGTTTCAACATCTTGGCCAGGCTGATCTTGAACTCCTGACCTCGTGATCCACCCGCCTCAGCCTCCCAAAGTGCTGGGATTACAGGCATGAGCCACCACACCCACCCAAGACCTCCTTATTTTACAATGAATTAGAGGAAATAAAGGCCTTATTTTAGTTGGCCCTGAATATAAACCTAAGAAATATGAAATTATGCCTGCCATCTAAATTACCTAGCTGCTTCCAAGGTGCTGTTGAGTTGTAAACAAATTAAAGAGAAAGCATAATTTGATCAGAGACATGTTACAAAGGACTCCTCCCTCCACACTAGCTCAGAAGCCTCAGGACACGAGCACTAGATTCAACCATGCCAATCAAATTGCCATGTGGTGGGCCTCTACTATGTTTACAAAATGATGCACGGAATAAAACATATATTAAAATTGGGTTGTGGGAAATAAACCACCATTCCAAATGTCGACAACACAGAAGCCAGGAAATACACATTTCAAGTATTCTCTTTTTATTGCTCATTCATCCAAGTTTCACATGTAAAACCAACATCCTAGAAACCAACCAAAGAGTTTAAAATGCTACTTGCTACTAATGCAAGAATGGGGTCATTAATTCCTGTCTATTATCTCTTACTGTTGTCTGAGGAACCTCAGATAATACACCTTAACTTAGTTAAATGAAAATTAAGGTCTGAGTTTTTGTTTTTCATTATGAAAAACAGAATGGAAAACAAAAGATATTTGAAGACTATAAAAATCCTTGAATGGTACAAATATTTAAAAATTCTAAGTAGTCGTTAAAAGAATTCATGGCCCAGTAGAGGAGAGTGGGTTCAGGGTGTGGACAAAATGAATCCTTAGAGTTCTTTCCAGCCGGTAGCTACTTCCACACAATTATGATTCCTAATTAGTCCATGACCCAATCTTTAGATTTGCACATCTGATCTCCTAATTTAAAATTACATTTGTAAATGTTTATATTTTTATTATCTTAGTGGTTAAAACCTGGGACTCCACAGACAGTTGGACTTGGGTTTCAATTCCAGCTCAAAAATGTGTTAATGATGTAATCTTGGGCAAGTTAATTAACTTCTCTTAGCCTCAATTTTCCTGTCTGTAAAAGGAATATACAAATAATATTCTCAATAAATTATTATATTTGCAAATAATTTATATGAATAAATTATAACTAAATATTAAATAATATAAAAATCTCTCTATAGGGGTTGTTGTGAGGATGGCATGGTAGTAGGAAGTGCAGTCATTGTTAACATCAACATCATTATCTCCATGATCATATTCACTCCTACCGTCATAATGAATTTTTGCAAAAAACATAGAGGAAATCATCTTCATTTTCTTAAAAGAAAAATAGCCCACCCCAAGGAAACAGATGAGGGCCATTCATATATATATATATAATTAGTAAAGTAGTAAAGGCCAGTTTTGCCAGACTTAACCTTCCAGAGATACATTATGGGAGCTGTGCTAAAAGGGAATATAAGGGAAGTATATCACAAAGCCTAAGAATTTGTGGTAACTAGTAACAAAAACTGGGACAAAAGGAAACACATGCCAGCAAAGCAGGCTCAGGATTCTCTGAGGAAAGTTAGCAAAACCTGGACCGTGCAAGAAAGAAACCAGACTAAACCAGTGTAAAGGCCACTTGCTTGGGCTCAGTGTCTGAAAGTCAGCACTCCCTCCTTAGGGTGGAGACTTCAAGGTTATATCAGAATTTACTACATAACTTTTGTTGTGAGTTGTTACAGTGCTTTAAAGCTCATACAGTATGTAGTCAGTGTAACATAGTACTAAATTTAGGGTGCGGATTTGGTCACTCTTAGCTAATCTTTTTTATTGTCCCAAGAACATCCCAGGATTAAAAAAAAAAAATCTGAGAATGACTATAGATAGAAAATTGGAACCTGATGAACTGACGGTTTTATTTATAGTCCTAGAGTGGCCAAAATCAGATGAATACCTGATTTGTGCGTTCAGACACCGCATGTTATAACATGAACTGCTTTCTTCGACTCTGAAATAAAGTGAATCCTATTCATGGCAATCAGTTTAAAGTAATTCTTTAAGACACTTAATATTTATTTATTTATTACTATAAGTTCTAGAGTACATGTGCACGACGTGCAGGTTTGTTACGTATGTATACATGTGCCACGTTGGTGTGCTGCACCCATTAACTCTTCATTTACATTAGGTATATCTCCTAATGCTATCCCTCCCCCCTCCCCCCACCCCACGACAGGCCCCAGGGTGTGATGTTCCCCATCCTGAGGACACTTAATATTTAAAGCAGCATAATGTATTGCTTTCTAGAAAGCCCCAAATTCATGAAATCTAGCAAGCAGAAGTCTTGTCTATTTAACCAGCAATGAGGCATACAAAGAAGTTTTCCAAAAATAACAAAAACCAGAAATTACTTCTTCCTGGAGCTGCAGGGAATCATATTTACCAGCTTCACTGAATAATCAACTAAAAGTGGAATTCCTGAAGAAACACTGGCCATAACCAACAAGATACAGAAATCAACATCACGTGAAGCTATTGAGGCCCGTAGAGCAGTCACTACCCTGCAGAGATCAAAGGAAAGAAAACACTTCATTCTAGGAGCCTGAGAGCCACGCACGTCCAAGCGCTCTTATCCACACTCTCCTCATAGCTCTGCTGCAGATACCACTGAGTAAACCAGTCCCTGGCTAATTGTTCCCTTAACAGCAGAGAGTGAAGGATGATGACAGCAACAATAACATTAGCTGACACTCGTGAATGCTTACTATGTGCCAAGTACTTTTATAAGTGCTTTATTCTACACTAAAACATTTAATTTTCCCACAACACTATGAAGTAGGTGCTATTACGATATGCGTTTCACAGATAAGGTTGCTGAGGCATAGAAGAGTTAAATAACACAACCAAAGCCACACAGCTAATAAGAGACAAAGCGAGGACTTAAAATTGAGCTTTGACTCTAGAGCCTCCATTCTCAACCATCAATTTACTGCCTCTTGGAAAACGGAGGTGTTCTGGTTGATGTCCATTTTCCCCGGTGCTCAGAAGCTTCTCAAGTGTCTAAGCTAACCTAGCATGAATAAAAGGGGAGGGGTAGGAAAAGGGACAAAAAAAGCTTTGAGGAGAGAGAAATAGGATTGATTTAACAAGCAATCCTGTAGTTTAATTTCTATGCCTATTAAGTATAGCCGTTCTTCCCTTCAAACTTTTTTTTATAAGAGAACAGAACAAATTTTAATGGAAGTCAGGCAGAGAAAGGACAAGAGAGCAAGTAAATTGTTATCTGTAGATCATTGCACAAATGTAAGATATTCTTAGCAGTATTTGAAGCTGTAAGAAATTCAGAGAATGCAATGCAATTCTGCACAGACTAACTCACTGTTAGTCTGCTGAGTGTTTGGCCAGCGTGTTAACTCTTTGTGGCTTCTTGCAGTCTTTTACTGAAAAGTTATTTACTTTCCTGTATTCCTATTACCAAGGGTCTATTCAGGGAATGAAGAAAAAGAACGGCGATTCAGGAAGCAGATGGGGTGAGTGAGCTCAAGGTGAAAGAATGAGAACTAAGGTACTTACTCATTTGGCAAATATTTATTGAGCATTTCTTATATGTTATAAGTGCTAAGCATATAAGGAAAACTGAAATAGACCTCCTACCCTTAAAGAACTTACAGTCTTCTTCAGGGGTCAACATTTTTTTTTCTATAAAGGGCTAGATTGTATATGTATATATATGGCTGGGCAGGCCATAAGGTCTCTGTTACAACTACTCAACTCGCTATTGTGTCAGGAAAGCAGCCAAAGACAATATGTAAATGATGAGTGTGGCTGCATTCCAATAAAACTTTATTTTAAAATCAGGCAGTGAGCTGGATTTGGCCCAAGGGCCATAGTTTGCAAACCCTTGTTCTGGTAGACATCTCAAGAAAGGCTTACAGGAAAAACAATTTCTGTGTGGTTTTCTGTTCTGATCTGTTGAATTTAGCCTTGAACAACTTTTGTCCCAGTATCAAATCTTTGAATCTTATTTAGTTCCTCGAGGGTTTTGTAGCTGTTACTCCAGTCTTTTAGCACTGACTGTTGCTGGGGAAAATCTGTATCCAGCTGATTTTTTCCCCTAATAGGTGACTCCCCAGGTGATTCTTTCATTATCTCTGAGGTCCAGGAGACTTGTTAGGATATGTTGTAGTGATCCCAATATGAAAGGCTTTTTCTTTCCACAGGAGATTTTAGCCCATTTATGAGTACGGATATGACAAGTACTTTTATCATCCTATTTTATATTATGCTTTCTTTTTCTAGCTTCAAAACTTCTTTAACGTGTCATCTTTTGCTTTATATTTTGTGTTTCTTCTCATCTTTAGTACCATATGTATTTTTGTGCTAGCAGTTATCTTTATAACTGCAACTTATACACTACCTATTAATTTCTTACTATAAATGATGAATTTAATACATTTTCTCTTTCTCCTTCCTTCCTCCTTCACCTCTACTATCCACTTTTAGTCAATTATTTTATTTTATTTAATAGACACCTTTGTAATGGTTATGTAATATTTTAATAGTTACTATTTAATATGCTCTTTCATGTTTTTTGCTAAGGTCATGTTTGGTTTCTTCTTGTATTCTTACTACCTGCTGTGGACTGAACATTTGTGTCCCTCCAAAATTCATATGCTGAAGCCTAAATACTCTATGTGACAGTATTTGGGAGTGGGAACTTTAGGAGGTAATTAGGTCATCAGGGTGAAGCCCTCATGAATGGGATTAGTGTCTTTTAGAAGAGACAGGAGAGAGATAATGTTTCTTCTCCTCTCTATTATGTGAGGAAACACAGAGAAAATGGTCATTTCCAAATCAAGATGAGTGCCTTCACCAGATGTCAGATCAGCTGATGCCTTGATCTTAGACTTCCCGGCCTCCAGAAGTATGAGAAGTAAATTTCTGTTGTTTAGTCATTCCGTCTATGGTATTCTGTTTTAGCAGCCCAAACTGACTAAGGCACTATCTTTATTTTGAGCTCTTACATTTCTGCTTTTTGTTCTAGCTCCACAAAGGTGATGGGATTGTTAGGTTTATTTAGTCATAATGGAAAAATGGTTGCGATTATTATCTTTTTGATAGTAATATTTTTTTTCTAAACACGTATCTTTCTCGGCCACTGTTTACTATTGCTTCTCATCACTCTTTCTGGTTTCTTACACTGATCCTGTACTCTACATGTTTCATTACTCACCATTGAAGTTGATGGGTATTTTTTGCAACAATTATTGTGTAGATTTCTTGTTACAGGTGTACTTGAATATTGTTTGCTGTGTGTGTGTGTGTGTATTTATGTGTGTTTACCCTTTCCTTCTCCCCATCTAATGGAGATAGACAACTATAGGGTTTTTTGCAATGTAAGGACTTGTGTCTCCTCCACTGCCATGTAAACACCTTGCTTCCTGCAGATGTGGCTTACCTGTGTAATTCATTTAACCTCATCTCCTTTGTTTCTTGAAAGGAATACAGGTCTGGGGAGTTCCAGCAACCACTGGGATTTAGATATTTTTCACCTGAGTGTGTGCTTTCGCTTTTCATGGGTGACTTGTTTCTGGCCATCTCTAAGCTCTCTGGCCATGGTGTTTCTCTCTGCTTCATGCGTACCCCTTTGCTTGGGTTCCACCGCTTTTTATAGCACTTCCGCCAGTTTTGCAGTTTGGGGTTTTGCTGTTATTTAGTTTTTCTGAAAAAATGAGTTTGTATCTGTATCTTTCATTCTTTTTTCCTTTAGGGGAATGTATCCTTTAGGAGAATTTTCCTAGGGCATGTTGGCTTTGCTGTATTCAAAGCAAAAATCTCAATGTAAGTATCTAACTCAGGAATGTGAATGTGTGTGAAATTCTCAAAGTGACTAAAGGTAACCTAGGCTGGCTGAAGCTGAAACATGAAAACCAGAAAGAAAAAAAAATTCAGGTTAATTGTTTCCATATACCTGACTGCCTAAGTAAGCAACATCTTACTAAACAAAACATAGGAAGGCATCCAACCTATTGAGAGCAAAATGATCCTTACCAAACCTGTTCAAGTTCTTCAAAGAAAGACTGGAGGATGGGTGCGATCACAAGACCAAGACTGGGGAAAACAGGACCTTTCTATGGGGGTAAATAAAATCTTAAGAGTAGGATGTGATCTCTCTATTCATAGGTACAATGTCGGAATGTGTTTGCAGAATATATTGGGGTTAAAATAAGTGTTTGTTGTCACCTATTTTATTACTTCTAATTTAGTATATTTACACATATACTCACACATATACCTGATTTTGCCTACATGCATAACTTTGATTTTTTTTTTTTTAACTGCAGTGTCATTTTCTCCTTTATCTCAATAGTTTGCTTCACCCTATCTCCAAAGTGGCACTCTAGCTGGCCCTACCCTCTTTCCCAAGTAACTTATGCTAACAACTTTTTTTTTTGTCTTTCATGCTTTCCTCCTTATTTATATAATTTACGCACACATGCATGTACATACACACAGATGCACACCACTTCTTTGTCATTATTTACTTTATAAAAAAGATTATATTACACATTCTTTTTTGCCTCTAGCATTTATTGAAAACAGTACCTTGTGCTAATTCTTCAAAATCATCTTGAATAGCTCTAATTTGTCTTTTTTAATGTCTACATAAGATTTCATGGTATAAGTATATACCATAATTTATTCCGCTATCTCACTATTGATGAACATCCATATATCTTCCATTTTTTGCCACAATGTAGCAAAAACACATTTTTGCATATGTTTTATGTATCAGTGTTTGTGTTTCTGCAGGATAGATTTCTACAATTGGTAATTGTTGGGTCCAAGGAAATATATATTTTGTAGTCTTAATGGAAACTACCATATTGCTTTTTGAAAAGGCAGAAACACCTCATATTTTTACGAGCAATGCATGAAACTCCCCTTTTCTCCACATGCCCTCAATGAATATTTAAATCAGTTAATTTTGATTTATATTATTTTTCTTATCAGTCTTGGGATAATTTTCTCCTTTACCACAAAGTGGTGTCATGGAAGAAGACATGGGCAGAGAGAGATTCAAAAGGAAAAGTCATGGTGTCAGACAGTCTCCCATATGGAGCTTGGGGAACATTTATTCAGCAAATACTTTTTCAGACATTTACCATGCATGCAAGAACTGTACAATGCACTGGCCAAATTTTAAAATACATGCATATGCCCTTTAGAAGTATAGAGTCCACATGGGAATACATTATATAATAAATTATAATGTGCTTGTTCTATTTAGGAAGGCCTGGAATCTGCTTCCTGTTCACATATGACTTTCGGAAACCTCAGATTCCTCTTCTATAAAATGGTTTTGATGTTCCTATCTATACTTTGGGATTATTCTGCAAATTATATGGGGAGATGCATGTAAACCACTTATCACAGTATATGGGATAGAGCATGCATTCAATAAATAGTAGGTGGTATTATTAGTAGTAGCAGTAAAAGTTTATGTATGAGTGTAAGAAGAGTAGACAGGTAGGTTGGGGCCAGAATGGGGAAGACCTTGAAGGTCAGGTTGAGAAATTTCATCTTTAAACTATGGGCTCTCCAAAATAGAGTGATATGATGAAAAAGATGTTCTAGGAAGATTCCTGGGTCAGTCATTACTCAGTAGATAAATTAGGGAATAGAAGGGGCTAGCCGCAAAAAGACTGGATAGGAGGTTTATCAGTTAGATACTTCTAGAAATGGGGTGATATTTGAAATATTTTTTAAATGGCACAGCACTGGCACTGGGCAATTAAAACACGTGACTGAGTCTTCAAAGTGGTTGCTGGCTGTAAACAACACATTGCTAGCCTAGCACATATAAGCCAAATAGCCCTCCTGCTTCTAAGTGAGAGAGCACCTTCCTGAAAATAGCTTAAATAATAGGGATTTGTTTCTGCACACAAAAGTAAATCTGGAGGAAGATGGTTCTAGAGGTGGTTAATTGTGCAACTTAACAGGAACTGTCAGGGCCCACTCATATCTCTCAGAACTCACCCTTCTGATGTACCCTGTCCCAAAGGATTCTGATGGCCAGCACTGGTGACTCTCTGTCTGCAGGATCTCTCTAGCCACAGGCATGTTCTCATCCCATGTGTAGGGCAGGCAGGAAGTGCTAAGGGAGAACACACCCTGGGAGCAGTGCTCAAACAACTCCTCATGAGAACTGGTAGATAAACACTCAGGTTTCCTCACCCCTTGGGTGGGACAACTCTGTTCTCAACAAGACTGGGGCTCAGTTGCCCACAGAAACCTATCATTAAACACATTCTATTGACCCCCCTTGTCTTTTCCCATCACTTCCCCATGTCCCAATTTCTGTTTCCTAAGATCACTCCCCAAATAAACTTCTTGAACTTAAATATTTTTCTCAGGGTTGGCTTCTCGGAAAGGCCAACCTAAGACAAAGTATGTAGATTTGCAGCTTGAAGTCTATCCAACAAGACAGAGGTTCCAGACATTCTTCTCATTCCATCAGAGAAGAAAATATTTCCCAGAAGGTCCATGACGTCCTCTCCCTTTGTATTATTGGTGACAAGAGGGTCACATGTCCATGCCTAACCACAAACTAATCACAAAGAGAAATGGGTTCACCACAATGCACTTGGACTTGACACATTAACAGTAAGTACTTAAACAAAATTGGAGTTTTGTTACAGAGGAAGAAAAAAGAATGGCTGCTGGGTAGGATTCAACAGTCTTGAATAGAAAAGCCTTCTCTAATAATTTGGGCGTGAGGCAATGAGAACATCTGCCATGGGGTTGGCAGTGAAAATCTTCATGTAAATCCTCGACGAGATTCATCATTCACTGAATTTGGAAACTTTCATCTTCGCTCAAGAAAAATGAAAAAGTTTTAGCATTCAACTTGTGATTAACCTACCATGAATCTGATCTGCATATTTCTCACATAAAATGGGCTTAATACATCTTAATTGCCCACAATAGGAATAACATTTTTCATAATGATTGGGTATTCACATTGCCCTTTCTCTTCATTTATCTGAGTGATCAGACATATGTCAGGAAAAGCCAGGAGTAGATTTGCCACACAGCAGCTCGTGACTACACTATCAAATCAGCCCTCTACACATCCACATTAAGACATATAACACAGGCATAGGACGGCTGCCTAAAAGTCATTTATTAATATCCAGACAGTCTGAATGGCTAAGACAGGTGATGATTGATAACTTAGGCCACAAAGGGTCTTCAGAGACAGAATTTAGAGTATATTCTCATTTTGTTTGAATGTCTAACGAAAAGACCAAAGTTGCCTTGTCAACCCTCTCATGACAGCCAGGAGCTACTTCAGGCAGGCCTTCTGACTCAGCCTGGGACCTTAGCTGCCATTTTGCTTGCTTAACTTTTCCTAAATCCCAGGCAACTGCACAGTTCACCAAGATTGTTTCCCATAAGTGAGACCCCTCTGAGGAGGTCATGAAGAAAGAATTCTCCCTGGGCCGGGCCTGTCAAACATTTCACTATTTCACTGCAGATGGGGGAAGGAAGAAGAGCGAGTGTTTGGGACACAGAACTGTCACCACAGTCATGTCAGCATGTACTTGAGCCCAGCTGCTAATGCTGCCAGTGGCATGTGAGAGGCACGAGGTGATGGAATTTGCCTTTAGCCGGTGCTCTTTTATCTTTGTTGGCATGGAAATAAATTGGTTTCACTTTTTTATTTCCTTCTTTGAAAGTTCTTTAAATTCTAACAAGCTAATGGAGTCAATCTCTTTTGCCACCCCAATCCAAGTTCATTAACACCCACTCTACATTTTCTCATAACCTCATGCCCCTTTTTAAGCTATGCAATCGTCTAGGTTTAGTTTGTTCTATAGGAGAACATACCCAAAGTTGTCTGGTAATTCCCAGTGGAGAGAAAGATTCAGTGAGTGATGTCAGGGAGTTCAGAGCCCTCCGGAGTTGGTCCGCTTGTTATTCTCGGCCTTGCTGCTCTCTGGGCCGAAAACCAGGAAGACAGGCCTTCAGTAGAAAGCCTCCTTTGGCCATCACTACTAGTGGGAGCTGCAGAAGTGGTGGGAGTGGCAGGAGAACTGGTAAACCCCATCCTTACAAACAAATGCTGAAGCTCCTCCACAGAGAAAAACAAACAAACAGCTGAAGCTTTCAGCTTCATCTCACTCAAGGGTCAGGCATTATATAAGAAAAGACTTGAAGGACCTGGAAGCTTTCTCTCAGTGTTGTATTTTCCCCACATTTTCTCATGATATTAATAGGAAAGCTCAATATAGCAGGTGTCTGTGGCCCTGAATGAAGGAAATGGAGGAAGGCAGAGCAGAAGGGCTGAGTCTTGTCCACTACCAGTTTCAGAAGCAACAGAAACCAAGGAATCATGTGAGTGGTGGCAGCTATAAGGAGAGAGCAAGTTAAACTGAAACTCTGGGGGTGTTTGTGGGAAGAAAATTCAAATGCAGGAAGATGTTCTTGGACTCGGTAGGTCTATGGAAGTAAGACCAAAGCTGTAACTCTAGGAAGCATTGTGTGCCAAGGAGCTGCATTAGTTTTTAACTCCAGACCTGAGCAGTCTAATATGGTACCCATTCACCACATGTGGCTGTTGAGCACTTGTAATGTGGCTTATTAGAACTGTAATACATACCACATTTTAAAGACTTCATACCAAAAAAAGGATATTAGATGCTCATGAGTTATTTTTATATTACATGTTGAAATAATAATTTCAATATATTGGGTTAAATAAAATATGTTATTAAAATTAATCTCACCTGTTTCTTTCTACCAATTTTTAAGGTGGCTCACATTACCTATCTATGGACACCATGGGTCCAGACAAAGAGATGCAGAATTTCAAAACTCTGGGTTTTGATAGGTTTGCCGTACTGAAATTGTGTCCTCCTCCGGACCCCTGAGCTTCATGCTTCCTTAAGAAGCACTGAAATGGGCCTCAGCAGAGCAGTGAGGTAGGAGAATTTTGTGACAATAAGCCTAGAAAACAAACATGGCTTTCAATTAATGTGTTAACTCTTCCTCTTGCTTTCAAAAAGAGCCAACTTTGGGAGATGCTGAGGCACAGGAAATAGGAAGCTGGAAAGAGGCGTCAGTTCCCTCCTCTGCCCCAAGTAGTTTTGCTCTGTTTTAGCTCCACTTTGTCATGAAAATTTGCATCTTCTGCCTGCTGACCCTGACACAGACCAGCAGCCTATTTAAATAATCATGCCACAGGATGGTACCCAGTATCCTCCCTTCTGCTTCGAGGCACCAAGCACAGAACCATTTTATTACTCACTGTCAGGAGGCAATTTAGACGTTCTGGAAACAAACTTTGTTCTATTTGCTCAAGTACTGAAGCTTTCCCTTGTCTTATTGACTTATTACTGGAATTTGCAGAACATTTTGTGAATTCTAGTTGAATAGTAGGTTTCGGTTTTTAAAAGCCTGTTTATTTTTATTTATTTTTAAGTTCTGTATTTTTCTTTTTTGAGAAAACCCATTCATCTAGTTAACAAAAATTAATGACTCATGCAATGTACAGGGACATTATCAGATACCTTGTTCTCAATGAATTCCCAGACTAATTGAGTGAGACAAATTTGTTTTTAAGAAAGATTTACTGATACCATTACAGAAATCTGTGCAGAATACAGAGGCAGGTAAAAGAAGGAGTGATCAATTTTCCTACAGACCAATCAGGAAGGACTCCAAGGGCTTTGAATTCAGATTCCCTAACCCCCACCACATGCGCACTCCTGCCCTAAGTCTGAGCTCCAAACCAGCGTATCTAGATGCCCCCGGATGTCTCCACTTGGGTGCCCCAGAGACATCTCAAACTTGACACATACAAAATGTATCTCATTTTTTAAAAAATCACTCTTCGTATATCTCAAAGTGCCTTCAGTTCCACATCTCAGTAAATGGCACGATTACCTACTCCGTTCTAAACTATAAGCTGAAGATTACCCTTCATTCCCTCCTTTTCCTCCACCTCAATGCAGCCAACCCATCTGTGAACGCTGTCAATCCTGAGCCATCATCTCATCATCTCTCACTTGGGCTGATGCAATTGACCCCTGCATGGAATCCTTTATTCTCATATCTAAGTAGCAGCATACATGAACTTTTACAAACATAAGGTGATCATGTCACTTTCCTGCTGTGCCTTCCTCATTGGGCGTGAAATAAAATTCCACTTCTCTTGGAATCTGAAAAGCTTTTTTACACAGGGCACAGAAAGTACTAACCAAGAAGGAGAAAACAATAAATTGAATTATTTTGTAGTTAATAACTTCTGTTCAACAAAGAGATGTGAAAAAGCAACCCATAGAGTGAGAGAAGGTATTTGCAAAACATATATCTGATAGAGGAGTCATATCTAGAATATAAAAGAATTCAAGCAAATCACTAAGAAAAACAGGGACTACTCAATTGAAAATGAGCTAAATACTTGAACAAATGCTTGACCAAGAGAATATCCAAATGACCAACATACATACAAAAAGTCACTCAGCCTCATTAGTTGTCAGGAACTAAATTAAAGCCACACTGTAATAGTGCTACCCCCTTCAGGAGGCTAGGATGAAAAAGGCAGACTGACTAATACCAAGTGTGGAGCAATTAGAATGCTCGCACACTGCTAACAAGAGTGTAAATTGGAACAAACTGGCTGGAAAACTATTTGGCAGTATCTATTAAAGCTGAACATATACATATCCTATGTCCCAGCCATCTTAGCCTTAGGTATATACATTCCCTTGCCCCAAAACACGTATATATACATACACCAAAAGACAGGTACAATATTATTCTTAACAGCACCATTCATAAATATGCCCAAGTTGGAAATTAACCAAATGCCCATCAATGTAGACGAATAAATAAATTTTGGTATAGTCACACAATGACATATCCAACAGCAGTAAAAATAAGTTGAATCACAGAAAAAAAATGATTGAATCAATATCATACTGTTTAGCAGAAGACAGAAGAATGCCTACTGTATGATTTG
Source organism: Homo sapiens (assembly GCF_000001405.40). NCBI lineage: Eukaryota > Metazoa > Chordata > Mammalia > Primates > Hominidae > Homo > Homo sapiens. Next base: position 31,175,970 of record NC_000003.12, read on the forward strand.
TTAACTTACATTCACAAACAGGCAAAACTAACCAATGCTGAGGCCAGGAGCTGGAGAGTGAGACTCCGTTTCTACAAAAAATTAAAAATTTTTAAATTTTTTAATTAAAAGCATGGTGGTGGGGCACACCTGTAGTCCCATCTACTCAGGAGGCTGAGGCGGAAGGATTACTTGGGCCCAGGAGGTCTAGGCTACAGTGGGCCATGATCATGCCACTGTTCTCCAGCTCAATAGCAACTCTTTGGCAAACAAAGTCATCTCTGACCAGTATTGATCATCTACTCTGTGTCAAGTCCCGAGCACATAGAGATGAATACAACACAGCCTCTCAGCCTGGAAGAGCTTATATTTTGGGCAGGACGCAGATAAAACATCATTTTATCATAACACAATAAGTGATAAGTTTATAAAATGCACTGTACTATGGTGAGAGGTGATAATACCATTGTCCAGGAGAGACCATTTTCAAGGTTACAAGACCACGCTTGAGAAGACGGAGAGCCCACCAATGAAGCAGCAATGCAGGCGGGAAACCATTATCTGGCATTGAATGGGTACATCTATGACAAGTGTAGTGCCATGATATAAGATATCCAGCCCCTTCAGTCCTGAACAGTTGCTAAATGGCATTTCAGGCAATTGCTACAATAGAAAGTGATTGTCGCCTGACACTGGGAATCCACTTTCCTTCAGTTTGAAGGCAAAAGACGAGATGGTTTATAGGGCCAACTTGTACAATTTCAAATGGAAAAAACCTATGGCTTCTGTCTGGCGTAATTCTCTTCCTTTCTCAACATATATATTTGAGGTACACTTTATTTATCATACATTTCAGCTTTTTTAAGTGTACAATTTAATGATATTTGGTAATGATTTTAATGATTTTACAGTTATGCAACCATCACCTGAATTCAGTATCGGAACATTTTCATCATGCCAATAAAGATTTCTTCTATCCATTTGCAGTCATGCCTTGTTCTCATCCCCAGCCATAGGCAATCATTAATCTACTTTCTCTCTATAAATTGCCCTTTTTTGATATTTCATATAAATAGAATCATACAATATGTGGTCTTTTGTATCTGGCTTCTTCCACTTAGCATGTCTCTGAGGGTCATCCATATTGTAGCATTTATCAATCCATTTTGTTTTTGAAGAAAATTATTTTTCCTTACCAGCTCCATTTCTGCCCAATAAAAATAACAGTAACAAACAATTACTCATAATTCATAGCTTTAGCTTCTCAAGCAGCCAGGCTTAGGGAGGCTGGTGCCTATAAGAAATGGAGATAATATTGATTATAGCAAGAACAGGGTTTATTTTCCATCTCTCATATCCACTTTACTACACTGGCCAGCAAAGAAACCCCTAAGTCCTTGGCTATCACAGACGGCATCACAGATCATCATTATTCCTTAGAAAAAACAGTGTCTCCTACATATTTCCCTGACCATGCCATGGACAAAGTGTTTCTTAGACTACTTTGATCTTGATTCTATCTCTCTCTCTCTCTCTCTTTGTTGTGTGTGTATGTCCTTTTGAATCTCCAACTTGTTTATTAAGAACTCTTGAACTTTTACAGCAGTACAGAATCAGAACATTGCAGGCCAAGACCAGAGAAATTATCTAACTCTATCAAAGACAAAGACTATAAAATTCTTCCACTCATGTCACAGCATCTAAATAGATACCAATAGGAAAGATGCCATTAATCTCAATATGTCGTTGTTGTTGTTTTGGGAAGACTTTAAGCATTTCAGTTGAGCCATTCAGGAAAGAGAACAATGTTTTTATACAGTTCCTTATTATTTCCATCAGTGAAACTGTATCACCAAATCAGTTCACAATTTAAGGGAATTTCAATGCATCTCCTTTTGTAAAATCACCGAAAAAAACAACTTAAGCACTACCTAGAATAGAACTTTGAGTACATAATTAGCCATGAGAATTGTCCAACCTAACTGGGAATCATGAACAATGATTAGACCATCTGTGCTCCCAAGCTAGGACCTGTATTCAATACTACCATCTCTAGCCTCATACCCAATATACACATTCGGATTTGCATGGCTATTTCAGATTCCATGTTAAGAACACTATCCATCTTGCAGTAGCACATTGAGACCACCTATGACAGCTGAGAAACAATGCCATACTCAACATCTCTAGACAAAGTGACTGTGATGGTGCCAAGCCTAATTTTGTAAGCCATGCCAAGGCGAGGTGATCTGCCAGTGCTTTGATATCAAGTTTGAATCCGAAACAATCTGGAGAAAGAGAAAGCAAGGTTTAAATTAAACAAAATCAAATTGAACAAAGAGAAGGGGAAGATAGAACCTTGTAACTATAATAAATCTTGCCAATTCAAAGCTGAGAAATAGTGGATGGGAGAAAAGAATGTGAACATAAAACCTCCAAATCTATCAGAATCAACCATGCTCATCTGATAGAAAACAGGGTTGCAAGCAACACAAAGAAGATTCAACCTAAGGATCACTTATCTGTCTACTCCCATAGTGTGAGGCTTTTAGGAAAAGCAAGGGCCACAAGAATTGGCCTACATATTTTTCAATGTGCATGTGTCATGGGAAGGATTGAGTTAATCATATTCCTCGGTTCATGAGACATTATCAATTTACACAAGGCCCTGCCCTACTTCTATTTCCTCATTTACTTATTCTTTTTTAAAAAATGAATTGTGGTTAAAAACATACAAACCATAAAATTACCATCTTAACCATTTACAGATACAGTTCAGTAGTGTTAAATATAGTCACGTAATTGTGCAATCAATCCCCGGAACTCTTTATCTTGAAAACTTGCAATTCCCATCAACCCACCCTGACCCCTCAACCCCCGGCAGCCACCCTTCTACTTTTTCTGTCTATGAATTTGACTACTCTGGGTACATCATATAGTTGAAATTATATGGTATTTGTCTTTTTGTGACTCTCCTATTTCACTTAGCATAATGTCTTCAAGTTTTATCCGTGCGGTAGCATGTGTTAGAATTTCCTTCTTTTTAAAAATAATTTCAACATTTATTTTAGATTCGGGGGATACATGTACAAGTTTGTTACATGGATATACCGGATGATGCTGAGGTTTGGGATGGGAACGATCCCATCACCCATGTAATGAGCATAATACCTAACAATTAGTTCTTCAAGTCTTGTCCCCTCCTTCCCCATTCTATTTCTCCCCAGTGTCTGTTGTTGCAATCTTTATGTCTATGAGTGTCCAATATTTAATGCCTACTTATAAATGAGAATACGTAGCATTTTGTTTTCTGTTTCTGTGTTAATTCACTTAGGACAATGGCCTCTAGCTGCATCCATGTTGCTTCAAGGGACATGGTTTTGTTCTTTTTTATGGCTGCACAGTAGTCCATGGTGTATATGTACCACGTTTTACCACCGTTGATAGGCACCTAGGCTGAGTCCACGTCTGCTACTGTGAATAGTGCTGCAATGGACAAATGAATACATGTCTTTTTTTAGAAAGATTTATTTTCTTTTGCATATATACCCAGTAATTGGATTGTTGGGTTGAGTGGCACTTCCATTTTAAGTTCTTTGAGGAATCGCCAAAGCAATCGCCACTGGTTTCCACAGTGGCTGAAATAATGTATATTCCCACCAACAGTGTATAAGCATTCCCTTTCTTCCACAGTCTAATAGCATCTACTGTTTTCTTGACTTTTTAATAAAGCCATTCTGACTGGTATAAGATGGTATCTCCTGATGGTTTTGATTTGCATTTCTCCAATGATTAGTGATGTTGACCATTTTTCCATATGTTTGTTGATTGCTTGTATGTCTTATTTTGAGAAGTGCCTTTTGCTCACTTGTGAACGGGGTTAGTTGTTTTTTGCTTGTGGAGTTGTTTACGTTCCTTATAGATTCTGGTTATTATACCTTTGTCAGATGCATAGTTTGTGAATATTTTCTCCCATTCTGTAGGTTGTCTGTTTACTCTGTGAATTGTTTCTTCTGCTGTGCAGAAGCTCTTTAATTAGGTCCCACTTGTCAATATTTGTTTTTGTTGCAATTGCTTTTGAGGACTTAGTCATAATTTTTTTCCTAAGGCTGATGTCCAGAACGGTATTTCCTAGGTTTTATTCTATAATTCTTATAGTTTGAAGTCTTACATTTGAATCTTTAATCCATCTTGAGTTAATTTTTATATATGGTGAAAGGTAGGGGTCCAGTTTCATTCTTCTGCATATAGTTAGCCAACTATCCCAGCTCCACTTATTGAAAAGGGAATCCTTTCCTCTTTGCTTATTTTTGTTGACTTTGTCAAGGATGAGATGTCTGTAGGTGTGCAGCTTTATTTCTGGGTTCTGGGTTCTGTTTTATTAGCCTATGTGCCTGTTTTGTGCCAGTATCATGCTGTTTTGATTACTGTAGCCTTATAGTATAGATTGAAGTTGGGTAATGTGACACCTCCAGCTTTGTTCATTTGGCTTAGGATTGCTTTGGCTATTCAGGCTCTTTTATGGTTCCACATGAAATTTACAATAGTTTTTTCTAAGTCTTTGAGAAATGACATTAGTGGCTTGATAGGAAGAGTGTTAAATCCATAAATTGCTTTGGGCAGTATGGCTATTTTTTTTTCTTCTTACAAACAGAGGTTTTATTGTGTTTGGTCCATGGTCATATTTCACATTATCTCGTGTAGTAGGGCCCCTGGGTGGGGATCCCTGTGCAGTACTTGGCAGGGTGTGTGCCCGGGGGAGATGGAGCAGTACAGCTGGTCAGGCCCAGAATGGGAGAAGTAGGGCTGGGGGCTCCTTAAAACCTACTGAGGGGCTGGGCATGGTGGCTCACACCTACAATCCCAGCACTTGGGGAGGCCGAGGCAGGCGGATTACCTGAGGCCAGGAGTTCGAGACCAGCCTGGCCAACATGGTGAAACCCAGTATCTACTAAAAATACAAAAATTAGCCAGGCGTGGTGGACCACCTCCAGTCCCAGCTACTTGGGAGGCTGAGGCAGAAGAATCCTTTGAGCCCAGGAGGTGGAGGTACAGTGAGCCAAGATCGCACCACTGCACTCCAGCCTGGGCAACAACAACAACAAAACCCTACTGAGGCCACAGTGTGGGGGTTAGCATGGAGAGGGGGTCAGGTTTAGCCCCAACAACTCAGAATTCCACTTCCTTGTATGGGCCTCACTTTCCCCACAGGGCCACAGTGCAGGTCTGAGGGTCTGAGGTCTGTTGGTCTGAGGGTCCTAGGTAAAGCCAGCCACTTGGGAACCTGAGATATTTAGCATCGTGGCTGGGCCCCCTTTCCCAGAGACTAATTTCCCAGCACCCTCACCACTGTCCCTGCCCCATTCCTTGGGGAAAAAAAATGTATTTTTCTTTTGTTAATACTTCCTGAAACTTTTGCGGGTACAGAAACCAGAAACTGATCTTCTGACAAAAGGGGCAAGAGGTGAGGCAACTGGAAACCTTCGGGAACAAGTTCCCTCCAAGCCCAGGTCTCTTCTCCCAGGCACAGCTCAGCCCACAGCCTGGATGTGCCAGCAGGGACCCTCACCCTGCACATATCGGAATACAGCCTTGACCCTTCCCCCTACAGCCCAGTGCTCAGTCCTGTGAAGGACCAAGGCAAGGGGGAAAAAGCCCTGCTGCCTGATCCGACGCCGCCACTCACAGACCCTCGGTTGATTGGCAGCACTGAACAGGTTAAGAAAAAAAAAAGACGAAAATACAGAAAAACCCCAAAACCCAGACGGGGAGACAAGCTGGGGAGAGAGTGTGCTGGGATCCCCAGTAGCCGGCCTCCTCCTGGTAGTAAGGGGGATGTTCAGGGGCCTTCCCCAAGCCGGGACAGTCCCCGGCGCCCGAGGGAGCCCCGTCAGCCACTGTGCCTTGCGGGCAGTGCTTGGGGTCGTATATCTGCCGGCCCAGGCCGAAGACCTGGCTGCTCTGGTTGGCGCCCTGAGTGTAGCCCGTCTGCAGGGACATGGAGGAGTTGTCACACTTGTTGGTTCCCAGTTTGGTGTCATAGATGTGCCGCCAGGTCCCGGGAACCATCATGCCCACCTGGCTGGCACACTTCTTTGTACCCATCTGGAGGCTGATGGTTGAGTGGTCCATAGTGGGGCAGGATGTGGTTCTTGGGGTCATAGAGATGCCTCCTCGTGCGGACATGGTCATGCCCGACTGGGTGGCACATTTGTTGGCGCCCATCTGCAGCCCGATGATGCACTGGCCAGCCTTCATGGGGGCATCGTCAAAGTTCCACTCCTGCTTCTCCCAGTACTTGATGCCGATTTCCACCCCATTCTGCAGCCCCTTAGTCTTGACCTTCCCCGCCAGGGTGAGAAGAGACACCTGCACCTGCATCATGTTTCCACTCTCAAACAGGTTGTTGGCCTTGAACAGGTCCACGGGGGTCATGTCGTAGCTGACCATGGCCTTGATGAAGTTGGAGAGGTTTTCTAGCTGGTGCCAGTTCTCATGGAGCGGTTGATCTTGGGGACTGAGCCCAGCTGCAGCTTGTTCATGAGTGTGCATAAGATAATCCCGTCCTTCAGGCCCTTCTGGAAGTTGGGGCCGATGGAGAAGCTGATGAGTCCCTCGATCCAGCTGTGGAGCTCTGCCTCCTTCTGGGGGTCATATTTGGACAGGAGCAGGTTCTTGACCTCGGCTGACAGCCCATAGGAGAGCAAGACCCACTGCTGGTACAAGAATCAGAGCTGAAGTCCAGGTGACCCCTGGTTTCAGCAGAGAGAACAAGGCAAAAAATTGCTGTCAAGTGTTGTGACAAATTTCACACAAATCTCATATCCATTCATTTGCCAACTTTTATGGCTCTCTGAAATCTTTATATGGTATCGACACACCCTGATTCTCTTTTTCTGAGAGCTGCCAGGAAATCAGTGTGCTTTTGAAGCCCTGCCTCTACTGACCTGACCCAACTTTCCAGCCATTATTAACTGGACAGTTGGACCTGTCAATCCCTATCCCAGGATCTTGGAATTGGGATGCATAGTTACTAGTGACTCTTCTGAACTGAGGACTTGGAAACTCAGGAGATGTGGGACAACTCTGTAGCTATATGCATGGGAAAGTGAAGAAAGCAAGTCTGGAGAGATGGGTGAGGCAGATGCAAAGAAAAATGGAAATGAGAGAAAATGAGAGTGAGAACAGAAATATTTAAATTTATAAATTAAAATTTTAAAATAGGGACTAAAAGAAGATATTGGAAAGTTAGGTGTTACCTACTTAGACACTTGTATTAATAAATGACAGCACACATATCAAACTAGCATTAGCAAAAGGCAAGCAGGTAGCATTTATTATGACTCTCTATGACTCTCTTTCTTGCTTGCTGTTGCTCTCATTTTCTCCCACATAATAGTTGCAATGCTCACAGTGACCCTATAAGGAGTTTTTATCATCCCAATTTTTAATTGAGGGGCCTGAGAGGTAAATGATCAAGTAATTTGCCTAGAGTTTGAAAGTAATGGGCATAGAGCTCAGATCCAAATATATCTCATGTCCAACATTTGTTTGTCATCACAAGACAATGTTTTATCCTTACATATATGTGTGTGTGCATATTCATGCTTTTTATTCACTGGCCCACTACTGTTATTATCCATTTTGGAATATGACAGCTCAAAAGGTGGTAACTACTTTCTATTTGCTTTATGTTCTGTCTCACATCTCAGTTTAGATGTATTCCTATAAAAGAATGGTAAATCTAGTAGGTATATAATTCCCAAGAGCATATAATGCCTAATTTGAACACTAAAGAAAATCCTTTAGACACAAATCCAACACATGAGGAGGTTTAAATAAAATGGGAAAATGTGGAAGGACAGAATTCTCAATGAACCTATTCAGATAGAAGAGGCTTTTAGAGTCTATGTGCCTACAGCCTCTTCTGAAAAAAAAAGTACAGAACAAGAGGAGAATCCCACCCTCCAGGAATAAAGGCCCAGTGGCTGTGGCTATTGCAAACAGTCACTTGATTCCTGATTGTAGGGACTTCTCCCAGATTGGCTGTGGGAGTTATTGCAGCAGTGTAGGAAAGGGACAGGTTCTGAACCCAGAAAGCCCTGTGATGGACCCCTGCTTTTGCTGAGCATTTGCTATTTGGCCTTGGAAAATTTACCTCCCAGTACTTCCATTTCCCATCTGCAAAATAATCTTTCCCTTGGAGTGCTGTTGCAAGTACTAGAAAGGATGAGAAATCCTTATGGATGGCACAAGGGAGGCATTCGATAGATACCATCATTGTTATCACCATTATTGTGCAAGGGGGAGAGAGAATATTAGGGACTTTACTGTACCCAGGTAATAATATTCTGGGGCTATGCACACATGGCTGGGGCTTCTGGATTCTTACAAGTTGGCTGAAGCCTACAAATGGCCAATAAATCTCTGTCTCCACTCAAAGAGAAAGAAAGGATCTCCCAATCCCATGACTCTGGAAATCCTTCAGATAAAAGTTCCCTTCTTACTGACGAAGGGAACTTTGTTGGCTCACATAACTGGACAGACCACAAAAGTGCTGATTTCAGGACCAGCTGTATTTGAAGCTTAACCTCAAACTTCAGGGGTCTCTCTCCTTCCCTTAATTCTGCTTCCCACCTTCCAGGTTGTCTCTACAGTGTGGCAAAACTTTAAAGATAAAAAGGGCTGCCAGTAGCTATATCTTCACACACTCTGCTTTCAGCAACTCCATGAAAATATTCCTTTCTAGTTGCTCCTGGAAAAGCCAGAGAGTCACACTGCTTGGACCAATTTAGCTCATATGTGCATCATTGAACCAATTCCTGGGACCAAGGCAAGGAAATTATACTGGTGGGTTTAGACATGGTTCCCACTCACAGTCCTGGGGCTAGTACTGAATTCAGCCCCGCCTAAACCATATAAACTGAGAGTGAGGTAAAGGAAGTTCTCCAAGAAAAACAGAGGCGCTATTAGCAGCAACAGAAGAAAATGGATGTTGGCAGGCTAAAACAACAAATATGCAGCATAGGCTCTAAATAACATCAGTGGAAACTATAATCACCAATATTTACTAAATGTTTATTGTGTTCTGGGATAAGCACTTTTCATTAATTTCCTCACTTAATCCTCACAAAAATGATCAATGCAGATATTATTATAATTATCCCCACTTAAGGGATAATGAAACTGAGACACAGAAAGGCCAAGTATTAATCATTTGTCTGAGGTCATGTTGCTAGGGAACGGCAGGGTTGGGATGTGAACTTGAGCCATGGGACTTAAGAGTCCACATGTACTTTTGTGAGCTGAATAATTCCCCCAGCTCCACACCCCACCCCTACCCCCACTAAGATATCCAGGTCCAAATCCCTGGAACCTGTAAATGTTAACTCGCAGGGACTTTGCAGGTGTGATTAAGTTAAGGATCTTAAGGTGGGGGTGCTATCCTGAATTAGCCCAATGGGCCCCAAATGTAATCACAAGTACATTTGTAAGAGGGAGCCAGAGGGAAATTTGTCAACATAGGAGAAAAGGCAGTGTGATGACAGAAGCAAAGACTGGAGTGACATACTTTGAAGATGAAGGAAGAGGCCAAGACTGGAGGAATTTAGATGGCTTGTAAAAGCTGAAAAAGGCAAGGAAGGAAACATTCTCACTTGGAGCCTCCATAAGGAAATTTCTCTTCTGTTGTCTCCTACTCTACCCTCCCCTCCTCCTTTCTCTCCACTTCTCTCCTCTCCTCTTCCTCTCTTCTCCCCTCCAGATCTCCCAGCACTGCTTGCATATGGCTCCCCAAATGGCAACCCCATCTGTGTTAGGCGGAATTCTAAAGTGACACCCAAAACTCCCAGCTCCTGGTGCATGGGCCTTGCATAATCCCCAGGACTATGAATACCATGGATTTCCCTGCCATGATTCAGTTATATTGTATGGTAATTTCTCCTTAAGAAAAGGGGTTTAGGCTTAAGAAAAGCCCTTAAAAGAGTCTGGGCTCTCCCTGAGAAAAAAGGTGAAAAGCATGAAAAGAATTCAATGGAGGAAGATTCTCCATTACTGTCTTCAGAGAGGAAGGACAAGGATTGCAAGTGGCCTCTAGGAACTAAGAACAGCACCAGTCAACAACCAGCAAGAAAATGAGAATGTCAGCCCTACAACGACAAACACACAAAATTGAATTTGGCTAACAACCTGAGAGAGCTTAAAAAAGAATTCTTCCCCAGAACCCTGATAAAGGCGCACAGATCAGCCAATGCCCTCGTTTCAGCTTTCTGAGACCCTGGGCAGAGAATCCAGCCACACAGGGCCAGGTATTAGCTAATACGTGGGTACTGTTTTAATCTGCCAAATTTGTGGTAATTTGTTACACAATAATAGAAGACTAGTATATTATTCCTGGTCTATGCAATCTCTCAATTCAAACACCCACCAACTATAGTCTTTATGTCCTTAAAGAATAGAGAGAGCTGGTGTGGTGGGGCATGTCTGCAGTCTCAGCTACTTATGAGGCTGAGATGGAAGGATCACTTGAGCCCAGGAGTTCAGGTCCAGACTGGGCGACAGAGCGAGACTCTGTCTCAATAAATAAATAAATAAGTAATAAATAATTTAAAAAATTTTAAGCAAAATAAAGAGATTCATCTTGTCTCTAGTTGGGTCAAGGGTCCACCACTAATCTAGACAGCACTGGCTGTCAAGGGTCCACCACTGATCTAGACAGCACAGGTTTTCCACCACCTACACAGTAGTGGTTGTGGATATACAACCTCAGGGAAGGGGAATAGGCAAGGCAGCCAAGCTGGCTGGTGTGTTCTGCTACCCCCCTTCCAACTTGTATGTGACAGCTTCCTATTAGTGTATTTCCTGCCTTGAATTATGCACATTTTCTCTCACCTAACTAGCTCATGAGTTCATCAAAGGCAAAAAGGTGGTATAGTGCAGTAAGACAAACAGTATCTTAGGGGACACAAAGAGCTGGATGCAAATCGACCTATTTGCTGTGTGAGCTTAGACAAGTCACTTAACATCTCAGGATTCCTTTCCCTATTTGTGAAACAAGAGTAATATACCTACCTCACAGGGCTGCTGTGAGAATTAAATGAGATTAAATAGGTTGTGCCCTTTGTGAGTCTTTGATAAATATCAATCCCCTTCTACCATTTTTAATCCATTTTCTATGTCCACCATAGCAGCTGGCACAACAGTATAAGCTTATTCCTGCATCAAATCAAACAAATAAAAGCAATCCACATGCTGATGGAAAGGAGTAGGGCAACAAAAAGCACGGAAGTAGCCCAATTATTACATGAGCAAGGTGTCAACAGAGGATAGGAGTCCCCTGGATTCGAGTTGGCCAAGAAAGTAATAATGAATAACAAAATGATAGCATCAGGCATTAATTGGAAGCATTCTGTAATGTATGCCAGGCACTGTGCTGAGGGCTCCCTTGATGTAACTCATTTAATGGGGCAACAAGGGCCACTCATCAGTATTATCATTACTCCACTTTACACATGAGGGATAGAGATCCAGAGAGGTGAAATGATTTACCCGGGCTAGGAAAAGGCAGGGTCAAAATTCACCCCTGAGTCTATATGACTCCAAAGTCCAAAGCTTTTAACTACTACTCTTCTTTAAATCTCCATGAACATGACATTCCTTTTTTGGAACTAAGCTTCAAGTTGTTGCAAACACCTGTACCCATGGAGACTAAAACTGAATGATAACATATAGTTCCTTTAATTGACTTCTAAACTCTTTTCAAATATTTAAATTTCCAGGAATTTTTTTTTAATTACAGGGAGAGAAGAATATCCAAGAAAAGGATAATGGGCTTATGTCTGCCAAATCAAAAGTAGCTATTCAGAAAACTCCAGAGCAACTCCATTTCCTTGCCTAGAGGAACACTCCATTGAGGAAGTCTTCCAAACAATTTCTGCTCGATTTTTAGTTGTTTCGAAAATTAAGACAAAATGAGAAGACTGTCTTCTGTCTGCAGAAGCCAATAGTCTCTGATTTTTTTTTTTTTTTTTTTTGGTCAGGACTGAAATCTCTCCAGGGGCTAAAAATTCTGTACACTGCTTGAGGTATCAGAGAAATTCTGTGTCACCCTTGAAAAACAGCATTTCCCCCAGGAACCTGGCATCCTTATTTTTATTCCTCACCCAGACCGGGCATGGGGTCCTCACCTCTCCACTACATAGTTTCACAGCTCGCTCTGGCTGCTACAAATGCCCCAAGGTGCACTCTGATAGTTTTAATAACCTTGTCCATTCCCCATTTAAGAGTCAGCCATTATTGCTCAAGCTTTTTCAAGCCAGCTGGAAATTCACCTTGGCAAGAATTCTGTCCTTGTTGGACACTTCCCCCTGGCTTTTCAAACTTAGTAAAAGGAATTGAGACCTAGTGGGAAAAGCCCGCCTGTCGTTGCTTTCCTTCTAGATTATGTATGAAATCTCCCACAGGGCTGCCCTGGCTCTAGGCTAATTAGACTGTTTTATTATACAACAGTATCAGGAAAAACTAAGGGCAGTTCTTTACGCCAGCCTCCAGGCCCTCGTCTCTGAGAGTCTGGAGGATCTGTAGAAATCAGAGAGCAACACACGGAGGCCTGCAATACGATTTGCTTACATGGATGTCCAGTGTGTGGTTTTGGAGCCTGGGCCCCATTTAAATAAAGTGTTAAATAAAACCAAAACATTGGATTATTAGAGTTTGTTAAGTGGTCAGCGATCCCCAATGACTATGTCTGTGAGCCAGGGTTGGACCAGAAAAGCCCCGTTATCTAGGAAAGTGCTATTCAAGGTGTGGTCCACCAATTATCAGAGACCAGCCCACCAGGAGGGAGGTGCAGACATGAAGATCAGCATTTAGAAATCTCTGTAGTTATTTGACAGTACTGGGACATTTTACAAAAGTACCAGTCCACAACAGACTAGAAATATAAAAATTAAAAATGAGGTTTTTATTGGTTTAATGCTTGTTTTTTAATCAGAGTTTGAGAAGCACTGATACAAAAGACAAACTGAAAAGAAGAAAGGAAGAGGGGTAGAAGAAAGGAGGGAGAGAAGAAAGATAAGGTAAGAGAAGTAAAAATAATAATCTTTGAATTATATAATTATTTACAACATGCAAAGTATTTATGCATATATTATGCCACTGGGTCTGTCATCCAAGATCTTCCTTCTGTTTTTCAAGCACTCCAAGCACCTGTCCATCTTTTTCCTTTGTTCTCTTCTTTCCTTGGGATGTGTTCCTCTCCCCTGGCTTCCTCTGTAATTATGATCCCAGTTCACATGTTACCCCTCAGGAAGCCTTTTCTAGCCACCCAACCTAGAGTGGTCTCCCTCATCCAGGCCACCCATCTTCATCATAGGGCCATGTTTATTTTTTTTTCTTCTATGAAACTTAAAACAATCCCAAACTGTTGTGTTAATGTATTTGCTTATTGTTTCCAATCAATCTCCCCACTAGAATATGAGTTTCTTCAGAATAGGCATGCTGTCTATTTTGTTCACTTTGTAACTCTCTTGGCTAGATAGTGCCTGGCATGGGGACAAGTACATGAATGAATGAATGAATGAATGAATGAATGAATGAATGAATGATGAATGGCTGAATATCATAGGTATCAGTGTTTCCATTTAAAATGTAAGGAAAATAAGAGTTTTAAGATTTTACCCGAAAGAATTTAAAGTCTTTCCCAAGGATGCATAGCTCCTCAGTAGAACCAGGGCTCCAAGTGAGCCTCTTGACTCCAAAAGTACTGCTACTTCTACCTTATGACATTACCTGAGGTAGAAGTTTCTGGCGAAAGATCTATAGAGCCTTGTAATACACAACAAGAAAAGTCACATAGGTTGCATGTAGCTACAGTCAGCTTCTGCTGTTGTAAATAAAAATCACTCTGAAATTAAGGTGAAAACAGCAAAGGCCCAGGAGATTGAGTAGGGGATCTGTTTCCTACTGAGTTGACATCTAACCCTCGCCTACCCTCCTCCCTGCCAGCCCCCGCAAAATCCCTTAAGTGCTCTCTATAATTGTAAGACTGGTAAAAGCTAGAACTCTGGGGCCAGACACACTGGAGTCCAAATCCTTAATTCTTTTCTTACTTGGGCAATAAGTAAATTCCTACATGTCTCTCTTACTTTGCAGGGTATGTGTACAATTAAATGGGGTGACATAGGCAGGTGCCTCCAGGGATATTCAACCAAGATGAATTCCCTTTTCTTCTTCCAGTTGACATCTCTTTAACATCAGCTAATTATACTGGTGCCAAGTGGATGGAAGAATGAGTACAAAATGAATAAGGATTTACAACCCACACAGCTTTTCAAGGTAGTTAAGGGCTTACCACAGTTAGCTTTACCTTGTAAATGTGCTCTTTACATTTACCCCCCACCCCCCAACTAAAAAAAAAATTAGCCAGTCTATAACCTTACATGCAGTCTCACTGCTAGGAAAATGACCTGCTAAGAAATTGATCCTTATTTATATAAAGGAGTAAATGGCTGCTTCCAATGCCAAAATACAATTATGTGAGGAAATACCGTTCTTGAAAACTCAGTCTCCACTTTATTTCTGCTTTTCTTCTCTGGCAGCTTAACAAGGAGAAAGATTATGAGCTTTGAAAACAGATAGGCAAGGGTTCAGATCCCAGTCCTGCTATTTGTCTTCATACGTCTAATCTCAGTTTCTGGATCTATAAAATTGGCATAATACTTCTTACCTTGATGTATTCTTGGTAGGCCTGGAGATCCCATAGCACAGGCTATAAAAGGTGCTCAGTAAACAAGAGCTTTAATCCCTCCTCCAAATATTTGGTCCTAATCACGGGAGAAAATGTCTGACCACAGAAGCCTAAAGTGAGGGGCACCATTACAATAGACCATGCCTAGAACATAGTAGGTATTCAATAAATATTTGGTGAATGAATAAAATGGAAGTGTGATTTGTTTGCAACTGTCAAAGAGGAAAAACTTTCACCTGAAAACTGGCATGGTGTCCCAGAATTTTAATTGATGACATTAGCACTTATTCACAAGGATCTACCAAGAACTAGAGCAGTTTTGTGTAAAATCTTTCTTTCGGTCGTCTTTCAGCTCCTCCCCAACTTGGTTGAAGACCCCATGATCTAAGGTCAATTGTGAGTGATGACATGGTCTATTAGGAGTTAGGTTGAAAGTACCAAAAGTAATATGTCCATGTCCACCAAAGTGACTCTATTCTCCATGGGGGAGGAGCAGATCCCCATGGAAGGAAGATTCCAGGCTGCCAGCCTCAAAGCCATCCGGCCTTGGTTTAGAAACACACAGTTCCTTCCAAGCAAGACCCCTTACTGCATTTGAATTTTCAACTGGGTTCAACCCTTCCTGTCAAGAAAATGATGCCTGAAATGCCATCCTGAAATTTGATAAGAGAAGGAAGAGAGTCAGGCAAAAATTGAAGGTCCTGCGAGGAACCTCCATGGTGGGGTTTGCAAAGCTATGCAGAAATTCAGATCCAGCACTTAGCAGCAGAGATGTGGTTGTCTGTCAGACATCAAGCCTGGTTTGTGAAGCTGTCAGTCGCTGCTGTGAACTACAAAGTCACAGCGTGAACTGGCCAGGACCCAGGAGGATTTCCACAAAATGAAAATCCTGATAAAGCAATGCCAGCGAGCCCAGGGAACACGGGAATTCTCAATAATCCTGGTGTTCCAGGCCTCCAAAGCCACGTCAGGGCTCCTCTCTCTTTGTCTCTCCCCAGTCCCATGTCCTCTTTCCCCCATCCTCTGGCTCTCCCCCACCCCCCACCCACCCCACTCCCCTCTTTTATTTACCAAATTTTGCATGATTCAATACATTCTTCCTAAGTATCAAGCACAGACTGTGCCTTTCTCTCCTCCTTTCTGCCCTAGATTAGCTTCATTACAAAGTTGTGGCCTTCAGCCTCCACTGGGCCTTACATGCTCCTTGGAGTCTTTCTGCATTTCTCTGGTCAGCACTCTCCCCTCCTCCACACAGGCAACTTCATGCTCAGCAAAGCTTCTACCTGGGCATCACCCTCTTTACTGACAAAAGCTCCTCACCTCCTCCTTCACAGTGAAAATGGAAGCCATAAGGCAAGACCTCCCTCACCCATCTACTGCCCGGTTCCCCAATGTGGGATCCCCACTATTGTGATCGCTATGGTGAGAACATTAGTGCATGCTCAGGACCCCATTCCATCCTGTGCTACCTCCTCAGGAAACCTATCCTGTGGGTCAGTCCTTCCTTCTCTCTCCAGATCTTTTCTACCAGTTCTTCTCCATCAATACTTAATATACTTCAGGTTATCCCATCTTGAAAACAAACAAGCAGACAGACAAAACCCCTCTTCTTCCTGGGCTAGCCCCTCTGGTTCTCTCTTGCCTTCCCTCAAACCTCAGACCCTCACTGTTGAAAGCAGGTGGACACTCATTGTCCCTCTCTTCTCTCTAATAAGATTAGGAATTATGGATTAAAGTAGACTTGAGTCAGAGTCATTCTTCCCCCATCTGATTTGTGTGATTGGGGGCCATAGTATTTAATTTCTCTACATCTCAGTTTTCTCAAGTAAAGTGAAATGAATATTAGTTCTACTTATTGGATTGCTGTGAATATAA
The DNA here is from genome assembly GCF_000001405.40 of Homo sapiens. Classification (NCBI taxonomy): domain Eukaryota; kingdom Metazoa; phylum Chordata; class Mammalia; order Primates; family Hominidae; genus Homo; species Homo sapiens. The sequence goes on from NC_000003.12 coordinate 31,192,570, forward strand.
AATATGACAATATTGATAAAGAGCTTAGCACAGTGTCTGGCACAAAATAAGCTCTCAAAAATGTAGCTATTGTTATTATTATTTGATTTTTTTAAACTTTGCAATCTGCCTTCTTCCCTTGCCATTCCACCACCATTGCTCTTCTCAAAAATGTCATTATTGCTAAATTTAATCAAAGATGATTTTTCAGGCTTGGCATGGTGGCTCATGCCTATAATCCTAGCACTCTGGGAGGCCGAGGTGGGAGGATCACCTGAGCTCAGGAGTTCGAGACCAGCCTGAGCAACATGGTGAAACCCCATCTCTACTAAAAATACAAAAAAATTAGCCAGGCATGGTGGCACACCATGCTACTTGGAAGTTGAGGCATGAGAATTGTTTGAATCTGGGAGGTGGAGGTTGCAGTGAGCCGAGATGGGGCTACTCCAGCCTAGGCTGGAGACTCAGTCTCAAAAAAAGAAAAAAAAAAGATTTTTCAGAATTATCTCACTTGACCTTTTTGCCACAATTGGTGACATTTTCCCTTGTAAAACAAGTTCTTCATCCACTTGTTAGTCTCCTTCTTCTAACATCCTGATACCTATAGATGTCTCTCAGAGTTTCATGCCTCAAACTTCCTATTTTTACTCTTTTATATTCTCTCAGTAATCTCACCTATTCCTATGGCTTCTACAAACTGACAATGCCTAAATCTAAATCTGCACTCCCAAACTTTCTCCCAAGCTCTAGATTAAAACATCTAACTTCCTGTAGGGCACCTCTACTAAGATGACTCTCAGGCACTTCCAACTGTCCCAAGCAGACATAATCATCTTCCCTGTGTGTCCCTGTGTGGACCATTATCACTCACCCAGTTGACCTTCCAGAAACCCAATGACACTCACTTCCTTCGCTCCCCTTCATGTCCAGTTCCAACTCTACCTCTGACATGTGCCTCAATCCATTTGTGTATTTCCATTCCTACTGAGGCACTGCCTTGATTAACACATAATTGTCCCCTGTCTAAATTACTGTCACAAATTTCCAGCTGACGTATGTGTCACATCTCTTCTAATCTGTTCTCAACTCTGTAGCCAGGAAGAGCTGTATTTGTTTAGTTCCATTTGAGTCAGACTTTTGAAAATGCAGAAAGGTACAAAGAATGGTAAAATGAACACTCATATTCCCACTACCCAGAATTAACAGTAATGTTTCTAAAACTAAAATCTTACCATATGGCTAGTCTGTAAAATGCTCATTGGCACCTCCTTGTCCTTAGGATCAAGTTCAAATTCAGTTGCAAAGTTGATATGACTCTCCATGATTTCCAATCTCTTCTCACTCACACCTCTCAACTCAACAATGTGAAATCCAGATCACAGCCAATTATTGTGTTCCTCCCAAAATGACAGGCTCCCTCTCCCCTCCAGGCCTTTCCACTTTTGAGGAGGAGGGCATAAAAGGGATGAGAAACTGCCTGAGTAAGGAACAGTGCAGAAATAAACATAAGAATGTAGTTGGCAGTCAGCCCATAGAAGTGATGTTCAGAGCAATAACTTAGATCATGCAAGTGACATCACAGAATCTTAGAATTGCTCAGAAATATATTAAAATCCAGCCCTCCTGCATCCACCACTGAACCTACCCATCATGCCTTCAAAGAACCTATATCTGAAAAGTAGTAAAGAACATACAGTGTATGTTTTGCATGTTACGGCTTTTTAATGTACTCAAAGGAGAGTATATTATACATGGAGACGGATGATCATAATTCTCTAAGGCTCCTGGAAGGCAGAAATCTTTCCCCTGACATCTCTCCAAGGGGGTAGAGGTGATCTTTGAATGCAAAAGGAAAGAAGGTCGGTAACTTCAATTAAGTAGTCCTTTTCATGAAGACAGAGGAAGCATCCAAAGGTTTCTGGCAATTCCTTTGTTTTATAGAGATAGTTAAAAGGAAACCAAGAAGGAAGAGAAATCTTTTCACTTCTTGTGACAGGCCTTGCCAATTGTCTTATTTTAAGGAAACACTGGTTTTTTGTTTTGCTACCCAGTTCCAGTAAATGATGCCTAGAAAATGGCACAGCCATTGTAATCCAGAATTCTCTTTAGTCTGTACTGAAGTCAGTTTCCAAAAATGCCTACACCATTCAATGCCTGATGCTATTTGGATTAACAGAAAAATTAGTGAAATATCAGTATATTGCACAACCACACAGACAGAATTATTTATGAAATGAGTAGACAACATGAAGGAAAATGGATTGTACAAATAAGCTGCCTAATCCACAAGGTTGTAATGGAAATTGCTTCCATTTCTGTGGATGCTTTAAGATGGAAGCTTTGTTGTTTTTTTCAGAAGTCAACAGTTGTTAACTGATCACACCTCTGCTTCTACAATGATTTTTGTAAAATATGAGAAGAAAACCAAAGGAACTTATTGCTGATTTTTAAAGGTATTAATGAAAGAGAAAGAAAAGGAAATCTGTGGGTGAGTTCTTTATACGTGATGAGGGGTTTTTGTTTGGTGATTGATGGTCTTCATTACGTATGAGAACTACCCACCCCGCCCGCCATGGAAAACATTTATTCTGGAACATAACTGACTTTCCAGTAAAGTGTAATATTTTCAAAGTGTTGCCATTTCCATTATGTAAAAAGTACATTGCCTTTTAGAACAGGTGTTTTGGAAAAATTAAACTTGTGTCAAAATGGATATTCTAATTTGTAATGGGAAGTTAACACAGATGGCTATAATGAGGGCTGTAAACTATCTTTTAATTTATTATTTAGAACCTTATATCATTATGCACACACCCTCAAAATGTGCAACCCCTCCAAGCACAGTTCTCAGCAGATGTGCTCAAAGGTGTCAGTAATAGCTAAGTGATGATCTGAACTGCATGGCAAAGTCAATAGAAGGTTGATGGAAATGTAGATTATAATGGAACAGGCTTTTGGAAAACAATCTCCGTGTGATGTATAGGCCATGCTATTCGGCGAGGGCGTGGGTGTGAGCACATAAACACACACACAGAGGAATCATTCAGAAGCACAGTAAGGAAGTCAGAGCATTGTGGGCTCATGCTTATTTCTAGAAGCATCACCCATTGGAAGGGGCTGAGTCAGTCCTTTAGATTAATATAGTGGTCACGATTTAGTACCAACTATACAGCAGGTACCATCAGTAGTCCTTTAAAAGAATGATCTCATTTTATTCTCTCAACAGCCATATTTAGTAAATTGTAATATACCTATTTTACAGATAATAAAAGAGAGGTGTGCTTCATCACCAAACTACCACATGACCTTGGAAAAGGCAGAAAGGTCATTTATTTATCCAAGTCATATTTGTTTCAGAAACACATTTTCCAAGTTCAATAGGAAGCAAATTTGGTTTTATGTCAGATTTGTTCATTTATTTCAAGAAATTTGTAATTGAGATACAGAGAATAGCTTGTTTATATTTAGTTATATTCTTTCTTTGACAACAGTATGCTTTATTTGAAAAGCTGAGGATAAACATTGGGAAGAATGACATGGTACCAGGTATTAAAGATGGATAAGGATGGCAAGAAAATAAGGCTGGAAACATTATCAGGGCCAAATCATGAAAATTCCATACACGATCTTAAGAAGGTTGGGCTTTATCCAGAGGATGATGAAGAACCTTTGAAGGACTTTCATCAGTGGCTACTTGATTTAACTCCACTTCTGTCTCCAGGATTGAGTATAGCTCCACCTCAATCTCTTGTAGCTAAAACCTTCCAGAATTTTCAACCTCATGGCATGTTAAAATTCCTAAAGCTTTTCTTCTGCAGTGAACTTCACCAGAGGAAAGGAAATTCCCAATGTCTGTAGACTTTCCCAACCAGCCAGCATGCTCAGCCCTTCCCACCTGTTCTTTGATAGGGTAATAATTCCTATCACCCAACTCAAGGAATAGAATCCTCCTAATCCATTCAGAGCAAGAAGAAAAGATAAGAATGGCTCAGCACTTGTAGCATGAACCTGCATAACTGCCTCTGTAATATGTTTCTCCCTTTAGCCACCCCATTTACCTTTAGCTGTTTTTTCCTTGAAGCTGGAGCATTTATTTCACTCAAAGCTATTAAATGGAAGTATTCCTTAGTGACATCACTAATACTAGGCTAAATTCAAAACTGTTCCCTCTTTAAAAGTTTAAAATTACAAATCTGTTATGCCGTAATACAACCTTTAAAGTATAAACAGGCCATTTTGTAAAAAAAAACTTAGTGTGTTCTCTACAAGTTTTTTTTTTTTCTTTTTCTCCTTTTGGACAAAGAGAAAGTTCCTAATAAGAAAATGGAAAATGCTTTTGGTATGAAATAATCCAAAACAAACACACACACACACACACACATGCGCGCGCACACACACACACACACTTTGGCTTTCAAAGATTGAATGGAGAAAGAGTTGTTTAAAAGGAGTAGTAGAATGTCTAACCAGATAATATCCCAAATATTTCAAGCACCACCCAAGAGGGAGTTTCCACTAGCACATGCCGCAATTTGCCACAGGCAGATGAGAGCGTCTAATTCAGAACATAAGCTGAGCCTCTATCTATAAAAAATTCTGCAAGCAACAGCATGACCTGGCTAGAATAATGATGTAGGACTTGTGGCTGAGAACATTCCACAGCTCAACAGATGGCTCTCCTCTGGGGTTTGAGACAGGCAGGCATCAGGCAATATCCTGACAAGAGTGAAATACTGACCCGAGGAGAAGAAAATCAGAGCCCCGGGAGATGGCATATCTTTTGTGAAACACACCATTTTCTAGGTGTGCCCTGCAGGAAGCGCCCCCTGAAAACAGCAACAAAGCAATTGCTTTCTTACAGAAGCATGTCAAGGAATTTGTAAAACAAAACCATTGGTGCAAGTGAAATTCTGTGATTTTTTTTTTTTTTTTTTACACTGAGATATTTCGATTTGTGTTTGTTTGTCTCTGCATTCAGAAGCTAAATCTTGTTACCACACGTCTTGATTCTAACTCAAGGTTTACTTCTCTGGCATATTCCAGCCCAAATTCCTTGCATCCTCAGTCCAGATCCTCTTCTATACCAGGGAGAAAACTAAGCCATGGCTGTTAACTGATAATGAGCCTGTGCTTGGTGCTATAAACAGCCTCTCCCACCCACCCAGACAGGCACTGGATTAGTGCAAAAGCAGGGCATCCCCCTGCCACCCCCCAACCCTCAGACATATCCAAAATTGAGTTCATTGTCCTCCCTCCACAACCCAATTCTCCTCTTAGTTCCACTAACAGACAAATAACTATACCATCCACCTCGTTATCCAATCCAGAAACGTAGAACTTGTTTTGGCTTCCTCCATCTTCCTCAAGTCTCTGGCCAATAATCAAGCCCCGTCATTTTGACAACCAAATCTCTCTCCCATCTGTTTTTCAACAGCCACCTTCCAGGCCAGCTCATTCTGGTCTCAGCCCTAAATTATGCAACCTGTAGCCTGAGTGATCTTTCCCAGCACAGCTCAAATTGAGTTTCTCTTGCTAAAAGCCCTTCTAGTAGCTCTCCACGGCTATTAGAATAAAGTCCAAAGTCCTTACCATGACTTAGGAGGCCCATCAAGTTATGGCCCTTGCTTTTATTGAAACCTTCATGCCTTGCCATGCCCCACCTATCACTGTATGTCCCAACCAGTCTGATGCCATATGGCTTCCCCAAAGTACTGTTGGCATGCTTGCCACCTGGCCTTTGCCCCAAATGAGCGTTCTCTACTTAACTGCTACTTGTCCCTAAACCTCAACTCAGCTTTCTCTGCCAATAGGAAGGCTTCTCTTTTCTCCTTTGGTGCCCTCCCCATACGTTCTCATAATGCTCTTTCAAGTCATAGAACTACCGCACCATGTTGGTGTCTGGGTCCTGGTAGTATTGCATACCAATATTTAGGCTTAGAACTTAGAACATTTTAGAAACTTGAATATTTGTTGAATGAATGAATGAAGACTCCTTGAAAAACTGAATGATATATTGAATAAATAAATTATATTCCTGATTATTTTGGCAATTGATAGCACATCTCTCTGCTTCCCCACACCATCATACTACTCACTTCCTTCCTTGTCTCTTACTGACTTTGGCACTGATCTGGTTCCTAATCTAGTCATTTCTCAGGCCCTCTTCACTTGGTGTACATGTGTGATATCCCTGCTGTCAGACCCTTGGCGTTCCTATGGTGTCTCTGATTTGGCCTGCCTTCTTGTTTCGCTATTCTTTTTTGGGTAGGGCTAGTCTCATAGAATCAATTGTTGGTCCCAGTCATTCACTTGTCCTATGCCTGGGCCAGTCACCACTCCTGCCCCACCCTATTCATGAAATGAGGAGTCAAGCATATTAATAAACACCCATAGTTCCCAGAGTCCCTCCTCAAGACTCAGACAAAATTATGCCATTTTTTTCCCCTTAAATTGTGATGTTGAAGCAGGACACACACAACTTTGTGAGCAGAAGTTTCCTCTGCTCTGCCAAGGAATAAAGGTCAAAGCAGAGATATGCACATGCCCTTTGACCACAGGTGCCTCCAGTGACCACCACAGTGGCATCATCAGCCAATTTCTCATCTTTCTGTAGAAGAGTCATATGGCTTTATGTCAGAGCTGTAGGTATCCATGCATACCCAGGACTTAAAATCTTGGGGAATTTTTTCTTACAAACCAACTGCTGTGGGGCAGTGTAAGGAAGAGTCATCTTATCCTTGCACGGAAGACCCTATCAATGTCTTGGCTACTCTGCAGGGCATTCTCAACAGCTGCATCCGCCATCCCGTTTGCTGCCAGGAGTCAGAGGCCCACATGGCTAGGACACTGCAGCTGAGCACCGCTCATCTATAATGTTCTCTCACAACACTTACACTCGGAGTCCTCTCCTATCCTACCTCTTCAGGCACCATCCTCTGCCACTTCCACGTATTTTTTCCACTTACTTTAGTCTTGATTTCTGCCACTCTAACCTTGGTGCTAAGATCCTGGTCTTGACCTTGCCTCTGACACTCTCAACTTGATGTCTACACATGGACTTCCAAGTGTGTGACATATGGCTTCCCTTTATGACTTTGATTGGCTCATCCTCCAGCTTAAGATTCCAACTCCATAGCATCAGCCTATCCGAAGGCCCCTTGGAAGGAGAAGGACAGCATGGTATAGTCAAACAAATAACCACCTTGCATTGCCAAGTGGGCAGCATGCTTCCTGTGGATGCTCTTTACAGAGACCACTTTATCCTAGACTTGTGTACCCTGAAACCTAAGGCTAGTGTTGGAAGATAACTATATTGCAATTGACTGACAGAATAAATCAGGTGGATTTTGAAGAGCATTCATCTCTATTTACGCCACCTCCAGATACCCTGCTGTCCTTCCTTAAGGCATTTTTAATTTTAAAAGTGCAATTCTTAAAACACAAAAGGTGGAACTGAAAACATCACCAGACATCACAGAAGTGTGGGCTAGCCGTTAAGGAGGAAGATGGAATCTTGATATCAAAAGCTATTAAAAGCCCTTTTTTTCCTATCTCTTCACCTGCGCACCTGATTGCTTTTAAGTGAAGATGTAAGATCACAAGGAGAAGAGGGTGCAAAAAATAGAATGCCATTTTTTCTTCTCCATTCTCTCACAGATAACGACGTGGGAGCGTTGGCCGATAAAGACAACCAGCGTAAATTAAGAGCTTAACTGGAAGCCTATTACAGGCCGTCTCCACTCGCTCTTGCCTATTCGTATTCTTGCACAGTACACAACACAACTTGAGGGAAGGCCAAAAAAAAAAAAACCTCTAGAAAACTCAATTGTTATAACCAATTGTTCAGTGAAATGTCCTTTATTAAGCCTCTCTAAATTAAAGAGACTCCTCCTTCTCCCACTTAAAACTGACCTGCATCAAATACTGTCTTTGCTTATCATGGTGCTACAAAGTGTTTACAGGCCAAAAGGGGTATTAAAATTCTGAGACAAAACATTTTAAACATGATCTTAGGGACTATACTTTCACCCCAATACTGTCCATGGTATAATTAACTTCATGGGAAATTTAAACCACAAAACCCATAATACAAGGTCAAATGTTCTGAAGGATTTACTCAATGAATTTAGAACTTGAGAAAGAATGCAAAAGTTCATAAAAATCAGGACACAAATCATCCTCTTATTCTAGTTAGGAGCAATTAAAGGAAAATATGTCACTTGATTTAGCTGCTCTGTCTAATTAACTGCCCAAATCCATGCCCAGAGTCCTGTTAAAGACATCGGGAGCCATGGGACCCTTCCCCCATCCTACTGATGAACACCTGATGAAGGGTAGGCACTCAAGGGTCTCCTTCACAGGAAGTTGAATTCAGACACCAACACTGTAGTTATTTAGCCACAGGTGCAAGACTTGGAAAGCCATGTAAACTAAGGTGCTTACTACATTTTGGAATAGGTGAAGATTACACCCAATACTATGGGAGATTCGTGAGGGAGAGAGACAGAGAGAGGCAGAGAGAAAGAGAGAGGCAGAGACAGAGAGAGAGAGAGAGATAAGTATCTCAAAGCTTTCCAGTTCCAGGAGTTATACCTTCTTCAAAATACCATCAGAGTCCCCTGAAATAAATTGCTTTTCACTCGCGCTTTCTTAAGGGATTTCTGTTGCTTGCCACCAAGTGATGCCTGCCCATGCCTGTATCTTCCATGTGACCTTTTATTGTGGTTTGTGTTTTCCTGGGTTAAGCCATACCTTTGAGCAATCATGTATTTTAACGACAGCCCAATCATTACAAATGTCCCAGATTCCCAGTGGTTTTTATGACTGACATTTTATTACACAAATTACAAGGCTAGAAACCATATCCCCAGTTTTCAAGAGTCTATAACAAGATAGAGTTTGAGTGAAATATCTTTGTAGTAAAGGAAGCAGAAAAGAAACACTTTAAGCCCCCTGAGAGAATAAAATTGATGTCAAAGGGCCCTTACAACTATACTTTAATCACTACCTTCCACACCTTTCCCAATCTTCTGGAATCTTTGATGATGTTATTTTATTTTGTTTATGCTTTCGAAAGCAGTTGGGGAGGTAAGTAGGGTTTGCCAGACTTTGGAGATAGAAAGGGATAATCAACTGGAATCTTTGACACCAAAATAATAAAATTGTGAAGAAGACACTTTTCTTGTCTTTCCTCTGTAAATAAACACAGAACACAATCAAGTACATCAATTGCAGAGGATGAATGACATTTAGGAACAATGACTAGAATAAGCAAATGCATTGCAAAATACAATATGCCCAGTCAAATTAAATTTCACATAAACAGTGAATGTTGCACAGTATGTATTTATACTATAAGAAATTTTTCTTGCAATTTTAGAAACCTTAACTTACCTTCTTGTCTCAAAAGTTCGATTGAAGCTCCAAAGCTGAAAACACTGGGGAAGAAGAAGCCAAACAAATCAATGTCCCTAAAATGACCTGCTAGACATACTTTGCCTTCAGTTTGGATTCTGCCTCAACTTTTGTGCTTAGGGTTTCTTAACTTTCCATCTCTTCTATATAATCTTGTCAAACTAGTCTTTTTAAGAGTCCACTTTCCCACTTATCATTGGCTATAACCTGCAAACTCCTTCAGGGCAGGGCCGTATCCAACTCATCTCTGTTTCCTCAGAATCCTGGGAACACATAGAAAGTGTTCAATAAACCTTCACTGAGATTTGCCAATGGCCTTTTGCCTCAATTCCAGACTTCCCTTCCTGGCTTTGTGAAAGCTTTCTTTCTCTCTCTAATCAAGCCTCAGCTGGAAAACTTTGTTTTTTATTTCTTCTCAACAAAAGCATCCATGTTTATTAAGATTTTGTTTCTCCTATTTCTTAAACAAGTATTGCCTCTCTGCTTGTACTAAAGTAGATGCCCTTTCTGTAACACCCTACCTCTGCTCCCGGAAAGTTACATAAACATACTGAAGATCCAGTTTGGCTGGGCACAGCGGCACATTCCCTGTAGTCCCAATGACTTGGGAAGCTAAGATGGGAGGATAGCTTGATCCCAGGGAGGTTGAGGTTGTAGTGAGCTGTGATCATGTCACTGCAATCCAGGCTGGGCAACAGAGTGAGACTGTCTCAAAAAAAAAAAAAAAAAAAAAAAAAAAAAAAAAAAAAAAAAAAAAACCGGTTCAAGTATCACATTCTTTAATTGTTCCATCCAATGCTATCTCTGTTTCATGAAACATCCATATTACAAGTTAAAGGAAAGTTTCACCTTCAATGGTTTTTCCTGCTCTAAGATCCTTAAAATAGAGGACTATATCATAAATCTCTCCTGTCTGCCCCTTTAGCACAATGCTTTTCCAGTGGACATGGCCCACAAACAGGAATTGGATGTTATTTCCATTGCTTCCAGCAAAATTCATGGCTTAAAACCTCCCACAGCAACTAAGGAGCAAGATATTGGAGGCTTTCGCTGTTTGCCTTGTCAAGTCTTACCCACCCAATATCCAAATGCTCTGATTTACAGCAGGCTACTGGGGGCTGGAATTTGAATTGCCTTAGTTAATAGCTTTCCAGAGGCCAAACCGTATGTGCTAAAGATAATTTTTTAAAACTCCACTGTAGGGCCCAGCCATGGTGGCTCACGCCTGTAATCCCTGCATTTTGGGAGGCTGAAGTGGGAGGATAACTTGAGCCCAGGAGTTTAATAACGGCCCAGACAACACAGCGAGACCCCTAGCTCTACAAAAAAAAATAAAATAAATGAGAAATATTAGCTGGGAGTGGTGGTGCACACCTGTAGTCCCAGCTACATCAGGAGGCTGAGGTGGAAGGATCACTTGAACCTAGGAATTCAAGGTTACAGCAAGCTATGATCATGCCGCTGCACTCCAGCCTGGGTGACAGAGCAAGACCCTTCCAACACTAAATTAAATAAATAAATAAATAAACCTCTACATAAAAAGCAAAGCTCAGAAAATTGTTTAGGGAAGGGGTTAATAGCATGGGGGTTTAATCTTGGCCCTTCTACAAATTTTAATCAATCCAACAAATGTTTTTACATCACATCTCATTTTGATGTACATTTTTCAGACCATGAGAAATTGGCATCTTCACGTTTATCAGACGTTTCATTTCTTCTTCTTTCAATGATAGTTCATATTCTGATTTGGGTTCAGTTTGAAATCTGAGCTTGAGATGTAGTTTGGGGAGTAAATCGGGGTAGTCATTCAGATATTGGTGTTGGAAAAGACAGACCAGGGAATGTGGTAGGTGTGACTACCCAACTGAGTTTGTCAAAAAAAAAATGGATTTTCATAGTTAGTTATTCAGAAGTATTCATTTAGCAATAGCCAAGTAAACCAGAAATGAGCAATTTAAAGCCTAATCTTAAGCCCTCTGCTCACATTTGATGTTATGGGATTTTTGTTGGGATAAACTAAATCATGTTTCCAAGAATCAAACATATTGGTAAGTGGGAAATTTCCAGAAGGCAATATCAATAAAGCTGTGTCTGCCACTCCAATTTGACACTGTGAGATAGAGACAAATCTGGCAAGGGGTAGCGGCTGCACTGGGTTCTGTGTAGAACTGATAGTGGTCCAAAATGATGAAATCATAGCGTCTGCTCTGACTGGGTATAAATTGTTTAGAGCAATTTCTATGGCTACTGGGCCAAAGTCAGCACAATCAACTGCAGATTGGAGAGTCAGAACTGTTGACATAGAGTTCAACATTAAGCAAACAAGGCATGTTGCTATAAGTCAAACCGCTATCATATTAGCTTTACAAGGAAATAATTTTCAAAGATGCCAAAGAGTCAGTATATCCCATACACCACTTTACTATGGCAGAATATACTAAGGACACAAGGGGTTATAATACTGTAACCAAGAACTGCTGAATATATAGGACTCTGCAAGGAGGAGTCATAATGTTTTATTGGCCCCTGATTTAGAGATTATGAAAGTTATGCTCATTCCTCCACATATCAAGAGAGAAGCTCAAGGGGTAAAACTCCACCATTGTGAGGTCTCATTTTAGTTCTGACATCCTAGAACAAGAATAACGGGGGTGAATGAGGTTATCTAATGATGGTTTTCTCACTCTTAAATTTTAGTCATTGAAATAGTAATAATGATAAAACAGTAACAAGAGTTAACGATTAACAAGTGCTTCTCTATACCAAGGACTGTACTTTATTTAATATTTAACCCAGCCAGGCAGGGTGGCTCATGCTTGTAATCCCAGCACTTTGGGAGGCTGAGGCGGACAGATCACTTGAGGACAGGAGTTCAAGACCAACCTAGCCAACATGGTGAAACCCCCTCTCTACTAAAATACAAAACAATTAGCCAGGCATGGTGGTGGGTGCCTGTCATCCCAGCTACTCAGGAGGCTGAGGCAGGAGAATCACTCGGACCCAGGAGGCGCAGGTTGCAGTGAGCCAGGATCATGCTATTGCAATCTAGCCTGGGCAACAAGAGCGAAACTCTGTCTCAAAAAGAAAAACTTAATCCAACCCCATAAGATAGGGTGGATCATTTAGGAAGTAACTCATGGCTTGGCATAATCTTTCTGGAGATCTTTCCTATCTCTAGAACTTCCTGAAGATGCTGGTTAGAGGCAACATCCACGTTATTATGGAAGTGGCACCCAACGCTAACCTCAGATGCAATATACAGGGTGAGTCCATCTTTGGCTTCCTTTTTTCTTCATCATTTCTTCTTCTTTGGTCTCGGTTAGATAGCTATGTAGCCACATAAGGAATTAGATTAGCCTATGAGTGAATCCCATTAAATGTTGAATAGGAACACATCCAAACTCAGTCAAACTCAGTGCTCATACAGGATGTAAAGAAGAAAGGATACGACAAAAGAAACTGATTGTTACTTTGGATGCCTAGTTTAAAAAATAAAAATAAAATCTGGCCCACTACTTAGGAACTACTCAGATCTTGGAAGGACTCTGAAGAATTCTTGTTTTAGAGTTGTGCTATTCTCAAATAGCTATTTTTATGATTAACTTCTATTCTGAGTGATAAATGAAAAAAGAAATTCTTGAACTTTTCAGCAAAATAATTGCCAAGATTTGTTTTATCATAGTGACTCAGAGAATTACATTTATATTGTCCTGACCTCAGAAGTCTTCATTTTGTTTTGGAAAGTAAATAAACTAAAACAAGATAATTTTCTTTTTCACTAAAGAGATGTTCAGTGTTCTGTTCTGGGACAAGATTGATCCATTTTATATGGTAATTGAATTCTTCACCATTGTTCTTGCCTGCATATATCTGTCAACTTTGAGTTTGGGGTCTTAGACAATTAGCTAAAAGTTAAGAATTCAGCTGTTCATTCATTGGGGAGTTGCGTTGCCTTTTCTCCCTGTATTAGTCCTTTCTTACAATGCTATAAAGAACTGCCCGAGACTGGGTAATTTATAAAGGAAAGAGGTTTAATTGACTCACTGTTCTGCAGGGCTGGGGAGGCCTCAAGAAACTTATGATCATAGCAGAAGGGGAAGCAAGCACATCTTTCTTCACATGGCGGCAGGAAGGAGAAGTGCTGAGCAAAGAGAGAAAAGTGCCTTATAAAACCATCAGATCTCACTCACTATCATGAGAACCAGATGAGGGTAACCACCCCCATGATTTAATTACCTCCCACCGGGTCCCTCCCATGACACATGGGGATTATGGGAACTATAATTCAAGATGAGATTTGGGTGGGGACACAGCCAAACCATATCACTCCCCCTTTGTGATCTGGCTTTGTCACTTACTCATGTAAAACTGTTAGAATAATAGTGAAAAATAGTAGCAGTGAAAAACAATTGTAACAAAGTAAACCCAGCTAATGGAGAGACTTCTGTAGAAAGTGGACATCAGAAAAAGATCTCCTTCATTTGCGAAGCTTTTAGTGACCATCATGTGCCAGATACTATGATTTCCAGGCCTTAGGATGGAGGAAGTGAAGGACAGCTCATGGCAGCTTCACCTGGGGAGAGTGTGGGCCGTAGAGGCAGGTAGAACTGGCTTTGGTCTACCCTGGGGAATAGGTGACATTCGGCTTTACACCAGCTTCTGGTGAATCACAAAGATTACTCATTTGATTTTTTAAAAATTGTTTATTTTGAATAATTGTAGATACATAGGTATTTGTAAGAAATAATAAAGAGATATCCTGTGCACCCTTAACCCAGTTTTCCCCAGTGATAACTTCTTATATAACTATAGTACAATATTACAACCAGGACATTTACATTGATTTAATTCACCAGACTTACTTAGATTTCACCAGTTGTATATGTACTCATTGTGTGTGTATGTGTGTGTATTTAGTTCTATGCAATGCTATCACATCTGTAGATTTGTGTGCCCACCACAGTCAAGATACAAAGCAGTTCTATGGCAACCATGAATCTGGTTCTCCAGCTGTATAATTGTTGTCATTATAAGAAGGTTATATAAAGGAAATCACATAGTATAACCTTTGAGATTAGCTTTTTCAACTCCACATAATTCATTTGCGATCTATGCAAGTTGTTGCATGTATCAGCACTTTGGTCCTTTTTATTGCTTAGCAATATTCCATGGTATAGATGTGCTATAATTTGTTCAACCAATTACCCACTGACACATGTTTGGATTGTTTCCAGCCTTGAGCTGTATCAAATAAAGCTGCTATGAACATTAATGTAGATTTGTGTATGATTATAACTTTGCATTTGTCTGGGATAAATGTCCAAAAGTGTAATTTCTGGGTTGTATGTTAGGTCTATATTAGTTTTATAAGAAGATGCCAAATAATTTTCTAGAGTGACTATACCATTTTACATTATCACAGCAATACATGAGTTTCTCTACGCCTTTCCCTAATAAATGTGTAGCTATATCTTATTGTGAATTTAATTTGCATTGCATTTCCTGGATGTGTAACAATGCTGAACGTCTTTTTCACATGCTTATTTCCCATCTGTATATTCTTGTTAGTGAAATATATGTTCATGCATTTTTCCCATTATCAAATTGGATTCTTTGTTCAATTTTTATTGTTGAGTTTTAAGAGCTCTTTATATGTTCTAGGTATGTCTTTTGTCAACTATGTGGGTTGCAAATATTTTCTCCCAGTCTATAGCTTGTTTTTTCATCTCCCTAACAGAGTCTTTGCAGAGCAAAAGTTTTTAGTTTTGGTGAAGCTCTTTTTATCACTTTTTTCTTTAATGAATCATGTTTTTGCTAACTGGTCTAAGAATGCTTTGCTAGCCTTAGGTTTTCAAGAGTTTCTTCTTTTTTTTTTCTAGAAGTTTTATAGTTTTACATGTTACATGTAAACCTATGGTCCACTTTGAGTTAATTTTTGTATAAGGTATGAGGTTTAGATTGAGGTTCTTTTTTTCCTATTGTTAGCCCATGAATGTCCAATTGCTCCAACACCTCTTGTTGAAAACACCATTTTTCCCCCACTGAATTGTTATTGCACCTTTGTTGATGCTATGGTTTGGCTGTGTCCCCACCCAAATCTCATCTTGAATTGTAGTTCCCGTAATACCCACATGTCACTGGAGGGACCCGGTGGGAGGCAGTTGAATCATGGGGCAGGTTTTTCCCACACTGTTCTCGTGATAGTGAATAAGTCTCACAAGATCTGATGGTTTTATAAAGGGCAGTTCCCTTGCATATGCTCCCTTGCCTGCCACCATGTAAGACACGCCTTTGCTCCTCCTTTGCCTTCTGCCATGACTGTGAGGCCTCCCCAGCCATGTGGAACTGTGAGTTCATTAAACCTCTTTTTCTTTATAAATTACCCAGTCTTGGGTATGTCTGTATTAGCAGTGTGAGAATAGACTAATATAGTCAAAAAATCAGTCATCTATAAGGGTCTATATCTGTGTTCTCTATTCTGTTCCCTTGATCTACCTGTCTGTCCCTCCACAAACACTACATTTGTCTTGATTACTATAGCTACATAGTAAGCATTAATATGAGGTAATTTTCTCCCATTAGTTATTCTTTTAAAAAATATTTCAGCTTTCTAGGTGCTGTGCATTTCCATGTAAATTTTAAAATAAACTTGCCTATGTTTATTAAAAACTATGCTGAGCTAGATATCCACAAGCAAAAGAATGAAGTTCCAACCTTTCCTAACAGTATATACAAAAATTAATTCAAAATGAATCAAATACCTTAGGTAGGACCTAAATCTATAAAACCTTTAGAAGAAAGCATAGAGCAAAGTTTTATGACATTTGATTTAGCAATGACTTCTTGGATATGACATCCAAGAGACAGGCAACAAAAGAAAAAATAAACAAACTGGAGTCTATTAAACATATCTTTTTATTGTGCATTGAAAGACACTATCAACAAGGTAAAAAAAAAAAAAGGCAACTCACAGAATGAGAAAAAATACTTACAAATCATATATCCGATAAGGGATTAATATTCAAAACATATACAGAATTCCCCAAATCAGCCACAACCATAAAAAACCCTCAATTTTTAAAATAGGAAAAAGACATCAGTGGATATTTCTCCAAAGACTATTATACAAATAACCAATAAATATTTAAAAGATGCTCAACGTCACTAATCATTAGAGAAATGCAAATATAATAAAATCTCACCTCACATCCATTAGGATGGCTACTCTCAAAAAAACAGAAAATAATAAGTGTTGTCAGAGTGGAGAAATTGGAACCCTTATGCACTGGTGGTGGGACTATAAAATGATACAGTCCCTATGGAAAAGATTACAGCAGTTCCTCAAAAACAAAAACAAAAACAAAAAAAATAGTATTACCATATGGCCCAGCAATTCCACTTTTGGGTATGTACCCAAAAGAATTTAAAGCAGAGTCTCCAGTAGATATTTGAACATCCATGTCCATGCAGCTAAATGTGGAAGCAATCCAGTTTTCACCAACCAATGAATGAATAAGCAAAATGTGGTGTATACATGTAATGGAATATTATTCAACCATAAAAAGGATGAACCTACAACATGGATGAACCGTAAGGATATTATGCTAAGTGAAGCAAGCCAATCACAAAAAGACAGATACTATATGCTCCCATTTACATGAGGTACTTAGAGTTGTCAAACTCATAGAAACAGAAAGTAGAATGATGATTGCCAGGGACTGGGGAAGAGCAAGAATAGGAAGTTTTGTTTTTGTTTTTATACTTTAAGTTCTGTGTTACATGGGCAGAACATGCAGTTTTGTTGCATAGGTATACATGTGCCCTGGTGGTTTGCTGCACCCATCAACCGGTCACTTACACTAAGTGGTTCTCCTAATGTTATCCCTCCCCTAGCCCCCCATTCCCCAACAGGCCCCAGTGAGGAAGTTATTTTTAATAGGTATAGAGTTTCAGTTCTACAAAATGAAAGGAGCTATGGAGATGGATGGTGGTGAATGAAAGGAGCTATGGAGATGGATGGTGGTGATGGTTGCACATTATGAGTGTATTTAATACCATTTAAGTGTATATATAAAATATTAGGATGGTAAATTTTATGCTATGTGTATCTTACCATAATTTTAAAAATTGAAAAAGGAAAAATCATACTGGGATTTTGATAAGATTTGCATTAAACTTACAGATGGATTCAGGGAGAATTTACATATTTGCTGTGTCGTATTTGGCAGTACATAAAACACCACTTTGATTTTAATTTTCCCCTGCAGGTTGCTTTGCCTCAGCCCCTGGATTACAACGCCCCCTGGCTCATACCTGAGTTCACCACAGCCTTTGGACCCCAGAACTGCCCTTGCTGGTTCTGGTCTCTGGCTAAATCTTCTATGATTGCAGCTTTGGCTACTACCTATAGCCTTAGGGAAAAACCCAGAACTTGTGTTTGAATTCTACTACCACCAGATGTTAGCTGAGTCATCTCCAGCCTCAATTTCCCAATCTGTGGGATTTGTTGCACTGTATACCTTAAACGGGAGTTATTGCTATTATTGCAGTTAACATAAGCTTCTACCACTTACCTAACTCAGCGCGTGCAGTTAGATTTTAGCATCTAAAATGCCAATCTGCAATCATCTTTATTAGTCATATTTTGCCTGTTTTTATCCATCATTCCAATTTGTTGTAATCATTCCAGTCCCTGATATAATCCACATTTTAATCTCAGATATTGAAAAGTAATGGCAGACAAGACAGAGAGTCATGGACAGAATTTGACGTACCACTAGAGAAATCTGTTCTCATTTAGGTCCTTTGATTACAGTTAACAAAAACACATTCTAAGAAATCAAAAGAAAGCCAAGGAACCATGCCTGGGAACAACATAACCAGATAGAACCAAAATCAGGTACATCAGACAGTCTAGCCTAAGAGGCTGGCTCTGGAATAAATAAGCTCTAATCATCATCTCTTTGTCTGTGTCACTCTGTTCAAGATTTGCAGAGCCCAGAGAAAGGTCTTCTTTGCTGAGCTCAGGTCTCATGACTGACTCCTGGCTGTACCAGGGCAGTAAGAAGAAGGATCTGGCCAATGAGATGCCTTAGCAGCTGTAATAGAAGGATTCCACCTGCACTTCCTGCCCCAGATGAATTCAGGGCACTGTCACGAGAGGTCATGAGTACTCGGATGCCACAAAGTGCCAAAAATCCATTCTAACTTTTTCTCATTTGATAGTAATTCACTAATAAGCACTTTCTGGTGATGGCCGTTCAGCCAGAAACAGATCCACCCAATTGTCCAGAAACATAGATCCACTAGTTCCACCAAAGATGTGTTGACAAATTGATACAAAGTCTTGTTGAAATACAAGTATATGAAACCTATGGCATTCCTTGAATCTACTGGAACCTAACGTAACTTTCACATTGGCATTTAACCTGCCACACTAGTTACGTAGTGATCCCAAGTTCTTCACTTAACTTCAGTACTCAAGTCTTCTCATTGACAGCAGTGAGATAATGGTTCTAATCTCACATTTTGGTGGGGGCTTTTATAAAGTACTATATAGCTTATTTGCTATCTATGTGCGAGTTACTATATAATGCCTACTGCCTCCTTATAAGCATAGAGACTGAATGGAAGTCCCTCAATTCTGTTTAGGTTTTTTGAGGGCTAAGGAGTTAAAACTAAGGAGAATAAATCTGGAGGGAGAGTTGAGTTGCTCTGCAAAAGAGAAGAAATAGAAATGGAAGACCTTTAGCCATCTAGAGAAACCTGGAAGAGACAGGTGAGAAACAGGACTGTGGGAGAGGGCGAAACCCTCCGCAAAATGGCAGTTTCCTACTAGAATGGACAAATTACAGAACAAAGGCACACTCGAGGTAGCTGAACCCAAGTGGTATAGAAAGCCAACAGGACACACTGACTCATCTACTGGCATTCCCATTCTAGAAAGTAGCAGAAATCTTGGAGGTAAAGCTCTGTGGACCATGGAATTTGAGAGTTAAAGGCAAATTTACGTAGATCTCAAGGGGCAGGAAAAAACCCCACCTGAATTTTGGCCTATATACATTTGCATTCATATACAAGAAGCAATAGAATAGTGAACTTTTCAGTCCTTGGGTGATTTTTGCTGAAGCAGAAAAAGGGGAAAAAAAGTCTCTGTGTTCTGTTATTCCAACTTTGATCTTTTATTCATTCTCTGAGGGCATAAATGATTGTTTATCTATGTTTTCATTAGTAAAACCACTCTTGAGGATTTTTTGTTTGTAGTTGTTGTTGTTTCCTGCTGTGGATTTTAACACAGAGGCCTTTCGTTTTGAACCAAATGTATCAACAACGAGCATCCTACAATTGCCATTTGCTAGATCCCTTTGTTTGTGGGCTCTTTTGCCTTATGTTCATGTAGGGTACAAAATTAATTACAAGCATGAATAGCTTGTGTCTGCTGTGTTGGAGAACCTGAGGTGATAATGGCTGCCACCTACCATACCCCAGAATGTGCCTACCCACAGCCTCTGCAGAACATGTAGCCCCAGGAGGATATGTTTTATACCATGCAGCCTGGCCATTCTGGTCTCAGTCAGGGGTGCAAATCTAAAGCAAGAGCAGCCAAACCATAGCCTCTCCATGACCTCTGGAGTGGCCACAGGTAAAAAGACAAGTTATGGCCGGGTGCTGTGGCTCATGCCTGTAATCCCAGCACTTTGGGAGGCCTAGGCGGGCGGATCATGAGGTCAGGAGATGAGATCATCCTGGCCAACACGGTGAAACCCCGTCTCTACTGAAAATATAAAAATGACCTGGGTGTGGTGGCATGTGCCTGTAATCCCAACTACTTGGGAAGCTGAGGCACGAGAATCGCTTGAACCCAAGAGGCGGAGGTTGGAGTGAGCTAAGATCTTGCCACTGCAATCCAGCCTGGTGACAGAGCAAGACTTTGTCAAAAAAAAAAAAAAAAAGTTATGCCAGTCAGATTCTCTTCCTCAGATATTTGAAACAGGAAATGAGTAAGAGAAGACGATGACAGTGTACATCAAAGAAGGCCATGAAATACCTTTAGAAGCCATGAGGAATCACGAGCAAGCCAGAATTAGGAGAAAGCAAAGTCAATAGCAAGAGCAGAAGGAAGGTAACATAAGAAACTCGATAGCACTGTACTAACCTCAACCTGTTCCTGCCTCAGGTATGAGCACATCCAAGCCATTCCCTTTGCCTACCTTTTACATTATCTCTTTTTCCTCTTCCCATCTCCTCCCTTCTTTGCTTAAAGACAACAAGGCAGAAGAATTAGAGTGTTGCCATCAGAAGTCATGGAAATGCACCATTGCAATTCCCTTGTTTTTCCCTATTTAAGCTGAGCTTTATGAAGGATACATTAACCACATTATCAGATGGAGACATAATGACAAGCCTGCTCTTCATCTTTTCAAAATGCCCAGATGGAAATAATGTCTGAGAATGTAAAGTTTTCCCATCACAGCACTCTTCTCTCTTGTTGAATCTAATTGTAGCACTAGAAAAAGAGAGACTGACTCTTGCAAACCTCCCAGTGAAATGCCAACTGTAACACATCATTAGCTAAATAAGAAACAACAAGGTCAGCATGGTGTGCGAGAAATGGCAATGTTGTACTTGCTGTTGATTCAGAACTGGCGGGTTTGTGAGGAAGGGAAAAATAAATGTGTATAGAGGTAATGTTGGCCAGGTGCAGTGACTCACGCCTGTAAACCCAGCACTTTGGGAGGCCGAGGCAGGTGGATCACCTGAGGTCAGGAGTTCAAGACCAGCCTGGCCAACATGGCAAAACCCCATCTCTACCAAAAATACAAAAATAATAGACAGGCGTGGTGGCACACCTGTAATCCCAACTACTCAGGAGGCTGAGGCAGGAGAATAGCTTGAACCTGAGAGGCTGAGGTTGCAGTGAGCCGAGATCATGCCACTGCACTCCAGCATGGGTGACAAGAGCGAAACTCCATCTCAAAAAAAAAAAAAAAAAAAAAAAAGCAATGTCACTACAGGCCGCCACAATATATAGGTGTGCATGGGAAAATATAGTTGAGTGTATTTTCAGGATGTGGCAAGCGGATGTGGCTCAACCAGAGGAATTTATAGCAGCAAGTAACAGCCATACCACCATAAAACTGCACAGAAGCTACTTTTAGACTTTGAGGATCAAACAGCTAGATTCAAAACACAGATAATAGAATAACAACTGCTGCTTAACAGGGAGTAGGAGATAAAAATAATTTGCTACACTTTGCTAGATTCCACCCCATTCCTCTAACATAGCAATCCTGGGCAGTTAATTAGAGTATGTGTGGTCGCTGCAGATGAAGGGAAACTCTATCAGCGATGGAAGAAACAGTAGACAGGAAATCCTGAGCCAGCCATTAAAATAGGAGTAAGATTTCAGAAGCCAGAGATGAGATACAATAGGAGGTGAACTGAGTTAGAGGAAACAACTCCTAGTGAAAGAAGGTCTCTTTGCCCTAAATCAGTAAAAGGGATCTACATTAAAAATTCGTATTTAATCGTTAACGTTTATTTTAAAATAAACTAATGGTTGTTGTTTCTTATTTAATTAAGAAATTAAAAGAATTTCTTGAAATTAACCTATTTTCTAAGTTCGATGTCAGCCATAATTATTATAGACCAAGAGGCACACACAAACCCACTCCCTCCCCTAACCCATCTCTTAAACAAAAGATCACCCTCCAGTGACCCTTAAAAAGAGTTTGAGAACTATAAAGTCACAAGAATAAAACCTTAACACTGACAGGATATAAGCTGGCTACAGATGACATTTCCAACCCCCTCTCCTTGTCAGTACAAAAGATGCATTGGATGTGGGGGACAGATTTGTTGAGATACTCATGGACTTGCATGTGTGGCACTTTATGAAAAAATAAAAAGGAATCAGACTTCCCATTTAAATTCTCTCACCTCTACCCCTTCCTTACATTTTTTCCTTGCCCCCCAACTCTCACAGGAACAGAGTAACATGGGATAAAGAGGATGAGAGTACAGAAAGCAAATGATAAAAATATGTGCTCTTGAGTCATTGGAAGATTCTGATCCAAAGTAATGGGTGATTATTACTCCTTGAAGCCACAGTCAAAAGCAAATTTAAAATATTCCCTCCTTTTCTCCTGAAGTCTTTTTCTCCAATCTGGCAACTGGCAATGCACTAAAGGAATGTTTTCATCAATGTGTCCAAATATGTTATTCAAAGTAAGATTTTATATGAGATAGCCTCAGGGAACTTTCTGGAAGAAAAAGGCAGCCCCAAAATTGGATGCACAAATTGCTTTAAGGTTTTAAGATTTGGCGAAATATATTGTGCCTTCATTGTACCCCAAGCCAGAAATGGAAAAAAGAAAAAAGAATCAATACAAAGAATGACTTTCCAGGCAGTGCAAAGGGATT
Organism: Homo sapiens; assembly: GCF_000001405.40. Classification (NCBI taxonomy): domain Eukaryota; kingdom Metazoa; phylum Chordata; class Mammalia; order Primates; family Hominidae; genus Homo; species Homo sapiens. The sequence goes on from NC_000003.12 coordinate 31,215,385, forward strand.
CAGTGTTTCCACAGGTTTGCAAGAATGCAACAAGCAAGAAAGGCAGTGTCCCCAAAACAAAGTGACCAGTCCTCTGAGCTTCTAGCTGGCAAGTTGCCCAGCAGAGATAATAGGATGTTATTGAATTTTCAGGCATCTCGGTCAGTGATGGAGGTGGAGGGGTGTTGCAAAAGGATAATGGAAGGAGCAGGGATTGGGAAAGCAAGGATGGAGGGGCAGGTAAATTCTGGAAGTGGAAAATTATTTTTCAAGCATAGAAAAACTTAAAAAAATACTACTGCACTACTGTGGAAGTCATGTACTAAAAGTGTCCTTATAAGAGGAGATGTGAAGGGTGGTACATGGGTCATAAAATAAACTTTGTGGCCAGGACCCTCTGACCACTAAAACCATAGATGCTTAAACAGAAAAATCCAATCAAGCAGAAGGATGGTATTCTCCAAGTAATAAGCCACTTCAGTGAGTATTCATGCTCTAATCCCAGGCCCAGATTCATAATAAGGGCAAAAATGTAAGCACACACACACGCACACACACACGTGCATGCACACCCCCACACACATACACATGGCTAGGGGCAGAGCATCCCAAGGCCCAAGTGTAGGAGGAGGCAATGGGAAAACACATTCACTCATTCAGTAGGAAAACTCATCCTTTTTTAATTGCTTTGCATTTGTTTTTCATCTTCTCTCGCATTTCTTCTGATGGTGATTATGATTGTATTTTGAAATCATGATCCACCGCTGCAGCACTGTAATTACATAAATATGGCATTATAAATGAAGGTTAGCACCAGAAATAGCAAAGCAGAGAGGGGTGCAATTTGTCTTTGTGGATGTAAGTGTATGTGTATATGTTTATAAATACCTCTCATTTATATGGCATTTGGAAATAATCTGCTAGTGCAAGCAAGGGGGTCTTAGGAAATAGAACAAAATCCTCAATCCCATTTTCAGCTGAAGAATACAACGGTAAGAAAAGGCACGTTCTTCCAGTCATGATAAATGGAGATTGTTAAGTAAGAGTTAGGCTTAAACTGAGCTCAGATTTCTCAACTGGCCTGGGCACCACTGGTTCTTCTTGTGGACAGGAATCAGTCTGTGTCAGTACAGCTTATCAACAGTGCTCTTCAGCAACCCTAGGACCTCAGAGAGTATCTCTTAACCTCCTATATTTCCTTCCGAACAGGAGAACATCTCTCTCTCTCTCTCTCTCTCTCTCTCTCTCTCTCTCTCTCTCTCTCTCTCTCTCTCAATTTCACTCACTTTTGCCTGCAGCACACCACCCAGTATCTTCAACCAATCAATAACTCAGTTCCTTTCACTCTCAGGGAAAAGGAAAATTCTGAAGTGTGTACCACACAGGGTGTGTGGTAGTTCTAAAACATGTTAACAAATTATTCAAACCTTCTCTCTTCAAGAGATAGAGACTGAGTTTTCTTCCCTTGAATGTGGGCTATACTAAGTGACTCACTTTGAATGACCAGAAGATGATAGTGATGCTATGTCATCATAGCATCACTTATGACCAAACCTAAGTCATAAGAAGGCGACTTCTCTTTGGCATCACTTCTACTGGGAAAAGCCAGCTTCCATGTCATGGGAACACTCTAGCAACTTGTGGAGAAGTTGATGCAGATAGGAACGTAGGTCCTGCCAACAACCATCACCAGTTCACAAGCTACATGGCTGAGCCACCTTGGAAATAGATGATCCAACCCCACTCATCCCTTTAGATTATTGCAGCTTTGACTAATGTCTTGGCTATATATAATTTCATGTGAGATCAGTCCTGAGCCAGTACCGCCTGGACAAGCCGCTCCAAATTCCAGATGTAAAAAAATATGAATGCAGTAAATACTTGTTATTTTAAACCACGAAATTTTGGGTCAACTTGTTACATAGCGGTAGATAACAATACAGCATCCTCATGGTATTGACCCCCAGTTACCCATAGCTCTCACTTGCTCATCAATTACCTCACTATGCTTCCTTGGATCACATCCAAAATAAAGAAACTTCACTCAAAATTCTTGTCTCAGGGTTTGCATTAAGAGTCTAAAACATGCCATATAAGATAGATATTATTCTCACTTTAGGGATTTAAAAAAGTAATATGCGTAGGTTACAGCTATATAGCAAATAATAGCAAAACCAGATTTTCTGAATCCTAATCCACTGCTTCCTGATTCATTATAGCTGCATCTCCCTGCCACTCATACCCCCATTCTTTGCCATTTTAAGCAACCTCTTTTCTCTCTCCAAGAACAAATCAGTTAATTTGCTCACTCGCTGCGGGCCTAGACACTCATCTTAATCTCAAAATTTAAAAACCAGTCTCAGTGAATTCAATAACCAAAGCAGGAACTTTTAGTCACTGAAGCCTAAATGTATTTGTTTTTCCTAATGATACCTGTACACAACAAGGAGGAACAATTAGCAAATCAATAAATTATTCGTTTGTTGATGTTAATGCAAAGACTATATGTGGCTCTACCTTGTTTTATGTCTAGACTACAGGTGGTGGCCTGAAACTGCTGACCAAAGAAATGACCATGCTGTGTGGGCAAGAAATGGTGAAGATAAAGCCCATATGTGCTGTACTTTCTGTTTGGATCAAATAAAATGTACAGCCAACTCATCTGTCAGATATTTAATCATAATCATTATTGTGTTATGTGGTAATTAGGCATAAATGGGACATAAATGACTCTTGCTAGAAGTACTTTATATATCAAAAAATTTTTGTGTTTCCAAATATCCATCTCTTTGATAATTTTCAAGTATCTGTCTCTACTTACTGTCACTGTAGTTGGTTTCCCCTGAGTCAGACCGGTAAAGAAGAATACATATGGGCTTTGGAATCAAACAAATCACTCACACTGTGTGATCTTGATCAAACCACATGACATCTCTAGGCCTCTTGTGTAAAATTGAAATGAGTGCCTCTCCAGCAGGGTCACTATAAGAATCAAATGAGAAACTGAAATGCAGTAGCTAACACTGCGTTAGTACGTAGTAGGTGCTCAGTAAAGATCTTGTTCCTGTCTTTTATATCAACATTACTTTCACATGCCTTAATGAGAGGTTCTTGATACTCTCTCCATGAGTTTTTTTTTGTATGCCCTGTATCCCTCCCCTGAGAGCAACTGCTTTCATTCTCCAAATCACTGTCTCATGCTAAAATCTTAAATTTATCCATGCTTTCAAAAATATACCTCTTATCAGCTGAAGAAAAATTTATACAAAACTTTTTTGTATATAACATGAAAGATGGCTTTGGGTCCACAAGTAGAAATAAACAGATTTCAAATGCATCTAGGAATAGGCATGTCAACACTTTGGCATGAATGAGTTCTAGTTACGGGCAATTTCTCTTTCCATTTGATTTGGTTATGGCTGGTGAGTAAGCTGGAAGAGACTGGTCATCTGAAAAAGCTAAAGAAGAAAATGGGGCTATGACTTGCAGTTGTGTTCATCCAATAGGAGGCTGGTCATATTTTGGAATAATTTGGCAAACATGTACAGATAGGAAATGTACTCAAAAATATTTCATGTCCTTGGGGCTGTGTGCTCTTTGGGGCCTTGCAGGCACTATGAAGATGAAGAGTTTGCCTCTTTCCTCTAGAAGAGATTTGTAAAAGCAGTGTTCACTGATAGACACAACAGCTCATAACAACAGCAGCAACAGGGTCAACTTCCACTTATTAAGGGCATAACATTTATTTGCATACCAAGGTTAACAAATCACTTTTACTTCTTTTCCATTTGGTCGTCCTGCAGCCCAAGTGAGTACTATTTTTAATTCCATTTTACAGATAAACAAGCTGAGACCAAGAGAGGTTAGACATAATGCCCCACAAGCCCTCAAATAGCAGGCAAAAGAATGAGGTCTGGATTCTCAATTCCACATTCTTTTCTCTTACCACACTCCCCTATTAATAAATAGCTTGTTTGTCTGAAGGATAAATGGAAGCTAATTTATAAATTCTCCAGCTAGCTTTTCTTGCCCCATATTGGTGTTTAGAGCCACAAAACCACACATCCACATTACATAGAGTGGTGTAGAAATAATTTTTAAATAATCACATTATTAGTCTTTGAGAAGAAAAACCTGCCATGAATAAAGAGATGATTTCACAGGGTCCAGGGTAATTGCAAGCAGCTGTGGACTTAACCATGGTAGATAATCCAGAGATAAAAGGTGCATTCTTTTGAGCAGTTGAGGCAGCCAACTTCTTTCATCAGTGCCTGTAACTTCTGCAGAAGGAAACATTCAGATCTCACCACAAAAGAGCAGACCTTCACTGGGTCATCTGTGACACAAACTGACAGTCAGGTTTTTATCAACTTCTCACCACAACATGGAGACTTTTAACCACAGATGTCCGATTCACATATAAAGCTCTCAACCCCACCAGACAAGAACCACTTTCAAATGTAATAAATAAAAGAATCACTTTCAAAATAAGAAAGTGAGGCATGGAGTACAACAAATACAAATTGAGCCAGGCACTATGCCAGGAGGGGGTCCCTGCCCTGAAGGGGAAGATAGGGCCATGGTTCTTAAGCCTGGATGTTTAATAGTGTCCCCTCAGGGCTTATTAATATCCCAACACCTAGGTCTCAATTTATTGATAATTGATTTTTCTCAAATAATTCAGAAACTCTGGGAGTAGGACCAGACATTAATATTTTTTACGTGTTTCCATTGCGCAGCCCTGCAGTTGAGAAACACAATTATAGTGGAATCCAAAGTGTTACGAATGTATTTGGTAGGATCACTTGAGACCCTGGTTGAAAATGCAGATGCATGGGCCCTGAACTATAGCTCCTGAATCAGAATTTCTAGAAAAATGAGTTGGGAATACACTATATTTTGAAGAAGAGCCCAAAGATTGTTATGACTAGAGAAGTTAGGCAAAACCTGACATTGTCTTCAAAAAATAATAATCAACAAAGTGAGAAGACAAACTATGGAATGAGTGAAAATATTTGGAAATCATCTATCTGACAAGGGGTTAATATCCAAAATATATAAAGAACTCCTACAATTCAACAACAACAACAACACAGGACAAAGGACTCGAATAGACATGTCTCCAAAGATGATATACGAATGGGCAACAAACATATGAAAAGATGCTCAACATTCTTAATCATTAGAGAAATCAAAACCACAAAGGTAGGAGATATCACTTCACACCTATTAGCATGGCTGCTGTCCAAAATCAAAAAAAGAAAGAAAAAGTAAAAAATAACAGGAAATGACAAGTGTTGGTGAGGAGGTGGAGAAATTAGAAACTTGTACACTGTTGGTAGGAACGTAAAATGGTGTGGCCACCATGGAAAACAGTATGGCGATTCCTCAAAATATTCAACATAGAATTACCATAAAACTCAGCAGTTGCACTTCTGGGTATATATCCACAAGAATTCAAAGCAGGAACTTGGAGAGATATTTGCACCTATGTTCATCACAGCATAATTCACAGTAGCCAAGAGGTGGAAGCAACCCAATTGCCACTGATAAATGAGTAGATAAGAAAATGTGGAATATACATGCAATGGAATATTATTCAACCTTTAAAAAGAAGAAAACCCTGTCACATGCCACAGCATGCATGAAGCTTAAGGACATTATGCTAGACAAAATAAGCCTGTCACGAAAAGACAAATACCATATGATTCCACTCATATGAGGTATCTAAGTTAGCAAAACTCATAGAAACAGAAAGTAGAAAGGTGGTTGCAAGAGGCTAGGAAACGGGAGATGACAGAATGGTTGTTCAATGGGTATGGAGTTTTGCTTTTGCAAGATGAAAAATTCTAAGGATCTGTTGCACAATATATAATTAACACTACTGAACTATACAATTAACAATGGTTACAAGGGCTCGGCGCGGTGGCTCATACCTGTAATCCCAGCACTTTGGGAGGCTGAGGCAGGTGGATCACAAGGTCATGAGTTCAAGACCAGCCTGACCAACATGGTGAAACCCCATCTCTACTAAAAATACTAAAAAAAAAAAAATAGACAGACATGGTGGTGTGCGCCTATAATCCCAGCTACTCGGGAGGCTGAGACAGGAGAATTGCTTTAACCCGGGAGGCGGAGGTTGCAGTGAACCAAGAACACGCCACTGCACTCCAGCCTGGGGACAGAGCAAGATTCCATCTCAAAAAAAAAAAAAAAAAAAATGGTTACAAGGATAAATTTATGTTATGTGTTTATTACCACAATTAAACATTGAAAGAAAATCTCTTTATGTTAAAAATCTGATACTGTCTAACACTTCAACAGTTTCCCTTGTCCTGTCTGTCTTTTTTGCAGCCCAAAGAGCAAAGAACTTGGGGTTTCCCAGTTTTCTATTCTGCAATAATAAAACAAAACAAAAAACGGGTAAGCCAAAATAAAAACCATTTTTCCAACTGCTTTCTAAGGAAGAACTTTCTCAATTATAGAAAGTTCAGACATGACTATAAATCTAGACAAGCCGATACATAGATTGCTCTGATTAAGAGAGGAGAGCTTTAAAAGTGTGCGGGATGGGAAGTCCTTGGATACTAAGGAAAAGAGGTGCCAGGAGCCTGGGCCTCATGTGGGGTCAGGAGTGAGAAGGGTGCCCCAGGCCATTTGTGGGGACCAGGACACTTGGGGGATGACATACTCATTGGGAAGAAGTAACACTGCACTGGATGTCATGGAATGTGGGATGAAGGCCTCCTGCACTGCTCCTATACTGTCCTTAATAAAATTTACTTGCTCACTCATCTTTCAGCATGTCAGAACCTTTCTGTGAAAAGTGAAGAACTGCACCACACACTGGAAGGCACGGGGCTCAGGCAGATGCCCAGCCTAGCCCAGCAAACAGCACTGCTGCTATTCCCATCCGCCACCATATTCTCCAGAGCCCGCCCCTGACCCAGGTCTGTCCTCTGCCTTTCTCCCCTCTGCTCTGTAACCCATATGGCCACAGAAGTCTCCTTGCTCTCTGGCTTCTGACAGGGGCCAACTAATGTGAACTACTAGAAGGAAATGTGAGGACAGGAGAAGGGAGTGAGGCCAGGATATTCTTCAACGAAACCCTCCCTCCTTCTGCACCACAGTTCTGAAAGTGGCTGTATCTTCCTGTGAAAGATGGGCAGCCCCTCTTCTATGGCTCCATTTCTCATGGGGCTCCCATAACACTGCCTGCTGCCCTTGTCTCTTCAGGTCTAGGGACAGTCTAGGCTCCTCCAATGCTAGTCTCTGGGGGTCTCAGCATCCCTTGGGTCCCCTGAACCCTATGCACACCTCTTACAGTATCATTTTAAAATTATCTGCTGTTTCAGTGGAATTCAACTTCCTTCTGGGACCCTGAAACCTTCTTGTTTGTGGGGGACAAAAAGGAAAGAATTCAATTGAGAAGAATGTAAACTAGCCAAGCTTACCATGAGTTCTTAAGAGACGGTTGCACCCAAGCATGGTCATGATCAGCACCCGTCACTAACACAAGTGCAATAATAGGAACACTTGAATTACATAATCCCCTGCCCAGAAAGAGTCCAAGATACTGCTTGTGTTGGGATTTCCTGTGCTTAAAACACAGAGACAAAAGCAAAAACATCCACACTGCTTGATTGAGATACCAGTGTCCCCCAAGTCTTATAAGACCTTTCAGAGAAGCTCCTGGCAGGGCCACATGTTGGCAATGCTTTATTTCAGTGGTCCCCAAACTTTCTGGTACCAGGGACTGGTTTCATGGAAGACAATTTTTCCACGGATTGGGTAGTGGACGGCGATGGTTTCAGGATGATTGAAGTGCTTTACATTTATTGTGCGTTTTGTTTCTATTATTATTACGTTGTAATATTTAATGAAATAATTATACAACTCACTGTAATGTACAATCAGTGAGAGCCCTGAGCTTGTTTTCCTGCAGTTAGGCAGTCTCATCTGGGGGTGATGGGAGACAGTGACAGATCATCAGGTATTAGATTCTCATAAAGAGTGTGCAACCTAGATCCCTCGCATGCACAGTGCACAACAGGGTTTGAGCTCCGATGAGAATCTAATGCTGCCCTTGATCTGACAGGAGGTGAAGCTCAGGCGGTTATGGGAGCAATTGGGTGTGGCTGTAAATATAGATGAAGCTTCACTGGCTGGCTGCTCACCTCCTGCTGTGTAGCCCCAGTTCCTAATAATTCGTGGCCCAGGAGTTGGGGCCCCCTGCTCTATTTGACTCTTGGGGGGTGGGGAGGAGAAATCCCCTGGAGATACTAGAAGGACAGAAGGAGAGGGTAAATGAGCAAATAGTGAGAGGAAGGCAGCTAAGTTCTAGGCAATCACAGTGGGAAAGTTGAACACTTTTAATCACAGACTTCTTGCCAGAAACTGTTAGTTAAACTTCTGAGCTTTCAGGCTGAACTTGGAAATGACCATATTATCAGGGATAAGTTCTCAGCAATGTCATGGAGAAATCTGTTCAAAAGGTCTTTTCAGGGCCCTGCAGGGTTGCAAGTGTCTCTGAACAACTAGCAGGAGGAAAACAATAACCAATTCCCATTTCCCCACTCCCAGCCCATCGCTCAGACTCAGAGACCTCTGTTTTCTCAAGCCCTATCAAGGATTAGAGAGGTCCAGAGAAGGACAAGAAAATATCCAGGGGTTTCCAGTAGGAGAAAAGGCAATTTCAGAACATTCAGGGAAGGAGATTGTTTGAGCTAAAGAAAAAAAAATAAAATAAAAAATAAAAAATAAATAAATAAATAAATAAATAAATAAATAAATAAATGAAATTGAGAAATGTAACCAAAGGGTGGGATAAAATCCAAATTGGTAGCCAGAAAGTAGGTGAGCTGTGGAAATGAACAGAATCATGATGCGTAAGTATTAAAATGGACCCAAAGTGGCATAGTCACTTTGTCTCTGAAAGCCACTCCACTACGTCCCATTTTAGGCAGAGAGGTTAAAAAGAAAGTCTGGGGGTGGCTCTGTGCTTTGGAATTAAAACAGCATCTGCGATATTATTAGCTGGGCCAAGATATGCAGAAGCTATCAATCTTTCTGCTTGGGGGAATAATTGATTGCCAAAGCGGCCCAGACAAGCTGCTTCTCCCTCCCTGAGGTCTGGCCCTGAGTTCAGCACAATTAACTAAGTGCTTCTGTGCTGGAGAAGGCTGGGAGCACAGTTGGCTCCCTCTTAAGCATGAGGTGCTTAAGGAAGGAGAACTCGGCTTTATACCTGTCCCCAACTGGGACGAACACCATCCACTGATATTTCTTGTGAGTGGAAACACTGAGGGGTGGGACTGGGCTCTTCTTTAGGATTTGGGAGACTGGTGAAGCTTATAAGCACCTTCCCTGAACAATGTTTTTATGAATATAAAATAAATACTAAGGATAACAAAAGAATACAGCTAACAAGATATTTAAAAAAAAATTGGTGATGTACTGATAGTTGTGTGTCTTTATTAAACGTTAATAAGATATAGTGGTGGGTGCAATAACTTAGACTTATGGAAGTAATGAATATTTCAAAATATCTACAATAGCTGTGTGGTATGAAAATATCTGTATAATATGTGCTGAAACTGCTAATTCTTTTTTTTTTTTTTTTTTGAGATAGAGTCTCACTCAGCTGCCCAGGCTAGAGTACAGTGGTGCAATCTCTGCTCAGTGCAACCTCCGCCTCCCAGACTCAAGTGATTCTCCTGCCTCAGCCTCTCAAGTAGCTGGAATTACAGGCACGCATCTACCACACTCGGCTAACCTTTTGTATTTTTAGTAGAGATGGGGTTTTGCCAGGTTGGCCAAGCTGGTCTGGAATGCCTGACCTCAGGTGATCCACCCACCTCGGCCTAACAAAGTGCTGGGATTACAGGTGTGAGCCACTGTGCCCGGCCTGGAACTGTTTTATGGTGGGTTTCTCACCTACATTTATCACAGAAAGAAGTGCTAAGTTTCATTCGGATGTTCGTGAAAATAAATAATTTTTTAATCCAAGTTTATAGATCCCGGACTTCTCTCCATGTGCCTCAGGTTAAGCTTTAAAGGTGTGTGGGATGGGAATTCCTTGCATACTAAGGAAAAGAAGTGCCAGGAGCCTGGGCCTTGTGTGGGGTCAGGAGTGAGAAGGGTGCCCCAGGCCATTCTTGGGGCCCAGGATGCTTGGAGGGTAACACACTCATTGGAAAGAAGTAACACTGCACTGGAAGTAAATTGTAATTTAAAATGACAATGACCCTCTCCCATCAGAGTGAGCTCTACATGAAAATACACATTCACCTTTTTTAATTTAACTGGGCTAGCAGCAAATCCCTCAAACTGCTGGCCTTGAAAGTCCTGAAATCTGGAATGAAGGGAAAGAATTATAGACAGACAGTAACTCCTTTCAGCTCCAAATCCATCCAAATTAATTGTTGTTCATCCCTCTTCCCTGCTGCCACACAGAAACAGACTGCACCACTTCCCCCTCTTTTCCTTGGTTCTTCCTCATCCCATTAGCGTTCTCATATGGGGGTTTGGAATAGATGGCTACTGAGTCCATAGAGCTCACTAACTACGTTGTGAACAATCTAGGACTTTGGGATGGTTTTACTCAGTGACATGATCAGGTTTGTATTTCAGGACAATCACTCTGGCTTTAAGACAGAGAATATGACTCCAAGCCAACCACCATATACCATCTCAGGGCCAACATCCTTGTCCAAGTCACCACCCACTCTTGCCTGGGTTGTTGGAGTAGCTGGTTAACTGGTTCATCTTGTCCTTTCCTGCTGGCCAATTCTAGCCTGCACCTGCTTTTGTATGGTCTGTGAGCTAAAATAACTTGTGGAAATTTGTTTTCCCTCTTGTTATATAAATACCTTCATAATTAGTACCTCGATTTTGCTTCCTGGCCCACAAAGCCTAAAATATTTACTATCTGACCCTTTATAGAAAAAGTTCGCTAACCTCTGCCATGGCATATCAGTCCGATCCAGCCAGGAAACCAGGAACCGTTTGCTCCACTCACATGGGGGGAATTTTACTAGAGAATGGTTTAGCCAAGGGTTATAATAACTGAGGAGACAAACAGAACACAGTGAGGCAGCACAGAGATTAACAACTGCAGGAAGCTGCTACCATCCTGCAGTTGGAGGAATATGGGAGGATGTGGTGTAACTAATCAGGGCCAGGAAGCTGCAGGTGGCCAACAGAACTGAATGATATGCTGCTACGCAAGAGGTGCCACCCAGTGAAGTGGTGGGGGTGGGGGGGGCCTTAGGGGAGAAAATCCTGGGTCCTCACTTCCTCTGACCCCCAATTTCATAGCAATACTTCCTATCGGCTGAAGCTACCTGGAGAGTTATTGTCAAGGGGGCCTAGAAAATGTAGTTCTCTGAAATACAGAACACAGCAAGAGAAGGAGCAGGCAGGAAATTGATATTAGAACAAACAGGCAAATGGGCAGCTCACTTAAAAACTGAGGATAACACTTGGCTTTCAAATGTTCTCTAAGAGCTGGAGATGATTTAAGTAAGGGCTCTGTGTTTCATTCCTGGAGCAGAGCAGTTAATGTTATTATCCTCATTATTACTATTATTAGTTAACTTCTACCCTGCACTTGGGTTCCCTGTATTGAGTTGTCCAAGCTAAGCATGATGTTGTGGCAGAAGATGGAACTGTAATTGACCTGATTTACCCAGAAATTGTGAGGAATGGAATGAAACTGGACCACATTTATAACTTCCACACATATGGGGCTGGGCCCAGGAACGTGCACCAACCTCCATCTCCCATCCAATGAAATCATTTCACATCACTTATTACAGTCCAGAAGGATCGTGAGATTAGGAGTTTGCTGTTGCAAAATGCACTCAGAGATGCTTTGTGCTAGTGGGGACTTTTTTTTTCTAGAAGTGTGTTTGTATGTTGTTAGGAGAGACACACTTCTGTCCACCCATGCATGCTTCTTCCTTTTTTATAATTGTTTGCTGTGCCAACCTGTAAAACCACAAGCATAACAGCTTAGTTTAACAAGCTTCCTCTTTTAAATGCCAGCCAATGAAATCAATGATGGGTGTAATAAGATGAAGAATGTAGCCAGTAGGGAAAGTTTCTGCCATCTTAAATGTCATACACAGAGATGAAAAGATGCACAGACTGAACGTGCATCACCAGCTCAGGACGGCCACCCAAGAAGAACCTTGGGAACTGGTTTTTTGGTAAATTAACCCCTCTGATTACTCCTGGTTTAACTCCTTGCCATTTGAGCACTAAAACCCCAAGCCTAAAAGACTTTAGAAGTTTTAGGTTTACAGAGAAATATGTGTCTTCTTCAGCTGCCCCTAGAGGTTTATTTCACCTCACTCTGCCTCTCTCGACTTATCTGTTAGGGTTCAGGCATGGTGTGGATGGCAGCAACAAATAAATGCATGATTAGGTCTTACAGTCAGCCGCCCTCTGATTCTGCTTCTAATATACCCATTTCTGGGTTAAACTTGTAAGTATCATAATCAAAGCTATTTAAATTGAACCAAAGACTTCAACTGAGAATAACATTAATTCTTCCTACTCAGTTCTTATATTAATTTCCAGAACAGCCTTCTCCTGAATTCCTCAAGGGCTAGTTGGGCTTGGGATAGGCTTCTGGGGAGCTGAGGGTAGAAGGAAAAATGGTTCTTATCCTAAGCTAGTGTTACCCAAACTTCAATTATTCTCAAAAGTCTTCAAGATCATTGTTATATCCAAATGTCACTTCTACACTTATTTACTTCCCATTTTACTTTTAATTAACCCATATTTTTTATTTAAATTCATTGTTGTTGTTGTTGTTGTTGTTGACAGAGCCTCACTCTGTTGCCTGGCTGGAGTGCAGTGGTGCTATCTCGACTCACTGCAAGCTCCGCCTCCCAGATTCATGCCATTCTCCTGCCTCAGCCTCCCGAGTAGCTGGGACTGCAGGCACCCGCCACCACACCGGGCTAATTTTTGTATTTTTAGTAGAGACAGGATTTCACCATGTTGGCCAGGATGGTCTCGAGCTCTAGACCTTGTGATCTGCCCACGTCAGCCTCCCAAAGTGCTGGAATTACAGGTGTGAGCCATCGTACCTGGCCTTAAATTCGTTTTTAATGAAAACTTTCTATTAGTTCCATAAATGAAAAAGTGGTATCACTTGCCATAATAAAAGAGAACCATGAAAGAAAATGTGTTCTTATGTGGCCCTGGGATGTTATTGGTAGGCCCAAAATCTAAGGCCCACTCTCTACATTAGAAAGGAGAGAATTAGCAGGTGTCAAGAGAGCTGTTAAACACATGCTGGCACAAAAATGAAATCTTTTTTCTTGAAATATTCATAAGGGTCTATGGCCATACCACCCTGAAGGTACCCAATCTCGTCTGATCTCAGAAGTAAGCAGGGTTGGGCCTAGTTAGTACTTGGATGGGAAATAATCAGAAGGATCAAAAGATAAATGAAAAGGAGGCCATTTCCTTCTCTGTGTGATTCAGTGTTGTTCATTGTTGTGCCCATACACTACCTAAATCATAGTATGGGACACATGAACAGCTCTATCATTTGAAGGGCCCATTGCAAAATGAAAATGTGGGTCCTTGTTTAAAAAATTATTAATATACTCAAAAGAAGACACACAAATGGCAAACAGGCATATGAAAAGGTGCTTAACATCACTGATCATCAGAAAAATGCAAATCAAAACTACCATGAGATATCCTCTTACCCCAGTTTAAATGGCTTCTATCTAAAAGTCAGGCAATAACAAATGCTGGTGAGGATGTGGAAAGAGAACCCTCGTCCACGGTTGGTGGGAATATAAACTAGTACGATCACTATGGAGAACAGTTTGGAGGTTCCTCAAAAAACTAAAAATAGAGCTACCATATGATCCAGCAATCACACTGCTGGGCATATACCCAAAAGAAAGAAAATCAGTACATTGAAGAGATACTTGCACTCCCATGTTTGTTGCAGCACTGTTCATAATAGCCAAGATTTGGAAGCACCTAAGTGTCCATCAACAGAGGAATGGATAAAGAATATGTGATACCTATACACAATGGAGTACTATTTGGCCATAAAAAAAGAATCAGTTTGGGCGCAGTGGCTCACGCCTGTAATCCCAGCACTATGGGAGGCCAAGGTGGGCAGATCACAAGGTCAGGAAATCGAGACCGTCCTGGCCAACATGGTGAAACCCCATCTCTACTAAAAATACAAAAATTAGCCGGGTGTGGAGGTGCGTGCCTGTAATCCCAGCTACTCAGGATGCTGAGGCAGAAGAATCGCTTGAACGTGGGAGGCAGAGGTTGCAGCAAGCTGAGGTCACGCCACTGCACTCCAGCCTGGCAACAGAGCTAGATTCTGTCTCAAGAAAAAAAAAAAAAGAAAAAGAAAGAAAGAAAAGAAAAAAGAATCAGATTCAGGCATGTTCAATAACATGGATGGAACTGAAGGTCATTATGTTAAGTGAAATAAGCCAGGTGCAAAAAGACAAACATCACATGTTCTCACTTATTTGTAGGATCTAAAAATCAAAACAATTGAACTCATAGACGTAGATAGTAGAAGTATGTTTACCAGAGGCTAGAAAGAGTACTGGGGGCATGGCAGGGGACGTGCAGATGGTTAATGAGTACAAAAAAAACATAGAATGAATAAGACCTAGTATTTAATAGCACAACAGGCTGACTATATTTGACAATAATTTAATTGTACATTTTAAAATAACTAAAATAGTATAATTGGATTGTTATAACACAAAGGATAAATGCTGAGGAGATAGATACCCCAATATCCATGATGTGATTATTAAGCATTGCACGCCTATATCAAAAGAACTCATGTACTCCATAAATACATACACCTGCTATATACTCACAAAAAATTAAAAATAAATTTAAGAAAATTATTAATAGTTTCAAGACAGTAACAGAAGAGCAAGAACCCAAGCACTGAGCCCTTCTAAGTGTAGGACCTCACACCCATGAAGCCAGCTTTGATGGTGCATGCCCCATACTTTGTATATTACAGAGAAGGCAAGCATCCAAGGGAATGAGTACATGTGAACACCCTGTAGGAAACTTGAAGGGAAGTATGGAGGGCCATCAATGCTACCTGAGGCAGGAAACAAAGCCAAAGTATGGGACTAATAATTCTACGTCATACTGATGAGAAGAACCACAAGACAGTCAGGTCAGATACAATAATGAGGCATGTGGCTGGAACTATTGCCTGGAACTGTTTGTGATTTCGTTTTAGAAAACCAGTTTCCTGTTTTTTAAATAGTCAAAGTTAGAGTTGAAGAAGATGAAGGAGATAGTAATGTCATGACCTGATATATCTGGCAGCATCCTAGCAAGAAACATCCAGGGTGCTTAAAGATATAGCTGCAGAAAGTTTACTAAAGGGACAATACACAGAAAAGTGTAGGCAGGGTTACAAGCACCAAAAGGGACAATCACACAGAAGCACTAACAACAGCAGGAAGCTGTTACCAGCCCTAGACCTGAAGGGGCAAGGGGAGGCAGTGGTTATTGGAACTTAGAAAGGACTGAACTCCTGGGAGAGGGCAGGCTCACAGGAGCCAAGACCTTAGGGGAAGAAATGCAGTCACTGCCAAACCACAGCCCAGTAGGGAAGGGGCAGGAATAATAAATGCATCAACTTATTTATCTTCCCAGGACCTCCCATTGACAGAACCCAACCCAGAACAGGAGGGCAATAGATCCTGGATGACGCAGCCCAGAAGTCAGCCTCCTGGGGCACAGAGCAGGGAGGACAAGGAGGGAGATGGGCCTGGAGGGCACCTGGAAATTAATCAGCACATCTGGTGACATGTATCTGTGGAGGTGCTGGGGAGTGTGTGAGACTATTGGGGGTGAGGGTCAGGGGGCAGCGGTGGGGTCAGTGGGGGGTGGGGGGGAGGCGGGGCGGTATTTAAGAGAGTAGCTGATTGCACCCAGATTTTGGACTAGGCAAACTGGGTGAAAAATGACTCCATTCACTGAGCTGGGGAATTCAGAAGAGGAACATCTGGGGGAGGAGTTTTGGCTGTGCCATGTTTGGAGGCATAAAGGACATCCAGGGAACAGAGTAATCAGGACTGGCACTATAGAACTGGAGGTCATGGATCTGTAAGAGGCAGTTGAAGTCAGTGGGAAGACCAAGGACAAAGATCCAGCAACACCAACATGCAAAAGGAAATTGGGGGGAAACTAAGGAGTGGCCAGATGGGTAAGAAGAAACTGAAAAGAGTTGTTGGAGGGAGGGGGGGCAGGGTGGAAATATTCAGCCAAGATAATTTCCAGAGGGAGTGAGCCTTAAGTCATTGTACAAGAAGCCATTAAGTGGAATCCTGCATTGCATAGGTGTCTGGATAAGATGACCCCTTAGCCACGTCCCATCCCTGTGTTTCCACTATGATCAGAGATGAAGTAGAGCAGCAGTTCTCAGCTACCCCCTACCAAAGTTCCCAGTCTGCCCCAAAGACGGAAGGCAATGCCTCAAACACCACAATCCCCAACTTGGAGAAACCACCTCTGGCTTCCAACCCTCCTTGCCACCAATCTCTCAGTTTCTTCTGAAGCCAGCACAGAGGGATTAGCTGAGAAGGTTTGTGTTGAGGGGAATGGAGGCCCAAGAGAAAATAGGAGGAAATGAATCTCCCTTGGAATCCTTGAGGCAAATCAGGGCTAACACTCCAGCCACAAGCTGCAGTAAGTTTGGCCTGCTGGTCAGCTATGCAGGACAGATAGCAAAGAAGCCAACTCCTCTTGTCAGCCCCGAGCAGATGCCGAAGTTCTTCTGCAGACCCAGCTCTCTGCTACCTGCCAGTCCACGCTGCTGTCCCTCTCCACCCTTGTACTACCCTCTTCAGCCACACAACCAAATTCTGTGATTTCCTCTCTCCAGGGCATGTTTGCCCTCATCTGACTTGATGTTGAGGGTGTAGTCCCATGAGAAACTAAAGGGAAATAAGGTTAGAGAGAGCTTCCTCTGACCCTCCGCCCTCACCCCACCCCTCACGGCCAGGACAGCCCCATGCCCAGGTGTCACACAGAGGCCCCCCTCCAGCTCCCCTGCATGCCCTCGGTCTCTTTTTCAGGGAAAGCCATGGTTGAGCTGACAATCCTGCCTCTGAAAAGCCTTAAGTGCTTCCTAGAAGATGCATCTGACTTTCACCAACACTAGTGGCTAGCACTTCCGCTTCCACAACCCTGTTGCCTCTCCAGGAAAAGCCTCTTTAACCAAGACCGCCTTAAGCCACTAGCCGAATGAGGCCAGTTCCTCTCAGCTACTTCTCATTTGCCTTCTGCCTGCCCTGTCAATGGCATTTGCCAGTGCTCAGTTAATGTTTCTGGAACTCTGGAACTACAGTTTTCTTATTCACTGAGGTAGCCAAACTAGAGTGCTTCCCAAAAGCGCTTCTTCTGACTCTCTACTAAAACTGTCTTTAATCGTCTTGCCTGAAAGTCATGGTACAATACCAGATGCTTCAGGGAGAAATGACTCATAACCCCTTCCCTTAAGAAGCTCATAGTCTTGGGGGAGAGACAGGGAAGTGCGCAGTAACTCCATTAGAAGTTATATGAGGAAGTATGAAAAGATTACAGAGGAGGAAGCCATTAAATCCAACTAGAAACTGTTATTTCAATAACAGCTACATTTAATACTGAAATCCTGCTATTATGCACCAGACTATGTATTAGCTAACTCTTACACCCCATGATGTAGCCAGTCTTATTAGCCTCGTTGTATACATAAGGGAGACAAAGAAAGGAAACTTACCAAAGGCTACAGGACACCAAGTAAATGACACTGGATGCAGACAAACCCCTCCCACTCCAAAACCTGTGTTTATTACCATAGTAGACAGTAACTGGACCAACACTGGCATTTACTGAACACTAGACACTGCCCCATGCATTTAACACACATAAAATTTGGCCAGGTGCGGTGGCTCACGCCTGTAGTCCCAGCACTTTGGGAGGCCAAGGCGGGCGGATCACGAGGTCAGGAGATCGAGACCATCCTGGCTAACATGGGGAAACCCGTCTCTACTAAAAATACAAAAAATTAGCCGGGCTTGGTGGCGGGTGCCTGTAGTCCCAGCTGCTCCGGAGGCTGAGGCAGGAGAATGGCCTGAACCCGAGAGGCGGAGCTTGCAGTGAGCCGAGATCGCGCCACTGCACTCCAACCTGAGAGACAGAGCGAGACTCCATCTCAACAACAACAACAACAAAAATACACAGTGAAGAAGGTATTACTTCAATTCTCCTTTTGCAAATAAGACACTGAGGTTCAGAGAAGTTATGTAACTTGTTCAAGATCTCACAGAAGCCAGAATTCAAATGCAGACCATAATTACCACACAATTTGGCCACCCTGTTTAGAAGACATAACGTGTGAATGACACCATAAAGGCTGTTAGAAAAGAAATATGTTTTCTTAGTTTGAGTTCCTCCCAATAGCATGACCTGAGACAAGAATCTAGATGCAGGTAGGTTATTTCTAAGGTGATCCCAAGGAGCAAAGAATGGGGTACAGCAACAGAAAAAAAAAAAGACAAAATAAAGGTTTATTGTGGGGGTTGCCACTGTGCTCTCACAAGGAGAGGTGAAAGAGCATTTCCCCAGAGTTCTTCTGCCCCCTCTCCAATGATGTATGGGTCTTCTGAGCTCCCTCAGGCATCCCTGGTATCAGGGAATCCCTGGGACAGAAAGCAGAAATATAAGATATGTGCTGGAAGCCAGACACTCTGGGCAGGAAGCACAAAGCTGGGCTCTGAACTGTGCACCCCAGCCACAGCTAAAGTCAGAGGTGATGTGGCAAGCATAAGAGTCTAGCTCCCAGCTGTACCTGCCTCACAAGGGGGCAATGCAGTGGGAGGGGACACTTCACACGCAGCAGGCGGCAGGACTAGGGCAGGAGCGTGAGAGCCATGCATGTTCTACCATGCACTTATGAAACGTTCCATTGCTCCTCTACTGTATCCCCAGCAACCTCCACCGCACTGGGTTTACAACTCTCCTCTTGAAATTATAGAAATAAACTCTCGGTCAGTGCAGTAAGCTGAAGTGAAGCAACCCTTGATTCCAGAGGCCAGAGGCAGCTTCCCCTTTCTTCTATCCAACCATGAAAAAGCAGTCCTCTGCCTTGTGCAGTGGTATTGCTGGCTCTCAGTCACTAGTATTTTCTGAGGCTAGCAGTATAGAATTGCAGTTGAATGCTTGAACTCTGTGTGTCCTTGGGCAAGTTATTAACCTCTCTGAACCTCAGTTTGTTTCATCTCTAAAGAAAGACACAGATACTTACCTAGTAGAGTTGGGTGAGGATTAGATGATATTCTGGCTGTGATGCATTTAGCACAGTACGTGGGGTATAGTGAGCATTTAATCAAGAATTGTTGTGCATATTTTAACATTTCTGAGTCAATTCACTTCAGCATCAAAGGGGAGAACTAGAGGCAGTTACTTATCATTTAAAGAAAGAGGATAATATAATGCAGACAGTGCTAGACTTGCTGGGTGAAAGATTTCATTTTCCAGCTTTAGGATCTTAGGGCCAGTAATCTCTCTGAATTTGGGTTTTTCTATCATAAGTGGAGATAACCATTTTTTTCTACCTCAAAACATTGTTGAGGCTCAATGGTGATCACAAATGTAAAATGCTTGTAAACCCTAATGTGATATAAAAATGTTATTATTGTGATTATCATAATGATAAGAATCAAAGCTTCACTCTCCCCAGCACAAGTATATACTCGCTCTGTGAGACTGACTGCTCCTCAGTTGCTGGAACAAGAGCAAGGCATTTTCACCCTAAGGTCACTGCCATTGGAGGGAGTGTGTGATTAATATCAGAGACACTCTGTAACAGCTGCTCAGGGTGAGCCACTCATACCATCAGTGTCAAGGGCTGGGCTGCTAATTTATTTATGTATGAAGATGACAACCAGGGAAAGCAATTAGGACTTGGGCATCTGTTGTGATCCTCTCTCGCTGGACCTGTGGCAGTGGGGCACCACAAAAACCTTAACAACAGTTGCTAACTGCTAAGTACCATCCTTCTGCATTGGCTCAGGATCACTGACTCTTTATTTGCCAAACAAGTCATATTTGTGCTCCAATCCCTTGTCTGTTCCCTTCCTTGAGCCAACCCAAATTACAGGACAAGTGGCAGGAGTGCCGAAGGGAAATGGGCTTGGAGGCAAAGATGTGTGTTGGGTGATGGGGGCTGGGAGATTCTAAAGTATTTTCAGAGTTCTTTACTGCTATCAATTAAATGAATCCCTGCAACAGCCCTGGAAAGTAGGTCAATATTATTATAGCTGCATCATGGATGAGAAAACAGGCTTAAGAAGAATGGGTTGCCCAAGGCTCAGCCACCCATCAGAGGAGCTGAAGCAGAATTAGATGGACAAATTCCTGACACTGAATCCTTGGCCAAGTGTCTGCTTACTTAGCATGCAGCAGGTGATCAATAAATGGTAGACTCCTTACTGACTTGACTCACTGAGTCTTAAAATGATGTATTAATCCCCTCCTGGGCACAGTGGCAGATTCTAGACCCAATTCAGATCCTAAAGCCAGAGGAGCTTTTAAACACAGGTCCTAAAACCCGCATAATTCAAGAAGTATCTTTGGAGGCACCCCAACTGAAAGAGAGTTGAAGAGGTAGCTTGGTCTTCATAGAGCACGTTGCTTGGGCTGCCCAAAATCTGAAAACGGTTCTTACCAGAAGGCAGAGAAGTTGGCAGGGGTTCCCTTCCCTTTCCCCCACCTTTATAACCCTATGGAAGCCAAATTTGGTTCCATTTCACATCTCAGAGGAAGTTAGAGATTGTATGTGGTGCAGGGAGGGCAAGATCTGGGGTGGGGTGCACCATGGAGATGCCAGTGGCCACAGGCGTTACGCCTGGAGATATGATTCCCATGAGACTGTTCCCAACGCACATCTTTGGCTTTTTTACTTCCCTTGTCTCCCCAAAGTCTGTGCTCCAGTTTTCCAATCGATTCCAATAAACTCTTTCTGCCTTAAATTAACTGGACTCTCTTTCTGTTGTTTGCAACCCCGAATAGTACAGTTTCTGACCTAGAAATGTAAGTGCTTGCCAAGAGGGATTAAAATTGCCAGCTTCAGATTTCTGTACATTGCTGGTAAGAAGGTAAACAGGCACAACACCCATGCAGGGCAATTTGGTAATAGCTATCATGGATCCTTTGACCCAGCTCTCCGCTGTGGGGAATTTATCCTACATATACACTTGCACAATTGCAAAAGGACTTACATGCAAAGTCATTATGCGCTTCTGTGCCTATGCACCGAATCATTCACTATAGCGGTATTCGTAATAGCAAAACACTTGAAAGGCTCCAAAGGTCTATCAAGAGAGGACTGATTAGGTAAATTATGGCATATATACCTGATGGAAAGTTATCCAGTTGCTTTTTTTTCTTTTTCACGAGGGTACTTCTTATGTACTGATATGGAAAAATTTCCCAGATATGCCAATAAGTAAAAAAAAAAAAAAAGAAAAGAAAAGGAAAAAAAGAAAAAAAATTAAAGAAAAGGTTCAGAACAGTGTATACAAGATACTATCTTTTATAAAAATAGGAGAAAATGGATCTACATTTGCTCTTTCTTAAATATGTGTGAAGCAACTCTAGCAGGTCACAAAGAAACAGAAGTTTTCCTGTTGGAAGAGAAACAATGAGGCACCTAAAAGAACAAGATGAGGGAACACTTATTACATTTTTCACTGGGTACCTTTTCAGGTTTTTACAGTTTTTGAATCAGGTCAATAGGCATCTATTCAAATTATTAAATTTTACAATTGCCACCTCAAAGACTGAAAACCAGCCCAAATTTAATTCATTTGATCACCCTCCCATCCCCTGACACACACACACACACACAAACACACACACACACACACACACCAACCCACCCATCACCCTCAGCGTGTGGCTAGGGCAAAATGGTTAATGGTGGCCATTGGGTTGTCAGATTCCAGCACATGCAGAAGGCAGGTCAAAGACTTCTCTGTGGAGTATTGCCTTCACACAGCAAGAAGAGACTATTGAAAAGACAGAATAGGCTGCTGAAAACAAAGTGAGATGGTTTCTATTGCAGGGGAAAAAGAAGGTTCATAGTATCTTTTGATTTGTAAAATATAAAGAGACATTACATTTCAGCACATGTTCTTAAGAACTGCCTCCCCAAGTCATACAATTCACTGGCCCTGCCATGGAGACACCCTCCTCACAAACTGGAAAATAGCCCATTCAGAATGAATTACTGGGAAATAAGGAGTCCTGGCAAATTATTTGCATCAATGGAATATATCTGGAGTGATTATTCTGCAAATACTGCCCAACGAAGAGATTTGAGTTTTCTTGCTTGCAGGTCCACAGAGATCAAACTCAAACAAAGGTCCCCAAGACAAAACTTACTTATCCTCTAAGTCATCTACTTGAAAATCAATAATATTTCAAATTTAATGAGTTGTAAGACAAGTAAATTAGAGTTTGGCATAAGCAATATTGATTAGATGATTCTGTCAACTGGAACCCATAACTATCCTCTGTAATTAAGTATTCCATGTAGGGTACAATGCACTCAATGCTGGTTGCCTTTATGAGTATATCAGAGGTCTGCCTATTCCTGTAATGAAAGTCGTTTTCCACACACTGGCTGGCAGTCTGTGCCCTGCCTAGTACGGGTGTCCCTGCCCTTTTTCTTGGCAGCAGCAGGCTTCAGTGATAAGTGGATTTCCCCAAGCACTAATCACCCCTTGCTCTAGTCACAGAGCTTCAGCAAATTTAAACATCAAAATGAAGAACGGCAACTAAAAAAAAAAATCACGTGGAAGAAACTGCCTTCAGTAAAAGAGCTTCTGTGGAATAATATGCAACTGTTGGGAGCTGTTCTTTAAAGTTCCCCTTGCAGTTTGCATTTCATAGAAGCTTGGGGATGGCCAAAGTAAATTTCTCACTAAATTGACTAAAGAAGGAGCAAAAGGGCAGAATCTAAAACATCTACTGTCACCATTCAACATCAAATGTCCTAGTCCTACCTCTCAACATGAAAGTACCTTGCCTATATCAATCTTTTCTGTCCCTCCCTAGGGAAACCTTATTTTTTAAATCTGAGTAATGGCTGCTTTTTAATTAATTAATTTAATTAATGTTAAATGGAATCTCTGACATTTTAGTAGTCCTGGGATCTCTGGAGCACAGTGCCCGACAGTCCATTTTACTAAGGAAAAGAAACATCAGAGATTGCATATGAAATTTTCCACGTTGCATTTAGCCCCCAGCTGTTTTAAATAGGGAAAACAGAAAGGCAAAGAGCACTAAATCCTCAACATTTTGAGAGTATGGACTGGACTGATTTAGGCACCACTTGGAAGCTTGTTAGAAATGCAAAGCCCTCTGGTCCCATCCCAGACCTGCAGAATCAGAATCTGCATTTTAATCAGGTCCCCAGGTGATTCCCATACACATTAGAATTTGAGTAGTACACCTAGGTTTGAATCAGACTCTGCTCTTACTAGCTGTGTGAACTTGGCCAAGTTACATAGCCTCTCTGTATTTCAGTGTGCCTGGCACATAATAGGCACTCAGTAAATGTTAGCTATTAAAGGAGACCTATTTCTGGAATAAATGAGAGGTTCTTGGGCTTTGGACAGAGAGAGATCCTTGGGAGAAAAAACAACATATGCCTGATATAAATTGACAAAGATTTTACTGGAGCCAGAGAAACAGAAATGGGTGAAAAATAAGCAGTGATACCTAAAAGGGGAGATAATTGAAGACAGAGATGTGTCCATATTCCTTCTCCACCTTGAGCAAAGAGGTTCAATAAAACGATTTAAAAAGGAAAAACAAAAACAAGATTTGAAATTTCACAGCCCTGGATTGAAACCCTGCCTCCACTATTTCCTGGCAGTATAAATCTCAGCAATTTTCTGACCTCCCTGAGCCTCCATCTTCAGTATGTATAAATTTGATGTGGACATTGATAGT
The DNA here is from genome assembly GCF_000001405.40 of Homo sapiens. NCBI lineage: Eukaryota > Metazoa > Chordata > Mammalia > Primates > Hominidae > Homo > Homo sapiens. Next base: position 31,239,403 of record NC_000003.12, read on the forward strand.
TACCTGTAGAAGTTGTTATAAAGATTAAATTTAAACTATGTATAATAAGAAATGTGTGTTTCATATAGTAGCAGAGTTTCTGTAAGACCAAACCAGATGAATCTCTGAAGACATGGGCTAGATTTTGAGTGATTCTCAACCCTGGCTGCATATTTCAAAACACATGAAGCTGAGTTTTTTTTAAAGACCTATATCTGGGTCTCACACCCAACCAATTAAATAAGAAACTTTTGGGATGGTGCCTAGCCCTTAGTATTTTCAAATATTCAGCCCAAGATTGAGTCCTACTATGATAGAAGGAAACAAAAAAGAAATAGCAAAATCAGTCTGAAAAAAAAATTAAACAGTAATCTTGGGTGAGAAAAACAGATGGAAAAAAAAGAGGCCTGGAGAGAGTTGAAAAAGGAGCACCTTGGGCCATGGTGGGGTGTCTGTAACTACAGCAGCAAAAATGGTTAAAGGTCTTATTAAAGAATAGAGAAATCCAATATTATTGATACTGGCTACCGCTGTCAAATCTCCAGTGAAAGCAATCACGCAGTTTATGTGTGGCATATTTGGGAGGAAATCAGAAAGACACTCAAGGAGAAATGGCCATTGACCTTCCTTTGGGTTGACAGGAAAGCCGATATAGGACAAGAACACAAGCAGAATGTAAGGATTCAGCAACAGCTAGAAATGGAGTCAGAGATGACCAGGAGACACAGAAAACCACAGGAAGTCATAGAAATACTAGGGAGAGGATTGGACTTTCTATGCCATGAAGAATTAGGGTGTGAGTCCATTTTCTCTGGAGCCCAAGAGGAAAGGGGAACTCAGCTGATTTCTGATTTACACATAGACGCAGTTCACACTAAACAGGTGGTGGTAGTTATAATTAGTCCTGAAAAACTGAAATCTCAACTCCCTCCGCATATTTGATATTCATTCCTCTGTATTAAAGCCATCGTTATAGAAACTCTGCTAACTAATGTGGCAGTTTGCTACCCATCACGTTTGCAAATAGACCTTTTGACTCTAAGGTTTCCCAAATTTTGTATTAGCAAATATATCTTGGCACATGGATTTTCACAACCATTTGTAGGGAGGAGACATGGCCTGTGTTTAATACACTTCTGTTAAGATCCCCAATTTCCAGAATCCTAATATTTGTCACCCAAGAGTCATGAAACTGACAGGGATGCAGGCTGAGAGGAGCTGTACTGTGTGAGCAAGAGGCTGACACATTTGCATTCACGAGGCTTGCTTCAGCCTCCTCCAGGGTTCCCATGATGCTGTTATGAGCAGAAACAACTCAACAGAACTCCAATTAAATCAAGTGACTGTGCATCACATAACATTTAGGAGTGCACAGATTTTTTTCTATATAGATGGCCTCTTACAGTCATGATTAAACTTTAACACATAGAGTGAAATCATTTACAAAGAACCAACATCAACCAGTGTGAAGTGAGGAAAATCTTTAAGCTTTCAAGGCTGAAAATGAAGGGAAACGTCTTCATCTAAAGATCATAAAAGTAATTTGTCTCATTAAACATTGGATTCTCTTGGCATGATTACTTTTATAAATGTTTAAGACTTCTGATTTGTTCCCTTTTCTATGAAATAAGAAGGAATTACTAAAGAGTAGAAACTTAGTTTTTCTGGCTGACTCATATTCTTCCTTCTAGACTCAGCTCAGATATCTTATCCTCCAAGAAGCTACCCCTGACCTCCAGGCCAGGGGAAGCTTTCCTCTCCCTGAGTGTCCTTAGCAGCCTCTTTGTGTCTCTACTTCATAATTTCTTATTTTATGTTGAGGTTATCTTTATGTGTCTGCCTCCCCTATAAGACTGTATACTGCTCACTGTTATACCCCTAGCACCTGACACCGTGCCTGGCACAAGAGAGAAAATCAGTGTTTGTGGGACCGTTGAAATCAGCTGAAAAATGAATGGAAGAGAATTCAATATATCCCAGAATCTGTGTTACTATAAACAGGGGCACCCGTTGCTTTCTTCCTATCCTGAATAATAACTGAGGGCATTAGCCTGTTGTCCCAATTCCATGGTGAGACAGTCTACCTAAAGAAGATTGTTCCTTTGAAATAATGAAACAACTGAAAATTCTCAAAACCAGCTTAGGCTGTTAGCTCCAGGGGATGAGGGAGTTTGTCTTCCCAGTTCAGCACTGCATCCCCAGGACTTAGCTCAAGGTCTGCCCGCAATAGCCACCGGCACAGGACATGAAGATGAACCACCCAGATCCCCTTCAAGGAAGGACCTGCTGCCCCTGCAGAGTGTAGCCAGCACACAGCCTTCAGCTGTCAGGGCCTTCAGAGACTGCCTCAGCTATGCCTTACCTCAGCTATGCCCTTCCTGGGGCAGCCCTCATCCAGTGAATGAGCAAAGTAGAGGTACAAAGCACAGCCATCGTGGCTAGATGCAGCCATAGGACAATTCCAACAGGCAACACCCACTCCAGATCTCCCCACCAGCTTCCCATTTGTCCTGTATTGCAGTTTAACTTTCCCTCTGCCCAATCCTGCTTTCTCTCCCTCACCATTACAGGTGTTGGTTCCTAATCAATATTTTGTTCCCCAAACTCTGTCTGAATATCTCCTCCAGAAAAATCCATCCTGTGAAACTACTAATAAATGCTTGTTGAATGAATGAATGAAGGAGTTGTAAAAAAAATTGTTTTTTAAATCTGTAAGTAAATTAATGTGCAAACAAACGAGTAAAAGATGTTAACTAGAAAATATTTTAGCTGTGCTAAATGACTACCACTGTCAACCACAAATAGAGGTGGAACAATTAGGGAATCCCCAGAACAGTTCCATACAGAGATATTAGAATATAACTACCACTTTCAGAACATGTCTTATGTTAAATGCTGTGCTTTCTCACATAATCCTTTCAGCTGCCCTGTGGGTGGAAAATCATTGGCCCCATTTTAGAATATGAAAGGAGGCTCTCAGAGTTGAAGGAGCTTGCTCAAGATCATGTAGCTAGTCAGCTCAAAGAAGGGATGCAAATTCTTTCTGCCAATGAAAACTTCTCCATGGTTCATATCATACTTCACAATCCATCACAAATGTTTTAGTTGGTAACCCCTTCTCAATATGGTCAAACAGACTGGCTGAAAGCAAACATTTGGCCTGAACATTTCCTTCTATCCAGCTGGCTGCTCCAATAAGAAACTATTACCCTTGTTCCAAACGCACAAGCTCATCCCTGTGTGGGCAAATAGATGCTACTTGGACAATTCCAGTTTTATTTTTGCCATTAGTGACATATGCAATGCTGTTTTTTCCATCTCATGAATAATAACAATAATAAATTTAATCATTATGATAAAATAATTATAATAATAATGGTACATTATTATTATAAAATAATAATTTTATTAGCTTAAAAATCATAGTAAACTTTCTTGTAACATTTGTCTAAAATGAGAATGGAATATTTTCTGCTAATTATGCAATGGTGTTGCTTCTTTCAAAAGCAGTTTAAGGGGAACGTAAAGGTGTACTTTTGACTAAACACAGTGAAGGACTTTCAGGTCATAATAGCACCTCCCATCCCATTGAGGTAAAATTGAAATATGACTGGAAACTAGACATGCTAGTATTTCCCCAAACTTTTGGATGAATTCCTTCTAATCACAATGGAGAGATGGCCCCCCATTCTTCATTCGTTTATGTAGTCCATGCTTTTTGCCTTATAATTTCATAGTGCCTTTCCACTCTGAGTTCAGGGCTTACCGTGTAACTGACTTTGGCCAATGATATGTTAACAAATGTGATGTAAGGAGAAACTTGAAAAGTGCTTGTCAGATTGGATTTGGTCTCATTCTTGCTCCTGTGCAATTGCCATGAGAACATGCCCAAGTTAGCCTGCTAGAGGATGAGAAACGTGAAGCAGAGGCCCCAGCTACAGTGCCCCATTTGGAATTCAACCTAAATGAGGGAACTATGCTAACTCTCCAATATTTGAGAAAGAAATACTTACTGTCATATGCCACTAAGTTTTCCAGTAGTTTGCCACACAGCAAAATTTAACTGGTGAAACAGTCTTAGGCAAAAGACTATTGGTAGTGTTCACTTGCTTTGACTTTTGAAACAAAATAATAAAGACAGGAGAAAGCATGACAGAATACATTTCTACAAGCCTTTCCTGTGTATTCTCATACCAGAGACTCAGGGTCCCTGTTGACCAGAAAATGACTTTCTGAAATGACCATACATTTTTGCCTCATTCTCTATTAGTATTTCTCTATGTCAGCATTGTCTAATAGAAATAGAATACACACTAGATAAACAATTTTAAATTTTCTAGTAGCCACATTTTTGAGAAGCAAAATGAAACTGGTGAAATTAATTATAATAGAATATTTAATATATCTAAAATATTTTCATTTCCACATTAAATCAATGTTTTTAAATTATTAATGAGATATTTTACATCCCTTTTTTATTCCACATCGTGAAATATGGCGAGTATTTTACATTTACAACACATCTCAATTTGGACTAGACACATTTCAAGTGTTCAATAGCCACAGGTTACTAGTGGCTACTATATCAAAAAGCACAACTCTGAATCCACTGGACATGGTAGTTCCATTGGCCCAGAATGGAAGTAGACAGGAAATGAAGCATTGTATCCTGGGATTTTAGCAGCCATTGGAAAAGAGAAAAGCCAGAAGAATTGAGAATAGTAGTTATTGCAACTTATGACATAGTAATTACACATTGTTTTGGATTACTCAGAAATAATTTTCTTCATCATATTCAGAAAATTAAGAGCAGATAATGCAGAAAAGCTTTGTCAGACAAGTGTCTAAAAAAACAATGGAAACTTGGTTAGGAGCTATATATATATCCATCCACTCTTCAATTGTGATACAAGGAGTATGTGTCATCATCTAGGTAGGAGATAATGGGATGAAGAACACATGTGCTTATTTTTTTGAAAACTCCAGGAGTATATATGTATATCTATATATCTACTTATCTATGTAGCTATACACACAGACACACACAATAAAAATAATTCTACAATTTTGCATTATTGGAGAAGGAAAGTATTTCCCTGACAACACAAATAAATAAATAGCATATTTTTTAAAGAGTAATTACAGGTAAAAGAAAAATATTATACCTTTAATATAACTTAGATCGAAAACCTATGAAACAAGAGTTGAATGAAGATGTGATGGGAAAAGAGATTTAATTTTGGCCTTAGACAAAAAATGGAGCCAATCGAAAAAGGGAAAGAGTTCAAGAAAATTAAAAATGCAATTAAAGATAAAAAGATAAATAAGAAATTGGTAAATAGAATGAGGATAAGAGACCTAACTTATACATAATTGGTGATACCAAGAGAAAATCACAACAGTTTAAGCAGAAGCTAAAATCAAGCCCCAACACTGGAATACAATGGAGCAAATTTATAAAGTTTCGAAGAAAAGTGTATGATCCAATAATTCTCCCCAAAGTAGGTTGTCAAAAGAAATATACTCTTAGACAGTAAACTGTACCCATTATCTATTGCCACAATAATGCTGCAAAGCAAGCAACCACAAAATCTCCGTGAGATAAAACAATAAACATTTATTTTTGTTCACAAGATTATGAGTTGTCTGGGGATTTCTGCAGATCTGAGCGGGGATACTTCACATGACTGTGGCCTTGTCCAGACAATTAGATTCACCTGACTGATCTCTATTTCTCTCGTCCTCCATCATCTTAGCTTGGTCTCAGAGTGGTAGCAGGGATACAAAGTTACTGGGTAGAGGAGGTAGATATGAGGAGGCTAATAAGGAGGACCATCAAAGCAATAATTCTCCTTGTGAATGCCCTCCAGCTATAGACCACCAGGAACACATCTAAAAATGTTGGGTTTATTACTCATTTCAGTGAGGGAGAATTCACACCGTGGGAAACCTTGAGTCTTGTTAGTGAGAGGGCATTACAAAGCATTTGTAGGATTTGTGTTTTGTGTTAAGTGATTTTAGTGTGTAGGGCTTTGGTTTGGATTGGCTGATGTCCAGAAGCAGGGGTATCTTATGAATGGGTATCTTAATAAATCTTATCTATCTAGAATGTGGGAAGACCAGAAAAGATTAACGCTGTACTTGGTAAAGAAGCAGCAATCCCTTGTATTAGCCATGAGAGGGGGATGGTTGGTCACTTCTGTGGCTTGTACAATGTACATGTTTTGTTGTGTTCAGACATGGTCATGAAGTGGTCTTGTCTTTGTCATGCTCCACCATCATCACAGAGTAGCCTGGTCTGACACTGATGCTCTGTGAAGTTATTTTCAACAGGAGAGCACTAAAGTCTAGCTGTGATGCCAGCCGGCTCCAAGAGGTCAGGCTGCTTTTCTTCTCATGTCACACACACACTCCCAGTTGGTTACCCTGGCAATTTTACTTAATGCTTTCATTCATCATAGCAAGAGGTGATTCAAAATAAATGAACTTGATTTTTTTTTTAAAAAAAAAAAAGCTTTGGTATAAAAGCACCAACAGTAAACACAGAACCCAGTTAAACACAGAGCTATATCTAAATGAATATTATAAATATGGTTATAATATATCAAAAGCGATCATGAAATGAGACATATAAGCCATATAATAATAGTTTAATAATAAGAATTTAGGTATAACCCCCAAATTATATTAACAAGAGTAAAGAATGAAAAATGGAGAGTAGGAGAAAGTTGAAATGTAGAGCATTTCTCATTTTAGAGAATGGGAGGTCAAAAGACAATGGTTCTTTTTCTTTTTTTTTTTTCCTCTATCAAGTTTGGAGAAATAAAGGTGCCATACGTTTTTGAAAAACTTAATGAAAACTACTTGTAGTGCTAATAAACAGAATGTGTACCTTCCAAATGATTACAGAAAATAAAAGCCACCCCTAAAAAATTGTAGCATCAGACAGAAAACAAAGAAACTAATCAAAAGCATTTTTTAAGCATAAAACAAAATGGCTGAAATAAGACCAAAAGTCTTACTCATTCATTTGTCTTCCCTCCTTTTCTTACCCCTGCTCTTGCCTTAGACCAGGCCCTGATCTGCTCTCTGTCTTCTAAAATACAGCATACAGCCTCCTAATCAGCCTCTCTCCCTCAGATCAGATCTTTGCAGAGCAGAGGCTGCACTCATGCTATCATTTGTAGAGTGGGGACATTGGCAAACTGTTGATTACAGGTGTGCAATGAGGAGAGAACAGAGATTAAGACAAGCATGTGAAGCTTTTGTAGCAATTTGACAAGCTATTTTGTGTCTGTTGAAACTAATAATTAATAATTGGTGCTTGCATTTTGTACCTTTTTATTACATTTTTCTAGTAACTCATTTTTTATTATAGTTTCTAAAAATATCAGTCTGTAATATATGAGAAAAGGCAGAAAACAGCTGGTCCTTCACCACGGATGGTTTGAGAAGCCCAGAGCATATCTAAGTGAATTCCATGGAATCTGTCACTTCTCTGCCCACAAACATTCAGTGGCTCCCTCCTGTTCCTAACAATGATTCTTCTTTTCCTGCCTCCACACTATTCCTATGGGCAACATTGCCTATCAGTCATGCCTCTTATTATACAGGGATTCTCAAAGGGAGAGGGCAGAGACGAAAATCTCAAACCTGGAAGGAAAGCAGTAGGAATGTGCACTTTGAAACATAAAACCCTAAAGATTTGGATACATCTGCAGTGTGTGTGTCCCCTTCCCTTCCTCCTCCGCTACCCTCAGGCCACACCTCCAGGCCCTCCCCAACAGCACCCCCAGAACTCAGGAGCTCAGAGATTGCACCCTGGACACACCCCGCAGTCCCCTGCCTGCCCCTTTTCTCTTCTTCCAAGACTGTCACCTCTCCCCTCCACCACACTCTGCTCCTTCTTGAAGCCCCAACTCAAAAGTCATGCTTTCCTGTTCCCTCCTTCCCAACCCCTCCCAGGCAAATTTTCTTGCTCCTTTGAGGCAAAAGCTCCATACACATACCTAACTTTGACACTGAGGCTTCAATTTTAGGGGTTTTCCTAAGGACAAAATTAGGGTTTATGTACAAATTTATCTATAAAATTATTAAATTCAGAGTAGTACAGGATTGGTTAAATAACTAACTTCTGTCCATACAATAGAATAATACACAGCTACTAAAAATTTTGAAGAAGAATGCATGTAACATGGAAATATGTTTGCAATGATCTGTTAAGTAAACAAGTAGATTATAAAATAAAATGTGTAGGTACATATATGGGAAATGTTTAAATGTTATTTAAATATAGTGATAAATATAAGCATAATATAGATCTAGTTACAGATAAAGACACACACACAGACAAAGGGACAGGCACAAATGTAGGCCAAGATACAAAGATGCATACAGATGCAGATACAGACCAAATGTGAAGAAGTGTTATTTCTGTGTTATGGGATTATAAGTAGTTCCGGTTTTTCTCTTTTTTCCTATCTGTATGTTCTACCAGAAATGTTGATTATTTTTTGCAATAAGAAAAAAAAAGTTAAAGAATTAATTGTTGCCCATGCAGGTTGCCATGGAGCTCTGCACAGTCTTGGAGGAAAGCACTTCCCCTTGTACCTTTGGTTGTTTACTTTGCCAGCTCCCACTGGATGTGGTCCCAGGAGGTAGAATCACCTGGCAAACACAGCATCCCAACACTGAACAGTCTCCAATGACACATTTGCAGAACTAAACTGAATGTGTTGAATTGCCCGAAGACAAACACTGAACAGTCAGGCATCCATGCCATTTCCCAGGAAACCAAAAATTGAATTGATCAAAATGACCAGGGCAGCTGGACTCATGAAACATGAGTCTTTAGTACTCACCTGTCTGGATGAAGTGTGAGTTGAACTTGGTCAAGGGAAACGTGAAAAAACCCTATTGGAAGTGCCCGTTAACCTTAATGGACACTGCATTAAGCAGCCCTCCCCAGCTGTGTTTGTGGAAGAAGCCTGGGCTGTGATGACTCATCCAGTGGGTATTGATTCTTTTCAGGTAGTTCAGAGGGAAAGTTTTTCGTGAAACTGCCTGGGAAATGGGGCAAGTCCCCAGAATGAGCATATTAGCAGATATGATTTTTCACTTAGTTTCTGTGTGTTTGTGTCTCTGTATAATAATAATGCTCTCTGAAACGTATAGACTGGCTTTCCCCTGAAGAGGATACAGTTCTTTCACACATATTGAGCCCAATTTTCCCATTTCTCAAGTTTCTCTCAAAGAGTGTGAGTACTTCAAGACACATTAGCTCTGCAAAGCGTCTGGACTTTTATTTACTGACAGACGGCTACTGCTGAAGGAATCAAGGCAGCTTAACGCCATCTGACTGTGTTGGCTTCCAGACACTCACAGCCTCCCAGGGCCTCTCATTCATCCTTATACATCATGTGTGAAAGAGCTAGCGGCAGGTAGAGCATCACACAATTATAGAGACAGAGGCACTGTGCATTGCCTAGCACTGTAAACCTATTCTAGTGAGTTGAATGGTGGCCTCCAAAAGGTATGTCCGTCCAGAGCCTCAGAACGTGTCCCTTATTTGGAACAAAGGTCTTCACATATGTGATTTGGGTAAGCATCTGAAGATGAGATCATCCTTGACTAGGGTGGACTCTAAATCCAATGGCCTGTCCTTATAGGATAAGAGAGGGAGAAATTAACACAGAAACACACTGAGAAGAAGGCCATGTGAAGACAGAAGCAGAGATTGGAGTGATGCTGCTATAAGCCAAGGACCTCCAGGAATCACCGGAAGCTGGAAGAGGCCAGGAAAGATTCCTAGAGCCCTTGGAAAGAGCACAACCCCATCTGACAATTTGACTCTGGCCTCTAAAACTGTAAGCAAACAACCTTCTGTTGTCTTCCGCCACCAAGTTCGTGGTTAATTTGTTGCAGCAAACCCAGGAAACTAATATATTAATAAAATCATGATTCTAGAGTATACTAAACAGATTGAAGAAATCACATGAGCTCATGGAACTATATGTGTGTTCACAAGCTTGCAAGCTTAGGCTTAATTTTTCAGCCCTGACTTTTTAAACATATACTCTCCCTCACTTGTGCCATGAACAAGTTAGGGCTAAAAATTATGATCCTAAAAATGGGCACCTGTTTTAAATAGGATTTGACTTTTAAAACATAAGAAGACAGGATGTTTCCTTTCTCTTCCAGCCCACCCTACCCTCCACTCACCCCTAGACACTATACATATCACCAATCTTGAAAGGTAATATGTGTAGGAGTTAAGAACATGGGTTATGGAGTCAACCAGACTTGCCTTTCCCTGGATTGCATGACCTTGGCCAAGTCACTTAATCTCTCTGAGTTTCAGTTTCTTTATGTGTATACTGGGATAGTGCATGTCATAAGCTTAGCACATGGCCAGGAATATAGTAGTCAGTATTGAAAGTGTTCAGTCAATACTGAAATAGATAAACAATTGCTAGACTGAAGGACAGATACATAAAGACTGAAACCAATAAGCAGCAGAAAGAAATATAATAAAAAACAGGACAGTACAGTATAGTACAGTATAATGCAATGCAACAAAACACAGTACAAGTCTGAATACCACTCCTCATCTCCCACTTCAATCTTTGGAGTTTGAAAGTAATAATTAAATTGTAGGAGTCAAAAACAGAGAAGTTGGATGGGTGGATAAAGCAGGTAGCACTGAATGGAAAAACCCAAGGAAAAAAACCTCTAAGGGTGCTCAGACTTGTTGGGGGATGGGCAGAGAGCCAGGACAAGCTATAGTCATGGGTACAGCTTCTAGTATCACTGAGGAATGCCCTCTCAAAGAAAACTGAGTTAGTAGATGCCAGATATCAGCAGTGGGAAGGAGAGAGAGCCACTGTGAGGCTGCCTTAGATCTTGGCCCATACTTGGAGGAGGAGGGGTGAGCAAGGAAGCTCTGCAGAAAGAAGCTGGAGGTGATTCACTAAATGCCCTGGGGCTGAGGGAGGAATCTTAAGGGACCACTTAGTATAGAAGTACAACAACCAGACTCAATGGCATCCTAGAAAACAGATTCCCACCAAAAATATCCTACAGAGCCGGCAAAAAGAGGCCACCATGAGAAATAGCAAGCTTTAAATGTCTATCAGTTTTGGCTAGCACTAAGACACCCAGCCAAGTGAGAAGACATCTCCCTCTGTGTCTTTTTCCTCCTCTCCCCCACATCACTGGGGAGTGAAACCATGCCTCTGTGGAGGAAGAGGGGATGAATCAGCAGAAAGCAGCAAGCCAGGACCACTCAGCCTTCTCCACCTGCAGGCTTCTACCCTGAAACAGCCCAATCCAGGGAAGGGGAAAAGATTTACTGCCAAGTTGAGATTTGTTTATTTCACAAGGAAGGGGATTCTAATCTCTGGATCAAAAGGAGACATAGGACATGAAATGATCATATGACTTTTACCTAAAACATAAAGTTGCAGTTTTAACACTATGCTAGTCATAATTGTTCAATATACTTCTACCCTTTCTTAAAAATTAAAACATTTCATGAAAGCCCAGAAAATAGTGTAAAAGGCTGCAAATGTCCACCACTTAAATTCGTTATAATTTGCTTCATCACTCTCTTTTAAACAGAGAGTTATTCAGAATATAACCATAACACCACTCTCATCCTTCCTTTCTCATTTGAGAAGAGCCATATTGCTCTAAGACAATAACCTCGATCTTGAAGTTGGTAAATATTATTCGCATGCATTTTTCATAATTCATCCACATCCTTTAAAGTTGTAATGGAGTCAATGGGTGGGAGGATGGAAGAGTGAAGATGGAGACTGGTTGGGAGACTAACAGTGCTCAGTGAGGGTAATGGTGACATCAGAGGCAGCGGAAGTGGTGGAGACACTAACATGGGCCTTGACTGAAAGTAAATGTGGTCACAGGCAGTGGATATAGTCACCTAGAGAGAGGATAAAGAGAAGGAAGAAGGATGAGCTCAGAGTAAGAAGATCTGAAGGAACCACCAAAGAAGCTGTCTACCATACAAGGAAAGAGGTTATGACCAACACCAGAGAAGAGACTGAGTGACTTCCAATTCCAAGCAACAGCCCCATATGCTCATGGATTTTGTGGCCTTATGCCAACGGTTCTCAACTGGGGATAATTTTACCCACTTGGAGACATTTGATTGTCACAACTAGGGGTGCTTCTAGCACTGACTGGGTAGAATCCAGGGATACTGCTACATATCCTACAGTGCACAGGACAGGCCCCACAACAAAGAATCTTCCAGCCCCAATTGTCAGTGGAGCTAGAGTTGAAAAGCCCTGCTTTATGTTAATGCATACCCAAAATAAGAATTAGGGCTGGCAAACTTTTTTATTTTGGAAGGCTCTTGGGAATCGTTTTATTAATGTGGTGAGTGGCATAGAAATTTCAAAAAGGAAAAATAAAAGTTTCACCACGATATAAAGACCATGATTTTTATGTAAGTCACCATAATATATTTGGAAGGGTTGGCTAGCAAAATATATATTTTATATAAGTCACCATAATATATTTGGAAGGGTTCACTATATATATTTGAAATGATTGGCTAGCAAAATTTGTATTTCACTGCCAATCACTACAAAATCTGTATCTCACTACCAATCACCATACAGGGAGTTATTAGTGTGCACTTTGAGTTTGTTAGATCTGGATTTAAGTCCCAACTCTGTCTTTTAACAGCTACTTGCATCAGGCACAGTTCAATTAAGGCAGAAGACCATAATAGGTAGTACAAAATAAGGGATTGGAATAGGAGTGAGACCTTACACAATTGTGGGAAAAGCTGCAGAAATAAGGATCACAGAAGGGGAATTGGGGGGGTCAAAGAAAAGTCACTAGCCAGTCCCCTGGAAGCACTGGCACAGGTGGGCTAGTCAGAGCCTAGGAATCCGGATAGCCTGAAAGTCTAGCTACTGATGCGGGGCCACAAAAGAGTGCTGGTGGGAAAGTCAACTGAGGAGGTTGCTCTGCATCTGATGGTGGGCCTGGAGCCACTGTTGGTCAGTAGGGCTATCAGTTGGGAAGAACTGAACGTGGAAAAGAGAATTTGGAGGAAAAGCTTGAATCTGCTGGCACATCTGCATCTGTCTCTCACCACTTCTCACCACAACAACCTTCAGAGAGTAAAGGCTGCTGTTCCACTTCCAACTTGCAAATCTCAGCCAAGTTTCTCTTTGGGTCAACTCTAATTCAGAATCATGGAAAGAAAGAGGGTTCCAGGAAGATGATTCAAGTTTAACTAGTTGACACCACACAAAACCACTACAGATGTGACTGGGCAAGTTACTTCACCTCTCTGAGTCTCAGTTTCCATATCTGCAAGCTGGTGATAATAGCAATACCCCATGCGATTTTTTGTGAGGATTAATGGAGAGGATATAGGTAAGAAAAACAGCACCTGGCACATAATAAGTTGTTGACAAACCTTAGCTACTATCGTTGTTGCTGTTGAATAGAGATATATTCTGGAACTGGTATTCCTTCAGATGGTTCACCTTGCAGAGTTTCATTGGCTGACCTTGACTTCAGCAAGGAAACTCTAGCATGACTCAATAGACAACTCCTCCCACAAACAGAGGTACTAAAAGGGGAAAAAATGGAGACCAAAACAAAACTTACTATGAACATAGTATTTTGTTGGTGACAACAAAAAGGACTAGCCTGAGAAGCTGACTCCTGTAGCTGGGTAGGTATACTGCCATTGGACAAAGCCATGGCCCCTGTCATTCCTGTTCTCCCATCCACGAAAGAAGGAAAATACAGCCTGTTTCCCCCTCCCTTCTGGGAGGAGTGAGAGCAGACCCAACAGGACTTTATGAGATGTGAGTGCTCTTTGAGAAAAAAATGCTATCACAGTGCTAGGTAATCTTCACCCTTCATAATGTTGCTTCATCTCCACAATGAGAAATGCTTCCTTTGAAGTGCTGCTGGGTATGGATTATCACAGAGTTGGGATTTTAAGGTAATTTTTCCCTCTTGGTATCAGGCACTGATCAGCAAATAGGTTTATGAAGAGGGAGTGCCTCCTTGCTGCTGTTCATGATTTCCCATGCCAGAACAGTGGCCAGAAGTGACAGCAAAGCCTCCCAGGAGAATTACTGAATTTGCCAAGGAGCTAAAATGCACCTCATAGTTTACGTATTAATCCATTATGCTTACTACTGTCACCATATTCATTTATAGACCCAGCGAGCTGTTGAATGGTACGATCTCCTCCAGTATCCTTCAGGCTGTAAACTCCTAAGAGATAGCCCCTCCTTTCTCTCACCTTCCTTCTCTGCCAACAGGGGAAGCCACAGACAGCGCATTCTGCTATATCAAGAATCTCAGAACCTTAAGAGTGGAGCAATCCGTCCAACTCCTTCATTTTCCAAGTATGGACACCAGGGTCTAGAGATGTAAAAACCTTGATCAAGATCACAGAGTAGGTTAAAGAAACAGAAACAAGCAATCATGGGATCCCTAGTCCAATGCCCTTCCCTCTACACCAACAGAAAATAACACTTGATGTTGAGCTTTCTCTCCCATACCCACCACTTATATGCTGACAATGTATGTCAATGTGAGAAAATCAGAGCCGAACTAAAGACCAAGTCTTCAGAATATGTCACGTGGTCCCCCACAAAAAGGCTGCGTTTCAGTGATTCATTATTTAGCAACAGTTTCTGTTGCAATTCATCGTAACTGCATTCTCTTCATCCCCTCCCCCCACCCCTTTTCCCTCCAGTCAAGATGAATGTAAAGACCTTCTATAGCTCTTCTCTCATGAAATGTTCCTTGGGCTGTAGGAATCCAATTATATTTTTCAGTGAAATGTTACCTATTAGAGAAAGATTAAAATAAACTGGAAGAAATGAAAACCATCTGTGACCTCGAACTTTTTTTTTCCCCAGGGTCCCTCTTCCATGAAAGTAGGGTTTTGGAGACCTATCTGGGGTCCACTGCCCAGTGATCCTACCAACTAGTGACCCTTTTTTCTAACATCTGTTGTGCATTCAGTTGGGCCTAGCCCTTCACCTTGAAACCACAAGCCTATCATCATGCTGTAAGGCCAATGAAAAGAAGGTGTCTTTTCTTGCTTTAGAGACAGTCTCTCTTCTGGATTCTTCGGTCTTCTTGTTCCCACCCTGTCTCTCAACCTGCTCCTGCTCCCATACCTCCCCTCTCTGGCACTGGCCACTGGAACCTAATACACCGGCTCTCTCAGATTCACCTCAAATGCCTTTTATTCAGGTAGATGATAAATAATGATTGGTTTGTCACAGGCACCGCTGGTTTGTTCTAGGCACTGTGCCAGTGGGTATTTGACTTAGTCCACTTGGGCTGTCATAACAAAATAGCATAGACTATGTGGCTTAAAAAACAAGAATTTATTTTCTCACAGTTCTGGAGGCTGGAAGTCCAAGATCAGGGAGCTGGCATGGTTGGATTCTGCTGAGGGTGCTTTTCCTGGCTTCCTAATGGCTGTCTTCTTGGTATGTCCTCACATGATGGAGAAAGATAGAAAGAGAGAGATCTCACTTTTCATCTTCTTATAAGGCCATCCATCCTACTGAATTAGGACCCACACTTATGACCTCATTTAATCTTAATTACCTCCAGAAAGCCCTACTTCCAAATATAGTCAATTGAGGGTTAGAGCTCTAATATGTGAGTTGAAGGTGGGGGTTGGGGAGGACACAATCCAGTACGTAGCAATGTTATTGTCTATAAAGACAGACATTTATCAAATAATCACAAAAGCAAACATAAAATTCCAAGTAGTTCTAAGAAGGAGAAGTCACACTGCCAGGAAGGTGTCTGACAGAGAAATGCAACCTAGTCAGGGAGTTCCAGGAGGACTCTCCCAAGAACGTGTCCCTTGAGCTGAGATGTAAAGGAACAGTAAAAAATTCACAGGCATAGACAGGAGTGGAGAGGCTTCTAGGCAGAGGAAATAGAATATGCAAAGTCCTTGAGGCAGGAAAATACATAATGAGTTCAAAGTACTCCTCTTAGGGCTAGTACAGAGAAAACATAACACAAAAGGAGACTGGAAAGTCAGGTCAGCACAGGCAGAGTGTTGTGGAGTGTCATAAGGAGTTTTCATTACTCTAATAACACTAGGAAGCACAGCAAGATTTAAGGAACAGGAATGGCATAATTAGATTTGCATGTTTGAAGAAGGCACATCTTACAGCGTGGATCTGTTGTTCAGATCTAGAATCTGCACCTACAATGGGCTTCCATTTGTTCCTTTGGATTGATTTTACTCCCTACAGCACCAAGTAACAACCTAATTCCCAAAACTCCATGTTTTAGGGGCCCACATGGCCTGCATTGCTGGCGATTTTATCTTGTTCTTACAGAAAACTTATACAGCTCATGATGCAGTTTTGTGGGGAGTTTTTTGTATACATGGCACTCAACTAAACTTCTGGTTCATAAGCTTTTGGGAGGCTATAACTTTGCCTACCATAATAACTGGCCCACATCATAAGCCCTCAAAAGCTAATCAGTTAAACACATCTTTTGATTAACTAAATAAATGACTTCATGAACTCCCTTAGAGAGCAATTTTCCCTTTGAAGAGGTTATGAGTAGCTCTAGTTGAGCCCAGATTCCATCTGATCTTCTAGTCTTTTGGGCTGTAATAGGAAATACTATCCTACAGGTGGTTCAAAGCTCTATGAAGGACCTACATACAGAGAGGTGTGGGCAGACTTAAGGAGCGAAGAAGTGATGTGTGGCACCCAGAGAGCCGCCATATTGTGGAGATAATACCCCCACTCCACCCTCAGGGTTTCAACACCCCATAGAAATATTGACTTTGACCTAATTTTATTGCTGTCCTCCAATTCTTCTTCTCCCTACCAAGTGGTAGAATTTGAATCTCTCTTCATAATGGAGAGAATTTCTAATGCCATATCCTGTACCTTTCCATATCCAGTATTAATTCTCAGATCTGAGTCCTCAAGGCTCAGACTATTTCAAACCATGCCTCCTTGGAGACTCAGAATAAAAATACCTTTTATCTCAAGGTACTTGAGATAAAGTACCCAGTTCTCACAAATCAAAATCAACTTGGCTTTCATACTATAGTTCCAGTCATGGACTCTCAAAACTCTTGAAAGTTGAAGACAACAATGATGTCTTTGTTATATACTGTACCTACCTTCCCCTAAAGCAAAGAATGCTATTGATTTAGGTAGGGAGAGAAGGGGGAACAACAATTAGAAGTACCTAGGGATTCCTAGAAGTGAAACAACATCCATCTTAAAAATACCATCCTGCTGCATTTTTAAGCATGAAGGGTACTACTCAGTAGGGAAGTGTGAGGAACTCTGCAGTTCCACATTGACCTCCCCTTGGGAAGCATGTTTGAGTTCATAAGAATTACAATACAAAAGATTATGTTCAAGCTTTTTTTCTAGTTACAGTCTCACTCTAGTCATGCTTCCTAATGAGGGATGCTCCTCCATCACCTTGGCTGAATTAGATTGAGCTGAAACCTTCTCAGCAACCAGCTTTCCAAGTACCCTCTTGAATTATTTTTAGGGCTGGCTGATTCTTCCAAAATGTTCAAATTTTACTAATTTCTTTAATGGATAGTAATCTGCTCCTGGTATTCTAGGAGTGTGTGATGCAAATGGCCTTCAAGTTATTAAAGAAATTAAGGGCAAGAGAAACGACTTACCTGATTATCCTTAACCCTCCCACATGAGACATGATAGATGCCTTCTGGACTCCAGTCTTAATGAAAGGAAATGAGTCCTATTCACTGGAGTAGGGAACAAGGATGAAAGGGCTAAAATTGCTCAACCCTGTCCACAGTAATTTCCACTTTTGGCCAAGGAGAAGCTAATCTTGTAGTTTGGGTTGGAGGTGGTGGGCCTTGGAGACAAACTTAATGAAGCTTCTTGGGCCACACCTGGCCACAGCTGGCCACAAGGTTTTTCTAGCAATTCATAGATTCATAGTTCACAAAAGCTCCACACTTGTCCATCTCCCTCAAGGTTGTTTTAGCAGAATGAGAGACTTGTTTCTCATTAATTAAGTAACTCTTCAGACCCACTCCTTAGAAGTAGATGACTAATTATTATTGGCTCAACTACTTCATCTTTCTTAGTGAGACAAAGTTTAATAACTCCAGGAATTAAAACCATAATAGGCTCTCTTTAACGTCTGTGGGGCTTTTGTGTGTGAAAAAAAAATTGACTAGCATTTGTATTTTGTTTAATGTTCAATTCATTAGACTCCTGTATTAGACTCAAGGAAACTTTGAAAGCCTATTTTTTAAGCACTTAGTCATTGATTACAAGTTTTGATTAATTCAATTCCCATATACAATTTAAACTGCAATAACAAATTTAGTATGGCTGATTTTTCAAAAGCTTCCAATGCCTTTAAGAACAGACAAAACAAACAAAAGTACAATGATTTCAAAACTATTTAAAACTCTTTCAGCAAAAAGTGGCTATATAAATGTTAAAATCCTGAATTTAACTTTTTTAAAAAAATATTTATTCTTTTTAGGGATTTCGACTTCCACAGCTTCCTAGAGTTTTGGTAATTTTACCAGACACCATTCTTTTCATTTATTTATTTATTCATTCATTTATTTTCTGTTTCATTGAGGTATAATGGTATAATTGACAACTGAAATTGTATATGCTTAAAGTGTACAGTGTAATGATTTGATATACACATTGTGAAATGATTATGACAATCAAGTTAACTATTACCTCATATAATTACATGTGTGTGTGTGTTTGCAAATGCTTAAGATCTATTCTCTTAGCAAATGTCAAGTATACAATACATTATTATTAACTATATTTACTAGGCTATACATTAGGTCCTCAAGAACTTATTCATCTTATAAGTAAAATTTTGTATGCTTTGACCAACATCTCTCCATTTCTCCAACTCCCAGTCCCTGGCAGCCACAATTCTACTCTGTTTCTATGAGTTTGACTTTATTTTTAAGATTCTATAGACAAATGATACTACATAGTATTTGTCTTTCTCCAGATTATTTCACTTACCATAATCCAAGCTGTCACAAATACAGGATTTCCTTGTTTTTTTAAGGCTGAATAATATTCCATCAAATTTATCTGTACCACATTTTCTTATCCATCCACGCACCAATGGACACTAAGGCAGTTTCCACATCTTCGCTATTTTGAATGATACTGCAATGAACCTGAGGGTGCACATATCTCTTTAAAATACTGATCTCATTTTCTTCTAGTATATACTCAGAAGTTGGATTGTTTGGTATCTCAATCCCATTTTGTATGGGATCATATGGTAACTCTATTTTTAATTTTTTTAGGAACCTTTATACCGTTTTCCATGATCATGATAGCTGTGGCAATTTACATTTACACTTACAATATATAAGGCTTCCATTTTTACCACATCTTTATGTCTTTTTATCTCTTGTCTTTTTGATGATAACCATACTGGCAGGTATAAGGTGATATCTTATGGTGGCCAGATACCATTTTTTTAATTTCCTAGAGTTTTAATACTTTTTCTAGACCCCAAAGAAAATGAACTCCATCTCAGAAAGGCCTAGAAGGCAGATGATAGATTTGGGAACCTGTTGACTTATGGCCAGAACATATGACATAATTTGGCAATCTTCAAATCACTGGGCCAAAACATTTTTATCATAAAGTTTCACATATTGGATTATGGAACACTCACATCAATGACTTTCATTTTTGAGGTTAGGTGTCCTTTCTCAAACAAGTGTATCAGTCAGGGTTCTCCATTAAACCAATAGTATATATTAATATATAAATATATAGAAAAAGATTTGTTATGAAGGCTGGGAAGTCCCATGATCTGCTACCTGCAAGCTGGAGATCCAGGGAAACTGATGGTGTAGTTCCAATCCAAGCATAAAGGCCAAGAACTGGGGGGCTGATAGCGTAGGTCCCAGTTTGAGTCTGAAAACCCAAGATGCCAGAGTGCTAATGCCCAAAAAGGCAGGAG
Organism: Homo sapiens; assembly: GCF_000001405.40. Classification (NCBI taxonomy): domain Eukaryota; kingdom Metazoa; phylum Chordata; class Mammalia; order Primates; family Hominidae; genus Homo; species Homo sapiens. The sequence continues at coordinate 31,259,401 of NC_000003.12, forward strand.
AAGATGGGTGTCTCAATTCAACAAGAGAGAGCAAATTCACCCTTCCTCTGCCTTTTTGTTCTTTTCAAGACCCTCAATGGATTGGATGAGGCCTACCCACAATGGTGAGGGTAATCTTTACTCAGTCTACTGATTCAAGTGCTAATCTCTTCCAGAAACACCCACAAAGACACTCCCGGAAATAATGGTTTACCAGCTATCTGGGCATCCCTTAGTCCAGTCAAGTTGACACATAAATTCAACATCCCAATTAGGGTTTCTTTAAATCTTGACTTACCAACAGTACCTTTCCCATTGTCCTGAAATATTGACCTGGTTTGTCAGCAATATTAAAAATGTATGTGTTGCAATCACTTTGGAAAATGAGTTGGTATTTCTTATAGAGTTAAACCCACACCTAAATGGTAACCCAGCAGTTCAACTACTAAGTATTTATTCAAGATAAATAAAAGCATTTGATCACAAAAAGACTTGTACAATAATATTCATAGCAATTTTAGTCATAATAGTCAAAAACTGAAGATAAACTTAATTTCCATCAAGTAAAAAATGGAATAGCAACTGCGGCATATTCATATAATGAAATATTACTCAGCATTG